>NC_000018.10:7510000-8760000 GCF_000001405.40 Homo sapiens
TTCCCATCTCCCTCTCTTTTCATTACTTTCTTCCCTCCTTTATTTTTTTGCCTTTAGCATTTATCGTCCTCTAACTTACTATATATTTTAATGATTTCTCTTGCTTATTGTCTATTTTTCTCTCACTAGAATGATAGCTCCACCAGAATGGGGATTTCAGTCTGTTATGCTCCCTGTTGTATTTTGTGCCCAGTGAGTCCAGTCAGTGTGGTTGTGTGAGTCTTTGCTGCCACACTGAATTGCTCTGCAGCAGGTACAGATTTAGAGGATATCTAGGCTTAGCCAGGGTCAGAATATGATAAGGAGATTGAAAAGGCAATAGGGCGCTGCATGTTTTCCAGGGAGAGGTTATGGTGCTGGATCATCAAGCCCAGGAGAGAAATGAGGATGTGAAGGAAGCAGGGCATGACAGAGAGGTAGGGGCCAGTGGCTCGGAGGTCTCATTAAATTCAGGGAACTCGTAAGGTAGGCTGACTGGATGTGCTGAAGGATAGGAGGTAATTGCTGGAAATAAGATGTTTGCACTCATAATATTGGGAATGTGCTTGGTGATAACAAGGTCTAGGGCATGCTTTGTGAGTGGGTGGTTGAGGTGAGATGGAATAAGAGATTATTGGCTCTAAAAGATAAGGAACTGAATGACCAGGGTGTTAGATGGAACATTTATTAAATTCTGAAATCTCCAAGAATGATGGTAGGGTTGAAAACGAAGTGATTCAAGTGTTCAATTCATCAAAAAATGAGAGGAGATAACAAAGAGATTGGTAATGGATAGCTCAGATCTAGGAAGTTTCTAAGGGGGAAAAGCAACCTTCACCTGAACATTGTGGGAAGCACAATCCTTGGGGTATAGACAGGTTTCCCTCAGAACAGGCATCAAGAAACCACCACTCCTGGGCCAAGTGTGGCCCACCCCCAGGTTTTGTAAATAACATTTTATTGTAACACAGGCACACTCATTTGTTCACATATTTTCCATGGCTGCTTTTGTGCTAGAATAACAAAATTAAGTAATTGTGTCGGGGCATTAGAACCAGGATGACTCAATCTTGAATAAGACCTCGGTAAAATAAGGCTGAGACCTACTGGGCTGCGTTCTCAGGAGGTTAGGCATTCTTGGTCACTGGATGAGATAGGAGGTCGGCATAAGATACAGGTCACACAAGATACGGGTCACACAGACCCTGTCAATAAAACAGGAGGCAGTAAAGAAGCTGGCCAAAACCCACCAAATCCAAGATGGTGACAAAAGTGCTCATTATACACTAACTATAATACATTCACATGCTAAAAGACACTCCCACCAGCACCATGGCAGTTTACAGATGCCATGGCAACACCCGGAAATTATTCTATATGGTCTGAAAAGGGGAGGAACCCTCAGTTCCTGGGAAAATCCCACCTCTTTCCCAGAAAACTCATGAATAATCCACCCCTTGTTTAGCATATGATCAAGAAATAACCATAAAGATAACCAACCAGCAGCCCTCGGGGCTGCTCTGCCTATAGAGTAGCCATTCTTTTGTGTTCTTTACTTTTCCAATAAACTTGCTTTCACTTTACAGACTCACCCTGAATTCCTTCCTGCACAAGATACAAGCACCCTCTCTTGGTGTCTGGATTGGGACCCCTTTCAAGTAACAATGACAATGGAGATGATGTGGCCTGCAAAGCCTAAAATATTTACTATCTGGCCCATTACAAAAAAATGTTTTCCAACTCCCGAGTTAGAGCAAGAAGCGGAATGGAATATTTAGGTGAGAGGTTGAAGATACACTGGGACTTTATTGATGATGAACTATGAATTGCAAAGGGACATTTTGGAATAATTTGGGAGGATGGAGATGGGTGGGAATGAGGTTAGATTAGAGAATATTCAGAACAATCCAGCCAGTGGTGGTGATATTCAGACATGGACTCTGATGGTGACTGAGGCAGCTGGGTAGGTGGAAGGCTTGATGGGCTGAACTCCAAGGTGGGAGGACTTTGCTTTGAGGGAGGTGCTGAGGCAGCCAAGGAGCCTGCACAACTCAAAGCCTTAGAGAGGATGACTTGCCCTCAGCTGATGCCCGGGATCATGCAGCTGGGAACATCTCTGGGGTCCTGCGGCTCCTGGGAACGCTGGCAGGGTTCCTAGATGATAGAGGAAGAGAAGGAAAGAGAGAGAGAAAGGCAGGCAAGCAAACAGGCAAGCAATATAAATAAAAGCAAAAATGACAACGCTGTGTTCATATACATTAGTTCAAGAAATTCATAAACCATATAAAATATTAGCATGCCTTTCATATTTAAAAGCCTCTTTATGACCTTTGATGATCAAAGAAATAAATATTATCAGTGCTAAGGCCTATTCTGGGTCCTAAAAATCTGTGGTTCGGTGACAGCCAAGATACATGGCTGTCTTATTCCCTTTCAATGTATTGTCACTGTAATTAACTACCCACATCCTAAACAGGGCTTAGAGTGCTTCTTTCAAACTTGCCGGAGCTGGCATCAAAACTCTTGCAGAGTAAATGAGTAACACATGGCCGCTGGCTAACCCTGGCAGGCAGAACTGCTCTCCCTGTTTCTGCCACAGGCAGCTTTTCCCCATCTTCCATCAGAATGATGCCGGGAAGGCATTTCTTTTCCTTTCTTTCCACTCTGCTAAGATCCGTGCTCCACTGCTCCAAGTCCTCCTCTCTTCTTGCTTCCCATGAGGATGTACAATTTTGTTATACCCCCAGAGAAACTTAACCCAAAATCTCAGTAGGTAACTGCCAATTCTAGAATACTCCACTAGTTAATGACTGCATTTTAATGCATTTCCTTTTTTTAAGGGTAGAACAAACCCCCTCCCTTCTCTTTCATTTGGGGAGCTGCCTGCTGAATTTGCATACTGTTAAATATTTCTCATAGCTGCTGTCTTTAGCAAAGGTTTTTCCCTTATTCATTTCTTTACACCAAATGGCCACCCCAACCAGGAAAAATAAAAACAACATTCTGAAAAGGAAATTTAATAACAATTTTGAGCACAGTTGATATGGTTTCATCACAGAACCCCTGACATTCCACAGGGAAGAAACCTAATTTAAGGGCGGAGAGTAAAGTAACTCTGATAGCCAAAAGTTCTGAGAGCCAAAAGTGACATCTAAAAATAATATTTGTAAATGTACCCAGAGGCTATTGCATGATGGGCACCCACACGGGAGCAGGGCTCTAGGCATCTGCCTGTGCCTCAGGCTGCTTATGTTGATTGGGCGAAAATATCAATGGCATTCTTTCACCTAAGGCTTCTACCATCATTCCCCCCAGCTACAAATATAACTCCCAACCTAAGGATCAGACTGACTCTCTCACAAAGGATGTCTTCCATCCCCTTTGTGGGTAAGCCCACCCTTTGCTGCAGTGCACTGTCCCTTCTTTTTGGGGCCATTGAATTTCTGCCATCATTCTTCTAGCTGCTGTCTCTTGTGTTATTAAATGTATTTTTTCTTTATTTCCTCATTTCTGTGGGTTTTCTATACCTTTCCTGCCTCCATTACTTTGGGCTTTGGAACCCCAGAGGAAGAACAGTTAATTCTAGTGTGGGAGCTCTTGGGAAAACTTACATCCAGGGAAAGTCAACAGTGAAGTCAAAGTCACAGAGAGAGTGCACTTGGCATGTTCTGAGACCTATAAGCAGTTTATTGGGACTAAAGCAAAGGATATATATCACGGATCAGGTTAGCCTTTACCCTAGAGGCAGTGGTCAACTGTGAAAGAGTTTATGTCAGTGATACAGCTAAATCTATGCTGTGGAAAAAATTATCTTTCTATTATGGAGATCTGTAATTGTTATCTATGGCTGCATAACAAATTATCCCAATATTTAGAGACTTGAAACAACAAAAATTTACTATCTTAAGTTTCTGTGGGTTAGGAATTCAGCACAGGTAAGCTGGATGTCTCTCTTCAAAGTCTCTCCCAAGGCTGCAATTAAAGTTTCAGCCAGGATCAGAGTTCTCTCAAGGCTTGATGAGGGGAAGATCCAGTTCAACATAACTCAAATGGTGGTTGGTAGGATTCAGTTCTTACAAGGCTTGGACTGATGGCCTTAGTTGCTCACTGGCTGTAGCCGGGAGGCTACCTGGGTTCCTTGACACTATGGGCTTCTCCGTATAGAAGCTCACAATATGGCACCTAGCTCCACCAAGAGTGTGCAGGTAAGAAAGCAAGAGACGGCAAGTAAGACAGAAGCCAGTCTTTTTGCTACCTGCTCTTCACGAGGGACAGTTTATTGTTTTTGGTGTATTCTGTCCATTTGAAGCAAGTCACTACCAGCCCACACTCAATGGGAAGGGATTACACAAGGACATGAATACCAGGAAGTAGAAATCATTGGAAGTTGTTAAAAAATAATAGGAGGAGAACCAGGAGAGAATGATGTCTACAGGCCAAGGAAGAAGAGGATTTCAAGGAGTGGAAAGTTGTATATGGCGCAGAGGTGGCAGTGCCCTCCAGCCAAAGGCTACCAGGAAGACACTTAGAGTTGAACAAGTTGGGCTTATCTCTTGTTGCAGGCAGGGAAGACATACACCAGCGTAATTATGGCGTGTCTCAGTAAGATGTGTGACAACCTATTATAAGATCTGGGCTTTGGTTGGGTGATTTAGGAGGTGTCGAAGGAAGCAGGGGCATACCCTGAATTGGGTACTTTCAGGAGTACAACAATTCTGTGATTGGGTATCTCAATAAATCTTATGTGTAGAGAGGGACAATTAGAAAGAGGATAAAATTGTAATTGGTAAAGTAGCAGTCACTCGTTTTGGCTGGGAGAGGGGGTGTTTGGTATTTTGTGGGTGACACAGCGACCTTGCTTTTATCTCTTCTTAGACAAAATGACAAACTGGACTTGCTTTGACTCATTTTACCACAGTCTCAGGGTAGGCTTGTTTGAGGTTGGTATTCTGTGACGTTGTTTATGTCTAATAGGAAATTAACACATCCTAGCTGTGGGATATGATGAGGTTTCTCTTCAAATAGCCTGACCAATCCTTTATTCTTTAATTCATAGTAATCCACACCCCCCCCCCACCCCTTTTCCTTTTTTTCTCTTTTCTGCCTTTGTTACATGCCGGGACAAGCCACAGTACCAGGCTTATCAGTACCAGCTCACATTCCTTTCCTTATTTGGAAAGAAAACTAGCTCTCTAGCTCATTGCAGACACCCCTTCCTCTTCTTCTTTTCCCTCTCTCCCTTACGTGCCCACCTGATCTAAAAAAAGTTCAAATGTCTAGCCAACCGTGATTAGTTCAGATTGTGCGACCCGACCCCGGCCAATGGGGAAAGCGTACAGGGGCAGGACTTGTGTCAGGAGTAAAGGCTCTCATGCCCCTTTGTTCAGGTGTGCTCTCATGGCGACTGGCCAAGGGGAAGCACCCCTCTGCGTAGAAGTAAAATTGCTTTGCTAAGAATCCTCTGTTTGAGTGTTCAGTCTCCCTAGGATTTTGAGTGTTATTCCCAACACTAGCTATGAGTGCCAGGCCAGCTTCGGAATGTCAGGGGTTGCTTTTTTTTTCCATTCTCAGCGGTCAAATAAAAAGAGGCCATTGATAGGGCAATTAAGACAAGTAGTGGTTAAGAACATGACTCTGGAGCCAGCGTTGAGATTACAATAGTATCTATCTTATTGTCTGTTAAGAGGATTCATGAGTTAAAATATATATAAAGTATTTAGAACAAAGTTGGCAAATAAGTACTGTAGAAACGCTGATGATCAGTATCATATATGATCCTTGAAGGAGCAATTTCATTAGAGTGGGAGAAGGGAGAAGGCAGACCGCACTGATCAGAGATAAATAGAGGTTGATGAAGTAAGGTCAGCATGTGCCCAAGACCCCTTCAAGAGGAATCTTGACAGGGAAATCTGGAAACCAAGCAGAAGAGGAAGGGAAATGGTTTATCAAGGTCAGCATAGAGCAATGCTTCCCAATGTGTGTTAGAAATGCAAAATCTCAAGCCTCACCCCAAATTTGCATAATCAGAAACACTAAGTTATAAAAAGCCTTAGAGGTGATTCTTTTTTTTCCCCGAACAGCTTTGTTGTAGTATACTTGACATAAATTGCACCTATTTAAAACACACAATTTGGAAGTTTTACCACATGCACACACCATAAACCATCACCACAGTCAAGATAATGAACATATTTTTCACCCCTTGGTAGCCCCTCAGTCCTGTCTGCCTTGCCCCACCCTCCCCACATGATTCTGATACTAGTATGTGAAGATCAAAATTAATTGTCATTAAGAAGTCCTAGAGTCACAGCTCAAAAACCAGTAATAAAGATGAAATCCTAACAGCGAGGAAAGGAAGGAAATAGGAGGTAAGCAGCAAGATCAGTGTCTGCAAAAGGCAGCCTGGCCTTACAGAGCAGGTGCTCCTATTCTTTCTCCAGGTGGCCCGTTCAGGAAGTAGTGGGGCCACCACTCACACACTTCTGCCAGGAAAGTGTTTCAACTCCATGTCTCTGATTATGATATTTTCTGTCTCAAAAAACCTTTTATGGTTTCCCTTTGCTATAACATGTAGTAAAAAACAAAAAAGGAGACAAACAGCAACAAAACTTTCTTAGCCTGGCTTTTTGACGTCATGCAATCTGGCTTCATTTGCCCTTCCAATGTAACCTCTCATCCTTTCCACTCCAGATTGTTTGCTCTGATCCTGTACCATGGGTTTGCCCCGGTTCTGCATAATGAATTGCCTCTCCAGTTTCTCTTTCCTAGCTGTGCCTTACCTTAACCCTCTTCTCAGTGCTCCCCACTCCTCGATGTGATTAATACCTGTCTATTTAAATGCTGCCATTTCTTGGTGCTCCCTGATCGCACATCTGGGAATCATCTGGTTTTGCTCTGAATGTTCATATCAGATATGATGTCATTCTTGTTGAAAGTGGCAGATTCTTAAAGGCACGGATTGTGAGTATCTCATCTTTGCATCTTAGTACCTAACACACTGGAAAATAGGGGAAATTCACTAAATGTTTGCGAATGAGTGAATGGATGATCATGCGAATTTGACTGGAACTATTTGTCTTTCATTTACATGACTGTATTAGGAGACCAGGGTTTCTCAACCTTGGCACTTTTGACATTTTAGGCTGGATCAACCTTTCTTTTGAGAGCTGTCCCCTGCATTATTGGATATTGAGCAGCTTCTCTGCCATCTGCACACCAGATGCCAGTAGCACTGCTTTCCCAGTATGACAAGCAAAAATGTTTCAGGCATTGTCAAATTTACCCTGTTGTGTGTCTGTGTCTGTGTGATCAATTGGGGACAGGGGAGGAGTGTGCAGGGAACGGCCCTGGCCCTGGTTGAGAATTTTTTTTGCTTTTTTGAGACGGAGTTTCACTCTGTCTCCCAGGCTGGAGTGCAGTAGTGCGATCTTGGCTCACTGAAACCTCTGCCTCTGGGATTCAAGCAATTCTCTGCCTTAGTCTCCCAAGTAGCTGGGATTACAGGTGCCCATACCATGCCCAGCTAATTTTTTTAAGATTTTTAGTAGAGATGGAGTTTCACCATCTTGGCCAGACTGGTCTCAAACTCCTGACCTCATGATCCACCCACCTCGGCCTCCCAAAGTGCTGGGATTACAGGTGTGAACCACCACGCCTGGCCGAGAATCTTGAACATAACGGTTTTCCTATAAAATATTAAGAGAAGGAAAGTGACAACGATCTATTCAGGTTAAGGAAAGAAGGAAAATATTTAACACCTGGAACCCTTCCTCAGCCCTAGGAAACTCTATACTTTTCTAAGTGGATTCCTCCCATTTTCCCTTCTCCCTCCCCTTCCCTGCTGCATAGTACTTTATTCTAATAGACTGTCAATCAATCCCTGCTAACATCAAAGGAAAACACATCACAAACTAGAGTAGCAAAGCTTTAAGAATGGAATGACTTTAGGTAAGTGGGTATTTTGAAATAAGGTGTCCTGTAATATTCCTCAAACTGAGCTATGCAAGGTACCGCTTACTTTATCTCCTGATAATGCCTGCTGTGTATGATATATGACCATCTGTCCTCAGCAACTGAAGATGGTAAATCACTTCCTCGCATTTGTTATGAGATAAGACGTTTACCATCTTGACTTCATGTGGACAAGTTCTGAAAGTGACAAAGTCAGAAAACACGGATTCATGCTCCATTTTTCTGAACAATCTAGATCTTCACAATCTTAGGTATTTCCTCTTTCATCTTGTGGATCCAATCTTCTTTTAAATACATTCATTTTCTTCCTCATTACAATATGATATATGGTGTTCATTTGGCAAGTCTAATTCAATGAACGATTTGTTCGATGGACTATTAAAATAAAATAACGGCCTGTTACCCTCAGCCTCTCTTAGATCACTCAATGTCCTCAGCGTACCACCCTCTGACCCCACGTTCCACCCTCCTCTACTATAGATAGGGTGCTCCTCTCTCCTTTATAGCCTCTTCTGCCCACTTCTCTCTTTTCATTTTCAATCTATTTTTCACTGACATTTTCCTTTGATCCCTTTATGCTTTACAGACCCTTTGTCTCTGTTATCATACCTAGCTTCTCTCTGTTATGTGCTTCAATTTCAAATCACTGGGAACACAAGCTGTATATCACTGTTTCCCTCCTTAAGTCACAAAGCAAAGGGAAAAGAAAAAGGAAATTGTCATTCTGCCTGAGTGAAACGTTATTCATGCAGTTAGTCAGTGGGTTCGTTGTTTAAAACCAGCTGGAGTGAACACTGGACATGATCATGTCAATGGGAGAACTTCTGATGCAAATGAAAAGCATATGCTTGGGGGAAATGCCTGGAAAAATATGGTAAGATGCCCATCAGTAGGAAAACCAAACTGGTACTCTCATTGTTTTGAAATCATAACAATACTTAGCTTTCCACAGAATAGTAGAGTGTTTCCTTCACATAATGACTTTGGATTTATGTATTAATTCTGAATGTGTCTCAAACATCTGGGAAGTATCTTTGATTTTGGTCATTAATTAGTGGTAAGGTATTCAGCTAGCTGAAGTCAGAGTGCCTCTAGAAAGTCGGCCCCCATGTGAAGGATTCTGCCATTTCATGTGGTCACTTGTGTCTTTATCCATCTGTTTCTTTCTCTCGTCGTTAGGAGGAGTATCTATCACTGGAAATGGCACAAACCCTAAGATATGCAGAAATGGACATATAACCAGAAATGTGGATTTGAATGTATACATGATAGCAGGCTAGCAAATGTTACAAACCAGTTCTGGGAGCAGTGATCCACTGTTCATCCCTAAAAAAGCATGAAGCTCTCTCCCAGTGGCCCTCTATTCTTTGAACTCTCTTATTGCCTTGTCACCTTCCCTGATTACATATGCAGCCTGCAGAACCTAGAAGGAAAGAGATTCCAGGTTCTTACTCCTGACCAGAAAGTCTTTTCATGACAAAACAAAAAAACACTTATTTATCTCTTCTAACCCCAGGGAAGCTGAGAGCTTGACAGACGAGCAAGTTTAGAACGGCAAATGTGCTTTGCCTAAGACTGAAAGGTGATGGCAACTTTTGCAAATATGGAATGAATTGCATACTAGAGCTGATCAGAGAACCAGAGGGAAAATAGGGAGACTTTATGAATTTCTCCTGAGTAGATCTTCACAAGGGCCTCAGCATCTCACTCACTATGAATTCCCTGAATAGCAAATGCACACAAATTCATCCTGCAGTCCAAAATTCATTTTCCAAAACCAAATAGGAATAATTTTGAATATCTATAACTCTATCATCTACTAATAAAAGTGAAGATATTTTTGGACATTTTTTAAACTAGGCTGATTTCTTAAAATTTATAATTTCATAATATAATATAGAAAGGGGCATATATCTATAAAAAATAACCTCATCTTTATTATGACATTGACATTTCTCTTCATGAAGAGGAGGAAGATAATGCGAATAGTATTTTAGCCTTTCTCCCTTATGAACTCTGAGCTCATAAAGATAAATGTCATAAACAGAGATTAGCAATCATGGGGCATATATTACAAGGGATTTCATTTTGATCTGGCAGGAAGTATTGCTTTGTGATATTTTAGAAATTATTATAAAATTTTGGAGATTTTTTGCTTTTAATGTTAGCTTTTCAGCAGATGTAGTATTTTCTTTCTCTATTCTCACATGATCCTTGTTCCTCTCCTTTTTCTTTCTTTGAATTGGATTTGTTTTGTGAGGCCATATTTCTATCAGGTGCTTATAAATATTCTATTTTCTACCTCTTTCCTCATTTTCAGTCATAATGGATCCTTGAATTGCAACCTCGTGGGAAGCAAGATTCCTGGTCCATAATCTCTGGTAGTCTTTCTGATATTCTGAGGTAAAAATTATTACCTCAGAATTATTAATTATTAAATTAAATAATTATTAAATTAATTAAATTATTAAATTATTGAAATTATTACCTGGTGAATTATTAGATCTGGAAGTAAGACAGGTAATACAGCTACCTGGTTTGAGCTCTTGTAGACTTTGAAGTCCTTTGTTGGAACCCAGAGAAGCCCTGAACACAGCACGGGTAATTTGGCACGTGCTGCTCTATTGTTTAGAGTCATGGCTGATCAGTCCAGTGGTTATGCAGAGAGCAGAGATGAGGACAGGTGTGTGACCAGGACTTAAAACCACTAAATCAGAGTGCAGGGAAATTGTATCAGCAACTCGAATGCACAAAAGTATAACTTTGAGACGTTGGTATAATGTCAACAAACCGCTGAATGGTGAGGAAGGAGTTGTGCTAATTGTACTGTTGTAAAGGAAACTGACAGTAGTGGAGTAGGCAAAAGATGCTTACGGAAAGCTATTATGGTTCATAAAGATTCTTCAGAATTTGCCATTCTGAATAAATAACCAAACAGCATGGCTCCTGAGAAAGCCCAGGAGCACTGAGTCATTATTTATTTGGAAATACACTGAGGAGCTTGGTGAAACAGAAAGACTTAGAGGGCTGTGAAGGTTCTGAACTGTGGGAAAGAGAAGGTATTAAACCTACTTCCTCACCATCTGTTGTAGTGTTCTGTGACTCTACCTGCTATACAGAAAAAAAGCTGATCCGTAAGTCCATCAAAACAAAAAATAGGGTATGATCAAAGAAGTCTTTCTAGGGCAGTGAATGATTATGAAACACTAAAATAACAATTGTTAGCTAGAAGTGACTTTAGAGATCCTTTCAGCCTTTTGTGAGGAAACAAAGGTGCGGGGAAGTTAACTAACATTTATCAAATGCATGCCATTAAAAGACAACCATTTAAAGTCTCTGAAAAAGTTCTGAAGAAAAAGAGCAAGTAGAGAAACATCTATTTAAGAGAAATCTATGAAAATTTGGTAAGAAAGGTGAGTCTGTGGTATGTGCGCCAAGGCCGTTCTCTCTTCCCTCCTCCCTGCTCAGTAATGTGGAAACTCCACTCCACATCGCTGCAGCCAAGAACACAGGGTTCTCTTTCCCTCCAGCTCCCCGTAGGTGGATTTTCTTCCCAGAAAGAGGACATCAGCTTGTCTCATCTTCCCCCTAGCTGCTTGCTGATGAGGCTTGGTCCTGGGCAAGTGTCCTCAAGAGGTGGGGGCTCCCTTCTTCTACCCAGCCCTGACTCCCAGATGAGGCTTCACCTCAGACACAGCTCGCTGAAAAAACGAGGGCCCTGAAAACCCTTGCTCCACCTCTTGAGGCAGTGGTCCTGTGCTGAGGGAGTAAGCTGAGAAAATCTCAGCTGCTTCCCCGGTTCCTCCCCTACCCCCAGTCCAGCAAGCACTCAGCTCCTAGAGCAGGGGGACTAGAGGTTGCATTATTCCCACCCCAGTTCCAGAGCCCTGACTTAGAGATTTTCCTTGGAAGAAGAAGCTTGTTATAAAAAGGATAGCTCTTAATCTCTTCCCAATTTGCAGCAGAGCATGAAGAAGTTTAAACCTATCAAGAACAGTAGAGGCTATGTTGAGGCAACTGAGAGGAGATTCAAGATACAGACTAACTTCTTATGCCCCCGGGGGATTGTTGAAAACAATAGAGCAGGCCGGGCGCGGTGGCTCACGCCTGTAATCCCAGCACTTTGGGAGGCTGAGGTGGGCGGATCACGAGGTCAGGAGATCGAGACCATCCTGGCTAACATGGTGAAACCCCGTCTCCACTAAAAATACAAAAAAATTAGCCGGGCGTGGTGGCGGGCGCCTGTAGTCCCAGCTACTCGGGAGGCTGAGGCTGGAGAATGGCGTGAACCCGGGAGGCGGAGCTTGCAGTGAGCCGAGATCGCCCCACTGCACTCCAGCCTGGGCGACAGAGCAAGACTCCGTCTCAAAAAAAAAAAATAAAATAAAAATAAAAAAAGAAGAAGAAGAAAAAAAGAAAAAAAAAAGAAAAACGAAAACAATAGAGCAATAAACCAGCAGTTACTAGTGTTTAATAGCTGGGCATGGTTAGGGGAAAAAGAGAAATAGCGCCCTACCCAAACCACTGTCATTCCAGTGTAATTTTTGTAAGTTAAGAACCACTAGGAAAAAAGAAACTTTAAAGTACAATATGGCAAAATTTGCCAGGTGTGGTGGCTCACTCCTGTAATCCCCACACTTTGGGAGGCTGAGGCGGGTGGATCACGAGGTCAGGAGATAGAGACCATCCTGGCTAACACGTGAAACCCCGTCTCTACTAAAAATACAAAAAATTAGCCGGGCGTGGTGGCGGGCGCCTGTAGTCCCAGCTACTCGGGAGGCTGAGGCTGGAGAATGGCGTGAACCCGGGAGGCGGAGCTTGCAGTGAGCCGAGATCGCGCCACTGCACTCCAGCCTGGAAGACACAACAAGACTCCGTCTCAAAAAAAAAAAAAAAGAAAAAAAAAAGAAAAAGAAAAAAAGAAATAAGGAAACTGGGCCAGGAGCGGTGGCTTACGGCTGTAATCCCAGCATTTTGCGGGGTCGAGGTGGGAAGGTCACTTGAGGTCAGGAGTTCGACACAAGCCTGCCCAACATGGTGAAACCCCATTTCTACTAAAAATACAAAAAAATTTGCCAGGCTGGGTGGTGCTTGCCTGTAGTCCCACCTACAAGTCCTACAAGGGGGGCCGAGGCATCAGAATTGCTTGAACCTGGGAGGTGGAGGTTGCAGTGGGCCGAGATCGTGCCACTGCACTCCAGCCTGGGTGACTGAGCGAGACCCTGTCTCAAAAAAAAAAAAAAAAAAGAAAAGAAATAAGGAAACTGATATTCACAGAAACTATGTAAACTAGCAAAGTTTTGCTGTTCTTTTTACTGAGAGTGTGGTGCTATTCCAGCTTCCCATAGATAAAGGTCACATACCTCAACAATGGTTAACAGAAAGTAGCCCAGACCCAAGTACATAGATTCCTTTAGTGTAATATTCATATTAAATGGAAACTTTTAACGATATGCAAAAGAAGGAATACCTTCAAGTCTAGGGAAAAAATACATCTTCAAGTGAAACAATGTTCTCAATGTATTACTTCAATTTATTTATGATTCTTGGTCCCAGCTTAGTAGACTACAGAAAGGCAAAGAACACCCTTCTAAAAGCTGAAATTTTCAAAGCACTAATTTAATTCCTGTGAAGAGTAATGTGTTTTGAGCCTGCCCTTCTTCACTACTTATTTATTTAGCTGAATTGCAGATCAGCTTAAAAAGTCCATTAATGGTGAAATAACCTCTTTCAGAAGGGCAATTGTAAAAAATGTGTCAGAACTTTTATAAATAATAAAATGCCTAGCAAGAAGATTTGCCTTGGAGATTTCTGAAATTCAGGCTGATAGCAGCAACATGCATCTGCTGGTGGGATCCAACAGGTCAGCTCCCTCGCAGCTTTCTATGGTTTTCTTAAGAATGACTCAAAGGGCAATAGGCAGGCCCTAAGGCAAGGGCAATAGGCAGGCCCTAAGGCAAGCGGAATAAGGGAGCTGAGGGAAGTGGAACACTGCTTTTTTGGATGGAATGAGGGTCACCCAGAGGGGCCTTCCCTATCTGATTGTGCTGTCTCCTCCCTCCCCATCCTGGGAAATGAACAAAGAGTCACACAGAGCATCATTGTCAGGGAAGAGAACAGAGCCTGCACCTAAGAGCAGAGAAGCTGTGAATTCGACTTGGTTCTTCCTAAAGTAGGTCTTGGGCAGGAACTCTTATTGTCCCAGGCTAGTGTTCAAGGTGTAAAGCACTGGTTTCTGTTTAAAGACAAAATATCATGTTTTAAGACAAAATATCATGTATCATAAGTATAAGAACTATATTTAAGGGCCACCTGTCAGAAGTATCGTTTTGTGAAACCATGGGTGGCCTGCAAGAGTGGATTTCATGGGAGCAGCTCTCCCTGTAGGCAAAATACTTTTTTTACATCACAGCTTGAACAACATGGCTATTCTTTTTAAGATTCTTGGAATGCTGAATGTCATGCAGTCCTGCAAAAACAGAAGCAAAACCTGGGGAGACCTGATGAAATACCTATGGGAGTATTTGTCTGACAGATTCAGGCATTTGGCATTTTCCCAGGAAAGTCAGTCCTCCAACTGCTGCTTGGTCAGGTTTCCAACCTAATACTATCCCTGAATTCTAACTTATGCAAGTATAAAAAATCTTCAAGAAGGTGTTCAGAAAAAAAATTCACAGCCATTTAAAGTTAACCAAAACCCAAATGCCTGCATTATTTGCCTTTCTCAGTGTGTTGGTAATAGAAGCAGGATGTTTAATAAAATAGAGACAATGCTTCTTGTGGTGAAAACGCCTCATTGATGTTCTCTGCTTCACAGGACCACACCAAGTGCCCTTTACTAGTACATCTTTTGTTGGCTTCAGCTTCAGCCAAAATTTTGAACAACTTTGAGAGAAAATTAGTGCTAGGAAGCATTTTGGGTGTCTATTACTCTGAGACAAAACAGGAACCATTCTTGTTAGGAAAGAAATGCCTGCAAGTTCTAATAGTGAAAGAGAAAGCTACTTGGCTCATCCCCTCTCCCTCCCCCAGCTCTGTCTCAGATTTTTGGAAATGTCTGAACATCGTTTATCTAGATAGCAGCTGACACAGGCCAATGATTCACTTTGGGTTGGCAAAGTGATTTCTTGGGGATAATAGTCTCTTTAGCCTGTGATTGTAGAATTTTTACCCACTCTTTCCGTAATACCAAAAAAATCAACTTAGAAACAAACATATATGAAAGTTGTCTGTAATAAACTTGTAAGGCAGTTTCTTTTATTTTTCATTTTAGGTGGATAAACTTGACGCTACAGTGATATAACTTCCAGCTAATTGCCATCGTCCTCCTGAATTGTCATAGCTTTGGATTTCCTGTTTTGGGGTTGGACAGTGATTAGTGTGAGAGGAAGATTAAATTTCTGGGCTGTTTTTCCACATTTTCTGAAATTCTTTGACCTTATGATCCCATGAAGGGCTTTCCATCAAAGGAAGACTCCTGGCCTCTCTCATCTCCACCCCATTTCCTCCTTCCTATAAAGAGTTGTCACATCCTCCTGGAGATGGGGCAGGTCTTTCTGGGCACCTCCTCAAGGTCTGCCTGCTCAGAGAGGGGTCTGACTCCACCCAAGCTTCCAGCAGCCTGGGTGGGAGAGGCAGATGGGATGGGAGGAATCTGTGGTTGGCAAGTAGTAGAGTGAACTTAATTCTGAAGAGTTATTTAGAGCTAAGAAGCTTATTGTGTCCACACATCTAAGCTTTGTCCTCCAATCCAGCATTTATTTGTGATAATGCTGATTTTTAAAAATCTCCTTCTCTCATAGTTAAATTCTTAAAGACAGAAAGTAGGATGGTGGTTGCCAGGGAGTAGGGGCAGGGAGATATAGGAAGTTATTATCAAATGAGTATATAGTTTCAGATGTGCAGTATGAAAAGAGCTCTGGAGATGAATGGTGGTGATGGTTGCACAACAAAATAAATGTACTTAACAGCACTGAGCTATATATATATATATATTTTTGAGATGGGGTCTTGCTCTGTCGCCCAGGCTGGAGTGCAGTGGCAGGATCTCAGCTCACTGCAAGCTCTACCTCCCGGGTTCACGCCATTCTCCTGCCTCAGCCTCCCGAGTAGCTGGGACTACAGGCACCCACCACCACACCCGGCTAATTTTTTGTATTTTTAGTAGAGATGGGGTTTCATCGTGTTAGCCAGGATGATCTCGATCTCCTGACCTCGTGGTCCGTCCACCTCGGCCTCCCAAAGTGCTGGGATTACAGGCATGAGCCACCGCGCCTGGCCTGAACTATATAGTTAAGAATGGTGGCCGGGTGCAGTGCCTCACTCTTGTAATCCCAGCACTTTGGGAGTCCAAGGCGGGTGGATCACTTGAGGCCAGGAGTTCGAGACCAGCCTGGCCAACATGGTGAAACCCTGTCTCTAATAAAAATAGAAAAAGTTAGCTGGGTGTGGTGGTGCATGCCAGTAATTCCAGCTACTTGGGAGGCTGAGGCAGGAGAATCATTTGAACCCTAGAGGCAAAGGTTGCAGTGAGTGGAGATCATGCCACCACACTCCAGCCTGAATGACAGGCTCTGTCTCAAAAAAAGAAAGAATGGTTAAGATGGTGGTGAATTTTATGGTACATATATTTTACCACAATTAAAAAAATGGAGAAAAAGCTTCTCAGTTTAATTCTTTTCCTGTATTCCCCAATGTTGGGCAGTTTCTGTTTGATTATATATTCAACTACTTGTTTCCATGATTTAAAAGAGCCAAAATCTGGGAATGTTATAAAGGAGGATTCATCCCATGCTCTCTTGTTCCATGAGGGGGCTTCCCCTCAGAATAATTTTTCCAGCCACTCTCCACCTTCTCACTAACTCCTCCCCTTGAGAGGAAGAAACGTGGCTGCCTGCTAGGGGGGCTCTTGCTTGCTCTCTCAACACCACAGATGAGGTCTGGGGCTGTCCATGTCTGCCAGGAGGGGATGGGTGAGTTTAATTCTGGAGTAAATTATTAGGAAGTCAATTAGATTTTACAGTAAGCTGTGTTCTTCAATCCAGTTTTTTTTTTTTTTTTAGATGGAATTTCACTCTGTCGCCTGGGCTGGAGTGCAGTGGCACGATCTTGGCTCACTGCAACCTCTGCGTCCCAGATTCAAACAATTCTCCTGCCTCAGCCTCCTGAGTAGCTGGGATTACAGGTGCCTGCTACCACACGTGGCTAAGTTTTTGTATTTTTAGTAGAGATGGGGTTTCACCACATTGGCCAGGCTCGTCTTGAACTCCTGACCTCAAATGATCCACCCGCCTCGGCCTACCAAAGTGCTGGGATTACAGGTGTGAGCCACCGCGCACCCAGCCCAATCCAACTTTTACTCATTCGTTCATCCACCAAATATTTATTAAGTACCTATTATGTTCCAGGCACTGTTCTAAGCACTTGGGACAGAGTAATAAAGCTTTTTCTTTTCATCTCCATTTGCCCAGTGTCTGGGTTTTAATTCTTCATTGGGGAAGACAAAAACTAGGAAAGGAAAGAAAAAAGTATTATGCCTTGACCCCCTCAAGTCTCTACAGTTCATATATTTTTATTCTAATTAGCTCAATATGGAATACATATCAAATTATCAGTATATCCCAAATGGGATTCAACGCTACCCCATCACCTTCCTTTTAAATTCTAGAAGATGCCAGAAAGATGAAAATTTAGAAAGGAAGGCTAAGGAATAGCAACAACAAAAATGTATAAGCTAAAATCAGGACAATCCGATATTGCCATGCTTAGGGGTTAGCACTAACAGAAATCAACATAAAATGGGTAAGATTAGCCATCTGCAGAAATCATCCCAGGAAATAAGCCACCCAAGAGATGATTCACAAGCATATTGCTAGCAATTTGAGGGTGCTTTCTAAGTCTCACCAAGGGGTCTAGTATGCTTCCTTAAAAGGGAAGTCGTCAATTTAAAATGTAACTAGTGGAAGATTAGCAGTAATTTAAGAAATTGCAAACTGTCATAAGGAAATGACAGAGGTTTGGGATGACAGATAAAGAATATAGAAAATGAATGGTACAGTAGAATTTGTCAGTGTGTACTCACACTCTCTAGCAGAGGAAATGCTCTGATTCTAAAGACTTTTACGTATCTTAGAAATATTCTTAGGACCAAGAACGGCAAATTCATCTTATTCTATAGTTGGACAGCCCCTAATTACAGCCAATCATCTGTCTGCTCTTATTCTATATTCACTGATGAACCACCTCATTTAACCGTTGGCCAAGCACCAGCTCCCATCTGGGTGGCCCAGTGGTCACCACTAATAGTCATCCTGTTAGTTACAATCCCCAGGGTACACTAATGAATGGATATGCTCATTTCCAAACCATTCTTAGTGAGCTGGATCAGGGGAATTGCTCCTCCAGAGCCTGCTTTTCTTAAATCCCTAATAAAATTAATGTGCATTCCATAGTGTTGTATTGCTCAGCATGCTGCTGTCACCCAGGTTCAGTAGTGCACCTAGTTTGTCACTCTCTCATTCTTGTTTTATCCCTCAATGTCATTCATTTCCCATTCGCTCAGGCTCAAAATCTTGAAAACGTTCTTCAAATTCTCTATCTCTATCTTACTTTTAATATTCCATTCAAGTCCAATGGATTTTTCCTTCTTATTTTTTTGTCTCCCTAGTCTAGGCCCTGAGGACATCATTATTATGTGGCAAAAAAGTATTTCAAAATACCCACGCCTGCTCCTATGCTCACCTAAATCATTCATTTTTTTCCTAAGACCCTTCCCCCAATTAGAGAGGGAGGCCAGAGACACCCATGGTCCCCACAGAAGCCACGAAAGGCAGCAAAGGCAACCGATGCCTGATCCTTAAATTCAAAAGTCTCTGGTCTTGGGGTAATACTGAAAGATTTGGATCCACAGGAAAGACTCTCTTAGCTAGACTAGAAAAAGAAGAATCTCTAAGCTGGAAAAGAGGAAAATGAGGGGAGGGTTTGGCAAGGAAAAAGAGAGAGAGTTAAATGTATGTGTGGGGAGCATGTGCCCTGCCTTCTGCTTCCTCAGGATGAGCCCTGAGAGGGGACAGAATAGATCCCCTTAGTTAACTTTAGAGACCCATGGAAAGAAAGTTCTTCTGATACAGTGGGACTGGAAGACAGCAGACAGTGAAATGTGCAGAGAAACCTGCACCGGCCGCCCTGCAGTCATGGAGAAGCAGCTGCGGGAAAAAATGGCAGTGTGGCTCCCACTTGCGTGTCTGCTGGAGACAATTTGCCTAGTGCCCATGGGCTGGAGTGGTGTTGACGGAGTGGAAAAGTTCCCGTGGCCCTCCGAGAGGGAACCCAGGTTATTTAAGACAAGGACCTACAAAGTGTCTCCCAGCCATCGTGAGGGAACCTCTCCTAAGGAGGAGTCTGTGTAGGCCGCCTTTGCTCCCATGACCTCCAGCCTGGGTCTGAGGGGCCTCTCATGTGTCCTACACAAAGGACAAACAAGATGGGGACTCTGGAAACAGCCTCCACCATAGCGTTAGGGCTGAAACAAATGTCTCTCACTCCTACCTTCCTACCCTGTCCACACCCTCTTGAATTGATGGAGTTCAAAACCCTGAGAAAATGCAGAATTGGACTCATTTTACCTGGAAGTGACTAGACTAAATTTTCTGCAGCAATTCGAATGGAAACAGTGCTGGAGAAATGAATTATAGGACAGTTATGGGTTTTATTTATGCTATTGTTGCATACTTGAGTAGGGCCTTTAAAATTTGTACCTGCTATCCTCATATTACCAAAATATCTTTTTAATAAGCTCCCTGCATCCATTTTACATATTGCTGCCAAATTAATTTCCCTAAATGCCCACTTTAACAATGCATTCCGATGGCCCCCTGTTGTTTTCAGGATGAAGTCCAAACTCTTCATCCCTGAGGCATTGGGAAAGGTCCTACACCATCTGCTCCTCAACTCCTTTTTAACATTTTACCTTCTGCCATTTTCAATAGGAACCCTCTTTTTCCATAAAGCCAGCCTCTGACTTCCAGCCTCTCTGCCTTTGTTCATCATCTCTAATCGTCTTCACCATGTCTAAAATGTTCTCTCTGCTTCTTTCTTTTATATAAATCTAAACTTACCTCAGTCATTCAACAACTGGTTTTCTCAAAGTCCATCCTTGCAGTTTCCTGAACACACCTATCCAGTTTCATGTTTCTGTGTCATAAGAAAAGTAGCAATGAATGGCTACGGGAAATGAGAGAAAGAACAGATTACCTAAGGATGGGCAGCCAGGGAAGCCTTCCTAGAAAGTGTGTGCATGTGCTGGGCCATAGAAGTGGAAAAGATTTAAACATACAGAGACAGAAAAGATGAGAGAAGAGGCGTTTACAGGGAAGAAATACAGTTATCAGCAAGAAAACCACCCATGTGTTTGGGGATTATTGAATGGTTGAATTAAGGACAAACTGAGTTCCCCATTTTATTAACTCCTGAAATAGTTATTACCTATACCACTAACTCTTATTTGTAGTTGATATTTATATCCATACCATATCATCTCACCATATATACGATTTTACATAAATTATCTAACAACCTGAGTAGTAAAACAGTTCATGGAAAATGAACTGTAGAAAAATGTTACATGGATGTGGGTGGTGTGTCTTAAAGATCACAGATAATTTCTAACTGAGTAGCATTACCTTTATTAATAATAACACATGAAAAGTTAAGGAAACTTCAGTTCTGGATCTGAGCACTGACTTCTCTGTGAAGCTAAGTGCCATTTATCTCTCAATTAGAGCTTTTAGGAGAAGAAATATCTAAGATGACAGATGGCAAGATTTAACAATAATAATTAGAAAATCTGGATATAGTAAATGCAACTGGAGAGAAGGCGGTAGACATGGAAGAGAGAACAAGATGATCCAACATAAGGATAACAGGCATTCCTGATACAGAGAACTAAAAACAAGACAAAAAGGTGGTCAAACATATGATTTTTAAAAATACAGGACTGTCTCCTCCATGTTTCAGTTGTCTCTGATCCTTAATGTCACCGCTAAAGGACTAGTTCTTCTTGGCAGGACGTTGCGGCTCTAACACTGCAAGTTGGAAAACTGAATTTATTTTGCCATAGAAAATACGTGTTTAAATATAGTTAAATTCCTTTATTATCAGTTCAAGTAAATTTTGAGTTAAATGGGCTTTTGTGGGCTGGTTTATTTACAGAGTCAATGTTTTTAGTATGGCCTGTATGTGAAAACATGTTCTAAGTGAGAAACTTCTAACTTGGAAATAAACCTTCTGGAACATAAACCAGTTTTTAATTTGGGACATATCTGCATTTCTTTTGTAATAGCTTCAGAACCTAGCAGAAAACTACACTCAGAGCAGGAGTTTAGTAAATATCTATTGGGAAAAAATTTAATGTATGCAGGTGATTATTTCTGAATTCACCGGTTAAGAACAGTAATAGTTCGTGTGCCGGATGTGAAGTGTTCACATTCTTCAAATGATAATCATGGGAAATCAAAGCACAAAACAGTCACTGAACACTATAATAAATATTCTCACAGCAGGAGAGATGGTGGCTACCTCATGTTATCGTCTCCTTCAGAAGCTGTAGATGGAACAAAACTGACATGAATCAGCAAAGTGAAACAATATATTCTAAGGACCTTCAGGATTAACTGTACTTATGATTCCACTGGGTCTTTTGGGAAGGAATATAATAATTTCCACTCTGAAATCACCTTTAATTCATTTGTTCATGCATTTACTTAATTTATAATTTATCATTTATTTATTCAGTAAATGTAAGAATTTCCTACCACTGTGGCAACTGATACTACAAATTTAGAAGCCTAAACAACACAAATGTATTGACTCAGTTATATAGGTCAGAAGTACAGGTGGAAATCAAGGTATCAGCTGGCTGGTCTCTTATCTGGAGGCTCTGGAAAGAATCCACTTGGAAGCCATTCAAGCTGTTGGCAAAATCCAGTTCCTTACGGTTGTAGGACTGAAATCCTCATATCCTTTCTGGCTGCCAGCTGGGGGCTTCCCTGAGTTCCTAGGTGTCTCTCTGGTCCTTGCATGTGGGCGTCTACATACAAGAGCCAACAACAGGGCATTAACCATTCTCACTCTCAGACCTCTCTGATCTCCCCTCATCTGGATAATTCAGAATAGGGCCCACCCTCTTTTAAGGTCTCTAGCCTTAATTTTATCCACAAAATGTCTTTTGCCATTTAATATAGCATCCTCACAGGATCCAGAAAACTGAGTGTGAACTTCTTTGGGGGGCCATTCTGCACACCACAGTCAACAATTATTGTTATTACAGACTTAAAAAAATTCTGTACTCAATGAATAGCAGAAAAAAAAAGCGGGTCATTAACCTGTTGAAGCTCTGCCAAGAAGTGATCTCTTAGTCACATGTTTCATGAATAATCTTATTTTTTAGCTTTAAAAGAATCATTTCAACCCTTAGCTATATGAGCGGTTCTCCAGTGATTACAAATTATCAAAACATATTTTTTATTTTGGAGTCATGAACAGCATATGGACATTGTGTGCAAATATATAGCAAGCTATGCCCTGTGTAACTAATTTGTTGCCAAATCTATGGTGTGGGGATGTAAGAATTCTTATCCACTGTTGCTGAGAAGTAATTTGTTACATTTCTGGAGGGTGATTTGGCAAAATATAGAAAAGACTAAAAACATGCATATTCTTTGACACATAAATTGCCCTTCTAGGAATTTCTGTTAATAATGGATATGGATAAACCTTTCATTACAAAGATATTCAAGACCACATAATATATGTTCATAAAGGATTAATGTAATCTAAATATACAAGAGAATGGTTAAATAAATTATACTTCTTTCATACAATAAAATGATTATGATAATACTCCTAGAGTGGTTTAGAGATCTGACATCATAAGGGACCTGTGTCCCCAAGTCAGAACCAAAGCTGGAAGAACGGAAAGGTCTCAGATTTTCTCCATGCCCAATAAATGCAGAAGCAGAAGAGACATCTGGATGGGGAATCCAGGCCACATTCCTGATGGTCCAGCAGCAGTAGAGAGCACGATTTCCCCATCCCCGAGAATAGCACAGTTGTGGTGAAAGAATGTAGACTCTAAGAGTTTTCCATAACTCCAGAGCAACACGATCAGCCTGTCCAAGGTTCCTGAGAGATAATCAGACCTGGAGAGACCATGTGGTCAGGATTCCTGCATAGATCAGAAGCTGAGAAGCAGGCAGGTAGGAATGTAAATCCATGCAAGCTCCTTGGAAGTTTTAGATGCAAGCCTAGGCCTGGGGGGAAACCATGAATTGGCTGAGATTTGTTTTTGCTACCCGTAGACTAAGAGTTAGAATAAAAATTAAGCTGAATGCTGGAAAATAAAATTATATCTGATATTTCTACATACAACATATAAGTAGGGAGAGAAGTAGATACTTTATAATAATAATAATGGCTATCTCTCTAGATGTTATTATGAGTGATCTTAATTTTATTATCTGAGATTTCCTATATTTTCACACGTTAAAATAATGAAGTAGGTATGAGTCTCAAATGTAGGAGGAATATTGTAATTCTTTATTTTCTGTTACTCAGCCTAACATAGCCTCTAAGCACCAGCCCTGTCCAGCAGGTAATTCTACCTAAATTACTGTGTCAAGGTGTGTAAGTGTGTGTGGATAAGAGGAGGATCCCTCTTGTCAGTAATTATCTGTTCATACTGGTTCCCACTGGGTCATCTATTGTCAGCCACCCCATGGTTCCTTTGGCATACAGTTCTTCATTAGTATTTCCTTAAAATCCTTTTTTATTTCTATAAGAAGAGTAGTGATGCCCCCTATTTCACTACTGGTTTTAGCACTTTGAGTCTTCTCTCTCTGTCGCTCCCTGTTTCTCTCTGTCTCTGTCTCTCTCTCTGTCTCTCTCTCTCTGTCTCTCTCTCTCTTTCTCTCAGTCTGCCTTTTAAAAATCCTGGTCAGTCTAGCTAAAGATTTGCCAATTTTGTTGATCTTTTCAAAGAGCCAGCTTTTGGTTTTGTTGATGTCTCTATTGTTTTTCTATTCCCTATTTCATTCATTTGTGCTTTAATCTTTATTATTTTCTTCTACTTGCATTGGGTTTAGTTTTCTCTTTTCCTGTTTTCTTAAGGTGAATGTTAAAGTTATTGACTAGAGATCTTTCTTTTGTTTTAAATATACGTGTTTATAGCTATAAATTTCCCTTTATGCATTGCACTGTCTTAACTGCATGCCATAAGTTTTGGATGTTGTGGTTTAATTTTCATTCAAATAATTTTTGAATTGAATGAAAAATTTAATTTCTTCCATGTGAAAATTAATTTCCCAGTGATTTCTTCTTTGACCATTGATTATTTAAAAATGTATTATTAGGCCAGTGGTGGTGGCTCACACCTGTAATTCCAGCACTTTGGGAGGCCAAGACAAAAGGATCACTTGAATCCAATAGTTCAAGACCAGCCTGGGCAACATAGCAAGACCCCATCTCTACAAAAAATAAAAAAATTAGCCGGGCGTGATGGCACACATCTGTAGTCCCAGCTATGTAGGAGGCTGAGGTAGGAAGATCACTTGAGTCTGGGAGTTGGAGGTTGCAGTAAGCCATGATCATGCCACAGCGTTTAGCCTGGGTTACAGAGCAAGACCCTGTCTCAAAGAAAAGGAGGGTATTTAATTTTCACACATTTGTGAATTTCTCAGATTTCCTTCTGTTATTGATTTTGGATATAACTCTATTATGATTGGAAAATATTTTATGTATGATTTCAATCCTTACATTTATTGAGGCTTCTTTTATGGCCTAACACATAGTCCATCTTGGAGAATCCTATAATTGCACTTGAAAAGAATGTGTACCCCTCTGTAGTTGGGTGGAATATCCTATCAATGGCTTTTTTTCTTTTCTTTTCTTTCTTTTTTTTTTTTTTGAGACAGAATCTCGCTCTGTTGTCCAGTATGGAGGGCAGTGGCGTGATCTTGGCTCACTGCAACCTCTGCCTCTTGGTTCAAGTGATTCCCCTGCCTCAGCCTCTCAAGTAGCTGGGACTACAGGCATGTGCCACCACGCCCGGCTAATTTTTTGTATTTTAGTAGAGATGGGGCTTCACCATGTTGGTCAGAATGGCCTCGATCTCCTGACCTCATGATCTGCCTGCCTGGGCCTCCCAAAGTGCTGAGATTATAGGCGTGAGCCACCGTGCCTGGCCCCTACCAATATCTTTTAAGTCTAGTTGGCTTACAATATTGCTCGAGTCTTTGATTTCCTTTTAATCTTCTGCCAAACTGTTCTATCCATTATCAAAAATGGGATATTGAAGTCTCCAATTATGCCAGATTTTGCTTCTCCTAGAAGCAGAAGGCATGGCACCCCACATAGGGCCACGGTGGGAAGCAGAAGGTTGGTCAGGAGACAGAGGAAGTGAGGACAGAACATGGGCAAGAGCATTTATTATTTATTGTTATTTCTGTGGGAAGGAACAAGCAAGGCAGGGTAAGCACGTCAAGAATTTTCTAGTTTGAACAATTTCAGGGCTCTGGGGCACAAAGTTTGCCACTAGTTGTCTTGTACCTGGCCTTGGAGTGATTAGGAAAGGGGAATAGTGAGCCAGAGTATAAGATTCCATAAAGGAGGTGGCTGGGGGTATAGACTCCAGATTGGATGGTTGGTGTATTAGTCACGGTTCTTTAAAGGGACAGAACTAACAGGACAGATGTATATATGAAGGGAAGTTTATTAGGAGAATTGACTCACATGATCATGAGATGAACTCCCACAGTAGGCCCTCTGCAAGACAAGGAGCCAGGAAGCCAGTTCAAGTCCCAAAACCTCAAAAGTAGGGAAGCTCATAGTGCAGCCTTCAGTCTGTGGCCAAAGGCCTGAGAGGCCCTGGTAAATCACTGGTGTAAGTCTCAGAGTCCAAAAGCTGAAGAACTTGGAGTCTTCAGCTTTTGCTCGAGGGTACAATGTTCGAGGGTATGATGCATCCAACACAGGAGAAAGATGGAGGCCAGAAGACTTAGCTAATCTAGTCCTTCCACATTCCTCTGCCTGCTTTTATCCTAGCCATGCTGGCAGCTGATTAGATGGTGCCCGCCTAGATTATGGGTGGATCTGCCTTTCCTAGTCCACTAGCTCAAATGTTAATCTCCTTTGGCAACAGCCTGGCAGACACACCCAGGAACAATACTTTGCATTCTTCAATCCAGTCAAGTTGACACTTACTATTAACCATCACAAGTCCAACCCTTGTCAACTTGAACCCATACATATTTTCTGAAATCATACATAATCTTCAAATAAAGGCAATAATAAGGTCATAATTATGCCTAACATAATACAGCTATCCTTTGCACAACTGGAAATGCACCAATCCCCAACCCAAATGCTATTACATAAAGTTAACAATACTTAAATGCTGATATGAAGTCAATAAATATCTACGTCACATGATAAAGGAAAAAGAAAGGAAATAAAATGAAGATGTTTTCTTAGTACAAGTGTATACATGCACAAACATGTTCTTAAAATAAGGAGGAAACAGTCATGACAATTACAGTCCTTGTTTCTGCAACTGGTCATATGGTCATAGCTGGTATTGATGACCACCTTCTTCTACTACCCATTCTGTATCCCCTTTGCCTTCAGCAAGCACCTTGGCAGATCATGGTTTTTTACCTGGTGAAGTGACCCAAACCTTCATTCCTGAAGGGTCTGGGCCAATTGTAGTCTGCCTGGATTGAGCTGTTGTACCTTCCCATTGACCTTAATCACAGGGCATGGTAATACTAAGAAGTGCTCTTAGGGTGTCCTATATTCCACGCCTATTCTTCCTTACTTCCAGAGTGGAGTAGTAGACTGATTTCATCTTGATAGTCTGGGTCAATCACCCCAGCCAACACTGTAACTCCCTTTTTAGCCCACTGACTTAGAGATAGGAGGAACTCAAAGTGGCTAGGTGGCAATCTTAACTGCCAGTTTAATGGAATCATTGTTATGTCTCCTGGTGGCAGCATCCCTCCCTCTGAAACTAAGACCTCTAGGCCAGCAGAATGTAATGTCACAGGAACGGGAAGCAAAAATTTTGCTAGTGGGTCACTAGGGGTGATGGTAAGTGGTGCCACTTCCACTTCCACCCCTTGATTCCCGGACCCATGAATCCTGGCTATGGGAGAAACAGTACCACATATGGGACACTGATACACAGCATACACAGCCTTCTGGAGAAATTTGCTCCCGGCCCTGTAAAGTACTGTCACCTAGTTGGTGGTGTAACTGTGACCCATTCCACCATTTTGTCAACCCAGCTGCTTCAGGATGATAGGGAACAGTTGGCATATGAAAGATATGCCTGCAGGTGAGTCATTTACTATCTTTAGGAATTGGCTAGCCCTGGGAGAGTCAGTCCCTGCAGGGTCAGTTTATTAGTCTGTTTTCACACTGCTATAAAGAACTTCCCTGAGACTGGGTAATTATAAAGGAAGGGGTTTAATTGACTTACTGTTCTGCATGGCTTGAGAGGCCTCAGGAAACTTACAATAATGGTGGAAGGGGAAGCAGGCACCTTCTTCACAAGGCAGCAGGAGAGAGAAGAATGAAGGAGGAACTTCTAAACACTTATAAAACCATCAGATCAGCCAGGTGTGGTGGCTCACACCTGTAATGCCAGCACTTTGGGAGGCCAAGGCGGTTGGATCACCTGAGGTCAGGAGTTTGAGACCAGCCTAGTCAACATGGTGAAACCCCATCTCTACTAAAAATACAAAAAATTAGCCAGGCGTGGTGGTGGACGCCTGTAATCCCAGCTACTCAGGAGGCTGAGGCAGGAGAATTGCTTGAACCTGGGAGGCGGGGGTTGCAGTCAGCAGAGATTACACCATTGCACTCCAGCCTGAGCAACAAAAGTGAAATTCTGTCTCAAAAAAACAAAAAAACAAAAAACAAAAAACAACCCATCAGATCTCATGAGAACTCACTCATTATTATGAGAACAGCATAAAGGAAACCGCCCCCATGATCCAATCACCTCCCTCCCTCGACATGTGGGAATTACACGTGAGATGAGATTTGGGTGGGGACACAGAGCCAACACATCATTCTGTCCCTGGCCCCTCCCAAATCTCAAGTCTTTTCACATTTCAAAACTTATCATGCCTTCCCAACAGTCCCCCAAAGTCTTAACTCATTTTAGCATTAACCCAAAGTCCACAGTCCAAAGTCTCATTTGAGACAAGGCAGTTTCCTTTTGCCTATGAGCCTGTAAAATCAAAAGAAAGTTATTTACTTCCAAGACGCCATGGAGTACAGGCATTGGATAAATGCTTTCATTCCAAATGGGAGAAATTGGCCAAAACAAAGGGAATGCAGGCCCTATGCAAGTCTGAAACCCAGCTGTCATTAAATCTTAAAGCTGCAAAATGATCTCCTTTGACTCCATGTCTCACATCTGGGGCATGCTGAAGCAAGGGGTGGCTCCCACAGCCTTGGGCAGCTCCTTCATGCGTTGGCATTGAGTGCCTGCCGCTTTTTCAGGCACATGGTGCAAGCTGTTGAGGGATCTACAATTCTGGGGTCTGGAGGATGGTAGCCCTCTCCTCACAGCTCCACTAGGCAGTGGCCCAGTGGGGACTCCGTGTGGGGGCTCCAACCCTACATTTCCCTTCTGCACTGACCTGGCACAGGTTCTCCATAAGGACTCCACCTGTGCAGCACACTTCTGCCTGGAAATCCAGATGTTCCCAGTCAGCAAGGCCTCAAGATGTCAGATAATTAAAAATATAGATTTAAAAGACATGGTTAATACACACTCTATAATCTACCACATAGAAGATATACCATATAGCTTCTCTGGAATTCTGTCACCTCCCCAGGGAGTCCCAGGGCATAGGAAGAAGGTCCTCTTTGCCCTGGAAACCCTGAGCATGTGTGCCCTCCCAGTTAGGGAGTGCCCAGTCCCTCTTTAGAGCACAGGCTTTTCGCTCTAATCCAATCCTGCCTGGTGAGCTTTCACAGCATATCTGGTGGCTCACTGTCTGAAGAGCCTGAATCATTGGCAATCCCTGAAACTAGTGACCCTTTCCTCGAGATGAGGGAGGGTTTAATCTGCCATGAGAGGAGGAAAATTTTTTCGTTTCATTCCTCTAGTGCAGCAAAATAGGGAAGATAAAAACAGAACAGTTCAGATTTTACATTTGAACTGTTCAGATTTTACATTTAAAATCTGACTATTTATATTCTGTCACACATATACACATATATGTTGTATATATGTAATGTTGACATCAGAGAAATACAAAGATAAATAGTAATGTAAATATCCCTAACCATTCTTTAAGGCCTACCTCAATTGCCACGCTTTGGCTTTCTCATTTATTCTGTCCTCCTTCCAGTAATGTTAACTTCTCCCTCTTTTTGTTCAATAGTGCTTGGTCATGCCTCTTTTAGATCACTTTTCATTCTGAATTACTGTTATTTGTATGTATATATGTGTCTTCTGCTACAATGGTCATCTTTATGTGAAAACCCAATATTTAGACAGAGAGTAGGAACTTTTAAAAAGAAAGGATGAAATGGATGTGATTTCCTCCAAAAAGTAATAACATTAAATAATAAAAGAGAAATCCTCTGATTTTGCCTTTCATTTGTTTGATGATTTCAAAGTTTTAATGAAAATAAAGTTCTGTCTCCCTGAAGAAATTAAACAATTAAAAAAGAGTGGCCTGGCCTGGTGGCTCACACCTGTAATCCCAGCACTTTGGGAGGCTGAGGTGGGCGGATCACCTGAGGTCAGGAATTTGAGACCAGCCTGGCCAACATGACAAAACCCCATCTCTACTAAAAATACAGAAATTACCTGGGCATGAGGGTGTGCCCCTGTAATCCCAGCTACTTGGGAGGCTGAGGAGGGAGAATTGCTTGAACCCTGGAGGCGGAGGTTGCAATGAGCCAAGATCGTGCCACTGCACTCCAGCCTGGGTGACAGAGTGAGGCTCTGTCTTTAAAAAAATAAATAAATAAATAAAATTAAATTAAATAAAGTAAAAATAAAAAATAGTCATCACTTACTTAGGGGAGAGTCAGTCACAAGCACTCCCAGCAATGAAGACTAATTCTAGCTATGCCTGTGAGGTAAAAACTGATTCAGAGCCACGTGGATGAGGAGAGAAAAGAGAAGGTAAGGGACTGTGGACAACAGACTAGAGAAAAACTGAAGCGTGAGGAAGCAGATGTACTCAGTGGTAGATTTGTGAGCTTCTCTGTTACTCATCCCTGAAACAGGCCTTGAAGATGTTTCTGTCCATCTGTAGCTGGAAGCCCCTATATGAGTTCTAGACTCTGTCCCTAGGAAGAAATAAAGATCCTCCCTAGGACCAGTTCTGTAATTCTGGACCTATTTCAGTAATAAAGAATATGACCTAAAGTCATAAAAGATAAGTTAATATGGAAGTGTGTCTTCTTTTTTTTTGTGGGGGGGAAGAGTCTCACTCTGTCACCCAGGTTGGAGTGCAGTGGCGCTATATGGGCTCACTGCAAACTCCGCCTCCGGGGTTCAAGTGATTCTCCCACCTCAGCCTCCTGAGAACCTGGGATTACAGGCGCTTATCACCGCACCTGGCTAACTTTTGTATTTTGAGTAGAGACAGGGTTTCGCCAGGTTGGTCTTGAACTCCTGACCTCAAGTGATCTGTCTTGGCCTCCCAAAGTGCTGGAATTACAGCCATGAACCACTGTGCCTGGCCTGGAAATGTGTATTTTATAGATGTGGTAGATGGGGAAGCCAAGTTTAATATCCTTTAATATTTAAACTAAATAGAAGCTTCTCTTTGGAACTATGGCCAAATGGAGATTTTTCTTCATGTTACTATGAACTTTTATGTCACATCCAATGTCTTCTGGCTTGCAGCTCTGATGAAGTAGCATAGATTCTGAGTTGGTAGAAAGGTTGTAAGAACAATGTAAAGAGTAGCCAGAGTGGGTTAAAAATTCTGTGCCATTCTCTCTAAGCCTGAGTCTTTTAGTTTTGATTAAAAAGAGCACAGTGAATGAATTACTTAGATCCCTTCCTAAGGGGCTTGCTGGCTTAGAGACCACACTGATAAAACAAGAAAGATTAACTACACTCCATTTCTGATATGTGGCCCAGACTCTCTTTGGGTGAATGACGAGGCCTAGTTTTGGTTACACAGACGACTGAGTAGATTTTTCAGGTGAGAACAAGTGGAAAAGGCAAGAATACAGTATATGATGTATCTAATTGTAATTTTTATGTATATTATCTAAAAATAATGGCATAAATGGGCATGCCTATCTTTAGTTTCTTGGTATAAAAATGGGATAAAATAGGGGTCCGAGTGCGGTGGCTCATGCCTATAATCCCAGCACTTTGGGAGGCCAAGGCGGGTGGATCATGAGGTCAGGAGATCGAGACCATCCTGGCTAACACAGTGAAACCCTGTCTCTACTAAAAAATACAAAAAATTAGCCAGGCGTGGTGGCGGGCGCCTGTAGTCCCAGCTACTTGGGAGGCTGAGGCAGGAGAATGGCGTGAACCCGGGAGGTGGAGCTTGCAGTGAGCCAAGATCGAGCCACTGCACTCCAGCCTGGGCGACAGAGCAAGATTCTGTCTCAAAACAAAACAAAACAAAACAAAAAAAAAGGGATAAAATATCAGAAACATTAAAAAATATCTATACTAAAGCAAAGTAAAATTTATAAACATTAAACTTTGACTGTCATCAGTACTTTTAATATAACTTTAATTTTTACATTGGGGCTAAGTAGAAAATAAATATTCCATTAAGTATTGGTTCCATTTATGCTCTGTAACTTTTCAGTTCTGCTCACTCATTATTTGTAGTGTTTGAAGACTTAAGGAGATAGGGTATAAACATTTGTCACTTTGGTCTATTCTGCCTTCAAGTAGCAAAGCCTAGATTATCTGCAAACTTTAATCACCGTGGCTAGGTCTTTATCTGTGCCTTGCAACTGGCTGATTCTGTCCCTCTAGTCATGGTCCTGGATTCCTACCACATTGGATAACTTCCTTCCTAGAGCAGGGCATTCCTCTACCCAGCCACCAGGACAACAACCTGAGGAGAACCCTCGGTGGAGGCAGAGCTCTCCTTTTCATCAGGTTGATCACTTGGTGATCGCCATGAGGTGACCACATGAGTGGTCACTCATTCATGAGAAATGGACTTAACCTTCGGAACTGCTTTGGTAAATCTTTTTTTTTTTTTTTGAGACGGAGTCTTGCTCTGTCACCCAGGCTGGAATGCAGTGGCACGATCTCTGCTCACTGCAAGCTCTGCCTCCCGGGTTCACGCCATTCTCCTGCCTCAGCCTCAGGAGTAGCTGGGACTACAGGCGCCTGCCACCACGCCTGGCTAATTTTTTGTATTTTTAGTGGAGACGGGGTTTCACCGTGTTAGCCAGGATGGTCTCGATCTCCTGACCTTGTGATCTGCCCGCCTCGGCCTCCCAAAGTGCTGGGATTACAGGCGTGAGCCACCGCCGGTCATATTGAGTTCCCACATTTTACAATCATTCACAGTGCTTGATACAATCACTTTTTGTCCTGAAGGAGTTTTGCCTGCTTTTTTATTAGAACCATATTTTTATTATCCAACCTCAGAGATAAAATACTTGCAGAAATTCTACCCTATCATGTTCACATCAATTTGCAAATTCCAGATACTTCTGGATATATACAATATTAATTCCACGCCATTTAAAGGACCCTTTCATCTAAGTCTCAAGTTGGCTGTTTGTAGTAATGTCAGACTTTCAGAAGAGGCCCCTGATAATGTAAATTGGTGTTCTTTTAATTACCATCATTCTTGCTTCTCATAATGTGAGCCTTCCATCTGGGTTCTAGATGGAAGGTACTAGTTTTTGGTGAAGATTGGAATTGAATCAAATGGATGGTTTGTTGACCAAACGATGAAAAAACAAGATAATCAGAAAAATTTGTGTAAATTTTTAAAGTGTGTTTCCTCCCTCCCCCCAAAGTGAATGAAAATACTTATTAAGTAAGGGATCATTGCATTCTACTCATACCCATGTATGAGACTTTAATTAAACAATTTTCTGCTATTAGATATGTTTCCAGCTTTAACCTATAAAGACTAACATTATGCTGCATATTCATGATTGCTGTTTCTGTTTAAAGTTAATTTTTTAAAGCATTAATCAAAATACTTAATGTTATGCTATTTCTGTTTTAAAGCTCTTATTTTTTTAAAGCATTAATCAAAATATTTCATGTTATGAACATAACATTTATTAAATGTAGAATTTTAAGGAAATGTGCCTAGGAAAAAAGAAGAGATGAAAAGTTGTTCATAATACCACTACTTCTAATGCTTTGGGGTTTTAGTATACCTATTTCCAGAATGCAAAGTATTCCTGTAGGATGAGTGAGATCTTGTGATACGCAACAAGCTATAAATTATATATGCAAAGTAGATAAAATTCCTCATTAAATAGTAAGCTTCCATTATTTAAATTTTAGCAAACGTTTAAATTATATCTATAAAAGTCATCTCTCTATATTTCATCTCTATTTCTCCCCAAGCCCCTGAAGCCCAGTAAAATTTATTTTAGATGTGGTTTATAATGTTTGGAATGACAGCTACCATGAATATAAGCAGATATTCATTAAAGAACAAAGGCTAGCAATCAAACGATTTTGAGATCCCTGAAACTGAATTCTAAAATTTCCTGGGCAAAGATGAAGTAATACAAACCCCCCAAACCTGCCCAACCTGGCCAGAGATTTCCCAAATGTCCCTGGGAACTCAGAGCTGCTGCTGCGTTGCCGACTAGTCCAGAGGCAGATCACTGGCTCACAGGAACAAGAGACAAGGCTGATGTGTCCCCAACTAGGGATTGCTCTTCCGTATGCATCAAGCGATGCTCGCTTTCCTCTTCCCTCCAGCAAAATGTCCAAAAGGGAGATTATGCCTGACTTATCTACTACAGCTTTTTAGAGTAAATAATGAAAAAGCTGAGAAATAACTAATAGATCCTATTAATTTGAATCTTCAAAATAAAGTCTGACAGTTTCACAACAAAGGCAAATGAGCTATCTCAGGTTGGGGAGGTGGGCTGTGATACCTGGTCATATTAAAAAAATCTTATTAGCATCTAAAACAGTTTTGGAATAAATAAGCAGGTTTAGTCCTGCATGACTCAGAACTGACACTGATCTTATTTTACATTTTACAAAGGTTTGAAAAGGGAGAGAACATGCTAAGACATCCAGCGCACACCTGACATCAGGCTCCTCTGCGCACCAACATGCTGAGCCAAGTGGAAGCTACAAGCAGATCTTTTAAAGCAGAAATGAGCCATTGAAAGAGCTTCAGTGTTGGTAAGCATAAGCAGACAAATGTAGGGAATAATGAGGTAAACTGTGCTTATTGGATTATGGATTCACAATAGAGTATTTCTAGCATCTTACTTTGTGCTGGGCACCCTGTTAGATGCTGTCACACATTTTTTTTTTAAACATAATCCTCAAAACAAATGCTGCAAAGTCATTTATACTCATTTTACATATAAAGAATCTGACATTGGAAAGTGTAAGTTACCCAAGGCCAAAGCCCGCACAAGAGGCAGAGCCATCCTGGAGCACAGCCTTCATGGGCCACTGAGTTAGAATCCAAGGAGAGGTGTGGAAAGGGCTATAGACTTCACTCCGTAAACTCTGGCATAGCTTTTACTGTAGCAAACACTGTTAATACATTATTTTAGACATAATTATGAAAAATGTTAGAAAATAAATACAAATTACTACCCTAGCCTAATAACACAGCACTTTTTTTATATTTAGAATTGTATGTGTGATCTTAACATACAACTTTTCCAAAAAGAGATGTGCCAGACTTGGAGAAGTTCCAGTGATCAGCAATAAAAACAAATCTGCTCCTAGCAAGTGGTTCCTGATTAACTCAGTGCATCCTGATAATATGCTGCTCGGCAATATCATCACAGCTACACAAAAGCTCAAGTTCCATAACACTATAATATTCTTGCATATAAATGTTAACTTTGAACTTTTCTGTTTTCTCTGAAACAGGAAATGAAGATCTGCTGTTTTTTTTTTTTTTTTTTTTTTGTCCCCTCGTCCTACCTGCATCTATTTCCAGTTATGCCTTCCTTTTGGGGAACCTCTCCGCCTGCTATAACCCAGTCCCACCTTGTCAGTATGCAGCGATTGGCTCAGAAGTAGCCCTGTGACTCAGGTTTTCAAATCAGCACCATTCACATTACCTGGTGTATTAATTTCCTGGGGCTGCTGCAACAAATTACCACAAACTTGGTGGCATAAAGTAACTGAAATTATTCCCTTGCATTTCTGGAGGCCAGGAGTCTGGAATCTGTTTTAAGGAGCCAAAATCAAGTTGTCAGAGGGCCACGCTCCCTCCAGGGGCTCTAGGGGAGAGTCTGTTCCTTGCTAATTCTGTTGGCTGCAGGCATTCCTTTACTTGTGGCCCCATCACTCCTATCTCTGCCTCAATAGTCACACTGCCTCCTCCTGTTCTGTGTGTGGGGTCTCCCTCTGCCTCTCTCTTATAAAGACATTTGTGATTGCATTTGGGGGACATCTGCAATATTCAGATTAAATCTCCCAGGTCAAGAATCTTAAAGTAATCACATCTTTGAAGACTGCTTTTTCCTCATACGGTAGCATTTGCTTGTTCCAGGATTAGAACTTGATATCTTTGGGTGACTGTTATTCAACTAATTATACTTAGGCAGAATTAATGAGACGAAATATTGTTTCTTTTATTCTGGATGTGGGCTCTGACTGTGTGAGTCTGCAGATATATTGCTATTAACAGGAGAGTACCTACCAGCAAATAGGATCAGCAGAGGGAGAAAGTAGATAAGCAAGACAGAGAGAAACAGGGGCCTGATGACATCATTGTAGGATTCAAGCCGACCGAAGTGAGGCCAATGTCTGGACTACAAATTACGTAAGCCAGTAAATTCCCTTTCTTGCTTAAGACGTTTTTTGTTTTTCTTTTTGCAAACATAAAGCCTAATATAAGTTACATCTTCACTATTAGACTAAAACTTCTGGAAAAGTACTCACATTAGGTCCATTCATAATCTTAGGGATTTTGGAAATTTTGTATTTAAACCCAATGCTCTGGAATACCCACATGTGCATTTTATGAACAGTTACTTTGAGTCGAAGACAGAGTCCAGGTCTTCCTGAGAATTCTTGTGAGGTTTATTTTTCCTCTTTCCATTGTCCAAAGATGTTCCTTATCCTGGCCTTTCATCTTGTTTTTCTTTTAGCATCACCTGACTCCCACTCCATTTCTCTTTTTTTCTCACCTCAAAGGTCTCCTAATTGAAATGTGCTGAAGCAATTGAAATGTGGTACCTTGGCAAATTACTGTCAGACACTGTGGCCTTTGGACCAGCTAGAAGCTTGTCACGAAAGGTGACAGTGTATGTTGGTGGAAATTTAGAAAAAAGAATCTCGTAAGAAATTTTACTTTGGTAAAGCTGTTTCTATGAAAAGAAAATTTTAAGAAGAGATAGGTTGTGAAATGGGGAAATGCATCTATTGACAGCTAAATTTTTCACATGAAATATTCTGAGCATATAAAATAAAATATACCTTGCAGATACAGAGATTTGGGGTAATGTTAAATAACGTAGGTTTCAAGATTTAATTTCAAGGAAGGCAGCTTTACAAGCCTTTCTTATGGAGTTTCTATTAACAAGATGGGGAAGCCTGGGCTGAATGGTTAGACATGTGGCAGGTGTGTGGCCAGGTGAAAACTCGATCGAAGAGGGCGACAACTATTGTTCATGCAGAAAGGGGTCTTTAGGGATGTGCCTACACCTCTCTTTCCTTTAATGTGTTTCTTAATAACTTCAGTAAGGCCAGAAGTGGCTTGTTTACAAATCCAAGCATGACACTAGCTGGGGGAGACACAGATTAACATATTAAAAGATTAAATCCAAAATGAACCCGAAAACCTGGATCTTGAACTAAATCTAATAAGACCAACCTTAAGTGGCCTCTGCCCTAGGTTAACATTCAAATTCACAAACAAAAGATGGGGAAACTATGGCTTAACAATACTTTCAAAACAAACAAACAAAACCCAACATTTTTGGTTAACTGCTTGCTAGATCAATATCAGCCAAAAATGTAAAAACATTGCCAAATAGTTAACTGGATCTTGGTGCTCTGGTAGACCACAGTCCAGAATCTGGGGAAAGATGCCACCTCTCAACTCCACACCTGCCTCTGTGCTTTCAGTGAGAAACAGGCAGACGGATTTGTTCAAAGGACAGTGACCAGATGATCAATGGCAGGAAGCCACACCATCCAAGGAAGCACTGAAAGAACAAGGACTCTTGGGAAGAAAAATTAGTATTCCCACATGAGTCATGGTATGTGTTTTCAAAATTTTAAACCATACGGAGTCCTAGGGCCCCTCTCTGAAATTTAGATTCAGTAGTTAGGGAGGAGATTTTCGTAAATGATCCTTCCACAAATCTCCCCAGATGATTATGATGATCAAACAGATTATTTTTAAAAAAAACCTAGATTATATGACTTCTAGAGTGGCTTCCAACTCTTCTATGCTCCTAAAAATTTTCATTTTCCAAATAACTGTGTGTGTGCGCACACATACACGCGTTGTGTGTGTGTGTTTTATATGTATCTCACATTGGGTCTATTAACAATCTTAGGGACTTTTAATATTTTTTATTTAAACTCAATGCTCTGGAATACCCATATGTGCATTTTATTACTATGAATATTTACTTTTAGTCAAAGGTAGAGTCAAGTTGTTCCTGAGAATTTTCAGGAATATATATGTCTATATTATATATAATATACATATTTATGTATATATAATGTATAATGTATATATAAAAATATATTTTATAATCCTCCTTAAAATTGTTTTATCCTCAAATACGTATTATATGCTTACTTTTTGCTGAATACTGAGTTAAATATTACAGGGTAGTGCTACTGCTTCTCAAACCCTGCTCACACCCCAGCCCCCAATCTCATGAAGGTCTTTAGGAAATGCACTGCCAACTCCCAGCCTCAGAGACTCTGTAAACATAGGGCAGGGCCTGGGAATCCATCATTTCTAAAAAGCTTCAGTGATAAAAGGCTTTCCAAGTTTGAAATCACTCTGATGCAGGGAACAAACTAGGGAAAGAAAATGGGATCAGTTCCTATCCTGGCACCAGAAAAGCTTTTCTCATGTCTAAGTGTGAGGCTTTTCATTTACTAAAGCATTTTGTCTTTTATAAATTGACAAGTTTGATTTCAGGGGCTTCAAGGGAGGAAATGATGCCGGTAGAAGCAACGGTTAGAAAGACTGACTGACATCAGTAGGTTAGTCAGTTACGGTTCTGCCTCACCAGGTGTGGTGGGTGTCAACACGTGACACAGGAGGCTCGGGGACCAGATCTGTCATTTGTGCTCCTTAATTGTTTCTCGGGGTTTCATTGCGTCACGGCCATTACTGCTAATGGAAGTTGTGTGCACTCAGCGAGGGACGAGACCCCTGATAATTGTAGGATTCTGTGTTTGAAAAGTAAAGGCACATTTAATGTTTTACACTTTCGATAAGTCTTCCTGTCAGCCTTATTAATTTGCTCTTATTTTGGTAGTCACTGTTCTTTCATATGAGTAGTTATTTTAAAATGAGAAAGGAACCTAAATTAGCATTATACATTTTAAGATGTACATTTGCTTCCATCATAAACTTTAATTTATACTTTGGACAAATAATTGTAACAGTTGCTATAAAATCAGTTATTTAATAATAGTTTTTACCACTATATTGAATGCAGCAGGAGACAGGCTTAATGGCCTCGTGTCCACAACAAATTTCCAGCTATTATTGGAACATCCATGCCTTTGAAAACTCCACAGGCCAGCCAAATTCCTACTGATTGCATTATTCAAATCTTGCTAAAGACTAGTTCATCACGTGCACACAGTAGTTTTTTATTGAATACATCTGTTTCTCCAACCTCAATTTATTTCGCTTTCTCAGATTTATATCACTATAAAAACTACTGTTATTTTCAATAGAATAATTTTCCATAATCATATTTGTGCCCCTTCATGGGACATCTGCAATTCAGTTTTAAATTCAGTTCAATTTGGTGGGTAAATGAAATACACTTAATATTTGCATTTGTAGTAGTTAACATAAGATTTCAAGGGGGGAAAAAAAAAGCAAATTTTAGACATACGCCAAGATAGTTAAGTAAGAAAATTTCAACTGGACTATGTGAGAGAAAATGTAAAATAAAAAATACCAAAGTACGGCTGGGACCCGGGGCTCACGCCTGTAATCCCAGCACTTTGGGAGGCTGAGGTGTGTGGATCACAAGGTCAGGAGTTTGAGACCAGCCTGGCCAGCATGGTGAAACCCCGTCTCTACTAAAAATACAAAAATTGGCCAGGCGTGGTGGTGGGTGCCTGTAGTCCCAGCTACTCAGGAGGCTGAGGCAGGAGAATCGCTTGAATCCAGGAGGCAGAGGTTGCAGTGAGCCAAGAGAGCACCACTGCAATCTAGCCTGGGGGACAGAGCGAGACTCCGTCTCAAAAACAAAACAAAACAAAGTACAACTTGATCTCTCGTTTTGGCAACTTGCTTTTTAAAATTATGTTCCATTTTCTTAAAAGTATGAATATAGCTTCGAGTTCCTAAACGTAAGATAACTTTGATTATCTGAATTTAAGAAACTCTGAAATTATTAAATCCAATTAAGTGAAATACTCAAATCATCTAATTTATTTTTGTATTTTCTGTAATACCCAGTGTAGCACTTTGCACATGGAAATAGAAGGCAACATGTGAGTGGATAAATGTAAGGATTTTTTTCAGGAAATTATTAAATCTTCTTGAACTTGAATCATTGGTTTAGTGGCATCAATTTTTGACAAATCAAATGGTTCTCAATCTTTAAAAATTTGCAATACCTAAAAATAGTATGCAGAAGTAAATGAAGACCAACCAAATGAGAACAAGCAAAAGATATTTATACAGAGCCTGTTATAGGAAAGGAGTCGGCCACCATCACTTGTATTTTGCCAAGACTCAAAGGCAGGGAGAGGAGTGGGAAGACTTTATAGTGGAGAAAAGGCAGGCTCCAGGTGTGCTCTGATTGGAGGCCACTGGCCAGGGAAATTGGAGGCTGCTCACTGGGAGCAGAGCATCCTATGTGATTGGTTTGGGTTGTATATTTGGCTTTCTCTGATTGATCCTAAGTTGGAAGGAGGGACAAAAATTAGGAAAGCTGTCAGTTATTAATCAAGTTCTGGACTTTTGGGGCTGAATGCTACAGACGTTATTTTTTAATTTCCTGTACCGGTTGCTAGAGAGAGTAGTCCGATTTCCTATAGGTCAGAGTTACATCAGGCTGCTTTCACGGACTGGTTAACATAGAAAACTATTTGGCTTCCCCAGCTGGTTGCAGGAGATTGTGCATCAAAGTTATATTTTTATATATATTCTGGCCACTGTTCATTTGTAGATTCAGTACCTTGAGTGCTTAGAAATGGGGCAAGTTGTATAATCCAATGAACAAAGAAAAAATTCAAGGTGAGAACTTATAATTTTGTCCCTTGTGCCAAAAATGTAGTTTGGCAATTTAGTTGACTTTTTAGGAAATTTAGTTTATAGTTGTATTAAAGTTACATATGTACAAAATCTCTAGTAATGAATGCAGTATCCACAACCCAAACACACACATATGCATTTCCCCTTCTGAGAGATAGTCACCTTCAACTTTGTTGGCCATTTACGTTGGTATTGACCTTCATATCTCTAACTGTCATGTTTATACTGTTAATTTAGGACTTTGCCATTGACTCCCACCTTGGGAGATGAGAATTCAGCTCTTTATTTTTCTACCACCCCTCACCACAACCACTCCCATACTGCAGAAACACCACACTTCTGTCCTCTCAATAGAGTTGTATGATACTTTTGGTCAGAGAAATATTCATTGTTAACATTATTATGACAACTAATGCTGTTCACAGCTGAGATACTATTGTATAAGGTGATAACATTTCCTTTCCTTCCTAACATTTTAGGTTAATAATAGACTTGTTTTTTGCTGGCTTAAGTTGCTAAGCATCTAATTTCTACCACCAATTCATTCTGAATTCTACCCACAAATATTTATATCTCCTCATAGTATGCCTAGTGTATTAAGTATTCTGTCAATTTCATCTTCGTGATGACGTCTCTCATGGATCCTCTGATCCTATCCAGTTTTCACTAACTTTTCTGCACAGCTCTCACCCGTATATTATAATACCTGAGAACTTTTTTTGCCTCTATTATGTTGAATCTCTTGTATCCCAAATTCTATACTTTTTTTGAGACAGGGTCTCTCTCTGTCACCAAGGCTGGAGTGCTGTGATACAATCACGACTCACTGCAACCTAGACCTCCTTGGCTCAGATCATCCCACCTCAGCCTCCTGAGTAGCTAAGACCACAGGCATATGCCATCACCCCTGGCCAATTAAAAAAAAATCTTTTTTAGAGATGGAGGTCTCACTGTGTAGGCCAGCCTGCTCTCAAACTCGTGGGCTCAAGTGATCCTTCTGCCTCGGGCTCCCAAAGTGCTGGGATTACAGATGTGAGCCACTGCACCTGGCCATATTTATTTTTTATTAGGGATTTTCCTCAGTTTTCTTGTGGGGGCAGGGTCTCTGGTTTTCTACTCATATTTAAAAGTGGGCATTATTTTATTTTATTTTTTTCATCAAATTTTATTTTAAGTTCTGGGGTACCTGTGCAGGATGTGCAGGTTTGTTACATAAGTAAACATGTGCCATGGTGACTTGCTGCACAGATCAACCCATCACCTAGGTATTAAGCCCAGGATCCATTAGCTATTCTTTCTGATCCTCTCTCTCCCCGCAACCCCCTGACAGGCCCCAGGGTGTGTTGTGCCCTACCATGTGTCCATGTGCTCTCATCATTCGGCTCCCACTTATAAGTGACACCATGTGGTATTTGGTTTTCAGTTCCTGCATTAGTTTGCTGAGGGTAACGGCTTCCAGCTCCATCCATGTCCCTGCAAAGGATATGATGTCATTTCTTTCTTTCTTTTTTTTTTTTTTGAGACAGAGTCTCGCTCTGTCGCCCAAGCTGGAGTGCAGTGGTGTGATCTTGGCTCACTGCAACTTCTGCCTCCCAGTTTCAAGAGATTCTCCTGCCTCAGCCTCCCGAGTAGCTAGGATTATATGTGCGGTACCACCACGCATGGCTAATTTTTTGTATTTTTAGTAGAGACAGGGTTTCACCAGTTAGCCAGGATGGTCTCTATCTCCTGACCTCGTGATCTGCTCACCTCGGCCTCCCAAAGTGCTGGGATTACAGGCGTGAGCCACTGCACCTGGCTGATGTTGTTTCTTTTTATTGCTGCATAGTATTCCATGGGGTATACGTAGCACATTTTCTTTATGCAGTCTGTCGTTGATAGGCATTTGGGTTGATTCTATGTCTTTGCTATTGTGAATAGTGCTGCAATGAACACATATGTGTTCATTCTTTATAATAGAATGATTTATATTCCTTTGGTTATATACCTACTAATGGGATTGCTGGGTCAAATGGTATTTCTGCTTCTTGATTTTTGATGTATGTGGAGGGGAAAAGGCTGACTGTCAGCATTCTTTTCTTTTTTTATTATTATTATACTTTAAGTTCTAGGGTATATGTGCACAACGTGCAGGTTTGTTGCATATGTATACATGTGCCATGATGGTGTGCTGCCCCCATTAACTCATCATTTACGTTAGGTATATCTCCTAATGCTATCCCTCCCCACTCCCCGCACCCCATGACAGGCCCCGGTGTGTGATGTTCCCCTTCCTGTGTGCAAGTATTCTCATTGTTCAGTTCCCACCTATGAGTGAGAACATGCAGTGTTTGGTTTTCTGTCCTTGTGATAGTTTGCTGAGAATGATGGTTTCCAGCTTCATCCATGTCCCTACAAAGGACATGAACTCATCCTTTTTATGGCTGCATAGTATTCCATGGTGTATCTGTGCCATTTTCTTAATCCAGTCTATAATTGATGGGCATTTGGGTTGGTTCCAAGTCTTTGCTATTGTGAATAGTGCCGCAATAAACATACATGTGCATGTGTCTTTATAGCAGCATGATTTATAATCCTTTGGGTATGTACTCAGTAATGGGATGGCTGGGTCAAATGGTATTTCTAGTTCTAGATCCTTGAGGAATCACCACACTGTCTTCCACAATGGTTGAACTAGTTTACAGACCCACCAACAGTGTAAAAGTGTTCCTATTTCTCCACATCCTCTCTAGCACCTGTTGTTTCCTGACTTTTTAATGATCGTCATTCTAAGTGGTGTGAGATGATATCTCACTGTGGTTTTGATTTGCATTTCTCTGATGGCCAGTGATGATGAGCGTTTTTTCATGTGTCTGTTGGCTGCATAAATGTCTTCTTTTGAGAAGTGTCTGTTCATATCCTTTGCCCACTTTTTGATGGGGTTGTTTTTTTCTTGTAAATTTGTTTAAGTTCTTTGTAGATTCTGGGTATTAGCCCTTTGTCAGATGGGTAGATTGCAAAAATTTTCTCCCACTCTGTAGGTTGCCTGTTCACTCTGATGGTAGTTTCTTTTGCTGTGCAGAAGCTCTTTAGTTTAATTAGATCCCATTTGTCAGTTTTGGCCTTTGTTGCCATTGCTTTTGGTGTTTTAGACATGAAGTCCTTGCCCATGCCTGTGTCCTGAATGGTATTGCCTAGGTTTTCTTCTAGGGTTTTTATGGTTTTAGGTCCAACATGTAAGTCTTTAATCCATCTTGAATTAATTTTTGTATAAGGTGTAAGGAAGGGGTCCAGTTTCGGCTTTCTACACGTGGCTAGCCAGTTTTCCCAGCACCATTTATTAAATAGGGAATCCTTTCTCCATTTCTTGTTTTTGTCAGGTTTGTCAAAGATCAGCTGGTTGTAGATGTGTGGTATTATTTCTGAGGGCTCTGTTCTGTTCCACTGGTCTATATCTCTGTTTTGGTATCAGTACCATGCTGTTTTGGTTACTGTAGCCTCATAGTATAGTTTGAAGTCAGGTAGCATGATGCCTCCAGCTTTGTTCTTTTGGCTTAGGATTGTCTTGGCTATGTGGGCTCTTTTTTAGTTCCATATGAACTTTAAAGTAGTTTTTTCCAATTCCGTGAAGAAAGTCATTGGTAGCTTGATGGAGATGGCATTGAATCTATAAATTACCTTCACCAAAGTTGAAATGAAGGAAAAAATGTTAAGGCAGCCAGAGAGAAAGGTCGGGTTATCCACAAAGGGAAGCCCAACAGACTAACAGCTGATCTCTCAGCAGAAACTCTACAAGCCAGAAGAGAGTGGGGGCCAATATTCAACATTCTTAAAGAAAAGAATTTTCAACCCAAAATTTCATATCCAACCAAACTAAGCTTCATAAGTGAAGGAGAAATAAAATCCTTTACAGACAAGCAAATGCTGAGAGATTTTTTGTCACCACCAGGCCTGCCTTACAAGAGATCCTGAAGGAAGCACTAAACATGGAAAGGAACAACCGGTACCAGCCACTGTAAAAACATGCCAAATTGTAAAGACCATCGAGGCTAGGAAGAAACTGCATCAACTAATGAGGAAAATAACCAGCTAACATCATAATGACAGGATCAAATTCACACATAACAATATTAACCTTAAATGTGAATGGGCTAAATGCTCCAATTAAAAGACACAGACTGGCAAATTGGATAAGGAGTCAAGACCCATCAGTGTGCTGTATTCAGGAGACCCGTCTCACGTTCAGAGACACACATAGGCTCAAAATAAAGGGATGGAGGAAGATCTACCAAGCAAATGGAAAACAAAAAAAGGCAGGGGTTGCAATCCTAGTCTCTGATAAAACAGACTTTAAACCAACAAAGATCAAAAGAGACAAAGAAGGCCATTACATAATGGTAAAGGGATCAATTCAACAAGAAGAGCTAACTATCCTAAATATATATGCACCCAATACAGGAGCACCCAGATTCATAAAGCAAGTCCTTAGAGACCTGCAAAGAGACTTAGACTCCCACACAATAATAATGGGCGACTTTAACACCCCACTGTCAACATTAGACAGATCAATGAGACAGAAAGTTAACAAGGATATCCAGGAATTGAACTTAGCTCTGCACCAAGTGGACCTAATAGACATCTACAGAACTCTCCACCCCAAATCAACAGAATATACATTCTTCTCAGCACCACATCACACTTATTCCAAAATTGACCACATAGTTGGAAGTAAGGCTGACTGTCAGCGTTCTGAGAGGTGAGTGAAAAGAAGGGTTGAGATGTTTCAATATCCATCACTTGCGCTGTCACATAAACTTATTTTCAACAGGGCATGCCCAACCTCAGTTGTGGCAGAGTCTCCACAAGTGGGAACACCTTCTGTTAAAACTTTGTCAGAGAATTAACCTCTCATCTTCAGTCAGAGTGGATAAGAGGCCTCAACTCGCCTCAGCTAAGTGGACAAAGGATGATTTGGGGGAAGGGCAGTTCACTACATTAAAAAAAATTTAACCAATCCTCCTGGTTGCAGCCTACTTTAAGCTCCAATTCCTGAGGCCGCTGGCACTTCTTGTGTACAGATCAGAGCACTTCTTGGGTCTCCCAAATGCTGGCTGGCTATGGATCTGTTTTTCCTTGCTCTGTTGAGTCAGTTGCCACTCTTTTTTTGCCTGCTTTTCGACTCTCAAAAGTCTGTTGCTGTTGCCTTCTCTTGCATTCTTTGCCTTCATGGCTTAATTACATTTCCCCTTATCCTTCTATTGTTATTATTTTAAGCTTTCAGGAGGAGGCAAAGGTAAAAGTGTGAGTTCAGTCTGCCATCTTTAACCCAAAGCCCTGATAAATTATTTGACTTTTCTGCTCTCAGTATCTTTTCCTATAAAAAGGGCCTAAAACAGAGGCTAATGGTAATAATCATAAGACATAATTTTCATCCACATAGCACCTAACAGCATACTAAGTGTTTCACATACATCTCATTTCATCCTTCTGATTCTTTCACAAGTCAGCAAGCACAGGTATTGTTAGTCCCTTTAACCTGAGTGGAAACTGGATCAGAGAGGTTCCTGTGTGTCCCAAGGTCACACTGATAGCAAGGGGTGGAATCAGGACTGTGAATCCCCAAAAGAAGCATCTATGAGTCACGTGGCCTAATGGAGCTATCTGAACATACAGAGGACAATTAGAACAAGAGGGCACTAGGGCTGATTCTGGTTGCCGATTGAATATCTGTGAAATTTGACAAAAATGACACTATTATGCAGGAATACGACATCTACATTTCTACCAAGCAAATATTTTTGTTTAAAAAATCCAAGTAAATCTTTTGGTAGGGAAACAAAATGAAACCTAAATGTTCAATCAAGATTTCAAGACACCAGCTTAGTTCCCTGGTAAGGATGTGTATGATACAAGTCATGATTTAAGCATGAAACCCTATTGCTTAGGGTTAAATACTGATTTTTTAAATCTCAGAAGTTCCCTGGGAATCTTATTACCTTCAAGGCTATTCTTCTATCCTAAAGTAGCACTGAAACACAGAATTGAGCAGGCAGTATTTGCCTGTAACATCTGCTGGTATCTCTCTTTTTCTGCTGAGCTCTAAGTCTCACTCTGAAGAAAAATGCAGGCAACCTTGGGACTTATACTCCTTCGCTTCTTCCTGATTCTGTTATTGTAATGTTCATCCTCATTTTCAATCAATTAACACACACCCATGAAGTGCCTCAGTGAGAGGCCCCAAAGGGGATGCAAAGAAGAAAAAGACTGTCTCCGCCTTAAAGTGGTCATCATCTTTCCAGGGAAGCAAAACATCACATTGTAGCTATATTGTAGTGAGGCCAAGATCCCAGTTCCCATCAAAATAGTCACATCCCATCAAAATGATCTTTCAGAATAATTCATTCATTCAACATCTAGCTACTGCCCTGTACAGCTATGGAATTACTATGCCTGACCTAGTTAAAATAGTGCCATGTTGAACTTGGGATTTCTTTGAGCACTCTGCCATCTTCTCAGACTATTCTGTAGAGGTGGGCCATGAATCCTGATATTCTTGGACAGATCTGCATTGATGCCTGACCCCTTAGCTCTAATTTCATTTCCTTTTTTTTTTGAGATGGCATCTCGTTCTGTTGCCAGGCTGGAGTACAGTGGCAAGATCTCAGCTCACTGCAACCTCTGACTCCCTGGTTCAAGTGATTCTCCTGCCTCAGCCTCCTGAGTAGGTGGGCCTACAGGTGTGTGCCACCATGCCCAGCTAATTTTTGTATTTTTAGTAGAAACGGTTTCACCATGTTGGCCAGAATGGTTTCAATCTCTTGACCTCGTGATCTGCCCAGCTTGGCCCACCTTGGCCTCCCAAAGTGCTGGGATTACAGGCGTGAGCCACCGCGCCCAGCTCATTTCCTTTATTCTTTCAGTTATCTACTGCAGTAGGAAGGGGATGGTTTTCCACGTCCTCTCTGATGTGAGCTTCCACAGTATATCCTCCTTCCTGAGGTGACAGTACCCTTCCCTCTTACTAGGGCCATAGTTGTATACCTTGGGCGGGGAGAAAGCCCTGCTTATCAGAAATACAGCAGATATTCTCTCTCTCACTCTGAAAATTGAATTAAGCATTATAAAGGAAATAAACAGAGTGCTAATTAAGAGAGTAAGAGGAGGAACATATATTCAATGGGTGGCTAGAGAATCCCTTTCTGAGAAGACATTAACTGGAATCTGAAGGTTGAGAAGAAACCAACTATGCAAAAGTATTGTTCCTAGGCAGAAAGAATGAAAAATTAGTGCCAAAGAAATGGCTAGGTAATGTTGATAATTGGGAAAGACAAGTAGGTGGGGTTTGAGCTGGGCCTGCTGGGCGGTACTGAAGGTCAGTTCACTCAACCCCCATTCCCAGTCCCATTCTCCCCTGCCTTCCTCCACTGGAGAGGAAAATGAAGGACTAAACTTCCCCCCTCCACTGAAGCAAGCATGACCATAGGACATCATTGTGGCTAATGAGCTGTAGGAAAAACCCTTTGGGAGGCCTTCCCTTCTGGAATAAAAGCCAAAGGCCACTGGAATAAGTCATTTTTGTTCCTTGCCTTTCCTCTTTCTTCTGTCTGGAATGCCGAAGGAGGTACTTACATTTTACATCCCAGAGAATGAAACTGACATGCAGGAAATGTCCAAGCAGGGAGACAGAAGGAGCCTAGTTCCTTCCTGGCTTTGTGATGTGGCTGCACCACCTGGACTGCCTACCTCTGATTTTTTTTTTAATGTGAGAAACTAAATCCGTTTATTGGTTTAAATAATGACAACAGCAAATGTTTCTAGCACTTTCTAGGTAGTTTACATGAATTCATATTTAATCCTCATATGAACCTTAAACAGTGACTACCATTGTTATCCCAATCCTTAGATAAGGAAGCTGAGGCATGGAAAGGTTGAATAATTTACCCAAGTAACTCAGCAAGTCGAAAGGCTGGACTTTGAGAACAGGCAGTGTGCCCTTAACCAATGTTCTACCCCAGTGTTGGCCGGGTTTTCTGTTATGCACAGATTATCAGTCCTAACTTATACATCTTTGATGGATGAATACAATTTAGTTGGGAGCTTTTAGATCATTATCTAACTAGATCAGTGTAGCATGTGGTCAGTGGATGGCAAGTTAGACAACAATTTGATGGTGAGTTTATAGTAGGAAAAGTGACAAAGATGGAGATGGAAAATAGAGCAGAATGGGTAAGAAAGGGAGCTCTGGAAATTAGAATATTTGCCTACAAATCACAGCTCTACCAGTTACTACTAGCTCAGTGACCGTGGCCTAATTATGCTGCCTTATCTTTATAACATTTAAGTCTCTAGCTTTAAGCCTCAGTCTCCTCATCTCTAAAATGGGCATCAAAACTGTACATGACTTTCAGAGGTTTAATGCCCTAGCAAAATGCTTCGTTCACAGTAAGAGCTCAGTAAATGTTACCTTAAAAAACATACTAAGTTTGAATGTTTTCCTCTACAGCTTGTCTCATCTTGACAGTAATGACTGTCTAGAAATTGTCAATTCCAACCACAACATTTGGAAACTTTAAAATATCAAAGATGAAGAGAGACTAAAGATGATCTTTTCTTTGATGTTAGTATTGAAATGTTTTTATTTTTTTCATATTCTGTTGGAAACCCAGCCTTATTACAGATCACAGGACCTAGGACACCATTGTTGCAATAATTTAATCTGAGGTAAGAAAGACATTGTTAGCATAACGTTTCTTAATAGTATTAGTCAAGCTGAGTTTTAAGAAACATACCTATCAACTTCAAAGGATTTGTTTTAAAGAAAGTAAAATAAAAAGGAACTACAAATCCATGGGAACATGATAAAGTACTATAATTTCCACCCTGAGTTTTGGAAAATCTGACGAACCTCCAAAATGTGTTCTGAGGAAAACAGTTGTCTCAAAGGCACAAGAACTAATATGAAATGTTAGTTCAAAGGCTCTGGGCAAAAAGAGGGACACACAGACAGACGCTCTCTCCTTTAATGAACCCTCATGTGGAAAGTAGCTGCTACTTGGTGAGCTGCCGCCTGTGCCTTTGAACATACTATGATTCAAACAGTGAAGTGTTATTTCACACTCTCTGAGTTAGCCAGCAGATCTCTAAAACTTCCCAGCTCAAAAAAGTTTGCAGAAACCATTTTCTTCTAGTACTTCTTGGAGACTTAAACAAAAGTAGAGAGACTGTACAGTGACCTCCAGAGGGCTCTGATAAAATCTTCATAAATTGGCTTTTTGCTTTTTCTATAGATGATTAACCAGCCTGAAAACCATTGCCAATATGTGTGTGGGCAAGTGGTTACTATGTCTATACAGTGGCTGCAGCCGCTGGTCTTGTAGATGGAACCCTGCTTCCAGACAGGAAAAAGCCTGATCCGGGCTCTCCTGTCCCCAGGGGACAGGGCAGTTGGACTATTCTGGTCAGAAGACTGCTTTTGTGTAGGGAGTTGTTTCCCCTAGTTCAGGATGCAGGAGTGCAAGGAGAGGGTACAGCGTGACCTGTTGCCCCAGGTGGCCTCAGTGTCAGGCAGCCCTGGTGTTCTGCCCGCACTTGGATCAAGGAAGTCACCAGGAGACCTGGGCTGTCCCCAGCAGAGTATACAAAGCAACTCTCAGAGGGGATCTGACTGGTGCCAGGGACCTTCCAGCAGGTCATTTCCTGGGTCTCCTGGTTCCTAGGAACACAGGCTCAGACATGGCTGTAATACTCATATTTTCTGGTACCGTATATTGAGATTGCCTTGTAAGATCTGCCCTGCTACTGATCCCGTGACTAAAAGGAGAATTTTTAGAGATTATCAACCTACCTAGTCATTTTACCTAAAATAGCGAATAGGTAAAAGTTCCAATCAGAAAAAGATTTTTATAAAAATATGACCTATGTGTAAATTGTGAACTTTAAGTCCTATTTGATAAAATTAATTAAAAGAGCTTCATGAGAAACTCTGTTATAGATCTTAGATCATCCTTATTCATCAATCAAAGTCTAGTAATTGAGGGCCCAGTATACTACCTTCCATGTGCATAGGCTTTCCCTGTTTCTAAAGAACTTTCATGCACACTGTCATTGGCTCTTCTACAACACAGTGAAGGTAGACAGCACAGGAGTTATTCCCATTTTGTAGATGGAGAAATACTAAGGGCCTGTCATGATAAACCAGGCAGTTTTACTGGTCTGGTGCTGAGTCTGGCAGCTGATATTAACTCATTATGCCCAGAAAGAAGAGTGTGATGAGAAAGGACAGGAACATCTATTGGAAAGTCTTCCCATCTAAATGGTAACTGGGCCCAGTTAGATATTTCCAACCCATCTGCACACATATAGAACCCCAGCATGGAGTTTGTGCATGGTCGGTTCTCTCTAGTATTTAATTTAAAAATCAATGGTTAACATCATCAACAACAACAACTTTTACATCACTAATGATGTGCCAGGAACTGATGTTTTTTTTTGAGACAAGGTATTGCTCTGTCGCCCAGGCTGAAGTGCAGTGGTGCAATCATGGCTCACTGTAGCTGTGACTCCAGGGCTCAAGTGATCCTTCCACCTCAGCCTTCAAAGTAGCTGGAACCACAGGTGTGTGCCACCATGCCCCGCTAATTATTTATTTATTTTGTATAGAGACAGGGTCTCACTATGTTGCCCAGGCTGGTCACAAACTCCTGGGCTCAAGTGACCCTCTTGCCTTGGCCTCTGAAAGTGCTGCAATTATAGACATGAGCCACTGCACCCAGCCAGGAACTACTGTTTTATTACAATACTTATCACATTATTATTTAATCCTCACAACAACTTTGTGAAGTGTGGACAATGATTATCTTTGTTTTACAGATAAGGAAACTGAAACACAGAGAGGTTAAGTGAATTTCCCAGTATCACACAGTGTGAGAGGCTGATAACATCTTCATAACATAAAAAAGAATATGCAATACACTGCCTCAGTACCAACAATGCAGAGATTAATTTATATTCTGAGGGTAATGTGAGCAAAGCAAAGAACTAAAACCTATTACCTCTCTGCTTTTAATCAGGCCACGAGAAGGAATTCCTGGGGCATCTAAAAAATTCATCCTAGTAGTTTAAGCCTTTATACAAAAGTGGCTTTGAACTATGCTTGGATGAGCTTTGCCTTTTGTCAGTGACAGGTTCTGACCTTAGGTAGGATACGAACAGCCACAAAAAAGGGCACCTGCTCCCTTTTTGTCATTTGTTCAGGTGAAACAGGGCTTCGCTGGTGACAGTTGAAATGACCTGGTTTCTTCTGACCCCTGTGAAAAACTAATGATGTGTTTTTCATTTTCATTCCATTTTCCCTGGTTTCATGTATACACATTCAAAAGGTGAGGGAAGCTGTGAAGTGAAGTCAGTCCTGGGTGAAAAGTTCTATTTGCTCCTCTCATGCCTGAAGCTAAGTAAAGTCGACACAAATCGTGCGTGTGCACAAGGACAGGGATCTGCATATCACGTGGCCGAGGCCCCACTGCTGTGCATGCCTGCACTGTCCTCTGAGGGAAAGAATAATGGGGGCGAGATGGGTGGGGAGTGGGATGAGGCACTACTCACTCCCAGCTTTGCTTAGAGATCAACATAATAAATAATCAAGTTTGCTCAGCGCCTCAGAGTTTACACAGAGCTTTCACATGTAATTCCATTTCTACAAGTCAGGAAGTGGAAATGAACTCATTTAACTCACACAGTTGGAATTCAAATGAAGTTGGACTCTAGATAGTGCTAGCTCTCTCCTTTATCCCTTCCTTCCTTCTTCCCTTCCTTTCATCCTCCTACCTTCTCTTCCTACAACTTGCCATCCTTGAATATGTCATTTTGGAAATCTATACAAGAATGCTTATTTACATTTCCCATTTCTCTCAAACCACACTTTCATAATCCCAACATGCATCTAAAAGTGGGAAGTAATCATTTCAGCAAGGCCTAGATAAGAAAACATGAGCAATGGAAACAATGACAATCTTTTCTTTTCCTTTTCCATCGGTTACAATTGAGTGACCTTGGGAGGTATCCAAATGATCATTTTGTCCATGCTTCTTGGCAAATACTTCAGCTAGCTTAGGAACTTGCCGCACGGGGTTAACCTCCTAATTCGACATAACGTTTTGGATAGGTAGGGATGGGTTATGGTCAGATCAGTTTTCATTGTTATATTTACATTTTGACTTTAATGGGGTTTGGACAAATCTCAAGAGCAGAGTTGCTATTGCCAGGCCCCAGCACTGCACAAGTACAGCCAGCAATTCGGCCCACCGACTGGCAGGATGGGCTCCTGCCCTGGGCATCACACACCTATAAAAATAAATTTGTTAAGGAACATACAGCCACTTCTGTCAGTAGAGGTCTGGTGCTCAGTGTTAAAGACTGCATAAAACTTTACCCTAAACTTTTGCTTTCAAAACCAACACCGTTCGGGCCCCAGAGAAACACTTCTCCCCTATAGTCCCTTGTCCTTGAAACAAAGGTGAGTGCATCCCACAACCTGAAGATTTGCAGGGTGTGCTGCTGCTGACATGGAAGATGGACACTCCTAAACGTGTGGATGATGTATAGTGGAGGCGCTTGATTCAAAGAAAAGTCAAATGAATTAAACTGTCAAAACCTTCCTTTTAGATAGCAAGCATATCATACAGTCTTAAATAATGAGGGTTTCCTAGCAATGCCAAACATTCATTTTCTTGCTTCTCTTTTTGTTACAATTCATGGTTCTGGCAGAAGTCATACAGCAGTATAGCATTTGCATGCGGTTGAACGTGGTGATTGGCCAATATTTTGAAAAATTAACTAATTAATGTTACTGTTAAAATGGTAGATATGAAGTTATAACACATGAAACATAATACTGATTATTTATGTTAGCAACCAGGTGGACAATGAATGCTAGAATTGCTAAGTTTATGTTTTATTTACACATTAATAAGGTGTAATTAAATTTCCAAATATTAAATAAAATGTTTATGCTTTAAAAAAATAACTTTTCAGTGTTTATATTCATTGTCATAATTTGTATTTTGCATTTTAATTCTAATAGATAACTTTAAATCATTTGAAAGAAAACTTTTAACAACTATAGAAAAATAATTCTAATTTTCTGAAATAAAAAAAGGAATTTACATTTGTGGTGTAAGTACAAACATTTTGTATGATTTGACTACATTAATCCTTTATTTATTTATTTTTTAGAATTGGGATTTCATTCTTTACCCAGACGGAGTGTAGAGTGCACAGCTCATTGCAACCTCAAACTCCTAGGCTCAAATGATCCTCCAGCCTCAGCCTCCTGAGTAGGTGGGACTACAGGGATAAACCACCATGTTTGACTATTTAAAAAACTGTTTTGTAGTGACAGGATCTTGCCATGTTGTCCAAGCTGGTCTAGAAATCCTGGCCTCAAGTGATCCTCTGGCCTCTGCCTCTTGAGTCGCTGGGATTACAGGTGTGAGCCACCACATGGGGCCTGAATAGATGAATCTTTTAGATCAATGTTGTTCAATAGTGCTTTCTATGATGATGGACTTGTTTTCTCTCCATGTTGTACAATACATTAGCTCTAGCCACATGAAGCTACTGAGCATTTGAAATGTAGCTAGTGTCACTGAGGAACAGAACACCTGAAATGCTGTTAGGTGCTACCATACAGAACAGCAAAGCTTTCAATCACCGCTGTCAATGGAACACAAATTAAGTGAAAATCTCAATTATAACAACACAGTGATTTTACTAAAGAGAAATATCAATTTTATAGAATAAATATATATGAATCATGTATATTACTTATCCATATAGCCTATCAAAGAAAATCTAGATATGTATAATGTCTAGCAGATATGCATAATTCAGTTGCTGATATTTTGCTTTTTGTCATATAAAATCTGTAGGTTTTATATTTCAATTTTATTGTTATATGTGTCAAGGTAGGAATATACATAGTAGTTTGCTAGCTTAATTAATAACTTTGAAATATTAGGCATATGGTAAGTGGCTATGCATTTGTACTCTTGCCCAAGCCTACCAATGTCAGGGGCTGGCCTGACAGCACCCCTAACTCTGAGCAGCCATTCTGCAAATGTCACTATTGTCCTCAGTGAGTCAGGAGTGAAATGTGGTTAAAACTAAATCTCTACTGCTGAAAAAACAAGTCAAAGCAAATGTCCCACTGGGAGGATTCCTACAGCATCCCTTCCTTAGAGGAAGTCCAATCCATTCATTTCAGCAGAGGACTTCCATTTAGGCTCAAAGGCTGCTCTGACCAGTTACCTGTAAGAGGGAGTAAACTAACAGTAGTTGTCATGAATTGAGAGGGCAGAAGCTGCTGGCAAAAATCCCACCACCCTTTGAAATGTGGATGGAAGGCTGCAAAGGGTAGAGTCAACTTAACAGTGTAAAGATAGAGAACAGGGGTAATAGAAATTTACAGACCCTCCCACTAAGCTTTAAGTAACAGGCAGAAGGGACAGGGTTTGTAGAGGTTACCAAGAGGAGTCCTGTGGCAGCAGCAGTTGGAGTACTGGCAGGGATTTCTGTCTAATGCCTCAGTGGCAGGTCCGTAGAGTGGCCCTTTCCTCTTCCATCCAGCTCCTCATCGTCCCCCCGCAGGGGGATTGAGTTTCCCTTGCCCATAGTGGTAACCTGCTTATTGACACATCTCATATCGATGTCTGCTTTTTTTTTTCTTCTCTGTCTTGCTGTCTCACCTTCCTTATAGTGCTTTCTGGGATCACTTCCCCAATTCAAAACCACTTATAGTTAAATCCTAACCTCCAGGTCTGTTTCTGAGGGAGCCCAGCCTAAGACAACCTCCAGTACTTAGCACAGTGCCTGACATATGGTATTGACTCAGTAGATATTTGCTGAAAGAATAAAATACTTTGCAAATGAAATCCTACCCTAATATTAACTTCACCTAATTTAAAGAAGTTACTCTGAAGCAAAGTGATTAGATCAACTTTTGTCTCCCTAGCTTCCACCTCTGTCCTCCCACTAGCAGAAAAACTCCATTGGAAAGCCTATTACTAATTTTTTTTAAAGCAAATTTGAACTGCAGTATAGAACACAAGTACATCAAAATGGAAAGCCCAGGTTGCAGATTTGACCATCCTCACTTGCTGATCTTGAAGACATTGCTTCCTTTCTGAGATTTCAATGTTCATTTCACAATTAAAGATAAGGTTCCATAAGCACATAGTTGGGAGAAGTGGCAGGACAATGTAAGCTCATATTAACAAGCAAATGATTAATATAGAGACTTCTAAAGAGCAGGTCTGGTAAGTATCTAGTAAGTGGACTTCCTGAAGTAAGAGGAGTGTTGGTTGCCACACTAAAGGCAAGTCTTCTAGTCCCCAAATTTGCCTTGGGAGGATGACAGCTGTATCTTTCTTGGTTCTGGTGTACAGTGGAGAACAGGGTCAAGATGAGTGTGGAATCCATTTATTTTTTTACGTGTTTATAAGCACTAGAAAGCAGTGAGCACTAAGCAGAGGACCCCTCTTGCGGAAAAAGTGCAGGAGAGCTCCTGGGTGCCTCTGTATCACCGGTTTGCCTTCTAGCCAGAATCATTGCTAGAACCCTGTCACTCAGTTACTTTGGTTCCTAATTTAACCTCTTCCCAAGCCTTCTATTGCGTTCAGTTAGCTAGGCCAGGAGCTTACAGCTGTCTGGTTGGTGCTGGCTCAATGTGCTTATTCCCTGGAAGATAGAAGGATCACTTACAAAAAAATTTACAATTAAAATAAAAAAATTATTTTTTGCTGAAGCATTGTAAGGTTTTTTTAATTCACTCAGACCCAAAATCGTAAAACTAAAATATTTCAAGACATTACTTGATTCACCCCCCACTTCTCTTTCTCCCCTGTTTCTCAGCACTTTGCACCAGATACAGAAACCACGGGTTATGTCCAAACCCTGGTTTTGGTGTGACCACCGCCTTCCGTGTACTGCCTGCGGCTCGCTTCGGGCCCACACGGGACACCGAGGCATGATGAGGACGCAGAACAGCAGAAGCGCGCCCTGCTTCCCGGGCGCCAGTGCTCGGGGCCAGCGGCGTGTACCCGGCGGGCCCGGCCGGGAGCGGGCTGGCGATCGCGGGGCTCGGCGCTCCCGGCTCCCGCGCCATCTCCCGGCGCCCGCCAACTTCGCTCCGCCCGCGGCGTAGAGAAGCTCGCAGCCCTCCGGAGCCTCAGCGATCTCCTGGCTCGCTTTTCCCGCAGCCGCCGAGCAGCGCAGGCCCGGCGACTCCGGGTGCAGCTGGCCCTGTGCGGTGACATCGCCGTCCGGCGCCAGGCTCGAAGCCGCCTGGCCGCGCCCGCGGGGTCGCAGGCCGCTGGTCCCGCCCGGCCGCGCTCACAAACTACTCGCGGCTCGTGACCCGGGACAAACTTCTGGCGGCGGCGCAGCCTCTTCCACAGTCACCCTCCCCAGAGCCAGCTACCAAAATAGAAGACGCGGCCGGGGCGAGGAGGTGGGCGGGGGGAGCCCGGTGGCCGCTCCTCCCCGCGCGGCTGACGCCCGCTTCGGCGGCGGTAGTGGCTGTGGCCGCGGGGCCGCCCCCAGCCGAGCTCCCGGAGGCGCTCGGGCGCGGGCCGGCGGGGCACGGGCGCTCACGCCCTCTAGCGGGCCGCGGCGGCGCCGGGCGGCCGTGACGTGAGCGCTCCCTTCAGCCGGCCTGCGGGGCACCGCCAGTCAGTCGGGGAGCAAGAGCCCCGCGCGCAGCCGGCGCGGGCTCGGTCATCGGCGCGCCGCCGCCCGGGGCTGGGCTTGGGGCTGCCTGTGGAGAGGCGGCGGGCGGAACGCGCGCGGCCACGGCCACGGCCACCGCCACGGCCACGGCCGGCAGCTCGGGTCCCGGGTCCCGGGCAGGGGAAGGGGAGAGGCGGCGAGCTCAGCAACCGGAACCGAGGGAAGATTTTGGCTCCGCGGGCTCGCCCTCCGCTCCCTCTGCCAGCGGCGCCAGACGCCGAGTGGGGCCAGGGACAGGGGAGGAGGACCCAGGACCCTGTGCCCGCGCCCCTGGAGCCGCTGGAGTTCGGACTTCTGCAACTGTTGGCACTTTGGGGGCTTGGCTTAGCGCTCTGCTGTTTACCCGTCTCTCCTCGCTGCCTCGGAACCAAAGCTCCCGGCCCCCTCCGCCCTCGCGCGCCCACCCACCGCCGCCGGGGAGCGGCCCGGCCCGCACTCAGCACCATGAGGGGACTTGGGACTTGCCTGGCGACTTTGGCCGGACTTTTGCTAACTGCGGCGGGCGAGACGTTCTCAGGTAAGCGGGACCGCCTCTGCCGCCCCCGAGGCGCGCGGGCCGGCGCGGGACGCCCGGGACGCCGACAGCTCCCTGGTGGTAGAGCCCTAAGGCTGGCGTCGGGGCCGGGCGGGGGGCGCGGCGGGCCGGACACCGCTTCTGCCTGTGAGCCGGGCGCTGGGCGAGGGGCCGTGGGGCTGGCAGGCACCCAGTCCTCGGGCGGGCGGAGCGGACGGACCCCGAGGGCGAGCTCCCCAGCCGGGACTGCCAGCTCGGCCGCCGTCCTTCCGCGGCCTGGGCTAGTGCTCAAGGTTGGGCGGCTTGCACTCTTGAGTCCCTGGCCGGCTGCAAAAGGAACAGCAGAAAACTTTGCTTGAAGTTCCCAGTTGCAGCCGCCGGGCCGCCTGGCGTAGGCGCTGCGCGGTCCCCGCCGACCCCGAGCAGCGGCCGGGCCCAGGCCGCTGGTGTTCGGCTGCGCCCGCAGCGATCGCCGGGAACTGGCGGCCGCTCCGGCGGCGGCGATCTCCCGGTGCCCTGCCCTCCCTGTCGCCCCCTGCCCGGCGCGGCTGGCGACCCCGGGAGGTCCCCGCGGTCGTGCAGCGTCTGCGGAGAGGCTGGGGGGAGTTCCTCGCCGGTCCCAGCGGTAGGGCTTGGCGGCCGCGGAGGGAAGCGGGCAGGTCCCCAGGCCCTGGCCACGGCCCTGCGCCCCGCTGGGCTCCCCCTCCCCACCCTCGTCCCCCTAGCGGAGCGCCGCGGCCAGCTGCAACTTGTTCATCCAGCCCGGCTGCCCGGGGGTCCCAGGTGGGAAGGAGAGGCACTGGCGGTGTGCGAGCAAGCGTGTGAGTGTGTGCGCGTGTGTGCCTGCACGCGCGCGCGGGGGCGTTCTAAGCCCAGAGGAACCCCTCACGGAGAGGATCTGTGGATCGGAGTCGGGGGTCCGGCGTGGGGGCGAACCCGGCACGCTGTCACAGGGGTTTACAACCAGGATGACCTTTATTACCTGGGTGACACAGGTGGATAGACGGCAAATGCTGGCCCATTTGCACACCTTCTTTCTAGTGTTTATTAGATTAGTTTCATTAAGGTCCACATGCAGTGGGGGCGGTGGGCTTTCTTTTTCTTTAATAAAAAAGCCTGCTCTTTGGTCTTAAACTTGGTTTTTGCAAAATAGGTCTCTGCGTTTGGGAACAAGTGAGTTGAATGAGTAAGTTGGGCTTTTTAAGAATTTAATGAAGAGGACTTTCATAAACAGTAAAGAGCATATTTTAAGCAGTAAAAACCTTTGGTCCTCCGGTGCGTGGAAACCTTTTTATTTTCTTGGGGTCCAGGACCATTGGCTGCTGGAGCTCTGGACTCACAGGCACATTAGTTGTGTCTTGTGTGTTGCTGATCTGCAGGACCCTTGATCACAGTTGGCCTCAGAGAAGGAGTGGAACGTGTAGGTTTTGAAACCCAAAGCATCAACTTCAATACAGAAATATCCTTTCTCCAAGTTTTGTGTTTCCCTAACTGCCTGGTAATTGCACGTGCTCCAGAGGATTTAACACAATGATGCACTGTCGTCTGATTATAAAACTGATGCAGAATTTGGTCTGTGTTCTTATTAGTGAATAATAGAGTAGAATTTGAGAGCCTTGTAACTCATTAGTATTAGAAGCCAAGTATGAGAGCCCTAGTGATGGTTTTCTCTTTATTAACATCCATGACTCCCTTCTTGGGATTTGTTTAAAGTTAAGCTGTGTCAAATATCATTTGGATGGATTTTTAAATTGTGTGCAAGGGAGTGGAAACAAATATTTATATTGCTTATTTAAACCATGGGTTCCTCATCACCAAAAAGGATTTCAGCCTCAGTTGTACTGACCCATGTCCTTGTTAAGGCTGATGTAAATGATCAGTCAAGCCAAAATAGACTTCTACTAAAATTTAGCCTGATTTTTCATTTGGAAGAAATATATCTATTTGTTTGAGTTAATCATACCATTAAGTGAAATGTGTTTTCTTTTCTATCTAGAAAGCCAGAGTTATCCTGGCATGCTAGTGGGTAAAGGGCAGCATCCAAGCCATGCCTCAGAAACGTTGAACTTTAAAAAATGTAAAATTGGATTAGCTGGGTGTGGTGGCGTGTGACTGTAGTCCCAGCTGCTCTAGAGGCAGAGGCAGGAGGATAGCTTGAGCCCAGGAGTTTGAGGTTGCAGTGAGCTATGATTGCACCACTGCACCCCAGCCTGGGTGACAGAGTGAGAATCCGTCTCAAAAAAAAAGTGAAAAGTGAAGATGGCAAATTTCATATGTGCAAGGATCAGATATGTTTCACTTCATTATTTATTTTTCTCTCCATATTGCGTTTAGGTAGTACAGGTGTGAATCAGGGTTTTGTTTTTTGTTTTTGTATGTTGAGGAAGTTAATTCTGAATGCTAGGAGTGGCATTGACACATTTCTTTTTTATGTTTCTTCCAGAAATTGTAGTAATTGGCTGCTTTTCACTTGACATGGGAATAAATTTTAGAGCCAGAAGAGCTAGATTGTAAGCTCCCTGAGGGCAAAGCCAATTTTCGTTTTCTTCTGACTTTCTCACAAAACATTTCTCATAGATCCTTAGATGTCACAGGCATTATTACTATTTGTTGAATAAATCACTAATGAGAATCTTGATCATTTGCACATATTCAAATTGTGTGTGAATGGACCAATATATAATAAAATGGAGGGAGAGAAGTGATTGTTAAAAGTTAGACTTGGCTTGCCTTTTCCACACTGGGTTCTCTTTAGGCCAATGGACTAATCATGAGGGTTTATAAATATAATCAGTCAAGGGTTTTTGTATAACTCAGACATTATCTACACAAGGCACTCTGCCCTTTGCTTTCTGCAGTGCTCTCCTGTCCTCTTTTGGAATGGGTTTGGAATTGTTAAGATTGTTAATTAACCATTTCTGGAGGTGGACTACATGTGATTTGGATACCAGACATCAGAAATAGAATGCTAAACTTACTGGAAAAGTATTAGGATTTGGGCCTGTGATGACATTGCTTACTTATAATGATGGATTTCATTACAAAATTGTGGGTTTTTTTTTTTTTTTGGAGATAGAGTCTTGCTCTGTCGCCAGGCTGGAGTACAGTGGCACGATCTTGGCTCACTGCAACCTCCACCTCCCGGGTTCGAGCGATTCTCCTGCCTCAGCCTCCCGAGTAGCTGGAACTACAGGTGTGCACCACCACCACCGCCAGCTAATTTTTGTATTTTTAGTAGAGACGGGTTTTCACCATGTTGGCCAGGATGGTCTCAATCTCTTGACCTTGTGATCTGCCTGCCTTGGCCTCCCAAAGTGCTGGGATTACAGACATGAGCCACCGTGCCCAGGCTGAAAAATTGTTTTTTATCATTACCGTTTCTAATTTGTTAGGCAAAATAATGGAGGTTCACTTTATATCTTCTAGGTCTTTAGTGTTCACTAAAAATAACTGGTAAGATGGTATATAAGTAAGACATGAGAAAGAAAGTTAAATTATTTTACCTTTGTTGGAAATTCCCTTTTGCATGGTGAGAAACCAACGAGTTGGCAAGTTGTTCCTCTTTGACCCAATTTCTTAAAAGCCAAGTTGCAACATATATTATATAATACAATGAAGTGTTTAGTTCTACCTTATAATGGTTTTGATGTGTTAAGTTCTGCTAAGCAAGCTTTGGTTTGCAGAAATAGAAATATAGACTTAGCTCTTTGTTTCAGCTACAGTGGTATTTGAAATATATTAAATGTTAACATAACCTTGTGAATTTGGGACTCGTGGAGAAATTAATTTTTTAAAATATTTTAAGGATGTTTGTGGGAAAACAGCTGAAATCTGAATAAAGCCTGTAATTTAGTTAGTAGTGTGGTACCAATGTTAATTTCTTAGCTTTGGTAATTCTGCTCTGTGAATGTAAGATGTTAACATTAGGGGGAAGCTGGGTGAAGGGTGTACTTGCACAGTTTGTATTGTTTTTGCAAGTCTTCTATAAATCTGAAATTTTTTCAAAATACAGAATTTTAAAGCACCCTTTGCAAAGAGTGGTAATATGTTTGTTTAGCAGTTAAGTTTATTTTTTCTTTTTCAGATAACTATAGTCATAGCATTTTACATTTTCAAGGTGCTTTCGCTAGATTGAAAATTGATAATGAAGAAAATACTTCAAATTTAAATCAGTGAGCATGAAAGAAATATGCTAAGAAATTACTATAACATTCTTAGTGTTCTGTATATGTAAAGAAGAATTGCTTGAGCATAATAAATTGTTCCGATCTAGAAAATTATAGGTTTTAGTCTCTCATGTTTTCAAAGGGTTATTTTTACAGATTTTAAGAAAAGAATCTATTGACATGTAGTGATATATGGATAAGTGTGTATATAATTTTGGTAATTCAAAATGAATTTTCTTTAATGAACAAGTAATTTGAATTATGTCTTCAGATTATATAAATTCTTTATAAATGAAGCATAGCCTAGCCTTTAGATTTGGTAAAAGTTGGTTTCAGAATTTAAGCAATTCTGTGACAATTCTAGAAAAGTCAATACCTTTATTTAAATTTTTCATAATTCTCTAAGGATTGTAATATATTCTAGGAATTGTGAGGCTGTATACAGTAGAGGAACTATGTATTAGATTAAATATTGTTTTCTTTCAATTTTTGTTTTAGATTTCATTAAGTTTCTAGAATGAGCATGTATTATCTAAATATCCCAAGGCTTAGTTTTCATTTAGGGAATCAGGCATTTTAATGAGTTTTATGCTTTTCAACAGTGAAACATTTTTCTTAGGGGTTATGTCCACCATGCATTTTACTTTAGTTCTGAGATTCTTCTCTTTGAAAACCAACTTTCCTATAGTTTCACTTTTTAGTGTGCTTACTATCTTTATGAATATAACATGCATGTTAATAGGCTTATTTTATAAGCGAGGGAAGGTTTAATTATTAATGTCTTTCCAACTCACAAACATTCTAAAAAGGTACAAAATAATGTAAATCTTGCATTATAAGAGGATGTTGCTTTTTTGCTTCCTAAAATACCGCGGTGGTTTTCAGTTTAGTCATCAGAAAGCCTGAGTTGACACTGTAGCTCTGAAAAACCCAGCAGAGAAAAATAAGTTGGGCTGCCTTGGGTGGAGAGGAGGAAAGATTTAGTCACCAAGCTTCCTAGTCTGTAGTGCCCCCATCATTGGTGAGGAGGCTGGCAAGGCCAGGGCATAATTAAGGGTCTGGGAGTATGTGAGAGAAAAAGACAAAAACAGGATGAGAAGAGAAGTGTTGTGTACTCAGGTGTGGGATGTGACAAGCTCTAGAGATCTTAGCAAGGGAGGGTCACTCCCCTTGTGCCCTCTTAGCTATGAAGGAGAAACACATGGAAAGTTGAAGGAGGGCCATGAAGAGTGGCAGTTGTGCAGGTAGATCACAGTGACATCCTGCCTCAGTGACGTTAGGTGGCTCTGGGGAGGGCCTGGGAAACTGCACCAGTGTTGATGGTGAGCTAGGTTTTAATCTGTGCTTCTCAAAACCTGCTGTCCACGGGGAGCATCTGGAGGCCTCCTTTCAAAGGCTGCTTCCTGGGGCCCAGCTGTGGTGATTCTGATGTCCACGACAGAGGTCCCCCAGCATCCCTGGGTGGTCAGGGTTTGTAGCCACAGTTGAAGAAACGTTGTCCTGAAAGAGGAGGTTTTTGTTTTGTTTTGTTTTGTTTTGTTTTGTTTTTTTTGAGACAAAGTCTCGCTCTTGTCCCCCAGGCTAGAGTGCAACTGAGTGATATTGGCTCACTACAACCTCTGCCTCCCGGGTTCAAGCGATTCTCCTGCCTCAGCCTCCCGAGTGGCTGGAATTACAGGTGCCTGCCACCACGCCTGGCTAATTTTTGTATTTTTAGTAGAGACGGGGTTTCACCATGTTGGCCATGGCTGGTCTTGAACTCCTGACCTCAGGTGATCCTCCTGCTTCCACCTCCCAAAGTGCTGGGATTACAGGCATGAGCCACCACGCCTGGCCCTGAAAGAGGAGTTTTTAAAGTGTTGTCCTTGAGCCAGCAGCATCAGCATTACATTGAAAGTTGTTAGACTTGCAACCCTCTGACCCTGAATCCGCAACCCTGGGGATGAGGCCCGGCAATCTGTGTTAGAACAAGCCCCCCATGGGATTCTGATGTGACCTGAGATTGGAGAACCCTTGTTCTAAAAGAACTGAGATCTTCTGCCTGCCCTATCAGCCTCCCTTGACAAGAGCTGAAAGAGAACTGGGGGTAAAAATATCACATCCATTCATTCACTGCTTAGCCTCTTGATTAATACGGCCGGTATTACCAACATGGTGATGTGATCGTGTTGTCTCTGGCCAGACACTGGGGAAGAGACTAAATCCAGCCAGTTGTAAAACTCAAATGAATAAAAAAGTTTCCTATGTTTTTACTTACCACGATGTAACAATTAAATTTTGTTGTAATGGTTAGCCATTGGAAATTTCCCTGGGTTGATATTTTGTATAGGAGATATTTGTTGGCTTGTTATAATAAGCATGCAGCCCAGTGTGCTTATTAGAATATTTAATAGTGCTTATTAATAATTCTTATTGAAATATTTAATTCAAATAAATATTTATTGAGCACTTACATTTGTACGGCCCCTTTGTGGATGGTAATGGGCAAGGATAAAGCAGGTATAGTTACCACACTTTGAGAAGTTATTCATTTATTAAAATTTCAAAATCTACTAAAATGGAAAGAAACAGGGACTTTCTCAGGAGAGAACTGGAAGTTAGTAGATGTAAGATTTGGAATTGTAATGTGGAATTGTGAAACTTTGCCTTTGGCAATAAACTCAAATTCCAAATAGAAAGAAAATAAAGGTTTTTCGGCCAGGCGCGGTGGCTCACGCCTGTAATCCCAATACTTTGGGAGGCCGAGGCAGGTGGATCACGAGGTCAGGAGACGGAGACCATCCTGGCTAACGTGGTGAAACCCCGTTTCTACTAAAAATACAAAAAAATTAGCCGGGCGTGTTGGTGGGCGCCTGTAGTCCCAGCTACTCCGGAAGCTGAGGCAGGAGAATGGCGTGAACCCGGGAGGCGGAGCTTGCAGTGAGCCGAGATCGCGCCACTGCACTCCAGTCTGGGCGACAGAGCGAGACTCCGTCTCAAAAAACAGAAAAAAATAATGAAGATTTTTCTTGGACATTTATTTAAAGTACTGACAATGTGTATCCTAAAATTGAGCCTAATTTTTCTCTGAACCCTCAAAGACAACCATTGCATCTCTGTCATTTAACACTCCAGGTAAATAAAAATAATCATGATGTCTTTTAACAGATTGATCCTGAGCGCTTTGTAGCCGGCCTTTCTGAGAAACAGCTGAAGAGTGCTTCCCTGCTGCCGGTTGCTCCTGCTGCCATCCGCAGCTGATCACTAGGTGTAGCTGCGTCCCTTAACCCCCCTGCCTGAGCCAAGCAAGGTCCAGCCCCATCCATAGATGGCTTCCTGGACAGCTAAAGAAAGGCACGAGAGCGGACTTTCATCCGCTTACGTGTGCATCTCTAAGTCTTTATTGTAAAATTGAGTTCTTTAGTGGGAGTTGTAGTTCCACTGCTACTTGTAGTGTAGTTTGTTGAAATTCAGCACTGATCCAGAGACAACTTTAGATTCACCTGCTACAGTCTTACTCAATTTTTTCTTTTTTCTGCTGTGTCATATGTTGCTGCTAATCTACATGTAGTGGTAAAACTGGAAGAAGTAGTATATATTTGCCAACTAAGTAAAGGGTTCATGTTAACCTTTGGGGCCTTCTTGTAGTAGACCAGAAAAAGCAGTGGTGTGGATGGCTCTGTGTAGGTGTGTAACATCTTTAGGACATGGCTTGTCTGTACTTTTCTTACGTCTGCAAGGAGTGACTTCTACAGCACTGAGGGTTTAGGTATGTAATTCAAGAAGTCATGAAAATCTGCCTGGAAATCTGATTCAGCCATTTTTCCTGCTTAAAACTCAGAAGACTAATGAGTCATCAAAAACTTTATATGAAATGCAAGTGTTGGGCTTTGGGTTAGAAGTCAGGGCAGGGTGGAGAATCTGATTGAAGATGGCTGTGTGGCTTCCTTTCGAAACTGGGGCTAGCAGGGGTTGGAAATGACCTTGCAAGCTAAAAGAGCAAGGATTGCAGGACATACAGGAGAGATGAATGAGAGGAGAGGAGTCAGAGACTTGTCAAAACTGATAAGGTTTTAGCATCTCCCTCTGAAGAAAAGGCCACTGTTTAACAGAATGATTTATTTCAACATGCACCAGCCAAAGCAGAAGCAAAGCATTTACTTTTTATGGGCTGCAAAGCATAAAAGCTTATAGAGCATCAGTTTTTCAGATGGGTGAATATTCATTTTAATCTCTCTTTCTATTCAATATGCAGAAAGCAGATTTATTGCATACAATGAGAAGAGTGCATATTAGTGTGGGTTACTCTGGGAGTCTGAGGCCCCATTACTTTTCCCTGGCTTCTAGCTATGGAATCAAAATGGGCTCACAGGTAACAGGTAGGCTTTGACAGAGGGTGAGAAGGAATTGGACCACACCCTTTGTATAGTCTGTGTTTTTTTGATTTTTTTTTCTCAAGGCGTCTTGCTCTGTCATCCAGGCTGGAGTGCAGTGGCAGGATCACTGATCATGGCTCAATGTAGCTTCGACTTCCTGGGCTCAAGCAGTCCTCCCACCTCAGCCTCCTGAGCAGCTGGGTCCATAGGCACAAGCCACCATGCACGGCTAATTAAAGAAAAAAATTGATAGAGATGGGGTTTTGGTACATTGCCCAGGCTAGTCTTAAACTTCTGGGCTCAAGTAGTCTTCAGCCTCCCAAAGTGCTGGGTTTACAGATGTCAGCCACTCTGCCTGGCCCAGCCTGTTTTTGATGGATACTATTTGTTCTCTCTTCTCTGTTTGAGTAGCTTGAGGTACTTTACATCATGTAATAAGCACATGCTTAAAATGAACTTAAAATGGACTCAGTGTGATGTTCCATCTAGATATACAATTATAAGGTGGTTTAAAGCATTCCTTTTAACATACTCATAATGTGTAAAACCAGATTACTTAACAATTTTAGCATGTAGTAGTCACTCAATAAATATTTGTTGAATGAATGAAGAAACAATTTAAAGAAGCTCCCTTGGAGAAGAAAAAAATCAAATAACTTATGCTTAAGGCTGTTTTTTTTTTCCTACTTCCTATCAAGTTTGACTTAGGTATCTCCAATAACCTTAACAATAGAACCAGGCTGTGTGTTTAGTGCCTGGTGCCATTAGCAATTTATAGGTGTATAGAGACACAGTTGCTAAATTTAAAGGAAAAAGTATTACCTTTTGTTAATTAAATATATAAAAGTAAGACTGTAGTTTTATTGTGTATAATAAAAATGTATAAATCAGTTATTGCTATAAAGTAGCATTTTGATATAATACTGATCACTAAAAAATGAAATTTACTATGCAGTAGATTTATCATGACTGTACTCTAGGGGGATTTGATTTAGTCACTGGTATATTAAAGGAACCATGGTATCACCAGAAAGAAGATTCCATGACAGGGAATAATATATATTATCTCTGCTGCCTTTTATTTCTGATATAGAATGAAATGAATTATACCTACACAGAGCTCAGACAGCATCATGATAACATCAGGCTCATCTTCATTACAGCAGGCATGTTCTCGTTCCTTTTTCATTCAGTGTATCATACTCTCAAGTGATAAAACTTAATAAAAAGAGGCTACTTTGACAACAACCTCATAAACTGTGTTTTCTACTTCCTCAACTTCTGAAGTCTTGAACACCAAATGTGGTGTAAAATTTCCACCATGAGTTCAGGTCATTGGCTCTCATTGGCATTGTGTTCTGTGTGTGTGTGTGTGAGGGAGGTTCTCCCTCGTCTCTCTGTCTGTCATCATTTTCATCCCAAATGTGTGACTTTTTAAAGAGCCTCTGCTTTTCTTTCTAATCTTGCTCAGTAGGCAGGGGCCCCTGTGAGACAGCTGGTTGAGAATGCTTGGTATGTTTGGAGTGCAGCATGCTTTGTCAGAGAGGGACAGGACACAGTGGGGGTCTGAGGCTGTGACATCAGCCATGGGGATCCCTGAGCTGTTGAAAGAAGGGCAGTAGTAGCCTCTGGTTGGATCAGGTCTTCCTGGCATTGAGTTCTCCTTCTACCTCTAAGTAGCCATGAGACCTTGGGTGTGTTATTTCATTTTAAAATACCCTGCAGGATGATGATGATGATTATGATGATGATGATGATAATGATGATTTTTAGACAGGGTCTCACTCTTGTCACCCAGGCTGTAGTGCAAGTGGCATGATCATAGCTCACTGCAGCCTTGAACTCCTGGGCTCGAGCGATCCTCCCACCTCAGCCTCCTGAGTAGTTGGGAGCATAGGTGCATCACCATGCCTGGCTAATTAATTTTTTTTTTTTTTTTTTTTTGAGACGGAGTCTTGCTCTGTCGCCCAGGCTGGAGTACAATGGCGTGATCTTGGCTCACTGCAAGCTCCACCTCCCAGGTTCATGCCATTCTCCTGCCTCAGCCTCCCGAGTAGCTGGGGCTATAGGCGCCCGCCACCATGCCCGGCTAATTTTTTGTATTTTTAGTAGAGATGGGGTTTCACTGTGTTAGCCAGGATGGTCTCGATCTCCTGACCTCGTGATCCGCCCACCTTGGCCTCCCAAAGTGCTGGGATTACAGGCGTGAGCCACAGCGCCTGGCCAATTTTTTTTTTTTTTTTAAGAGACAGAGGTCTTGCTTTGTTGCCTTGGCTGGTCTCAAAACACCTGGGTTCAAGTGATCCTCCCACCTCAGCCTCCCAAAGTGCTGGGATTACAGGCGTGAGCTGCTAATGCCCAGCCTCCTTGCAGAGTTATTGCAAAGACTAAATCAGAGAACCAATGCTGTGATGTCAGGGGCCCCTGGGGTGATAGGGCTTCATGTGTAATTAGTGGTCAGAATAAGACGGGTCCATCAGTCTGTTCCCCCATCCTCATGCAGATTACAGATTTAAGCATAGGAACCCTGTGCTTTCATAAGTGAAAAAGTGTTGAATATTGGCAATTTCACATGATTCAGACTAACACATCCCCTTTCTGGGTCCAAGGCTTTGATAGTTGTGGTGCTGGGAGGTTGTATAAGTGACATAGAAGTATGTGTATGTGGTTATGTATGTCTAGATTTTATAAACAGGGCCAACATTATGTTTGAAAAGAAAAAAGCCCCCTGAAATTAGCAAAATAATCATGTTAAAATTGGCATCATGAAAAGCCAGCACTGCTCGGTGCCATGGAAGGCCCTGCATCCTGGATACCTGCATTACAGTCACCTGAAGCACTTGTTAAAAATGCAGATTCCTGGCCCCACCAGACCTACAGAGTCAGAAACTGGAAAGAAATACCTCATATGATTTTGATCTTCTTTAAAGTTGAAGAGCTACTGGAAGGAAAGTAACAGTGACTCAGAGACCCTGCCTTTGTATTGAATTTATCACATCTACTATGAGGAGTGTTAAGAAAGCATCTGAGGATTACTATTAATACATGAATTTTTACATAGCAAACTATAATTGGCCAGAGAGCATTTCTTTTATAAAGCAGAGGCTTTTCAGCATTAGAAGAGAAAATGAGTTATGAAACAATTACATTATAGAAACTTATCTGCTTCGTATATATCTTGCAACTTGGTGACCTCTAGTAAATGTGGCATCACTCTGGAATGTTTAGAATATAGTGAAAGAATAAAGACATTTTGGAGTAATCAGAACACAGATGATTTTAGATCTCTAAATTTGCCAATTTGAGCTGCATTTTGAGATGACTCATTCAGGGAAGATCATGAGACAAGATGATCTGCAAAGTATTTTGGGAAGATTATTTTCCAGCACTTAGTCCTTTACTTCATGTTCATTGAAACATGTGAACGTTGTGGAATGATTTGTCTTAGGTGCCCCATAAGGATGGACCAAAAGCTTGGTGCTTTGATTGCAGTAGTTTTAAAAAGTCTCACAAACCTCAAAATGGGCATATTGGTCTGTTAAAGCACTTGAAATTTCCACTAGCTCATCATTTTGGCCAAGGAAGAAAGGTCTTTGTCAAAATGTCGTCTCTAGGAGAGGTGGCTCATTAAGTTATCTTAAATATGACATCTCTAACTAGCTGTCACCTCGATAAGTTGACATCTTTAGATTCTCCCTTGTAAAATGACATTTGATTCAAGGATCTCTCCAATATCTTAAAGAGTATGAGGATTGTCATCAGCTTATGTCTTAGTTCAGATTAGTTTGTCAGATGGCACAGCAAAAGAGAATGAGACTTGGATCATTGGGTCATTTTTGATAGGTGAGCATGGGAGACATGTCTAGAGCACTGGGTCCCATCTGAGAGAGTGCCTGATACAGCATGAGGTTGCTTGCTAACAAGAAGTGGGTGTTGAAGGGCTGTCTGCAAGATTTTAGATGCTTTGAACATTTGCCATAGGCTTCATCTGCTAAGCTATGCACTTAGCATAAGCGAAGTTCACTCTTTCTCTCTGTACTTGAGAATGTAGCTACCATTCACAGGTGACGCCAAAGGCTCTTCAGCAACTAGACTGTTAAGGCCTGTGGCTTTCTTCTTAAATATTGATAATATACGTAAGCCTTATTTCAGGGGCTTAGCATTGATAGTCATAAGTGATAACCATATATTGAGCACTAAGTATGTGCTAAATAGTGTGCTGAGAGGGTATGATATTCTCAAACTTATTGCCCCCCATTTACAAATAAAAGCTTGGCTGAGAGAATCAACGGAGACTTTGGGAGGTAAAGTCGTCTCCACTCCCAACCCAACCATGTCATCCGAACGTGGGGTACATGTACCATATTATGTCTCCCTCCCCATACATACACAGAGTAGTGTTTTCCTGATTTATGCTTTACTTTGATGCCATCCTCCTGTATTGAAGTGTGCTCTAAGAAAAAGCATTTCAAATGTAGTGTTGTGGCTGCTAGGAAGATATTAAGTGATGTTGTATTATGTCATATAAAATCCGTATGATGACCTTCTGGAGAGATTTCTTTCCGGTTCAGGGAAAGGTGTGATTCTCCTGTGCAGTCAGATTCTTCTCGTGGACACAGTGAGCAATATAACCCATCAACTTTCTTTTTTCTGTCGGCTGTTAGAAAGCCAGATTCAAATGCATGTTTTGTAGTAGCTGGAACTTTTATATTGAACTGAAAACCTCAGTCAAAGCTGGCCTGCATCAAACAGGGAATTTTTTGGCTCTTGTAACAGGTAACAGAGAAGGCCAAAGGTGGGCACGGGATTCCAAGTCTTCCTTGCTAAGCATCTTTTCTCTCTATGTGATGTTTCTAAGGAGTTACAGGCTAAATCCCTCTGGCTCCAAGCCTAGTGGAAAGAGAAATTCTCTTCCCTCATGGTACAACTCACTCCTGTGATTGGGCTCCAAGAAAAAAATAAAAATAAATAGGTTCTGTTACCAGTTGAAGAGTAGATAGTACCTGGACGAAAAGCAGCAAACTGCCAGAGCATTCATCTATGCAGTCGATGCTTGTTTCTGGGTCTTTTTGCTGGCCTGATTCTTAGTCACTTCTCACATCATTTTAATTTATTTTGCTGTATTTTATGTATCATTATAAATGCATTAAACCTTTTTGGGTGGTGGCAGAAAGTAAATTAGTTTCAAATCTCATCATTTGCATCAGTGCTCCAAATGTACCTTTTGTGTGTGCATGTTTCATTTACTTTTTTTTTTTTTTTTTGAGACAAGGTCTTGCTCTGTCACCCCAGCTGGAGTGCAGTGGTACGATTATAGTTCATTGCAGCCTTGACATCTCAGGCTCAAGTGATCCACCTCAGCCTCCAGAGTAGCTGGGACTCCCAAGCAGCATGCGGCACTATTCCTGGCTACTTCACAAAAATTTTTTTTGAAGAGATGACTTCTCGTTATGTTGCCCAGACTAGTCTCAAGCTCCTCGCCTCAAGCCATCCTCCTGCCTCAGCCTCCCAAAGTGTTGGGGTTACAGGCATGGGACACCCCACCTGGCATAAAATTTATTTTTTTAAAGCATCAAAATCTTTTGGCTAAGCAAATTTTACATAGGTAGAAATGTGTACAAATCTTTTGGTTAAATAAAGTTTTATGTGAACATATTTTTAAAAAGGCTATCCAAATTGGCAAACAAGGTATATTGGTTAGCTATTGCTGTGTAACAAAGCACCTCAAAACTTAGTGACCTAAAACAACCACCATTTACTAAAACTTAGTGACCTAAAACAACCACCATTTACTATTCTTCATGTTCTATGGGTGCCTCTGCTGACCTAAGTTGGGCTCGGTATACTTTGTGTATATGTGTCTCTCCTCGGTGATCTTGGCTGAGCTTTCTTGAAATTTTGCTGCTGTCCTTCTGTAGGCTGGTCTAGGATGTCCTCAGCTGGGACAGTTGGACTCTCGTACATGTGATCTCTCATTCCAAAGAGAGAGCAGAAGTGAACCAAGACTTCTGGGCTAATGCTTGGGAAGAGTACGTTGTCACTTCCACCTCTTCTCCTGGCCAAAGCCAGTTACAAGGCCAGCCTAGAATCAAGGGTGGGGAAATAGTCCTCACTCCTTGGTATGTGAGGCTGCAGGGTCACATGGTAAAGAGTACGGATACAAAAAGAGGTGGGAAATTGGGACTTACAGAGGGGTCTGCTAGGACCAGCACATATGACCTAAATGCCTCAGCTTCTCAGAACAGTTGGGAAATCATGGGCAGCATGGGAAAAAGAAAAGTTTAGGGTTGGAAGAACTGCGTTCAAGGGCCAGCACTGCTGCTTACTGTCATCTGAAGGGTGAAGTTGTTAACTTCGGTGAACTCACTTCCTTATCTGCAAATAGGGTCAATCGGTGGCATTCTCATTCATGGGTTTACTTCAGAGATCAAATAATATGAATTTTTTTCAATCCCTGTGTCCCTGGGTGAGTTCTGAAGGTTATAATAGCCTCATTAAACTTGAGTTCTCAAGGTGGCTGTGCTATTTCCTCACTGTGAGAATCACATAGCTTCTCTAGTCCTTCATCTGTGAAAAGGGTATGAATTCTACTTCCTTGGTCATCCTGTGTAAAACACAGTGCCCAGTCCAGAATAGCTGCTGTTATTGTTGGAGCCCTATGACTACAGAATAGCCTTGAGCAATAACCTTGCCTTGTATTTTTCCTTTATGTCTACAAACCCCAAAGGGTATGGTTTTCCTCAGCCCCAGTTTTTCTTCCATTTGTGATCTTGATTCATAAATTTGCTACCATTTCTCCTGGTTTCCTAGAAATAAGGAAAAAGGAAATGTGACAATTGCATGCCACCTAGGTGCTAGGTCCTTTACATATCATTTATATACTTCTCCAATGTGATCCTATTAGGTGAAGATGACAGCACTGGTATTTTAGGGTTTATGGAACTGAGGCCTCAACACATTTCAGGATGTCCCATGGACAGTGGCTACAGCTGATTTTAGATCCAAAAGTGCTCATTTCCCTGGGCCCAAAGCCTGTTTTCTTGTCCCTGTCTGTTGGGTCCAAAGCGCATGTTATAATTTTCAAGTATGGCTTAAGAATTTGGTACAGTTTCTCATTTTGATGTTAAAACAATTGTAAGATTGGCACAGCCCAGAAGTGCAGTGTACTTACTGCTATTTTACAGCCCTCTGAAATAGTAAATTAAAAGGAAAAATACTTAGCTTCTTAGTGACTTGACTGAAATTAATTGGTTAGAGAATTACTTATATTTTTCATGAGCAGAGGAGGGCAGAATGTTGTCTTTTCTCTGGTTACAAATCCCGTAGATAGAACTGTGTTTTTGTAATTTCTTGTGTTTTCCATCCGAATATCTGTTTAACGTGAAAGGTGCAAAATCCTTTGTAAATCTCTAGTCTGTATGCCTGAGTGGTCTTAGGGAGAAAATGCCAGTAAGGTAAGCAATAATTTAAGACCTTTGACTTCAAGTGGAGGTGGGAGGCCCTAGGAGACTGATGTTAATCACCTTCTTTAGAACAAATTTCATTGCCTTTTGAGGCTTGACAAAGTAAAGAAAACATGTAGATCTGTATTTGAAGGATTTAAAATAATCTAGTGAGTAAATTCTTACTTTATCCGCAATGGGAAAGAACTGTTTGGTATATAGTACTCTACAGTGGTTATGTACTTTGCTTATTTAAATAACATTCTTGCAGTGTCATTAGGGAGAATTACATCAAAATAAACTGCATTAACAAAAGTAGAATAAGTGAGTATCGAGAATATTAGCATTTTTCAGAGTGACTTTAAAAAATTATGCAATTATGAATTCAGACATTTTATCAAAATTATTTATGAAGTAATGGTCATTGTCAACAGATGCAAGTTTGTAAGTAAGTACTGATTTTGGAAAGATTCCTGGGCAGATAGAGATAAAATGAGGTGTTTGTCGTCGATTGTTAGGGATGAGAAAGACCTCAGGACTGGGCTTTAGGAGATCTGAGCTCTGATGTCTGGTTCTGCTGCCATGTAGCATGTGATTTGGGTCAAATCTCTTCATGGTAACTCAAGGCCCAGAAAAGTAAAATTGATACTCTAATAATACTTTTTGGCTACCTAAAATAAAGACGAAGATCAGTGAGAAATTGTGATTGTGTTGGCATTTTTTTTTTTCTCTTGGGATGCTTTCTGAATACATATTGTTTATTAGATTCTGGGTACCCCCACCCCAAGATTATTCTCTCATGCCTCAGTTCTATAAACGGAAACTAAACACAGTGGTGAGAAGTCCTCCATGGCTGGAAGAATATTCAAGAGTTGTTTGCAAGGCATATTCTTTTCCAAATACAATGCTTACCTAGCACTGAGAGTGAAATGAGGTAGAATAATATCCCCCTGCTGGACGAGGTATCTGTGCCTTCTGTGGGTGAGTACCCATTTATAAGTCCTGTGCTGAGGCCCTGGGAGCCAGGCCTGTGCTGAGCATTGAAGATATAAAGGTTTCCAAGATGAGGGTTTGTCGTTAAGGAGCTCACAGGAAAACTGAAGGGATATCCAAGCAAGTCGAGCCCTCTATTTCTCAACTGACATAGACAGCGTGGAAATTAGGGAGGGAGAGAGGAGGTTGCTCCTTCCCCAGGCTGGCCTTGGCAAGGGAGCTTGAGGCCAAGTGTGCAGGAGGAAAGATCCGTGGGAAAACTGCAGGGAAAGCTCTCCTGTGGTCACCTAGGTAACTAGGAGGTTTGCAGTTAGACAATAGACACGGGAGCTGCCCATGAGGCCTTTAGGCACTATTCAGGTTGATGCAGAGGGAAGGGAGAGAATAAACTTTTACATAGTCTTTTGAAATGGTTTTTAATTTTTTTTTCTCTTAAAACGGGATGTCTTCTAAGCAAGTGAGTTTTCGAAGGCTGTGGTTATCTTAGAGTAGATGCAGAAAGGAGAACATCTGGGAAATTGCAGAGAGGATTGGAAATTGCAGAGAGGAACGAAGTTTGAATAGTTTTTGTTTTTGAACTTGGTGGCTTGGCAGTCTTCCCTTCTGTCCCATGCAGATCATATTTGGTGCTGTATTTAAGGGATGGATTTGTGCGGGATTGGAATTTGGCCAGAGGTTGGAAAAGTGTTGAGTATTGGGGAAGATTCATGACTCAAAATATTGGCTACTGTTCTATTCCCATGCCTGATATCAAGGTCCAAGGCTTTCTCTCTTTTTTTTTCCTCTTCTTCTTTTCCCTCATCTATCTCCCTCTCATGTGATAGATGGGTTTTGAAAGGAAGTGGTAAACCAAACAGGTATCTGTATCCCACTTAACCATGGCCACTCCTCTTGTAGTGGCATTGTCAGTGGCCAGGCCGCTTGTCATCGTATTTCTCCTCTGCAGATGTGGACAGGACAGAGTGTTCATTCACATAGAGTGAATTGGTAAGTGAAAGCATAACCAGTACCATGCCTGGTGAGGCACTGGGTGGTGCCTTATCTACTTTATATCTAATCAGCACTGAAGTTCTTGTGTGTAAATGTGTAATAACACCACAAAAGAACAGCTGATACTCATAGAATACTTAAAATTTCTAGGCATTGTCTTAAGCGCTTTTTAATTATGTATTATCTGATTTAATACTCATAACAACCTAAATTACCCTCAGTTTACAGGCCTGGAAATCAACTGAAGCAAAGTGGCCAAGATCAGGCAAATTGTAAGGGTAGAGCTGAGATTTGAACATTATCAGCTTGATCCTTTCAGCCACTAACCTACAGTTTGTAGTTCTTTGTCTACATCAGACAGGCTTACAATCACGCTGCATACATCGTGGGCTTAACCTGCTTCTGTTTCAATATCCGGGATCTTTTTGTATGCTTCTCTGTTGGTTGGTTAGTCAGGAGTCCACTACGGGTGGATGAATGGTTCAGGTATTGTAAGTGCACTGGCAATGAGGTGGCAGGACTAAGGACCTGGGGGAAAGAACATCAGTCCTTAGGCACTTAATCAGGTTGATATCTTTAGTTTGGGGGGTGACTTTTAGAACAAAGTCAACAGATAGGTTTGCTTATTTTGGAGATTATATTATAATATAAACCAGCCAAACTGTTAGGGTTGGGAGCAAAACCAGGGCTAGATACTGCGTGATGAAACCTTGCCAGTGAAATGGCTTTCTGAGCAGGGAGCTGATACTGCTCAGTTCCAAGGTCTGTGGGGCATTGGCATCTGACTTAAAAGCCTGTATATTCAATAAAAGAATGTTTAATAAAACAGCAACTCAAAGCACTATAAACATTTAAAAACAGAATTTTTAAATACTAGGCATTCCTTGCACATTGATAAGTTCACATCTGAAATTTGCATGACATAAACATACAGTTGAGAAGGAGAGAACGTATGCCCTATGGTAAATATTGACATTTTAAAATACAACTTGTACAAACATCTTTTAAAGGTATCCATTGTAAAGACCCAAGTACCAAAGGGATTCGATACCCTCCATTGTCCATTTAAAAATATATGAACAAACTTTTATTTAATTGAGAGAAACTTTACCTCTTTAATTTTTCTCCTTAAACTGGTACTCCCATTTTCTTTCCCTATAGAATCATATCCTATTATAACACATTTGTGCTTGAAAGTCTGTGATTACTTATCAGGCTTCTCTGTAACAAAAATATGTAAAAAGTTGAAATTTTAATTCTATATTTAATTTTATAGGAGTATAAACCTTTAAGTGTTAGATTTTTATGTAGTTGAATTATCACTAGTATGTAATCGAATCATTGTTAAAATTTATTGGAAGAATTGTTTCAGAAATCAACTGGGCTTTCGATGAAATAGTTCATTTATCTGTGGGTAGATATTACTTACTGGTTGAGTTAAACTGGGTTAAACATCAATTCTATTTCCATTTTTCATTTTTATAAATAGGTACTGAGAATCTTTGTTCATATAAATAGATGGATAGGATTAGCCACTTCTTTGAATTTCTTTTTCAAGTTTCATGCCAAGATTCACATCATTATCTAGTATCAGTAATTATTTTTAATGACCTGTTAGCTGACAGTTTGATTAAGCTCATTCTCAAAATTGTTGAAAGCAAAAATTGGGAAACCAAGTAGTCTCAAAAGGATTTGTTGCCCAGTTATGCACCCTCTCATTTGCTGGGAAGTAGACCAAGAGGCTTTGCAAAGATTTCCTCAATGACTGTTAATTTCACCTGTTGTTTTTTAACTTAAAAGCATCTTGTTTAACCCAGAAATATGAAGAAGTCATTGGGAAAACAAAAATAATATTAGTTTCAATATACTTTAGCCAATACATGTTTTAAATATATTTATATAAATAAATACACACCCAAACCCACATATGTATAGTTAAACCTTAGAGGTGAAGATTTAGGCTAATCAATAAGTGAACAATATATGATTCCATCGCAAAGCAGTTCTCATCAAGCTGTCGGTAAAATCAGACGTGCTTTCTATCAGATAAAGTCTAACATAGTTTTTAATTTCAAGTAAGTTTTAATTTGCATTTTGAGGAAAAAATTTTTAAATGGTAAAAAGAAATGATATGACAGATTACTAAAAGCAGTTTAGTCAATTTTGAAGCACTGTAGATTTAATAGAATTAATCATATTTTGTAATAAGTTATAAAACCATAATGAATCTACTTTGTTTCTTATTAGTCTATAGGAATGCCATATAATGGACACCTAAAATTATGAGCTATTATAAAGTGAGGATTCTGATTAAAAACATGCTATTTTTCTGGTAAATGTGTATGACTGTTTATACTGAACTCCGGCATTTGACTTCTGAGAATAATTAAACAGTAATTATATATATACTTTCAGAAATAACTACATTAATTTCCAAAGACTTCAGGGTCCAACTTTGTATTTAATTCTTACATATTTAATCAAATGGAGGTATGTGCTACTAAAAATAAATTGTTATAGCAGCTAGCATATTTTTGTTAAGAGGTAGAAAATACTAACTTATGAGGATTGACTATCATTGGAAAAATCACTACATAAATATTTGATAAAATAGATTTTAATGATCTTACTTTATAATGCACACCGAATCTAACTAAATCTCATTTTTGTGAGTTTTTATTGTATAATTAGAAAAATTTGGAAAGCATTGCAATTATACTTAAAAGAATCAGTGTCAGGAATCTTCACACTTTTGGTTGTTTGAAGATTCTTTTCTTGACAGCTAATGTGATGTTTGAGTGTGATCATAAATGCTCACAAAAACAAATTGTTAATGATTATATTTGGAAACACCAGAAGTAATTTTTTGTGTTTAATATTTACCAGTGTCATCTTTGCCTTAATGTCACCAGTTCTTCTGCTCTGAAATGTATCCTTTAACCGTGGTCACTTGAAGGAAGATGTGTGGTTGTTAAATTGTATATCTAATTTTATAACACCTCACAGGGAGGAAAACCCTCAATCTCTAGTACATTGCTTTACTTTTGCTCTGTTGCCTAGGCTGGAGTGCAATGGTGGGATCAGGACTCACTGCAACCTCAACCTACTGGGCTCCAGTGATCCTCCTGCCTCAGCCTCTTGAGTAGGTGGGACCACAGGTGCATACCACCATGCTTGGCTGATTTTTAAATTTTGGAGAGATGGTATTTCACTGTGTTCTCCAGGCTGGTCTTGAGCTCCTGGACTCCAGTGATCTTCCAGACTCAGCCTCCCAAAGTATGGGGATTACAGGTGTGAGCTGCTCCATCCATCCCATTGTTTTACTCTTAAATGAAATATGGATTTGACAGTGAAAGACAAGAAGCCCTCCAGCGAATGTCTGTTGTTTGAAAGCTTCCTTGAAAGCAGCAGGTCATGTGGTTCCTTTGGTGGCTGCATGGGAGTGTTTACAGGTGAGGGGTATGGCTTTCTTTTGGCAGCTATGAGGTCTGTTGAGAAACAGCAAATGGGAAAGGAGAATCTACCTGATCCTAGCACAGAAACGGGTGCCCTTTGGCCTGTCGGTGTTCTGTACCCCTGAGTTTCCATAGCCACGGAGTGTGGCTCTGCTGGGACTCTCATACTCATGGTAGGAATGCTGGAGCTGGGCCCTATGGCCCAACTTTAATCTTTCTAGATAGAGACCTGAACACTTGAAAGTGTGACATCCTCCCCTGCAACTCCCCCCCACCACCCTGGCCAAGAGGCAGAAATCAAGCTGGTGAATTCTGGTTTACAATATAGTAACTCAATTCTGGTCTTAGTCTGTGACTTTGGCAAATACTGTATGTCTCTCTGCTCCTGAAATCAAAACAAGTAATTCTGACATAATATAATGTAGATATTAAGACTTTATTAGTCATTAATAATTAAATGAACACTAAACAAAGGCATATACTCCTCATTTAACCTGAAAGAATCTTGCAAAACCATTAGTTTCCCATGCTGTAAGTAAATGTTTTGGACAGTGGGTAGTTTCCAGCTGAATTCGCACCTTATTCCAGGAAGCAGAACTTTGAGAGAACAAGAAGCAGATAGAGCTGTAGAGATGCTTAACACGTGCTGCATGTCATCAAGCCACTTATTATGTGACATTCACCTTTACACTTGGGTGGTCTTTCCAACTTGTCTCTAATGGGAAGCAGGTGGGTGTTGTTATCTTATTACATGGATCTGGAAACAATGGTTAAATTGTTGGTTCAGGCCCTAGCAGAAGCGAGAGCATGGGTTTCCCCTGAGTGAGTTCTACAGAGTGGTGGCAAAGCTTTTGTAACGCACTACCGAAGAAAATGACGAAGCACAGGGAATGGATGCTTATCCCTTTTGCTAATATTAAGTCAAGTTTCTCCTTAATTTTTCTTCAGGAAATATAACACTGGCATCTTAATCTTTGTATATAAGGATATTTATAATAAGCTTTGAACGGGACTGAAGAAGATAGTAAGGTGTGGGGGATTATCTGAGGTCAATTCATTGATCAGTGGCTGTTCCCAGGGTGATGGGTCATCCAAAACAGAGGTCTCCAGAGTGTGCACACCTGGAGGGTGGAAAGATGGTCACTTGGATACCTAAAGAAAATAGTGGAACTTTTTCCAAATATGATAAATGTCTCCTGAGGAAATAAGAGTGGATATATACAAAGAATCCCTGAAGGCGTATTCATTAAGGCATTATTTGGAGAAGTAAAAAAATTGGGAACAACCTAAATATCCGACAATAGAGAGTGGATTAAATCCTGGTATATTCATGTAATAGAATGCCATATAGCCACTAAGAATGATGACAAGAATATTTAAGGGTGTGAGATAATCACAAGATAGTGATGTGGGACAAAAACTAGTGACAAAATCATTTGTGTAGGATTATGCTGGTACTACTTAATTATTTAACATGTTTATTGAAAAATCTTTGGAAATGTATGGAATACAAGCTAAAATATTAACCACAGTTAATTATAGATAGTGGATTTATTGGTATTTTACTTTCAGTTTTTCTGGATCTACCAGGCTTTCTTGAACATGTTTATGTATCCATCTTATGATGAGAGAAAGTTACTTAAAATAGCTATTATGTGAATTTTGAATCCATGAGTGTTTAACTCAGTAAAGAAGGAACTGTGATGATTTTGTGAGTATGTATGAACTGGCTGGCAAAGAGTGACTCTCATTTCCTGCTTCTAGAAACCAAAAAGTGAAAGAGGAAGATTTCCAGATGACAAAACTTATCTCCATTTTTCTTTGCTTTCTATGTGTAAAACACAAAACATACAAAATGTAGGTGTGAAAATGCATCCCCGTGTGTTTTTTAAAACAGATTGTATCCTTAGCTAGTTGTCTTCTAATCCTCATTTGGCTGTCTTTTCCTCTGGAATTGTTTCTTTGCTGAAGTGTTAATGGATTGGTTAATTTGTGAGCAACACTCCTAATTGTATTAAATCTCTACAACCTTATTAAGCATTTGTGCAGGATTAGATCAGAGAGCTTGGAGAAGCAGCTTGCCAGTGGTCAGAGGGAGGGAGTGGGGAGAGCCAGGCTAACAAGTGAGTCTGGGCCACTAATTGATATCCCTAAGTCCCCTACTCCCCAAAATAAAACAACAGACTGGAAACCCCACCACTACAAGTTCAGAAGTATTCTAAAGCACATACAACAGCTTCTGTGCTGTATGTTTAAATGCCATTAAAGAGAGAGAATATGCAAGCCAACTTATTCTTTTTACTTTTATTTGAGGGAAAATAAATGATAATTAACATAAAGAATTAACGAAAATCTCCAGAGTGCTAGGTTTTTAATTCTAGTTGCTTGTGTTTATATTTAGACACCAGGCTACAGGTATTCTGTGCTTAAAGAGAGGGAAACAATTTCAGGAAATATAATTGAACCGTGTTTATTTTGAAAACGAAAGATAATAAATAGTCTGAAATATACTGACTTTTATGAACCGTGATTGACAGCTGCCTTCTGCATGTAAGGGAGGTGAATTCAGCACCTGAAGATGCTGGCTGTGCAATTGAGAAGTGGGGAAGGGGAGAATGCATGATGAGAGATTAATACCAACCTCAGGGGGCTCTCCCTATGTGTCCCGTTGCTTATTCCTGCCTGCTGATAATTCTGTTCCCAGAAAACTTTGAAGTTTATTTCCCAGCATTATCACAACAGTAATGGAACTCCCAGTAAAAATTTTAGTGACCCGTTGTTTGATTTAAATTATTTATTGCATTACATATTTTAGCATTTTTGAAGTAAGAGATACTGTAGTTCTGTTAAGGATGAAAACCAAGTCAAACCCATAAGCAGTCAGACTTGTTTTAAATTGGATGGTACCAGAGGTTTTTAAGAGCCACCTGAAAAAATAGAAAAATAAAGACACGAAATGGTTTTTGAGGTTTTACATAATCCATGTTTCTACAGGCGACATGGGAGCTAGGAGAGTAAAAATAGGGCAAATAGAACAAAATGTAAAGAGAAGAGTAGGCAATTTTGCCTTTTCAGTGCTTTGGGAGCTGTAACTCATCATATATTCCACTCAACAGGTCAGGAGAGCCATGGGGATGCCCCAAGGGTGTCATCAAATGCTTTCTTGCCCTCTGCCACTCTCTCAGGACTTGCCTGGTCCTAAGCAGAGCTGTCAGGCCTCTGCCCACCTGCAGGGGGAAAATCACTCCTGTCTCCTGACGCTACCCCCAGTTATGTGGTACAGAGCTGCCTGGTGCTATCTCAGAAACATAAGAGGAAGAGGCTCCTCAGTTAACTCTTCCCTTGCCCAGGGGCTATTATGAGGTCCATGTAATCTTTATAGTCAGCAGGGTCCTAGAATTGGGAGGGTAAAAATTGGAGTGTGTGCTATAAAAAAGGGGTGATGTTGATAGAGAAAGTTGTCAAGAAAGAGCAACATTCCCAGGGTTTGATTGATAAATACAAAGGCAGGTGTGTGTGTGCACATTCAAGTGTGTGAGCTGGGGAAGTGTTGCTGAACCGAGACAGAACATAGCCCTTTGCCTTGGAGGCCTTCCACAGCGGGCTGAAGGGAGACTCGGAGGTTCTGTCCATATCTGTGAGAGGTGAAAAGGAAAATGGCTTCTATTACAACCTGGATTAGAAAAATTCCTAGACATGGTGGCAGGTTTCTTCTGTTCCTTTCAGATTTTCTGAGTCCTTGTAACAATTGAAACACATTTCAGTCAGTTAAATATATAGGATATTTTCTACAATAAAATCAGTGGCAAGGAAAGTGTGCAAACTGCTTAGTTAATAATTGCTGGTGTGGAGCATCTCTTACTTTGCTTTTTCCCCCTTAATTGGTTGAGTATTAATAAACTCATGGTTTGTTTCAAGGGCACAGCTAGTTTTTAATGGTCTTACCGAAATTTCAGGAAGAAAGCTAAAGAATTAACATAATAAATAATTATTGCTTCCAGGGTTTTTTGTCGTTAAGATAATAAAATGTTAAAAAGCAAGCCACTTGAGCGGAAAGTAATTGCCCTGATAAGCACCACACAGGCAGCATTCACAATAAAGCAGCCCTTCCCTCAATGTCAGCCAGATTTGCATCCCACATAAATGCTTCCTCACATTATGGAAATGTACTTTTTCTATCAACAGAGTAGAATGAAACTCCAGGCTTCTAATTAATCTTGGCTGACATTTGATTTCATACCCAAGTTAAAGGCAAGAAGCGGTGGAGCTTCCCCCATGTACATGACCACAGGCAAATCTCTCCATTAATGTCAAATTGCATCTGTGCATCTTATTGTCACTGCCACATGTCAGTCATTAATGCATTAGCAATCACTTACGTCCACTTTCTACCTGCTGGTTCCCTGCTTGAGGAAATGGGCATTGCAGGAATTTTACTTTGCAAGCCTTTAACCTTGAACCTCTGGATTAATGACATAAAGAGCTTACTCAGATATAATGCTTTACAGATTTCAGCTTGCCTTTGCCTACCCTGCACATTGTAAATCTCAACAGCTTGGTGAAGAAGACCAGACACCCACAGTTTACAAATGTGGAGACCAAGACTTAGAAAACCTACATGGCTTATCTGAGGTTTCATGGAAGGTAAATGGTAGAGCTGGGATTTGAACCCAGAACTTCTTAGGTCCGATGTAATATTATTTTCTCTAAATGGATTAGAGAGCTCCTTGAGGGGTAGAATTAAGTAGCTTTGTCACTCTATACGACCCTCTCCGTTCTTTCCCAGTCAAGTTTCTGTTGATGTTAAGGAAGCAGTACACATTTTTTATTGGAAAAAGTAACAAATTCAAATTTATAGACAAAATAGTAAAGTCAGTTCCATTTAAATTATTTGAAGTGGGTCATAAAAAGAAAAGAAAATTGTCCAGGCGTGGTGGCTCATGCCTGTACTCCTAGCACTTTGGGTGGATCACCTGAAGTCAGGAGTTCAAGACCAGCCTGGCCAACATGGTGAAACCCTGTCTCTACAAAAATATAAAAATTAGCTGGGCATGATGGCAGGTGCCTGTAATCCTAGCTACTGGGGAGGCTGAGGTGGGAGAATCGCTTGAGCCCTGGAGGCAGAGGTTGCATTGAGCCGAGATTGTGCCATTGCACTCTAGCCCAGGCGACAGAACGAGACTCTGTCTCAAAAACGAAAAAAAAAACCAAACAAACAAAAAAAAGAAGGATAAGAAAATTACTCACATCAGGGTGAAAAAGTAAGGTGTGTATATCGCTCATTAGATGTTGGTTTTAAGCTCGCCTGCTGTCCTGCAGAAGGAAATGCAGAAAGCCTTTGTCTCAGAGAGAAACCATTTTCCTTGTTGCTACTCTGAGGTTTCCACCCAGGGTTTTATGTCAGAAAGTTGGACAACAGAATGGGTGATGCTCTTCTCATTAACAATTTTCTTGTCAATATGGCAGAATAATGTGTGCTTTTTAAAAATCTGGTCTCCAAATTAAAGGAATAACTTGAAAACAATTGAGTGAAGGTAGTTCTATGGGAGGCAAAGATGATGTATAACTGATTTGATTTAGAAACAAATCAGCCTACCTCACAAGGTAAAAAATAGCTTCTTTTAAATGATCATCCTCAAAGCCCACTTCTCGGGACTGAGTTTTGACAGTGGGGACAACAGTAGTACTCTTGAAGTGTCTTGGAGTTCTGGGGTCTTTCTGGCTAAGGGTGTTGTAGAATCACCTTGGCAGCCAATGTGCCACTCGTTGAATAGCTCCTTCAGTGACTTGCTAGGCCTGATGTTGACAGAAGACAAGCCATTCTCTTAAGGCCCAGAAAGGTCTTGGTTGTGATCCTAGAGCTGCTGCTGTTGATGAAGGCAGGGATGGCTTTTGCTGGACTATTTTAATTTCCATTTACCTTGAAGCCAGCATGAGAAGCATGCCTGGAGTATTTTGGAACAGGTATTGTGTGGGGAGCCATTATGACTATAGGAGAACTTTAGGAAGGTGCCCATGAAGTATCAGAATCTAAGCAACATTGATGCTTTCCTGATGTGCCTCTGAGGAGGAATTGGCTGCAAAATGCGCCTCTAGGTAATGAGGCAGATTGACCTGAGGATGGAATGGCTTTTTTATTAGCTATGTAAGTGTTGGGGAATGTCTGTCAAACAGTGATTTTGTTCTGGCATAGTTAATGTTGAGCCTTTTAGGGGGACAATAATGAGATGAAGGTTGTTTGGTAACATTGCTCTATGATAATGTCATCCTAGGAGACTTAGCATTGTAAGGGAGGCCCAGCATGTCAAATGCATTTTAGTCTACAGTGAAGTCTCAGGTGGCTACATTAAAAGCAGAAAGTCGTGGCACAGACTTCAATAGTAATGTTACTCTATCTGCATTTTAACATGTTTACTATCAGCAATAGATGATGATCTTCATAGTGATATTATTAAGACTATTTCTTGTGTAATTTTTGCATCTTTGCTGTTCATCTGAGAATATTTGAATTTGTGCACAGCTGAAGCCATTTGAGGCTTGCCTGTCTGATTATTTACGTAGAACAAATCACCCTAGATATATTAGTGGATCTCTGCCAAACTGCCTTCCAGAAACATTGTACCCATTTATATCCACACCTCTGAAAGATGCACCTGAATCATTTGAATCTTTTCCCACTTGTTTGACAAAAGATGGTTTTCTTGGAAAAAGATCGAAAAAGTATTGGTAAGGTGTTTTAGGCATTTGTGTATGGTAGTACCCCCTTATCTGCAGTTGTGCTTTCTGAGGTTTCAGTTACCCACAATCAACCCCAGTCTGAAGCTACTACATCTCCACCCTTGTGCTTTGGGGCCCTTATGAAGTGAAATATGTGAGTGACTTGAGCACAGGCACTGTCATACGGTGACAGTTGACCAGAGAACGGAGTCAGCTACTAAGTGACCACTGGGCAGGGAGTGTAGACAGTGTGGATCCTCTGGACATAGGGAGGAGTCATGTCCTGGGTGGGACTGAGTGAGATTTCATCACGCTACTCAGAACAGTGAGCACTTTACAACTTATGAATCGTTTACTTCTGGAATTTTCCATTTATGTCACAATGCCTTGTCTTTCACCTGACTTCATCTTATCCCATGGGCATTTCATCATCTCACATCATCACAAGATGCAGGGTGAGTACAGTACAGTAAGGTATTTGGAGAGAGACCACATCCACATACTTTTATTACAGTATATTGTTGTAATTGTTCCATTTTATTATTAGTTGTTAATCTTTTACTGCGCCTAATTTATAAACTTCATCATAGGTATGTGCATATAGGAAAAAACATGGTATATATAGGGTTTGGTACTGTCTGCAGTGTCAGGGATCCACCAAATAGGTCTTGGAACCTATTTTTGGGGTACAAGGGGGGACTGCTGTATGTTTATTGCCTTTTCCTTTGCTTTTTTCCTACTGGAGTCATTATCTGATTTGTTTGTTAAAACTCTTTGTAGAAATGCCACTCACTCCTTTCCTTCTCTTCAAAGTATTTTCCCTTACTTTCTTCATTTATCTTTTTTTTTTCCTTTATTTTCTTTTTTTTCAGACAGTTTCTCTGTCACCCAGGCTGGAGTGCATTGGCACAATTTCGGCTCACTGCAACCTCCGCCTCCCAGGCTCAAGCGATTCTCGTGCTTCAGCCTCCCCGGTAGCTAGAATTACAGGCACATGCTACCATACCCGGAAAATGTTTGTATTTTTTAGTAGAGACTAGGTTTTGCCACGTTGGCTAGGCTGGAATTGAACTCCTGACCTCAAGTGATCCACCCTCCTTGTCCTTCTAAAGTGCTGGGATTGTTGAGCCACTGTGCCAGCCTTCGTTTATCTTTTAATTCATAGCGTTTTTGTACCATAGAGAAACTTAACTGTGTGCACATGTGTGGTAAAGGGGGAATGATTGACTACTTTTATGAGCAGCAGTAGAAGCCTTGGTTCATGGAAGACCTCCAGAGGCCTTGAGGTGTGAAGTGGGGCTGGTGAGAGAATGCTGTTCTCTCTGTGTTCTCTTCTGGTCCCTTTGCTGGGTCTCAGACTTGGATGCTAATCGTTTCTTTACCTTTCGGATCAATATTGTCATGGGAGGTAATTTTCCCCCAAGTGGACAGATTCTTGACTTACTAGAGTCAGTTTTGTTACTCTCTTTGGCATGGGAATTTAATTATGTATTTTAGTGGGAAGGTGTGAGCAGGATGAAATTAGACACAGATAGGTAGTCACTGCCACAACCTGAGGTCAGCTGCAGTTTTCTTAAAAAGTCACTTTTTGCTAATAAAGTTTCCGTCCCTGCTTCTCCATTCATGTATTGCACTCATCTACACTAAGCTGGGTAGGCAGGAATCATGAAGTGGATTATGGAATGTCCAGTGGGTCTGGATACATAGCTCGCATATCCATTAATAGCCTGCATTACAGATTTTATGTAAAGTGTTAGTTTTAATTACGTAAGCATTAGATTTCCTGTAAAGATTTCAGAAACCACACTATTTGAAAGAGAGTACAAATTTGCAAAGAGAATACACATGTAGTGGATAGGTGAAAAGCTTACTCCCTAAAACTATCCAGATATGGACAATTCAGGGTCATCTGTCAGGCCATTTATAAATAACTCATATTAGCATTAATCAATAGTGCAGCGTTCCAGGCCTGAAACAATGCATTTAAAAAATGGGATATTTTGCCTTTAAAAAAAATTGTTAATATAGACAGTCCTCTTGAAATTAGTGGGGTTTAGGTATAAATTTAGATCATATTTGTGAATGAAACCAAGGCCAATTTAAAAAGCTATGTATTTAAAACTACAACAAAGTAAAATTCTTTTTATCTTAATCCAAATATATATTGGTCAGTATTTCTTATTCCAGAGCTCAGAATTACCCAGGAAATCTTTGGTTTCCTAAAACTCAAAATGTTTATTGCCAATAGCTAAGTAATATCTTCTCGTAAACAGTGTGGCTCAAAATTATGATCCTATGTTTATGAAACTGAAATCTGACTTAAGTGCTTGTGATTGTGTTTCTAGTTATACAAACTTTCATAGGAATGAAAGCAAAGCATAATTCTGAGGTTAAGACAAACATGTTTGGTATTCATTAAACTCTACTGAGCACGTCTACGTGTGTTTATTGATCATCTACTGCAGGCTTAGTTCTATGCTCAGTTCTTTGGGATGCAGGGACAGAAATTAGGTACTCAGAAATTTCTAGAACCAAGTAACATTATTTTTAAAATAGTGCAAGTCTGGGTATCCTTTTATAACAGGGTTTCTAACCATAGTTCAGCTTTGCTGTATTAATAGTATTGTTGATGTCAGCACTTTCTTGGAAGACATGTTTTTTGCTTATTCAACTTTTGCCTCATGTTAGATTTTTTTTTCTGCTAAACATTGCTGTTATCTTAGTGTTTGTTTTTTGTTGACTGGCTGTTTGGCCTGAGAATTTAGTTCTGAATTCCTTTTTTTTTTTTTTTTTTAAGGCAACAGAATAAACAAGCAACTGTGTGTCCCTTGGCGCGGTAGCCAATTTAAGGTGATTCATACCCAGTTACTTAATAGTAAAGTCTCATTCCTAAAGGATATAAACTCTATTTCTTGCAAGGATGCTTAAAGAGCTGAGCAAATCTTAAAGCATTATTATCACATTTTAGACTAAATAAAGATATTTTCGTTCATTCTAATTTTCGTCATTCCCAAACACACTGTGGCCTTCTGTGGCATGAGTAGTTTAATCAAGTGTTTAGAATTTCTTGGCCTCAACCAGATTAGAGGAATTTAACTCAGCTGTTGTTGAGAAGAAGTAATTCTTCAGTCACTACTGAGGTTTTGTAAGTGTTATTGTTAAAAAAAAGAAAAGGAACTTTGAAGTCTTTATTAGAAAATAAGGTGAACTCATTGTGTTTTATGTATGTTCTGAGATAGAGTTAAAATATTTCAAAATTACTACGGGGCAATTTTCAAGCTTAAAATAAAAAATGGCTCACTACCCCTGGACAGGTTGAATTTGTAATTCATAGCTGAACCGCTAAAGTTAGCATGCAGATTACACTATGAGAGTTCATGCAGGTCTAAATAGTCTCAAATAATTCTTTAATTTGTCTCTACAAGTGTAAGTTTACTAAAAGTACTATATGGAAATTCCACTATCCCAGCTTTTGCTGGGTCCCTTGCTATAACCCCTGACTCAGTTCCTTGCTTTCAGTGAGAGCTCCCAACAGCTCTCATCATTTCTTTCTGTGGCTTAAGTCTGTGCATGCTCCCAGTTGCCACAGCAGAGTTTCTGCAACCTGGGGTTCACAGGATCATCTGGGGGTGCTTATTCAAATGTAGCACCCTGCTACATTTTTCATTCCAGAGGCTAACACAGGGCCCAGGAGAATCTGCCATTTAAAAAAGCCACCCATGTGATAGAAAGCCCTCTTGAGGGAAAGCAAAGGCCTGTTTGTGATGAGAGCTGTTCTTGGCCTCCCTTCTTGTGGCACCCTCCCGAGCTGGGGACTGTGCACTGTGCATTTGCTACTCTTGAAGCACACTTGACCTTCACCTTTCACCCTAGTTCTTTTGCTTAGGTGCTGGGTGGGATCCATCCACCTTGCTCCTGGGATCTTCTACATGCCTTTTACCGTCTATCTGCATGTCACTGCCATTGCACCCTTCTCCTGTAATGCACCCTGCTTTGGTGTAAAGTCAGTTGCTCTCTTAGCTGTTCTCATAATGCTTGACCCTGCTTTCTTTTCACACTTACTGCAGAGGTTAGGAGCAGGACTCTGGGGCCCACCAATCTGGATTTGAAACCTAGCTCCTCCTGGTCTAGCTGTTTGCTGAAGGGTAAGTTATTTTATCTTTCTGAGCCTGAGATGCCTCATGTGTAGAGCGGGGAGAATAGTGACTACCTCACAGTCTGTTGCGAGGACCAAATGAGGTAATAAACATCCGGGGCTGAGAACAGTGACTGTCAAGTAGTTAGCATGCCTCGAAGGCCAGCCATTGCCATCATTGTGATTTCTAACATCGGCTTTTTCATGATCATCCTACAGAGCTCTGCGCAGCCAGAAATCTGGAGGCAGCAATCTTGTCTCCCCTTTCAAATCCAGCACATAACACACCACTTGCTCCCCACACCAACCCACAAGTGTTGACTGAATTGCACTGACTTTACTTGCAAATGCATTTCCTGACTTCAGTGTCACCAGACCTCATCAGTCTGTGGCTATCAAATACATTCTGTTGACTTCAGTAACTCAAAAGTCCATGTCCTTGTGATCACCACCTTGTGCGTTGTCTCTACCCGCTCCCCTCCCTGAAGGACTTGGTTCCCTTGCTCATTCAGCAGTCTCTCCACTCCAGGCCCTGCCCTTCCCCTGCTTCCTCACTAGCTGCAGGAGGGAGTAACCTGCTGGTGCTGGCTGTGCCATTGTGTGCTCTTGCTGCCTGCACCGGTAAGCTTGCTTGATGCACACCAGGCTGTGGCCCAAGAGGTGCCTAGAGGAAGACGCTGCGCCCCTCAGTTCCCCTCTGCTGCACTTGTGTCTACCTGGGCCTCTAGGTGCTGTCAGGGTTTCAGAGGAAACTGCTCCTGCATCTGCAGGGAGCTCTGCTGGACTGAGAACAGGCTCACCTCCTGAGAAACACAGAACCTGAATTCATGCTTGGAGAAGACAACAATTCTCCAAAGGCTGACCTCCCCTGTGTGACCGAGCCCCGGAGCCCCTCTGTTGGTTCAAGATCCTGCATTGGGGCTGCAGAAGCGGCTGGCCCAGTGGCGTGGCTTTCCTAGGACAGAAGGATTGCTCCACCCTACAGGGGAACAAATGTCCACCTTTTAGGAGACAGAAAACTGGCTGTTGTATCCAAATTACCGTTTTTCTAGCCCGCGGTTTCTGAACAGTTTCGTGGATCTTAAGTCTGAGTTTCAGTTAGGCTTTCCTCCCCACTGGCATATCTGCAGGAAGGACAGTCCTAGCTCTGGATATTTCTCTGCCCCCTTTTATTTCTTGCTGTATGAGTCACTACTCTCCCCCGGTGCATTAGTTTCCTGGGGCTGCTGTAACAAATGACCACAAACTTGCCAGCTTACAACCACAGAAATTTCTTCTCTCACAGTTCTGGAGGCCAGGTCTGGAGTCAAGGTGTGAGCAGCTACGCTCCTTCCTAAGGCTCTGGAGACACCCCGTTCCGGGCCTCTCTCCTGGCTCCTGGTGGCTGTTGCGAGCCTTGGCTCATAGCTGCATCACTCCAATCTCTGCCTCCGTCTTCACATCACCTTCTCCTCTGGGTTTATTCTCTTCTGTGTGTCTCTTTTAAGGATCTTTGTCATTGGATTTGGGGTCTACCTGAATAATCCAGGATTATCTCCACATTGTAGGATCATTGATCATATTTTAAAAGACCGCTTTATCAAGTAAGGTAGCATTTTACAAGTTTCAGGAGTTAAGACTTGATGACTTGGGGTGTTCATTATTCAACCTGCTACACCCGGGTAACAGTAATCTACATTCTCATACATCAGTTGCATTGTACCCATTTCATAAATTAATCTTGTGCCATTTAATTTGGTAATCTGGTTAGTGCTAGGAATTTTTCATATTTAGGGGAGAGAGAATAATAATAACTACAGAAACAGTATATAGTTCCTTGAGCCCCTAGGCATGCTAGGCACTGTCACACACAAATGCTTACACTGGCCTGGGAGAAAGGTGCCACCATTATTTGCATTTTACTGATGAGGGGACTTAAACCTGGAGCACTTAAGTAACTTGCTACGGTCTGCTTAGCAAGTCGGTGACAGAATCAGCAATGAATTGGCCGTCTCCTTCAAAGTCTGTGCTCTTTAAAGTGGTCAGGACTGCAGGAGGTGACCTCAAGTCAGAGCTGGGTGGGGACCTTGGTGTAGTTGTTTCTACCACTAAGTTGGTGGTAAGATCTTGGGCAAGTTATCCACTTCTATGAACTTGACTCCATCTAGCACAGTAAAAGGACTGTGAAGGAGGAATTAATAGGGAGGCACAAATTAAAAGAAGACCAGTGAGAAGCTTTGGGTTTGGTTGGATTCAGTTGAATTTAACATTAGATATTTGGGTTATCTGGGAAGTTTGATTGTGGCAATTTTTTTTTTTTTTTTTGAGACAGGGTCTTGCTCTGTAGCCCATGCTGGAGTGCAGTGGTGTCTTCATAGCTCACTGTAACTTTGAACTCCTGGGCTAAAGGGATCCTCCCACCTCAGCCTCCCTAGTTGCTGCAACTATAGGCACATGCCATCTTGCCTGGCTAATATTTTATTTTTTGTAGGCTTGGGGTCTTCCCATGTTTTCAAGACTGTGGCAATGCTTTTTTTTTTAAAGCATATTATTTACTATAGAGCTTTATAGAAATGTTAAATAGGACTATTGTTTAGTTAGTCCCATTTCTCCTTGCACTGTGAACGTGGAACCTTAAAAATAAAAGTGTTGGCATTTAAAAAAAGCTTGACAATGCTTCAGTGAATTTAAATATATATAATATATATATTTCAATACTTGACACTAAAAATATTAAGAGAAAATATGAGTTATTATGAAAATATCTAAGAACGATGTATTTGGAATTATTATTATTATTATTATTATTATTATTATTATTATTTGAGGCGGAGTCTCACTCTCTCGCCCAGGCTGGAGTGCAGTGTTGTGATCTCGGCTCGCTACAAGCTCCACCTCCTGGGTTCACGCCATTCTCCTGCCTCAGTCTCCTGAGTAGCTGGGACTACAGGTGCCCGCCACCACGCCTGGCTAATTTTTTTGTATTTTTAGTAGAGATGGGGTTTCACCATGTTAGCTGGGATGGTCTCGATCTCCTGGCCTCGTGATCTGCCTGCCTTGGCCTCCCAAAGTGCTGGGATTACAGGTGTGAGCCACCGTGCCCGGCCTGGAATTATTTTAATAATCTTTGGTCATGCTGTCAGTTAACTTTATGGTAAATAAGTAATTGGAGTTTTAACTGTAGAATTTGTTTTGTTGAGATTCATTGCAAAACTGTGAGACTACTTTGCAACTCCGTCTTGGGAGATTGGTGTTGAATCTTTCTGGTAAATGTTTGATTTGGATGTTAAGCTAACGTTTGCAGGGCCCCTGCCTGTTAACAGCTACCTGGGCTTTGCCTGTTTGGCCTTGACTCTTCTTCCTAACCTGGGGTGAGGTCTGCAGGATCCATGTGAGGCCAGATGTGCTCCATGGGGAGAGTCTGGTGGGCAGATCCTGAGTGATGGACTTCCCATTTCTCTCTCCTTCTCTGCTTTGCTGTCAGGAGTATCTGTTTGTCTGAAGCCTGCTGATTCTTTCTGTTCCTCCAACTTCCTTTCTGTAATGCCAGTTGGTAGCTTTGGCTTTAAAATGGGCAAACCTCCTGCTCTCCTGGTTCAGAATTAGTGATTTTTATCCTTTCAGGGATCATGCTGTGGAACACACAGCAGCCTGTGGAGTCTGCTAAGCCCGATTCACAATGGAGCATTGATCCCTGCTGCTGTGTGGCACCCTGGCCTCTGCAGCATACACATGCTTGGGCCAGGATCAATTTTCAGTGGGTTTTAGGTCTGACACACTGGCTTTAGTTTATAGTAACATCGGGGGCTTGTGTCTGCCTAACCCCATCCTTTATAAAGTGGGGATCAGTGCCTTACAGATTTTGATGCCAACATAATTATTTATAAAATCATCACATTACATAAGATGTGCTGTTTTTCTTTTTTCACACAAGAAATGATTTTCATTTGATGTATTGATCAGTGTAGTTACTGGGAATTGAGCCCAATACATTTATTCTTTTATTTGAGATCTGCTAAAATTGTCTCTTCCTTCGGAAGACTGAAAAATGATCCAGGTTGTGAATGAGTTGTTCCAATTCTTTTCATGCCGAGCAGGGCTTTACACTAAATTTGGGACCTGAGGGGCCAGATTTAGGATCTGGAGGGTTAAGAGTGAGACACAGCGGCTGCCTGGCCACATGCCAGATGCAGGAGGTAAGGCTGGAGGTTCGTGACCAGTTTGGACATAGCTGCTGCTCTGGTAAAACACAAACATCAACAACGAAAACTTGATTCCTGTGGAATATGTGCTATAATCTAGGAAACAGAGATTCTCTGGTATGGGAAATCCTTGAAGTCTTGGCATTAGTGACAGCACCTGGAAATACTCATTCCAATTCAAATGAGTCTGAAGTGGGCCCTGGAGGGGCTGCATGGGGAAATTTGCAAGTGGTGTCTGTGCCGGGAATGTTAAGTATTGATGGTGATGCTGAATTTATGAATATGGAAAGAATGCGTGTACTCAGAAGGAGGATGCAAACAGATTTTAAATTTTATTTTGACATTACCTTCCAGTGCAGTGCATGGTTAGCAGTAACTGTATACAGAAAGGGCCACAGAGGCTTTGGTTTCTGAAAGATGTCTGGGAGCTGCCCTGTTCACCTGGTGCCATACTTCCTCAGAAATACAGAAAGAGCACGCAGCAGCCAGCAAAGGTGTACTTCAGCTGGTGTCCCTATTTCTTCTAATTTAGTGTTGGATGGAATGATAAAATAGTTCTAATATGCTCATATTTGTCTGTGGTAGTACACAGTAATTTTCAGTTTATTTGATATAGCTGCTATAGGTCCTCAAAATAGAGTTTTGAATTTTCTTTCTTGGTGCTGACAAATTGATACCATTTGGAATACAGAGAAAAAGTTTCAGTGCAACACAGGTGAATTTTTTAATAGGATATACTAAGTAAGTTTAATCTCTGGCAGGGATGTCTGATCTTTTGGCTTCCCTGGGCCGTGTTGGAAGAAGAGCTGTCTTGGGCCACACAGAAAATACACTAACACTAATGATAACTGATGAGCTTAAAAAAATCACCAAAAAAACCCATGTTTTAAGAAAGTTAACAAATTTGTTTTGGGCCACATTCAAAGCCTTCCTGGGCTGCATGTGTCCTGTGGGCCATGGGTTGGACAAGCTTGCTGGAGTATTAATAAATATTGTGAAGCAGAAAGGCTGTGCTTATATAAAATTTTGATGATAAATTCTTAGAAATTAGCTGTATTTATCACACTCATTTTCTTTTAAGAAATCAGCAAAAATGTCCCCCCCCCACTTCCGTTCTAGTACCATACTTTGTAGCAAAGAGTTTTTGGAAAGAAAAGAGATTCTTGTTCATAGCACATCATCATTCTTTTCTCCTATAGATGTATAAGGGAGGCAAGGTGAAAATGAGCTCGTCTTTTTAAGCTCTTGTCGTGAATCGAACCAAATCTCTTTGGTTATTTTAAGGATTATTTCCTTGGTTATTTTGCAGAGTTCCAGTTGTGTGGGATGAGTTAATGTTAACCATACACTACTTATTTGCAATGTTACCTGTTGTGGACAGCTCTGGTTTTGCTTAAGCGTGTGAGGTTCAGGCCCTCATTCTGCAGTCTGAGGCTGTGGTAGTGATTTGGGAGAGGTCTGCCGTGTTGTCAGCCCAGCCCTCCCAGTCCAGCTCTACCAGGCAAGTCCTCCTCTCCTACTTAAGCACAGACCAAGAGCTGACATGGGATTAGGTGATATGTGGGGCCTGGTTCCTGCCATTGCAGAGCATGACAGACAGGGAGAGGGTGTGGCTTGAAACCTGGGAACCTTGTTTCTGGGGATGAGCAGGATGTAGGAAGTCAGGAAGGCAGGGAGCTTTTCTGGAGTCCCTCTCAAAGCAGCCACTCCCTTTACTGGTCTGCAGGACCAGGCAGAGTGGGAAGTGGGAGGTGGCTGCTCAGCACTTTGCTACCTGTTGTCTTTCTGAACTGAAGACTCAGACCATCTTTGAAAGTCCTGCGGATCTAGTGGCCTGCACTGGGTGTTTGGAGGAAGACTCCTCTCGTGAATAGTTTAAAGCTAGAGAAGCAAGTGGTTGCCATTCCTTGTTCCCTGGGACTGGTAATTTAGGGGACCCTTAGGATCTGCACAGGTCCAGAAAGAAGAGGCATCTTACTGTGGTTGCTTCTGTGGAAGAAGAGGCATCTTACCGTAGTGGCTTCCATGGCTGTGATCTTGGATGGGCGGGGCCAGATGGGGAGGAGACAGCAGGGATTTGGCTTCTTTTTCTCCCCTTCCCAGACCTGTGCGGTTGGAGAGCTTCTTATCCCAGTTAGCAGAGAAGGTAAAATCTGAAGTTAGCAGAGAAGGTAGAAATCATTTTTGATTTTTTTTTCATGTCTGACTTTGAATTGTTGAATTCATCCAAGGGTAAATATTCCTCTGTATACCACACTAGCCATAAGCACACAGTCACATATACTGCACATTAGATAGAGCGTGATGGTGACTTACAGGTCCTGCTTAATGGAGGTGAGCGAGGTGGTTTTATGTTATTTGGCTAATTTGTATTTGTTTAAAGGATAACTAGGCTGTTTCCCTTGCCCTTCATTATCTTTCTAGTTCATAACCTTTTTCTCCAGGCACAGACCTTGGCTTTGGTTGAGTGGGGAGGGAGGATGTCTTGTTTTCTTTAGTCTGCCTTACAGATGCTGGAGGAAGCTCCGTTGTTACTTTCAGGTCCCTGAATTCCCCAAAAAGCAGATTTTAAAAATCTTGGCCATGGATTTTCTACCTTGTTTTGGTGGAAACTGCTCTATTGGAAGTTGCCTGACTCCACCCAGCTCATCTGGGGGCTCCCAGAATTTTACTTGTAACCCATCAGATTTGCTCTTCTCCTGCTTGTAGACACTCAGGTGCCTAACCTGGGAGGTTTTCATGGGAACTTCACAAAAGACTTCAGAAAGGTGGAGAAGGAATTGCCGTTTATTTAGTACTCAGTGTATGCCAGGCCCTGGGTGCAAAGTTGCCAGTGTTACTGCATCAAACATTCTCACCAGCTCCTTAAGGGAGCTTAAATTAACACAATTTTAATGATGCAGAAACTGAGATCTGGAGCTGCGAGGAATAGAGATAGCTTAAGCATGTTTATTACAGAAATTCTCACTGCAACCAGTTGCTGGTTCTTTTCTTCACTCACTGGCATGTGGAAAAAGCCTGTTGATAAATTGTGATAAGAACGACTGATGTGCTGGGGTGTGCCGAGTTGTCTCTTCTGCACATCTCTCCTCTCCTACTTAAGGAGAGGAGGCAGCTAGCCTAGCCTAGCCTAGGATTAGGCTGGAGCTTGCACTCGGGAGCCGTATTTCTGGGTTCAGATCTTGACACCACAGGCCTTCTTGTGTGACCTCAGATAAATTACTTAACCTCTTTGTGCTTCACAATTAGTGATGTTTGTTAAATAAATTAAGCAGTTGAGTACAGTTCTAGTGATCTCTTACCACTGAAGGGGCAAAGATTTCTCCTGCATGTGCCAGCTTGATCTGGCAGAGGACAGGGTTGTGAGGCCCTCTCTGTGATACGTGCTAGGCTGCTGAGTGCTAAGATGTCACTTTCCTAAAATAAGTGTCCTGGATGCCGTAGGCAAGCCACTCATTCCTCGCTCTGCCTTCCTCGGAGCACTGCTCATCCTCTCTTCGTATATCAAAGCCCCCACACTGAACACGATTTCCTTTTGCCCCGCTGTCTGATATTTAATCCCGAATGGTGTAGGGGGTGAAGAGAGTGGAGTGAGGCAGTAGCCAGCTTATTACAGCTCCAGCCTTACCAGCTGCCTGTGTGGTGGCCTTTTAGGGCCATTGGGCCCTCCTGCTCTACAGGATCTCTCTCCCACCTGTTGCAGTAATGAGTGAAACCCTAAAGCCTTTCACTCCCCGGTCAGACAAGATGCTGGGAAGGCAGCGTTCCTGGGAGAGGCATCAGGCTGACTGATATTCACATCAAAGGAACGAACAACTCCTTTCTTTCTGAGTAGGCTGTTTTAGAGACGACAGGATAGACATACCTTGAGAGTATTGAGATGACTTGGGAAAAAGAGGCATGGATAGTCTGGAGATACAAAGAATACTTTTTTCTGATTCAGGTTTTATTTGGGGCCAGCATGCTTCTGCACACTCCTGACTTCACACAGATTCAAATACAGCTTGTCCAGAACAAAGACGGTTTCTACTAATTTTTTACATTCCATTTTTATGAAACATTCTCAGAGTTCCAAGGAAAAGAGAATCCTGTTGTTCTGTGAGATTACATTAAGAACCACTATATTGGTTATCTGATTTTCTTTTTCTTTCCTTTGAAGCTCTACATTGATCTCTGGAATTAATGTCAGTGAGCTTTTGAGGTCTCTAAAATGAGAATGGGAGGCACCTGGCTCCTTTTCAACCCCGAGAAGTTGAATGAAATTGGTGTGGGGATATCTGTGGAGTCAGATTTCCTTTGGATTTTTCATTTAACCCCTTGAGCCTTGAGCTAAAGGCACTGATTTTGTTCATGAAGGGCCTGCTCCCATTCTTGCGTCCCATTCTTGAGCCATGCTGACTGGAGATGACCGGTGACAACCACATCCAACTGCCCACAGCTGTCTTCGGGAAGCTGGAGAATTAGAATAGTATTGTCTGCTCTGAAACAGCCTGGAGAATTTTAGAGCTCTCTGGGAGCAGGGTGGGGTATGGGATAAGGGAAGATGTGATGAAAGAGCAGCCTTTCCCAGTTAGAACAGATGTAGGAAGCAAGCAACCCCAGAAACATCTGGAAAACTCTTAAAGTGCAGGCTAGTCCCTGTGCACCCCATAAGGTCGACTGATTAGAGGCAGTGGAGGCAGATGTCAGGGTCAGCTCTCTAGGATGCCCTTCATAATTCCTGTTTTCTTCCCCAGGGTATGTTTGTGCTATTATTAAATGATTACACATGCTTGTTCATTCCTTCCTAGTGTATACTTTCTAGCTAATGTCATTTCAAGCTAAAAATAAGTCTGGTCCTTAGTTAGAGTTCCTGAGATTTTTCTGCCCAGCCGTCTGTCTTTCTCCTGAGATTTGGGTCTTCTCACATCATAGTGAAGTTTATCCTCCTGGTCTGTCTTTGCATAGCTGTAAATGATGGGAGATTCTGGATGATGAGACAAAGTTCCCAGCTCACTACCCAGCTATGACCTGCATAGGGGGACAGCAGCATAGGTAGTCCTGTGGCGAAGCGTTGGCCTGGAGGACAGGCCTAGGTGCTCACTAGGTGCTCACTGCCTGGTGCTTTGGGGCGCCATTTCCCCTTTCGGAGAACCAGAGTCCTCTTGCATAGAATGAGATCATGGAATAGCAGTGCATTCTAGAAACTGCCTGTCTCCTTTTTTTTTTTTTTTTTTAAAGGCAAGCCCTGTCTTCAAACAATTTTGTATGGAATCTCAGTTTAAGAAGATATTTACTGTCCGTGGAACTGACAACCATTGCACCCCCTCTTCTCTTCATTTGCTGGTGTGGTTCCCAGGCATGCCTGCAGTTGAGGGCAAGACAGTTTCTGATCTACTGCCATTGGAGGATCTCCCAAACCCTGTGAGCTCTTGAGTGTCTGATTACTGCCCAGGGATGACCATTAGCCTTGAGTTAGGGAGAGTATTTCCACAGAGGTGAGAAGGTAGTTCCCATGGATTCCTAAAGGTTTAGGAGGAACTGGCCTCACCAGATGGTGAGAATTTTGCTAATGATGGCTGCTAATGAGGGACACTTCCCATGTTCCTGGTAATAAGAGTTGTGGCAATTTTGTTTCCTTGGGAACGTCCTAAACAAATGACTTACACTATTCTGTTAGTAGTGGGAATTGGAAGGCATTTTCATGACAGTGATAATTATATTACAAACATCAACAGGGAGACCCATCAGATAAAGTGGGATAGGAAAGAACAAGACAACACCTATTGGGCATTTTGAAAAGCTGATAAGGTAAATGGTCATTTTAAGAAAGGTCTCAAAGACTCCTTCAACTAGAAAACTTCTTATGCTGACCTTGAAATTAGGGCAAACTGACAAGAACAACTTATTTGATAGGAATTGCTGGGTTTTGCACAGTGGTTCTAAGTGAGGTTCTCAGACTTGGGTTCCTGTGATTATTCTCAGCCAACATGAATTTCACGTAATTTTTAAACTTTAAAATCTGGGTGTCTTAAAGTGTTTTCTATCATTTATGAAAGTCCGTTTTAGAATTTTTTTTTTTCTAGTATTAAGTCAGTGTTTCTCCAACCAGTGTCCTCCAGAACCCTTTAAGAAGACATTGTTTGGGTCCTTGAAAATTATTTTTCTTCAAAAATTTTCTGAACTTTATTCAAGTTTGAGAAATACAGACTAGGAGACAGGCTGGGGTATAATCATGTGTCACATAGCATTGTTTTGGTCAACAGTGGACCACATGTATGAGGACACATATAATCCCATACAATTATAATGGAGCTGAAAACTTCCTATTGCCCAATGACATCATAGTCTTCAGAAGATTGTAGCACAACGCATTATTTGTGTTTGTGGTGATGCTGGTGTAAACAAACCTACTGTGTTGTCAGTCATATAAAAGTATTACACAATTCTGTTCAGCACATGATTCTTGATAATAAATGACTATGTTATAGGGTTATGTATACTTTTAGATTGTTATTTTAGAGTGTACTGCTTCTTCTAATTAAATAAAAAGTAACCTGTAAAAGCAGCCTCAGGCAGGTCCTTCAGGAGGTATCTAGAAGAAGGCGTTGTTATTCTGGGAGATGACAGCTCCATGTGTGTTATTATGGCCCCTGAAGACCTTCCAGTGGGACAGGATGTAGATGTGGAAGACAGTGATGTGGATGGTCCTGACCCTGTGTAGGCCTAGGCTAATGTATGTGCCTGTGTATTAGTTTTTAACAAACAAAAAAAGAAAAACATATATAAAAGAGCTTAGAAAATAAGGATATAAAGAAAGAAAATATTTTTGTAAGCTGTACAATGTGTTTGTATTTTAAGCTAAGTATTATTACAAAAGTCAAAAAGTTAAAAAAAATTAAAAGTTTATAAAGCAAAAATGCCACAGTAAGCTAAGGTTAACTTATTAAAGAAATAAAAATATGCTTAAAAAAGTAAATTTAGTGTAGCCTAAGTGCACAGTGTTTATAAAGTCTATAGCAGTGTGCAGTAATGTCCTAGGCCTTCCCATTCACTCACCACTCACTGACCCATCCAGAGCAACTTGCAGTCCTGCGAGCTCCATTCATGGTAACTGCCCTATACAGGTGTACAATTTTTATCTTCTGTACCATATTTTTCTATGTTTAGATAGACAAATATTTGCCATTGTCTTACAGTTACCTACAGTATTCAGTGTAGTCACATGCTGTACAGGTGTATAGTCTAGGAGCAATAGGCCATACCAGCCTAGGGGTATAGTAGGCTTGATATGGTTAGGCTGTGTCCCCACCCAAATCTCATCTTGAATTCCCACATGTTGTGGGAGGAACCTGGTGGGAGGTAATTGAATCATGGGGGCGGGTCTTTCCCATGCTGTTCTCATGATAGTGAATAAGTCTCATGAGACCTAATGGTCTTATGAGGGAGAGTTTCCTTGCACAAGCTCTCTTTGCCTGCTGCCATCCACGTAAGATGAGACTTGCTCCTCCTTGCCTTCTGCCATGATTGTGAGACTTCCCCAACTGTGTGGAACTATAAGTCCATTAAACCCTCTTTCTTTTGTAAATTGCCCAGTCTTGGGTATGTCTTTATCAGCAGCATGAAAGCAGACTGATACAAGGCTCTACCATCTAGGTTTGTGTAAGTGTACTTTGTGATGTTCACACAATGACAAAATTGTCTAACTATACGTTTCTCAGAACGTGTCCCTGTCATTGACACATGACTGTAACTAAGACCACAGGTTACATGAATTCCTTTCATATGTGTTTGGAATAACATGTTTTTTTGCTTTGTCTCATTTTTCAGAAGGGAGAGAAAGTAAAGTGAACTAATTTGCATTGTGTATGTGCTCTGTGTGTGTGTGTGTGTGTGGTGTGTGCATGTATGACAGGCAATCTACTGTTATGCTACAGTTTACTTTTGCTCTCTTTTCTGAATAAATGTGCAAAATGTGTATGGAACCTGTTGTGAAGGTGCTGGCCACATTTTCTGATGCTTTAAGGACAAGTGATCCTTATTCTGCTTGAGAAATCTTCACGGCCTCATTTTTCACTGCATCAGATAATTTAAGTCTACGTTCTGGGCATTCCTCATGCCGATTTCTTCTTACAGATTTATCGCACTTTCTATGATTCCCAACATCTCTTGACCAGGCTGGTCAGACCTGTCTCTCAATTGTTCCACGATTCACTTTGATTTTATCAGCCTTGGACCCTTGCTTCATATTAGACCTCTTATTTAAAATGTCTTACCTTCCATTTATCTAAATCCCAACTTAATGTTTGGACTAAGTCATAGCTCTTCAGTGAATGGGAGTGAAGCTGTACGAAATCATTGCATTCTAGCCAGGTCCTCCAAAATTGGATATGTGAGAAAGAGAAGCTGAAATGCCCTTCTCTGTAAGGTTCTCACTCATTTCTGTTGTTTCTTTCATTTTGGCTTCAGGGAAGGTGTAATTTCTTTTAGCATTGTGTAGGTGAGGCCAGTCACTGCAAGAAGGCTTTGTAAAATAACATGTAACTAATTGGGCTTACAAAGTGGAATGTACCTAGCTCCCATCGAGTAGAAGGGAGGGTTCCCTTCATGTGTTTCTGCCACTCATGCTCCCAGCTCCTATTCTGCTTCCATCTCTCTCCATGAACAGTTTATAGGCAGGAGGGCAGGACCTGGAGGGTAACAGAAATCGCCCTCTTACCTGGCTCAGGAAACCAGCGTCCCATCTGTGATTCAGTTGCCACTGTAGTGTTTATCCACTTGAGGGCAGATATCACCCCATGTGCCTGGGAAGATAGGTTTGCTTATGACCTCAAAGGACAATTGGAGGGCTCTCAAACTTGGGTACCTATGGTAATTCAGATACAACACCAAGCATCCAACAATCCTGTAAGGATGTTGCATGGAGATTTTGAAGACTGTTCATTTAAAAACTCCCCCAGTCATTCTCTTCTCTCAGCTACTCCATACAATTTAATCCTTAATTATATTTTGTCATGTTCCCCTTTTTCATACAGTAGATGCTCAATAATGATTTCAGTCATATTGTTTCTTGAAATAAATTGAAAATACCGGCCAGGCGCGGTGGCTCACGCCTGTAATCCCAGCAGTTTGGGAGGCCTAGGCAGATGGATCATGAGGTCAGGAGATCAAGACCATCCTGGCCAAAATGCTGAAACCTGATCTCTACTAAAAATACAAAAATTAGCCAGGCATGGTGGCATGTACCTGCAGTCTGAGCTACTCAGGAGACTGAGGCAGGAGAATCAGTTGAATCCAGGAGGTGGAGGTTGCAGTGAGCCAAGATTATGCCACTGCACTACAGCCTGGGTGACAGAGCGAGACTCCGTCTCAAAAAAAAAAAAAATACCCTGAGAGCTGGGACCATGTTGCCTATGCAGTTATCCATCAGTAAATAAACACTTGGTTGATTCCAGTGCAAGGAAAAGGTTGACCCAGTTTGATTAACCTTCTGGGGTCAGCAGATTACTTTTGTCCCTTCCAATTGGTTTAATTCATAATGATTTTTATTTGTATCAGGTAGATAAATTATAATGTTGCATAGATGGAAAATGCTCTGTTGAATGGAAATCTGAATTTTCCTTATAAGGCTTAACATTTATAGTCTTACTGGGCTGCTAGATAGTTATTGGAAAAAAGAGAATGACACGTTCATGACTTAGTGGGGGGATTGCTGATTTGACTCATTTAACAATGGGGTCTGCCGATGGTGCATACATCACAGATAGGAAAAATACTTTTTCTTCCACCCTCTCCAGAATACTTTAGGGTAAGGAGAACCAGAGAACATGTGTTAAATGAATCCAAATCAAACCTACTAGTTATACAAATGATTTAAGCGTTATTGTGGAAATTTACATAAAACTCAGACTCAGCGTAAAACAGTACAAACACCAAGGCCAAATGAGTTACCACAGTAATAAAGTACACACAGGGCAACGTGCCTGTGATATAGGGAAGGCTGTCTTTAAAGTACTTCTGGAATGTCAGTTTCAGAAACTGAAAAAGATGCTAGAAGTTTGATTTTGTGTGATCAAACATCATTTAGAAGCTAAGGAACAGAAGGAATATTAAGGTACCCAAAGAATATTAAGGAACCTAGGAATGTTTGTGTTTGGGGTGATTAGAGCTTCTTGCAAGCTTAGAAGTAGGAAGCTAATGATAAGGGATCATAAAAAGAACAAAATAGATTGTTTTAACTCTGAAGGATTGTCTTTTTCTTTAGAGAAAATTGGATCACTTATAGGCAGCCAATCTGTTTAATAATCTGACTTTTATCATCCCCAACCAAAACATCCAGATGCATTTTGTTGCCTTCCCCTGTCTAATGTGAAATAGTGGTTCAGTATACTGTTCATTTTTCATTAAGAAATTGTCAGCTGCTGTTGACAAACAGGTAATGAGTTTGACACAGGATCGATGTGCTGTCAGTCTTGAGCACAGGCATGTGTTTATCTTGTAAGGTGGCTTTTTGCATGGGCTTAAAGAGTTGTTTTTGACTCCAGGGAACCTATGAATAAACTTCATTCTAATAACGGTTTTACAAGTTTTGTCAAGTTTTTAAGAGAGATGATCAGTTTTTTGAACCGTTTTACTTTTTAGAGGGAGTTTGGAGTTGAGAATTAAACTTTGATACTTCCTGTTGTCCATCCCCTAGCCAACACACACATTATTATAATAACATTTACCGAGTGGCTTTTTTCTGTATGTTAACATTTACATTGATGTTCCCATAGATTATAATTGAGAATTTTTAGGAAGGTTCTTCAAAATCGTTTGTTGCTTAACTCTGATAATTTTTCAATTTGGGCAGCTGGTTTGATTTTGCCTAAAACAAAAACCTCATCATTTAAATACAGTTACTTTAAACAATTAATGTAACAATAAACAAAATTCGGGAACTGTAACAGGAAAAAAAATCACCCATGATCTTATTATCAGTAAAGCACTGTCATCATTTCTATATTTTTCATTCTCTTTTTTTCAAGGATCATGCTTAGTTTTGCATACACACATGGAAGGGCAGGCTGTAGCAGGAAGAGAGACGGGATCACTCGCCCCTTTCTCTTTGGTGGTTGAGGCTTTCTAGCTGAGTGTAGCTGGCTCTCCGAAAGGCCCTGTGTCATGCTACAGAGACTAGGTCCATTCCCCAGTACCTCTCCAGCCTAGTCTCTGAGGAGCCATCCCTGTCATCTGGGAGGCCTCTGCCTTCCTTCTCTGGTACATGGAAGCAGCAGAAGGAACAGGTGCCCTTCTGTCTTCTCTTGAGAAGTCCTCCCCTCCCTTCCTGTAAGGTGGCAGGCCTCAACATTTTTGGCACCAGAGACTAGTTTCATGGAAGACAATTTTTCCACAGATGGGGTGGGGTGGGGATGGTTTGCAGGATGATTCAAGTGCATTACATTTATTGTGCCCTTTATTCCTATTATTACATTGTAATATATAATGAAACAAATATATAACTCACCATAATGCAGAATCAGTGGGAGCCCTGAGCTGGTTTTCCTGCAACTAGACGGTCCCATCTTGGGGTGATAGGAGACAGTGACAGATCATCAGGGATTAGATTCTCATTAGGAGCGTGCAACCTAGATCCCCCGCATACACAGTTCACAATAGGGTGTGCACTCCTATGAGAATCTGACACTGCTGCTGATCTGACAGGAGGTGGAGCTCAGGCAGTAATGCTCGCGAGCCGCCACTCATTTCCTGCTGTGCCGCTAGGTTCCTGACAGGCCGTGACTGGTAGCAGTCCATGGCCTGTGGGTTGTGGACCCCTGATTTAAGGGACATCAGGAAAGTCCAGCTGGGTTCCTGTTAGGATGCTGGTTTTTTAGACAGGGTCTCACTCTGTTGCCAAGGCTGGAGTGTGGTGGTGCCATCACTGCTCACTGCGGCCTTGACCTCTTGGTCAAGGCTGTGATCTTCCTGCCTCAGCCTCCTGAGTACATGGACTACAGGCATAGTGCCACCACACCCTGCTAATTTTTAAAATTTTTGTTGAGTTGGGGGTCTCACAGTGTTGCCCTTGGGGTCTTGAACTTCTGGGCCCAAGGTATGCTCCTGCCTCAGCCTCCCAGAGTGCACCCAAACGTGGTGTTTCAGACATGCCACAATGCTCCACTGCAGATCTCACTCCACACCTGACCAGGGGAGCAGCCCAAGGTCTTGGGATCACTCACCCCTTTCTCTTTGGTGGTTGTGGCTCTCTAGCTGAGTGTTGCTGGTTCTCAGAAAGGCCCAGTGTTGTGCGGCAGAGACTGGGTCCATTCCCCACTACCAGCCCGGGCACCCCTCACTCGTGGGCCCGCCTCTTTCCTCTTTGTCTCCCATCCCTGGCTTGGTTTCCTGGAAGAATGCCTTGAGAGAAGCTGCAGCCAGTTTGTGCTGGTGAGGAAAGCATAGTTTTCAGAAGCTTGTCCTCTGGTCCCCATCCTGCCTGTCTTCCCACTTGGGGTGGGAGGCCTGGGGAGATCTGCCTGTTCTCACTCGCATGGCCAAGCTGATCCTGGTGTCTGTTGTTTGTCTGGCCTGCTCTCCTGGCCAGCGCCCAGGATGTGCTTCCTTAGTGCTTCCACATGTGAGTGGCTGGGCTGGGGTGGGTTAGTCGAGGTTGTTCTCACTGTCAGCACCTCTCTGATCAAACAGAAGTACAGAGAGGGAGGTTCTGCATTCACAAAAAATCAGAAGGGTATTAAACGTAATATGTTTGAGTAGATGCCTTAGAAATAGAATTCACAGCAGAATGCCCTCTTTCCAGTAGAGAATAATTCAGGACCCCATACTGTAGCATGGTGGAGCATGTTTGGAAGTCACCCATCCCCATTATCAGTGGAAGTGCCGAGATCATTATTCTGAGCACAGGATCTTTTTCTAAGAGGATTTTATGGTTTTAAAGGGAGTTTGGAAAAGGGACATTTGGGAAGCTTGAAGTGATGGGACAGAAATATCGATTTGTAGGTTGAATAATTAGACTCCTCCTCGATGTTCAGGTCTTGCTGCAGTGTCCCCTGCTTGATGATTTTCTAGTGGCTGCAATATATGACCATTATACATTGCAGAAGTTATAGTTATTTGTTTAAACACCTTTCTCCTCTGTTAATCTGTAAGCTCTTTAAAGGCATAACCTCCCCTTTTTCTTTTATTTCCCTGGAGCAACTATTATACATACAATAAAGATTTATTGAAATGAGTCAGATAGTGTCTTCTTATTTTTGGGAAAAAACATAGTTTTCCAGAGTAAATTTAGAAGTTATTTGCTTAATTGAAAAAATATAATCCTTAATCAAAAAACTTAATTTTAAAGAGGGTTTGCACCAAGCTTAAACACTGGTGTGTGTGTGTAAATATGCATTTTTAAATGTAATATATGTGTTTCTTTCTCCTTTCCGCTGGTATAAGCATTTCGTGAGAAGAGGATAATCATCAACCGCTTGAGTTAATCTGGGGGAATGTCTGGGAAGTGGGAAGTTGAGGAATGCCGCATTGTTGAATACATTGAGAGCATTTCTGGTTTCAATTTGGTTTACCTACTCTTGGTCTGGGAGATCTGGAATGCTGCCCTGGACTTTCGGTTTTGTGTGAATTGGCTCTGAGGAAAAGGATTGCTAGAATTAGCTGTTGGAATGAGGAGCGGCAGAGACTGGGCTCTTGAGAAGCGAGTGGACTGGAATCTGTTCTCTGAGATGTTGCCTTGAATCTGACTTGTTGATGACAGACCCATATTGGAAATATTATTCCACTGTTAATAAGAACATTTTATTTTCACATGCAACTTGTTAAATATGTAGCCAAAAATCCTGAAACAAAACAAACCCCCTCTCCACTCAAAAAACTTTTCTGGAAGTGGTTACTTAATAGTGCACATTTCAATAGACCGTTGAATGAAACACTAAGATAAAGAAAATGTTCCCTGAGGGAAGAGTCCTGAGTTAATGGCTTAGAAAGGTGTTGTAATCAACTAAGTTTTCATGCCTCTTTCTTCTTCTCATTACTGCCATTTCCCTTATTCTGATTTACTGATTATTTTTTTGAATAATACATTTTAAAAGAGTATTTGTTTCTCTCACTTTAACTCAGATTTATCACAGTTTGAAACTTCTATTTAGTATAGTAATAAAATTAGTTTTAGTAGGAGTAGTAAATTGAGGATGTGACAAGTGAATAAATTACTGAAGGCTCAAAACAAAAAGCAATACAAAAAACCTGAAAGGAAAAAAACCCAAAAATAAATCCCCAAACCTGTTTGCCCACATCTACTATCTTTCAGAACCAAGTAAGAATCTCAGTTCTGCAGCACCTTTCCTCGTTCTTCTTTTCATAGTTTGTACCCTTTGATTTGTGATGCCTTTTACTTCACCCCAAACCCCCGTGACATTTAAGATGCGTGCTATACAAAATACGGTTCCTGGCTAACCAGCACCATAACGCTTGTTAAGCTTTTTCTATTCTGCAGAGGCGATAGCTCTGAAATATAGAAGTGATTGCATTAAATCCTTGGCTGGCAATTTTGTGTGGGATTGGGTATTGAAATGCAGCAAAGCAAATAATGAAGGCATATGTTTACCTATAATTCTTTTTTACCTTGGGAGAAGGATTAAATAGGAACAGTTTGGTTGTTGTCAAATTCTTAACAGTTGCTTTCAAGCATGAAACAGTCCCCGGGCTCTCGGAGGATTTACTTAGCAGTTTGAATAGAGAGGTCTTTACTGCTAATGGAACTGAGATGGCAGGCTTAAGCAATGGGGTGCTTTATAGCCTCTTTAGCCACTTGAGAAGATGTAACATCAAATAGCTGAAACCATCCTGATCTCCATTGGTGTTTAGGAAGTTGTGCAAAGATTGGTGAATAAATAATTCAGGGTTGTATGAATGTCTGGATGCCAGGAATGTTGAGAGTATCTAAAAGCTTGATTCACAGAGGATTTAGTTCTGGGAGAAACTCTGGAGCCCCTCCTTGAGCTTGGCACCAGGGAACATTTACAGATGATGACATTTTCTAAGAAAGAAAGAACTTTCACTTGGGATTGACTGGGCTTTGTAAAGCAACATTTCACTGGGGACTCCAGTCCCGGAAAAGTCTTATTTGTAAAATAAAGAATATTTTCAGTACAGATGGTTGGCAGTTGCTGCTGTGTGTGTGTGAATGTGTGTGTGTTTAAAATACAGGATGGTGATGATTATTTAGGGTCTTAAATAACCATTTAAGTTCTGTACTATTTAATGGTTAAGCTTTAAGAAATCACTTGTTGAAGACACAGGGGAGAAGTAGTCACAGTTTGTCTGTTGAAGCTTCTGCTTCACGCTCTCGTCATCTGTTTCAGACCTTAGTAAAGACGTCCCGAATGTGTTGTCCAATGAACAGGTGGGCAGCAGGTGTTGGGGACCCACTGGATATATGAATATTCACAAATATTCGGACTCTCCTCCTGCGCATAGAGTAGATAGCAGTTCCCTGTTCATTTGGACATAGGCGTGACCATATGACTTGCTTTGGCCAATTAAATGTCACTTCTGAGCAGAAGCAGGAAAGCTCGTGCTTGTTTCACCACATCCTGTGCCATGGAAACTTGCAGTTGATTCTTCAGCCCCAGGGTGAGGATGACTTGGAAAAGAGCTCCCAGCTGATGGCCAGTGGGCATGGAGGGTGCACAAGAAGTGATATGTTCCTTGATATTTTGTGATTGTTACTGCAGCATGACTTAGCCTGCCCCGATGCATACAACCTATAAAGTACTAGATTTTTCTCTAGGAGAAAACCACTCAGGCGGTCCATGGGTGTTTCCCTACCTTAGGCTGAATAGAGAACTTCCCATGGTGATGTGGTGGACAGGAGTTAGGGCAGAGAAACCGCTGGCTGCTACACAGGAACCACTGTACCAGGCATTGGCCTTTCTCCTTTGTTTCTTGTTGTCTGTTTCCCATAGGTTTCTACAACATTCTTTCTCTTCCTGCTTCTACCCGCTAAGTCTGTTTCTATCCTTTGCATGGTATCTTGGTGGGAATTCTCAATTTTATGCTAACCAAACATGGAAAGCAGCTTCTGTTCTTCCATTACATGACTCAGAATGCCTGGACCCCCGACCCCTCTTCTCTGCCACAGATGAGGACAACTCTGTGTCCTAGAGTGGGTGAAAGTGCTTGTAATTGCCAAGTGAGGGAGATTCACATGCTTTCATCAAGCCAGAGCTGGGCGGCTGGGGAATCGGATTCTAGACCTATTATCCTTAGGTGCATTGCAGTGCTTGAGAGAATCTGCTTTTCACAAATGTTTTCCACTCTTCACAAAACTCTTGGGAATTGGAAATATAATGCACACTTTATAGCTGGGAAGTTGAGGCTCACAGAAGGTAAGTACTGTGCTCAGATCATCACATGGACATGATATCACTGAAGCAGCTCCAAGAAGTCTCTCATTCCAAGATGTACACTCTTTCTACTGCTGTATTATACACTTCTGAGTGTGATTAAATAGGCATAGTTGAAAGAGGCAGTAATATTTGAACCTATCAAAAGCCAGTTCAAATAGATCATAACAGTAATACAGCAACAATAAAATAATAATAGGCTGGGTGCAGTGGCTCACACCTATAACCCCAGTGATTTGGGAGGCTCAGGAGGATTGCTTGAGGCCAGGAGTTTGAGACCAGTCGGCAACCTAGTGAGACCCCGTGTCTACTAAGTAAATAAATAAATAAATAAACAAAACTTTATAAAATAATAGCAGCTAAAACTTACGCAGTGCTTATTGTATGCTGCAATATTCTAAGGCCTTTAAATTTATTAATGCATTTAATCCTCATAACACTGTGAGTAAATATTCATATGAGGCAGTAGAGGCACAGAGAGGTTAAGAAACTTGCCCAAGGTCACATAGCTAATAATTGGTAAACTGGGATTTGAACCCAGACTCTAGAATCCTTGATCTAAAGAACAAATGTTTGAAACTCTGTTAAATTAAGACTAAAAGAGTATTTTTTAAAGAAGAGCAGTTTTATGTTCACAGCAGATTTGAGAAGGTGCTAGAGTTCCCATATAGCCCTGCCCCCACACATGCATAGCCCCCCATTATCAACAGCTCCCACAGAGTGGTGCATTGTTAAAGCTGATGAACCCACATTGACATGCCGTTATCACCCAGAGCCACAGTTTACATTAGTGGGCCACATTTGATGTTGAACATTATGTGGGTTTGGACAAATATGTAATGGCATATATCTGCCATTATAGTATCCTACAGGGTATTTTTACTGCCCTAAAAATCCTCTGTGCTCCATCTATACATCCATCACCTGATTCCAACCCCTGACAACGACTGATCTTTTTGCTTTCTCCATAGTTTTGCCCTTTCCAGAATGTCGTATAGTTGGAATCCCAAAATACGTAGCTTTTTCAGATTGTCTTCTTTCACTTAATAATATGCATTTAAATTCCCTCCATGTCTTTTTGTGGCTTGATAGCTCATTTCTATTTAGTGCCTAATAATACTCTCATCATCTGTATGTACCACAGTTTATCCATTCACCTACTGAAGGATATCTTGGTTGCTTCCAATTTGGCAAATTCTGTATAAAGCTGCCATAAACATCCATGTACAGGTTTTTGTGTGGACATAAGTTTTCAACTCCATTGGATAACTATCAAGAACTGTGATTGCTGGATCATATGGTAAGAATGTGGTTAATTTTGTAAAAACCTGCCCAACTGTCTTCTAAGTGGCTAGACCATTTCTCATTCCAGTGATGAATGAGGGTTCCTGCTGCTCCATATCCTAGCCAGAATTTGGTGGTGTCAGTGTTCGAGATTTTGACCATTCTAATAGATGTGTGAGAAGAATATTCTAAAAATTGAATTTTTATAAATAATAACATGGCCTGCAATTTCTGAAATACGTAGTGTATTTGTTCTTTTTTTTTGGTTTAAGAATCCTAAAATATGTACTGTGTATATGCATTATTCCTTTATCGATCAAGCTTCTAGCTACTTCCTCTACCCTCTCACACCCTCCTTACCATAGCAGCCATGGTTCATGGTCAGGCCTCTCATATGCTGCTATGAGAGGAATTGATACTGGGCTCCCAGGGGTCTATACTGGGTTTTCTGTGGTCTGTGCTGGACTCCCTTATTTACCTGTTTTGTCCTTTCAAAAAGGCTATTAACAGGGCTCTTGTCTGTATGATGTAAACAATTAGAAGGAAGGACACCCTAGATAAATACCTTGGGATGGTGCTGAAATTTGTTAGTCATCAAGAGATGCTGTCCTGTGGAACCCTAGGGAGTCAGGGTGGTTACAGAATGGCAAGCCCCAAGTCAGGCCTGCTGCCCTCCTGCAGGGCTGGAGAGGACAGTGAGATGGGCATAGGAGAAAATGACGTCCCTGCTGAAGTCAGTTTCAGCATCAGGCAGCAGGTACATGGTGCTGCTAGGGGAGTAGGGGAAGGTAGATTCTTGTATTTTTCTTTTAATCTGAGAGTTGAGAGTGAAATACTTCACTAGGCCCAGCTTTGTGTATGTGTCTGTTGAGGAGAGAGAAAGAGAATAAAAATTGGGCTTGTTGAAACAAGCCAAAGTTCAGCCAAGTTCTCATCTGAACCTCTAATCCCTCCAAGATTTTTTTTCCAGGCATAAGAAGAAAAATCATTTTCTAAAACTTTCCATTTCTGATTTTTCTGTGATTCTGGGCAGTCAAACTTGTGTAAAATTTTTATGATACCTTTTTATTTTATAAATTCTCAGCATGTTAAACTTGCTTATTTTAGTTTGAATTTTTGGAAATTATAATTTTTCTATTACTCTTCTTGGCATAAGGTAATTTCTTGTTGGGGTGATATTTTACAATTTAGTTACTTAAAACGATTTTGCTTTTAGTGTAAATCTTACCTTTTTTTGGAAAAATATGTATTGGGTGTCAGAATCACTTTGTTTTTAACCCTTTTTCTGATTATGAGTCTAATATTGTTATTGTAGGAAAAACTAGGAAATACCAGAAAGTATTAAAAGGAAGATAAAACATACTACCTACTCAAAGTAGCACTACTAACAATTTGTTGTATTTTTGCAGATTTCCATGCACGTATATATGTATTATACATGTGTACTTACTGTTGTGTATAATAGTGAATACAGCTATATAGGCAGTTTTTACAGCCTGCCTGTTTCAGTGGTCGAGATCATCATGATTTTTCCATGCTTTGAAATAGTCTTAGAAAATATGATTTTTAATAGCTGCATGTGACTTTAATACTATTCCATAATTTATATATTATTTTTTGGGTTGTTGGTATTTAGGCTCCTAACAGTTTTTCATTATTAATAATGTTACCTTGAGTGTCTTTGCTTGCATTTTTTATGAGGCTTAACAGTTCAGGTAAGAGGCCTAGAATATTAAAAATAACTCTTATTCACAAGCTCCTCCCATGTGACAGGTGTTTGACACTTTACTTACCCCCAGAACAAGCATGTGAGGTAGGTGGCATTGTTCCTCCTAAAAAAACAAACTGGTGGCTGCAAGCTGGTCAGCCATGGAGGTGGACACAGGACTTTCTGGACCAACCCCAGCTCTTTCTTGCTGCACTGTTCTGCCTTGGGCACACTTGGAGTGAACTGTGAGACCAAATTATGAGAGAAGGACTATAGAAAATCATGCAGGGGGTGGGGGTAACTATTATGATGAAACATACTGGCCAGTACTGGTGGATCTGAAACTGGATCAGGCGGTGTATACTGGAAACTATTATACAGATCCTCTTTCCCCTGCCTCTGGGATTTTACATTTTAAAAATAAGGTCTCCTGAAGCAAAGTGATTTGCCTGAGGCCATACAACTAACTATTTATAGCGGTGAGTGGGACCTTAACTCCCAGCAACTGCTTTTCCCAGCAACTGCTCTTCCATGTTCTTTCCACTGTGCTTGACTCTACAGGCTTCCCAAAGGATGAAGGCTAGAGGTCTGAACTCTGTATTCATAATAAGGTCAGAGTACATCCTTAAAGGGACATCTCCCCTAGTTATCTAGTTTGAAATCAGTTAGCCTCTACTGAACTATGAGGATGGCAGTACTGTAGACTGACTGACTGGATTTTGATCCTAGTTCTACCTTTTTCTTGTCGTGTATCCTGGGCAAGTTTCTTAACCTCTTTGTGCCTCAGATTCTGCTTTTTTTTTTGGGACAGGGTATCACTCTGTTGTCCAGGCTGGAGTGCAGTGGCGTCATCATGGCTTACTGCAGCCTTGACTTCCTGGGTTCAAGTGATCCTTCTCCCAAGTAGCTGGGACTGTAGGTGCGTGCTGCCACATTCAGCTAATTTTTGTATTTCTGGGTAGAGATGGGGTTTTGCTACGTTGCTCAGGCTGATCTTGAATTCCTGAGCTCAAGCAATCAGCCCACCTTGGCCTACCAAAGTGCTGGGATTACAGGCGTGAGCTACCGCACTCGCCATCAGATTCTGCTTTTATTAAATAGAGACAGCAGTAGTATCTACTGCATGAGATTGTTGCGAAGGCTGCATGAATGCACTGTGCAGAGCTCCTAGAACAGTGCTGGGCGTGTAGCAAGCCTGGTGTAGGTGTAGTGAGCCTGGTGTGTGTGTGGCGAGCCTAATGTGTGTATCAGCTGCTGCTGCTGAGTAACCAGGCACATTCCCTCTGCTGTTCCTCCATTAGCTACTATTTTCAAGGAACTCAAAATGATCACTTTTTGCCTCTAACAGAATTTACAGAAACTCTACAAGAGCTTGAAATGCACCTATAGTGGTCAGGGAGCGTATATATTTAGGGAGAGTAATAAGATAAAATCTTTCATGAAAAAAGCTTTTAGAAGACTAAGAAAACATAAAGGTCTTTTTAAGCAGGCATCAGAATGTCATCTCGAATCTGTTTCCTTTGTTTCTTGATAGGAAAGTAGTTAAAACAACCTAATAGCTTATCAATAAATCAGAAGTTTCCAGATTTCCTGATTTGCTTTTGCTTGCTAGTAATTTTCCCGACTCTTATCAAATTGGATACAAATAGATGTTTTTAAAAGTCAAGTTGCCCACACTATTTGATTCTGTTTGCTATTTTTGGCTTAAAAATGAAGAAGAAATATGGCCTAATTCTTGCCCTGTGGTGAAATTATATTGCAAGGTAAGAGAATAGAAAATAAAGCTTTTCATTATCACCTCTCCATGACCTCTTGAATGAAAAGGTTGGGAGTTTGAGAGGTTCTTTTTTTTTGAGACAGAGTCTCGCTCTGTCACCCAGACTGGAGTGCAGTGGCGTGATCTCGGCTCACTGCAACCTCCGCCTCACGGGTCCAAGCGATTCTCCTGCCTCAGCCTCCTGAGTAGCTGGGATTACAGGCACCTGCCATGATGCCCGGTTAATTTTTGTATTTTTAATAAAGACTGGGTTTTGCCATGTTGGCCAGGCTGGTCTTGAACTCCTGATGTCAGGTGATCCGCCCGCCTCGGCCTCCCACAGTGCTGGGATTACAGGCGTGAGCAACAGCGCCTGGCCAAGGGGGTTTGTTCATCAAGATAGACTTCCTCTGTCTCTATCAATAACTGGCAAAGTTGCAGTGAGACCAGTTACTAGTGGTCAGTGTGTGACATTGGGGCCCATGAGCCTGGGTTTGAAACCCAGGTCCTCGGCATCCAGCTGAAACAGCCGTTTCAGCCTCTCAGCTTCATTTTCCTGTAATATAGAGAAAATACTTCCTACTGTGAGGCTAAAATGCCTTAACATTCATAAAAGCATCTAATGCTAGGCTCTTGTAATTTTAGCACCTTTTCCTCTGATGACATTCACTGGGAAAAGGAAAGGCTCTGTAGCCCCGTCTTCAGAACTAAATTCTCCAAAGCAGGACTTCATTCTAGGCTTGCTTTTAAACAAGATTATTTCCATATACCATCCAATCAGGTAATATGACATAGGAAATGCCCTTCCCTCTGTGAGACATGCACTCGCGTTTGGCAAAGACTGTGGTCACCACCTTCATTTAAAAGGGTTTAATGATCTTTGGACTTTAGCAGACTCCATAGAGTACAGCCCTGATGGACAGAGTTTAGGCAGAGAGAATATTTTCCATTTCATAATCTCATACACAGGGACCTAAATTCCACTATCAGGGACTTCTTTAATGACTCCAACTGTCAGCCTGGACATGAGTGACCTGAAGAACCTGTATGGAGAGTGGAAGGGGCATACAGATGACTTCTGCTGGTATGACCCTCTCCCCTCTCCCAGCCACACAGCTGGTGGCTTCACAAAGAGCTAGGTTAGCAGTGAGGTTGTCCTGTGTACAATTTCAGTGCCCCTTGCTCAGGGTCTAAGCCTGACCCATGTTGCTGCAGATTGTACACTGGGGTTATCTGGGTTATTTATTTATTTTTAGAGACAGGATCTCACTCTGTCATCCAGGCTGGAGTGCAGTGGTGCAATAGCTCACTGTAACCTTGAACTCCAGGGCTCAAGTAATCCCCCCAATTTGGCCTCCTGACTAGCTGGGACTGCTCCTGAGTATCTGGAACTCCTGTGTAAACATTTTAAAAATTTAAAATTTTTGTAGACACAAGGTCTCGCTCTGTTGCTGGGGCTGGAGTCGGGAGATTTTTGACACAATTCCGTGGTTTATCCAATCCATGCCTGCACCTGGGAGTGCATCACACTCAGCTCACTCTCCCCTCGGCACTATCCCCCTCTGCAGGTGGCTTAGTGTCCTTCCTCCAAGCAGAGGGACTTCCCTGGTCTCCTTCCTCTTCTCGAGGTTCTGGGATGACTCACACTGAAATATTGGTGGAATGAGAATCCCCTGTGGAAGTTGTTGTTTCCATCCCTGCCATTTCTACTCACCTCCTGACCTCACTGACTTGCACAACCAGCCACCCTGTCATTACTCTGGGTGGGACAATTTCCCTTTTCAATTTTTGGTTATCAGATGTTACCATCCTTTTGGGCCTCCGGATATGGGCCTTTTCCTTTGCAGGGTTATAGCTGTCTCCCTCAAAGGCTTGGTTTAGTCCAGCAGCCAGGCGGGGAAGCATTTTATTCCTCTCTGTCCTGAGGCATATGTCCTGAAACCATTCTGTTCTTGGCCTCCTCAGCCCTTGTATGAGATCCTGTCTTCCCAGAGAACTGGCCCTTCCCAGTGACCACCCATCTTTGGGGTAAAGGTCTTTATCCTCATGTTTCAGGACCTGACTCTGGGCCTTAGGGTACATGGAAGGAGGGAGATTTGGGGACACAGAATGCCCAGTAACCTGCGGTGAGGCTCGGTTCATTCTAGGAAGTATTTAGGAAGTATTTTGCAGGCCTTGTGCTAAGGGAATGTGAAGATGAGAAAATTCGGCGGGCACCAGAGGCATGGGAGTTGAGTACTTGGCTTTGCCAATGTTAAATGCCTCCTTCAACATTTCAGACAGGGAATTTTTGTAGTGGAGAGTAGAGCTGAACTTTAACTCGGTGATTTTTCCTGACAGAAGGTCCTCTCTAAGGACAGCAAGGAAATCAACAGTAGCAGTTAGTTAGGAAATGGGGTGTTGTGCGGTGCTACAGTGACTAGAGTCAGAAGGAGTTCCATTGATTCCAAATAAGAGGCCCTGCACAAATGGAGATTCTGATGTATGCAGCTCTCTACCTGTGTCTATTTGAAAACAAAAAGCCACCTTATTTTGTCTAAAATAATTTGAAGAATTTTTAGATGGCCACATGACAAAGATACCATTTCAATAAGTAATATAAAAAATATGTGGTGTGAACCTGGGAGGCGGAGCTTGCAGTGAGCCGAGATTGCACCACTGAACTCCAACCTGGGTGACAAGAGTGAGACTCCATCACACACACACACAAACACACATGCACGCACACACACACAGGATATGTATTCTGTGAACCACTATTCATTTCTGTATACCAGACTGAATTTTTAAAAGCATTTGAAGCATTCACTATTTTTCACATTAATATCAAAGCAGTAAAATAATCCAGAAACAAAAAAAGATAAGTAGCTTAATGATTCTACTTAAAATTAATGCAACTAATGTATTTCTGTTATTCCCTAGTGTATTGTTGTTGCAAAGTAGTTACTGTCTTTCAAATGAAAGTTTAAAACGATAACTTTCTGAAAATTGCAGCTATCATACAAAAACGTGATTGTAAATCGTTTGTCTTTTGCCATTTTTCTTAAAAGAATTAGATATTTAAAAGATCATATAATCTGTTAAAACCATTAGTTGGCATTTTAAGAGTCACTTCAAGAATGTGCTTTAATTTAAAGGAAAACTAAGCTTGAATTCATTTTCATCTTTTTTTTACTATATTGAAAATTTTAACATTTCAATTCTAGTTTTGTCCATGACTGTTAATAATTCAGTCATTCAGCAGATAATTGAGGGCCCACCCTGTCAGGCACTGTCCTAAATGCTGCTGCTGCCCAACAAAATAGACCCAAAATGCTGGCTTCATGGAGCTCACATTCCATTTGTGTACATTTCTATGGAACAGGCACTGTGTACTTTCCGTGCATGCTTGAGCAATTTTAATTCTTCTATCAGCCCAAAGAAGGCACTATTACTATCCCAGTTTAACAATGAGGAAGCTGAGGTTGGCAAGGTTCGCAGTTTCCAGCTCATCTCCATCTACGTGATGCTGGTTTCATGACCACTGTGCAGTCACTTGCTTTAGAGTGGTTTGAACCATTGAGTTAGCTTCACTGAGAAGTATCATGGAACCACTTACACTGATATTACGAAGTATGCTTCAAAATGATGGTACACTCATGGAAGCAGCCTCAGAGGAAAGCCATTAAGATGGCGGGGGTGCCAATCATGTCATATGAGGGCAATTGTAAGATATTATTGAACTAAGATCAATGGGTACAGGGTTTGGGAGGAAGGATTCAGGTCAATGTAGGGAAGAACCATCTAACCTGTCCACAGAAGGGATGGATTGCCTAATTAAATGCCGAGATTAGAGAATTTAGCCTCGTGGATGTGGTCAAGAGGATTCAAGCATTAGGTTGATGATCATTTAGATCAGCTTCCCACACCTGCTCATCAGAATGATCCAGCCACTTGTTGAAAGGATGTGTTCTGGTTACCCTGAGATGTTTTCATTCATTAGATTTAGGGTGGGGCCTGAACATCTGAATTTTTAATCAACACAATAGGGGACCTGTTGCTGGGTAGAGGGTGGTGGGGTATAACAGAGGTCACAAATGTACAAAAGCCCTTTTTGGAGGAGCATGTATGAAATGTTTTAGGAACTGAAAGGTCAGCTTTGTGGTTGTACTCAAGAGAGTGAAGGGCAAGTTGTATTAGAAAAAAGTAGACATATAGGTGTGAGCCAGAAATTGGAGGTTTTCCAGAACCACATTAAAGATTTTAAGCACAACTGAAACCATTTTAGCCTAGAGTAACATAGGGTAACCAGATTTTGTGTGTGTGTAGTGTGTGTGTGTGAATGTGCAGACCCACACACTCAAAATACACATCATATTTTTAAAGATCTCTCAGACTGTGAAGAGAATGGACTTAAAAATGTTCATGGAGGAGGTAGAGTGGGTGGCAGTGGACTGGTTAATAGACTATTGAAGTATTCCAGGTGAATGACAAGGGGACATGAGGAGGTTTTTTTGGGAGCTAAAATCAGCTGGCCTGGATGGTAGACCAGATCATGGGGATAAGGGTAAGAGGGTATTCAGGGTGGAGAGGGATGCCATTTACTCACCCAGGGAATAGGTTTGTGGGAATGTTTTGAACGAATGGAAATTGAGGTGCCTGAGATGGCCACTCTGACATGTCTAATGGGTGGTTGGGTATGTGGGGTTAGAGCTCAGAAGGAGAGGTCAGATGGTTGAAGCCAAAGGGGTGGATGAAATTGTCGAGGGAGCAGGAAGAGTGTTAGAAGAGGGCTCCAGACATCTAATGTCTGGTGGTGGAGAGGAGGAAAACCAGGATTCGGCCGTCACCAGGGAAGCCCCTGAAGAGGGAGGAGGGTGTTTCCCAAAGGTGATATAGACAAGAGAGCAGGAGAGATGAGACCTGAGAAGAACAGCCTTGGATTCCTTGGCCTGGATGTCCCTGTGACTTCAGCAAGAGCCGTTTAGGTGCCACACTGGAGGCTGCAGGGAGTTGGGGTGAGGACCAGAGAGAGTGATTATGGAGACTGTCTCCTGAGAGATGTGGTTATGAGGAGGAGCAGAGACCTAGGACAGTCACTTACGCGCAACGTGGAAGGGAGGTTTTTAAACATTTTTAAAAGATGGAGTAGCCTTTTGGGCTATTTTGCTGGTTTATTTTAGAATTAAAAGTGGGGGAATTAAAGAAAAAAGTTTTGAGTAATGCTTTTAAAGTTTCATCTTTGTTATTTTAAAATGTTTTCTATCATGAACTCTGAAGAAATCTTTGAGAGGATGATGGATTTACATTGTCAGTCTCTTATACAAGTGAGCCCTTGTGAAGTAATTTTTTCAAAACTAAAGCTTTGTTTTTCTCTCCTTGAGATAAGATAAACACAGACACCATTAATAGCACATTTTGCCTTGTTATCTATGAAGGGGGATGGTTGCAGGCATATAGTGTAGTGTCACGTGAGCCAGTGGTAATTTACATGGGGACCCTTAGGTTGGGTTGGCTTATGTGCCATGTGAAAGTGAGAGCCTGTGCCCAGGATCTGATTTCCTCTTTAATTGAGTATCAAATTAAATTCAGAGATCCCGGGGACTACCGGCCAGAAACATTTTCCCTCATCCTGATTTGCTTTTCTGTTCTACACTTCTGTGTCCTGTTTTATTTAAAACAAATGTAAGACTTTAATTAAGAAGGTTTTAAAGTCATGAGATTACAAAGTAATCTTGAATCCAATCCTCTGTAATTTTAACCAAATCACTCAGTATCTTTAAGCTCAAAATGTCCTGTCAGCTTTAAATTGAAACTGAATCCCACTGAGAAAATATTATGCAGTCTCATCAAAACCTGTGCTAATTTCTTTTTTGTTTTTACCCATCCTTTCTTAAAGAATCAATAAGCTTGCTTTTCTATAATAGTGATTCTCAGTGTTGATAACTGTGATAAGATATATTTCTTTCCATTAACTTTGCTGTAATAACACATTTACGTTCAGAACTACAAGGCTGTTTTTTTTTTTTTTGTAATTTCACGATATGCCGGGGGATTAATTGGTGGGTGCTGTGCTCTTGAGGATTAAAGAGTCCAATTTGGGAGATAGATAATTGTCTAGAGCAAGGTTGTCCAGCCCGCGGCCCAGGATGGCTTTGAATGTGGCCCAACACAAATTTGTAAAATTTCTTAAAACATTATGATTTTTTTTGCAATTTTTAAGAAGTTCATCAGCTATTGTTAGTGTTGGTATGTTTTATGTGTGGCCCAAGACAATTATTCTTCTTCCAGTGTGGCCCAGGAAAGCCAAAAGACCGGGCACCCCTGGTCTAGAGATACAGACTATTTCCCAGATAGACGGGTAGGTTCCCTGTTACTGCCCTCTCTCTTGAGTCTGGGGTATTTTTGCAATTATTCTAGCACTACAGATCTGTCAAGGATAATAATGCATAGTTATTAACACTAAGTATGGATGTTATGAAATTTGATTGTCAATATATCCTGTGCTGATTGTACTCATTCAAGTTAAAATCACAGGGTGCAGATATATAAAAATCTCAAATGCTAGTTTATCACTTTACAGATAGAACTGTGATATAGTGTTCTATGCTAGGCACGTTGTGCTCAGAACTAAATAGCCTAAGTAGGAAGCCAAGTTAGAAGGTTGGTCCAGTATGGAATCAGCACAAGGGGAGTTGATCGGATGATGTCAGAGGCCAATTGTCATGAAGCTGTTTGCCTAGCATATCCATTTCACTGTAGTGACATACCTATGATGAGAACCAGACCATGGTGTTTTTCTGGATCAATGGCTGTGCTGTGTTTCTAGCAGTGCTCTACTCTAGACATTTTATATGTAAAGAAATGATGTTATATGCTCATTTTAGAGAAGAGGAAAGTGAGGCTCAGAGATGTTGCGTAATTGGCCTACAAGTTGCACAGATAGTAAGGGTAAAATTAGAATTGGAACTTGCGTTTAATTCCACAGTCTGTGTTTCTACTCTTTTTGCTTCATTGCTAAGATTTGGGCAATCCATAGGTCTTCAGTGATGCAAATCACCTCCAAGAAACCCCAGTGCCTTAGCACTTGGTGTCGTTTCCATGAACAGAGCTTTTGGTTTCCTTTGCTCAGACACTGTCCAAGTTGGGGCGGCTGAAAAAGGCTCCCTGAGCTGGCCACATCTGTTTTAATTAGGGATGTGTAAAATTCCAGCCATCAACTGTGCCAGAAGTCTGGATAGGCTGCATGTTACAGCTGATAAATGATCTAAGGCAAATTATCTGGATTTAGGGATGGTATTTGGGATGAAATAATGGAGAGTTAGAATGGTCTCTCAGCAAAGCTACGTGCTGTTTACTGTAGGAATTAGCATGCCTGATTAGTACAGCTCTGAGAAGGGATGAAAATGTCTAAAAAAATTCAGCAATTGCCTCAGTGCCCTAAATAGTCTTATGTCAGCAATTAGCAGTAACAGTCTTTCATTAATCCATCAGATTTCTGATGCTGCACATCCTAATGCAGGAGATAATAGAGAATCCTCAGGATTAGCCACTGATGCATCACACCACAGTATGTCATTACAGCAGCAGTGTTGAGACAGCATATTGAAGCAGAAAAACGGTAGAGCAACAATTCTCTGAAAGCAGGAAAGTGCTCCTTTTCTTCATTCATTTCAGAGTGCCATGTGCAATGAGCCATGACCAGGCAGCAGTCTGTATCACCAACTCTTTGGAGGTGTGTAAGTCGGCTTTTTAGTTGTATTAATGAGATGTTGCAAAAATAAGAGAGTCCAAGGAAAGAAACATATTGCTGGTAAATTCAAAGGGGTTCAGATTTTGCAACCATTCCTTGATGAAATGGACTCTCTTTCATGTATTCTGTGGTCGTGTTACCTAATCTTAGGAGGAGTCACCATGTTTTTGCTCTTCCCCAAATTCATCTTTGGATGGCTGTGTCTCAGAATCATTCAGCAAATATTTCACATCCTTTCTGGTTTCTTCAAGTCTCCAAATGCCTTCCCTTCCCCTCATTCCTGGCAGGGAGTCTTGCCTTGTACTTGACTTCCATCTTCTTAGCATCATGTGAACTCTCCCACCTTCCCTTCACTCCTCTTGGAATCCCCATGTTGTCACCTGTGTGTGTAGTGTGTGGTTGTCACACTTTGACAGATCTAATTTCAAATCTGACCTGCTCTCTCTATCTGGCAGAGTGACCAGGCACTACTCACTTGGAACCTTTGATCCCCTCCTTTCTTTCCAAATGCTCTTCCTGCATCCTCCGCATCGCAGGAAAGGACAGCATCTTTTGTCTGGTTCTCAAGCTGAGAAACTTGGAGTCATCCTGATTCCTGTTTCTCTCATGCCTACATTCAGCCAGTCAGCAGATCCTGTTGATTCTACCTTCACAGTATTTCCAACCACCATCCCGGCCCTCCTGCAGGTCTTTGCTGGCGTGATTCTTCCCTAGGACTTTCCCCTTTTCAGCATTGCCCCATAATGGTCTAGTCTGACCATTCCAAAATATGAATCTGATCACAGAGCCTCCAAAGTCTTCCATTTTTCACCTGGGAAAACACAGAATCTTTTCCAAGGCCCGCTGGGTATGGTGTGATTTGCTTCTAGCACTTCTCTTTGTTCATCTCCTACAGCTTCATCCCATCTCCTGCCATGGGCCCTGATGCTCCTCAAACACTCAAGCATATGTCCTCCTTGTAGCTCCTTTCTGTTTTTTCTTGTTGCTGTTTTTGTTTTAGTTGGCTGTATCCTCCGTGAGAATGTTCATTCCATAAAGAACAGGATTTTTTTTTTCCCATTTTGTTCACTGCCATCTCCAGCCTCTCGATTCCCATTGTACTGTTGCCTCTCTTCAATTTGAGAAATGCAGACCTATAGAATGAAGTTCAGGCTCTTTATCATAGTATTTGGTCTTCTCCACAATGCCCAGTTCCCTGTCTTTGGGCCATTACTGTTTGTATACTCACAGGAACCCTAGCTACACCCAGTTATACCATGGCTATGTCTTTGTCCCCATGGCTGTGAAGGTAGGACATGCTGAAAAGCTCTTTCCTCATTTTTACTTGTTAAAGGTCTATTCCTTATCTTTAATGCCCAAATGGATTGAACAATATTTTAGATTTCTCCCAATAAACATTTATCCTCCTTTCCTCTGAAATTTGCTGCCACTTGTATAGCATTTATCACATTTCGCCTTTGTAAGTTATTTGTGAACATCTTTCTCTTTTGTTATTCTTGTAAAATCCTTGACGATGGATTTCTTTTCATTTCAGATCTATTGTTGCATCCCTAGTTATCACCTTTTACACAGTGTTTAGCCAACTTATTTACAAATAGAAACAGCCTTAAGTTCATATTTCAAATGATCTCAATTAGTGTAGAAAGCTTTTATTATTTCCTCTTGTGTGAATTATTTACATGAACAAGAAATAACATGCATATGACAACAAATTAGGATATGTTATTTTCATATTAAATGTCCCTAAGATAATAAGCAATGAATTATTAATGTATCACACAGGCATATCTTTTATTTTATTTTTTGTTTTTTCAAATGTAAAAACAAAACTAAATTTGTCCTACCAGAAGCTCATAGGGTATGTTTAGGCTTTCAGGGAAAATAATTATTTTTACTTAGAGATCAGTAGCTAAATATAAAAAAGAACTTAAAATTTGCATTGTGCCCCCCAAAATTATGCCATGTATTTGGAATGTGTATTTCATATATGTTGGAGTTTAAAATATTTTTCCAGCAGTATAGAAAAACAGAAGAAAATGGACTTACATTTATTGTTAAAGCAACGTGTATTTTATATTTTTATATTTAAAATGCTTTTGATTATAATAGCTAAGGCAATTTTATAATGCAGGGCCCAAGTCTCATTTCCTTTCTGCTCTTCCACCAGGTAAGTAGTACTTCTTGATTTAATGCACTGATATTTTCTATAAAGTGCTTAGCATAGTACTATGTGCTTAATAGGTAGTTAGCACCCAATAAATATTAGCTTCTATTATTCATAAAGAAGTGACCTTCTCTTTTCAGAGTCCTTCTTGGCCTGTCATTTATCATATTATTGCCTTGTATTATTTTTATGTCTTTTCCAGCTAAGTGTCCTTTAATATTGTAGATAATTTTGTACATTGTAAAGGATTAATAAATTATTTATCCACTGAATAAATAATGAACTTGTGAACATTCTTTTAAAATTTAAGTAGCTCTGAAGTTTGCTCATATTGAGCCCAAACATGGCGGAAACTTCTGAGCATAGACAAGTTAATGCCATAAATAATCCCAGAAAAGCCACTGGACACAGAACGAGTCTCTGGGGATGAACCAGAAGTCACATTTGCCTGCCTACATTTTCCTTGCGGAGGCAGTTCTACTAAATTAACAGGGGATATATTAGCATGTTCAGAGACCTCTAAGGTACAGTAAAATCCATAGAATGCCCACTTCCACTACATTTGATAGAGTTACCCATTGGGTTAAGATTAGTTACTCAGTTTATTTATGTTGTAAATGACTTATTTGGCCATTTGTTTGGGAAAGGTAGGAAGAGCAGTGGAGAGAATGAGAGACTGCAGGGCAGACAAACGCTTCTGTTTTCTGACTGTGCACTCACATGAGAGAAAGAGAGCCTTTCAAAAAGTATTTGCTTGGGTGCTTCACATGGAAGATGTGAGCTGCTGAACTCTGGGAGCTGGCAGCCAGCCTGAATATGTCCTTTAAAGTGTACCTACCTGTTAACCACTGCAGTGCTTGGAATCTAGTAGGCATTCAAGGAAACTTGGATGTATAGATGACAAACTGGAAGTGACAATGTTCCAGGTAGAGGAGATAGCTTGCTTTTTATGGATGGCTTAGTTGCAGGCCTCCATTGGGTTCTCCCAAGGCTCAGTGTTTTGCCTGGAAGTTAAGCCATTTTCAGATCTATGAGTGCATAGGTAATGTAACCATTACATTATTATTGTTCTATTTCATTTACTTCCAAGTAAACCCCAGTCTTCCTTGTCATGATTATATTGATTGTATTCATTCCCACAATGATTCAAAAATACTGTGTGTCTCAGAATTGCATGGCCCTCCATTGGACAAGTGGGGCTAAAATGTAAGCAAGGTGGGCTTCCTAGAGAAGCCTACAGCCTAAGGGGGAGATGAGACCTGCTTACATGGCTGTCAGTACAGGACAGAGGAGGCGCGTGCTACACAGTAAAGGACTTCAGAGGAGGGAAATAGTCTGTACAGTCTGCAGGATGCCAAAGCACTTCAGAGAAGAAGTTGCATTTTAAGCAAGACTTTGAAGGAGATGTTGGATTTAAACAAAGGGACTGGGTTGGAGGTTTAGAGTGAGGACATTGAAGAGAAAGCAACAGGCATAGTAATTGGTAACTTTACAGTCATATCAATTAATTTATGTTAATTAAAAGTGTAATTCAGGCTGGGTGTGATGGCTCACTCCTGTAATCCCAGAACTTTGGGAGGCCTAGGCTGGCAGATGACATGAGGCCAGGAGTTTGAGACCAGCTTGGCCAACATGGTGAAACCCCATCTCTACTAAAAATGCAAAAATTAACCAGGCAAGGTGGTGCATGTCTGTAATCCCAGCTACTTGGGAGGCTGAGGCACAAGAATCACTTGAACCCAGGAGGTGGAGGTTGCAGTGAGCTGAGACTGCACCACTGCACTTTAGCCTGGGTGACAGAGCGAGACCCTGACTCAAAAAAAAAAAAAAAAAAACAGTGTAATTCATTTGCACATGTGTATCTGGCTAAGTAAAATGTTGTATATTGTCAAGTTTAAGATAAATTTTATTTCCCTTTATATCCTGTAGGACATCACAATAAAATTTTGTTTGGTCAGGCTTTTCTTATACTGTTTTATTTCTTTTAAGCATTGGGATTCTTCATACTCAAGATAAAAAAGGAAGTCATAATTGCATGTTATGATATTCTTTGAAGTTATGTTGGACAGCGTCCACAGTAGAAAAGGTTAAGTTCATTTCTTAATGTGTACACACTGCCTCTTACCCACTAGCATTGGGGCCACCTCATTCATTTGTTTGCTCATTCAACAAATATTTATTAGGCATCTACTGTGTGCCAGGCAGTGTCTAGTGTCTTTCAATTGTGTTTGCATTCCTCATGGTATGTTTTATATTCTTTTTCTTTCTTCTATTCTATGAACGTTTCTTTGGGGGATATAGTAGGTTCTTAATAATCATTGAATTAATGCACATTGAAAAATCTCACAAAGGAATTCAGGCATGAATAAGCAAGATGGACTTGTTGAAAGTTCCACTGCAGTTTTGGACTTGAGTACAAATATTGAATACTATGTTTCATAGGGTTTCATTAGAACAGAATGCGTTTACAACTTTTGAAAATTTTCTGGTGCTTTTCCTTAATTTAACAAATAATCCCACACATGAATCACATCACTGTTCAAAAATGTAACTTTGTATTTTGACTAACCTTACCTAATGGGGTTTTGGTATTAATTTAAGCATGAAGAACTATTCTTGGCTTTTGCCAGGAAACAGGTAGTTAAAGTTCTCTATACTTTTATTAATCATAACATTTCTTTAGGCCATTTCAGCTCTTATATGACTTGAGGGTGAATGAAAAACCATTCAGTTAACCAAACAGAGAAAACTGAAGACTGATTAGTTGAAGTCTCACAGAGTATATGCCCCTTCTACTCTACCCTAAACACTGAGATAGTCACATTTCCTAGAAAGACCCAGCGAAACCAGATTAGTAGAAAGAGGTCCAGAATAAAGTATCTGAGAAAGCATTATATCTGTAAGAGGAGAGTGTTTTACAGAAGATGAAGACTAATAATTTCAACTTCATGTGATAAATCCAGTTTGTTTCATTTTTAAATTTATGCTTCCTAATAAAGTAATTTATTCTAGGGCTCAAGGTTTTATAAATGGAGAAAGACAGTGCATATGATTAAGATTTCAAACTCTGTCATGAAAAGAATTATCCATGTTTCTGCCTGCCCCATGTTGTATAAATTTCTCTGTGACTTATAATTTCTTAGACATATTTATCTAATGATGTGTGTTTGAAAGCATCCACATTTTGTGTCTGCCCTAGTTTTTTAATGATTTTAAGTGCATTTTTAATGGTTGAAACTGTTATGTAGACCATCTTCTGAGGCAAAAACATGAAGTACTACATCACAATATTAAGTTCTTCAAATTAGAATTACAGTTTTAGTGCATTTGTTATTTAAGTATTATTAGGTTAGTTCTTATGCTAATTTTAGATTTATTAACAGATAGGCTGGAGCCTGCCAATTAATGCTTTTTACTCTTGATTCAGCAATAATTTGGGTAGTCAGAAATGCAGATGCATTTCTTATGGTCTTTTAGAAAATTATTTTCTTTTGATTTAATTACTTGGTGCAGGACATATTTCATTACGACACTTCTAAATCCAATTAAATATTTTTCTACAGGCAACAATTATTCTAAACTCTTTTCCTCACAGTGGAAAAGTTGATCATCTTGAATAATCTTAACCATGTTTATTTCTCCAAAACTGTAGTGTTTTACCTTGTAAATTTTCTTGTTTTCCAGGTGAATTTAAACTAGATATCTCATTTCCATTTTTCAGCATTTTCTCCAATTTGATTGACTTGTACTAATTGCTCTGTTGCCCAGGCTGGAGTGCAGTGGGGCGATCTCCACTCACTGCAAGCTCCACCTCCAGGGTTCACGCCATTCTCCTGCCTCAGCCTCCCGAGTACCTGGGGCTACAGATGCCTGCCACCACACCTGGCTAACTTTATTTTTAGTAGAGATGGGGTTTCACCGTGTTAGCCAGAATCGTCTCGATCTCCTGACCTCGTGATCCGCCTGCCTTGGCCTCCCAAAGTGCTGGGATTACAGGCGTGAGCCACCGCACCCAGCCTGACTTGTATTATTCTATATGCTTTTTTTTTTTTGAGATGAAGTCTCGCTCTTGTCCACCAGGCTGGAGTGCGATGGCGTGATCTTGGCTCACTGTAACCTCTGCCTCTTGAGTTTAAGTGATTCTCCTGCCTCAGCCTCCTGAGTAGCTGGGATTACAGGCACCTGCCACCACGCCTGGCTGATTTTTGTATTTTTAGTAGAGATGGGGTTTCACCGTGTTGGCTGGGCTGGTCTGGTCTCGAACTCCTGACCTCAGGTGACCCACCCGCCTTGGCCTCCCAAAGTGCTGGGATTACAGGCTTGAGCCACCGCTCTCGGCCTCTATATGCTTTTATATTCATATTCCACATGCTGTTTACATTTATATGGTGAACAAGCAGATATCATCCTGATATTGTAGAGCACATGATTTCTTGCTGTATTTTCATTGACTTTTTTCCAGTGAGCAAATAGAATATTTTTTACATTAGTTTTCACTTCTAGTTAGAATATATCTGTATTTGAAAATTTACCCAAAGAGTATTGCCACATCTTAACAAGTAGATTACTAAAGAAGGAAATAGCCTTGTTATCATGTTTTATTTTACTTGTAACAAATTCCAGTTTCTAAATATTCAAAGGAAGTGCATAACTAGTGTTTTCCAGATAACTTGTTTGGTAGGGGTTTTAGGGGTGGAGATGGTCTGTAATCAAAAATAAATGGCAGAATGGATGGATGACTGGCAGTGACAGATACTGAGCATTGAGGGGGAAATCATACTTAAAATGAATTTCCTATATCTTAGAATGTTAATAAAATATTATATAATTTATTATGCTGATGATTAGCCTGTGGGGTTTCTCTCCTGTTTCAGTACAGGTAGGCAGAACTTGCTACAGAAAGAAACTTCCAGTGTCCAGTTGAATGAATTAATTATATATATGTCATTCCAAATTATCTGATAGTTATATAATTTGAAGCAAATAATTATATGAAAGGAGCTTTAGAGATCATCTTACTGCAATTTTGTGATAATGAGGAAATTGAGGTCCGAGGAATTTTACTTTTCTCAGGTCATTGTGTATTAGGATGCTTTTGGTTGCAAGTGTCAGAGTCCCCAGTTGAAACTAGTTTAAGTAAACTAAAATATATATATATGACTGGGAAATCTAGGAGTAGATTTGGAGTCAGAAGTGCAGCAGCCAATTGGTGTGGTTAGGAGTTGGGTATTATAACTTTAGGTCATCCTTATTCCTAAGGATGTGGTAGGGAGACAGGTGATTGGCAGCTCCACTAGAACCATGGGGAAAGGGAGGAGCCAGTCTCTGAAAAAGGAAATAAACTCACCTAGTTTAGTGGAAGAATTGCTGCTGGAATCTGGCCTTTAGATTCCCAAGTTAATGCCATCTACATCAAAACCTTAATATGTAGTAGGATAGTTGGATTAATTAAGAGGGTGCTTAACTCTTAGTTGAGTAGATTGTCTACTTAGTTTTCATTTTAGAGCACCCTGAAGTTGGGGTTCTAAAGCCTTGTTTTAAAGCCAATAGAGCCTTTGGCTACAGTCTTTTGGAAGTTAGGGTTTTTATAAAACAAATGCATTGTTGGTGACATGATAAATGCAGATGAGAATAGAGCACAAATCTGCTAAAAATTTAGAATTTTTAAAAATGATAATGGAAATAACTCCCAAGAACATATAAACTATGATCTGTTCAACATGCAGGTCTTTTCAGCTTTTCTTTCTCTTTGTCCCGGAGCTAAAGCTTGATTCAGGACCTGGCTGTGTGTCCTACTTGGAGCTGCTGAAAGGTCCCCACACATTCCAGTCAACCTATATCTTCCTTCTCCAGGGACCTTGTCATCTCAGCGAGTAGATTTAATTTGTCTTTAATATTAAATATGTTCAGTAAGTATGTGTGTATGTACGTGTGTCTGTTTAAACTTTACATTTGATTTTTCCTAATTATCCTTAGTGAATTCTTAGAAATGTGATCAGAAATACCCATAATATTAAGAAAAGGAGAAAGAGAGACAGGAAAGGACTTAGTTAATTCAAAAACTGCATAATATATCAAGATATGATTGCTATCACATACTAACAGAATGTTTAAGTTCTCTCACTCATGAAAAAAAACACACATCTTCCAGATAAAAAGGTAACACAAATGTGTGTACCTTAATCATACCCATATGTAAAACTAGAGCGGTGGCATGAATCCCAAGAAGTGGGCGGTTGCCCACAGCTGTACTTCTGTCTCAGATGGATAACTGCAATCACTAACCTTTTTTGAAGAATTTGATATGATACTGAGAAAATAGTGATTAATCAAAGCCCCTTTTAAAATGGAAGACTTTCATCTATAGGCATTAACTTTTTATGATCAGAGAAAAAAGCAGTAAAGAATAGGTGAAACATTTATTGTATACTTACTTTCGGTCCAGCATTATGCTTTACATACTTAAATTTCTAATTCATCTTATCTGTGAAGTGAGTACTATTGCAAATATGAATTCACTTTACAGATGAGGAAACTGAGGCCTGGAGAGGTTAAGTAAATGATCTAAGGCGAATCCAGGTCAGAATGTGTGCTCTTGAGGGCTATGAGGGATGTGGAGGATTAGTATAGGAGCACTGTCTGGTTGTAAATGGCAGGGCAGAAACCTGACCTTTGAACCACTCTGTGTTCTACCTGCTTCCGTGGCAGACCTTGTCCCAAATATTTCAGGATTGATCAAGCAAGTAACAATACTAGGTTATTGACTCACGGTTCTGTGAAGGAAAGAAAATTGAATATTTCTGAGAAAAATTGTACCAAAATAGAGAGTGCCCTTAAACTGTATCAGCTTGTGAGACGTGTTTTAGGCAAGAAGTTTCCAGTTTTTTTCCTGGGAAATGCTGTACAGCAGTGGGCCCTGGGAGGAACGGCATATACATTAAACTCCTTCCAGAGAACTATTTGTTCTCTTTTAGGGACAAGATGTGTTCTTAAAAGTTGGGCAGACTTCACATCTAATTCTTCTACTGTCGTTACAATTTCCTACACTAATCCTAAATTCCGTGGAGTTTTTATTACATTGGTTGGTGGCATTAGCCTGTCAACAGCTGGATGAGATAGAAGTTAGAAAATGGACTTTTTGAGGTCAGGAAGCTAAGCAACCAGAAGAACCAATTTGTCAACTTAAATCATCTGGGGAATGGAAAAAATTATTCCACAATGTGGGAAATAAAAGACCGCCTGGAGCTACTGGTTTTTGTTTTTATTTTCTTTTTGTTATTCCTCTTTGCACTTCCCTTTTCCGAGCAGCATTATGTGTGGGTTATAGAAAGCTTACATGTTGACTTTGTTATGTGGTCATTTGATGTGGTCGCGCTAACGTTTATTGTAAATACTGTGAGTATTTTTCACCCTTCTGGCTTAATTACCTGTGGCCACATCAACCTGAATGTATTTGAGAGGTAAAGGGGCCCAAGACTTCAGTAAGAGCCTTTACTTAAAAAAAAAAAAAAAAAAAGAAGAAGAAAGAAAAAATTTTCATCTTTGTGTTGTTTATCTTTTAATAATGGGGCATTCATGCATTTTCCATATTTGGGGTGATAGTATTTGGGAAGGTGAACTTCATTTGCAGGTTTTATAAAACTTATTTCTTCACAATACTTAGGAATATATTTAGTATAATATTTTATAAAATTTAAATACTGTCTTATTCCCTTAAAAAGGATATTCCTTATGCTCTGGTACAAGAAAAAAGACATAAGATTCTTTTGTGAAACCATGAGATGATGATGTTCATGACTGAAAACACATGTCCTCCCATGGGTATTGGCTGGGTGCTCTCTTTCAATTACTTTTGCTTAGTTTTTCCCTAGTATAATGCTTTATAAAATAAAACTTTATGTACTGACATGGCCCAAAATAAAACCCATTATTGGAAAAACCTATGTTTCTTAAGGCCAAAAGGTACATTCCTTTATTTTTTATTTTTATTTTTATTTATTTATTTTGAGACAGAGTCTCGCTCTGTTGACCAGGCTGGAGTGCAGTGGTGCAATCTTGGCTTACTGCAAGCTCCCCCGCCCAGGTTCATGCCATTCTTCTGTCTCAGCCTCCCGAGTAGCTGGGACTACAGGTGCCAGCCACCATGCCTGGCTAATTTTTTTGTATTTTTATTAGAGACGGGATTTCACCATGTTAGCCAGGATGGTCTCGATCTCCTGACCTTGTGATCTGCCCGCTTTGGCCTCGCAAAGTGCTGGGATTACAGGCATGAGCCACTGTGCCCAGCCCTCATTCCTTTATTTTTTATGTGAATTTCTTCTCTATTTTTTTGGGGTGATTTCAATGGACCATGAAATCCAGGTTACTGTTTCTTTAAATAGTGAAGCAAATACACAATTTAAAATAATCTGAGCTTTTTTCTTAGCAGCCCGAAGAAAAGTGGTTAATTTTTACTCAGATTATCTCTTTTTCTTTTGACCATTGTGCTTTTACATATGAGCACAATTCATGAATGGATAATCTTAGTCATTAATTTCAAAACATTCTATTATGAAAACAATTTAATATTGATGAAATCAAGTTTTAAAAAAAGGTTTAAAGGGGAGAAAACTTGTAATAACCAGACAGCACATATTTAAATATAATAGTGTAATGGGAATGTTTTCTCTTTTCAAATGAATTTCCTTGTCTGCTAGTATTACTTATTAAAATAAGAGTATTTTTCTCTTAAAAGGTCCAATGAATTGAATTGCAATGAGTTTAAATGCCATAAATAGAATATTTTATAATACTTTGGAGGTTTCTACTTACAAAAGGTGCTCTGAGATTCTTTTGCAAAATGAGAAATGAGTTTTCAAAATAAACACCCTGTTATTTGTGTTTATAATAGATTGTTAGATACTATATTACCTTTACTTAAAGAGAAAGATGCTCGTATTTATGTTATTTTCAAATTAGAAAATCTTTCTATACTGTGGAAACATTTTAAACTAATACACTTGACTAATAATTCTCTATTACCTCTGTAGAACATGTAAACTGATGCCCACCCATGCTAAACACAGTAGAATTGTACGTCAGTTCTACTATGTAGAAGAGTCAGCTTTATGTCAATTCATCTATGTAGAAGGGTCAGTTGTATATATCTCAACTGTCTTTATGCCAAATCTATTTGTAATTTAATTAATTTACAAGATTACTCTATCAAGAAAATTGAAGAAATATGAGTAGGGGAATAGAAAGAGAGTTATTCCATAAAAACTCAGATGAGTCCCTTGGAAAGACTAAAAGTGAGCTATTAAAAAAATGCTATTGCACTAGGGTAAGCAAGCCAGCTGAAAAAAAATTGGAAAATAAGTAGAGGAAATCTAAGTAGGAAATCAGACAAAGTATAAATGGTTGAGGTTTATGCAAGACAAATGAGTGGGTATTCTAATTAGCACACCTATGCTCTGAAAAGACTATGGCCATACAGTAGAAGATGATATACGCTTATATCAGTTAAGTTCAAAATGAATTATTTATTTTGCAATTTTCATTTTGAAACGATGATCTTTCCAATTACCTAAACAATTAATCATTCCTCAAGGTTGAACAAAAGACCTTCTGTGCTAATGCTTACTATTAAGTATTCAATATATGTTTGCTTCATAGATTTCATTTCAGTTAATATGTCTACATAAAACTGTCATCTATTTGAAACAGTTATGCATTTTCTGTCATATTAAAGTAGTTAACTAGAAAAATAATATGTTTTTCCCTAAAACTCTACAAAATTTGTATGATTAGACTTTGGAGTAGTTTTCTAGTTTTTAAAGTGAAACCCAGCAAATAATTAAATATTAAATAATTAATGTAAAAGCCACCTTTTAATTTATACAAAAGCTAATTTTAAGTAACAAATCTCATTTGGCACTATTTATTAGGGGAGTAGTTCAGAATCGGGCACATTTTCATGCCTGTGGTTTAATCATCTTTCCATTTTACTTATGTAACGATTTCAACAATTCCAGGAAAATCCTTAGTGTTTAGAAATGAATTTGATTCATGACCCACCTATTTTGTCAAAATGGTAAAGCTTTAGTTGTTTTTGTTTGGGTGACTTCCTAATCATTAAAAAATAAAGACATTTTGAGAAGGCTTATAAAAATAAAAAAAGTCATTTCAGTTGTAGGCTGCTGAAATGGGCCTTGGTTGTTGCAAAGTATTAAAAGCACAAATGCTAATATAAACTGTGTAGCCTCAGAAGCAATATATGTGTGAGCTGTCTTTTCTGCCACTGTGGAATGCTACTCATTTTGGCTGTGAGACCAATAATAATTCAATATATAACACAGATAAAGACCAGCGATGGTGCCATTCTCTTCTGAATTTATAATACCTGGGAAATTAGAAGTCCATCCAGGGAGTGACACTGTAGAAGAATAGACCATGTAGCAACCCTGATAATCTCCTCAGAGGGTGCCATCTCCTCAGGAGTTTGCAAGGATCTTAGAATCCAGAGTCTGTCCCTTGCTCTTTTGAGAGACAGTAGCCAGGGTTTTGTCAGTCTGCCAGGATTGGGTCTCTGCCAAAACAGGTCATGTTGGTATTTTATTAATTTATAATGAGAAAATAAGACAAGCCTGGGGAAACTGTGTGCCCACAACCTTTAGCCAGCCAGGACAGTCATTCTTTCTGGCGAGCTCTGTGGGGAACCCATTAAAATCTGGTTTTTCTTGGTGAGCCTGGAAGCAGGGATTGGAATCCATTGGAAGACATCAGGTTTCTTTTGTAAACATATGCCCAGGATTTGAAGTGAGCTGTGTCAATACTCACAAAAACCCATTCTCCTCCCTTGCCTGTGTCCTGCCTGTACAGATAAGGGGTGCAGGTGGGATTACTGTCTCCAGAGTTTGCACCTGGGATCTTTGTTAGCATGGCCTTAGGCAGTCATTGCAGAGTCACACACACCTGTGTCCCCCAGGTCCAGCCTTTGGGCAGGGGCATCCTCATTGCCTCTGGGCTTTGATGGACATTGCTGGTGGTGGTAGATCACCATTGATGACAAGATGATAACGGTGGATAAACATGGCTTTTACTTTGATGTGTCTTTTGTAAATGTTACTTGCATACCTTTGTTGTGATTATAGTCCATTCCAGGCTCTTCCCATCTTGTTCCAGCTGTGTTTCTGACTTATCTCTCGTATACTGGAGGACTCGCTCTTCCCACAGGAAGCTGGGAACCTCAGTATTTGTGTGATTTTTATTACCTGGCTTTGCATTTCATTATACCCATTTCTCTGCTCCAGAGCCTTCCTCTGCTCTCCTGTGCTGAAATCCGAGCTTTCCATTAAGGCCTAGCACCTGTCTTACCTGAGCAGGGACTGCTTGCACATCCTGTGGTGTGCTCAGAGCGCTTTGTTAGTGATTCTAGGTGGTACTGGCCGCTCCTTCATACTGTGACAGTTATTTGAGTAACCTATGCAAGATTGAGAGCCCTTCTTGAGTGAGTGGCTTGTGTTCACATCATCCTTGTTTCCTCCAAGTTGGAATTGTCTAGGGAGGTCTCTGTATTTTTAGGGGGAGGTGGGGGATGGTTGGAGGGGAGAATGGCACGGACAAGGAGAAACGGGTTTCTGCTCTAGCATTTTGCATGCTTTACTATTTTTTGCCATGTGTCTTAGCACATTCGGAGGCCACCACAGGCCCTGTTTATCTTAAACAACATGTTCCTGAGACACGTAACAGTGATACCGGGGTGGGTGAAATGAATTCAGGGTACCATTTTCTTATGTATTTAGCTATTGAATGAGCAATAATTTTAAGATGCACACTGAGGGTAAACTCTTACTCATAAAGCAGCCAGGCAAAACTCTGATGAAATATGAATCAATAGTCTCCTGTCAAGTGCAAGAATTCCATTGAAAAACTCAATCTCACAAGGGCAAATTCAGATTATTTCTGCAATGTGTTGAAATAAAATCTGGTATAAAAATCTTGAGTTAGATTTTTTGACATTATCTCTCACTAATATATTTCTGGGCTTCTCCCTTAATTCTTACAAAGGTTAGAGTGAGAAAGTTATTAGGTAAGTTATTGTGACCCAGGCAGCCATCCAGATAAAGGTTCATTCTAGACAAGGTATGTATTTCATGGGCAGTGAGAGGGAATATATGAAGATACAGTTTCCTACAAGATGGTGAAATTTTGGTTCTACTTTAATTGTAGCATAATAAAGAAATATGATATAGTCAGAACTGCTCTACATTTGTAAGGCTACGCTGGTGTGTCCTGGTCATGCCCATAGCCAGCTCTCTTTGAGCCTGTCTCTGAACAGATTGGAATCTGGCACGTGGTGATTAACAACACTTGCTCCCTTGACTTCAGGGGTTGTTGACTTGGTCATGTAGATCAGTGATTCACAGCCATTACAGTGCATCAGAATCACCTGCCAGGAGGACTTGTGAAAACACAGATTGCTGGGCCCCAGCTCCAAAGTTGGGGTCGGGCCTAATAATTTGCATTTTTAATGTATTCTCAGGTGATGCACATGCTGCTGGTCTTTGGACCACCCTTGGAGAACTGTTGGTATACAGGCTTACCTCGTTTTATTGTGCTTTGCTTTATTGCGTTTCATAGATATACTTTTTTACAAATTGAAGGTTTGTGGCAATCTTTCATCTAGCAAATCTATTGGTGCTTTTTTTCCAACAGCATATTTGGAAAATAGGCCCACTTTGTATTTCTTTTTCAGATTTTGATAATTCTCACAGTATTTTAAACTTTTTCATTAGTATTGTATCTGTTACGGTGATCTGTGATTAGTGATCATCGATGTTACTATTGTAATTGTTTTGGGATGCCATGAACCGTGCCCATATAAGACTGTCAACTTAATTGATAAATGTGTGCTTTTCACTCCTCTGCTGCTGGGCTGGCTGTTACCCCATCTCTCTGCCTTTCCTTGGGCCTCCCTCTTTCCTGAGACTCAACAATATTAAAATTAGGACAATTAATAACCCCACAGTGGCCTCTAAGTGTTTAAGAGAAAGGAAGAGTCACATCTCTCACTTTAAATCAAAAGCTAGAAATGATTTTGCTTGGTGAGGAAAGCATGTTGAAAGCCGAGATAGGCAGAAAGCTAGGTCTCTTGTGCCAGTTAACCCAACTGTGATTGCAGAGGAAAAGTTCTTGAAGGAGATTGAAAGTGCCACTACAGTGAACGAATGATAAGAAAGTGAAACAGCTTTATTGCTGATATGGATAATGTTTGAGTGGTCTGAATAGAAGATTAGATCAGGACAAAGCCTAATCCAGACCAAGGCCCTAACTCTCTTCAATTCTGTGAAGGTTGAGAGAGGTGAGGAAGCTGCAGAATAAAAGCTGGAAGCTAGCAGAGTTTGGTTCATAAGGTTTAAGGAAAGAGGCTGTTTCCAGAACATAAAAGTGCAAGGTGAAGCAGCAAGTGCAGATGCAGAATCTGTTATCCAGATTCTGCAGATGCAGCCTGTTATCCAGAAGATCTGGCTGAGATAATTGATGAAGGTGGCTACACTAAACAACAGATTTTCAGTGAAGATAAATTAGCCTTCTATTGGAAGAAGATGCCATCTAGGTCTTTCATAAGTTGAGAGGAGAAGTCAATTCCTGGCTTCAAGGAGAGGCCAACTCTCTTGTTAGGGACTAATGCAGCTGGTGACTTTAAGTTGAAGCCAATGCTTATTGACCATTTTGAAAAATCCTAGGGCCCTTAAGAATGATGCTAAGTCTACTCTGCCTGTGCTCTGTAAAGGGAACAACAAAGCCTGGATGACAGCACATCTGTTTACAGTATGGCTTACTGAATATTTTAAGCCTGCTGTTGAGATCTACTACTCAGACAAAAAGATTCCTTTCAAAATATTACTGCTCATTGACAATGCACCTGGTCACACAAGAGCTCTGCTGGAGATGTACAAGGAGATTAATGTTGCTTTCATGCCTGCTAACACAGCATCCATTTTGTAGTCTACGGATCAAGGAATAATTTGTACTTCCAAGTCTTATTGTTTAATAAATATATTTTGTAAGGCTATAGCTATCATAGATAGTTATTTCTCTGATTGATCTGGGCAAAGTAAATGGAAAACCTCCTGGAAAGTGTTCACTGTTCTAGATGTCATTAAAAACATTTGTGATTCATGGGAGGAGGTGAACATATCAGCAGGAGTGTAATATTAACAGGAGTTTGGAAGAAGTTGATTCCAACCCTCGTGAATGACTTTGATGAGTTCAGGACTTCAGTGGAGAAAGTAACTACAGATGGTGTAGTTACCCGGGAGGCGGATGTTGCAGTGAGCTCAGATGGCACCACTGCATTCCAGCCTGGGCAACAGAGTGAGACTCCATCTTAAAATAATACTAATAATAAAGAAAAAGAAAAAGAAAAAAAATGAAATTGCCACAGCCACTCCAACCTTCAGCAGCCATTACCCTCATCAGCCAGCAGCCATCCACATCAAGGCAAGACCTTCCACCACAAAAAAAATTATGACTAGCCATAGGCTCAGATAACGATTAGCATTTTTTTTAGCAATAACATATTTTTAAATTAAGGTATGTACATTTTTTTAAAGACATAATGCTATTACATACTTAATAAAATACAGTATAGTGTAAACATAACTTTTATATGCACTGGGAAACAAAACAAAATTATGTGACTCAGTTTATTGCTATATTTGCCTTGTTGAGGTTGTCAGACCCACAGTATCTGTGCGGATTACTGGTACAGTATTCAGGGGATGCAGAGCTCTTAGATGTGGAGGGCTGACTTTTTGTATTAATGGGTTCTGCAGGGTGTACTACAGGACTTCGGCATTCGTAGGTTTTCATATCTTCAAGGGGCCCTGGAACCAATCCTTGCAGATACTAAGGGCCAACTGCATTCTTGGGATAAAAGGTAGATTTTAACCAGCCCTATATTTGTTTAAGGAAAGGATAAAAAGTCTTTAAAACAAATAATTTACTATGTCTGAAGCCAATGATCATTTTGCTTGATTCTGAAATTCTTAATGAGAAAACTCATTTGTATATTATATCCCTCTTGGAAACAATATACAACTTTCAAATCCCCCCCCCCCCCACTGTAATTTATTGTGGTTTTGGGCAAAAAGACTTAAAAATAATAAAACTCTGATATCTTAGTTTACAAATATTTAAATTTTCACATTAAAGAGCCTTAAAAGTTTATTTGAAGCACGTAACAGTATTTTTCTTTACCCTGATCTGTGACCAACCCTATACATTCTTATTCCTAGAAGGAAGACTCTTATAGGCACTATCACAGTGATATAGAGATTCATGATGCAGACTGTACCGAACCACCTTACAGTATGCTGTTTGTTCATTAGACACTTGTCAGCAGAAATGGTTGAAGAAACATTATAAAACACACATGGGTCCTTTCAACAAATGATGTCAGTTCAACATCTACATGAAAAAAAAAATGAATCTAGACACTGACCTTACACCTTCTACAAAAACCAACTCTAAATGGATCATAAACTCAATGTAAAATGCAAAGTTATAAAATTAGACAATAAGATAAGAGAAATATCTTTTTTTTTTTTTTTTTGAGACAGTGTCTTGCACTGTTGCCCAGGCTGGAGTGCAGTGGTGTGGTCTTGGCTCACTGCAAACTCTGCCTCTCAGGTTCAAGTGATTTTCCTGCCTCAGCCTCCCTAGTAGCTGGGATTACAGGCTCCTGACATGACAGCTGGCTAATTTTTGTATTTTTAGTAGAGATGGAGTTTCACCAGGCTGGTCTCAAACTCCTGACCTCAGGTGATTCGCCCGCCTCAGCCTCCAAAAATGCTAGAATTACAGGTGTTAGCCACCGCGCCTGACCAAGATGAGAGGAAGCCCATGTGACCAGGCTTCACAATACATTTTTAGATACAACAAAAGCTTGACTGATGAAAGAAAACATTGCTAAACTGGACTTCGTTAAAATTAAAAACTGCTCTTCAAAAAACACCCTTAAGAGAATAAAAAGCCACAGACTAGGGGAAAGTGTTCATAAAACATAAAAAGGGTTCATACCCACCAAAAAAGAGCCCGCATCGCCAAGTCAATCCTAAGCCAAAAGAACAAAGCTGGAGGCATCATGCTACCTGACTTCAAACTATGCTACAAGGCTACAGTAACCAAAACAGCATGGTACTGGTACCAAAACAGAGATATAGATCAATGGAACAGAACAGAGCCCTCAGAAATAATGCCGCATATCTACAACTATCTGATCTTTGACAAACCTGAGAAAAACAAGCAATGGGGAAAGGATTCCCTATTTAATAAATGGTGCTGGGAAAACTGGCTAGCCATATGTAGAAAGCTGAAACTGGATCCCTTCGTTACACCTTATACAAAAATCAATTCAAGATGGATTAAAGACTTAAACGTTAGACCTAAAACCATAAAACCGCTAGAAGAAAACCTAGGCATTACCATTCAGGACATAGGCATGGGCAAGGACTTCATGTCTAAAACACCAAAAGCAATGGCAACAAAAGCCAAAATTGACAAATGGGATCTAATTAAACTAAAGAGCTTCTGCACAGCAAAAGAAACTACCATCAGAGTGAACAGGCAACCCACAAAATGGGAGAAAATTTTCGCAACCTACTCTTCTGACAAAGGGCTAATATCCAGAATCTACAATGAACTCAAACAAATTTACAAGGAAAAAACAAACAACCCCATCTAAAAATGGGCGAAGGACATGGACACACTCTTCTCAAAAGAAGACATTTATGCAGCTAAAAAACACATGAAAAAATGCTCACCATCACTGGCCATCAGAGAAATGCAAATCAAAACCACAATGAGATATCATCTAACACCAGTTAGAATGGCAGTCATTAAAAAGTCAGGAAACAACAGGTGCTGGAGAGGATGTAGAGAAATAGGAACACTTTTACACTGTTGGTGGGACTGTAAACTAGTTCAACCATTGTGGAAGTCAGTGTGGCGATTCCTCAGGGATCTAGAACCAGAAATACCATTTGACCCAGCCATCCCATTACTGGGTATATACCCAAAGGACTATAAATCATGCTGCTATAAAGACACATGCAAACGTATGTTTATTGCGGCACTATTCACAAAAGCAAAGACTTGGAACCAACCCAAATGTCCAACAATGATAGACTGGATTAAGAAAATGTGGCACATATACACCATGGAATACTATGCAGCCATAAAAAATGATGAGTTCATGTCCTTTGTAGGGACATGGATGAAGTTGGAAATCATCATTCTCAGTAAACTATCGCAAGAACAAAAAACCAAACACCGCATATTCTCACTCATAGGTGGGAATTGAACAGTGAGAACATATGGACACAGGCAGGGGAACATCACACTCTGGGGACTGTTGTGGGGTGGGGGGAGGGGGGAGGGATAGCATTGGGAGATATACCTAATGTTAAATGACGAGTTAATGGGTGCGGCACACCAGCATGGCACATGTATACATATGTAACTAACCTGCACATTGTGCACATGTACCCTAAAACTTAAAGTATACTACTACTACTACTACTAATAAAAAAGGGTTCATGCCCCAAATATACGATTCTTAAAATTCAACAATAAGAAAACAAATAACCCAGTTAAAAAATAGGCAAAAGATCTGAACAGATACCTCATCAAAGAAAATGGCAAATAAGCTTATGAAAAAAATGTCTGAACAATACATGTCATTAGGGAATTGGAAATTAAAACAGAGATACCACTATGTACTTTATTATTATTATTATTATTATTATTATTATTATCATTATTGTTTTAAGACAGGGTCTCACTCTGTTGCCCAGGTGGGAGTGCAGTGGCATGAACATGGCTCACTGCTTTCTCGACCTCCTGAGCTCATGTGATCCTCCCAGGTCAGCCTCCCAAGTAGCTGGGACCACAGGCATGCACCACCACACTTGGCTAATTTTGTTTTAAAATTTAACTTTTAAGTTCTAGGGTACGTGTATAGCTTTGTTATATAGGTAAACTATGTCATGAAGGTTTGTTGTACAGATTGTTTCATCACCCATGTATTAAGCCTAGTACCCATTAGTTTTCCTGATCCTCTCCCTCCTCCCACCCTCTGCCCTCTTTCCCATAGACCGCAGTGTGTGTTGTTCCCCTCTTTGTGTCCATGAGTTCCCATCATTTAGCTCCCCCTTATCAGTGAGAACATGTTTTACTTGGTTTTCTGTTCCTGTGTAGTTTGCTAAGGATAATGGTCTCCAGCTCCATCCACATTCCTGCAAAGGACAATCTTGTTCTTTTTATGGCTGCATGGTATTCTATGGTGTGTATGTACTACATTTTCTTTATCCTATCTGTCATTGATGGGCATTTATGTTGATTCCATGTCCTTGCTGTTGTGAATAGTGCTGCAGTGAACATACACATGCATGTGTCTTTATGGTAGAATGATTTATATTCCTCTGGGTATATACCCAGTAATGGGGTTGCTGGGTTGAATGGGATTTCTGTTTTTAGGTCTTTGAGGGATCATCACAGTGCTTTCCACAATGGCTGAACTGATTTACACTCCCACCACCAGTGTATAAGTGTTCTGTTTTCTCTGCAACCTCACAGGCAGTTGTTATTTTTTGACTTTTTAATAATAGTCATTCCGACTGGTGTGAGATGGTATCTCACTGTGGTTTTGATTTGCATTTCTCTAATGATCGGTGATGTTGAACTTTTTTTCATATGCTTGTTGGCCATATGTATGTCTTCTTTTGAAAATTATCTCTGTTCTTGTCTTTTGCCCACTTTTTAAGGCAGTTGTTCATTTTTTTCTTGTAAATTTAAGTTCCTTAGAGATGCTGGATATTAGACTTTTGTCAGATAATATAGCTTGCAAAATTTTTCTCCCATTTGGTAGGTTGTCTGTTCATTCTGTTGATAGTTTCTTGCTGTACAGAAGATCTTCAGTTTAACCCACTTGTGCTGGAGGTTACAAATTTTTTTGTGTGAAAAATTAGACCTTGGCGATGACCTTGAGTAGCAGGATATAAAAAACCCCACAAGCTTAGTGTTCCAATAATGGAACACTAGGCATAAATAGGTTAATTAGATCCTGTTTGTCAATTTTTGCTTCTGTTGCAGTTGCTTTGCTTTTGGCATCTTTGTCATGAAATCTTTGCCTTTTCCTATGTCCAGAATAGTATTGCCTAAGTTGTCTTCCAGGGTTTTTATAGTTTTGAGTTTTACGTTTAAAGTCTTTAATCCATCTTAATTTTAGCATAGTATGTAGAGAAGGGGTCAAGTTTCAATCTTCTGCATATGGCTAGTCAGTTACACCAGTGCCATTTATTGAATAGGGAGTCCTTTCCCCATTGCTTGCTTTTGTTAGCGTTGTCAAAGATCAGATAGTTGTAGGTGTGTGGCCTTATTTCTGGTTTCTCTGTTCTGTTCCATTGGTATATGTGTCTGGTTTTGTACCAGTACCATGCTGTCTTGTTTACTGTAGCCCTGTAGTATAGTTTGAAGTCAGGTAGCATGATGCCTCTAGATTTTGTTCTTTTTGCTTAGGATTGCATTGGCTATTCAGGCTCTTTTTTTGTTCCATATGAATTTTAAATAGATTTTTCTAGTTCTGTGAAGAATGTCAGTGGTAGTTTACTAAGAATAGCATTGAATCTATATAAATTGCTTTGAGCAGTATGGCCATTTTAATGATATTGATTCTTCATATTCAGGAGCATGGAATTTTTTCCAGTTGTTCATGTCTCTGATTTCTTTGAGCAGTGTTTTGTAGTTCTTGAATAGGTCCTTTACTTATCTTGTTTGTTAGCTGTATTCCTAGTTTTTTTGTTTCTTTCTTTCTTTTTTCACACCGGCTAATTTAAAACATTTTAGAGATGGGATCTCACCAAGTTGCCCAGGCTGGTCTCAAACTCCTGGGCTTAAGTGATGGTCCTCCTGCCTCAGCGTCCCAAAGTGCTACGATTACAGGCATGAGCCACCACGCCCCACCTACACACATGTTAGAATGGCTAAAATCTAAAACACTTACAATGCCAAATGCTGGCAAGGATGTGGAACAAGAAGGACCTTCATTCATTGCTGGTGGGAATGCAAAATAGAACAGCTGCTTCAGAAAGCAGTCTGGCAGTTTCTTACAAAGGTAATCATAGTCTTAGATATGATCCAGCAATTCTGCTCCTAAGTTTTTGTCAAAAACATATGTTCACATAAAAATCTGCACACATGGTTATAGCAGCTTTATTCATTTTTGCCAAAAGTTGGAATCAACCAAGATGTCTTTTACCAGGTGACTGGATAAACTGGTACATTGAGACAATGGAATATTACTCAATGCTAAGAAGAAATGAGTTTTCAAGCCCCCAAAAGACATTGAGGAATCTTAAATACATATTATTAAGTGAAAGAAGTCAGTTTGAATAAGTCTGTATGTTTTATGATTCCAGTTATCTCACATTTTCGAAAAGGCAAAACTATGTACATAGGAAAAAGATAAGTATTGTCTCACATCCATTAGGAGCAAAAGAACAAGGAAAAGAAATGAAAAAGGAAACTAATGACTATTAGTGAGGATGCAGAGAAAGCAGAACCCTTATGCACAGTTGATAGGACTGTAAATGGTTCAACCACTGTGGAAAACAGTATGGCAGTTCCTCAAAAAACTAAAAAGAGAATGATCCAACATTGGATGCAACATTCCACTTCAGTATATATACCCAAAATAATTAAAATCAAAGTCTCTAAAAGAAATTTGCACACACATGTTCATTGCAGCATTATACACGATAGCCAAAAGGTAGAAGAAACCCCAGGTGTTCATCAGTGAATGAAAGGGATAAACAAAATGAAGTATATTCCTTTGATGTAATATTATTCAGCTTTAAAAGGGACACGTGTTACAACACAAATGAACCTTGAGGACGTTGTGCTGAGTGAAATAAGCTGATCACAGAAAGACAAATTCCAAATAATTTCACTTTTATCAGGCATCAAGAGTAGTCAGATTTGGAAACAGAAAGTAGAATTGTGGTTCCCCGGGGTGAGGGGAGGGCAGTTGAGATAGGAGAGAAGGGAGTGGGGAGTTATGTAATGGGGATGGTGTTTCTGTTTTGCGGGGATGAAAAGAGTTCTGGTGGCGATGGTTGCTTAACACTGTAAATGCACTTAAGACTGTGAATTTTATGTTATTTGTATTTTCCTATAATTTAAAGAAGAAAAGATCAATGGTTGCCAGAAAAGTTCAGTGGTTGGGGATGGTGGAGAGGGATATAAGGTAGAACAGAAGGGGTTTTTAGGGTAGTGAAACCCTTCTGTATGATGTTGTGATGGTGAATATGTGACGTGCATTTGACAAAACCCATTTGGTGGAACTATGGAACTAGGAAAAGTTCTCATTGTTTTCCCTATTCATGGTGGGGATTCATTTATGCTAATTGTTTTATCTTCTCTCCATCCTCAAAATTTGTCCTCCTCCTCCTGAGAACAGGTAGCCAGCTTGCAGTAGTAGCAGCTTTATCTTGTGCAGTCATCTGGTTGTCTTATTTTCATCTTCCTTCCCCAGTTCTTTCCCCCTTTCACTGCTGTAAGGCCAAGGTGGATGTGTAGGAAGCAGAGGTATCTCCATTTTCCTTTGGAAACTTTCTGCTTCTTACCAGCTCTACACTTTCCGACATACAATGACCCTTTTTGCTAAAATTTGGATTCTCAGTTTAACAAAAGATTGAGAGAAAATAGTTGTGTCCCTGTCCCTTGACTCTTCCTTTAAAAGATGTTTCCAGTCACCATACTTACCCTCTGAGTTTAGATTTTGCCAAATTGTTGGCAGGGTTTGAAGGCCAGGACGCTCTGTGTGCTGCTATTTCTGGATCTGCCATTGACAGCAACCAGATTACAGTGAAGCCCGTGAACTGACAGTCCAGGGCAAGTGTGCTGTTGCCGTGGGCAGTCCACGATGGGGGCCTCTCCATCCTTCTGAGTTAGGACAGTCATTCCTCCCGAGGTGGCTTGTCCTTTCTGATGATAGATTGAGGGAGACAAGCAGCACATGAGTAGACACACACCTTGCCCGAGCAGTTGGTGCCATTTAACAGTTTCTTCCCACTCTTGACATTTTCATTTTCCTCCTTCACCTCGCTCATCACTAGTTGTTTGCATCTTATTTTCTATACACAGCCGTAATGCAGAATGACAGAACACACACACAAGCTCCATTACTCATTTTCTATGCCGTATTCTACTCAAATTACACAGTGATTTTGCATGAGCTGAGCCATGAAAGGGGCATACGATTTTAATTGTACACTGGCCTTGTGCAGGGCATCATTCAAGATGGACCGAAATTTTCATGAAGCATGGCTGCTTAAAAAAGCAGCAGTGAAATGAAAAGGTGTTGCATTTTTGTTTCGCTCATGCTGGCTTGCACTTGCCTTGTTTATCAAGAAGTCTCTTTCCCAGGGAACAATGAGGATTTTTAAATCACATTCCTGGGGGAAGAACATTGTGTTGTCACCCTTTCATTCTCCCTCCCCTCCCCCAGTTTTACTGAGGTATAACTAGCAAATAAAAATTGTGTATATTTAAGGTGTACATCATGATGTTTCGATACATATATACATTGTGAAATGATTACCACCCCTCACCTCACATAGTTACCTTTTATTATTTGTGGTAAGGAAAGTTAAGATTTACTCTCTCAGCAGATTGCAAGGATACAATACAGTATTATCAGCTGTAGTCACCATGCTGTACATTACATCCCCAGAATTTGTTTATCTTGCACAACTGAAGCTTCATGCCCTTTGACCAGCCTCTCCTGGTCCGTTCATTCTTAAATGCTGTTCTGGGCTCTGGGGTGACTCAATTGTAGAAGCTATACAGCATTTGTCTCTTTTTCTCCAGCATGATCCCTAGAAAGCCTGAGAATCTATTAAAAACATTGTGGCTTCCTAAAATTAAAGTAAATTTATATATATATATATATATATATATATATACATACACACACACACACGCTATAAAAATGAACAACTTTAGTACAAGAGGTAGCAGAATGGTCGGTCACTGATGCAGACGTTTCTCAAGGATTTTAGCTTCAGACTTACATGGAATCAACCAGCCTCTCTACTTCCTTATTTCCATGATACTCAAGTCACCAGCTGTGTTAGGGGTTGCATGTCTGATGCCTTTGATTTTGAGTGCTGCTTTCCCCTCCTTGTAAAGACGTTTTATTCAAGGATGGAAGGTTGGCTCTGAAGCCTAACATAACTTACAGAAAAAGTGCCGCACACAGTGTCTTAACTCAGGTAGGTCCTGGGTTTAATGTTTGACGTAGTAAACAGCTGAGGACATGAGAACATGCTGGGACATGAGAATGTGCTGTTTTTCTCACATGAAGTTTTCCTAGTAAATAGACTGAATGGTGAATGTTAGCAGAAACCATTTCTTTTGGCCGCTTGTTTTGGTTTCTGGCAGTGCTTTTGTGCTGGTCACTGCTCTTACCTCATTCATTCCCCAGTTCTTGTTATCTTTGCTTTAGTCACATTGATGAGATTTCCAACCTTTTAGCTCACCAACCTTGCTTCTGCCTCAGGGCCTTTGCCCTTTCTGTGCATCTGCCTGAAGCTCTCCCCAGTTCTGCAGACAGCTACCATTTCCATATTCAGGTCTTCAGTCAAATTGTCCCTGGTTGCTAATGAGTTCTTATTTGATGACCATATTTAAAATTGCAGGTATACACATGCACATGTATGTACACACACACACACACACACACACACACACACACACACAATCTCCCTTCTCTGCTTTATTTTTTTCACTGACTGTTCTCCATCTTACATACTAAATATTTTCCTATTTTCGTTTGTCTCCTGCTACTAGTATGTGAGTCCATGAATTCAGGAATCCCTCTGCTCTGTATTCTCTGAATTCATTTCTGTGTTCCCAGTCTCCAGAACAATGTCTGGCACTTAGGATATCCATAACTATCTATTGAATAAGTGAATGAATGGTGGCCAGCCTGCCCACACTGTCTACAGCATCACCACAATTCATTTTCCACCTAGGCACTTACCTGCAGTCTAAAGTTATCTTGTTTATTAATGTGTTTCCTTAATTATCACCTGTGTCTCCTTTCCTGAAGTGAAAGGAAGCTCCAAGTGAGGACAGGCCTGGCTTACCTTGCTTAACTGACATTCCAGCACCTACTACAGTGCTTGACAGATAGTAAATGCTCAGTAAACAGCAGTTGGATCAGTGAAGGGCTTGTTCTTCCTGCTTCCCGTCTTCCTAATACAGCAGTTTTATGTCATTCTTCATAGCACTAGCTCCACTGAATATATCTTTTTTATATTCGTGACACATGTTTTCTTTGACCTTTGGGGTGCCTCTGGCAATGAAGACTCAAGTGTCAATGGGTTGATGGGAATCCTGGTGCCAAAAGAAATGGCCCGGTCTGTAAACTTGCTTAATCTAGTGCAGAAGCCTTAGATCTTTCCTAGAAAGTCAGTGATTTTGACTTTCTTGCCTCATTTCAAAGTCATCTGTCATGTGTTCCCACTCTGTTGGGTTCAGAGGGCTCTGTGGACAGTTTGGCTTGAAGATTTCCTCTCCATCCAGCCTTCTGGAGGGTGAAAGTGGACGTGCTACACTTGCTTACAAAAAGGAAAGATGACCATAATGTAGCATTTTCTGGCTGGGTGCAGTGGCTCACACCTGTAATCCCAGCACTTTGGGAGGCTGAGATAGATCACTTGAGGTCAGTAGTTCAAGACCAGCCTGGCCAACATGACAAAAGCCCATCTCTACTAAAAATAAAAAAATCAGCTGGCATGGTGGCGCATGCCTGTAGTCCCAGCTACTTGGGAGGCCAAGACAGCAGAATCGCTTGAACCTTGGAGGCTGAGGTTACAGTGAGTCGAGATCATGCCACTGCATTCCAGCCTGGGTGACAAAGAGAGACAATTTCTCAAAAAAAAAAATAATAAAATAAGTAAAGCAAGCAGTAGAAGTGGGTTTGGTCGATTTATGCTTCAAGAGGTTTTTGTATGGTGGCCCAGGCTGAGAAGCTGAGTGTGATTAAAAATTTTCTTTTGGGGAACCCCTTCCCAAAGTAGGGAAGACAGAGATCTGGAATGTTCCTGCTACCCCTATGGATCTATTCTAGATTCTTTTCCTCAGCCTCCGGGAGTCTGCTGGATTGGGGCCGGTGGGCCACACTCCTAGTTGAGATCAGAAGGTATGTCCTGCTCATGTTTTCCCTGAGTTTCTTCTCTTGGGCCTTAGCAGTGTCCACACAAAACCTCTAGAATGGGCTCTCTTGAGACCATCACAGCCTCCAGAGCCACAGTGTGCTGGTTTAGCGTGGCCTTGGCTGCAGTCAGACGTGGAATTTCTGTTTTGCCTTTTACACACCTACACATGATGAAACCTTGTCTCTACCAAAAAACAGAAAAATTAACTGGGCACGGTGGCGTGTGCCTGTAGTCCCAGCTACTCAGGAGGCTGATGCAGGAGAATCGCTTGAACCTGGGAGATGGAGGTTGCAGTGATACGAGATCACGCCATTGCACTCCAGCCTAGGTGACAGAGCAAGACTCCATCTCAAAAAAGAAAGAAAAAAAAAGCAAAGAAAAGAAAGAACATAGCATTTTCTAACATGACAATGTCAGCTTAGTGACAGGATGAATCACTTCAGGCTACAGCAGAAATATGTTTTGAAGAACAGGACTATCTTTGCACAGGGAAAAATGATGAAGAGGCAAAGCAAAAGATCTGTTCAATTTACAGATTTTTTTAAAAGCTGTTTTTCTTTTCATAAGGAATGATCTTTAGGATCTTTATTGGTCTTTCTAACACTCAGAATATTCATATTACGAGCTAATGTGGCACTGATGTGACTTTTAGAAGCTCCCCTTACAGATGTGGTTAAATTTCTGAATTCCACTAAGAAGACCTGAGATCTCCCATTGGTTTTGTTTCTTGTGTCAGCTGCATCTGCAGAGCATATAAACTGCTCATGTGGGATTCTTGCCAGTGCAGTTTGCTGTTGTAAAGACCTTAGCCCTGACTGAATTCTCCACAGGGAATGGTTGGGATGAGTCCTTGGGAAGGCAGTGACAATGAATGTGCCAAGAAGAGGGAGACAACTGTCTCTTGCCAATTTCCAGGCTAGTAAATGGAAATGTAATCTGCACCAAGTCAGAAGAATGTCTTTTACCCAATCATTCATAAAAATGAAGTCATGGATAAAAACCATCCAGGGGGATCAAGAAGACCCAGTAAGTAATCCTGTGGAGAGGTGAGCATGTTTCTGCTACAAACATGCAACTCCTGCCACATGCAAAATGATTTGCACTGCCAGAATATAATACTTCCAATAGACTCCTGGTGTATACCTTCTTTGTCCTGATTGGGTAAGTATTGAATGGCATCTGATGGTGAGGAGCAATGTGGGATCATGGGGTGAAGACTGCAGTAAGCCTGAATAATAATTGTTATTGCCATTCTGATCTTATTTTTAATGGCAATATAGTTTGACAGGTGTGCTCATGTATATGATTTTTTTTTTGAGACAGGGTCTTGCTCTGTTGCCCAGACTGGAATGCAGTGGTACAATCACAGCTCACTGCAGCCTTGAGTTCCTGGAGTCAGGTGATCCTCTCATCTCAGTCTTCTGAATAGTGGGGACCACAGGCGGGTGCCACCGGTGGGTGCCACCATGCCTGGCTAAATTTTTTTTTGTATTTTTTGTAGAGATGAGGTTTCTTCATGTTGCCCAGGCTGGTCTCAAACTCCTGGGCTCAAGCAATCTGTTCACCTTGGCCTTCCAAAATGCTAGGGTTACAGGCATGAGCCACTATATCCAGACCATATATATGATCTTGATAGAAGATTATGCTGAGATGCAGCACTATTCACAATAGCCAAGATTTGGAAGCAATCTAAGTGTGTATCAAGAGATGAATGGATAAAGAAAATATGGTATGTATACCCAGTGGAGTATTGTTCAGCCATAAAAAAGAATGAGATCCTGTCATTTGCAACAATATGGATGGAACTGGAGGTCATTATGGTAAGTGAAATAAGCCAGGAACAAAAAGACAAACTTAACATGCTCTCACTTATTTGTAGGAGCTAAAAATTAAAACAGTTGAATTCATGGAAATAGAGAGTAGGACGATGGTTACCAGAGTCTGGGAATGGTAGTGGTAGTGGGGAAAGAGGGAGGGTTAAAGAGTACTAAAAAAAATAGAAAGAATGAATAAGATCTAGTATTTGATAACACAACAGTGTGATTATAATCAATAATAATTTAATTGTACATTTAAAAATAACAAGTATAATTGAATTGTTTGTAACACAAAGGATAAATACTTCACGTGATGTATACCCCGTTTACCCTGATGTGATTATTACACATTGTATGCCTGCATCAGAATATCTCATGTATCCCATAAATATATACACCTATCAGTATGGATACCTATTATAATGTATCCACAAAAAAATTAAGAATTAAAAAAGATATATACATTTTAATAACATTATGCTGAGGACCATGTCTTCATCATGTTTGCACCTCCTTCACTTGCCTGGAATACTTGCTTAGGACAGAGTAAGTGTTCTGAACTTGTTTTTGAAATAGATGTATCATCCCCTCTGCTCTTCTTGGCAGGTCTGTGTGGCAGCACATTGGTCATGGGCCAGGACGTGGACTCTGAGGGCTAAGTGACTGGTCAGGAGCAAGGAAGGCAAGTCCTGCTTGCACAGTCCTAACTTGGTGCCCTCTCCCCAGAACCCCCAGGCCATGGACATAAGGAAAGGTCACGCACTCACTAAGCACACTGGCAGTCAGCAGCATCATTGCACACTTTCCAACTGTTTACTGCCAGTATTTTAAACTAGTTAAAAACTTAACTCTACTGGTGACCACCTAAAGATCAAGTTTCAGCAAAGTGGGACTTCATTCATTTATTGGGCAACTGAGAGGGGTGGGGCAGTGTTCTAGGCACTGGGAATACAGCAGTGAACAAAACACCCTCAAAATCACTGCCTTCATGGAGCTTCAGTCAAACTTGAACAGGGGTTGGAAAAGAAACTGCAAAGTAAGTGTTCTTGATATTTTGTTGCACAATCAGCCACCCCAGACTCAGTGACTTAAAGGAATATAGCAGCCATTTCCGTTGCTTACAGATCTGCAGTCTGGGCAGGGTTCCGTGGGGGAAGGCTTGTCTCAGCTTCACAGGGTGTCAGCCGAATGCTGGAGCAGGGCTCATGTACCATGAAGAGGACAAGGGCCTTTTGTTTGAAAAGCAGGGTAAAAGTGCCATTAAACATACTGAAATAGAAAACATTTTTCCTTTCTCTTGTGGTCTGTTTCTGGACATGTCGTGGTGTTTTCATTTGCCTCATATTGATGGGTTCCCTCAGGGCTGAGGATAATTGCTGGGCAGAGCAGACCGTCATAGGCACCTGGGGGTCCTGCCTCAGTGCCCCCATGGGACTAGCTGCCAGGTCCCTCTGCCCCCCTCCAGCCCCAGGACAGATGACTCATGCCTTAGCTCTGAGTGGGGATGTCAAGCCAGACTTTTCCCTTTCGCTTGGGCCCGCCACCTCAACCCACAGTGGACTGGTGACCCTCTAGGGATTTCAGCCTCCGTGCTGGATGTGCTTGGTAGCTAGATTGGGAAAGGGTAAGGGCTTACTCATACAGAGTCACCTGTCATACATGTCAGGGTTCTGCTAGCCCAGGATGGGACAGCCGCAACATCCCACACTCTGAAACATCATAGGCATGTGTGTACCCAGCCCTCTTTGTGTCTCTCTGCCAGGGGCAGATGAGGCAGCCCTCACTGTGTGGAGGAGCCAGGGTGGGGCCAGGGCGCCAAGAGAGTGGGTAGTGAGTGGCTGAGAACCTGTCCTGGGGATGTGGGATTACGCAGGAGCTAAGGATCCAGGTCCACAGCTCATGTGCCATTGTTCCACCTAAAGAACACATATTCACAGATAAAATAAGACTGTGACCACAGAGCATTAAACATTGAGCATAAGCCCTTGTGAGCACAGGGCCCTGGAGCCTGCGCTGTTCTCATATCCACGGCCCTAAGCTGGAGGAGATGCTTCCAGGTGACTGTCTCCCAAGGCCAGTGGGCTGGTGCTGGCTGTTGTCTAGGAGCGCATCCCAGGTCTTGGGAGGATAGAGTTTTCTCCATATGGGCCTCTTCATGCTACTCTTCATGTGGCTGGGCTTTCCTTGCAGCGTGGTGGCTGGGTTCCAGGAACCAGTCCTGGGAGATCCAGGCAGAGCTGCATTGCATTTTTAGGGTCTAGCTATGGGAACCACAGAGTCACTTCTGACATAACTCTTTTGTTGAGGGAATCACAAGGACCCAGCCAGGTTCAAGGGGAGAAGATACAGATGTCTGGATATATTACTGGGGCTGTATTTTTACAAAATACTATCTGCCACCGTAAGATGGTATGTGAGATGGGGATGAGATAGGATGTGAGATGTCATTAACTGTGATGTAGAAGTTTGTGGGGGAAAACAGGTTTGGGGTGTGATGGGGAAAATCAGAAGTTTGGCTTGGACATTTTAAATTTGAGATGTCACTACCTTAGTGGAGACGAGAAGTATGTATTGGACCTGTGGGCTGGTGTCCATGGAAGAGAAGTCTGGGTTGGAGGTGAAAATGTAGGAGTTGTCATAAAATTACTAAGTGTGAATGTATTTCCTGGTAGGGGACCCCTCAGGGATTGCAATTAATTTGCTATTGAAGGTGACCTATTCATTTTATGTTTAGACTGATGATTTAGAAGGTTTTATTGTCAAATCTTTTCAACTTATGTATTTCGATAGAAATGACAGTCAGCCAAGCAATTTTCCTTATGAGGGCTCTGAGTGTGTGTGCATGCATGTTTACCTGCACATATGTGTAAGTACTGCATTCTAGAAATCTCAGCCTTGAACTTTTCCTTATGATGTTGTACAGTCTATGGTTTTTAGTTTATGTGTATTTTGAGATATTCAAATTTTCATTTACATAGATATATGCATTTTACTTATTACCTCGTAAATTTTTCCAGGCATACTATGTAAGATCAGGTTCTAGTTTAAATAGTGCTTCAAAGATTGGGAGGCAAAATTATTCTTTCTTCTGTCTTCTGGTGATTTTATTTTGCTTGAAGTTATAATTTAGAAGAGCATTAAATTAGGATATTTGGAATTATTCTTTGGACCTTACCTATACTTGAATCAGGGTTTAATAGAATATATTGGACAGGCGCAGTGGCTCACACCTGTAATCCCAGCACTTTTGGAGGCCGAGGGGGGTGGATCATGAGGTCAGGAGATCGAGACCATCCTGGCCAATGTGAAGCCTCATCTCTACTAAAAATACAAAAATTAGCTGGGTGTGGTGGTGCATGCCTATAGTCTCAGATGCTCAGGAGGCTGAGGCAGGAGAATCGCTTGAACCCGGGAGGCGGAGATTGCAGTGAGTTGGGATCGCGCCACTGCACTCCAGCCTGGTGACAGAGCAAGACTCTGTCTCAAAAAAAAAATAGAATATATTTAACTTTTATTAATATTCTATGAATCATAAGTAGCAAATTTCCTCTCAAACAGTAAGATAAATTGACTGATGGCAAATGATGGGATGTGTTTTGATCTTAGGAGAAAGACATGCCATCATAAAATATTTTAAAGACATATCGTTAGAATACATTTCATTTAATAAAGAATGTTTCCATAAAAGACTTGAGGCAAAGCTATTGAAGTTTTATTTAAAAAGCATTTTATTCCTCCTTCCGTGAAGATTTTCCCCTTTAATCTTCTGTGTTTTCCTTTCTTTCCCACTTTCTCTGTTCCCTTTATTTTCTCTTCTCTTTCTGTTCCCTTCCTTTGTCTTCTCTTCCCAGAACAAAGACCTGGATTCTTGCTTGCAAGGGGGAGATTGAAATGCAAATGGAAAGGAAAACACGAATGATAACACTAATAACACTCCTGTCCATGTTACTCCCGCCTTTCACTGTAACTGAACCTGAAGAGGGAGCAGGTATCAGGGTGCTTTTGCTAGCATAAACACTGGGGCACCCTTATGTCTTAGCTAACTGTTCTCTTTGAGTTATTTAATAGAAAGACACCAGCGTCTGACGAGTCTTCACAGTACTTTGTCCCAACACTAGGGGCAATTATATAGATTTAATTCCACCTCCAACAGTTCTAGGCTGTCTTCTGGAAACCCAACACATTGTCCTCTCCTGATCTTTCCAGTTCTTAGTCAGTATATCAGGAATACAGTCTTCAGACTAAGGCCCTGCTGTTTTTGTCTAAACATTTTTGTTTTTATTTATCCCCTTCAAGCAACATTTTTCCCACTATATCCAATGTAAACAATTTGCATAGCAGTTTACAAAAGGGTTGTAAACCTTATTTTACTTGGAGGTTCCAAGAAAATCAGCAGACTTCTTGAGAGAACTAGGGATTTGGCAGGGGGTAGGTGGGAGGTATTAAGAGGAAGTCAAAAGCAGGGACTGATGATCTTATTTTAGGGCTGGCCTGGGAGGATGCTGGGAGTGTGCCACTCCAGGCCATGTTTCAGGTGCACAGTAATTGTTTTGTATTGAAGCAGATTTTCAGTAAACAATACTAGGGACCAACTCTGCCCAGCTGAGAGGAAATTAAGCACAGTTACTTGACTGATAATGATGCCAAACAGTTTCAGGTGTTAGGATTTCATTACGACTGTGTGTTGTCTCTGGCTGTACATTTACATTTTGTGTCAGGTATTTCAAATTAATCATGAGCATAATTAATAGTTGTAGTAATTAGATTACCATTTTATGATGATATCATGTAACAGAATATGAAGCAGCAGGAAAAATGCGGAGGACCACTCAGGTCTAGATAGAATCAGTGTTCTGTGAGACTTATCAAAACAGGTCAGCTCTAAGAGTTAACGTATTGATGCTTCATTACACAGCAGCTTCTTATTACAACAGGTGCAAATGAAGACAATTTTAATATTAAATGGAACCCCCTCGGGCCTATAGGTCCCAAAGCACTAACACAGAATTATTTTATGAGGATAATATTTTAACAGGCATTCTAGTTGAATTATAGGTTATTTGATAACTGTGAAGAAGCCAGAAAGCAATGTATGGTTTTACATTTCTTAAAAGCTAAATTGAGTTAAGGATCAGTGTGCGTAATAAGCTAAGAAAAAAGGGAGTTTGGCTTTTTAGAACTTTAATGAATTATTGAACATATTTCAGAAAGAGGATCTTTAAACAGCTTTTCGAATAGCTCTTGTTAACCTAAAGAGACACTTAGTAAACTATCCATAGGCTGATAGAAAAAGGACATTTGCATGGAAGTCACTTTTTTTTTTCCGCCATGGTTTGCCTCGGAAAGATTTCAAATGATTGTATAATGAGGGCAGAAAGTTGCAAGGCTACATATAAACTGCATGCTACTTAATAAATTATTCATGTTAGCCCAAAGGTATAATTATTCAGTGAAATGAGAACTCAGAAAATTAGTTCTGTATTAATGTTTATTTATACTGATCATTTTTTTTTTCTTTACATGCTCACATTTTCCTGCTCAGAGAGGTAATCGAAGGGCAGTCCACCTACGTGCCACAAGTTCTGAGTAAATGTGGAATCAGGTTGGAAGTCCCAGGGTTCATAGTGTCCCCCGTTTTTTATTTTTATGGTGGTGGTTGTAATGTATTTGCTTTTAGAGAAATGGTTTCTTTTGTATGAAAGGGAAAGTCAAGCTCTTATTATTTAGCAGTCCTTCTTCAAAGGGTGTGCATGGTGAGGAGCTGCACCACGGTGGTGCCCGCAGACGCTGCTTCGTGTCCCCCATGACAGCTCTGGTGTGAATAGTCACAGTGCCACCATTTTGGGTCCTGGTAATGGTGGTTTTCCCCACTTCTGTCACTTACCACCCACAGCCTTTTCTCTCTCAGCCCAGAGCAGACACCATTATTCTTATCTTTGTCTTGTTTGTTATTATGTAGCTCTCAGCTGCAACGGTATTTAACACGTTTTACACATTTTTGTTGGATATTCCCTGCTTGGCCCCTTGACTCCTAGAGAAGAATCCTCAGAACATTAGGCAGGTGCTCCTTTCGAGACAGACACAAGGCAGAGTGAATCATTCCTCTGCCATTCCAGAGGCTGCAGTCCTCACAGTGGCCTCTGAGTCCTGCATGGCCTGGCCCCATCACCTCTGTGACCTTCTGTCTCTCTGCCCCTCATGCAGCTGCCTCCTGCCAGTGGGGCCTCTGCTGCCTCAGCTCCCTCCCTGGAGGCTGTAATGGCTGCTTTCTCACCTTCTTAGGTCCTAGTGTCAACTTCTCAGCAAGGCTCACCCTGGCCACTGCCACAGAACTGCCATTCCTGCACCCAGAGGCCTAGAACTTCCTTACCCTGAGCTGTTTTTATTTCTGCTTAGTCACCACCTTCTAGAATACTATATAATTTGTCTTTTAATTATCTTTGTTGTTTATTGCCTGCCTCTCTGCTTGAACAGGGGATCTTTGTCTCTTTTCCTCAATGACATGTGTCAGATGCCTTAGACCAGTGCCTGGCACATAGTAGGAGCTCTATAAACATTTGTTGAATGAGTGAATGACTGAGTTTCCTGAAATTCTTCCTGGAAACACTAAATCTGCTGCCCCAGGGTCTGTTAGAGAGTGCTGGACTGCCATGCTATGAATGCTCAATGACCAGTGTGGGTTTCCAGTTATCCTTGAAACCTAGGAAAGAAAGGGCAGGGAGATGTGAAACCACTGAAGCAGTGGGGAGCTTTCGGAGGCTTAGGGGAGAATTCAGCAGGGGGATCCTGCTGGTCACAACACCGAATCCATTCCTCCATTGCTTCTTGGTTACCAGTCCTTTGGAAAGTATGCCTCTGCCTGGTAGGAGTGACAATACTACGAGAGCCACACATGTGGCTTGGGTGTTGAGCAGGGATGGCCACATGTGTGTTGAAGCCCTGCTTGTGTTTAACTGAGAGGGTTTTGTGAACTCCTACAGGTGTCTGTCCATTTGCATGCCTATTGGGCCCCCAGTTTCTAGAGCAGCATTGATTGCCATAGCTCAGCTGATTTATAAAGCATGTGCTTGCCTGGGAGATTGGGGTCACGGTTTGCTTGGAAACTTTTTGCAGCAGGAAGCAGTGGAGCAGAAGAAATTTTTGGAAGAGTTAAATGTCAGGGATAAGGCTAAAGGCAATGAGCTGAATCTTTTGTTTCAGTAAACTTCCTGATGGATAGCTTTGCCGTTCCCTCCCCATGCAAGGCACATGTGGTGAGAGGGTTAGGGAGAGAATGCATGCTATCTTTTACTTTATTTTTTTTGAGACGGAGTTTTGCTCTTGTTGCCCAGGCTGGAGTGCAGTGGTGCAATCTTGGCTTACTGCAACCTCCACCTCCTGGGTTCAAGAGATTCTCCTGCCTTAGCTTCCCGAATAGCTGGGATTACAAGCACCTGCCACCAAGCCCGGCTAATTTTTCTTTTTCTTTTTTTCTTTTTTGTATTTTTAGTAGAGAAAGGGTTTCACAATATTGGCCAGGCTGGTCTTGAACTCCTGACCTCAGATGATCCGCCTGCCTCGGACTCCCAAAGTGCTGGGATTACAGGTGTGAGCCACCATGCCTGGCCAGCCACAATTTTAAGTTAACATTTTCTAGTAGCCACATTTAAAAAAGTAAAGTTTAAATATATTTTATTTAACTTAATATGTTTGTTATTATTTTAATCTGTCATTAATATAAAATTTACTAATGAGATATTTTACCTTTTTTTCATGAAGCTTTCAAAATTTGCAGTGCATTTTATGCTTACACCTCAATTTGGACTAGCCACGTTTCAAGTATTCAGTAGCCACATGTGGCTGATAAATTGGACAGTGAAGCTATAGAGAGTTCCTTGATAACATAAAAAGCTTATCTCTTTGTTATACTTTTTACTTATATAGATTCTGTCTTTCTTTTCAAAAAAGTTTGATTTAAAGTATGTTTTCAGCCTATAAATTATGTTGTAGCATGCTTGATGTTATGAAGTCAGACTGTGGAACACAGAAAGAAAATGTGTATTACTCTATAGATGATCCTGAATATGTTTAATAGATGAAACCATTATATTTCTCCCCATTTAATAATTGATGAGTCAAGAAGTCTTAAAGGTATATCCAGTAGAAGCAGAGAACATAGGAACTGAGAGATATATAAATATCTGATACATGTTTTTATTTTGCTTAAGTGACACTTTATAGAGGTCTGGTGTAAGAATTCATATACTGTCGCTCTTTTGTATGTTGCAAAATTATTATCATTTCAAAACTGGGCTGGAACTTATATATAGGAGTTATATCTTAGACTTTCTCCAATGAATTTTGGCTACCAAACACCTCAAATGAATTCTGCAGATAGTATTTCAAGGATGCTTATGGTATGGTAAGTGTAACTTGATTAACTACAGAAGATGATTAGAAGTTGTAATAGACACTGAGAATCCTGTAGTGGTCTTTGATACCCATGATAGATAAGATGATGAAGGTAACTCTTAAAATTAGGAATAAATATTATAACATTACATTTTTGTCTTTAAATTTCTGAGCAAAACAAAGTTGATGACCTTTAGATTTAAAACAAGAAATTGTTGTTTAAAGATGTTAAAGATAAACATTTTTATCGTTGAATGAGTCCCTGAGTTTCAGCTCTCTTTCACATCAGGTCTTTAGTTTATTGCTTTCTTTAAACATCATGCACCTCCTTGTGCTGTTTTTCATTCCCCACCCCCGATTCAGAGAGACAGGTAATTATATACACACCAGCTAAATGTCTGGTAAAATCTCTAGGCAAAACTGAGTTGACTTGTGTGGAACTGAATTTAAAAATGCTTGACGGAATATTGCTCCAGTCTCTGAATACTTGTCAGGTTGCATTTACTGCAATTGCCTCCATTACCAGGATGTGTGCTTTGGTCCTGAGAGAGACACTTTTCCCTGCCTCTCCCCCTTTTCTTCCTTTTCACTATATAGCTCTGGCTTCTGAGGGGTCACAGTCCAGCAGTTATTCATTTTGTCCCTCTGAATTAGAAAAGAAGTATAATAATTTAACTGAAATTAGGTTTGTTTTAAACCTAGGCAACTGTCTTTTTATGAAGAAAACATTTACAGTATAAAATAGGAGAATGTCACATGAGCTGTATAAATGGAATATATAATAGTGTGGATGTATAATGATTATCATTTGTAAGGCATTCTTTCAAAAGTAAGTAACTGGATTTAGAGAAAATTAACCTTTCATTCGTAAGTGAATTAAATAAAGAATTGGACATTGCCAGGTGGGGGCAGAGAAAGCCAGAGTTTTTAAATTAAAAAAATAAGCAAATAAAATCTTTAAACATAAATGGAGATAAGATTTGAATTGTATCATATATGGTAACCTCTTTTTTGGCTGGTGTACCGAAGTCTAAAAATGTACAAGTGGTAGAGTTTATAAAAACTCATTCCTACTTGGCAAGGGTAAGAAAGGAAGGTGGTCACCTAGAATCAACATTTATTAACTTTTAAACGTCGTTTCGTAGGGAAGAATCTCCCTCCTCAAAGCATTCAGCCTGAGTTTATTTAGGATTCAGTTAATTGAAAGATAATCTGTGGCATCGATAGGAATCATCATTTTCCAAACATCTTATTTTTAGAAACGGGCTTCACAAGCTCTTTACAAACATTGGAATCCATAGTCATTGAAATGGGTGGCGTGTTTTTTCATGGGGATTGTGAATCAGTCTAAAGCAAAATATGTGTTTATGATTTGCATGTAAGGTAACTGAAGTTTAGCAAAAACAATAATTTGTCATTTAGAAATGATCCCAGTCTTTGGAAATATTTAGAATAATAAATTTCAGGTTAAGTTTTTTTTTCACGGTTTAATCAAGTTAAGATTTTTGGGATACTTAGTATTTGGTTGGCTTTACTAAAAGAAAAATATTTATTGGCATTACATTAAACTGCTTAAAAATTAAACGAAGACCTAGTTAAAAGATGCTGGCATTAAGACATGGTTTTACTCAATTTTTATACCTGGAACCCCAAAAGGAACAAAAAGAATGAGAAACAAAGAAGAAGATGCTATGCTCTGTTAAATAGCTACAACTTCAAACCACATTTTAAAGAATACCTGCCAAATAGAGTGACATTTGGACCAAAGGAGAGAGGATGCTGTGAGCTTACATAGTCCTCTAATTTGAGGCAGGGTATAGTTTTCTCAAGGAGTCAGGCCTGTAGAAATTAAATGGCTTCACTAAAATAATAAGAGAATAGAGGGGCGACTCTCTCTGTGCAACTTAGTTGTGCACCACAGAAAACTGGAGGACTCGGAGGTGAGGGAGGAAAAGAGCTTCTGTGTAGAGTTGGGCAGGCTGTGACTTAAACAGCTCTAGGGATCCCAGGAACATAAAAGTCTAGTGAGTGGAGGCCCCTGATGTTGGAGCCCAATCTGCACGCACACCTGCGTGCACACCTAGGCCACCATCGTGACTGAGTGCCATCTTAATGTCTAGGGCAGCTTCCTGAGAGTGGGAGACTTCTCAAAGTGAGACTGAAAGAAGGCTCAGGAAGGTGGTGTTCAGGAGCCTGTGACATGAGGGGCTTCTTTCTAACCTATATCAATGCTGCTAAAGTTTTACACTTGAGTGTAAAATACTCCCAGGGTACAGGACTTGACCATAGTGGAGAGAACTGGAGATTAATGCTGGACTTGAAGCTGGCTGCTCTTCCTATGAACTGACAGGTTGTCTCCACTGCAGCATGAATGCCTTCTAGTTCTGCCTGCCACACCTTGGCATAGGCAGGCAAGTTCATAGAATAATGGAACACAGACAAAGCTAGATGTGGAATATACATCAGAAGACAAATTATCTCACCAACAAAAGAAGAATTCAGAATCTTAGTATTTTGTGGCCTTAAAGGAATAATGAAAACTGGGTTTTCTCAAAGTTTAAAGGAAAGATATATGGTTAAAGAAAATAAGAAATATAGGAGATAGAAAGTGAGCTGATTAATCTGCGTGAAGAAGGAGAAAAACCATTAGGAAGAGGGAAGTCACATTGGAAGCCACCAAATATAACAAACACAAATGAAAACACAGGAATCAACAGACTTGAGAAACTTCTACAAAACAAAGTGAAAAAGATGAGAGAAAAAGGATTTCTGTGAAGATGATACATAGGAGAGACAAAGGCTTATTCATCACATATTACTTGTTTTTCCAAAGGAAGAGAATAAAAATGGAAACAAAAACATTCAAAGGTATAATAGGATAAAGCCTTGCTTATAAAAAAAGAAAGATGTATATGTGCTTGCAGGTCAGAAGGCCACACTATTTACTAGGAAAGAAACTAGAAACAAATCCCAAGAAATGTGCTGCTGAGCGGTCAAGGACATTGGGAACAACAGGACTGAGGGACACTGGGGTGAGCCACACGGCCTTTGGTAGCCTGGTGAAAGCAGTGCCAGGAGACAGCACAGCAAGTTGCAAGGCACTGGGTAGAGCAGAGTGGAGGTGAGGAAGGGGAGAAGAGTACACGCAGCTCTTCTGAGAAGTTTCATCATGAAGAAGCTGAGGGAGATGTGGATGGACCTGAAGGGGGAGATGGGACTGAGGGAGCCTGTGCTTTTTAAGATGGGAAAGACCTGCACATATTTAAATACCCCTAGTGAATGTGAGGAAAGAGAAGGGGGTTCTTAACCTTGCCTGCACATTGGAGCCACTTGGAGTGTTTAAAAAAAACACTGATGGTGGGTCCCACTCAGAAGGATTCCTATGTCATCGGTGTTGGGGATGGCTGGTGTTGAGATTTTTAAAACTGCCCAGGTGATTCTAAAAGGGAGCTGAATTTGAAAACCATCCTTGTAAAAGATGAAACAAAGCTTCAAGAGTTGGGTTTCCTCTTCCACTGTAGCTAGAGGAAGTGATGGAAGTACTTTGAGATAGGTAGGTTTGTGAGAGGGGAGCTGAAGGAGTTTTACTGCTTATGGCTTCTGCGTTCTCTTGAAGGGCTGGTGGTGTGATGGGGAAGCATGTTGGGAGGAAGATGGGCAGGCACTGAGAGGAGAGGAGTGAATTTGCAGCACTCTTTCATGGAGAAGGAGGGAGAACACCAAAGAGGTGTTGAACCAAAGGGTGGGCAGGCAGTGCTGAGAAGGCCGAAGTTTGAGATGATAATTTTATGGAGGCAGCTCTTTCTTCTTCCTAGGTAGAGAGTGGGCAGCCCATAATGTGTGGAGAAGTAAGTTTTCTAGTGAAGACTAGAGAAGTTAGTTACTTGGGAGATTTTCTTATTTTGCCCATAACATAGAGAATCAGACACTGGTAGAAATAAAATCAATTAGTTAATACACATAGTGCATTCTGTTAAATCCTGTCTAGCTCTGCCTTGGTAGGCTCTTAATCGTATTTCTGTAGTTACATAGAAATGAAGCTGAACACTATGATTTTGCTTATAGGGAAAAACATGACTTTCAGTCCCAGTGTTTCAAACGCATCAGTAGGAAGGGCTAATTTAGGCGCCGACTCTTTCCTTAAAGTGAAGCTTTTGTTATATTAATAGATCTAGCCTGTGATTCTTGTAAAGAGTGTTGTAAGTTGACATGGTAATAACTAAGATTTGAAACAATGTGCTTACCCAAGCTGTATCTTGAAATACAGTTTGAATCAACTTGGAAGAAAACCTAAACTAAATTGGGTTTTAGTAAAATAATCCTGCTTCGTAAATATTACAAAGAAAATGTTATCAGTCTTTTTGGGTATTGTTGGCGGAGTCCTTAGATCAGAGATTTTTGTTTTCGTTAGGGCCTTCCTTCTTTAATGTTTTAAAAACATTATTTCAGTTGTGCAGGTAGTTTGCATTTTAAATCATCTCACACAACTTGCTGGAAACTGAAATGGATGCTGAGGACATGGTGACTTTTTAAGGGAAAGATGAATAACATCCGCTGTGCGAGAGCCCTTGTTCCAGAGCACACCACATGAACACCAGGGCTTAAACTCACCAGGAGCCCACTGAGAGCCCATGTATTTAGATGGAAACAAAAATGGACATAAAAATTAAGTTTGAAACAGGTAGTCTAAAACATCACCGGGAGTTCACTAATGTCAGGACAGAATAAACATTGACTACTCAGGACAAGTTTTCAGAAGTTCCCCAAGCCCCTTCTCACTTGGTTGGGTTCTGCTGACGCTGGTTTACTCTGCATCTCACCCCTTTGCACACAGTAACCTTTGGAGATATTCGGCATCGTAGTAAACTTGGTGGTTGTTGGGGAAATTTTTGTTTGCTTTTTCATTCAGCATTTTTTTTTTTTTTGAGACAGAGTCCCACTCTGTTGCCCAGGCTAGAGTGCAATGGCATGGTCTCGGCTCACTGCAACCTCTGCCTCCCGGGTTCAAGCAGTCCTCCTGCCTCAGCCTCCTAAGTTGCTGAGATAACAGGTGCCTGCCACCACACTTAGCTAATCTTTTTGTATTTTTAGTAGAGACGAAGTTTCACTGTGTTGGCCAGGTTGGTCTTGAACTCCTGATCTCAGGTGATCTGCCCGCCTCAGTCTCCCAAAGTGCTCGGATTACAGGTGTGAGCCACTGTGCCCGGCCTTTCAGCATTTTTTTAACATTGTGAAATGGATGTATGGGTGATACTGTGCTAGGCACCAAGGCATGAAGACATAATTCAGACTTGGCTCTTATTCTCAAGAAGTGGACTCTAGACTTTTAGAAGCCCAGGGAAGCAAAGACATTTTTCTTGGCTTACTCTTTTAAGTGTTTCCACAGTATTCTTAGCTATTAGAAAATAAAAATTATTTATTGTTGCAATTGTTAGAAAAAGTCATTCATCTCCTGTCTCTTGGCCACTGTGGAGCCCTGGCATTAAGGAAAAAAAAGTTTGGTGGCTGGCGATCAGCTATAATTGTGGGTGTAACCTTCTCTTCTTCTAGGGTGTTGGTGAGCTTTAGCCTCCTGTCCGTCTTGTCCTTTGGCCTGACTTATACTGTGTTCAGCTTGCAAAGGACAGCTGTAAAGGAGCAGCATGAAGCCAAAATCAATAATAGTGATGTTTTTAGCTCAGCTGTCATCTCCCTACCCCCAAACCTCACCAAAATTTTATGTCTCAGACAGTTTGTCAAGGACAAATGTTTGGTCCATGTCCCACCAGGGCAGGTTTTCTGTCAGCCAGGAGATTCTAGCTGTGTGTGTGTGTGTGTGTGTGTGTGTGTGTGTGTATGTGTGTGTGTGTGTGTGTGTGTGTGCGCGTGCACGCGCACGCGCATGGATTAGGTGTTAGGACACCCAAGTCTAAAGATTTAATTGTACAAATCTTACTGACAAATGTTTTACTGATTTGAATGTGCCAGATTATTTAAAAACTGGAACAATATAACAGATGTTTTTTAAGTTCTGTGAATATGAAAATATTTTAAAAAGGTGAGTATGTTTTTAGTTCTTTGACAGGGGCTTATATGTCTCTGAACTGATATTAATTATCTATGCTTTGCTGTTTTGCCAGTGAAGTCACTGATAAGCCAAGACTAGGTCCAGCGATAAAAATTATTTGGGAATTTAGTTCAGGATTTAAAGAGTGGCATTTCCTCTGACCTTTTTTTAGAGCTGACACTTTGTGGCAGGCCAAGTGTAATATTCTATTCCTTCTAAATACCCTTCTCTTTTTCTCATCTTAAAATCTTTCTCTTTCAAAGCTGATGCAACAGTGGTGTAAAACCACGTTATTTCTAGAATTGCTCTGGGCCACCTGATGGTATACATATTTCTTACAGTTTACGAAGTCCTACCAGATTCTTCTCTGAATATGACCACGGGGAATTGTTTGGACATTAACAAGTGCATTGTGTAAGGGAAGTATTTTACTTTTCAGCAGTAATATTAGATGTTTGTGACCAAAGCTGACGAGTGATTACTGGTTTAACAGCCTTATGTTTCAACAGATACAGCATAACTATAATGTTTAAATATCTGCAGTGATGGCCACCAGGACTGAAGTTTCTTTCTCCTCTTACCTTGAACAAGAGAAGCAGAAGGGCCACTGTTTACAGGGAGTTGATGAGACCACCTTCCTTAGAAGGCCCTTACTTCTCTGGTTGATGAATGTCATACTGATTGCACCCAAGACTGAGTTCTTGGTACACGTGGCTGGGCAAATTCTTGGAACAGGTGTCTGGGCTCATTTCCCTGAGTGGCATGGAGAGCCTTCTTCCATGATCAGGCCTGCAACTTCCCTCCTACTCACTTATGGGCATCACGCTCCCCCTCTGGAGCCCGTTCCTGCTATTTCTCCTGCCTGAAATGCTCTGTGCCCCTTTCCTTCCATCTCTGCCTAAATGCTGCCTTATCAGAGAAGCCCACACGCCATGTAAAGAGCAGTACCCACTCCCTTGTCCTGTTGCCTATGTCCCCTACCCTGCCCTGGTTTGCTGTGTGGGACTTATCACCTATCCTATTAGATATCTGTTTATTTATTTATCATCTCTGCCCTAGGTGGAATGTTAGGTCCACAGAGACAGGATCTCTGTACTCCTCACTGTCGTACTCCGGGCACCTGAGTGTATGGCAGGCACTTGGTTATTGAATGAAGGACTGAATGAAGGAGTCATAGGGGCTCTGTGTGTATTTGTGGAATGAAAGAGGGGGGAAGGAAGGACTTGACACTTAGAGCACCTAAGTATGGAAGGACTTAGGACATTGTCCCTTGGAAAGTGGGTGGTGATTGTCCCGGATAAAGGAAAACACCCCTCCCCACAAAGGGGTTGCCTTGAGAAAGTGGGTAGTTAGGAAGTCCTGGCTTCACGCTCAGGGGTAGGGTGGCTGTATGTCTCCTTTTCCAGGGGATAGGGCTCCTGTTGACACCTATTTCTCCAGCTAATGTTTCAAAGCACCCTCTTCCATTCTTAAAAGTTTCCCAATCTGGGTGATAAATACATGGTCACCCACTTAAGGGATTTGATTGCATCAGGGATGGAGTTCTGTATATGAGAACTACATGCAGGGAGCACTGAGAGGAGTGACTCTGGGAGCACAGGCATTTTGTACCCTTGCCTGGACGGGGCCCTGAGGGAACGGGAGGCCGGCCTTCAGAGGACCACTGGGCGTGTGCAGTTAACAGTTTGGTTTGTGTTTTTCTCCATGTTTCTCTGTATACAGAGGTATATAAATTTAAATATGTACATACATATGAAGTCCACCCCTGTTTTATTTTTACAGAAATGGTATTATGTCATACCGTACTTACCAAAGTCTTTTTTATTTCGTATTTCAGAATATCTTTGCTGGTCTGTACCTATTGATCTCCTTCGTTACCGTTACTTTTAATTGCAGCATAATATTCTATAGATGGATATATCTGACTTATGCAGTCGTGCCCCTGTTGATGTGCTTTCAGACTATTTTCATATTCTACTGTTAAAAATACTTTTTTTGTGACAAAAGATATCTGTATGCATGTATCCGTATGCTGAGAGTGGGATTTCTGAGTCAAAGTGAATGTGCGTTTTTAAACAGTCATCACCAGATGCTTTCCCCAAAGGAAGTACAGTTCTTCCTGCCTGCAGCAATGTTAGGCGTGCCCTTTCCTCACATCTTGCCCAGCAGTGGATGCTCAGATCTTTTAATGTTTTTCTAATCTATCAGGTAAAAAATGAGATTATCTTTTCCTTTGGCTGTACATTTTTGAGCCTTTATCATAGAGTCAAGTGTTGTAATGCATTCTGTAACTCCAAGATATGTAGCATTTACTAACTGCAGTCATTCATTAAGTAAAACTTAGACCATTAGGAAGATATACTGTTTAAGTATTTAAATAACTGAACACATCTTCCTGTGTTTTATCACTTTTTTTCATATCTAGGGCATTTCACATGTTTCCAGGTTTGGTTCCTAGGTATGGCTATTAAAGAACTTTCAGATCAAGGTTGATAATTGGGCATACTGGGCTGGGGTGCAGTGGCTTACACCTGCAATCCCAGCACTTTGGGAGGCCGAGGCAAGTGGATCACTTAAGGTCATGAGTTCGAGACTAGCCTTGCCAACATGGTAAAACCCCGTCTTTACTAAAGATAAAGAAATTAGCTGGCTATGGTGGCATGTGCCTGTAATCCCAGCTATTCGGGAGGCCGAGGCACGAGAATCACTTGAACCCGGGAGGCAGAGGTTACAGTGAGCTGAGATCGCGACACTGCAGTCCAGCCTCGGCGACAGAGTGAGACTCTGTCTCAAAAACAAACAATAAATAAATACATAATTGGGCATACTGTAATATTCTCAGAGATCTATATGTAAAATTTGTATAGTCATAGTTTTATGGTGGGTTATAATTGTCTCTAGTAGATTCTGTGAGTCTAAAACAATAGGAAGACTGTGCTCCATTAGCTTGTCATGCAATTTTTAACTTTGACAATAGACTTTTTTTGAAAAAAAAAATATTTTATTTTTTGCGACAAGATCTCACTCGGTCACTCAGGCTGGAGTGCAGTGGCATGATCACAGCTCACCACAGCCTCAAACTCCTGGAGTCAGGTCATCCTCCCACCTCAGTCTCCCAAGTAGCTGTGACCACCGGTAAGTGCCACCACACCTGGCTAATGTTTTTGGATTTTGTAGAGACAGGGTTTCACCATGTTGCCCAGGCTGGTCTTGAACTCCTGGACTCAAGCAATATACCTACCTCAGCCTCCCAAAGTGCTGAGACTACAGGCATGAGCCACTACGCCTGGCTGACAATAGGCTTTATTTACTCATTTATTGAGATACAATTGACGGAAGCTATAAATGCTAAATATTTCAAATGTGAAGGGATGAAATGTGATGGAGGGGCAGGCAAAGGAGCAGTGGTGCCAGGTGTGGATTCTGTGTAGTGTGTGAATGGCGTCTCTGTCCCTTAAGCCCAAGGCAACAATGTGAATAGCCACTTGCGTACAGCAGCGTGCCATATTCAACTTGGCAGGTTTCCATCCCCAAGGGCCTTAGTGTGTTGTAAACACTTTATTGATTGATGTTCAATACATTGCAGCACAATATAAGAATATATTGTCATCATATAGTGATGAGGGGAATTGTGTTGTGGTGCCTCATGTTTGTAAGGGATGACATTTCGGGTAGACGTAGGAAAACCGTTTCACATGCTACAATTGTTGTATATTTCCTCTGTCCAATTGCACATGGGCCAGAGACTTATGTGTATGGGAAATGTTTCTTTGCTGCTTTACCAGGATGTCGGTCATTTTGCTCGGATAGGGAAAACTGGAAAAAGAAAAAGAAAAAGATGTGCCCAGATACTTACTGGTTTTCGGCTTCCTGGTGAAAGTACTTTATGAACATAGTGAAATGTGTCATTCTTTCTAATCCTTAAATCTGCATAGGCCATGCCCATAAGGGGCTAAGTGTGGGCTATGGGGTGGGAGTGTTGCTTTTCCTTCCCCCACCCTTGTTCATGCCTGTCTTAGCATGTGACTCTTGATAGTGAACTTGCCCAGATGCTTCAAGGTCACCATTTCCCATATTCTCTGGCAGCTGAAGAGCTGTTTGGATCTTGGAATATGGAGTGGGATGTTTGATATTGTCAAGAGAAATGTGGGTGAACAGTGCGTAGGTCCTCCTTGAGCCCCTGGGAAAGGCTTGACACCACAATTTAGAAACCCTTAACTTTCTTAAGGTTAACATCTGAAGAAAAGAAGTAATTTGTTCTGAGGATTTTTTTTCCCTTTTGTGATGTAGTTCATATTTTAATATGAATCTCGGAACTGCCTGAATAATAATAATAATAATAATGGATAAACTTAATGAGCCCATTTTATCAACTGTTATGCATTATCTCATTTAATCCTTTGGTAACTTTGAGAAGGTACTGATGTTATCCTTTTTGTTGTTGAAGAAATTAAATAGCTTGCCAAGATCAAGCATGACTAGAGAGTAGCCCACACTTTATAGGACTTGGCTGAAAGCACTTTTTCTTAATGAGCAAATGTGTAATTGTTGGTTTACAGGGAAGTGGAGCCTGATTAATGTCGGGGCTGTTACACGGGCCATCAAGTTCTCTCCTCATGATGATGTTTTTAGCATCAGTTCGTTGATGTGTATCTCTGCTCAGTACTCTTTCACTTCCTGTGTTTTGGAATTAAAGAGGTGTTAGATTCCTTAAAAAAAAAAACAAAAAACCCTTATTTTTGTTTGGAAATGGTTCCCAAATGCACTGCTGGTGTAATTACCAAATGCTGACTTCTAGATAGATAGCTATAGTCACTGCATAAGCCACGTTGCTCACTCAATTCTCAATTGCATTTCTTTTAATAACAATTCCGAAGTTCTAACATTATTTTTTTCATTTCTGTATCAAAAATGTGGTCTTCTCATACCTATGGCTGGAGATAAGTATGTTTATGGTTTAATTGGGTGGATATAAGGAGAGGGGCCCCTGGAAGTCCCCAGAGGTCTCTCCTGGATGCTTCTCATGCACTGACAGTGCTGTGATGAGAGTTTGTGAGTATAACAGAGGCAAACACTCATGAGGGCTGATAATTATAACTAAGTCTGGCACATAGGAGCACTATATCAGTGCTAGATGTATGTTTATTCATTTTACCTCTACAACCCTGTGGGGTAGGTATGATTATGATTTTCATTTTCCAGAAGAAGCAGCTGAGATTATATGTTGGTCTCAAGACTGCACAGCTAGTAAGTTGCAGAGCTGGGATTCCAGTTCAGTTGGTCAGATTCTTTAACCAGTTCTTAACCTGCAGGCTAGATTTTAGCCTTATCCTGGTTCACATGTATTTAAATATTCTGGCCGGAGGATACCCCACTAAGTATAAAATAGCTTTGAAATAAAGCTATTTCAAGGGAATGTCTAAGAAGGTATCTGAAGCATCTAAATGAAGAAACTAGCATTAGAAAACATACTAACTGGCAATTTTATTTAGAATCATGTGGCTGTGCATTCCATTTCTTAAAGATAGTAAATTTTCTTAAGAAAAAGAATAAAGAAGAAAGCCTCTAGCATCTTAAGTTTCACTCATTTCTGCTCCCTGACTTTTATTAGGTTACACCTGATTTATTTTAGCTTTCTCAGGGTATGGGACAATTGTTTATAGGATTGGTATGGTGTCTACTTAGTCTGCATTTGATAGGAGAAAGTATTTAAACTGCTCTTTTTGTTAGAGATGACAAATAAAAAGACCCATTGTGTTGTAACCATAGGGTTGATGAAATTTATGACCTCTTTGAGTTAGTTTTAAAATGTAGCTTAAAAATTAGACATTATTTATTTGTAAGAAATCACAAACATTTGAGGTTCACAAATAATTTGCTGAAGGGGCTTGGAGGAAGTCGTTTATGATTTTTTATTTTAAATGGGGCTCAGATGCTGCCTCTTTCCTCTCTGTCTTGGGCATTGGGGGGGTGCAAGTTATGCTGGCCAGAGGGCCCTGAGACTGAAACCTACTCTGGATACTTTTTTAGTGTTCATGTGGTTTAGTATCCTGCAGTGGTTTTGGGGTGAGTGCAAATTTAAGAGTAAAAAGCCAGTTTATAAGAGAGAAGCTTGTTCCTTGTTTGCTTTTTACCTGCTGCTGTGTAATGTTTAGCCCCTATTTGAGGTCATGTCCATGAGGCTTAGTGTCTCTGAGTAATCAATGAGGAAGAACAGTCTCATGTCAGGCTTGCCATGCACATTTAATGACGACTGCCCATGAAATCCCTGGCACTGGATTGGCTTGCCATTTTTTTTTTTTTTTTTTTTGAGATGGGGTCTTGCTCTGTCGCCTAGACTAGAGTACAGTGGTGCAATCATGCCTTACTGCAGCCTCGAACTCCTGGGCTCAAGCCATCCATCCTCCCTCCTCAGCCTCTCGAGTAGCTAGGACTACCAGTGTGTGCCACCGTGCCTGGCTAATTAAAAAAAATGTTTTTATAGAGACAGGGCCTTGCTTTGTTGCCCAGGCTGGTATCAAACTCCTGGCTGGAAGGGATCCTCCCACCTCAGCCTCCGAAAGCACTGGGATTATAGGCGTGAGCCACTGTGCCCAGCTTGGATCACCATTCTTAACTGTAACCATCCTTTCCTTTCTTTCTTCATCTTCAGTGACAAGTAAAGTATCTTATTGGATGTGGGAGATTGGCATAGGAAGTTAGAGAATGACTTCCCAAAGTCACTCTTTTCTGTGGGAAGAGACCTAGAAATCCTGGTGTGAGAAGTAATTTGAGGGGATCAAGAACTTCTTGATTAAAGGATGGATTTGTTTTCTTTTGTTGCATAATAAATTGCTACAAATTTAGCAAATTAAAACAACACTCACTTATTAGCTCTCAGTTCTGCAAGGCTGAAGTGAGCGGGCTTGCTATGCTCAGGGTATCAGGAAGCCCAGATCAAGGTGTCTCCTGACTCAGCCTTTACCTGGAGGCTCTGGGGAAGAATGCACCCCCAGGCTCATTCAGGTTGTTGGGGGAATCCAGTTGCTTGTAGTTGTCAGTCTGAGGTTCCTGTTTTCTCCCTGATATCAGCAGGGGGTTGCTCGCAGCTTTTCAAGGCTATCTGCCTGCCTTTTCCTGTGGCTCCCTCCCTCTTCAGGGCCTGCAGTGGTTTATCCAGTGGAAGCTCTCTGACTTTTCCCTGGACACCAGTCTAAGAAAGCGCTCCACTGAGAACAGCCTCAGTGATTAGGTCAGACTCAGAAATTAGAATCTCCTATTCTGTTTTTTCAGTTATGGTAGCCTGGTGTGGTGGTACATGCCTGTAGTCCTAGCTATTCGGGAGACTGAGGCAGGAGGATTCCTTGAGCCCAGGGGTTAAAGGTTGCAGGGAGCTATACACCACTGCACTCTAGCCTGGGTGACAGAGGGAGACCTCATTTAAAAAAAAATAAATAAATAAAATAAATGAATGAATAAAATAAATAACATGGTAAGAACACGTAACATGGGATCATAAGATCTACTCTTTGAGCATATTTTTGAGTGTACCATATGTTATTGTTGATTATGGTACAATATAGTACAGCAGATCTCTAGAACTTATCTTGGAGTACTGAAACTTTATACCTGCTGATTAGGAACTCCCCATTTCCCTCTCCCCGAGCCCTGGCAACCGTAATTCTATTCTATGCCTCCATGAGTTTGAATGTTTTAGATGCTTTGTATAAATAGAATCATACGCTATTTGTCCTTTTGTGTTGGCTTATTTCACTTAACAAAATGTCCCCAAGGTTCATCCATGTTATCGCACATTGCAGAATTTCCTTCTCTTTAAAGGTGAATAATAATACATTGTATGTATATGACACAGTTTCTTTATCCATTAATCTGTCCATGGACATTTTGGTCTTTTCTACATCCTGGTTGTTGTTAATAGTCCTGAAATAAATTTGGGAGTACTAATAGCTCTTCAGGATCCTGATTTCAATTTCTTTTTTGGGTAAATACACCTAAGTGGGATTGCTGGATCATATGATGTTTCTGTTTTTAATTTTTTTGAGGAATCTCTATACTGTTTTCCATAATAGCAAAACCAATTTACATTCCCAACAACTGTGTACAAGGGTTTCAGTGATACTCTCCCACTCTTAAGGCCAACTGTGCCATCTAACAACATGGCAAAATCATGTTATGATCATTATTATGCTTATGATGATAGGCACACGATTATAAACGTAATCACAGGAGTGGCACATCATCATAGTCACGAGTTCTACAGGATGTGGGATCTGGGGTGGGTAAGTGCATTTTTAAAATTCCACCCACCACCAGGGTCATCTCAGAATGCCTCCAAGTGCCCCTGCCCCTGTCTGAACCCTGCTGGAACAAGCCCAAGCTTGTACTGTTATTTGCTGGCCTGATGAACATCCTATTTCAGTAGTGATGGCTAATTTTATTTCATATTAAGGGATTTGTGGAAAGAAATTTTAACTAAAGTATGATCATTGTATCTTGATGCCCCGAAGGGTGTGAGAGATTCTTAAAGATGATAGTAAACGTATTAGAAAAGGAGCAATTACTGTTCTAGCTTTGTAGAACTATTTATATCCAGACTCTTAATGTGTATTATAGGTGAGACAAAGACATAATATGGATTAGTTCATTGCTTATTTTATTGTGAGAAGGAGTCTATGGAACTGGGTCACTGGAATTTTTACAAATATAATTGAGATTATGGATCATAAGTTAGAAGGTTGATTGTATGAATGGGCAAATGTAGCATTACCATGTTGATAGTTACCAAGTCCTAGGGCCACACAGCAAAAGCAAAACCATTAGAAGTAGTTTTCCTAAGGCTATTGGTTTTTTTTTTGTTTGTTTGTTTTTAAGTTTACCTCCTAAGGACTCCTCAGAGCCACTAGGCAAGGTCAGGCTGTAATTCATCTCTAGAAAGAGCACCTGATGGTTAAAATGGAGTCAATATCCATTACTTTATCATAGAGATGATCTCACAAAAGGGCACCTGCATCATTTAGGGTGCTTTGGTTGCAAGCAATAAAATTGGACTGCAGTTCACTTAAAGCAGAAAAGGAATTTATTATAAGGACATGAGGAAGCTCACAGACTCTAGTGGCAGGCCAGAAAACTGGGCTCAGAATAAAGATTGAGAGAGATAGAGGGTAGTTTTAGGGAGCAGGATCTACTATCTAACTACTGCCCTGTCTTTTCAGGGCATGTTGTAAAAAATGAAATAGAATCATGTCTCTGTCCTTGCACCATCCCAGTCAAGACCCAGAGTCCTTTGGAGAAAGGTCCATGGGACAAGGATCTCCCAGGTCTGCACCTGATGGAGGGATAAATCCATCAAAATGACTCGGGATGCTATTACTAACCAAAGAGAGAATGAATAGATGCTGGGGGCAAAACTCTAAAGCAAAAACCTGATGTTTACTGTAGAATCTCTTGTTACTTAAAATGCTTTCTCAAAAACTACTCAAAAAATGCATTGAGTGGTAATTTAAAAAACACTTTTGCCTTAAACAATAGTCTTTTATTACTACACAACCACTGCCTTAAATCATAGAAACCCCAAAGCACTCCTCCCAGTTAAGTTAGAATATTTCAGGCATATTCTTATTTGCATAATATCAATGAAATCCTTTGACTAGTGTATAAGAAGGGTCCATTTAGCATATCATGATGAAAACGGATTGCCAAAAAAAAAAAACTGCAAGCAAATACAGAGGAGCCAAAAATCATTGTCTGTTATCCTGGAGTCATGTTCACTGATTATTTATTTGTAAGGTGAATATAAACTACAAAAATAATCCTCATTCTATTTGTTGCATGATAATGGCTTTTAAAATGAACATTTGTGTCTAACATGAAAAAAACCTCTGTATCTAACAGTTTATGGGTAAGTGATCATGTTCTAATAGCATTGTATCAAAAGCTGCTTTTCTTTATAAATCCTTATATTTAATCCCTCCAACCAGCCAACAAGCCACAAGCTTCCCAGGGAATTAATTTAAGATTGAAGATAAAAAAGAGGCCAAAGTTAATGACATCAGAGAGAAAGCTCCTGAAAGAAGTAATAGTTTCAAAAAGATTTTGACTGTTTTATAAGACAAATATAAGCTGTCGTAGAAAGAATTGTTATAAAATAAGGTTATTGCTTCTGGCTTATTCAAAATGATTTTTTCTAGTTTATAACCTCAACTAATCTTGTAATAACATTTTAAAGTAAAATTTTAATGTGTACCTTGGGAATGACACTGACCAGTTTTACTATTAGATTGCAAAAAATGTTTTAAATATTGATAATGTAATTTTGTCAAGAGCAGATCATCACTTTTGATAGCACAGAATTCTATACTTAAAATATGAGATTTCTAAATTCACAGCAAAAAGGATTTTGTTGTGAATGAGATAAAATTTAAGATTTAATTGTGGTCTGGCAAGGAAATAATAGCATAAAACCACCAGGGAAATTCAAATATGATAATTTTGGTGAATGTTCTCAATTTTAAATAAAAATTTTTTAATGTAATGACTTTACCTATGGTGGGATTGAAGCAATACATTATTTACACATTTAATCTTATTTTGATTTACTCTAATTTATTTGATATCAGCAGCCTGTTAGATGATAATTTAAAAATCCGCTGCTACCATAGTTGCTTTAGGAAACCTTCCTGATGATAATTTTATTCACTAGAATAATTTAAGTTTCCATTTAAAATGCGTATTTAAACATTATAATGTGTTGGCAGCAGAAGATGTTTATATCAGGTAGAATGATGATTTCCTTAATGGACAGCAATACCGTACCTCATATTTTATGGTAAAGGAGATGGATTAAAATTACTTTTTACTACATGTACCTTCTATGTTTGCATGGAGCATAAACAAGGAGCTATAAGATTTTTTTTTTTTTTTTTTAAGACGGAGTCTCACTGTGTCACCAGACTGGAGTGCAGTGGTGCAATCTCGGCTCACTGCAACCTCCGCCTCCCGGGTTCAAGTGATTGTCCTGCTTCAGCCTCCCGAATAGCCAGGACTACAGGCACACGCCACCATGCCCAGCTAATTTTTGTATTTTTAGTAGAGACAGGGTTTCACCATGTTGGCCAGGATGGTCTCGATCTCTTGACTTTGTGATCCGCCCGTCTCAGCTTCCCAAAGTGCTGGATTACAGGCATGAGCCACTGTGCCTGGTCAAAATTTTTTTAAAAATTAAAAACATTCTCTAGTCGTGCCTTCATGGAGGCATACTGAGCATATGGCATCATATTTTGTCACACTCTCACGTATCTGCTAGTGTAAGCTACTTCCCAGCCCGGTAGCACTTTTGAAAGACTTACATTGGGCTTTTTGTGGCGGAAATGGGGAGCAGGATTTGTTCTTTGTCTTTCTGAACCTGTTTTAGCACTGCACACCCTCTCCTGATAGTGCCTGTGGCTTCTCTAAGGGAGCTTTATTCCTCAGAGAAGAAACCTCTGCTAGAAGAAAGGAAAGAGAATAATGGAGAAGGAAAGATTCTGTGGGGGAAATACACAAGATGGTCCTTCCAGAAAAGCTGCTCAGACATCTGAAGCTTTTGTCTATGAGTATTGTTGGCCAATTGTTGGAGGACTGAGGCTTCTACCTTTCTTCCTGCGAAGGTCGAGGACAGGTTAGGTGTTGGGTAAAACTAAACCCCAGATGATGGCCTTCAGGAGTATTCCAAGGTCAGCATGTGATGGGGAGAGAAGAGTTGTGGAAGAAGACTTTATGCCCAAGACTTTGGGAAGAGAGTAGTCCAGGCCCTTTCCAGGGATTTGCTGTAAGGTGACACCTGTTCCCCTTCTGGCATCTCTCATCCCGTGCGTTTGACTTTTGTTGGAACATCCAGCACGGTTGGTTGTGGCCAACTTGTCAGGAATAAATTTATTCCTGTATTTGATTTTGTCAGCCAGGGAAGATTTATGAGACAGAGCTGCTGTCTGGATATCCCTTAGAAGGAGACAGTGCTCCTGGTGGCTTGGGTGGCTTCTTGCCTCTCTAGTGCTGGAAGAAACCCTCAGCCCTGGTGACTGTGAGGGAGGTTTCAGCAACTAAATGCAAAATAGCATACTGATCTAGCTTTAAGAATTTCAGGAGTTACTCATTTAGTTTTTATTTTGTGCCTGTAGTCCAAACAGGATCTCAGCTAGGAATATGGCATGTCCTGTTCTTAAGGATCTGATTATAATATGGAAGGAAAGAGGATAGGTATGTAGGTAATTCAAGTATAAATGCCACATAAATGAGATATAAAGTAACTGGGATTCATGGAAGAAAGAACTGCATCCTGGTTGACGAGATTTTAAAAAAGTTTGTATCAATCAATCAAAAACTTTGTGTCAATGCAGAGAAGATAAGTTAAAGAAGAAGGAGCAGCTGTAGAAGTCCCTGAGTTCTAGGCAGTGTCATCTCAGACTGTTCGGGATTGGGCTCAAAGGGCTGGAAAGGTCTCAGGCACATCAGGTGCACGCACCCTTGGAGCCACAGTAGCAATGCCCTCCCTCGGCCCACCCCATGTCTCTTTGAGGTGGCTTTTGGATTTTCTCCTCACCAAGGAAAGATGTTGATCTCCTCATACTTAGGAAATACTCCACAAATGCTTTTAAAATTCCAATGACATCTACGCTAGGGTTACAGTTAAGCCCTATGGCCTCCTGCTCATTTTTTAATCAACTTGATCTCAGGCCTGAAAGTAACCAGAATGTTCATGTGTACTGTTCTTCCATGAGGTAATTAATTGAATGAGCAGGATGAATGGGAACTTGAAATTAACAATGAGCTATTGAAAAAATAAGCAACAAGTAATAATTGCTCCATTAATGGACTTTCCTTGTCTGTTGACATGACTGCCTTTATTCTTATTTACTGCACTCGTTAAGATGGTAATAAGTATTATCTTTTAATTTTTTAAAAATAATATTCTTAATTCATATTGGTGGTTTACACTCAGTGTTTTTACTGAATAATGTGCCTTCCTACAAAGAGCTTAACATGAAGGTGATAAATCATTATCCTTTATCACTCATTGCTCTATTTACATTATCTTTTACATTCACGTGCCTTAGGCATTTATACTGTATAAAGAGACTACTGTATGGACACTTTGTTTTTTTAAAAAGTATCATCAGAAATCAAAGGAGGGATCCATTTGCCAAATGGGCACCATAAAGACCTTTTAATAACAGCTACAGAAATCAATCTCATTCAGCAGCAAATCCTGAATTGTGATAGATGATCTGTATATCATCAAAGCTACAGAAAGCTAGACTTCTCTGTTACCATTCCTGTCTAGAAGAGCACATGTAAATACACATAGATTCACAATGGCCCTCTTGCTAGTCACAGGTGGTCACCAGTGTGCAGTGGAAGCTGCATTTCTGTAAGGTAATTTGTTAGTTGCTTGGAATGGTTTTCTTAAAAGAAATTGTGTTTTAAACTGTAGTTAGGTTCTGAGGTCAGCTCTCAAGGTACATAGTTAACCATTGTGTATTCTTCCATTGTTCTACTTTATATGTTATTTACATTATTATACATATCACATTATTTTATACTTTCTTTTATTTGTTGGAATGGCTTACTGGGCTGAGAGTACCTTATAAACAGGGACAGTGTGTCTTAAAAAGTGCTCAGGCCTATTCTTGGCAAATATGATTTGTTAGGTATTTTTAAAGTGAATGAAAGTTGACATTTAATAGGTTCTAGAGAACTATATGTCTGATAAGTGTTTTCAAGAGAGAAGTTTATTCAGAATTTCAAGTCTGAAAGCCAGGAAATATTCCTGGCATATATAAATTGAAGAATGTCTGCAAGTGATATAGTTCAGTACTTTAAAATTATGGTTGTTACCTAAAGTTCATTAACTCTTATTGCCTTGATAAAGCTCTTCAGGGAAAGCCTAACATTTCTTCAGCTACATAGTTATCAGAAATAAAGAGTTAGTACTGAGCTTCAGGGCAGGCCTTCTTCAAGTGTATACTTCTTTTCTGATTCAAAGATAAATTAAGTTATGATTATATGTATATTGAGTTCTTTGGGTTTTTTTGGAATTTTAATGGAATGTGAAACATGCCATTACAATAGATTTCAAAAGCTTAGTCCTATAACACAGAAAAATATTTACCTTTTTTTCACTATGGAGGTGAGGGTATTTCTGAGATGCCACATCTCGACTAAGTAATTTTTAAAAGAGAATTATTCAGTAAATGTTTTGATTTTATTTTTTTTTATTTTTAAGACCTTGCATTATTCTAACCAACTTCTTTATAGGGAAATATATGTAAATCAGAGTGCTTTTGCGTTTGGAAATATTGGAAGCAAAAATTCCAAAATGTTTTATGTTGAACATATGGGAACAGCATGGAAATTTGTGAGCAGTGCTTTAAATAAAAACCTGAATCATATTATATGTCTATATTTTGAGATTTAAATCTCTGTTAAACTAGCCCCATTCTGACTGCCAGGCATTTGAGGAGACACCATGTCTTAATTTTCTCTTATCTCAAGTGACACTCACAGAGCCTGGTACATAATAGAGCTACCGATGTTTGTGGGAGGAGTGGAGTATGAAAACTGACTTTGGCATGTTGAAAACCAAATTCGGTATTTCGGTGCCTTTTCTTTCTGGGATATTATATCTCATATAGTCCTAACTGCATATTAAAATCAGTGATGGTACCTTTGATCAAGCCTGAGGATATTAAATAACTTTAAGAAGTCAGAGCGTGAGGCTAGGCACCATAGTTCACACCTGTAATCCCAGCACTTTGGTACTTTGGGAGGTTGAGGCGGGAGGTTCTCTTGAGTCCAGGAGTTCAAGACTGGCCTGGGCAACATAGTGAGACCCTGTTTCTGAAACAGAAAAAACAAAAAACAACAAAAACAAAAAAACAATTGGTCATGGTGGCACATGCTCGTAGTCCAAGCTACTCAGGCGGCTGAGGTGGGAGGATGGCTAGATCCCAGGAGGTTAAGGAGGTGGGAGGATGGCTAGATCCCAGGAGGTTAAGGAGGTGGGAGGATGGCTAGATCCCAGGAGGTTAAGGAGGTGGGAGGATGGCTAGATCCCAGGAGGTTAAGGAGGTGGAGGATGGCTAGATCCCAGGAGGTTAAGGAGGTGGAGGATGGCTAGATCCCAGGAGGTTAAGGAGGTGGAGGATGGCTAGATCCCAGGAGGTTAAGGAGGTGGAGGATGGCTAGATCCCAGGAGGTTAAGGAGGTGGAGGATGGCTAGATCCCAGGAGGTTAAGGAGGTGGAGGATGGCTAGATCCCAGGAGGTTAAGGAGGTGGAGGATGGCTAGATCCCAGGAGGTTAAGGAGGTGGAGGATGGCTAGATCCCAGGAGGTTAAGGAGGTGGAGGATGGCTAGATCCCAGGAGGTTAAGGAGGTGGAGGATGGCTAGATCCCAGGAGGTTAAGGAGGTGGAGGATGGCTAGATCCCAGGAGGTTAAGGAGGTGGAGGATGGCTAGATCCCAGGAGGTTAAGGAGGTGGAGGATGGCTAGATCCCAGGAGGTTAAGGCTATAGTGAGCCAAGTCACAGCACTGCTCTCCCGCCTGGGTGACAGTATGAAACCTTTCTTAAAAAACTGGGTATTAGAGTGTGGATAGCAGAACATTTTAATGGGATTAAAAAATGTATTCCTTTAATGGTATTATTAAGGGGCCACCAACATTTTTATTTTGAATCATTATGTGAAACAGTTGGATAATTAGAAATTTTTCAGTGATTTGTGAAGCCAGCCATGCTTATTCTTGAGTTCCTTGGATGACTGCTACTATAGTCACAAAGTCCTATCTTCCTCTGTTTTCACTGGTTTAAATCAAATCATTGTTTTTCTAATGATAACAGCAACATGCCATACCTCGTGTCCACCACAATGTATGGATTACCTGATGATTGGAGAGAAATGCAGTGACTCTGGAAATGGCATTATTGTGATGTATATATGCATGAGAGATTTGGGTGAGAGATGGTACATTTATCCTTCCTTAATTAACTTGCCAATGAGAAAGAGAGAGTTCAAGAACAAAACCTTGGAAGTTATGGAAGAATCTGAAAATGATGTCCTGGAATTAGTTTGCTTATATTTTGGGAGTAATTTTTCAGGGGCACTGAATTTCACATGAGCACCTTACCAAATGCTTACGTGTTGTGTAGCACTAATGTAAACACTGTAAATGGTCACTCTCTGAAGATCAGTTATGATGACTGTGGCTAGCAGGCCGAGTTGGACTGCAGACCAGCCTGCCTTGACATTGCTTATTTTATTCTTAAGTGAGGGAGACTGATCTACATGAATGTGTTTTTATACAAAGATTAACGGGTGACATTGGAGGGGTACTACTTGATGAACACTCCACATGCAGGATCTTATTCTTCTTACCATCCTTATGAAGGTAAGAGCTGTTCTTATCCACTGTTACATAGGGCTCATTTGATGTAACTTGTCCACAGTCTCACAGTCAGTATGTGGCAGAATAGGATTGGAAACCAGACCATTCGATCCCAAAGACCTACCTTCCTACCGTTTAATAATACCCTCCTGTTCCAGAAATATGCAAAAGCCAATGACAAGACATAAACAGGAACATATGGTAAATTGGTAACCAGTAACATATGCCTAATATTTGAAAACTTTTAAGGTAATTCACTCCTTCTGCCAAAAAGATGTATTGACTACCTACCATGTGAAATGCTGTGTGGCGTGTATACAAGTCCCACTTAGGTTCTTGGTTCAGGGACTGAGTTGGGTGTAATAGAAGCAATCTGTAATATCAATGAAGAACTCTCCTACAAAGTGGGAGATTGCTGCTATTAAAGGACTGAAGAAGAGAGTAAATACACTTAAGGAAAATCTGGGAAGACATCATGGAGGAAGCTGGATTTGCACTGGGCTTGGGAAGGCCAGGAAGTTACCTGAGATGCAGACACAGGGTGGGGTTGGGGCACTGGGGTGAAGGAAGGTGGCACAGCTATGAACAGGAGTAGGGGAAGGAAGAGATAGGACTGGCGTTTTCAAAAATGGGAACAGTAGTGTGAATGAATCGTAATGGAGCAATTCTGTGGTGCCGTATCTGAGCAAGCCTTGATACCTGACTACTACTCAGTAGGCCGTGGGGTGTCACAGAAATCCTTGGAGTCATGTTGCTTTCTGCCATGCCAGTGAAGTGATCAAGTGTGACACAAGCAATCACAGAAGCCTGGTCATCTGCATTCTGGCAGTGTGGTCTTCTCCAGGCCTAATGACATCTCTGTTTCTGTTACGTTTCCCTTGTATTGTCAACTTCTCTTAAACTTGAGGACTCACCAGCCCTAGAATGGAGGAGGGGAGTGTGTTAGTCTTAGTGAATTCCATGTGTCTCATGTTTCTAAGTCACTTTCCATTTCATGAAACATTGTGAGAAATTACTGGTGTATAATGATGACTCCGCCTCATACAGAGAATGCTTTTGAACATACTGCCTTTGAATTTGATTAGGTGTAGACAGTCAATAGTAGGAAACGTAGGAAACTCCCTTCTTCCTTCCTTCCTTTTTTTTTTTTTTCGACAGAGTCTCGCTCTGTTGCCCAGGCTGGACTGCGGTAGTGCGGTCTTGGCTCACTGCAACCTCTGCCACCCGGGTTCAAGTGATTCTCCTGCCTCAGCCTCCCAAGTAGTTGGGATTACAGGTACCCACCACCATGCCTGGCTAATTTTTGTATTTTTAGTAGAGACAGAGTTTCACCAGGTTGTCCAGGCTGGTCTTGAACCCCTGACCTTAGGCGATCCACACACCTCGGCCTCCCAAAGTTCTGGGATTACAGGCATGAGCCGCCGTGCCGCTGGAAACCCTTTTCCACAGCCGTATAAAATATCTATAGAAGGACCAAGATATAAGAATGGGTGAATGTATTCATGAAACATTTATAGCTCTTTTAGAGAATGTGAGGTCAGGATCAATATATTTAAAACAATATTTTTTAAATTGAAGTTAAAAAAAAGTAAAAAGAAAGAAACAGAAACAAAGCTTTATTGAAGGCTTACTGACGACTTACTACAGGCTTCCTTAGCTCCTGTGCTAAGTCTTTCCTAAGCGCTTTTCCATTTAATCCTGACAGTCGCCATGAGAAGGAGGGCTTGTTGTTATCCCCATTTTGCAGATGAGGAAACAGAGGTTTAGAGTGTGATTTACTGATACTGTGTAACTGCTCAGTCGCAAAGTCAGGGTTGGAACACAGCTTGGCCTCACTCCCCATGCCGCTGTTTTCTAACGTCTCCTGTAAGTGGTGCTTCGGCTCGTAATGCCAGTAAAATCACTTATCAAGCAAACCTACAAACCGGAAAGGAGTCCCAGGTCGTTTATATTCTTTCTGACAGAAAAATGTATGCTTTAGATGTAAGACTGGTTTTGATAATACTTTGCTCCTTTTGGTTTTGTCTACATGAACACAATGCAGCGTATGGTTTGGGTTTCTTCGAGTCACTAGAGATGGGCTGCCTCACAATCATTTGTGTTATTGCATCTCATGCTGATCAATGGACCACTTATTGCTTACATGGGTTTGCTGGGGATGTTGGGTTCCACCGTCTTGCAGTTATTTCTGAAAGTTTTAAGTGCATTCAGCCACACATGCTATTCAGTAAGTTTACAACAATTTGCTCAATCTTTCTGTGCATCATTTTATAATTTTAGAGCTTTAAAAAATGCTCTTGTCTGTTTTTGACATAGAGTTGTTTATTTTCTATTTACATGGTATTCTTGTTTAGTTTTCATCTACCTCAGAAGGCTTTCATATAGAATTATCTGCTCTGTTGGCTTCTGCAGAGTTAGCAGGAAGAGTGGCACTTAGTGCCAGGCTGCATATTAAGGTAGTTCGAGTGGTATGGCCCACAACTGATGGCCACCCTCCTGTCAAAATGTGGTCTCCACTTTGTATCATCCACAAAGCAGTTGGATTCTGATTGGAATACTGACATTGTTCTCATAATCATTTAAAGATAAATGGGCTAAAAATGTTGCATAAATTCTGTGTTGTAAAATTTATTCTTTCGAAAGTTCGTTTCTCAGTGCCATAGATGACACTGACAGCATTATTAATACTTTCAATATTCTAGTGTCAGAAATCATTTGATGTCAGTTTAATCCTTTTAATGGTTAATGTCAGCATTTTAGCATGAACGTTTAAGTGTCCCCAAAGATTGGGTTGATTATTCTTCATCAAGTAGGCTCATTTTAAAGTCAAGAAAATGGCTCACTTGTACTATCAGCTATGCCTTTTCAGGGTTTTTTCTTCTTTAAATCAAATCATTACAACTTACTATGCTGACACTGAGTTATAGATCTATTTTGACTTACTTTATTTCTTAATAAGATCATAGGAAATCTTTTTGCAAATTAGGCCTTTGGAAAATGAAAACAATCTCGTGTTTCTGTGATTCTAACAATGTGTTTAAATCTTAGTGCATGACATCTAAATTTGAATTTTCGTAGAAACAGGTTTCCAGAGTGTATTTTCATGTTTTTATATATGATACTCTGTTGTATTTATATCACAGATAATTATTTGAATCAGATTTATCACTTTTCTGGCATATTTTGAAATAGTCATACATAGAAATGTGGAAATACTTCATTAGCTGTAGAGGTGCAAATGTACCATATAAGAATTATTTGAAAACTTATGTGCATTCTGAGTATCAGTACAGGACTTGGGAACACAGGCCACATGTGGAGTTTGGTGGTAGACTGCTATTGTTTCAAGGGGCGAGGATGAGATTTTGTTGTGGACAACTTCAGTTCATCCAACAGGTACACTGAACCACTCATGTCTTCCACGGTGTCCCGTCTGTTCTTGCATGTTCCTCTGCCATACAACTCACGAACTATTTGTGCACATTTTTTTGTTAACACATCAAACTTGACTACAACAGAACCAAATGACATAGTATTCTGTGTTTTCATAGCTTCCAGTTCATGCTGATCATCCTATTGCTGGGTTTTTGTTTATGCATGTTTTTATGCAGGGCCTGTCGATGGGGGTGTCTTTACTGTGCGGGCTTTATGTTTGCAGATGATCCATAGAAACACAAACAAGAAATTGTAGCAGCAGTATTTCATTCCTAAAGCTGAATGATGTCAGGCATAATTACTGAAACTAACATCTGGAGTGGTTTATTAAAGGGAAACCTGCCAAGATTGTTAGCATATACCAAACAGCATTATCCATATGTGCCATTTTATCACTATTGAATGTCGGGGTGTGTTAGTATGAAGGGAAATGAATAAAATCCAGCAAAGGATCACTACTAACACATTATCTTCCCAGAACTGATTTTAGTTTAGCTCGATGAAGCAGTTTGCTGGAGATTTTCAAAATTGTGCCCATCACCCATCTGGAGGGTTTCTGCATACCTCGGTACCTGGTTATTTGGTCTTGTTAGAATTAAAATGTACCCCTTCAGGAAAGTTCTCTTGAATTCTTTTTTTATGTTCCTGAATCCTAGACTATAAACAAACAAGCAAACAAACAAACAAGATATCAGATATTAATTGAGGACCCACTGTTCAGTCTTGTTGAAAACTTGGCACACATGCTTGAGGAGTTTAATAGGGATCTTGTCCAGTAGGGCGATGAAAGAACACTATTGTGTGATTGTCAGATTTCTTGAAGTAGTACTGAATTACTACTGTTCACTCTTTTCCTTAGAAGACATCTCAATGGTTGAATAGAGAGTCTTAAGGCAGCGAGGTGATCCTTGTCAAACTATGAGAGTTTCAATCCTTATGAGTAATATAGCTCTAATAATTTTGCCATTCAGCTTATTTACAGAGTAATCTAGAGAGGCTACACCAACCTGGCATGGTAAATGTTGTCTTCCTTAGGCACAGATAGAGGATGTCATGCCAGTCTACATTCTGTACATGGAGATGGAGGTGGAATTCATAGATCTTCAAAAATCATACTAGGACAGTTTTTGATACAATGGAAAAGAAAGTGTTCTCCAGAAAATGCTCCTAAGTTCTCCTTTGTGCCAATTATTGCCAAGTGGTAAAAACTGAAAGGCAAATGACATTGCTGTCATTTTGTTCTGTTGTAGTCAAGTTTGATGTGTTAACAGAAGAAATGTGTACAAATAGTTCGTGAGTTGTATGGCAGAGGAACATGCAAGAACAGAGGGGACACTGTGGAAGACATGAGTGGTTCAGTGTGTTTACTGGATGAACTGAAGTTGTCTACAACAAAATCTCATCCTCACCCCTTAAAACAATAGCAGACTACTACCAAACCCCACATGTGGTCTGTTGTTCCCTAGCCCTGTACTGATACTCCATTTCTAAATTCTGCACCAATACAGTGGCTCCACAGCTGCTACTGAATATCTAGCAATAGACACCCTGCTCTTAAATGGCTCTGGAGGTGAAGCTTCCATTACTTGTTTTTTTCCTGTAACAGCTTTTCAGAGAAATACCATTTGGCTCAATTTACTCATCATCCTAATCTTAGAATTTCCATGTTTTACGTAGTTCAATTTAGTAAACCTCTCAATTTATATCATTACTTTATCAATCCAGCATCATGATAAAAGGAAGATGTATCACATGAATAAAATTTTCTTGGATGATGGAAACTTACCTCATTAAGTACAAAATATTTCATTTTATGGGATAATTGTCTAAAATATATTACTGTATCAGGCTTCTAAGATCTTAGTGCCATCTTTATTTTCTGAGTATATATCTAGAAGTGGAATTCATAAGTGTTAGAATATGCATTTGTTTAAATTCAGTAACACAAGCAGTTTTCCAATGTGATTGTAAAAATTTTACTCCCTCAACAGTGTAAGAGTGTTTTGGTTTTTGCACATACTACTAACACTTGGTCTGTCATTTTCGTTTTCTCCATTCTGGTGGTTATGTGGTATTGTCACATTATGGGGCTGGTTAGCAATTCCCTGATGACTAGTGAAGCACCTTTCTTATATTATTGGCCATTTGGATATCTTTGAAGGATCTATTCAAGTATTTTTTGCATATTTTCATTGAATAGCCTATCCTTTAAATCAGGGGTCCCCAACCCCTGGGCTGGGGACCAGTACCAGTCCTTGGCCTGTAAGGAACCAGGCTGCACATCAGGACGTGAGTGGCAGGCCAGGGAGCATTACTGTCTGAGCTCCGCCTCCTGTCAGATCAGCGGCAGCATTAGATTCTCATAGGAGCACGAACTCTTTTGTGAACTGCGCATATGAGGGATCTAAGTTGTGCACTTCTTATGAGACTCTAACCAATGCCTGATGATCTGAGGTGGAACAGTTTCATCCCATGGAAAAATTGTCTTCCACGAAACCAGTCCCTCATGCTGAAAAGGTTGGGGACTGCTGCTTTAAATACTCATTAGGGTAGTTTCTTTATGTTCTGGAAATAAGTCCTTTGTCAGATATACTTATCGAAAATATATTTTTCTACTTGCTAGGTTGCATTTTCACTCTGTTAATGATGTTGTTTGATAAATAAAAGCTATTAATTTATTTTTATTTATTTATTTTTTGAGATGGAGTCTTACTCTGTTGCCCAGGCTGAAGTAGAGTGGCGCGATCTCAGCTTACTGCAACGTCTGCCTCCCAGGTTCAAGTGATTCTCCTGCCTCAGCCTCCTGAGTAGTTGGGACTACAGCCACGTGCCACCACACCTGGCTAATTTTTGTGTTTTCTAGTAGAGACGGGGCTTCACTATGTTGGCCAGGCTGGTCTCAAACTCCTGACTGCAGGTGATCTGCCTGCTGGGATTACAAGTGTGAGCCACTGCACCTGGCCAAAAGCTATTAATTTTAATAGAGTCTAACTTACAAGTTTTTTTTTTTTTTTAATAGTTAACATTTTCTGTGGCCTGTTTAAGTTTTTTTAGCCTATGCCAGGGTCACCAATATACTCTGTGATTTTCCGTGAACACTTTATTGCTTTATTTTTCACATTTACACTTGCAATCCATCTGGAATTGGTTTTTGTGAATTGTATGAGGTAGGATCAAGCTGCCTTTCTTCCACATTCAATTGATCCAGCACCATTAATTGAAAAGAGCATCCTTTCCCTCATTGCACTACAGGGTCACTGTTGCCATACATCACTCTATTATGCTGCCTTTGTAATGGAAAACTATAATGAGGACTTCTAGAAGTTTGTATGTGTCACAAGTTTTGTTTCTTAAAAATGTATGTGTTAGAATATGCAATCAGAGTCAGTTAATGTGGAACTCCCTGTCTTGCCATGCCAACATGAAAATAATAGATAAAATATTTTATAGAGATAAATATGTATCTGAGATTGAAAATAAGGAAGAAAAAATCTTTAGCTGCCAAGAAAGAAGTTAAGACTCTCAGTGCTGAGAGAGACTGAATCCACCTAGGTGATAAGGTGACTGGACCCAGTAAACCCTTTGTGTGCTGGGGGGTTTTATGCCTTGTAGAACCCAGTGTGAGCAAGATTTGGGTACCCTACATACATTCAGTAGCCAGGAAAGGGTGATTGGATTGCCAGACTCTGCCTGCTGGCAAAAGGATGAGCTGTAGAAGCTGAAGTCCTAGGTAGTAGATATAAAGAAGACAAATTAGGTGGCACCTTCTAGACTGTGCAATGCATGGATTTGGAATTGAATTTTTCCTCTAATTATTCTAGGGAAACCCTGGGCTAAGAAACCAATGTAAAACCTGATGAGGTAGTCTGTAGTCACACTGGGTAGAGGTAGAGGCAACCACAAAATTATTCTTAAGAATGCCTCCCAGGCGCCTGGAAGATGAAACTTTCTGGTGAATATGAGCTCATGGTAAAAATTTAGGTCGGATGCAGTGGCTCATGCCTGTAATCTCAGCACTTTGGGAGGCTGAGGGAGGAGGATTACTTTAGCTCAGGAGTTCAAGACTAGCCTAGGCAATATGGCGAAACCCATGTCTACAAAAAATACAAAAATTATCTGGACATGGTAGTGTATACCTGTACTCCCAGCTAAGTGTGAGAATTGCTTGAGCCCAGGAGACGGAGGTTGCAGTGAGCTGAGATCGCACCACTGCACTCCAGCCTGGCAACAGAGCCAGAGCCTATCTCAAAAAAAAAAAAAAAAAAAAAGAAAGAAAAAGAAAACAAGAAAAAAAAAGCCATGTGCGGTGGCTCACATCTGTAATCCTAGCACTTTGGGAGGCCTAGGCGGGCGGATCATGAGGTCAAGAGTTCGAGACCACCCTGGACAACATGGTGAAACCCCGTTTCTACTAAAAATACAAAATTTAGCTGGGCATGGTGGCATGTGCCTGTAGTCCCAGCTACTCGGGAGGCTGAGGCAGGAGAATTGCTTGAATTCAGAAGGTGGAGGTAGCAGTGAGCTGAGATCACACCACTGCACGCCAACTGGGAGACAGAGCCAGACCGTATCTCAAAAAAAAAAAAAAAAGGCTGGATGTGGTGGCTCACACCTGTAATCCCAGCACTTTGGGAGGCTGAGGTGGGTGGATCACAAAGTCAAGAGTTTGAGACCATCTTGGCCAACGTGGTGAAACCCCATCTCTACTAAAAATAAAAAAAAGTAGCTGGGCGTGGTGGCGCGTGCGTGTAGTCCCAGCTACTCCAGAGGCTGAGGCAGGAGAATTGCTTGAACCTGGGAGGTGGAGGTTGCAGTGAGCTGAGATTGCGCCACTGCACTCCAGCCTGGTGACAGAGGGAGACTCGTCTCAAAAAATATATATATAATAATAAAGCATATTGAGGAGAGAAGGAGACTATTATGAGCTTTCAAAGATAATAAGCAGGTAAGTATCAAAAAATGATGGACTTCCTACAGACTATTTTTTATTATTATTATACTTTAAGTTCTAGGGTACATGTGCAGAACATGCAGGTTTGTTACATAGGTATACACGTGCCATGGTGGTTTGCTGCACCCATCAACCCGTCATCTACATTAGGTATTACTCCTAATTTTCCCCTACTCCCCAACCCCCTGACAGGCCCTGGTGTGTGATGTCCCCCTCCCTGTGTCCATGTGTTCTCATTGTTCAACTCCCGTTTATGAGAACATGTGGTGTTTGGTTTTCTGTTCTTGTGTTAGTTTGCTGAGAATGATGGTTTCCAGCTTCATCCATGTCCCTGCAAAGGACAGGAACTCATCCTTTTTTATGGCTACATACTGTTCCATGGTGTATATGTGCCACATTTTCTTTATCCTGTCTATCATTGATGGGCATTTGGGTTGGTTCCAAGTCTTTGCTATTGTGAACAGTAAACATATGTGTGCATGTGTCTTTATAGTAGAATGATTTATAATTCTTTGGGTATATACTCAATAATGGGATTGTTGGGTCAAATGGTATTTCTGCCTCTAAATCCTTGAGGAATCGCCACACTGTCTTCCACAATGATTGAACTAATTTACACTCCCACCAACAGTGTAAAAGCATTCCTATTTCTCCACATCCTCTCCGGCATCTGTTGCTTCTTGACTTTTTAATGATAGCCATTCTAACTGGCATGAGATGGTATCTCATTGTGGTTTTGATTTGCATTTCTCTAATGACCAGTGATGATGAGGGTTTTTTTCATGTTTGTTGGCCTCATAAATGTCTTCTTTTGATAAGTGTCTGTTCATATCCTTCACCCACTTTTTGATGGAGTTGTTAGTGTTTTTCTTGTAAATTTGTTTAAGTACTTTGTTTAAGATTCTGGATATTAGCCCTTTGTCAGATGGATAGATTGCAAAAATTTTCTCCCATTCTGGAGGTTGCCTGTTCACTCTGATGATAGTTTCTTTTGTTGTGGAGAAGCTCTTTAGTTTAATTAGATCCCATTTGTCGATTTTGGCATTTGTTGCCATTGCTTTTGTTGTTTTAGTCATGAAGTCTTTGCCCATGCCTATGTCCTGAATGGTGTTGCCTAGGTTTGCTTCTAGGGTTTTTATGGTTTTAGGCCTCACATTTATGTCTTTAATCCACCTTGAGTTAATTTTTTAATAAGGTGTAAGGAAGGGGTCCAGTTTTAGTTTTCTGAATATGCGTAGCCATTTATTAAATAGGGAATCCTTTCCCCATTGCTGTTTTTGTCAGGTTTGTCAAAGACTGGGTTGTTGTAGTTGTGTGGTATTATTTCTGAGGCCTCTGTTCTGTTCCATTGGTCTATATATCTGTTTTGGTACCAGTACCATGCTGTTTTGGTTACTGTAGCCTTGTAGTATAGTTTGAAGTCAGGTAGTGTGATGCCTCCAGCTTTGTTCTTTTTGCTCAGGATTGTCTTGGCTCTTTTTTGGTTCCATATGAAATTTGAAGTATTTTTTTTCTAATTTTGTGAAGAAAGTCAGTGGTAGCTTGATGCGGATAGCATTGAATCTGTAAATTACTTTGGGCAGTATGGCCATTTTCATGATATTGATTCTTCCCATCCATGATGAGCATGGAATGTTTTTCCATTTTTTGTGTCCTCTCTCATTTCCTTGAGCAGTGGTTTGTAGTTCTCCCTGAAGAGGTCCTTCACATCCCTTGTAAGTTGGATTCTTAGGTATTTAATTCTCTTTGTAGCAATTGTGAATGTGAGTTCACTCATGGTTTGCCTCTCTGTTGGTCTATTATTGGTGTATAGAAATGCTTGTGATTTTTGCGCATTGATTTTGTATCTTGAGACTTTGCTGAAGTTGCTTATCAGCTTAAGGAGATTTTGGGTTGAGATGATGGGGTTTTCTAAATATACAATCATGTCCTCTGCAAACAGAGACAATTTGACTTCCTCTCTTCCTATTTGAATACCCTTTATTTCTTTCTCTTGCCTGATTGCCCTGGCCAGAACTTCCAGTGATGTGTTGAATAGGAGTGGTGAGAGAGGGCATCCTTGTCTTGTGCCAGTTTTCAAAGGGAATGCTTCCAGCTTTTGCCCATTCAGTATGATATTGGCTGTGGGTTTGTCATAAATAACTGTTACTATTTTGAGATACTTTCCATCAATACCTAGTTTATTAAGAGTTTTTAGCATGAAGGGGTGTTGAATTTTATCAAAGGCTTTTTCTGCATCTTTTGATATAATCATGTGGTTGTTGTCATTGGCTCTGTATATGTGATGGATTATGTTTATGGATTTACGTATGTTGAACCAGCCTTGCATCCTAGGGATGAAGTCGACTTTATCGTGGTGAATAAGGTTTTTGATATGCTGCTGGATTTGCTTCGTCAGTATTTTATTGAGGATTTTCGCATCGACGTTCATCAGGCATATTGGCCTGATATTTTCCTTTTTGCTGTGTCTCTGCCAGGTTTTGGTATCAGGATGATGCTGGCCTTAAAAAATGAGTTAGGGAGGATTTCCTCTTTTTCTTTTATTTGGAATAGTTCCAGAAGGAATGGTACCAGCTCCTCTTTGTACTTTTGGTAGAATTCAACTGTGAATCCATCTGGTCCTGGGCTATTTTTGGTTGGTAGGCTATTAATTATTGCCTCAATTTCAGAACTTGTTATTGGTCTATTCAGGGATTCGACTTCTTCCTGGTTTAGTCTTGGGAGGGTGTGTGTGTCTAGGAATTTATCCATTTATTCTAGATTTTCTAGTTTATTTGCGTAGAGGTGTTTATAATATTCTCTGATGGTAGTTTGTATTTCTGTGGGATCAGGGGTGATATTCGCTTTATCATTTTTTATTGTGTCTATTTGATTCTTCTTTCTTCTTTATTAGTCTGGCTAGTGGTCTCTCTAACATTAGATGAAAGAAGACATCGAAATTTGAAGTGCAAAGAGAAAATAAGTGTTAACCTAGAATTTTGTATCAAGCTGAATTGTCACTGGGGATTAAGGATGAGTATATTTTAAAACATGAACGGAAATATGGTATCTTTATATCAATAGGCAATGAACATAATTCTAATTTAGAGATAAAAATTTAAATAATAATTGTTTACTTATTTAAATCTGTGAAACTGAGAAAGATTGAAAAATATAGTAGACAATCTTGTTGACAAGAATCTTGGGACATAGAACAACTTCACACTTAGCTGGGAGATTTACATTATTCAATTTTTAGAGAAAAAGTGACAAAGGCCTTAAAATTATGTGAGGCCTTTGAACCTGTAGTTTCACTATGTGATATATTCTGAGGAAATAATATTTAAGCATTTAGCTACCAAGTGAGTTTAAGAGCTTGAATTTGAAAATAAAGTAAATGTGAAACATAGGGGGATGGGTGAAATAAATTGTTAAATCCATTTAATAGAATTACTGTACATTCACTAGAAACAAATTTTTTAACATGTCATTTGATAAGAAAGAACATGTTCAATGAAATAAATATATCAAACGAGAAATAAATACAAATTGTGAATAGCATGACCTACTTTTACAATAGCAAATAAGTATTTATATCTAAAATATTTGAAAATATCTATTTATCTATCTATCTATCTATCTATCTATCTATCTATCTATCTATCTATCTGTCTATCTAGCTAGCTAGCTAGCTATCTTTCTGTCTCTCTCTCTCTATCTTCCTATCTGCCTCTCTCTTTCTTTCTCTTTCAAAGTTTTAATGGTGGTTGTACTTAGGTGTTAATATTGTATAGTTTTAAAATATTCTTCATTGCCTATGTTTTATTATTTTTCTAAAGTTGGATTATAATGTTATATAAGAAGAGAAGAAACCTCATGTTGGAGAAACTCAAACCAGTGTAATTGTTATTATGTAGTATTGAATATACACATTGACTTTACAGTATTGTTGATAGACAGAACCTGTCTGCTGTGTTGGTTCATAGTTTTTTTGTTGATTTTAAGGATTAAGATGAATTTCTTTCTTTCTCTCTCTTTCTTTCATTCTTTCTTCTTTACTTTCTTTCTTTTTCTCTTTTCTTTTGAGATGAGGTCTTGATATGTTTCTCAATCTGGCCTCAAACTCTTGGACTCAAGTAGTCCTCCTGCCTCAGCCTCCTGAATAGCTGGAACTACAAGTGCTTTCTCTAAGATGAAGTTATTTCTGTGTTTTCAAGTCCACTAGATAGTTTTCATGTTTTTCTTACAGTTTCTTTAATAACCCAAATGATACAAGAGCACTATAGTGATTTATATATATATATATAAAAGGTAACATACCATATATAAATTTATATATTTATATATAATATATATACTATAATAGAAAACATACTATATATGTGTGTGTATATACATATATATAGAGAGAGTATGATTTTTGTTACCTTTTAAAATAGTTCTTTTTGATTCTCTATTCTTAAAAGCCTTTTTATATTTTTTTCCAGTATTGTTTTGGGTCCAGACCATTTGAGAGTGACATATAGAAGTCATTTGTTACACGCATGAGAGTGTTAGAAGTGACAAGAAAGAGGCAATAAAGAGGGTTTTCTGGATGGGGTCAGTTTTTAATTCCTTATTGAGATTTTACAGTAGCTCAAAAGAGATGCCTGTTGCAGGCCAGTTATGATGGTTCACATCTGTAGTCTTAAAACTTTGGGAGCCAAGATGGGAGGATCACTTGAGCCTGAGAGTTTGACACCAGCCTGGACAGCATAGGGAGACCCTACTTCTACAAAAAAATAAAAAAAATTAGCCAAGAGTGGTGGTGGTGCACCTCTGTAATCACAGCTAATTGGGAGGCTAAGGTAGAAGGATTGCTTGGGCCTGGGAGGTCAAAGCTTCAGTGAGCTGTGATCATGCCACTGCACTCCAGCCTGGATGACAGAACAAGACCTTGTCTCAAAAAAAAAAAAAAAAAAAAAAAAAAAAACAACAAAATGTGCCTGTTTCCATTAGAAGATAATTTATAAGGGATTGGAAACCAAGATTCTGGTATGGAGGGATGGACTATCCCAGCGGAACACAATGAAAAGTATACCTTGTTCTTGCCAATAAGAAAGAAAGTTGCTTCTACCTGTGTTATGAGATTACACTTAAATATACTATAAATATTGAGAATTTTGAGAGTATTAGCAGTGAGTTAGGATTTTTAAAAAACTATGGAAAGAAAACATCAATTATTAATCCTTTGACGTTTTAACCTTCCTAGGAGAGAAATTTTTTCTTTTGAGGGTAGCCTTGTAAACATACTTCCAGATTGGGGGATAGGGGTGAGTTGGGGTGTGGACATGAAACAAATACAAACATTGACATTTAAGGCAGTCATTTTTAGAATATTGTTATTTAGTAACTCTTGATGTCTGGATTTCTTATAGAGATAATGAAGGAGGTAGTTTTTAAAACCTGCCTCATGTATAAGAGAATGTTTAGGAATCTCTTTATAGGAAAATATAAAGCATTATTAATTACTTGAGCTTTTAACCTTTTAACTTTGTATTATAGAAGTCAAAATCATGAAGGGAGAAAAGTGTTTCATTAATCACTACAGGATATTTTTCAAAATGAGTTAATGGAAGTTTACTCTGGGTCTTTAAACAAAATATAAATTGACATACCGTGCCAGGTATCTAAAAATACTCTGTTTAGGGTCAGAAGCATGATGGCTCATACTTATAATAACAGCACTTTGGGAGGCTGAGGCAGGGGGATCACTTAAGGCTGGAAGTTTGTGAGCAACTTGTGCAACATAGTGAGAACCCTTCTCTAAAATAATAATAATAATAATAAAATTAGCTGCGTGTAGTGGTGCATGCCTGTCATTCCAGCTACTCAGGAGGTTGAGGTGGGGGGATTGCTTGAGCCCAGGAATTCGAGGCTACGGTGGGCTATGATCATGCAACTGTACTCTAGGCTGGGTTACAGAGTGAGGCCCTATCTCTAAATAATAAATAATGAATACATAAATATCTACTGTCTCATACTTTATAAGATATGTTCATATTCTTTGTGTTAACTGGAGTTTAGGGAGAGAAGCAGATAGAGTGGGATTAATACTTGATGGGGAAGCCCCAAACTAGTTCTGGCTCTAACAGTAACTTGGTATGTGGCTTAGAAAAACACTCAGCCTCCTTGAGTTCAGTTTTTTCTCAATTTTTGGGAGAGGGTTTAATTTATTAGTGGGTGATCTTCAAAGTCCCTGCCACTACAATATTTCATTTCTGTGTGCAGACACAGTGATCCCAAAAGTTGACATTCTGTCTATTGACTGTTTCTAATATTCTGTATCCAGAATTACTTTAGCACTAGAATATTGCAGAATATGCTACTCAAAAGTGTTTTTGATTATTTTTACCTAGCTGCTTTATTAGGCTCTTTCATTGGCTTTTAGAAAGCATTCAGTAAGGTTTTTAAATGAAGTGAATATATAGATTTTAGAAATATAAGTTAAACAGAGGTTCAAGTATATATATTTTTGGTACCATGTCCAGCTTTTACAATATCATATTGAGAGCCTTAACTGTAACCAAATAACGTTTTCCAGTCTGTGTTTAACTATACATCAACCCAGTGGATGGTTCATAAAGAGTATAATTGACAGCTAGTAAACTCCTAGCAAAAATGAATCAGCTTTTAACTTCATATTAAATTATCCTTTTCTAAAAAGACTGAAAACTATAATCAAGCTCTTTCTGTGTAATTTGCTATAGATTACTACTTTAAGAGAATAACATCCTTTGTTAAAAAGGCTTTTTATACTACTGGCTTGTGGTGTCCCCTCCTCCCACTGAATTAAAGCCTTCAACCTGCTGTTGTATTCCATGAGCTTTTCACCTGAACATTTTTACAATGAGAGCATAATGAGTGTTGAAACTGGTATAGATTATTTAAAATAGGCTTAGATTAGCTCTCTATTGCTGTTCTTGACCTCCAGGGAGAGGAAAAAAAACATGCTTCTTAGTACAGAAGTGGAATTTTTATCAAATACTTTAAAGCTTAAATTATACTGGTAGAGGCTAGACTCCACAGTTCATTTTTTTTATTTCTTTAGTCCACTTATCAGATGAGCAAATATGAATACTGTGACGGTTATGATGTACCTACAATAGAAACAATAGAAAATAGCATAATAATCAATATTTTACATAGAATAATTAGGAGCTTAAAATTGCTTATTTAATGATTTATCAAAAATAGTACTAAACTATTATAGAGTGTTGAAAAATGTGTTCAGGTTTGCTCACTTCATGGAATTTATGGAATTATGGTTCAGATGTTTATTATAATTCTTTTTATAGATGCTGAAAAGTTCAACACCAATTCCTCACTTTAAAAAGCACACTCCTGCTGCTGCTTCTACTTTTATATTTCACACTACTCCCTAAATCTATTCTGGCTCTAGGTAGGTTTAAAGCCTTTCATCAGCACGTGGAACATTCTCTAAGATAGGCCATATGATAGACCACAAAACAAGTCTCAATAAATTTAAGAAAATTGAAATCATATCAATTATCTTCTCAGACCACAGTGGAATAAAACTGGAAATTAACTTCAAAAGGAACCCTCAAAACTATACAAATAAATGGAGATTAAATAATAACTGAATGATCTTTGGGTTAATAACGAACTCAAGGTGGAAATTAAAAAATTATTTGAATTCAACAATAATAGTGACACAACTTATCAAAACCTCTGGGATACAGCAAAAGCGGTGCTAAGAGGAAAGTTCATAGCATTAAATGTCTACATCAAAAAGTCTGAAAGAGCACAAATAGATAACCTAATGTCACACCTCAAAGAACTAGAGAAACAAGAACAAACTAAACCCAAACCCAACAGAAGGAAAGAAACAGCAAAGACCAGAGCAGAACTAAATAAAATTGAAACCAAAAAAATACAAAAGATAAATGAAACAAAAAGCTGGTTATTTGAAAAGATAACCAAAATTGATATATCATTAGCGAGATTAACCAAGAAAAGAAGATGATGCAAATAAGCTCAATTAGAAAGGAAACAGGAAATATGACAACCGATATCACAGAAATGCAAAAGATCATTCAAGGCTACTATGAATACCTTTATGTGCACAAACTATAAAATCTAGAGGAGGTGGATAAATTCCTGGAAATATACAACCCTCCTAGAATAAACCAGGAAGAAATAGAAACTCTGAATAGACCAATAACAAGCAGTGAGAGTAAATCAGTAATAAAAAAATTACCAAGAAAAAATGTCTAAGACCATGTGGATTCACAGCTGAATTCTATCAGACATTCAAAGAAAAATTGGTATCAGTCCTACTGAAACTATTCCAAAGATAAAGAGGGAATCCTCCCTAAGTCATTCTATGAAACCAGTATCACCCTAATACCAAAATCAGGAAAGAACATAACAAAAAGAGAAACCTACAGACCAATATCCCTGATGAACACAGATGCAAAAATTCTCAACAAAATAACAGCTATCCAAATCCAACAGCGTATCAAAAAGATAATACATCATGATCAAGTGGGTTTCATACCAGGGATGCAGGGATGGCTTAACATATACAAGTCAATAAATGTGATACATCACATAAACAGAATTAAAAACAAAAATCATATGATCATCTTGATAGATGTAGAAAAAGCATTTGACAAAATCTGGCATCCCTTTATGATAAAACCCTGCATAAAACTGGTATAGAAGGGATGTAACTCAAAGTAATAAAAGCCATCTATGTAAAACCCACAGCCAACATCATATTGAATGGGGGAAAAGTTGAAAGCATTCTCCCTGAGAACTGGCACAAGACAAGATGCCCACTTTCGCCACTCCTATTCAACACAGTAATGGAAGTCCTAGCCAGAGCAGTTAAACAAGAGAAAAAAATAAAAAGCATCCCAATTGGAAAAGAGGAAGCCAAACTGCCGCTGTTTGCTGATGAAATGATTGTATACCTAGAAAACCCTAAAGATTCATCCAAAAACTCCTTGATTTGATAAACAAATTCAGTAAAATTTCTGGATACAAAAATCAGTGTACACAAATCAATGGCACTGCTATATAGCAACAATGATCAAGCTGAGAATAACATCAAGAACTCAATCCCTTTTACAGCAGCTACCAATAAAGTAAAATAAAATAAAATACATAGGACTAAACAAAGGAGATGAAATATCTCTACAAGGAAAACTGCAAAACACTGCTGGAAGATATTATAAGTGACACAAACAAATGGAAACACCCATGCTCATGGATGGGTAGAACCAATATTGTGAAAATGACCATACTGCCAAAAGCAAGCTACAGAGTCAACTCAGTTCTCATCAAAATACTGATGTGGGTTGGGGGGGAATCTCTCAAGATGGCCAAATAGTAACAGCTCCAGTCTGCAGCTCCCAGTGAGATCAATGCAGAAGGCGGGTGATTTCTGCATTTCCAACTGAGGTACCCGGCTCATCTCATTGGGACTGGTTAGACAGTGGGTGCAGCCCCTGGAGGGCAAGCAGAAACAGGGTGGGGCATTGCCTCACCCGGGAAGCTCAAGGGGTCGGGGAACTCCCTCCCCTAGCCAAGGGAAGCCATGAGGGACTGTGCCGTGAGGGACGGTGCACTCTGGCCCAGATACTACGCTTTTCTCATCGTCTTCACAACCCACAGACCAGGATATTCCCTTGGGTGCCTACACCACCAGAGCCCTGGGTTTCAAGCACAAAACTGGGCAGCCATTTGGGCAGACACCGAGCTAGCTGCAGGAATTTTTTTTCATGCCACAGTGGTGCTTGGAATGCCAGAGAGACAGAACCATTCACTCCCCTGGAAAAGGGGCTGAAGCCAGGGAGCCAAGTGGTCTAGTTCAGTGGATCCCACCTCCACAGAGCCCAGCAAGCTAAGATCCACTGGCTTGAAATTCTTGCTGCCAGGAGAGCAGTCTGAAGTTGACATGGGACACTGGACTTGGTGGGGGGAGTGGCATCTGCCATTACTGAGGTTTGAGTAAGCGGTTTTCCCCTCACAGTGTGTAACAAAGCCTGGGGGAAGTTCCAATGGGGCGGAGGCCTCCACAGCTCTGCAAAGCCACTGTAGCCAGATTGCCTCCCTAAATTCCTCCTCTCTGGGCAGGGCATCTCTGAAAAAAAGGCAGCAGACCCAGTCAGGGTCTTATAGGTAAAACCCCCATCTCCCTGGGACTCAGCACCAGGGGGAAGGGGTGGCTGTGGGCATAGCTTTAGGAGACTTAAACGTTCCTTCCTGATGGAACTGAAGAGAGCAGCAAATCTCCTAGCACAGCATTCAAGCTCCACTAAGGGTCAGACTGCCTCCATAAGTGTAAGGGAGCTCCGCTAAGGGTCAGACTGCCTCCTGACCCCTGTATCTCCTGACTGGGAGACACCTCCCAGCAGGGGCCAACAGACACCTCATACAGGAGAGCTCTGGCTGGCATCTGACAGGTGCCCCTCTGGGACAAAGCTTCCAGAGGAAGAAACAGGCAGCTATCTTTACTGTTCCGTAGCCTCTGCTGGTACCCAGGCAAAACAGGGTCTGGAGCGGATCTCCAGCAAACTCCAGCAGACCTGCAGCAGAGGGGCCTGATTGTTAGAAAGAAAACTAACAAAAAGAGAGGAAAAGCATCAACATCAAGGAAAAGGACATCCACTCAGAAACCCCATCTGAAGGTCACCAACATGAAAGAACAAAGGTAGATAAATCCATGAAGATGGGGAGAAACCAGAGCAAAAAGGCTGAAAATTGCAAAAACTGGAATGCCGAATGCCTCTTCTTATTCAAAGGATCACAACTCCTTACTGGCAAGGGAACAAAACTGGATGGAGAATGAGTTTGATGAATTCACAGAAGTAGGCTTCAAAAGGTGGGTAATAACAATCTCCTGCGAACTAAAGGATCATGTTCTAACCCAATGCAAGGAAGCTAAGAATCTTGAAAAAAGGTTAGAGGAATTGCTAAGTGGAATAACCAGTTTAGAGAAGAACATAAATGACCTGATGGAACTGAAAAACACAGCACGAGAACTTCGTGAAGCATACACAAGTATCAATAGCCAAATCAATCAAGCGGAAGAACGGGTATCAGAGATTGAAGATCAACTTAATGAAATAAAGCATGAAGAGAAGATTAGAGAAAAAAGAATGAAAAGGAACAAACCAAGTTTCCAAGCAATATGGGACTGTGTGAAAAGACCAAACCTATGTTTGATTGGTGTACCTGAAAGTGACAAGGAGAATGGAACCAAGTTGGAAAACACACTTAAGGATATTATCCAGGAGAAATTCCCCAACCTAGCAAGACAGGCCAACATTCAAATTCAGGAAATACAGAGAACACCACAAAGATACACCTTGAGAAGAGCAACCCCAAGACACATAATTTTCAGATTCACCAAGATTGAAATGAAGGATAAAATGTTAAGGGAAGCCAGAGAGAAAGGTTGCATTACCCACAAAGGGAAGCCCATCAGACTAACAGTGGATCTCTCTGCAGAAACCCTACAATCCAGAAGAGGGTGGGGGCCAATATTCAACATTCTTAAGAAAAGAATTTTCAACCTAGAATTTCATATCTAGCCAAACTAAGCTTCATAATTCAAGGATAAATAAAATCCTTTACAGACAAGCAAATGCTGAGAGATTTTTGTTACCACCAGACCTGCCTTACGAGAGCTCCTGAACGAAGTACTAAACATGGAAAGGAAAAACCAGCACCAGCCACTGCAAATCATACCAAATTGTAAAGACCATCAACACTATGAAGAAACTGCATCAACTAACGGGCAAAATAACACAGCTAGCATCATAATGCCAGGATCAAATTCACACATAACAATATTAACCTTAAATGTAAACAGGTTAAATGCCCCAATTAAAAGACACAGGCTGACAAATTGGATAAAGAGTCAAGACCCATCAGTGTGCTGTATTCAGGAGACCCATCTTATGTGCAAAAACACGCATAGGCTCAAAATAAAGGGATAGAGGAATATTTTCCAAGCAAATGGAAAGCAAAAAAAAAAAAAAAAGGAGGGGTCGCAATCCTGGTTTCTGATAAAACAGACTTTAAACCAACAAAGATCAAAAGACACGAAGGGCATTACATAATGGTAAAGGTATCAATGCAACAAGAAGAGCTAACTATCCTAAATGTATATGCACCCAATACAGGAGCACCCAGATTCATAAAGGAAGTTCTTGGAGACCTTCAAAGAGACTTAGACTCCCACATAGTAATAGTGGGAGACTTTAACACCCCACTGTCAATATTAGATTGGTGAGATGGAAAATTAGCAAGGATATTCAGGACTTGAACTTAGCTCTGCACCAAGTGGACCTAATAGACATCTACAGAACTGTCCCCCCAAATCAACAGAATACACATTCTTCTCAGCACCACGTTGCACTTACTCTAAAATTGATCACATAATTGGAAGTAAAACACTCCTCAGCAAATGCAAAAGAACGGAAATCATAACAGTCTCTCAGACCACAGTGCAATCAAATTAGAACTCAGGATTAAGAAACTCACTGAAAGTCGCACAACTACATGGAAACTGAACAATCTCCTCCTGAGTGACTACTGGGTACATAATGAAATTAAGGCAGAAATAAATAAGTTCATTGAAACCCAGGAGAACAAAGACACAATGTACCAGAATATCTGGGACACAGCTAAAGCAGTGTTTAGAGGGAAATTTATAGCACTAAATGCCCACAAGAGAAAGCAGGAAAGATCTAAAATTGGCATCCTAACATCACAATTAAAAGAACTAGAGAAGCAACAGCAAATAAATTCAAAAGCTAGCAGAAGACAAGAAATAACTACAATCAGAGTAGAACTGAAGGAGACAGAGACACGAAAAACCCTCGAAAAAAATAAATGAATCCAGGATATGGTTTTTTGGACAGATCAACAAAATAGATAGACCACTAGCCAGACTAACAAAGCAGAAAAGAGAGAAGAATCAAAAGACACAATAAAAATGATAAAGGGGGTATCACCACTGATCCCACAGAAATACAAACTACCATCAGAGAATACTGTAAACACCTCTACGCAAATAAACTAGAAAATCTAGAAGAAATGGATAAATTCCTGGACACATACACCCTCCCAAGACTAAACCAGGAAGAAGTCAAATCCCTGAATAGACCAATAACAAGTTCTGAAATTGAGGCAGTAATTAATTGCCTACCAACCAAAAAAAGCCTAGGACCAGACGGACTCACAGCCGAATTCTACGAGAGGTACAAAGACCATTCCTTCCGAAACTATTCCAAACAATAGAAAAAGAGGGAATCCTCCCTAACTCATTTTATGAGGCCAACATCATCCTGATACCAAAATCTGGCAGAGACACAACCAAAAAAGAAAATTTCAGGCCAGTATGCCTGATGAACATCGATGCGAAAATCCTCAATAAAATAATGACAAACCAAATCCAGCAACACATCAAAAAGCTCAACCACCACAATCAAGTCAGCTTCATCCATGGGTTGCAAGGCTGGTTCAACATACACGAATCAATAAACGTAATCCATTACATAAACAAAACCAATGACAAAACCACATGATTATGTCAATAGATCCAGAAAAGGCTTTTGACAAAATTCAACACCTCTTCATGCTAAAAACTCTTAATAAACTAGGTATTGATGGAAAGTATCTCAAAATAATAAGAGCTATTTATAACAAACCCACAGCCAATATCATACTGAATGGGCAAAAGCTGGAAGCATTCCCTTTGAAAACTGGCACAGGACAAGAATGCCCTCTCTCACCACTTCTATTCAACATAATATTGGAAGTGCTGGCCAGGGCAATCAGGCAAGAGAAAGAAATAAAGGGTATTCAAATAGGAAGAGAAGAAGTCAAATTGTCTCTGTTTGCATATGACATGATTGTATATTTAGAAAACCCCATCATCTCAACCCGAAATCTCCTTAAGCTGATAAGCAACTTCAGCAAAGTCTCAGGATACAAAATCAATGTGCAAAAATCACAAGCATTTCTATACACCAATAATAGACCAACAGAGAGGCAAACCATGAGTGAATTTACATTCACAATTGCTACAAAGAAAATAAAATACCTAAGACTCTAACTTAACAAGGGATGTGAAGGACCTCTTCAAGGAGAACTACAAACCACTGCTCAAGGAAATGAGAGAGAAGACAAACAAATGGAAAAACATTCCATGTTCATGGATAAGAAGAAGAACCAATATCATGAAAATGGCCATACTGCCCAAAGTAATTTATAGATTCACTGCTATCCCCATCAAGCTACTATTGACTTTCTTCAGAGAATTAGAAAAAACTACTTTAAATTTCACATGGAACCAAAAATAGTCCATATAGTCAAGACAATCTTAAGCAAAAAGAACAAAGCTGGAGGGATCACGCTACCTGACTTCAAACTATACTACAAGTCTACAGTAACCAAAACAGCATGGTTCTGGTACCAAAACAGATATATAGACCAATGGAACAGAACAGAGGCCTCAGAAATCACTCCACACGTCTGCAACCATCTGGACTCTGACAAACCCAAGAAAAAGAAGCAATGGGGAAAAGATTCCCTATTTAATAAATGGTGTTGGGAAAACTGGCTAGCCATATGTAGAAAACCTTTTACAAAAATTAACTCAAGATGGATTAAAGACTTAAACCTAAGACCTAAAACCATAAAAACCCTAGAGGAAAACCTAGGCAGTACCATTCAGGACAGAGGCATGGGCAGAGACTTCATGAGTAAAACACCAAAAGCAATGGCAACAAAAGCCACCATTGACAAATGGGATCTAATTAAACTAAAGAGCTTCTGCACAACAAAAGAAACTATCAGAGTGAACATGCAACCTCCAGAATGCGAGAAAATTTTTGCAATCTATCCATCTGACAAAGGGCTAATATCTAGAATCTGCAAAGTACTTAAACTTATTTATAAGAACAAAACAGCCCCATCAAAAAGTGGGAAAAAGATTTGAACAGACACTTCTCAATAGAAGATATTGATGCAACCAATAAACATGAAAAAAGCTCATCATCAGTGGTCATTAGAGAAATGCAAATCAAAACCACAATGAGATACCATCTCATACCAGTTAGAATGGCAATCATTAAAAAGTCAGGAAATAACAGATGCTGGAGAGAATGTGGAGACATAGGAATGCTTTTACACTGTTGATGGAGTGTAAATTAGTTCCCCCATTGTGGAAGACAGTGTGGCAATTCCTAGAAACTAGAAAACCATTTGACCCAGCAATCCCATCACTGGGTATATACCCAAAGGATTATAAATCATTCTACTATAAAGACACATGCACACATATGTTTATTGCAGCACTGTTCACAATAGCAAAGACTTGGAACCAACCCAAATGCCCATCAGTGATAGACTGGATAGGGATGGGAGCAAAGAAATTCTAGGCAGAAAAGGGATGGGGTTTCTGGTGAAAACCCCACTCTCAAGTTGAAAAACCTGAAACTGTGAGGACTTACATCCCTATTTTCCTGCTTGAATGTTGCCTTTTCCTAAAACACCCATGGCCCCACCCCACCCCATCCTCTGCCCGTAAAAACCCCAGACTCAGCTGGTAGATGGGACTACGGCTGGATGTTGGAGAGAAGCAGCTTGACTTCAGAGGGACAGCTTGATGGTGTAACTTCGAAGAAGAATCAGATCAGAGACGGCTGGACTTGAGGGAAAGATTACCTACCTGCCCCATCCCCTTTTTGTCTCCCCTTCCTGCGGAGAGCCACTTTGATCAGCAGTAAAATCGCCCACAGTTACCATGCTTCAGTTCATTCATGTGATCTCATTTTTCTTGGACACTGGACAAAAGCTCGGGATCCATTAGTGTAGATACAAAAGGCAGTCACACTAGTTCATTGCCTTCACTGGCAGAGGGCAGCTGCCTCATGCGAAAAGGCAAAGGGCCCACTGAGCTGTTAACACTTAAGTCATCTGTGGACAGCAGCGTTAAAAGAGCACTGAAGCCTCTGGGGCTTCAGGAGTGGCAGGCAATCCTGCCTGGATGCTGCTGTGGGGCTTCATGGAGTTTGCCCCTGCCTGTGCTAAAGCATCTAGCTGGTTCCAGCACCCACTCACCTGTGTGCTCCCTCCTGCAAGGAGTGGAACACAGCAAGTCTTGAGTGAGTGGAGTTTGATCCCGCTGTCACTGAAGTGGCTAGCCCTTTCCAGTGCTTGTTGACTCCAGTTCCCGCACCTGTTTGCTTGTGCTCCCTCCCTTGAGGAGTTGAGAGTGGCGGGCTAAGTAAACAAGGCACCCCTGTTGAGAGTCTCATGAAGGGGTCAGGGAAATATCCTGCTTCAATACCATCATCATTCTTCACAGAAGTTAGAAAAAAAAAATTTAAATTCATATGGAACCAAAAAAAAAGCCTGAATAGCCCAAGCAATACTAAGCAAAAAGAACAAATCTGGAGGCATCACATTACCATGCTTCAAATTATACTACAAGTCTCTAGTTACCAAAACGGCATGGTACTGGTATAAAAATAGACACATAGAACAATGAAACATAATAGAGAACTCAGAAATAAAGCCAAATACAGCCAACTGAGCTTAGACAAAGCATATAAATACATAAAGTGGGGGAAGGACACCCTATTCAATAAATGGTGCTGGGATAACTGGTAAGCCACATGTAGAAGAATGAAAGTGGATCCTCATCTTTCACCTTATTTAAAAATCAACTCAACATGTATCAAAGACTTAAATCTAAGACCTGAAACCATAAGCATTCTGGAAAATAACAACAGAAAAACTCTTCTAGACGTTGGCTTCAGCCAAGAATTTGTGACTAACAACTCAAAAGCAAATGCAACAAAAACAAAAATAAACAAATGGGACCTAATTAAACTAAAAAGCTTCGGCACAGCAAGAGAAATAATTAGCAGAGTAAACAGACAACCCACAGAATGGGAGAAAATATTTGCAAACTGTGCATCTGACAAAGGACTAATATCCAGAATCTACAAGGAACTCCAACAAATCAGCCAGAAAGAAATAATTCCATCAAAAACTGGGCAAAGGACAAGAATAGATGATTCTTAAAAGAAGATATACAAACAACGAACAAACATATGAAAAAATGCTCAACCTCACTACTTATCAGAGAAATGCAAATTAAAACCATAATGAGATATAAGAATGGCCATAATTTAAAAAATTAAAAAATAATAGATGTTGGTATGGTTGTGATGAAAAGGGAATTCTTTTATGCTGCTTGTGGGAATGTAAACTAGTACAACCACTATGGAAAATAGTATGGAGATTCTCTAAAGAACTAAAAGTAGATCTACCATTTGATCCGGCAATCCCACTACTGGGTATTTACCTAATGGAAAAGAAGTCATTATATGAAAAGACACTTGCACATGCATGTTTATAGCAGCATAATTTGCGATTGTAAAAATACAGAACCAATATAAATGCCCATCAGCCAATGAGTGGATAAAGAAAATGTGCTATGTATACACTGGGAATACAACTCAGCCATAAAATGGAATGAAATAATGGCCTTTGCAGCAATTTGGAGTTGGCAGCCATTATTCTAAGTGAAGTAACTCAGGAATGGAAAATCAAATACTGTATATTCTAACTTGTAAGTAGGAGCTATCAGGATGCAAAGGCATGAGAGTGATATAATGGACTTTGGGGACGTGGAGGGATGGCTGGGAGGGTGTGGGTGATAAAAGATGACATATTGGGTACAGTGTACACTGCTCAGGTGACAAGTGCACCAAAATCTCAGAAATCACCGCTGAAGAACTTACCCATGTAACTAAACACCACCTGTTCCCAAAAAACTATTAAATTTAGAATACAAAAAAAATAAAAAATAAAAAACACACTTAATAAAATAGTAATTGTTAAACAATTCATTAGGTGTAGATAAAACATTTAGACTACAGATAAGGTCAGCATAATACTTAGTGGTTAAATAAGAGAGGCATTCCTATTAAGTTTCCAAACAAGGCAAGGATCCCACTGTGTTCATTGCTGTTTAATATTACATTGGAGATAATAGCCAATGAAATCAAACAAGGAAAAATAGAGGCTTAAGAATTACACATAAGAAGGTGAAACTACCTCTTTACAGATGATACTAGAAAATCCAAACAATCAATGAGAAAACAAACACAGTAAAATAATTCAAATAAGATAGCAGAATATAAAATTAACATACAAAAGTCAAAAGCCAGGTGTAGTGGTGTGTATCTGTAGTCCCAAACTACTCGTTAGACTGAGGTAGGAGGATCTCTTGATCGCAAGAGTTTGAGTCTACCTGGGTGAGATAGCAAGACCCCGTCTCTTAAAAAATTAAGGAAACCCTTAAACTTCTCCTGGAGGGCCCACAAGTAGACTTGAACAAATGGATAGTTATAATTTGTTCTTTGATAGGACAACTCATTATCATAAAAATATCAGCTATCTTCAAATTAATAAATTTAATTCAATACTAATAAAAGTGACAAAGTTTTACTTTGAGCTTGATGATTTGATTCTAATATCCACATATAAAATAAACGTACAAAAATAGGAAGACCTGACAGTAGAAGAGTAATGGGGAAATTGCTTTTTCCAATATGCACACTCTAGAGCCTCTGTAATGAAATAGTGGGTGCTGGCATACGAATTGGTCATCAGAGAAAAAAAATCAGGACATAGACCCAAGAACACATGGAAATTCACTGTAATAAAAGTGGCTTCTCAAATCAGTGGGAAATGATAGACTTAAAAAAATTAATAGACTATGTTTGATTGTGGTAAAATCCATACTACATAAAATTTGCCATCTGAACTATTTTTTAAGGTATACAGTTCACTAGTGTTTTGTCATATTGTTGTGCAACCATTCTCCAGAACTCTTTTCACCTTGCTAACCTGATTCTGTACCCATTAACTAACTCCCAGCACCTCCCCATCCCCCAGCCACCGGAAACTATCATTCTACTTTGTGCCTCTCATTTTGACTACTCTAGGTATCCCATATAAGGAGAATCATACAATATTTATCTTTTTGTGACTGGCTTATTTCACTTAGGGTAATGTCCTTAAGGTTCATGCATGTGGCATGTCAGAATTTCCTTCCTTTGTAAGGATGAATAATGTTCCATTGTATGTGTATGTACCACATTTTGTCTGTCCATTTATTTATCAGTAGACTCTTGGGTTGCTTCTACTTTTTGGCTGTGATGAATGATTCTGCAATGAACATGGGTATACAGATTTCTCAGGACCATGCTTTGAATTCTTTTTGATATATACTCAAATGGAATGCAGGATCATAGGGTAATTCTATTTTAAACTTTTTGAGGGACTTCCATACTCTTTACCACAGAGACTATAATATTTTACATTCTCACCAATAGTGTGAAAGGGTTCCGGTTTCTCCACATCATCATCAACACTTATTATTTTCTTTTTTTTTTTTTGATATTAGCTATTCCAGTGGGCATGAGGTGATATCTGATTGGGTTTTGATTTGCGTTTCCCTAATGATTAATGATGTTTGGCATCTTTTTATATTCTTTTTGGCCATTTGTATATCTTCTTTGGAGGAATGTCTATTCAAGTCCTTTGGCTATTTTATAATTGGATTTTTTGTTATTGTTGATTTTTAGGACTTCTTCATATGTTCTGTATATTAACTCTTTATTAGATACATGATTTGTAAGTATTTTCTCTCATTCTATGGGTTGCCTTTTCACTTTGTTGATTGTGACTTTTGATACAAATAATTTTTATATTTTGATGTAATCCATTTTATCTATTTTTATTGTTGTTACCAGTGATTTTAGTGTCATAGCCAAGAAATCAATGCCAAATCCAATGTCATGATGAGTGATACAGTTTCACCTCTTTCATTTGGGTCTTTGATACATTTTGAGTTAATTTTTGATTATGATATAAGGCAAGAGTGAAAATTCATTATTTTTGCACGTGGATATCCAGTTTATTCAGTACCGTTTGTTGAAAAGACTGTTCTTTTACCACTGAATGTTTTTGACACACATGTCAGAAATTACTCAATCATATATGCCAGGGTTTACTTCTGGGCTCTCTATTCTGTTTCATTACTCTGTCTGTGTTTATGCCAGTACTACATTGTTTTAGTTTGATTTTATTTTTTAAGAAGTTTCAAGTTTACAGAAATAATCAAATGAAATGTATAGAGTTCCTATATATTCCTTCTCCCCACCAGTTTTCCTTTGTTCTTAAAATCTTGAATTTGTGTAGTGTATTTGTTGTAATTGCATAGGCAATATTGAGAGATTACTGTTAATGAAGGTTCATAGTTTACATTAGGATTCACTGTTTGTATTGTATATGCTATGGGGTTTGACAAGTATGTAAGGACATGTGTCTAGCATTACAGTATCATACATAAAACAAGTTTTACTGCTCTAAAAATCTTCTGTGCTCTGCTTATTCACCCTTTTGTCCCACTAATCTCTGGCAACCACTAATCTGCTTTCTGTCTCCATAGTTTTGGCTTTTCCAGAATGTCATATTGTTGGAATCATACAGTGTATAGTCTTTTCAGATTGGCTTCTTTCACTGAGCAATAAGCATTTAAGGTTCCTCTGTGTTTTTTGGTGGCTTGATGGCCCATTTCTTTTTATTTGAAAAGTTAGACTTTTAATAAGTTGTGTTGGAACACCTAGATAATCATTTGGTAAATATGAAGTAGGAGACATACTGTACACCGTACACCATCATAAAATCCAGATGGGTCAGACATCTAATTGTAGAAAAAAAGAAAAGAAAAATCAAGAAAAAAAGTGAAGCCAGATAAATACTAAAATAAAATGTGGGTAAATTCACTTATAAATTGGATATAAAGAAAGCCTTTCTATAACTCAAAACCAAGATGAAATAAAAGAAAAGATTGACAGGTTTGCCAGTGGCAACATAAAAACTTTCAAGAAAAAGTTTTTATGTATGAAGAAAACTACCATAAGCAAAACCAAAAGACAAATCATAAACTGGGAATAAATGTTTACAACACATCATATATAAAGGGATAATCTACCTAATATTAAAGGATTCTTAAAAATCAGAGAACACAGGAGAAACTTAAGAGACAAAGGGATAAAACAGGGACAGAGAGCTCATGTAAATCGGTACGCAAATGGCTTTTAGACCTATGAGAAGGTGTTCAAGTTCACTTATAATAGGAGAAATGCAAATTAGAATGGCACTATGTAACTAAACTCAGGTCTGAGCCACTTGAAAACCAAAAACTCAAGAGACAAGTTTTGGTGAATGGAAAGTTAGTTTTTTTTTCCAAGAAGCCAGCAACTCCAGGAAGTCAGTGAACTAGCGTTTGAAGACCGCCTTTCTAAGTTGTGAATCTAGATCAGGAGTTTTTAAGGGAAATAGGGGAAATGATGATCAGAGCATTCTTGTGAACATGCATAGTATCAGGTGGCTGTTAATCATTGCTTTTTCTTGGTGAAAGTCTTGTGGCCTCCTACAGGCTATTAACAGGCTGGTCAGCCCATTCCCAGCGCTGCTGGTATTTTCTTTTATCTTTCTTGAACATCCTGTTTTCCTGAGGCTGTATTAGATGAATAATCTACAAACTCATGCAAAATAATAATTACATTCAAGCAAGCAAGCTTTTTCTAACATGGAGTCAGTAGATACCATTAACCTAATAGATCAGAAAACATTTAAAATCTTGGTGAATTCTCTTGGTAAAGACAAGGGCAAAAAGAGCCCTTAAGTACCTGGCTGGTGTGAGTGCCCGAGGGTCCCACTCCATGGAGAGAGATTTGGCAGTGTCTAAGAATGAGACCTCCACTGACTGTCAGTGCCCACCCCTGCCCTCTGTGCTCTGCATCTTTCCATGTTCCAGGGTGAATTTTCGTGCTAGAACCGTGTAAGTTTCCTCTGCCCACCAGCTTGTAGGCTGGAATTCACATTCTCTGGGAGAAGCTCTCAACCAGTGGCTCTCCTGTTGCTGTTATTCCTCAGGAGGCATGATTTTGAGGCATGTTCCTTGCGCCACTTCCAGCGTTTCCCTTCGGGATTCTGAGACCCTGTCCCCTGGGGGCGCGGGCTGGGAGAGCACCCTTTTTGTCTGCCTTTTCCTCCTGTGTTACCTCCTCGCCTTCCTATACTCCCTGCATTTCCCTCATAAGCAACTTGCACTCTTTTCCTTGTTACAAGTTCTGCTTCTGAAGCTTCCTTACAAATATCTTTCAGTGATTGAAATTGAAATTAGTGTTCTGTGCCTCCAGGCCCTGCTCCCAACACCCTCTAAAAGTGACCTGCTCTGAATTCCTAATGATTTACCATTTCTGGAAACTTAACTCACATATCTTCTATGTACTCCCTAGTAATTTCCTTTTTTTTTTTAATGTGAGGTGTAAACTCCTGGAGGAGAAAAAGTGTGATTCTCAAGGGTCAGGTGTCGTGTCTTGCATATAGTTGTCACTTAGTACATTTGTTGAATGGAAAGTAGTAACACTTTTCTAATTTTTTCTCAAAATTCTTGTATACACTGATGTGATATTTATAAAGCTTCTTTCTTCTTATGTGTTTTCTTTTTCATCTGTTACACAAAGACAATCATGATCGTTTCTGTTGTTGAAAAAGTGTGACTTTAACCATTTTTTCCTCACTTCTCATTTAAAAATAAAAAATTTACAGCAACATGGACCTAGTAAAACCTGATTTAACCTAGACCAAACCTACAAGAAAATATGGCTCTTGACAAGTAGTAACTGTCTTAAAAAGAAGGCGGATTCATTTAAACCATTAGCACACCTGTAGGTTGCTGGTACCCGGCATTATCCCTACAACATTGGTTTTCTGTAAGATCGATTACTTGACCTTGCCTGAAAAGATTTTTTCAGAATCTAGCTGTGAACCTGTTATTATTGTTTTAACCCCAATATGGGTACATAAAATGGATACAATTCCCAGTGGTCAGAGGACATACACTGGAATACATTTAGCAGGAAGGCTGTAGCAGAGCGATTAGCAGAGATTAAGAAAGTAGTATTAAAGATTTGGTGGCTGTTCCTCGTATATTCATATATTCAAAATAAACTTTAAAATGTGTAGGGCAGTGGGACTCTGACTCATAATGTTAGTTTTAAACTAATTACTCTTATAGTAGTGCTGTTCCCTTTATTGAAAAATAAGTGTTGTATTACAATGTTCAGGCTCTTTGTCTTTATACACATACCAGTTACATAAACGGGTAGTATTTTCTAATTGTATTTGACCCTAGGACTCAACAGATGCAAATGGTTTATTTGCATTCCATCTATGGCAGCTAGTTCAGAAACTTATTCAACTTTCTCCTGAATTGGCAGAGACAAAGGGTCTTCAGTAGTGACACAGTTCATTCTGGTTATTCACCACATCTAAATGATGGACATCTAAATGATGGACTGTCATATTTATCCTGTCCCTAAATCTCATTTTCTCATTCTTCTAAGTGTTGATATTTGGGTCTCCCTACTGAAATTGTACAGAGTATCATTTTTGGGGGGTCCTTTTGTAAGGCAACTTTTTTGAGATATAATCCACACATTGTACAGTTCACTGACTTAACAGATGAGCATTCCCAGTTCTCCATATTTTTGCCAGTGCTTGTTATTGTCCATATTTTTTGTTCTAGCCACCCCAATGGGTATGAGGTGGTGATAGGGACAGGAGGCAGGGAAATTCTGGGCAGAAAAGGACGGGTCCCTGGTGAAGTCCCTATCCTCAAGCCAAAGAGCCTGGAACTGCAGCCCAAAGTGAGAACTTATGCTCCTGTTTTCTGCTCCAATGTTGCCTTTTCCAAAACCACCCATGGCCCTGCCCCCAACCCCCATCCTGTGCCTATAAAAACCCCAGAGCTCTGCCAGCAGAGGGGAGAAGCAGCTGGACATCGGAGACTATGGTTGGATGTCGGAAAGAAGCAGCTTAACCTCGGAGGGACAGTTTGATGATGTTGCTTTGGAGAGGATTCTGGCCAGGACGGCTGGACTCCAAGGGAACATTACCTTCCTGCCCTGTCCCTTTTTCATCTCCCCTTCGCGCTGAGAGCCACTTTCACCAGGAATAAAATCCCTTGCATTTACTGTCTTCAGTTCGTTCGTGTGACCTCATTCCTTCTGGACGCCAGAGAAGAACTTGGGTGCCACAAGTGTGGGTGCAAACGGTTGTCACACTGACCGTCCACTGAGCTGTTAACACTTAAGCCATCCACAGACAGCAAAGCTAAAAGGGCACTGTTGCACTTCCTCTGGGGCTTCGGATCACGGGCACTGTACCCTAAACCCTGCTGCAGGGCCAGTACAGAGTTCGCTCTTGCTCCTCCCCAAAAGCGCTCGCCCCAGCTCCTGCACCTGTTCACATGCACTCCCCCTCCTGTGAGGTTTGGAGCAGTCAGTGAGTAGAATTCGCCCCTGCCAGCACCAGCACGAGTGCACTCCATTTCCCGCCTGTGAAGGGGTCAGGGAAATAATCTGCTTCTGTGGTACTTGTGGATTTGAGTTACATTTCTCTAACGACTAATGATGAGCATCTTTTTTTGTTCATGGTGGTCATTTACATATCTTCTTTCAAAAACGTTTTCAGATCTTTTCAGATCCTTTGCTCATTTTTAATTGGGTCATTTCTTGTTGAGTTTTAAGATTTCTTTATAGATTCTGGTTAAAAGTCGCTTATCAGATAATATGATTTACAAATACATTCTCCTATCCTGTGCGTTGTTAATAATATCATTTTATATTTAATTTTTTAAGCTCTCATAGAAGGATTACTAATCTTTTACTTGCACACTTCTGGTACCCAGAAGTTCTTCAGTAGAGGTTTATGAATAAATGAGTGGTGTATCTTTACCTCCCTTCTCAACTACTAACCAAACTAAATATGCTTAGTTCCTCAGTTGAGCCTCATATTTTGCCATCTCTCAATCTCTCAAGAGTGAGAATGACCATTCTTTGGAAGTCTGTTGATGTACCATTGTGCCTTATTGCAGAATGGTGTTCCAAACTGGACTGTAATGTGACTTCCCTATTTTGGGTACATTGAGGGTATCAGTTCCTTTGAACTTGATACTGCTTTTCTATTTATTCAACTTAAGATTTCATGACTTTTTAATGCAACTCTGTTATTATTTTGCAAATCAGTGAACTATTGTTATATTCCGTGGAATAATAGATCAAAGTCAGAGAAAGTGCGTAAGTGAAAAATAGAGGATATCAGCCTTGACAGCAGTTCATAGAAAAAGACCTGGGCTTTTTAGTTAACTAATTTTATATAATTCAGTGGTAAGACAAACTTCAATAGTTTTGTTGTTCTTTGAAGTTTCTTGGTGGTTTTATTTTTAATGAAGTTCTTCCTGTCAATTAGAGCTGTGAAATAATGGAACGGGTGACTTGAAAAGTAATGACTTCCCTGTCACCAACATTATTTAAGTAGAGGCTGGGTGACTAACAGGGATATTGTAAGAAGGGGCTCTTGAATGGAGGGTCCATGACTGAGTAACCCATGAGACCAGCTTCTTTCACCTCTAATTTTGTGATCTAAGGATCACCTCTGCCAAGATCCTTAGGAGAAAAGGTCAGTTTTTTGTGTACACATGCATTATATTTTCAGTTTATTTTCTCATCAAGCAGATGCCTTTAACCTTGAAAGGCTGCTTTATTTCTTCATTGAATTATTTTGGCTTATAAGGAAAATATGTCTGTAGTACTAATCATTAATGATTTTAAGTGTATATACTCAGATAAATTTTTGCTTAGTTGTGCATTCCCACTTTTTTTTGTCATGAAGTTTCACAGCTGTATTTAGTAAAATCTTTTGAGAGACAGCCAAGTAACTGATTTTTTTGTGGCAAGCCAATGGCATGTCAAATTTGGATTTATGTTGGAAAGCTGTTTTGCAGACATAAAAGTTGAAATAAACAGCCAAATTATCATTTCTCCCAAATTTGGATGTGGGAAAGTGAATATGTGTTTGGCTTTTATTTCTGGAATAACTTGAGAATGGATAAATAGGTTTTCCTGTGTGCTGTATTAAACGTGTGCAATTTTGCAGCAAGTCCAAATGTGAGAAATTTAATCCCAAAGAATTATGTTAAGTGTTTGAAAAACATCTATTACTTGGGATCATCTCCTGTGTGCCAGGCACTAGGCCAGGTGCTTTACAAATGTTATCTCATGTAATCCCCAAAATAGAACTGTGGTTTTATAATCATTTCTGTTACAGGCACTAAAATCAAGGGCATCACAGTTTAAGGTAATTTGCTCAAGGTCACAGAATCAGTAAGTATGAATTACAAATTTGGGATTCGGACCCAAATCTTCTTGTCTCTGGTCTCTGGCCTATTCTTTGAAGGCTTCCCCAAGTTCTTCAAGTTTTACTTATTTTTGTGCTGTAATAGGAAATTATAAGTAAGGTTCAGATATTTGTTATTTAATAATGTGACTTCTGATTCATACTTAACAGTATTTCAGTATGTTTAATTCTGGTTTTGTATAATGATTTAAAATCCAAAATAGCAGTGATGCAGGATTTTGACTCCTTAGTTCAGCTAAATCTGGGTTCTTATCTCATGACCAGAAAGAATTAAGCACATGGACACATTGAAGGGTGAGGAGGGTGGAATTTATTAACCTCTAAAGGAAAGCTCTCAGCAAAGAAAAGGGTCCTGCAAGAAGGTTTCCACCTCACAAATTGAATACCAGGGCCACCATACAGGAGCTGAAGAGGCTACGCTCCTCCCTGCATAAGGCGCAAATTCCTGATGGCTCCGCCCAGTTCCCTCAGGGCACATGTGGGCATGCCCAGGCAAGCCATAGGTAGTATTGGAAAAGACAACATTCCATTGGTTAAAAGGCATTATTCAGAAAGAATCAATTAGGAAAGGGCAGGCAAACTGGGGCAGATGTTCTCCCTTTGGGTCTTGGGTTTCATCTGAGACCAGCAGTCCGGTCTTCAGCCTTCAGGCTGTTTTAGGCTTGAAGGTGAGGTTTCACCAGGGACCCTTCCCTATCTGCCTAGGCATTTGTCTGCCTCCTGCCTCTATCAGCAGCATTTCTCTATTATAATTGTTAGGAACAGAAATAATTAATCTGTGTCCTAGACTATTTGTAAACTCTACCTCAATGTAAATGTAGTTTTATAATTAAAATGAAGGATCATCAAGAATCTAGCTATTACTTTTTTTTGAAAATTAATTTTCCTCCAACCTTTTTTTTTTTTTTTTGAGATGCAGTTTCTCTCTATTGTCAAGGCTAGAGTACAGGCCCACTGCAGTCTTGAATTCCTGGCCTCAAGCAATCCTCCTGCCTCAGCCTCCTGAGTAGCTGGGCCCACAGTTGTGCACCACCACACTGGGCTAATTTTTAAATTTTTTGTAGAGACAGGATCTAGCTTTGTTACCCAGGCTGGTCTCAAACTCGTGGGCTCAAATGTCCTCCTGCCTCAGCCTCTCAAAATGCTGGGATTATAGATGTGAGCCCACACTGGCCCCCTCCAACTTTTTATGGGAGGTGTTCCTGAATGGAATGGCTTGGCCTTTGTTGTACATCAAGGTAATAAATAAATGGTCCTCACTTATGGCTTAACTTTATTTTCCCCAAGGATTTGGCACAGGTGTTGTGTGACCCTGATTCAGGGTTTGTGGAACCCCCTCTGGGTAGTGAAATAGATGATCTTCTCAAGATAGATTATACAATCATGCCTTAGGCTGGTCTTTGAGTGTTATATTATCTCTTCCTGGCTCTTTTAATTTTCTGCTACAGACAGAACTTCCATTGTATTTAAAATAGCATTTATTTTATAATAAGGCTGAAAAAAAAACAGTACAAAAGACTTAGAAGAATATAGTCAAGGTAGAGTTGATGTCAAATGGAAATGGTAACATTCATTTAAGTAGAGCAATTAAAAATGGCCTTGGGGCTCTTAGTTTTACTTGCCATATTGTCAGTTCTGGAGCCACTGGTAGGTATTTTGTCCTTATCATTTCAAAGCACACAGTTGAATTTATTACTTCAGTTATTATCCTCAGTTACTTCTATTTTTTAGGATACTTTTAACTTGAAGGATTAAAAAAAACTAATCATATAGAACCATCTAAAGCCAACATAAATTTAAATCTTAGTCTCATTTTTATCTTAATGATAAAATAATGAATTAAAGCTTTTATACATTCCGTGTTGAAGTTGTCTCTAGTGTATTCATGATTGAAAAATATACTCTACATGTACTTTCAGGCTTATATGAAATACTTTTCAAGTATCAAATATTTATGGAAAAAAAATCTGCGTTGGCTCTGAATCTGTTACACCTAGAGCCTCACTGTAACACTGTCCTTGGGTTCTGTAATGATTAACATTTGGCACTTAAGTAATAAAACCAGTTTTACAAGGGCCAAAATGGACCCTTGTAAATGAAAGTGGCCTCTAAACATACTAAAATGCATGATAACTTTAACAAATCTTTAATTCTAGATTCTTTAGAGGGTGTCACCATAGGATGATTGATGCTGAAAATGAGCTATGTCATGTTCACTTTTTCTCTGTTACGTACTGGATGCTTATTTATTTAGAAATTTGGTGCATAAATTGTTGTCTGACACTGTTTGAATATTTAATGGCCAGTCATTTCTATGTTACCCCTAAGGATGTCTTCCTTTACTTTTAGAGTTCCTATGGTTCCTCCTCAAGTTATGAATTAGTGTTTTCATGAGGTAGCAGAGAAGTGTCCATATTACCTTAAAGCACACATAATTAGAAACATAAATGCACTGAATACACTTAGCACTCAACAAACACCTGTATTGTTACCTAAAGGCCAAATGATTATTCTTGGATTATCCACAGTGTAGCTGGTCTGTATCACTCTTCATTCGAATTTAGAATAGGTAATTAAAAGTCATTTATCTGTGATTGTATTGCTCAGAAACATGAAGTATGAAATTTCTATACCAGTGCCTCATAGTAAATTCTTTCCCTAAAGACAAGTAATTATGGATCCAGAAACATTTTTCCTTCACTGAGGAGAGGGGTGATTAAAAAGCTCACTTCGAAGTCCAAAATACTGCAGATTTGTTGAGACAGTTTTGTTTCCCTGACATGTTGATTGCACTTCACATCACACACAATACCGAGGGACTTATTCTGTAAGGTTTCTGGCCTTCCCCTTTATCATAATTGCAGAGTGTCACATTGATCTGATGGAGATGGATTTAGAACAGTTGTTGATTGGAAGCTCTTGATAAAGACAGGGAGTTCAAACACAGACTCTGCCTGGAAATTCAGCGTGAACATCCCTCATCTATCATAATTTAACCGATGAGAAAGATCAAGTTAACCTGCCATCCATCATATCTATTTAACTGTACTCCAGAGTGAATTAAATTGTATTTAACAACTTTTATCTTACAGGGTTTGCACACTGAAAGAGAACAGCACTTCTTCATCAAGTTGTTGCTCTCTGTTTATCAATTTAAGATTTTGAAACTTGTTCTAAAACATTCAATATCCAGTAAATTCCTTTCAAAGACTTTATGGTCCTTAATTTTCCCCCAAGTTTTGTTCTTACTGGTAATAATCAATATCAGTTTAGTACTATAGCAATGGAGAAGTATTCTTAGGATGCAATGGTATAAAATAGTATCTTATCCTTGAAAATAGACGTGCTCAATTGAAATAAGCTTGGTTGGTATTGCAAGTATTAATTTGGAGTACTTTCAGACATTTTAAGAGGTATCGTTTTAGGGCCATAGAATAGTAGAGTTAGGAGGGCACCTGAAGATCTAATTTAATCCTTTAGTTTGCAGCTAAGGAAACTGGGCTCTAAGGGTACATGACTGTCATAACAAGGCCATCTAAGTTATCTGCAATAGTGCTGGGATAAACATGCAGGATTTCTGACTCCTGGAATAGCTTTTCTTTGATCCTACCATGTATCTTTATGTACAGATTCTATGTGGATTCTCTGAAACTCATGTCTTATCAGTATCTTTTAGGATTAAGGGAGAGGGGAAAGATAACCATGGCACGAAATAATATAACAGACCCTTAAAACTTGATACCATCAATTTTGAGTTACAAGAGGAAATAAATGGGGAAAGTAAGGGAAAGGAGATCACTCTCTGTTCTTGCTTTTCTCCAACCTACTAACATTAGAGAACTGATAAAAAATTTATTCATAGACTTTGCTGATCAAATTGTTATGTGTTGCCATCTTGAATAATTTGTACATCTGCAGAAGCAAGAAAAAATTAAGTTTTCTTTTTGGAGAGCAAGAAAATTCAATAAGAAAACATTTTCTAACGTCTTGATAGAAATTATTGGTATAAAAACTTAGGTCTTTAGTTAGGATTTGATCCAGCCCAAGATGGAAAACACAAAATAAGAATGGTGTAAGCAAGTAGAATTTATTTTTCCTTTAAAGGAAAAGGAGTACACAGGTTCCTTCTTTGCCTTCTCTGTCTTCCTAATGTGGCAATGAAGGTTCAACATACCTTCCCCAGCCCTGGCCATCACATCCTCAGCTAGCCTGAAGGGGTGAGTGATGAACAGTAGGGCGAGGGGAAGGGCCAGTATGAGCTGGCTTCGAAGGTGGTGTCTTAAGCAGCCACATGATACTTCTACTTCCATTTCATTTTCATTGATCAGAACTTAGTTATGAGAATACCTATTGCTTCAAGGAAGACTGGAATATTCAGTCTGTATTCTGGGTAGCCAGGAGTCCAGCTAAAATCAGGATTGTGTTACTTTATTTGATCTTAATAAATTATAATATTTGATTTTTTATTTTTAAAAATATTACTTTTTTTAGAGACAGGGTCTTGCTCTGTTGTTGCTCAGGCTGGAGTGCAATGACATGATCATAGCTCACTGCAGCCTTTGCCTTCTGGTCTCAAGTGATCCTCCCACCTTGGTCTCATGAGTAGCTGGAACTACAGGTATGCACCCCCATGCCTGGCTAATTTTTGAAATTGTTGTAGGAACGGAGTCTCACTATTGCCCAGGCTGGTCTCGAACTCCTGGTCTCAAGTGGTCCTCCCACCTTGGCTTCCAAAAACGCTGAGATTTCAGGTGTGAGCCACTGTGCCTGGCCTCACAATATGGACTCTTGAGCCCCATAACTGAACCGCAGAATAAGAATCCCTGTGTTTATTTGGAGGTTCTTTTCCAGCAAGCTTTTCCAGGGCTCCCTATGCAGCCAGCTTCACATGTTTAGGAATCATTGCACTACAATATAGGCTAGACATACTGATGCAGGATTTTTGCTCCTTAGTTCAGCTAAATCTGGGTTTTTGTCTCATGACCAGGAAAAATTAGGCATGTAGACACATTGAAGGGTGAGGAGGGTACAATTTATTTATTTTACTTATTTTGTATTTTAAGTTCCGGGATACATGTACCGAATGTGCAGGTTTGTTACATAGGTGTACATGCGCCATGGTGGTTTGCTGCACCTATCAACCCATCATCTAGGTTTTAAGCCCCACATGCATTAGGTATTTGTCCTAATGCTCCCTTTTCCCTTGCCCCCCACCCTCCAACAGGCCCTGGTGTGTGTTGTTCTCCTCCTTGGTTTCCATGTGTTCTCATTGTTCAGCTCCCACTTATAAATGAGAACATGTGGTGTTTGGTTTTCTGATCCTGTTAGTTTGCTGAGAATGATGGCTTCCAGCTTCATCCATGTCCCTGCAAAGGACATGATCTCATTCTTTTTTATGGCTGCATAGTATTCCATGGTGTATATGTGCCACATTTTCTTTATTCAGTCTATCAATGATAGGCATTTGGGCTGGCTCCAAGTCTTTGCTATTGTAAATAGTGCTGCAGTAAACATACGTGTGCATGTGTCTTTATAGTAGAATGATTTATAATCCTTTGAGAATATGCCCAGTAATGTGATTGCTGGGTCAAATGGTATTTCTGGTTCTAGATCCTTGAGGAATCAGAGCACAGAATGTATTAAGCAAAAGGAATGCTCTCAGCAAACAGAGGGTCCCTGTAAGCAGGTTTCCACCTCACAAACTGAATACCAGAGCCACCATGCAGGAGTTGAAGAGGCCAGGCTCCTCCCCTGCATAAGGCACAAATTCCTGGTGGCTCCACCCCATTCCCCCAGTGCATGTGGGCCTCCAGTCCACTGTGGGCATGCCCAGGCAAGCCCCCTGGGCAGGTTCTCTTTTCTGCACAAAACATCTGGTGTAAACCCTTGTGGGGCAGGTTGGAGATTCTCCGGGTACCCTTCCCTAATCCTAGGGGATTTGGCTGTCTGCTGCCTCTATGACTACCTTACCTACCATAGAGATGAAGGTTCCTCACACTAAACATTTCACACTTATGAAGGGGTCAGAACTCTCAGTATATTCCAAACCTACATCCAAAAGTAAAGCTGGCACACATCAGCTTTGCATTAAATATCTTGAAGCCATTTCTGAGCTCACTAGGACAATGGGCCCAGAGGACAAATGAGTAATCTTCATTTCGAGTACCACAAAGGACGACAGAGATCAAGCACCCCAAATCTGTATGTGTCAGGGGCAGTGGAGTGTGGAGGAGGATCTACAGGAAAAGAAGGAACATGATGGTACATTATTTCTGTTGAAAGCAAATGAGGGCACAGTGCAAATGCCAGGCAGGCACCTGTAATCTGTGACATTTCAGCTTTTAAATTTGATTTTGGCTTATCTAATAAATATGGGATCTGTTTATATTATTGTGATTTCATGTCTACTTAAGAGTTTAATGTTATAATTAAGTCCTTACTAGTTTTGTGAGTACTAAATCGAAGAATTGCTATCATGTAATTCTTTGAACAGATAAACATTTTTGGGAGAGGGAAGGCAAATCTGGATTCTGGTAGGGTTGATATTTAATATTTATCAGTTATGGTTTCAGAAGAAGTGAAACTGACTACAGATCTATTACCTATGTTAATTAAAAGAAGGGAGCAAATGGCATGGAATTTTACTACTCCTTGAAAAAGTTCTACTAGCATTAATGTTCTAGGGGGTATTGCTAAATTCAGTTAAAATTAGTCCATGGTAGCCTCGTTGGCATAATAGGGAAAAAGTGAATTCTCCAAAGAATGAAGCTTTCAAATTCATTAGGACAAAAAATTACCTGTCTTCCTCTGGGTATTTATTTTTGCTACAGCTTGAGCTCCTCTCTTAGTTTCAGTGCCACTTGATAGTATGGACAGATAAAACTCCACGGTGGGGGTCACACACACACACGTTAACCAAAAATAAAATTCTAAGCCCTGCAACCAACTGAATGGATCCCCCTTATGGCCGAGGGGATTCCAAAGAAACCTGAAAAACTAGTTCAGGTCATGAAAGGAAGTGGGGACCAGGCATGCCTCATTGTACCTTCTCTCTTTTGGAGTTTAGATACAACTGACCAGCATTAACATTAAAACAGAGATCTGGCTGGGCATGATGGCTCATGCCTGTAATCTCAACACTTTGAGAGGCTGAGGCAGGCAGATCACTTGAGGTCAGGAGTTTGACACTGGCCTGGCCAACATAGTGACACCCCATCTATACTGAAAATACAAAAATTAGTTGAGCATGGTGGTGGGCGGCGCCTGTAATCCCAGCTACTCGGGAGACTGAGGCAGGAGAACAGCTTGAACCTGGAAGGTAGAAGAAGTTGCAGTGAGCCGAGATTGTGCCACTGCATTCCAGCCTGGCCAACAGAGGGAGACTCTGTCTCAAAAGCAAGCAAGCAAACAAACAAACATTAAAACAGAGATCTTAAGACTGATAGAACATAGTCTTTGTACCAAATTCCAGCCTGACTCTAGTATAACATCACATGACAGATAAAGAAGGAAATAGAAATATTTTACCCTAAAATATGTCTCTAAATATACCTAAAAAATATACCTAAAAAATTTGCCATATTTTGAAATGGCTCTTTTCATCTATAAAGAATGTCTATTAACATAACTAGATCTTTCCCCTTGCAGTCCTTCCCAGTCCTAAAGAGATTAACTAATAGTCTGGCACCTTTCAAGGTCTTAAAAGAGGCATTTACCATCTATTCTTTCTGAAGCCTGCTACTGGGAGTCCTCATCTAATCTACCTAACAAGAACTTTGGCTTCCACAACTTCCCTTATCTTAAAGTCAAGCATTTTTTTTTTTTTTCCTGTTGACTTCAACTTCAGGTAAAGCTGAACTCTTTTAACCAATTGCCAATCAGGAAATCTTTGAATCCTTCTTTGACCTGAAAGCACCGCCTCCCCCCACCCCACCCTGGCCAAAATATGTAGTATTGATTGATGCCCTTTGTCTCCATAAAATATGTAAAACCAAGCTATAACCTAACTACCTCAGGCATATGTTCTCAGGACCTCCGAAGGCTGTGTCACAGGTCATGGTACTCACATTTGATTCAGAATAAATCTCTCTGAATATTTTATAGAGTTTGGCTTTTTTTGGTCAACACTCACATGACTTCAGGGCTGAGAGACAAGTGACCTTAGTCACTAAGTGGCTGGGCATAAGAAGGGTCACAACTGCTTAGCTCCAGGTAGGAATATAGGTCTAGTTTTGGCAGATCTTCTGAGTTTTCATAAATGCCAAACTCTGGAATTTATTTTATTTATTTTTATTTTAATTTTTTTTGAGATGGAGTCTTGCTCTGTCACCCAGGCTGGAGTGCAGTGGCATGATCTCAGCTCACTGCAACCTCCGCCTTCTGGGCTCAAGCAATTCTCCTGCCTCAGCCTCCCAAGTAGCTGGGATTGTAGCAGGACTAGCTGCGGACAAAACCTCTCAGACACCGAGTTGTAGAAGGAAGGGCTTTATTCAGCTGGGAGCATCAGGAAGCTACTGCCTTAAAATCCGAGCTCCCCGAATGCTTAATTACTGTCCCTTTTAAGGGCTCACAACACTAAAGATTTCACATGAAAGGGTCGTGATTGATTTGAGCAAGCAAGGGGTACGTGACAGGGGCTGCATGCTCTGGTGGTCAGAGAAAAACAGAACAGGGCAGGGAGTTTCACAATGTTCTTCTATACAATGTCTGGAATCTATGAATAACATCACTTTCTAAATTATGAGTTGATTTTTAACTACTGGGTTTAGGCCAGGCAGGGCCAGGCCTGGTTTCGGGCCTGGCGCTGGGCTGCCTGTCTTTGGTCTTATTTCCTTGTTGTTTTTTCTTAAAACAGGTACTGAGTATAAAACAATATAAAATAATATGAGAGGTCTTTCTCTTCCTTCAGGATTACAGGCTTGTGTCACCGTGCCCAGCTAATTTTTATATTTTTAGTAGAGATGGGGTTTTACATGTTTGCCAGGCTGGTCTCGAACTCCTGATCTTGGGTGATCCACCTGCCTTGGCCTCCCAAAGTGCTGGGATTATAGGCGTGAGCCACCACGCCCAGCCCCAACTCTGGAATTTTATTTTATTTTATTTTTTATTTTTTTGGAGACAGAGTCACACTCTGTCATCCAGGCTGGAGTGCAGTGGCACAGTCTTGGCCCACTGCAACCTCCGCCTCCCAAGTAGCTGGTATTACAGGTGCCCGCCACCACGCCCATCTAATTTTTTGTGTTTTTAGTGGTGACGGGGTTTTACCATGTTGGCTGGGCTGGTCTTGAACTCCTGACCCCGTGATCCACCTGCCTCGGCCTCCCAAAGTGCTGGGATTACAGGCATGAGCCACAGTGCCCGGCCAACTCTGGAATTTTTAAACGGAAACTTTTTTGTCTTTAAATGTTGCCAGTGAATTTGAAACCCGTATGTAATCTTCCGTCTACCTGTTTGTTTTTCCTCTGCTCCATGTAATAAGGTGTAGTTTGTTCCCATAGATTAGACAGACTCCAGGGCTTGTATTCAACCAGTGTGCATCTGGCTACTAAAGTGTTAAAATACCTGTGGACTGGCTGGTAAGTAGCCACTGCCTAGTGCTAGTGGTCCTGGGGAATGTTGTGTGTTCAGTGCTGGGGCCTGTGCCAGCCCCTGGTCTCCTGGCCTGTCTATGGCAGTTTCCTGTACTAGCCCTGTCTTCTGTACCTTTGGACCAATGTGGGCCCAAGTCACGATGAGAATCTGGCATTCTCAGCATAGGGGCAATGAGACACGCTGAAAACCAAAACCTGGATTCTGATAGGCTCTGCTCCTTCTCCCCAGGCTGTGGCTGTTGGCTGCTCATTGGCATATCCCAGTGTTGTCTTTGTGTGGCCAGTTCAGGGTACTGTAGCTTTCCCTTTGATTAATGAATATAACATTCATTAAATATTTTGGATTTCACTCTGCCATCTTTAATGCACGCTTCTCAAAGATGCTTTATCAATATGTTTTGCCCTTAGAGTGATCTTTTTCCATAGACATAGAGTTTTATCATTCATTCCTTTGTATTGATAAGGCTGCCTTTCTTTTGATTATATTAGGTTGGTGCAAAAGTGATTGCAGTTTTGGACCATGATTTTTAAATCATTATAACTAGGCTCAAATACATCTTTATTAATCAAAATAGGAACCATTGCAATCAACACATTTTTGCCAACGAGAAGTAAGTTTGTTTATTCCTGTAGCATAAAAATCCATGCTTCGGGATTCAGTGAACTCTTGGAAAGCATTTTCTGCATTCTGCTGGTTGTGGAAGCGTTTTCCCTGCAGAAAGTTGTTTAGATGCTTGAAGAAGTGGAGGCCAGTTGGCGAGAGGTCAGGTGAATATGTTGGATGAGACAAAATTTCATAGCCCAGTTTATTCAACTTTTGGTTTTTTTTTTTGAGACGGAGTCTCGCTCTGTTGCCCAGGCTGGAGTGCAGTGGCACGATCTCAGCTCACTGCAAGCTCCGCCTCCCGGGTTCATGCCATTCTCCTGCCTCAGCCTCCCGAGTAGCTGGGACTATAGGCGCCCGCCACCACACCCGGCTATTTTTTTTTTTTTGTATTTTTAGTAGAGACGGGGTTTCACCGTGTTAGCCAGGATGGTCTCGATCTCCTGACCTCGAGATCCACCCGCCTCGGCCTCCCAAAGTGCTGGGATTACAGGTGTGAGCCACTGCGCCCGGCCAGTTCGTTCAACTTTTGAAGCATTGGTTGTGTGACATGCAGTCAGGTGTTATTGTGGATAAGAATTGGGCCCTTTCTGTTGGCCAATGCCGGCTGCAGGTGTTGCAGTTTTTGGTGTATCTCATCGATTTGCTGAGCATACTCAGATGTAATGGTTTTGCCAGTATTCAGAAAGCTGTAATGGATCAGACTGGCAGCACACCGCCAGACAGTGACCATGATTTTTTTTTGGTGCAAGTTTGGCTTTGGGAAGTGCTTTGGAGCTTCTTCTTGGTCTAGCCACTGAGCTGGTCATTGCTGATTGTCATATAAAAATCCACTTTTCTCGTCGCACATCACAATCTGATCGAGAAGTGGTTCGTTGTTGCACAGAATAAGAGAAGATGGCACTCAAAAATGACAGTTTTTTTTTTCTAATTTTCGCTCACCTCATGAGGCATCCATTTACTGAGCTTTTTCCCCTTTCCAATTTGTTTCAAATGCCAAACCACAGTAAAGTGGTCGACGTTGAGTTCTTTGACAACTTCTCATGTAGTTGTAAGAGGATCAGCTTTGATGATTGCTTTCAGTTGGTTGTTGTCAACTTCTGATGGCCAGCCACTATGCTGAACTTGAATAAGAAAATTGCTCAAATTTGCTTTCTGTCTAACATCATTTCCATAATAAACAGCAAGTAGTAAGTCATTAGCATGACAACATAAAGCGAGAAATGTGCATTAAAATGATGTATAACATAACCACATTTGTTTAAAAATGTATTCCAATATCAAACAGAAAATTTCAGCAATGCAAAAACTGCGATTACTTTTGCACCAACCATTTTCCTTTTGCTTTCCCATTCTTCAACTTTAGGATAAATGGGGAGTGGATACAGCAGGCACCTTGGGAGTCATTGGATTTTCCTAGTTTGTCTAGTTTGTCTCTTATCCGTTGTATTGCCATGTTCTGCTCATTACCGTCTTATGGGCCTGCTCCTTGGGGCTTAGACAGTCTCCTTGCCTTTGCTTCTGCGGCTCTTGCTGCTTAGAAAACACTTCTGGTTCTATCACCTATGCTGGTGGGGTTGCATCATCTTTGATTTTCTACAGCTATAGGTAATGTCTTTTCCTTGAACATTTAAGGAAAGTGGCTCCATCTGTGTGTCTCTTAGAGTATTTACCACTTTGTATTTCCTGTCCTGTATTGACGTGAAAAAATGTCTTTTGTCTCTACTTAAACTCCAAGGCTGCAATGTCCATTACAGTCTCTGTTAGCCACATTGTGCTGTTTAAATTTAAACTCATAAAAATTAAGTAAAAAATATAGTTCCTCAGTGGCATTAGCTGCATGTGGCTGGTGGGGACTGTATGGAACAGTACTGAACATTTCTATCCTCAGAGGAAGTTCTGCTGAACTGGGCTGCTCCCATGGCTTGAGGGCATTGGTTGGTCCTGCCAACCCCACCCTACCCCTCAGCTCCAAGCTTGAAGCAGGCCTGTGACCCTCCTGAATTGTAGTAGGTTCTATTGCAGAAGAATCAGTATAGAGTAGTGGGATTGACCTAAAAGGAGGAAACTGAAGCAAAATTAACATAAGTAAAGAGTTTATTGGGGCCAAGTTTGAGGATTGCAACCTGGGGGCATAAATGCAAGTTGCCCCGAATATACACTCTGTATAGCAGCAGTTACAAGTGGATTTATTTCATTTTATTTTATTTTTAGAGATGGGATCTCGCTCTGTCACAGGCTGGATTGCAACGGTCTGATTATAGGTCACTGCAGCCTGAAACTCCTGGGCTGAAATGATCCTCCTGCTTCAGCCTCTCCAGTAGCTGGGACTCCAAGCATGTGCCGCCGCTCCTGGCTAATTTTTAAAAATTTATGTAGAGATAGAATCTTGCTATATTGCCCAGGCCAGTCTCAAACTCCTGGCCTCAAGTGATCCTCCTGTCTTGGCCTCCCAAAATGTTGGAATTACAGTTGTGAGCTGTGGAGCCAGGCCACAGTGGATTTTTAAAGGCAGAAAAAGGAGACAGAGTGGGCAGATGCAAAGTTGTTTGTCAGGAATTCTCATTGGTTTACAGAAATAACATTGATTAGTGATATGGCTATACATGGTTAAGCTATACGGTATGGGTTATAGTGTCCAGTGTGGCATTATTAGATTAATTTATAGCTACTTTTGGCAACAGGAAGCTGCTTTGAGAGACGAATACATAGCTGAAGCAGGGAGTAGGGCATGATTGAGTTCTCATTTTAATGCTTCTCTGGGCCTCACAGTTTGTAAGGGCTCACATTCCTCAGATGAAAGTGCTTTCTTTCCCCCGTGGTGTGTGTGTAGTGTAAATTCTTGGAGCTTAGCTGCTTGGCTCTGTGTACTGGAGCAAGTACTAAGTTTTCTGAGCCTACATTTTTATAATGGGTAAACAGTCATAATGTGTATAAATAACTCTTTATTCTGAGTTCAAAATGAGAAACCTTCTGAAAAATTTTTAGCATAGTGGTGGCCATACAGTAGGTGTTCCGTGAACATGTTCTTTCATGTGTTGTGCACAGGTGGGCATTGCTCCTGAGAATGCAAGGTGGTAGGCGGCCACCTGGGTCTGTAGCCGGAAGGTGACATGCGTTTTCATTGAGGCCAGAGGAGAGTGGCCTTCTACTCTGAAACATTTGTCTTTTCGGCTGAGCAATGGCCCAAATGACTTGCAGTTTAATCCACAGACAGGATCATTTTTAAAACATGGGCATCAAGGAATTTATCTTCCCAAGCCTGGTTTTTCTTGATGATTTCTAATGAAACTTTGTATTTGTTGGTCACTGATATTTTCAGTTAACGAAAACACATCGGTATTGGACTTTGTTTTTTTTATGGCTTCTGTGAAGCACTGAAGGCTGTCATTTTTGACAAAACTATTGTAACTCTTAATAAGTTGTCTAAGCTTTAAGGCTGGGCAAATAAATCTTAAGGAATTTTCATCTTGGTAAGGTGCCTGTCCCTCTGATGAGATTAGCTTCATATTTCAGGGTGTTCTGTTCTGGAGGAAACCAAGAATTTCTTCAGTATAAGTGAAACCTTAGCACTGGCTTCACCTCAGCAGATGCAGGGGAAATCAGCCTCTTTGTCCTGTAATTGCTTTCATCAAATTGAAGATCCCATGGGAGGAAGTTTTCCTGCAGGGAAATTCCTGTTTATGGGAATGGCTGTGCATCCATTTGTCAAGAGCTATTGTTATTCTGATGTGACACCTTCCATTCCTCCCAGTCCTGTAAAAAATATGACATCTATTAGAACCTAATTACTTATGCCATTAACATGTTGTTCCCCACTGAAATTTCCTGGAGTTTGAAGGAAGACAAGATGTGGGTGTATGATAGATATATTTAGATATTTAAACATTGGAATTACGTGGGAAAAGGTGGTATATGGTAGCACAGTGTAAGAAATTCTATGTAGAATTTTTATCTTCCTATTTTTAAGGCATTATATACAGTTAAAGTCAAATTATTTTAAGTTACAGTGACTAAAAAATATGTTGACAGTTTCTAATAACTTTAAAAAGTAGTCCAACACAGAATTTTGGATGAATGGATGCCAAAAAATGGGCTTTCAGTTCATTTTCTTTTATGGTGACTAGGCTCCTGGGATTTTCTTCGATCTGATTGTGCAAAATAGTTGATGCACTGGATTTTTCCTATCCATTCACAAGTATCCTCCCACCCATTCCTCCAGTCATTCAGCCAGCCATCTGGTAATCATTTTTATTTATAGTGCCAGGAAATTGGGTGGATAAAAAGATGTATATTTCAGAAGTGCAGTTTTATCTTTTTAAGGAACTCCTATCTGGGCACAGTGGTTCACTCTTGTAATCCCAGCGCTTTGGCAGGCTGAGGTGGGAGGATCACTTGAGCTCAGGAATTCGAGACCAGCTTGGACAACATGGAAGAGACCCCAGTCTCTACAAAAAGTGAAAAATAAATAAGTATATAACTCCTTTGGTTTGAAGGAGATTCTGTAATTCTGCATAGCAGATCAGAGTTCTGGCTCTGAACACAGACTCCAGAGCGTACTTGAATCCTACCAGCCAGAAGTATGAGAAATAGCCAAAGACAGCTTGTGGTAAGCCTCAATTTAGAAAATTGTCAATCATTTCTCTTGAAAGTAAAAATTTAATTTAAAAATTGGAAATTAAATTGGATTGATTTGCATAGATTATTTACCCATTAGTTAGGTGCTACATGTGCTTTATCTGATTTAATTTTCATAACAATGCTGTGAAAGAAGCAATCATATTCCTGTCTGACGGATGAGAAAGAGGGGCCAAACATGCATGGCTGCCACCTAACCATTAAAGGAGTCTGGTCTTGGGCTGAATCCATTAAAGTCCCATGCTTAAGCTTTAAGTTGTTCTCAATAGAAAGGAAAAAGTCCAGTCATCCAGTTCTACCACTTGCTACTGCCTGTATGGCCGCTGATTGTCACTTAGCTTTTCTTTGCCTAATTTTTATCAGCTACCACAATGGGAATTAATGCCTTTCTTATCAAATTTAATACACTGTTGTGAGGATGTCGTGGAATAATGTGTGTGAAAATGCTTGCTACAGTGTATCATGTTACATACATGAAAGTTAATATTCTTATACTTATTCCACTGCATTTTTAAATGGAGTCTTTCACAACAGTCTGAGAAATTCTTCTATTCTAGCTAATGTCAGTGAGTTGTCAATTTGTTCCTAAGTGTTTATTGGGCAATTATTGTGAAATACTGAAGTGGTGGAAGTAGAGACAATTACATGACAAATTTTGAATAATATGATATTAAAATAAAAAGAGAAAGAGCTGCTAAAACCTGGTATTTTAATAAATTAGACATATGGAACTCCTGCTTTATTTAAGAAGTAGACATAGGGCTTTATTAGTGCAGGATTAAGCATGTAGTTGGCTAATGTCAGTGAATTTTTCTTGAATATTCGGGACATAAAACAGAAAAGGAGTTTATACGTAGTGTAATTATTTCTTACATATGTTTTGGTCAGTAAGCCGGTTTATAGAGAAACCTATGCTTGTTCCTTAAACTGTAGATTAAGAATATAGGAGTTATTAAAATTAATAATACTTTTGTTTACATAAAAGTAGGACTGCATTATTTAGTAGCTGTTATTCAGAGCTTAGTGTGCTCTTTTCTAAGAGGCTTCATGAGTATCCCGAAATAACTGCAAAATTCATCAAATGGAAATGATTACCATGAAATCAGGCTTCTGACTTAGATTTTTCCACAATTAGTGGGAAAGCATCACACGTGGATTTATGTTATTTGGACAGACTGGGGAAAGCCTAAACCAGACTATACATTTTCAAGAATTACTCAGTAGAGCTTCTTAGAGAGGTCTAGTGAAAACTAAGTAAAATCAGGTTTGAAAAAATTAGACCACATATCTCTACAGATTTGAGGCTCAAAAAGGCCACGGTGTGAAGAAAACTGGATTCTGTTACAAAAGAATGATTAGTGTGTTTGTTTTCCTGCAAGTCATAAAGGCAAGCTAGTTTCTCAGAATGAATATTGAGTGCTGAGGTTTTTGTCCTAGGGCCTTGAAAGGTGGTGGAATCTAGGAAACTGAAATGGCAGGTGGAAAAAAAGGTTCAATTATTCTGTAAAGAGGCATGTCTTCATGAAGAATAGAGTGGGAGTAAGGTAGAGTAATTATCAACTATATTTGAGAAGGTCTTATATAAAAGTAAAATACTGCAACCTACCCAGCACTCTCAGTGCATTTTATGAGGTTCTGTTTTTCCTCTCATAGAATTTAAGATCTATATGATTGGCTTATTATGTTTATTGTTTAGGTTGTCTCACTTATTAAAATATATTCCTAGTGCCTAGACTAGTACCTGGCACATGGTAGGTAATAAATACATATGTATTGAGTGAATAAATGAACCAGAGGCTAGGTTCTTTGTGGCCCTTGGTCTATTTGTCTGAAAAATGAGAACTGTATTGGACACCCCCAATATTTTTCCCAGAGCCACTATGAGGATAATTGTGTTCATCGACTTTTATCTTATTTTTGACTGAGCTGGGGCTGTATTGTTTGCAGTTCAAATATATTTTCTCATAAGAAAAAAACAAAAGCTAAGTGTATTTAAATTCTTAACTCTAGTTGAGAGACCATCCAGGGGATCAGAGTCTGAAGTCAGAATACTAGCCCTGAACCCCAGCATGCCATTTTCTGAGTCTTTCTATCACTTATGTTATAGAAAGGATGAAATCAAAGGAATAATAATAGTGGTCAAGAAAATCACCTCTAACTTTTATTGAACTGGGTTCAAATCCTTAGCCTTTTGTTAGCTGATGACCTTGGGTAAGTTACCCAAATTCTCTAAACATTCCATCTTCTCTGCTGTATAATTTTAATAAGTGGTACTTCTTAGAGTTGTTGCAAGGGTTAAATAAGATAATGGAAATAAGAGTGTATCAGTTCATCAGTCAATGGCAATACGTCTAACCCTTTAAGCCAACCCTTTTGCTAAGAACAATCAGAAAACAGGACCATATATCTGGCCAGCTATTTGAAGTCATGAGAGGACTTCTAAAGAGGAGTTCCATGATCCAGAAGGTCCAGTGCAGTGATTCCTGCATTTGGGGCCACTTTTTTCCTCAAGACTGAGTGTCTCAGCCTCTCAGCCTGAACTTTGGTGTAACTTGACAGTAGACATCAAAGAGCAGAGCTCTCAGAAGACTCACAGGCTCTGGGAGAGGCAACTAAATTGAAGTTTAGGGCCTGCCAAGGAAGAGGTAAATACCTCAGGCTTTTGGATCCCAAAGGCCACATCTTAGGTGTTAGGGTGAATAGGAAGTAGACCAGCTTGACTCATCACAATTACTGATTAGATCAATGTGGGATGGATTGCCAGTGCCCCTAGCATATGTACTTGGCAGAAGACAATCACCATTAGCCAGGCATAGAAGAGATGGTAAATCAGTGACCAGAAACCAAGAGAAAATACAGATAATAGAAACAGATATAAGGGCATCTAGAAAAAGGAATTGAGAGACATTTGCTTTAAAGTAACCATGATTAATATGGTAAAGGAATTGAAGACAAGGCTGAGAATTTTGATATCAGTTACTGGAAATTATAAGATTGTAAAATAGCTAAAATTTTAAAATGATTTAAACCGAGGATTAGGCACATATGAAAAGTAGTGAAAATACAGAATAAAATATCCAAACTGAGTCAAAGAGAGACAAAGATGGAAAATACAGAAACAAACCTATGAGACAAATGGACATGGTGAATATAACCTAATATGGAAATGGAGTCCCAGAAAAAGAGGAGAGAATAGGGGGATAAAGGCAATGTCTGAAGAGATGATCCTTGAAAATTTCCAAAATTGATAAAAGACATTAAGCAGAAATTTGGGAAAATTACAAATGTTTACAAGACAAACACAAAGAACACTATATTTAGGCACATCATCATCAAATAGCTGAAAACCAAAGACAAAGAGAAAATGCTAGAACAGCCAGAAAAAAAAGACATGTAATCTTCAAAGAAGCAACAATAAGATTTTCAGTTGATTTCTCAACAGAAACAATGGAATCCAGAAGACAATGACATGATCTTTTTGAAGTCCTGGGAGAATTCTGCCAATGTAGAATTCTATATCTAATGACGATATCCTTCAAAAACATGAATATAATTCAGATATTTTCAGATATGTAAATTTTTGTCAACCTAGTAAATTCTTTTTTTTTTCTTTTTTTCTTGAGAAGAAGTCTCGCTCTGTCGCCCAAGCCGGAGTGTAGTGGTGCGATCTTGGCTCACTGCAACCTCTGCCTCCCAGGTTCAAGCAATTCTCCTGCCTCAGCCTCCCAAGTAGCTGGGACTACAAGCGTGCAACACCATGCCTGGCTAATTTTTGTATTTTTAGTAGAGATAGGGTTTCACTATGTTGGCCAGGCTGGTCTTGAACTCCTAGTCTCATGTGATCTTCCTGCCTTGACCTCCTAAAGTGCTGGGATTACAGGTGTGAGCCACTGCACCTGGCCCCATCATAGTCTTGACAGTAGGACAGTAAGACGCTTCCTTTCCACATTTCTTTTTACCAGCCACGTGGTGGCTGGATGGCGATTGGTTCTGTGGCCAGCTTGCTCTCTGAAGGGTGGATGGAGGAAGGTGACCCAGCTTCAAGTGTACGTGTACCTTCCAGGGAGAGGGCAGAGGTAAAGCAGGTCTCTGCTACTCCAGGGTTTCTCCCGGTGTGAACTCCCAGGGCTGTTTCTCACTCTCAGTGAAAGCTTTTTCCTCCTTTTCCCAGGGTGTTTCCCTTCTGCTTTCTGTTGTTTGTGGCCATGATTTTTGGTCATCTTTGGAATCTCAGTCTCAAAGCTTTTCTCTGGCTTTTTTGATCCTAGAACAAGCATAGGATCTTTTTAAGTTTCACTTTTGTTTTTTAAATGTAACAGTATGGGACATGTAAGGAGTCAGAACACCACTCCCAGACATACGCATTACTGCAAAGCATGGCAGTGTCCAGGATACTGAAGTAGGAATCAGGTGCACTCTAGAGATGCACCACATGGCTTGTTTGTCTGTCCACACTGGAACAGAGAGATGAAGAGGCAGAAAAGGAGAGGGAGCCTCCATGAGCTCCTGTTTCATATGCCAGCCATCCTAGGTGGTGGTGTATTAGTGTGCTAGGGTGGCCGGAAGACTGGGCGGGTTCCACAGCAGAAATTGATTGTCTCACAGTTCGGGAGACTAGAAGTCCAAGATCAAGGTATTGGCAGACTTGGTTCCTTTGGAGGGCTGTGAGGGAGAATCTGTTTCATGCCTCTGTCCTGGCTCCTGGTGGTTTTCTGGCTCTCTTTTCTGTTCCTTGGCTTTGTAGGTGCATCACTCCTGCCTCTGCCTTTTTACTCATATGGCATTCTTGTTCTCCCTGTGTGTGAATCTTTGTGTCTAAACTCCACCTTGTATTAGAATACAAGTTACTTTGGATTAAGGGTCCACCCTACTTGATTATGTCCTCATCTCAACGAATTATGTCTGCAATGACCCTATTTTTAAATAAGACCTGATTCTGAGGTCCCGAGGGGTTAGGAGTACAACATAAGAATCTGGGGGGATGAAATGAGGACAGAATTTGACCCATAACATTTGGCATTTCAAGGGGACCATTTTTATATAAGGAATGTATGAAAAGTTTAAAAGCCTGTATTTGAGGATTATCTCTGTGGAGGTGACACCTTTGAGATTTCAGGAAAATGTTTGAGAGGCTGCACTACCCTCTTCCCCAACATACTGCCTTCTTCTACAGGAAGGGATTGTATGATTTTATTTGGGTACGTGGCCCCCCACCACAAGGACTATATTTCCTAGTCCCTCTTGCAGTAGGTGTGGCCAGGTGTGGGCTGTAGACCAGAACTGTCCAGGAGAACTTTCTGTGATGATGGAATTGTCTGGTACAGTAGCCACTAGTCATACAAGGCTACTGAACACTTGAAATGTGGCTAGAGTCTTTAAGGAAAGAATGTTTAATTTTAGTTAGCTTTAGTCACTTTGAGTTTAAAGAGTTACATGTGGCTAGTAGCCCTGTGTTGAACGGTACAGCTGTAGACAGTGGGGTAAATGTGGAAGTGCTTGCACAGCACCTGCCAAGCTCCTTGTGAGGAGGGAGTGCCCCCTTCTTCCTCCCCTTCCTCTGTCCTTCTGCGTGGGATGTGGATGTGCTGGCTGGAGCCCCCTCCTGACAGTGACGATGAGGACTGTACCACAGGTACTGTGGAACTGTGGGTGGAAGGGTTGGGGTTCTTTAAGGACACTGTGGAGCAGAGCTGCCAAATCAGCTCCGGGCTACTTACACACATGAAATATATTTTGGTGAGAAATATTCTGATACCTTATTTAACCCACTGACATTTGAGTTTTCCTGCCCTCTTTGTCTAATTGGATCATAGTTAATATAGGAGGCAAAAGCCAAGTATAAATCCCAGCATCATTAGTGATGATGATAGAAATCTTTTATCTCCCCCCAAATCCTCCTTGCCACTTTTAAACAATCTGAAAAACAGGAAGCAGAGTTGTTGACTTAGGAACCCACAGCCTTCCATTCCCATTATTGGAGGAAGCCCTTAAGGAACTCCCCCACCCCAGTGGGATTAACCACCAATGTTGACTACATGTCCTGAAAACTTTTCTTCTGTAAAAAGTTTAGACCAATTTGTCCATGTTAAACTCTAGTATAATTTCAGAATTCCTCCATTGATATTTCTTGATTACAATTTAAATGGTCTGTTTCTCATGATGAGACAACTGCATTTGAGGAGCAGTTTCACTTACCTGTGACATGTTCTTAAGTCTTCGAGCTGCTCTCATGCTTGCCTTTGGAGTTACTTGCCCAGAAAAACACCCTGAATAGTCTCATGAAGAACCAAGGGGCACTGCAGGAACAGGCCTGGGAGGTAGCCCACTCAGTCACTGCTGAAAGGGAATGGAGGAGGGGACAGAGTTGTTCTTCTCACCCAACTGCATTTCGGCACCCTTTTAGCTGGCAGAATTACCACCCACTATTTTTGCTGGCAGCACTACTGCAAGTTGTGAGTTAAAAAAAAAAACAACAAAAAAAACTCACATTTTTTTTTGGTCAAGCTGTTTTGACAGGGGTTTTGTCTTTAAATAGTAATCACTCATTAATTGCCTTTCTCCCTGCAATCCAGAACCTTCCTGGTTTCCTTGTATACTTTGGAATAGGCAGAGATGTGAGCCACTAACGTTTTTATTTTAAGTGAGATTATGGGTGTGTTTTTAAAAGTATTCCTTGGGGCCCTGTGGGAAGTGCATGTCCTGACCTCTGTAGGACTGGGGCCCTCTGGAAGGGTAATTAGAGTCTGGCCCCATTTGCTCCTGTCTGAGCCGATCAGTGTGAGGAGGTGGTGTATGGTTTGTGCTTATCAGGTCACAGGCATAAAGATGAGGCTTGCTGCTAGACTCACTCCAGTGATGGATGGATCTACTGCCTTGTGGTTTATAAAGTGTAGATATATATTCTCAATTCCATGTTAGGGATCTTGAAAAACCAAAAATCTTTGCAGAAATCTCTGGAGTTAAGCAATTGTGTTTTTAAGTGGAGTTATCTGCCTCCCAAGGCCAGACCTGTCTTCGCTTTGACAAGCATTTAAAAAATTCAGTTAAGCAAGTGGGATAAAAGCCTGTGTTTGCAAATGGCTTAAGAGGCCTGCTGTCTACCATTATAATGACACATAACGTTGGTTAACTTGGTTTTTTGACTCCCTAAGCAAAGGTCTTATTCATTTTTGGTTTTAAGATCTGGTATTCTACTTGATAAGGGTTTCCATAAAAATCCACAAATACATAATATCTAGGTTTTGCTAGGAAAATAGGAATTACAGGATAGTGTTGTGACTAAAGGATATTTTTCTCTGTTATCGCTTTAATAACTATAAAAGGAAATACCATGGTTTAAGTTTAGTTTTGATAAGCTAAATTTAAGTTTATATCCTCTTTTCGCTTTTACATTCTGTTGTTTCATTTGTTTTAAAAAAAAGAACACTCAAGTGATTTCTAAGCCTCTTAGTAAAACAAGCTCGTTAAAGACTGTTTTATAACATCTTTCACATTCCTCTGAAGTACTTTGTAGAATTAACCCTTTACCCTAACTTTGGAAACCACCTGTGTGCTCACTGGCTATGCCTGGTCTAGTTTTCTTTTTGTTCTGGTGAATATTGTGCAGCTGCGGATAGAATAACATTCCTCGTATCAGTCTTTACTCAGCTGTTCAGAATGACTTTTTACTGGCTATTAGAGCCAATAGAAGTTTTCTGTTTTATATTTAAGACCCTCCAACGCTCCAAAATCTGACATTCTTACCTCTCTCATGCCATGCCCCTACCTTATCCTCCCCACCTGTTGGTCACTTTCAGCACAGGTTCTTTTCCCCACAAATCTGGAAAAAATACGTGCTATCTCATGACCACAGGTTACTTCATTTGGCTTCTTTGCTTTCGTATGAGTACACACCCACCTAGAATTGCCTCCTTCACAGCCTCTGTCTCCAACAAAACTGAACTCCCAATGCGGCTATGCATTTCAACATCCAGAGTTGAGCATCAAAGGCCAAAAATGATCAAATGGAAGCAAGTCCCCCTTGGGGTAGGAACAAGGATGCTGCCTGTGGCAGAACAGAGCTCTCTATGCACCAAATGGCTCCAGGTGAACCCCCCCCCTCCATTCCACATAGCCCCCCTCCCCGCAGAAGGACAGACACTGTGCTTTTCACTTACCCCAGTGAGATGCACACATATTTGCTTTCTGTATGTGCCATGGTAATGAGGAAGGCTGGGAAGCACTGACTGGGAAGCATCAGCCTCGAAGATAAGCCCTTGCCTAATGTTCAAGGTCAATGTCACTTTGTTCCCAGCTTACCTTTCTGCCCTGATCTGCTGACCCCAGGAATGCCTGTGCTTCTTGGCTCAGACTACTTCTGCCACAACTTTGAGGTGAAACTGACATTTCTGCCTGTCTGCCGGATGTGTCTCCAGTCGCTTTCCACTGGACCCTCCCCTGACTCACTGTGCTGTTGTAAATAGCCTAAAATGTTAGAATCTCATTCAACGTTTTTGTATCCCTCCACCCACATATTTAACTTGCTTGGATCTTCAATTCCCATTGATACTCCTCTTAATACATTGCCACTGCCATAATCTGCCTTTATTGACCATGCCATTCCAGGTAAGTGATTTCATGTCCTGGGGTCTTGAGTCTCTCATCTGAAAACAAAGGGAGTCAGGAGTCATGTTCTTTACGTATTATTTGGAATTAGACCTGTGTCTGGAAAGTCAAGTTTTTCATGTCCAAGTTGTGTGATTTGGGGTAGAAAACATATTCCCTCCAAACCCCAGTTTCTTCATGTGTACAGTATATACAGTTCTTTACTGATGGTGTTGCTACATCCTGATAGAGAATTAAATGAGACCCATCTTTTCGGTGTGACCTGCACACTACCAGGCACCTAATATACATCTGGTATACACTAACTACTGCAAAAGCCTTCAACCTAGTCAGTTCACTCTCTAGGGCATGATTCTTCCTCTGTGAAAATTTTCCACATACCTTCCTCTCTAGCTAATAGAAAATGCTTTCTCAATTTTTGTCGTTTCTTTTACAGTTAGTAAATAATGACAAGTGTGTTGAGTGCTACCAATGTGAAGTGCAAGTTTGACGGGACATAGGGAGACCTTATTTGGTTAGGGTGGGCTGGGCTGCCACCCCAACCAAATTAGGTTGCCCATGCAGAGTTGTTGGCTGAATGACTTTTCTGCTGTCTGGCATTTACCAAGCGTAATGACACCTTTTTGATTTTTCTTTTTCCTCCTGTTTCCCCTCCAACTCACACATACAGAATTAATTAAATGTTTTTTGGTTTCAACTCTTTATCTCATCTTGTATGGATTAGCCAAATTTCCTGCCTAAGTTATTAAACCAAGTTGAATTCTGCTATATGTGTGTTTGTGTCTTCGGGATCTGATCATCTTTGAGGTATGATTCTGAATGTCATTTGAGCTTATTCTTTATGACATTCTAGAAAAGTATGTATGCTAGGCCTCGAATATATTCTTTTTTTAAAAAAATTTCTATAATTTCAAAAGGTAGGAAACATGACAGTAATGGTTAGTTTTAGATTTTATTTATTTTTATTTTTTAAGACGGAGTCTCTTGCTCTTGTCGCCCAGGCTGGAGTGCGATGGCGTGATCTCGGCTCACTGCAACCTCTGCTTTCCGGGTTCAAGTGATTCTCCTTCCTCAGCCTCCCGAGTAGCTGGGATTACAGGTGCATGCCACCATGCCTGGCTAATTTTTTTAATTTTTTTATTTTTTGTATTTTTTGTTAGAGATGGGGTTTCACCATGTTGTCCAGGCTGGTCTTGAACTCCTGACCTCAGGTGATCCGCCTACCTCGGCCTCCTAAGTGCTGGGATTACAGGCATGAGTCACCGTGCCTGGCCAATTTTAGATTTTATTAATGTTAGACATAGACTCGTGTGTCATAGAAAACAATACTCAGAGAAAACTACGTACCTAGATGTTTTTTGGCCTTTTAGTTAGGCACTTGGCAATGAATGTGTTTTCTAAGTTTATTAGTTACTTTGATAGATATTCCTGGTCTAAAATCTATTTCTTTTTATTTTTTGTAAGTATTCTTTCTGTCTAACCCCTCTTTAAAATAAAAAGTTATTTAGGAGTTTAATGATTTGGGGGGAGGGGCAGATTCTGGTAATGTGATGAACGAGATGGGGAGGAGCAGTCTTGCAAACCTTTGGTTTAGTAGAGAACCAAAACCAGTTTGGAAGGGGATACAGGTCTCTTTCTAGCCATATGTATTTGACTGAACATGTTTGTTTGGAAAAACTAGTAGTTTTGTAAATCATCCATTGAGAGCCAGCAAGTTATCTCTACATTTGTGAAAGAAAAAAATTGAGGTGGATATGGGTTTCCTTTTTCTATGTGTGTCCGTATTGTTTTGATTGTATAGAGGTAGATATTTTTCTTCATTTTGACTGAAAGTAAAGTCAGAATTATATGTATATCTATACATATATATGTATAGATATATTTATTTTCTACATTTTAAGAGGAAGCAGCGTGTTTTAAGAGTGAAAGAAAATAAGCTTTGAAAGCAGACACATCTTGATTTGAGTGCTAGTTACTATCATTAGCTTGCTTATATAATCTTGAGAAATCTTTTCTTTCTCGAAGCCTTAGTTTGCCCATCAGCTAAATGAGCACAGTACATCCTATATGGTAGGGTTGTTGAGTATGAGTGTTAAGTGAGGTAAGTTAAGTCAACACAACGTAGTAAGAGATCAGTAAGTATCAAATTCCATTCTCACTCACTATATGTAATATAAATAGGTTTAAATCAACAGAGTGAGTTTATCTGTAACTGCAGACTTTCTTTGCCATAACACCTTTAAAAAGTTTTAAATGCTTAAATTTACTGTTCTTTCAACTGCCAGTTTAGTGTTAGTTCATATCATTTTGTTTTGGCCGTATTTGCTAATGTTATTGGTGGAGTCATACCATTTTCTGTTGGCTTCATTTATAATTCTATTTTTTTTTTGGCTGTCTACACATTATTTCATTTTGGGACCTGCTACACTGTTGGATTTTTGGCTTTACTCACCTTTTCCCCCCTTCTCCACTTTTGACCCATCTCCTCCTATTTCATTTTGGCACCAGTAAAGTAATGGTTCATGTGTATGCTGGAAGCCTACCCCATACATCTCTATGGGTGCAGTATTCCTTTTTATTGTGTTTTATTTTTCAAAATGACAAGCTTATATTTCCAGTATGTGAAAATGCTTTAGAACTTCTTGTTGAATATAGATTAGTTGACATTTTAAGTCTTAGCCCATGTTGTATGGTTGTGTTTTGGTTTTCTATTTCTTCTTTACTCTTTTCATCATATACCTTGTAGTTTTTGTCATCAGTGAATGATTTTTGAGAATCCTAATGTGCACAGCATTCTGCTGGATCTTGTACTAAGCAGTTTAAAGAGACCCTGTGCAATTACCCGACATTTCCTGTGTGCTTCTTATAGGCAGAATTTCATAGAATACAAATTATCCTCTTCTAGGTACTTGAATCTAAAACAAATATGGACACACAGAGCAAGAAAATAGCTGAACAGTGAGTATGTGAAGAGTAAACCAACAGACACCAGGATTATTCACCATAGGCCAGCCTTCTAGCTCCCAAGATGTTCCCTCCCTGCCAGTCTTCATTGTCTCTCAGTATTGAGATGTCAGCCTCCTTTCCATATTACCTGGAATAATTGCCAAGCAGTCATGCCACTTGAAAATGAGGTAACAAGTCCTTTGATTGAACTGGCAGTCCCACTCCCTGTCATAGCATCCTTGTATCAGTGTTGTTTATTCATTTCATGGTCTGTTCTCTCAAGAAATAAGCATCAGGAGTGGACAGTGATGTTTGGGGGGATCCCAAGGCACATGGGAGGCAGATCTTACCTCTTTCTGAGGAGGCCACAGAGAGCTGGATAGTCCCTCTGTCTGCTCCCTGGTAGCTGGAATGTGGATCTGTGACTCCATGCAGCCAACTGGAAGCTTAATGCAGGGAATGTGAACTTTGAACTAGTTAGAGATTATTCACTGTGAGGCTTTTGCAAAGGGCACAGGCTGGATGAGTGGCCGTGAGCGTCCGTGTTCCTGAGCAGACTGTGCTGTGGCCCAATCCTGTGCGTGTCTCCTCTTCAGGCTCCTGCCGGAGCATGCTTCTCTAATCTTACCATTTATCACTGACCCTTCGGTGAAACTCTCTTCTGTTTAAATTTACCAGGGTACACTTTGTAATACTTGGGACCAAGAATTTGAAGATAGTAATCAGACAAATCAAACAACTAGTAGTAGTGGAGAGACACGTAGCCCTACAGGAAGGGGTAGAATTATCATTAAAAACACAGACAAACCAGAGACTGCCTGAAAAAAAAAAAAAGATGAACTGGAAAGATTCAAAGTAGGCTCTATTGGAGGTGAGTATGGAAAACAAGCTTAGCTTTTTATTTTGAAGTTTCCTTCCAGGAGTTGGATACTGTGATCTCTTCAATCAGCATGTTTATATAGTGAGGAGGAAGACCAGAAATGAGAAGAGGAATAAGAAAATGGCAGCACAGCCTTTTGGGGTATGGATAAGGGTGGTCTTCCTGCTACAGCAGAGGAGAGGGGCATGTGTGGCCCATGTGGAAGAGCAACTGAGTTGGTGGCTGACTGAATTTGGGTCCGAAGCAAAAATAGGATATGAGGATAGGTATAAGAATTTTATTTTGTGCTATGTGTGTCATTTGGCTTTTAAACTGTCTAGAAATAAAATGAGATGAAAACAATCTGCCCTCATTTCTTGGTTGCTTTTCTTAAATATCATTGGCCCAAAGCATAGCCAAGCCTTTTATTTAGAAAATCCTACCTTCAAAAAGTGATAGGTTACACTAATTATATTTGTGCTGTTCTACAGATTTTCTATTTTGCACTGGTCCTTTACCTGCTGCTCGCTGTGCGGGCAGCTAAGGTGAGAGTTTGAAGACTATGGACTTTTAAGCTGAGAGGCTGCTGTGGTCATACAGTTTTCAACACAAAACTTGTTCTCCCTCTAGTGTTCCACTTGCACAGGGGTAAGTTGCACAACTTTGTTCCATTTTGAATTCTTTGCAAGATTTGTCTTCATTTCCTCTGTTGTATCAGATTCCTATATTTCCTTGTACTGTTTGGCCAAACTCCATTGTTTTCATCTTACTGAGTGGAACAGTAGATACTGTTCCAGCTTTGATATTAATTTCCTCTCTAGTACAGCAATTCCGAGTCTGGAGTACATTAGCATTTCAATTTTGAAGAGAGATTTTGATCTCTGAGCACCCTTGCCTTGTGTCTGTTTTCTTGATGGTTCCTTGTGGTTGCTTTCAGTGTTAGGTTAGGTTTCTCCAGTTAGGTTTCTGATGCAGATTGAAAAGCAAACAAGCAGTTAATTCTGTGCATCCCTCATTCTTCTGTAAACATGCCTAGTGCAGTGTATTGCCTCTCCAAGTGCTCTTGCTTAATTAACATGCTTTAGTTTGTAAAGGATTGATTTGTTTGGCAGAATTATCCATAGTTGATTCTGGGAGCAAATTTTCTCGGATATCAATTTGAGGAAATAAATCTCACTTCTCCATGCCTTTTGTTAATTAATTTGTTTCTGTTACCATCAAATCTTTACTTAATAAGTCTGTAAAGGATCTCCAGTGGTGTTGAGATGTCAGTGCTGTTTGGCTATAAAATTCAAGGATGACATCTAATGTGTGCCTTTTAGTAGAGATGCAATTTACTTATGTAGTAGATTTGTGAGGAGCATCCATGGAATAGTCATCCCACTATGATTGTATATAACAATTGTATGTACAATATACAATATATATATACAATAAGGAAAATGTGCCTCTTAGGGGTTGGGAAACCAGTGGTCAAATTCCACCTCTGGCATCATCTGCTCTGGGACTGCAGGCAAGCCACATCATTCGGATGGCTTCCCTTGTGTTGTAAAGGGGGGACAACGTTTTTGCCCTCCTTTTTTGCCAGGCTGCTGTGCATGGCCCTGTGGAATCATCAATGTGGCAGTGTAATAGTCTCCTTCCTGCCCAGTGTGGACCCCAGCTTGGCCTGTGCTGCTCCCATCCACCTTTGTAGCCTGATCTTCAGCCATGTTTTAAATATTCTTTGCGCTGCAGCAAACTTTTATTCCACACACACACCATGGCCTTCTCATAACGGGCCACCTGTCCTCTGTTAAGGCTCTTTTGGAATGCTCTGTATGTGCCTCTCAGAACTTCTCCCAGCTTCCCAGCTACACCTTAAATGCCTTCTCCCCTGTGAATTCTTCCTTGTTCTTCCTAATCTGAAGTAGGCCTTTTAGTAATCTCTGATACCATGTCATCTTCTGGTCACAATGTTGAATTATAGTAGGTCACACATGTGTTCTGTATTCCTGACTAAATTAAACTCAAGGGTCAGGATTCTGTGTTGGGCATCTCTTACTGTGCTAAGAGTGCCCTCGGATGAATCAGGAGTTTTTGGATGTTGACTGGATTGCTTTTGATGAATCAGCCTTAGTTTTTCATATTTGCACAATACTTTTGAGTGTTCTCTAAGGTCAGCTTCACCTATGGAGAATGACATAATTCTGTGTTCCACTGTAGAAATGTAAGTTGGGTATCCTTCAGTCTTGCTACCATAGTCAAGGAGTGACCCCTGGGCAGCCAGCAGCAGGTGGGCGTTTCTGCAGTAAGCCTCTGGGGCTCATCTGTTCTTGGGAAGCCAAGTAAAAACACACACACCATGTGGGGTGATAAGGGGCACAATCTCGTACGTAGGAGAATTGGGATGAAGTGAAAAATGAATAACCCAGGAATAGAGAAGGGTGCTAGTACATTCTGTGGCAGTGGGTCTTAATGGATGAGTGAGCAGGAGCTTATTGGGATGGTAGGTGAGAAGTGTCTCCAGGTAATGTCCAGAAGGGGGTCTGAGCTTAATGTGCATGGTTGCAGGCGAGTGGGTATGGGGTATCCCAAGCCCAGGGTGAAGAGTGGGTGGGGATGCAGGGGATGCTGGTGGTGATGCCCTTTAGTCATGGGGAGATAAAAGAGCTTGGGCTTCTCAGGGAAAATTAAGTGCATGCCATAGCAAAATGGCCATAACAGAGGTGCTTACCTGCCCATCAACCAGTGGCATAATCACGGGGGACACATCCTAAAATTCAGAGCCCCAACCTCACTCCCAACAATTCTGATTCCGTAAATCTAGAACGGGACTCAATATTCATGTGTTAGTAATTTATCCCAGTGATTCTGATGCAGGTGGCCAGTGAAGCACACTTTGAGTAAGTGTTGAATTACCTCTAAGAAAGGAATTATAAAATTTGCACAGATACGCATTTGTCCTAGGGAGGAGGATCCTGGGTAGCTCTGTTCAGATACTCAAAGGGATCCATAAGCTCTTCAAAGTTTCAGAACCACTGAGCTAAGACAAAAGCTTGTAATCCAGAATGAGAATAGCAGCACCATTGCAGGAATATTGGAGATCAGTAACCTTTAAAGAAACATTTTGTGTGATAGAAATTGTTGGTGTTTTCAGGAGCCCTACTGGAAACACATTAGGGAAGTGAAGGCTTACCACCCAATTTGTAAATCAGGATTTAGGTTTGTGTTAATATCTCAGTGTTTAAAGGACATACAGTGTTTAGTGGCTCTAGCAATTAACAATTTGTCTGTAATAGGATTTTTTTGGAAACACTTCAAGTCCACATCTTTCTCTGACCTAATTAAACCTTCTGGTTTCCCCTGGGTTTTACTTTTTAATTCTGAAGTTAGAAATATATTAAAGTTCAGTAGAATGAAGGTCTTTATTACTAATTATCAGTAAAGATATCACATTTTGCTCTCCTGTGGTTAAGGTCTTATCTGTATTTCTGTGATAAACATCTCTCTGAAGTTTATAGAGCATATGGAGAAAAATGAGATTGATACAACTTGGTTTTTACTCACTCCCAACCCCAGAATTTTTGAATCAGTGAAGTGTACTGCTGAAAAGTGATGTACACGCCCTCATTTCTCCCCTGAACCCAGGGTAAAATGAACATACTGTTTATACTGGCAAATTCAGTACAGCAAATGGGATGAAGTAACTGTCGGAGGGAGTCTGTGATCAGGGATGTGTTTCCTGGTGATGGCTGAGACAGAGCTATCAGCTGGTAACTGTAGCTTGTCCTTCAGCAAGGGGTTGCAGCTACTAAGCACACATTTGATCATTGGTTTAAACCTTACAGAAATTGAGCTGGTCTGTGAAGCCTCCTCTAGGCAAATTTCTAGCTCCATGAAGGGTTACTATTTCTTAAGTCCAGTCAATATTCCATCGATGCACAAGTGTTTATTCTCTATTCACAACACACACAGTACTAGGTATTGTTAAAGGTAAGTGTCCAATATGGCCAAGGGCCAACAATAAGGGTATTTAAAGAATATCTCAAAGAGAGATCCAAGCCACAGATAATCAAATATAAAATTACCCACTCAGACTATTAAAACCAAATATATGGTGACACTTTGTTTAACTTATCCCAGCAACCACAAGTTCTTACAAGTCAGCCATATGAAAAATAAAAAAGCTTCCTGAGAAACAGAACTCCCTACTCTCTTGGTATATTAAACATATCCCAATGAATAGTTTCTGGACGCAGATAAGGCTCATCCCAGGCATATTATGAAGTCATTGAATTTGATACTGTCTTCTTTTTTTAAACTTATTTTCCACCCACTTTTCATATGTCTAATATTCTTATGTAATCTGCATCAAAATAAGAAATATCTAATATCTAGTTATCCTTACTTGTGGATTGTTTATGTGGCCCTGTGCACAATAGGTCTAAATAAATATTTTTTTGGAGTAGCTGTGGTTAGAGGACTGGCTATGTGAAGCCATTTTCATATTATGTTCTTTTGAGTTTTAAATTTCAAGCCTCTTTGTTACAGATGGAAAAATGTAGACTTACTCAAATAATTGTAGACGTTAGTAAGCAGAGGCTGAGAAGAGGTTTGGGTTAAGGAGAGTTGTACGGAAACTATAATATTAGGTGTTCTTCAGTGATCTTTTCAGCAAATATGATGTCATTTTGGATTGACTGGGATAGGAACAGTCACCTAAAATGGGTCCCAGCCCATGTAGGATTGACAATCCTAGATGCCTTGTCCTGTAACCTCAAGTTTCTTACTTTTTCACAATAGATAGGGAGTCTGGCCAGCTCTAGCACTGATCTTCATATCAGTAGGGTTTCTTCTGCCTTCTCTTCTGCTGCCGCTTCTCTTTTTGCTTTAGCATTGAGCTTAGCCATCCTTCTTGCTTGTATATTTAACATTATTTTATTTAGTTTTTCTATTATAGCCACTTTCCCCAACAGTCCACCTGATCTAACCTTAATTATGTTGCTGATAAAGAATTATTGTCTTTAAGGGAAGCAAAGAAAAAAATAATAGCATGTGCAATCTTAGAGTGGGAATATTACCTTAGAGATAATCTAGGCCTGGAAGAGTCTAGTATTGTTAAATATTAATTTTTTTTGTGGCCTAGTCTTTCTGTTGCCCACAGTACACCAACTTTTAAGTAAATGAAAGTTGAATATATCTGGTTGAAGCAGGGTTTTAGAAGGGCCTGCGCTGGGTTCGCCCTCGTGGGCTGAGAGAGCCTGAGGATTCTGAGGATCACAGGGTGAAAAACTCAGTGATCCAAGTCATCATGCTTTTTTTTATAGACAGGACTGAGACCCAGAAAGGAAAGGAAACCCACAGTTAACTATTTACTAGGTAGCTAGATAGGTAAGTGCGTCCCAGGTAGCTAGATAGGTAAGTAGGTCGATAGATACATAGCATAATGTATGTGTTTATAGAAACACACACATATATGCAGAATCACTTAATTCTTATAACATTCTAGAAGGTAGATGGTTTTATAGATGAATAGATGAGGAAAGCTTGTAAGTTGATAGGGTTGGACTCACCTATGCTCCTTCTGGTGGCAAATCTACATTCTTTCCACCCTAGCTCCATTCTGCTGCTTGGTTGCCTTGTCCAAAGCCACACACAGGCAAGGACAGGACTGAAACCCAGACCATCTGCCTCTTGGTCCAGGGTTGTTCTCTCAGCAGATCTGTTCTCTTCAGTCAGTGGTAAAATAATACATGCTAAAAAGTAAATGGAATATTGAGTAAACACTCAGTTAGAAAAAGAGAGAAAGACGTCCCAGCTGTGTTGACCTTGAGAAGGGTTAATGTTTTTAGTTCCCTATATTTTAGCAACTAATTGGTCATGGAAAAGGATGGGAAGGAAAGCTGATTCATCACAGTTTTTTGTGCTAAGTATTGCTCAGAGCTTGGAGAATTGCATGGAATCTAGCTTCCTTATTTAAAAAATTAATAAGGAAAAATTTTTCATTAAAGCATGCTTTCTTTATGGCCTGAGTATTGAAACTTGAGATTGAATATGTATTAACTACTTGTATGTTTCATAAATTTGAAATACACATAATATGTAATTATTGACATTCTTCTCATGTTTGAAACAAAAGCGGCAGACACACTGACTGAGGAGCTGAACCAGAGTTCCAGTATGATGCACATAAAGTCCGTGTGCTTTTTGTTGACTTATGCTGAGGTCTGCCAGATAACAGCCTTATTACGCACATTCTTAGAATAACAGGCCATTGATATCTTAGTAGATTCTTACATTTAGGTACTGACTCTCTGGTTTTCTTTTTTTTATCTGGCTCATGTAGGAAAAGGAGACCTTCAGGATGAGTTTTTGTTCTTCCTGTTGGCTCTTACAGCATTTTTCATATTTATCCTTTTAACTCCTCTGTGTTCCACAAGTTGTCTTCCTTGAGGACAAGGACTTCTTTTTCATCCTGTCCGTTCTCTTATCCCTTCCCCTTTTCCTCCCTAGTGCCTGACATCATGCCTGGCACACAAGTCCTTAGGAGGAGTGATGGTGACAGGGAAGGAGGGAGATGCCATGAGTCAGATAAAAAAGGCAAAACTCTAGAATCAGGAGTTTCTTCTTCCTTTGATGTAGCCAGAGTGTTCAGTGAATGGAGTCCATTAGATGTTTTTTCTTCAGCGCTCCTTTCTAATAAAGATAGAGCAGTAAACAGTTTTTATTCTTACCTTTGTTACAAAAAACTTTACAACATTCTGTTAAATCTAGCAAGTATTTAATGAGTGGCAAACACCTTTCCAGGACTGGGGAGACAGAGATGAACAGAACATTGTCCTTGTTCAAGGACCGCCCAGTGCAATAGAGAAGACAAGCATGTCCAAAGTTACATTGCCCTGCAGTATGATAAGGACATCAAGAAAACCTGTATATTTGGCAGTGATGGTTACCACATGGGAAGGAGTGATTGATTTTATCTGTGAAAAGCCCTCAGCAACAGGTACCTGGGAGAGGTGTTGTCCGAGCTGGGATTTGAAAAGTGTGCAAGAGTTTTCCAAGCAGATGCTGGGGGAGGGGTGGGACAAGTGCTGAACAGGTGCAGGGACCGCATGAGCATAGGGGTAGCATATGGGCAGGAGGATCATTGGGGGTGAATCTACAGATAGTCGGGAATTACTAGAGTGTAAAACTAAAGGGAAGTGGTGGCAAGGAATGAAGATAAAGAGGTAGACGGGGGTTGAATCAGAAAAACAACAGATGTCACATGATTAAAATTTGAGTACTATCCGATGGACAATAAAGGGCTGATGAATAGTTTTAAGTAGGGAGAGAGCATTTTCAGCTGTGTATTTTATAAAAATTCAGCTTGTTGGGAGTGTGTGGGATATACTGGAGAGAGCAGAATCCAGGTTTGAGGGAATGGGTCAAATCAAACGGGAACATGAGCTGAAACTCAAATTGTGGCATGGTAGGAATAGGAGACTGAAAGAAAAATTTAAGCAGTTGTTTAGGAGATAAGGTGTCAGGCAGAGAGAGGCAGTCACTCAGCCAATATAGGCAAGATAAAGAAAGAAATGTCTGTGACTTTGTTATCCTGTTTCAGATAGCATGTGCCAAACATAGTTGTGACTTTCTTTGATGTTCATCACCTTGTAACAGTGACTACACTTTCACATACACCTCTAAGTTCAATCTTCCCTATTTCCCTGGGAGTTAGGTGATAGATATTACAAAGGACTCATACATTCTATAGGGCCCACATTCTCAGGGACTTGCTCATGTTCAAAATTGCACCCCAAAATCCTTAAGGAACCTTTTGGGTGGGAGACCAGCATAATGTTTCTCAGTAAGTCCAATAAAGTCATCCCCTGCACCCCCTTGTCATTGGATTGCTGTTTATGCATTTGAGCATAGGATTAGATTGGTGATTTGGATTTTGGACACACTTTAATTAAAATGCTGATCTTTAAGCATGAAAATTATTTGGACCCCAGTGAAATGTCACACTAAGCAAAGCCTGGAGATGGAAGGAGCAGAGGCTAACTAGGTGGAGGTGGAGGAGCACCAGTTCATATTTCTAATTTCTTAGTTTCAGCTTGTTTGGAGCGTAAGATTGTTAGGCTTCTGGACTAAATGTATGATTTCTCTGTCATATGCCCCTTCCTTTTCAATGTTGAAATCATGTAAGTTGAGCATACCTTTGATATGAAGACTGCATATCTCCTTTTGATGCAAAGAGCAAGACACATGTAACTGATCCAGGACTCTCTGTATCTCAGTTCTATGATCCCAATTAAATACACTCATCTGTACGAGTTCCCCATGGTTGTATTAGAAGAAGTTCTCCTCATGATAGGAAATTGGAATGAATATTTTACCGACAGGATATGTGAAACTATATTTACTTTTTCCTTATAATTTGATTCTACCCAATGAATATAATGTGTAGAAAAAATGTTCATTGAGGGAAGTACATTTAGTTGAGTTTAGGTTAATCAATGTCTGGTGAAAATAAATAGTTGGCTGTCTGTTTTAAGCTGAATAAATAGCATGGTTTGGCTGTACTGCATATTGGTGAGTTCAGGAGTTTATCAGCTGTCCCAGATAATGATTTTATGCTAATAAAATCAAGAGGTGGATTTGTAAATCACACTAAACTGGCAGCAGTGCTACTGGGCATAAAATGCAATTCTTTTTTTTTTTTTTAATTAATTTCCTGGGTATCTCTAACCAGTAACCAGGATTGTTTTCTACCTAAGATATCTCTTCTTGTTTTGAGTAACTCTACTTAGGAGAAAAATTATAGATCAGGGTTTTCTTAGCATGAAATTTAAGCAAAAAATTCAACACTTTGATCCAGCCGTGCTATTCTGTTGTCCTTTATCATCTGAGAGGTGTTTATGACTGAAAAGCATTATTTAGAGCAATAATCTCTGAATCACTTTCTTCACAACCTTTTTGAGGAATACAGTACAACTCATTGATGTATGGAAGAAAAGATTTGAACTTCAGCTTACATGTATTTTCTAATAATACTTAAAAAGGTCAGTATATGCATGCTTGTAATAATCTGCATATGTAGAGCACTACATGATTATAATTTATACATAAACACACATAGGATGGTTATACCTTTTTAAGAAAGGATGTCTTCTGAAAAATGTTTGAGACTACTGATCTCTGGAGCACTCTTTCTGGGTCAATGATTAGATTATTCTGGGACCTTTTTTTAAAACCACAGATTCATGGGGCTGTTCCCAGAATATTCTAGTTAAATAGGTTGATCCAGAACAGTGATTACCAAACATTAGAGTGCATTGGAGCCACCTGGAGAGTTGTTGAAACTCTGGCTGCCGGGCCCAACCCCCAGAGGTTCTGACTCAGTAGGTCTGGGATGAAGCCTGAGAATTTGCATTTCTGAGTTCCTAGGTGATGGTGGCTTGTCCAGGGACCCACTTGGAAAATCACTGCTCTAGTTTGGGACTCAGGACAACAGTGATTTCAGAGATCAGGTCATAAATACTGATTTAGTTTGACGATCTTCTCCCTGAGACATTTCTGGCAGCTGTTTCATCATTTTGTTTTCATTTGTTACTCCTGCTTCTACGATAGAGGCAGACAACTATTTTTTACACTCTCTCTCGTTTTCACTATTGTGGTATAGAGGATAAGAGCACCAGTATTATATTCAGATAGATTCACATTTATGCAGGGAATTCATGCAAGTGGTTTAATTCAATCCAATAGTAGCTCTATGAGGTGTTTATTTGTATGTGGAAAAATTGAGATAGTCAAGTTCCTAATAATTTGGTTGCATCTGTACAATATTTAGGAATAGAATAATACTACTGCACATTAAAGAAAATTTTACTATCAATAAGAAAAATACATCTTTGTTTGTCGCAACTCAGCCTTTTAAAAAATTAGGAATCCATAGATTGATATGAAATGAAGATGGGGTAACTGTAATAAATCATAGAAACTTCAAGAACAAGGCAACTTATTTCCTTTGTATCATATAAAATATATCCATCGGCAAATAGCACTTCTTATAATAGAGCATAGCATTAGCCATTTAAATGCCTGTGTAATGTGTAAAAACTGCTTGCTAAATTAAATTATGTAGAAGAGCCTTTCTATAATGCTTAGTGTCTGATTCACTAAACATCACTGGGGCACTCAAAGTTTAGGAGGCATTATATGCTTTTATTGTTTGTCAGGCAATTAAATGTAGAAGTCACTGTGATTTAAAAGAAGAAAGCAGGGCCTCTGCTATGTTGGTATAGTTTTTTTTTAATACTCCTAAAATAATTATGTCTATTAAATCTCACTTTCTGTTTATCCTTTGCATTGTGTAGTTTATAGCCATTTATTCTACACAGTTTTAAATTTGAGATAAATAGGATCCTCTGAGATTTCATGTAATTTAGGAAAATAGAACATATAACATTAATTCTTTTGGGGGGTACTGTAGCACTATTTTTTGATCTGCCTTCTCTATTGAGAGACCCATTTAATACTTTATGCATTTGATGAAGGCTGACTTAAATGGGGTCATTCTGTATTTGGAACAATGAGAAAAATTTTCCAGAAAACTCATCAAGGAGTATTACAGTCTTTTTACAAAATAACTTTAAATGGACTATAATTATAACAGGAAGAATGTTTGCTAGTGTATGTAAGTCAATTTAACCTGTTAAAGGCAGAACAATTCAAAATATGTGTGTATCTTACAAGTTTATGAAATTAACATTTGATTGTCCTCCACTGGCTTCTTAGAAACAGCACTTTCGAGAGCTTATTTACAATGCAAATCACTGAACAGTTCGTATATAAGCACTGTAAATTGTTGTTTACTTACTTTCTAGAGCTTGGTGAAAATGTGTGAGTACAGACCTTGTTTGAATTGCTAGTCCTGCACTGAAGCTCCTGTGTCTTTGGGTGAGATTATTTGACCCTTCTAAACTGCCATTTGTAAAAATAAGAATGTACCGATCAGGATCCAATCAGGAGAGAGAAGCAACATAGTAATTTAATTAGGGAACATTTATAACTGTAACGGGTATTAGAATACAAGAGATGGGTTAGTACAAGCTAAGGAGAGCATTGAAGAATAAAGGAATAGTGGATGTATGGAGCTGACGTTAGCCCAGGGGCAGAGACAGAGCTCCAGGGAGGAGACTCTTTCATTGCTGAGATCCAGGGGAAGGCTGTGGCTCAGTGGATGGCAGAGGAGTTACTATGGGGCTGCACCTGCAGGACTCAGAGGTAATGTGCCCTCTGATTGGCCGTGAAAGTTATTCATAGGGAATGTTCTGCTGGAGGCACTTGCTACAGAACCACTGGGGCACTGTGCAGGGGCAAGCTGCTGCTACTGGAGGAGCCAGGCAGGGGGGCGACCCTGCGTTGTGCCCTGAGGGACCTGCCAGGGAGCTCAGGGAGGCCACTCCTTCCTCCTGCAGGATCTCTCCTGTACCCTCTACTGATAAAGCTTATACCTTCTTGCCCACTAGTACAGAAAACGTAGTTAAAGCATCTGGATACATTTTTGAAATGAAAAAGATTTAGAGCTAAGAGGTGTAATACCTTGATAACTAGTACAGGGAATATTGATGCTTGCCTTTAGAATTTTTTTTTAAATTAAAATTAGGTAATACATGTTTATATTTGCATGGCTTTTGTTCTGTAACATGTTAATTGAATCAGACATGTTGAGTGAGATAAAAGTCTTACTGGTTGTGAGGAGTCAATGACATCATGACTATATTTTGCCTTAGGCAGAATCTGACTGGCACATGGTCTGTGTTCGCAAAATGGTAGCTGTTGATACCAGAGAACTTTGTAGCTTACAGGTTCCCCTTAGACTGTGTGGCAGTGCTCTCACACAGTAGTGTTGGTTGATAACTTCAAGCTAAATAAACAGTCTTAGGTGATGGCTCTCACCCCAAAACCTTAAGAATACAAGTAGCAATCTTGAAGGATCTTGAAATCAATTTAGTGGATCTAGAACCTCCTTTTAGAACAGAATGATAAATATTTGTATATCTCAGTAGAGATAAATTTGGTTTTTAAAGTGTACAGATGATTTACGTGTACTGGGTCAAGATGTCATGACTATGAGTCACAATAAAAAAAACAATTTTTAATATACTGCTTTAAATGGTAGACTCTATTTCTTGTCAATTTGTTTTCCGTTGTTTTGTCTCCAGGCCTGAAGCTTCAGTAGGATGTAGAATGGTCACATAAGGTTTCCTTTGGGGTGAAAATGGGCCATTTTCTTTATAGCTTATGACTTAATGATTTCATACTACTCTTGGATCAACTGAATCATCCTCAGCTGTTCCAAAGAAATAAAAAAGATAAATATCCTCCATTATGCAAGTGACAATATTTTATTTTCATAAATCAAGAATGACCTTTATCAACAACTAGCCTTGCTGTCTAATAATTGCCAGGAAAAAAAAAGAAAGAGAATTCAACTTTTGTAAGTCAAAAGCCATAATTTGTGGAGACTTCATTAACATTTAACTTGCTTATAGTTTCCAACCATACTAGAAAAATGAACAAGTTCGTTGATTTTGTCACATTTTGCAGTTGGTTCTTCCTGGGATACACCAGGACAGGGCTGGATGGTTTGTGGAGGAAGGTTAAGATTGTTTTTGTTGTTCAGATGTTTATTATGCTTCTTTTGGAAATTTCCAGGCAAAATAATTGCAGCCAGATTTTGCATAGAACTTTGGGGGATTCATTACCTATCCTTTTAAAAAGGCTTTATTGGGTGTTTATCATGCAGCCTGCTCTAAGGAGTACCAAGGTGACTAAGACACAGTTATAATCAGTATTGCTTTGGAGCAGATTTTCTACTCTGCCTATGGGCTTTTCTGTTCTGAAACTCTGTGATTTTCAGGAGAGAATATTGGGCCCAACTCCATTTTCTTTGATTTCTAAAACATGTAGGATCTGCGCATGGTGGCTCATGCCTTAATCCTAGTGCTTTGGGAGGCTGAGGTGAGAGGATCACTTGAACTCAGGAGTTCAGAATCAGCAACATAGGGAGATCTCGTCTCTATCAAAGGAAAAAAAAATTTAGCTAGGCAAGATGGCATGTGCCTGTGGTCCCAGGTACTCTGGAGGCTGAGGTGGGAGGACTGCTTGAGCCTGGGAGATCAAGGCTATAGTGAGCTAGGACTGTGCCACTGCACTCAAGCCTGAGCAGCAGAATGAGATCTTGTCTTGAAAAACACAAAGAATAAAAAGCATGTGGGTCTGCACTTGAATAACATTAGCACACACTACCTGCAGTTTTTAGTTGGAGTAAATGTGCAAACTTATAGTAGCCCACGAAGTCATTGTTGAGAGCAAGAGTATCCATAAAGATATATATATATATATTTTTTTTTTTTTTTGAGTTGGAGTTTCACTCTTGTTGCCCAGGCTGGAGGGCAATGGCATGATCTTGGCTCACTGCAACCTCCACCTCCCAGGTGCAAGTGATTCTCCTGCCTCAGCCTCCCGAGTAGCTGGGATTACAGGCATGTGCCACCACACCTGGCTAATTTTGTATTTTTAGTAGAGATGGGGTTTCTCCATGTTGGTCAGGCTAGTCTTGAATTCCCGATCTCAGGTGATCTGCCCGCCCCAGCCTCCCAGAGTGCTGGGATTACAGGTGTGAGCCACAGTGCCTGGCCCATAAAGATAATTTTAAAGCATATTTCAGTTTTAATCTAGAATGCACTGGGCTCCCACCAAATCAAGCTTGTTGACTTGGAGTGTGGTCACATACTGTCATAAGATGTTATTGAATGGGCCCTAAACCTCATTGCTCTGTTCTGAGGGATGCTGTTGAGAACTCTGTTCATTAACTTCCAACAATTGCTTCTTCCCAGGGTTCTGGGAAGGAAGATAGTTCTCTCTGAATTTAGGGTGAGGGTAGTTGTGTATCTTCTTGGTCTCCAGTTTGGGAGATACTATCCTGTAGTGTTAAGAATATGGGCCCCTTATGACTGGATGCCTGGATTCAAGTATCTGCTTCACGACTCTCCAGCTTTGAGACCTTGGACAGGCTGTGTAACTTTGTATGCCTTGGTTTCTGTATCTGTAAAATGAGGATCATAGTATCTACCTCATAGAGTTGGTGTGAGGATTAAACAAGTCCTGGGTAAATGTTAGTCTCTATTATCAGATTTATATATTATTTTATAGATACTGTAAATTTATGATCAGTCATATTTTCTTCTTTGCACTGGCTACCCCAAAACTCAAAGTGAAATCTGTGGATAAATTCCGGTACATGAACTTAGTGACTTTTTAAAAAATTTTTTGGTGGTGGGTGGGTGGAGTCCTAGCCACATTTCTAGTGTCCTTTTCTTTGCTCTACTTTCCTTGCCTTTTAACTTATACTTTTAACAGTTTTATCGATTTAATTTTTATGTTATTGTGTTGAATTGCATGTCTTGGAACAGTATAGGAATCATCACTGTCATCAATTACCTGGGTATTTGCCATCCATTGACGCTTCTTTTTGCATAGTAACTCATTCTTATCTAGAACCTGTGTGTTGTATTCAAAGTTGCTAAGGAAAAGCCTTTCCCAAGGTATGATGGAGACATGCAGGTACACGTGTGTGTGTGAGAGACAGCGAGAGAGAAAAAGAGAGAGAATGAGTGATGCCAACACCACCCCACCCAGCTTGTATCAACTTTCCTCCATCTTGTATATGACTTGGGTTTAGTCGTGATTTAGTCGTGATTCCCCCCTGTGAAACATGAATAATTTACTTTGATTTAACAGAGAAATATAGTACAACCATGGACTGCTGGGAGCCAGTCCAGGTGTGACAGTTCTGGAGAAAAGTTAGGGAGTCTGTTGCTGACCATACTGCTGTAGATGATGGCAAAATTTGTCTGTATTATTCAGAAAATCAAGAAGACTGTATTTTTAGAAATGCGTCCTTTTACTGTGTTTCAGGGGACTTTGCCTCCTTAACATATATTTTTCATTGTCCCCCATAGCATTTATTTGAAGAACCTCACTAACTGCCTGTTCTTGGCACTTCCATGTTTAATAGAGGAACCTACAGGATGTTACCTATGTGAATGCTCACAACTCTTCATCTTCTCATGAAGTGCAAGTTTTCAATTATATATTCCAACTAGTTGCAATGAAATGCACTCCTGAGAGTGCTTTGTTCTATGAGGTATATCTGGCAAGAAGAATTTAAGAACTGATAATAATTGATGCTGGCTGAACATGCCTGACTCTTGTTACACTGACTTTATATTTGCTGTCTGATTTAACTGTCAGAAATACCATGTGAGGTACATGTTATCTCTGTTTTTTACATAAAGAATCTAGACTTGGGAGACTAAGTGATTTGTCTAAAATCACCAAGCTAACAGTGGAAGAATTGGGGATATGCGTGTGTTTGACTCAGAACCTATACATTTTGCTATTACCTAAAGCTGTCCTGAAAACTGAAAGCTTAGTTGTTCTTTCTTTACTTGGTTATTTTAATTCTGATGTCATTTACTTTAACTCATCTTATTTTAGCTCAATAAACCATCTTTGTTATTTTGGGGGGGTCCCACATCTGTTGAATGAAGGCTAGGGGTGGATCTGAAAATTGGTGTGCAGGGAAATGTATCTTCACTGGGAAATATGAAATTCATAGTTGATCCCATTTTCCAGTAGTTCAATAATCATTCATAAGTCCCGAAAGAACCATATCATACTTTATTTGTTTCATTTCAAGTGATAAGAACAGCTTTGTGTAATGGGAAAATTATAACCTGGCACCAGTGTTGTATTAGTCTTCTGGGTTTGCTCTCAGCCACACGTGCATGCTTTTGCTTTATATGTGGTTCTATTTTAGTGCAATAGTGGTTTTGTAAACCGGGTCTGTAGCCAGCCTTAAGTTGTTTTGTGGATGCTTATCACTATTTCTCACTGTTTTAAGATCGCACTGTAGGACTTTCATCTGAGTGCTATCTGTTTCCACTGGGGGACCTTCTCTGTCAAAATTGAGGATTTCATTCTTTTTGAATGTTATTAGTGCTGTTGCCATTTGAGCTTATTGCTAGAATACTGAAGCTGTTTTCTACATCAAAATTAGGGTTTGCAACCGAGAGACAATACTTCTCGTAAATGTTTGCAGTCTTCTAACATTTCGTACCCCAAACTGGAAAGTTGTTAGTATTACGCATTTGAAACAAATCCATTTTGTTTCTGGAGTTGTTAAAACTCAGTAAGAGGGCAATATAAATGACCCGTTGTTGTCAAGTGAAATATTGAATTAAGTCTGTATCTTTTGAGTTGTTTTGTTCTCAATGGAGTGTTTAGTTGAAACAAGTAATTGTTAAAAGTGTTAGAGAAGACAGTGTCCAGGGACACTAATTTCACCATCAGATCTGGAGCTAACAACTAAGACAAATCTAGAAAGCTGGGACAGACAGTCTGAGGCTCCTTGATGCTATCCTGTTTAACATTGTTTATCAGAGCCTTGGAGGCAGATGTAGAAAGCATGCTCATCAGATTTGCAGACAACACAAAACTAGGTAAGATGGCTATTACCACAATTGAATGACAATGTCAGAGTTGTAGAATGGAGTGATGCACAAAAGCATGAGATGGGATTTAGGAAGGATAAATGGAGAGTCCTGGATTTAATTCAGAAAACCATCTACTTTCTTACAAAGTGGAGAGATGACTCAGTGGCAGTGGTGTACAAAAGCCGTATGGGATTTCAGGCTCGCAGAAGCTGAGAATGGACCAGCACCCTGTCTGCACTGTTGAGAAGAGAATGTGGTTAAGGGCAGTAGCCCGTTGAATTCTAAACAGCTGCCAGGATGGTTGAAGGGCCTGTAAACCTTTTAGTAGCAGGAATTACAGGGAGCAAAGCATACTTTGCCTGTTGCCTGGAGAAGTGAAGACTTAGAACATGACAGCTCTTTTCAAATAATCAGCTTTCCTGTGCAAAAGCTAAGATCTTTTTTCTTTTCTTTTCTTTTCTTTTCTTTTCTTTTCTTTTCTTTCTCTCCTTCCTTCCTCTCTTCCTTCCTTCCTCCCTTCGTTCTTTCTTTTCTTTCTTTCTTTCTCTTTCTTTCTTTCTTTCTTTCTTTCTTTCTTTCTTTCTTTCTTTCTTTCTTTCTTTCTTTCTTTTCTTTCTTTCTCCCTTCCCCTTCCCCTTCCCCTTCCTTCCTTCCTTCCTTCCTTCCTTCCTTCCTTCCTTCCTTCCTTCCTTCCTTCCTTCTTTTTTTTCTATTTTTTCACAGGCTAGAGCAAAGATAAATGGGTATACATTTCAAGAAGCAGAGTTTGGCCCTTTTTAAGGGGGGATGTTCTACATAGTCAGGATGCTTTACAAAATTCTGAGTGCCTCATCTATTCAGAGGCTGGCTGGCTGGCTGGGAAGTTGTACAGTTGACCTAAGCATTTGGATAGAAGTTGGACCAGGTGACCTCTAACATCTGTTTTTGCTCTGAGGTTGGACAATGGCTGTTTTACTTATCTTCTTGCCAACAGGACACACATTGTGGACATAATGTAAAAATATTCTTAAATTCATGTTTTCTTGAATGAGAACACTTAATTGTCATCAGTGGCAAACAATTATAATTTTTTGAATTAATATGATTAATAGCATTATATGGATAGTAGAATTTTCATAATAATTAATAAGATCAATTTAATTAATCACTTTCCCCATGTGAAACATGGAGAAAAGATCTTATACTATAAAAAGTAACAGGAGGCATTCAAGAGGATATGAGATGGGACAAAATCATCAACGTGCTGAATGCTATTGATGCTGAAACAGCTGAATTACTATGTATATTTTGCATTTTCTATTATTCTTTGTTTTTTTTTTAAGTAGTTTCATTTCTAGTACCAGAATTCAGCAGATGTTTACCACATGCTTAGTCTCGAATTTATTTTTCCCTTTAAAACTTGTGTGGACTGTAAGTGAATTTATCATCTCTTTTGATTTTGAGACCTCATATCTCCAAAGTATTAAAGTAAAACCTGTTTCTTTGTTAGATTTAGAATAATTCTTTGGAAAATATTTTGCAAGCTGTACCATGGTTTGTACTGCATTTTGTCCTCTATTATTGTGCCAGGATTGAGGTGAAAGCATTTCTTTTTTCATTTTTTGGACAAATTATAAATGTTTCTTCTTTATTGAAAACATGTTGAACATTTAAGTCAGTTCTCTTAAAATTTTTAATGCAAGAGCAATTTTTCAAATTCCTATACATCTGGAAACTATGAATTTTAAATTTGCTTAGGTCTTACTTTCTTTTTTTTCTTTTCTTTGTTTTTTTTTTTTTTTTTTGTTTGTTTGTTTTTTGAGACAGATTTTCGCCCTGTCGCCCAGGCTGGAGTGCAATGGCATGATCTCGGCTCACTGCAACCTCCGCCTCTTGGGTTCAAGCGATTCTCTCAGCCTCCTGAGTAGCTGGGATTACAGGTGCCTGCCATCATGCCCAGCTAATTTTTGTATTTTTGTAGAGATAGGGTTTCACCATGTTGGCCAGGCTGGCCTCGAACTCCTGACCTCAGGCGATCTGGCCGCCTCAGCCTCCCAAAGTGCTGGTATTACAGGCATGAGCCACCATGCCCGGCCAGATCTTACCTTCAGCTGGCTTCTACCAACATTAGATTGCTTTTGGAGAGCTGCGTAATACAGTGATGTGGGTGAGGCATGGTTAATACTCAGCAGCACTCAGCAAGGGATCACTAAGTGTTGGATGCACAGCTCCTGAGTGGAAAGACCTAATCAGATTTAGTTTGGCATCAAACTTGGCATCAAGTCTAAGGCTTCCTGCAATCATCATAGCTTATTCTAGAGGTCTGGTTGGTATTTACATTACTTTTTATTCTTTTACATTTTAGGTGGCTGCCTCTTTGATGAGCCGTATAGCACATGTGGATATAGTCAATCTGAAGGTGATGACTTCAATTGGGAGCAAGTGAACACCTTGACTAAACCGACTTCTGATCCATGGATGCCATCAGGTTTGCTTTTAGTTTTAAGTTTTGTTTTAAAGAGGAACACAAGAGTCTCAATCATACTATGTGTTCACTGGATATTGGTTAAATGAGTGACGGTGTTGGTCTTTGGATGTGGCAGTCAAAGTTGGATTAGCTAGTGAGAGTGGTGCAATTAACAGGATAGGTTATAAAAGTTTTATCTCTCTCCCCTTAAAGTCTAAATTATACTTCTTTTATTTGCAAGTACATCTTAGCTAGATTAGTGGGCATTACCCAGTTGATCTTTTCCCAAGCAGCAAATATGAGAAAAAGATTGAGATCTCTTCTGGTAAATGTGTCTAAGTGTTAGAACTCCAGTTGGGGAATCCAAATAACAGTCTCCATAGGAGGCCTTGGTGGGGGACTTTTCTTAGCCTCAGGGGCTCCCTTGGCACCTGGGAGATCTAGGAGAATGCCCAGTGATCTTGAAAGTTTTCTGAAGACAAAATGGCAATGCAAAAATGTGGGTATTTTTTCCACTGAAGAAATGTTTAGTGAATTTCTGATGAGTGAAAGATGTGTTCCACTGAACACCAAAAAGAATTTTACTTCTTGTTGGGAGGGAAAAGTAGGAAGATGGTGACTAGTGAGCTCTAATCAGCTTGGAGCTTGATTATTGCAATGGACCCTTTTTCAGGCTATGACATTGGACATCCCTTTAGGACTTTAGGTCTGCAGATTTGGTGATAAGTTTGCTCCACTCAGGATTCAAACTGTGAAACATGTTGTTCTGATTTGGATTTCAGATACAACACAATTTTTACACTTTTTAATGAATGCAGAGTTTTTCATTAATGCTCCAAAGCGTAGGAATAATTACACTTAGTAAGTAATCTTGTAAAGGTAGCTTTTAAACGTGAAGTAGAGTTTAATGTTGTCACTAAGGTTTAACAGTATGATGCTCACTGTGTTCCTGCCCTCTCCTTCCTACATTTAACTACTTATAACTTCAAAGAAGGGAGCATTGAGCTCTTTATCACTGTGGCTTCACTGGACCTCAAAACCTTTTTAGCTGTTGGTTATTTCCTTGCAGCTGCAGCTCACACCCTCCTTTTCTGTGTCTCTTGTTTTCTTTGTATGTGTGTGTGCTGTTGAATATGACTGTTTAAATCAGGTTTAGTTGCTTTTCCAAATTCCAGTTCCTGCTTCTGTTCTTGTCAGCGATAAAGAGAGGGGAAGAGGAGAACACAGCTGTGCTCCTCCTGTGGGGCCGTCGTTTCCCAAACAGGTGTCTTCCCCTGATGGCCTTTTGGTCTTTCCTGCCCTCTCAAGAGGATCCAGCCTGTGTCCAGAGAGGCTGGGCTAGCTGAGGCTGTGAGAGTGGGGAGGGTCCTTAGATTTAGTCCTGGTAGATTGCCCCAGAAGAGTGCACTTACTCTTGCTTTGTCTATTAACTCCTCATTTGATAAAAAATTTGAAATATTTCACATTAGGTAGTTGACTTCATTATTTTTGTTCTTAAATTGAAACTTGACTTGAAAAAATCAGCTTTTAAAAATAAGCCCAAGTATTTCAGAATCTTTTCTAGCCTCTCCTGACTCTGTTTCTGGCACAAGATAACTCACCTCCCTTGATAAATGAGGCCAAATAAATAATTTCTTGTCACCATCTTGTCCTTTTCTTTTTTTCAATGGCCCACCTTAGACTAAGTTGTCAACTTTAAAATATTAAAATCATAGGTTTCTAGCACAGGCCGTTAAAAAAATGGTAGTAAAGTTCAAAGCCCAGGTGTATCCTGGCACAGCCAGTTAGGTAATTGAAAGAACAAAGGTGAATGAAGAGGAAGTGATGCTGCACATATATGGCCTTTGAAGGCTCTTCTGACTTGAGAAGAATGACATGGAGGCATTTATATGTTTTCTTATGATTTATTCTTCTATTGATTAATAGAATACTTGATAATTAATATTAGGCCTTTGTAGCATAAGATCTGTGAGTGTTACATCTTGTAACGCTTTTGTCAAGTCTGACTTATTTCTGATAGTTACAGAAGGTGTGTTTTGGACCCTCACCCCCAAACAGATTGCAACTCATTGTTTGGACCTGAGAGTGGTTTAGGTGTCAGCATTTGAGTGAGGAAAGGGAAGGACTGGCAGTTCCCCCACCTCTCTGGCTGTGCTTATGTGCATGGGTGCAGCTCAGATTTCTGAAAACTATTGTTGCTCCATCAGATTAAATATTTTTGCCATAATATAGAACTGAAAATACAGTTTTTCTTTTTCTTTCTTTTTTTTTTTACTACTCATTAAACAAACTTTAGTCATTAGAAATTGTTTTTGAGCCCCAATGTATGCTAAACATGATGGTAATTATTGTAGGAGAGGAAGGATTATAAGAAATGACTTTTTCTCTTTAGGAACTTATCTACTTGGGGAAAAAAAGTTACAAAAATACAATTAGTGAACAATCTAAAATGATATATAATTAAGTGTGCTATAGACTGGAAGTGTTCTAAAAGCAGTTTCTCAATATCAACCCAATATTTTATAAAAGAATGTGGAGCTGTGCCCAGCTGACCCATCGACCAAAGTGAGGAGTTACATTCTCAAAGCACCGTTGTTAGAAGTGAGGAAACAGCATCTTATAAACATGCATGTACTATCCTAAAGTCTAGATTTTTAAACTGAGTTTCCAATATGTATATACAGCCATAAGTTTTAAATGCTTCTTAGTTTCCAGGGTTTTCACCTTCTTTTTCTTCTCCTCTTCCATTAATGTGTGCAAATGATTTATTCCTTTCAAAAACTGATTCCAAGGCTGGTTTTCCCATGCTAAAACAGAAATGACTCTTATGAATTTCTCAGGGCAAATGGGTGGGAAAATCAGATAGAACCATAGCTTTCTGAGGGCAAATTTTCTAAACCTTTATGTAAAATACTATTGGATTTATTCTTTCATGGGTATGTGTATTTGTCTTATGTATATAGGTTGGTTCCGTAACACTTTAGAGACCAAGAGTTGGCAAACTGCCCTGCTGGTCAAATCCAGCTCGCTGCTAGTTTTTGTGTGGCTTGTGAGCTAAGAGTGGTTGTTACATGTTTTAATAGTTAAAAAAAAAGCAAAAAGAATAATAAAATTTTGTGATGTGAAATTCAAAATGCAGCGTTTACAAGTTTTACTGACACACAGCCATGCCCATTTGTTTAAATGGTGTCAGTGGTTGGTTTCAAGCTACAGTGAGAGTTTAGTAGTGGCAACAGAGACTGGTCCACAAAGCGTAAGATATTTATGCCCTGGCCCTTTATGGAAAAATGTTGCTGATGCCCGTCTTAGACCATTTTGGCATCAGCATGTAATTGTTATTTTGGACCCATGGTTTATATTGTTGTTGTTTTCTATATTCATATAATTATTAATATACAAACATTTCACATTTTCTCTCACTTTCAGAAGATGTGTTTTCTAAACATTGGGCTATCAAAATCAGTAAGAAAAAGAAAAAACATGATTAGAGATTTCCTCTATCATTGCCTTAAATTTGCTATCTCTTGAAAAGCATCGTGATGTGATTTTCTTTATTTTTTAGTACCTAAATCTTTGTCACAGTCCTGTAATTCTAATAAGTGAATAATTCATCAAGGGCTGGGTGCGGTGGCTCATGCCTGTCATGCTAGCACTTTGGGAGGCTGAGGTGAGAGGATTGCTTGAGTTCAGCAGTTCGAGACCACCCTGGACAACGTGGGAAGACCCCATCTTTATAAATGAAGAATAATAATTCATCAAGATGAATTTAAAAGTTATGACAGTGAGAGACTAACATTTCATTCTAATTTTTAGCTTTTTACTTTTTCTGTGTCTTTTTAAAAGTTAGTGCTCCAGTGTATAGATTTGTTTCCCCATATCCTTATGTGTGAGGTTATTTTTAACCACATTTTAAAAAATTAAAATGCAGTTTGGAGTTTTGTGCAAGCTGGCTTGATAACTACTCTGGAGCAGTGACGTTAGCTCTGGAAATACATATTTAGGGGGAATAAATACTAAATGCCGTTTAAATTTTTGTATTTCAAGTGAACATTCATGTCATAGTAGATTAAACTTTTGCTGCTAGCTCTGAGTCATCACGGTTTTCTTGGTGGTGAAACCATGCCAAACCTAATTTCTCTGTTATCAGTGAGTGAGTGATTCGTTTCATATCAGTTGATCTTCTCTAGTAGCAATGGGGAAATTTCTTTCTTTTTTCTTTTTATTTTTTTGAGGCAGAGTTTCGCTCTTTCACCCAGGCTGGAGTGAAGTGGCACGATTTCAGATCACTGCAACCTCTGCAGCCTCCCACTACCTTCCCGCCCTGGTTCAAGCGATTCTCCTGCCTCAGCCTCCCGAGTAGCTGGGACTACAGGCACCCACCACCACACCCAGCTAGTTTTTGTATTTTTAGTAGAGACGAGGTTTCACGGTGTTGGCCAGGCTGGTCTCGACCTCTTGACCTCAGGTGATCCACGTGCCTCAGCCTACCAAAGTTCTAGGATTACAGGCATGAGCCACTGCACCCAGCCCACAGTGGGGAAATTTCTTGAACTTTATCATAAGGATTACTATTTGAACACAAAAATCTTGATATAGTAACCTGGTATTTTTTGTTAGCACTGTTACATCCTATCACTTTATATACTGCAGCACATTCTATAATTATCACATAGATTAAGAAGCATTAAGAAGGGTTTTATGATATAAAAACACCTACCTGGTTTGATAATGTGGTATTTTGTGTACTTGTACCTCAGTGTTCCAGTTCTATATAATTGATACTTAGTAGATTCTATGTGCTTAAAAATGTAACCCTGTCTTATAAAAAAATTATCAAATTCATCTACAATATTAAAAATGTGAAGGTAACTTATAATCATAGCTATAACCGTAGCTATTTGATACTCATGACATGTATTTATAGTCTATGTTGTCCCCTTAAGTTTTCTTACCTCTAGAAAGGCTGTAATTAAGTGAAAGTGGATATCAGTGTTGGGAAAACATAATTCTCTTAGTATTTTTCCAGGTAGTATAGCATGGGACTACATAAAGCTCATTTAGCTTTCCATGTCTTAGTTATATCTGTGGGGAATTGGGAATGATGCTGCTGCTAATTTTCATGGAAATGTGACTAAGAATTGAATCACGTCTGTGGGTGCCCGTATGAAAGACAGAGAGGAAAGTGTCAGGATGGAGCAGCGTGTGCACTCTGTGTGATGACCCAGAAAATAGAAAAATGACTACATATATTTGTTTAGAGTCAATTTCACATTTGGGAAGGAAGATGGATTGACAGACAAAGTAATTGAAGTTTTCTCTTTGGATGCACTTATCAGGCACATTTTCCTTGTGCTAAGGAAGACTTCCCTATTTATTCACACTTCAGGACTTATTCAGGTCTTAGAGAGTAACAAAGAGAAGATGACGGTGGGCTTGAAGACTTTTCCCCTCTAAAATTTCAGCATGTCTCCAGTGAGAAATGTTTTTGGCACAGAATATTCAGACAGTTCTCTAATTATCCTATTCATTCTTTCAAATCAGTCAACATTCAACAAATGTTTATTAAACACCTGCTATGTGCTATGCATTGTTTTAGATGCCTGAGATTTTTCACCGAGTGAAACAAATAAAGATCCTCTTCTCAGCCTACCTTAAATTCTTCGTCTGATAAGATCGTTCCTGGATGGGCTTACGATTATATGCTAGAAAACCACATTTTCCCACATTTATTAATGACTTTCTAGTGGCGAGTATTTAAGAGGTAATCCAAAATATAGTTCATCAGACCCAGCACATTAAAGCATCAAATCTAGCTTTCCATATAGCTTTCTTCTCTAAAAAAAGTAAGATAAAAAGTCTAAATCTTAGGCAAGTGGCAGCACAGTATTTTCAGATCAGTCTGCCTTAGAAAACAAAGTAATCTTGTACATATAAATGACACTAAGCAGTCAACAACATTTGCTTTTTTGTTCTGTATCATTTGGTTCTCGTGATGGGCCTGGTAGATTGGGTGGCATTATCCTCATTTTACAACATAGGAAACTGAAGTTCAGAAAAGGAATACTTTACCCAGGCATCCATGGCACAACGACAGCCTTCACTTTTGTTCTTTGGAGTACCCTTATGTATTCTCTTCACGTGAGAACATGCATCTGGGGAAGAGGCTAGTCTTTCATTTCAGGTGCATGCATTTGGATCTTCTTGAAATGAATGTGAAGGCTGTTGACCATGGGTCTACATGCCCTGCCCAGGTCAGCTGCTGGCTCTATCAATGTGCAGCTGTTGACCTTGGTCAAGTTCTGAAGCTCCCTGTTTTAGTCCTATTATCTGTAAAATATTAGTAATAGCTGTTCGTGGAACGACTACTATGGGCCTGGCTATAGGTGCTAGAGCTGTAGCAATGGAGTTTCTAGCCTCTTGATGATTAAATCCCATGGAGGAGGCAGGCAGTCCACAGGTAAGGGTAGAAAATAGACTGTCATGGTGGGAAGTGCCAAGAGTGCTGAAGAGGAATCAGGATAAGGGCTTAGAGAGCAATGGGGGTTGCAGACAGGGACAGCTTTTCTGAGGATGCATCTTTCAGTAAAGACCTAAATCCTGTCAAGACCAAGAGGCCATGGAGGCTGAGTGATCCAGCGTAGGGAAGAGCAGGAGTGTGCTCTGCTGGAGCTAGGGGTGGGAGTCAGACCACATAGGACCCTGAAAGCCATGGGAAGACGTTTAAAACCTACCTCAAAGAGTTATTGACCAGGTGAGACCCAATAACACACACCAGGAGCTTAGCCTCTAACCCGGCCCAGTGCAATGTTCAACAGATTTATTTCCTTTATTAGTATTATTAAATAATTTAGAGGCAATTTGGTATGAATTCATCTCTTAGCTTAATTTTGACTCAGCTAAATGGGCAGCTTTTGCTAAATTCTTATTTTCTCTTCTGAATGACGCCAGGTAAGAAATAGAAGATATAAATCTTCATCTAATTTTTGATTGGATTAAAAAGCCCCAAGCTGAAATAAGTCTATTAAAATACAATAATTAAAAAAAGTCTTTAATCAGTATATTTGTTTCAAAACCCTATTAATATCTCAAATGAAATTTTCAGATATTTAGATGCAGCAGTGCCTATTTTTTTGAGTCAAGATTTTTTAAGTTGTAAAAAATTAATGTTGAATCTGCAAACAATCAAATACACTGATTTTTTTTCTCCTTCTTTTATTTTAGGTTCGGGGGTACATGTGTAGATTTGTTAAATGGGTAAATTACGTGTTGCTGAGGCTTGGTATACAAATGATCCCATCACCCAGGTAGTGAGCATAGTCCCCATAGGTGGCCTTCCAGCCCATACCCCTGTCCCACCATTCCCCCCAAGCAGTCCCCATTGTCTATCATTCGTTCCCATGTTTGTGTCCATCTAACAGTGTTTTTTATCTGGATGGTAGGATTTGAGGTTATGGCCCCAGCATTTCCATCTGACACATTTCCTTTATAACCAAGTCTAACTTTATCATAAAAATTAACACTTAAATGTTTGGGAGGTGGGCATTGAATTTGACATTTTTTTTTAGTTGATTCTGAATAATTCCAGTCACTGAACCCAAGAAATGAAAATTGAGTTACTCTCCTTCCTTGAATATCTCATTCAGTTGTCCACACTGAGGCTCCCACCTGAGTTCTAGCTGTAATATAATCACTAGTGAGCATTCGTCCTCCCTAGGTCTTACTCAGACCACCTTGGTGAGGCTTAGAATGAGTTTACAGTCAGCTTTTATATGGTGAATGATGAGACAAAGCAAAATAAATTGGACTGGAGTTGTAGTCTCTCAGCAGTTTCAAAATTACAAAATTTAGAAAAATAACTTTAGATGATTATGAAAAAACAAACCATTTCATGTCAGTGACCTGTGGGGAGCACTTAGTGAAACACCACAGGCTCTGTGTAGCCTCTTTTCCATGTGCGTGGACACCATGTGCCCCTTCAGTGGCCCTTACTGGTTGTGTGGGTAATGGGTGTGTGAGGGAGGGTTCTTCCCATGAGGGAGATGCTGGGTGATGGAGCCAAAGGCTGGGATTACGTTTCATGTTAATTAGGAAGGAAGGAAGGAAAGAAGGAAGGAAGGATGGATTTTAGTTCTTGAATTACACATCTGATTTGGTGTTTTCCTCCTTTTAAAAAATGTAGTAGAATATACATAGCGTCAAATTTACTATGTGAACCATTTTTAAGTGTACAGTTCAGTGCATTATAAATGCATTCACATTGTACAACCATCACCATTGTCCTTCTCCAGAACTTCTGTGTCTTCCCCCAACTGAAACTCTGTACCTATTAAACTCTAACTCCTCCTTCCTCCTCCCCCAGCCCTGGCAACCACTGTTCCACTTTCTGTCTCTATGAATTTGGCCACTCTAGGTAGCTTATGTAAGTGGAGTCATACAGTGCTGTCCTTTTGTGTCTGGCTTATTTCATGCAGCATAATGTTTTCAATGATTCAGTTTTTCTATACAAAAACTTTCAGAGATTAAAGCAGTCATTCTTTAAAAAATATTTTGATTTTTAATATCACACTGTTTCAAGGGGGCCAATGTCAGCCACTATATTATGTATGACCACTTATTTCAGTAGTTTATATTTAACATTCAACAAATGTTTTCCTTTAAATTTGTTCCAAATTCCTGTCTTGGCAGATTGGAAGCTTACAAAAAGTAAGAATAGTGGCTAGCTGTGTTTTAAATATTTGCTAAAAAGTATACAAATTAGCCTGTGTTTATAAATAATGTGTTTTAATAGTTTTATTTCCTGCTTAAATTTCCCATAAAATTGTACAAGATGACATCATAAGAGTTATGTGGAGCCAAGTAATGGAATAAACAGGCTGATCATGACAGATGTTGTACATCTTTTAGTTAGCATCTGGTAGTGGAGTGGGTGAGAGGTGGGAGAGGTGAGGACTAAGGGTGATCAGCAAGGGGATGGTTATGCTACCTTTCCTGAAAATATCCACCGAGGATTCACTCAGCTCTCACAGCCTGTGTGTTCCACCTGTCGGGCTCCATAGTGTGAGGGACTCATGCTGGGCAGGGCCAATTTACTGGGACAGAGAAACCCACCTTGGCAATATGAGTCAAGAAAGGGACAATGAGTTTTGAGGTGACACTCATGGACATTCCCTTAGTCCCAGAGTCAGAGGGGTTAGTGGGTAGAGATGGAGCTGATTTTTGAAAACATTTTCTCTAAAGACCAGAAAGTCCAACGCCTGAGGAAGACTTCCCACTTGGATTCAGGGCAGCAGAACAGTGCCCTCTCTTTTTATTATTATTTTATTTATTTATTTGTTTTTAGAGATGGGGTCTTGCTTTGTTGCCTGTGTTGGAGTGCAGTGGCGTGATCATAGCTCACTGCAGCATCAAACTTGTGGGCTCAAGGGATCCTCCTGCTTGGGCCTCTGGAGTATCTGGGACTATAGGTGCATGCCACCATGCCTGGCTAATTTTTAATTTTGTGTGTGTGTGTGTGTGTGTGTGTATGTGTGTGTGTGTGTAGAGACAGGGCCTTGCTATCTTGCCCAGGCTGGTCTTGAACTCCTGGACTCAAGCAATCCTTCTGCCTTGGCCTCCCAAAGCACTGGAATTACAGGTGGAAGCCACTGTGCCCAGCCCAGTGGCCTCTCTTTACTGGGGTGGATCCATGGAGTCACAGGGGTTTGGAGTGGGCCATCACTGTGCTAACCGGCACAGCCCACTGGCCAGTGGATGGTGACGTTAGAAGATCCCTCACATTGACACCAAGATGGGGAAGGCCTTGAAAGTTCTGTGTGACCTAGGGCACTGCTTCACTGTATTCTCCTTCTGCCTGTGGGGGATCATTACAGGGTCCCCCATAAAAAAGTAGCTGTCCAGACTTTCCATAGTCCAAGAAGTCAAAGAGCCGAATACATTTAAATAAATAATTGGTAGGCCTAGATTATCCTTTTCACTTTAAGACCAGGAACAAATAGAAGTTCCTTCCCACTGTGAAAGGTGATCCCAGGAATTGGGTCATTCTTGTCATACCTAACTAAAACAGAGTCAAGAGGCCGGAGGGGAAAAGCACCCTGGACACACACCATTGCTCCAAGTATGTCGCTCTCTGCCAGCCCAGCTGCTGAAGCTGCCTGCTGTAACCTGAAACCAGTTTTATGTAATAGTTCCTGGAATACCTGCTGTGACTCCTAAAACTCCTTTTATCCCACCACCTTACCCACCATCGTCACTCAACAATCAGAGCTTGCCCAGCTTCTCCAAACTTTTCTAGTGCCAATGAACTATGGCACTAGAAATTATGTTTCAGCTTTTTATAAAACTATGTTTCAGCTTTTTATAAAACCTCCAACCTTCTATATTCTTCAGATCTACCAAGACCACCCAGTCTGCATGTGTGCCCAAATTGCAGCTCTTTTCTCCTGAATAAAACAGTAAATTCAGAGATTAGTCTCTACATTTTTATTTTGACATTGACACTGCTTTTTGAGCACTGCTGTGTGCAAGGTGCTGTTCCAGTCACCAGGGATTCAGGGAGACATCAGCCTGCAGTCTTCCAGGCCATGTAGAAGTGGTGTTGCAAGTGAATGCTCTGGGGGAAGCTCCATTTGTCTGCTCTGAGCCCAAGGAGGCTGCCACCCAGTTGGAGGCCATGGGGTGAGGGCAAGGGGAAGGCTTCCAGGAGGTGGGAGCACCCAAGAGGGGCAAGAGAAGGTGAGTAGTGATGCTGGAACAGGTAGAAACGCCAGACAGAAGGACATCCTGTGTAAAGGCAGTGAGGGGTGGGAAGGGAGCACAGGTGTTCACAAGGCTGCCTGGGAAACTGCATGTAGTTCTAGGGACTGCCAAGTACATGGAATGGGAAGAGGAAGAGGTCCAGACATAGGCGATGAGCTGGTGAAGGATATGAAGGAAGAGGGTGATTTGAGTGTTGATTTCTGGCAAAGTGAGAAGAAAAGAAAATATTTAACTGAGTATGTGTAGAGGAAAATTCAAAATTTCTGATAAGAGTGTCTCCAGAAAAGATGTAATAAGGAAATTTGGTTAGTAAATGAGTACCAAAAAGCATATGAATATGTTGGAGAATACCCTCGTTCTTAGGAGATTCATGCTGAAGTGTTAAAAGATATAAGTGTTAGGATATCTTTGCAGAAAAAAGTGTGTGTGTATGTTGAGAGAGAGAGAGAGCGCGCATGTGTGCAGATATGGTAAGATGTTAACAAATGTTGAGTCTAAGGGAAGTGTGCGTTTATTACTTAATTTTTCTGTACTTTTGAAGCTAAGCAAAATTTGCAGTATAAATGTGGGGCTACAAGAGACATTAATTGAGGTACACCGACTTCGTGTCATGCCAACACAGTTTTTCTCCATTGGTACATTTTAGGCAAAATGCTATTCCATCAAATTGCATTGAAAGTGTTTATTTACAAAACCCAGGTTGAGCCACGTCTGCACTTTCTGAGCATATCGTGATGATCATTGGTCATTACTGGAGAGGTTTAGTAGAGCTGATGGACTTATGTAATACCGATTTGGAGCCACTAACTTAAAGTGTGTAATTTTAGGACTTTCTTAAATAGGACAAATGCTTCACATGGTTTTATGCCTCAGTGGGTGTCTCAAATATAAAGATTCTTATCCTATTGGTAGATATTTTGGTGGTTAACTTTGTTGGAAAATGCATAAGGAATTATTACATTTTATTTTTGGATACATGCTTGCATTCATTTGTATCCTATCCATAATATGGGACTGAATACAGAAAAAATCATACAGAATTTCTTGGCAGACTCCACTAGATGATTGTGCAGATCATTATTTTAAATAAGTGGACTTTAATGCATAGTTAACTGATACTTTATTCTAGGAGATTGTGATGAATTATATCTTAAAGCAATATGTAAAAGCTTAAGTGGTCGAAAGAGAAATAAATATAGCTATTTAATTAATTGTCTGCCGGACAATTGTAATGCCTCTGTCTGGTGGGTGGACAAATTGAAACAACTGATTATGCAGCATTAGTAAGTGTCTAATTGGATATGTGGGGTAGCATATTAATATAGTGGCACTTTTAGAGAGGGTGTCACTGGAAATTTGTTTTTCAAATGACCAGTCCTTATTTGTATGCTTTGAGTCCTCTAATATGTGGTTGTTTCTTAATTGTATATTTCCTTGCTTTGTATCTTTCCTTGAAAGAGGTATCTTTTATATTTATTCTGTTACCCATAGAAAATGCATAAAAAATTGAAATCCTTGGCATAAAACTTGAAGGTGCAGACTAGGTTTGATCCAGTGCTTTTCAAAGTAAGTATAAATAAATGAGGTTTCTGGTAGTCATCTTGGGAAATTATGAAAACCATCATATGCCTTCTCATGACACATCTTTTTTCTCTGTTGAAGACGCATCCTATTACACACCTTGTGAAAATGGTGTCACCTCCCTAATTGTACTCTGTAAACAAAACATCCCTTAGTTCCTGATTGTCCTGGCTTACTGTGGAGTGACAGGCTGCAATTTGCCAGTAGGTCAACCACTGAACTGATGACAAGTGACCTTTCTAACACTGCAATCAATGCTTGTTATTTGGAAAACAAAATGATACAGTTTGTATTTTTTAGCAGATGGGTCATTGGGTCAACCCACCACTGACATGTGAATTTGTTACTTGGGCTGGATGAGTCAGTTCAGACAGAAATGTTAATTTATTTGAATTGATCTGAGTCTTGCTCTTATAAAAAGGTGTTGGACATTTGTTGATGGCACAAATTATTACAAATAATTGGTTTTATACATCAGTCAAACAAAGACTTTTAGAGGGCCCACTTGATACAATAGCATTATATACTAGCTTTGGGAAGCATTCACCATAATGTATTTTCTCCACACTTGATATTTCTCAATGGTTTTGAGAAAACCCAATTTACATAAGTGATCTTGCATGTGTCATATTTAAATAGTATCTCTCCCCATGTTGCCTGAAATGTGTTTGGTGTTAGACCCCATGAAGAGTCAGGAGGATGATTAAGTTCTGGAAAAAATGCTGGGAAGAGATGAACTGTCATAAGAGATAGCCCCTGTGGTTGTCAGCGTTGTTGAATGACTGCTTCCAGCTTTCACCTGCTAGAAACATGGGAACATTGGGCATCTCTGTTGCATTTGACTTAGATGTTACTGCACATGCTTTGGCTGGTGAGTGTGAGTGAAAGTGACATGTGCTATTTTCAGGCAGAAGCTGCTAGAACCAGGATGAGAGTCAAGGTGTTCTCTCCCCTTCTTCCTGTCATGGTGACTGTGGCAGCATTGAGACGCTTTTAGCCCAGATGCCTGAGTGAGGAAGATGTAGAAATGCCTTCCCTTGCCCCTCACACATTCACACACACTCAGATGACTGCAGTGGGTGTGTGCCTGAATGAGAAATAAGCTGTGTTGTATATGCCACTGAGATTTTGGAGTTGTTGAATGGTTCTCTAACTCTTTGGTCTTAGGACTCCTTTATACTCTGTAAATGTTTTGAAAAATCCGCAGAGCTTTTGTTCAAGTGGGTAATATCTACTTCTATTTTCTGAATTAGAAATTAAAACTGAGAAAGTTTGAAAACACAAGAGTCCATAAACATCTCTTCCATTGGGCATGAGAGCAGTGGTGTAGACCTGTGAGAGTTGAGCGTGAACTGAGAATAATAAAGTCAAATAATGTCTTCTTATGATCATGAAAATAGTTTTGACCTTGTGGCCTCCCTGAAAGGGTCTCAGGGATTTCAGGGGTCTCTGGCAGATACTTTGAAAACGACTGACCTAGGCCATGCTAAGTGATGAGCATACCTCGATAAGTTACAGTTACAGGCTCAGAGAAGTTGAGAAGGAAAAGAAAGAAGGGAAAAAGATTTTGGAAGCATTGCAAAAGACTATCCCTGAGTGTTAGGGTTTTCTTTTTCTTTTTGAATAAAGTCAATATAAATAATTCATTCCTGTTTTTGAGAAGTAGTCCCTCTTTATACTAATAAATGCCTATTTTACTAGGCTATCAAATGAAATAATGCACATAAAATTATATTGTATGAAGCCACATAACTGTAAATATTAATTCTATGAAGGTTGAGATTATGAAATATTTTGCTTTGGAAAAATATGAAAGTATGAGTAGTATTCATATACTTAGAATTAGGTGTAGGCTTTCTGGATGGTAGAGGGTTGGAGAAAGTGAAATATTAAAACATATATGAGTGAGCTTATCTAAGTTCCATCAGTAGTGCTGCTTCTGGGAGTTTTAACGGTGAAATTGTCATATATATTGTAATGATGAAATAATTCCAACCCCTTTTATGAAGTGTGTAGTGACAAAATGATACAAAGGTGGCTAAACATGTTTTGAAAGACTTGAAAATTGTGCTTAATGGAAATTTCATGTGCATGGATAGCAAATCCCATAGGTGAATAGTCACATGCCTATCAATAGCCCAATTCTGTAAGGCAACATATTTATTTCCTAAGAAATGAGTCCTAACAGAATTTGCTAATATTTGAAAGGCATCATAGACAAACATTTTCTGAGCTTTTTGTTAATATAGCCATGGGAAAGGTTACCAAGGGAATCTGATGATCTTTATAGATTTGTCCAGCTGTTATAGATAGTTAATATTTAAGCTTCAGGAAGGAGACCTAAGTGGGTGACCTCCCTAGCTTTTTGGTTCTCCTTTTTTTTCAGTAAATACTTATGAAGTATGTACTGTGGAATAGCTGTTATTGTATCCTACCAGATAAAGAATATCTTGGGCTGGGCACAGTGGCTCACACCTGTAATCCCAGCATTTTGGAAAGCCAAGGCAGGAGGATTGCTTGAGCCCAGAAGTTCAGTACCTGTCTGGGCAACATAGCAAGACCTGTCTCTACAAAAATAAAAATACAAAATTAGTCAGGCATGTTGGCACATGTCTGTAGTTCCAGCTGCTTGGGAGGCTGAGGCAGGAGGATTGCTTGAGCCAAGGAGGTTGAGGCTGCAGCAAGCCGTGATTGTGCCACTGCACTCCAGCCTGGGTGATGGAGTGAGACCCTGTCTTTAAATGATGATGATGATGATTATTATTAATATTGTCTTGGAGGATCTATGTACAAGGTTTCTGAGGTCACAGATTTCTGAGGTTAGCAAAGTTGATCAATGCTTTACTTGACAGAAAAATCAAGCATTAGAATAATGCACTGAATGGAAGAAAAGAAAATTAAATTCATGAAGTGGCATAGACTTGCTGAAGATTAATTTCCTCTACTAATTGGCTACCCATTATGGTGGTTTTTGAAGCCTGGGACTCACTTAAGAAAGGGCTTGTTATCTGGAGTCCCTAGCAGGCTGAAAACGCTAAGATTTGATAGATGTAATCAAGACAGCCAGAAGTCGCTATCTGCCCATTTGCTCTGGCTGGCATCTTTAGGAAGCTGAATACATATCATTCTCCTTTCTCAAGTATAGTTGTGCTTGTGCAGGGAAGGGTTGCCTTCGCTGAGAGACCGCTTATCTTCATAAAATGCCTATATTTTGTTCATATACGGTTACCCTGGCACTGAAAAGAGAAATGGTTGTGTGTTGTTTCATTGCAACCTTTAAGTAATAAAAGTCTGTAGTTGTGATTAGTATGAGCATTCACATTTTCTTACCCCTGAAATGAGGCAGTAGCTTCTTTTCTCATTTAATTTATCTTTAATAAGATTGTTGATAAGCTTTAAGCCATGCCACACTTTAAAATTTCAGTAATTCCTTAAATCCCCCAGCAGATGGAGACGTGGAATTCTTTGCTCCTTCACTGGGGCCTCTGCTGTTGCCCCAGGTGACTTTGCTTGACTTCTAGTTAAGATGCAGTGTCAGGTTTTGCAAATGAGCTAATGAATATGCTCTTTTGCATTTCTTTTCCTCCTCTTGTTGGCCTGCTTAAGAGTTCTTACTTACTTTTGCATCTCATAAGGTCATTATCATTACTGACCTTCCCCAGTAGATACGAACAATATTTTCTTTAGAGACATATTCTCAGCAAAGCACAGAAGAGAGAATCCTCTGAGCTCCAGGGGAGCACGTTTAAATCCCATGTGAGCCTTTCACAGGCAGCATCCTGCCCATGTTTTGATTCAGAGTAAATCCCAGAGGTCAGATGCTTTTTCAGCCAGCAGGGTAAAGTTTGGTCACGGTTTTCTGGGATCAGCATAGCGGCTAGAGAGCCTCTCCTCTGTGGCTTGTGGCTCTGCATACCCACTGACACAAAGAGGAAGGGATTATTAACAGTCTTATTTTGAAAGGGTCTTCTGATTCAAGTGATTATTTTTCTTTCCTCCCTGATTCACTTATATCTATTTTACGAGTATTAAAGAGGAGATCTCTCTAAGACTTATCTTTGACAAATGCAATAAAACCTTTCAAAAGTATTAATTGGTGTGAAGCCCTTTAGAAAGTCATGCCATTTGTTGCATTTCCTGCCTTTATTGCTATTTCTACTAATCACCTGGGAAAAATTACTGGTTTTTAAATTCTTAAGTCCAGTTCTTTCTAAGCTGATAAACTTTCTCCCAGTAAATTAAAAAGAAAAGGAAGGTAACCTTCCGAGGTAGCTCATGGGAGTGGTTGCTAACTCTTAATAATTGAAAATGAAAGTTGGTTTTAAAAAAAAAAACACATATGCAAAATAACTCACCAAACATGAATCAATAAAAAACAAATTGTGATAAAAGGCATGCTCTTTAAAGGAGCTGGTAGTTTGTCATGTTTATTTATTTTTTATTATAAGGCTTTCTTCATTATTTGAAGACTCATCTTACAAATGTGTTCTTTTCCAAGCTAAATAATGAATTACATTCATGTAAGACATTTTTACTTACCTTTTATGCCATTATAAGAGCAAATGACATGGTTATTTCATATATGTCTATCGACTTACTGAGATCTGAGAATAGGACACATCTGAATTCAGTAGGCCCTGTGGTCTAGATCCCTTTTTTTTTCAGATTAAAGAACTTTCCAAAGAAAAGGAAACTCTTTGTTTTTTGCTAAGAATTTACATAATAGAAAAAACGTATGTCTTGGTGTAACACTAGATGCTGTGACAAATAAATCTCACAATGTCAGTAACACTGTGGACCTTTATTTCCCATTCACATTATAGTCTATTGTGGTCCCAGCTTGGAGGTGGTTGGGTTGGGAGCTTGTTACACATAGACATCCTGGTTGAAAAGGACTCTGCATCTTCAACATGTATTTTCCAAGATTCTAGATGTCAAGTGGACATCCAGATGGCACAGGAAAAGTCCCTGGAGGATCTGTGTGGAGGTTTCTGTGGGCTAAGTCTGGAAGTGGAGAGAAAGGCAGCTGGGAGTATGGTTTAGTTGGATGCACAGAAGAAGAAGAAAAGGACATTTGATGAGTAGCTGGCAACTTCTGCCCCACTTGGCCTTAGAGGTTATTACTTAATAAAATGGTCCTGGTAAATTATTACAGGAGAACATTATTTAAATTGAATATAATGATTACTTTTTTGTTCTATAAAGGAGTGCTATCTTTAAAAATCCAATTAATTGACTAAAATAATGTTTTGAGAATTAACTTTATGATGTTTTGATATAAAAGTCAAGAATTAATCCATAACAACTAGATCTTACACAAGTAGATTTTTTCCTAAGCTTTATATTATTAAACCATACCCTAATATTTTCATAAAATATTCTCTTCCCTTAACTCTGATAATTTCCCAGATAGAGCAAAGATATATGAGCATATATTGCTACTTAATTCAGTAAAGCAAATATCATTGAATAAATGTCAGCTTTTCCAGGGAAACCACTGCATATAACCTCTCTGGATAATATATTTATCAAAAAATCAATACTAAAAGTAAACGGATTTTTAATACATCTGAAGGAGCTTCTTAATAAACCAAAATGCTAACCCATAATTTAAAGCTGTTGGTACCAGTAGGTACTTAGAGATGACATCATAATTTTTGTAGATTATTCTTCATAGTGGTCTGTATGCTACATTTAATTCAGTTTTTACTTTGTGCTGGGGAGATGTGATTTATTTTAGAGGCATGTAAAGACTATTCTGGCTTCTCTTTCCACAGAGGAAAACCCCAGAAGGTGCATGAAGAGCCTGTGGCTCTTCTGATCTCTTCCCTTATGTTTTGCTCTATTCAGTGCCGGGTGGTTTTGCCTGTTTTCTCCTGTCTATCATCCCTCTGAAAACATCTGCTTAACTTCCCCGGGCTCATACCCCTTGTTATTTGGGCCTGCATTTCTCAAACTCTTGCTATCCATTGATTATATGACTGACACATAATACATTTTTTAAAAGGTCAATCACAAATTTTAAAATAATTTTTGAAAAATTGTATTTTAAATTAACAAAAGTGTTTTTTTGTTTGTTTGTTTTTGCTTTTTATTTTGAGATAGGGTCTCATTCTGTCGCCAGCTGGAGTGCAGTGGTGCGATCACGGCTTACTGCAGCCTTCACCTCCCCAGGCTTTGGGGATCCTACCACCTCAGCCTCCCAAGCAGCTGGGACTACACAACACAACACTACACCTGGCTAATTTTTTTGTTTTTTGTAGAGATGGGGTCTTTCTGTGTTGCCCATGTTGTTCTCAAACTCTTGGGCTCAAGTAATTCAACCACCTTGGCCTCCCAGATATTAATAAAAGTAGCCTTTTACTAGTGAAATAATTTTTTTAAATTTTATTACCAAGTTACCTACATAGATGGCCCTTGAGATTTCTTTCTGCAGACTCTGCAAGGACCAAATCAAGGAATGTCCCACAATTAAAAGCTGGACATTTGGATATTTCAACTTGGAGATAATAATAAATATATTCCCAGAACACAGTTTGATGGCATTTGGCTTGTACATTTTATTGAAGTGTTAGGGTGTGGTTTCTAGTTATGTTCTGTCATATGCCCAATAGGAAGGCAGCTGTTAGCGTAGTTGTTAAGAGCACCCTGACTTCACCTCCTCACTACGTGACCTCATTCAGGTTACTGACTTCTCTGAGCCTCGGTTTATTCGTCTGTAAAATGGGGAAGTTTATGACTCACACCGTGATGTTCTTATAAGAAGTAAATGAGAGAATGTGTACAGAGCTTAGGACAATGTCTGATGCAGAATCCAATTAATCATTTTCTTTTCTTATGGGTACTACTTTTAATATTGTATCTCACAATGAGGAGCACTTTCTCTTATGTTTTCTCTTAAATTTTTTTCACTTACCTTCCTTCTAAATGACAATGTTCCACTGTAGCAAAGCAGTTCTCCTTCTCCATGCACAGTGTACTTGAAATGTGGTTATTTGGAAATTTGGCTAAAAGTTGGTTATTTTCCCCATTCTTCCTTATTCAACAGTGGCTCAAGATGGGGAGGATTATTGATATGGAAGGGAAGTGGTGGGAAGGGAAGGGTGTGGTCACTGGAGAGAGCTTCATGCCCGGCCTGTGCTCAGGGACCTAGGTGAGGACAGGCACTCCTGCCTTTGTGCCCAAATGTTGCATTTCCTAAGACCATCCTGGCCCACCACACCCCCATCTTGTCCCTATGAAAACCCCGAGACCTTTGCAGGCAGACACACAAGCAGCTGGACATCGAGGGGAAAACATTAGTGGAGGAAGACATAAGGGGCTGGAGGTCAAGAGGACATCGAGGGGAACATAGCGGCAGAAGAGCACACCACCAGACACTGGCACGCCTTCGGCCTACGGAACGATGCGGAGGTTAGCCTGGGGCAGTTGGAGGAGAGCCTGGGCCACTAAGTGGTCCGACTCCAGGGGAAAATCATCTCCCTTCTGGCTTCCCCATCTGCTGAGAGCTACTTCCACTCAATAAAACCTCGCACTCATTCTCCAATCTCACGTGTGATCTGATTCTTCCGGTACACTAAGGAAAGAACTCTGGGATACAGAAATCCCTCTGTCCTTGTGATAGGGCAGGGGGTCTAATTGAGCTGACTTAACACAAGCCGCCTATGGATGGCTAAACTAAAAGAGCACCTGTAACACATGCCCACTGGGGCTTCAGCTGTAAACATTCACCCCTAGACACTGCTCTGGGGTCGGAGCCCCTCACACTGCCTGTCTGTATGCTCCCCTAGAGATTGGAGCAGTGGGGCACTGAAGAAGTGAACTACTCCCCCTGTCATATACCCTGGGAGGGGGACAAGGGAACCATTCCCGTTTCATTATGATGTTGAGTTCCACCTGGGTATGTCGTGGTGTGAGGGTGAGGACAAGAGGACCATAGGGCCCAAGTCTCATCATTAGACTTTCCACATTATCTTCCAAAAAGGATATACTATAAGGGATAGAGACTTATGAGTAAGATTAAAAGTAGAATATGTTCATCATATCGCCAAACCTGCTCAATCACACTGCTGACAGTGTACCAAGAATTAGTATTTTTAGTGTACTTTTTAGATTGTGAGTAGCGTAACTATATTACATTATAATTGTTATTGTTTGAAGTGTTAATATGTTAAACATTTAAAGTAATACCACTTAAAAATTAAATCTTGGCATCTATTTAATATGCCAGGGACCTCACAATAGAATTGAAATGGACTCTTGGACCTCAAGTTGCCCTGTACCAACTGTTCCCTGGGGATAAATCAGGTATGGAGTGGTAGTTGTGGCTGTCAGCTCCCTCCACAGATACCTGGCCAGTGCTCCAGTAGCACCAACCTCAGAGGACTGTTCCCAGTCTACATCCTGGCTTACAAAAGCGAAGCTCACATATATTTAAAAGATGCTCTTCTCTCGTCAAAAGATCAAAGTTGTAGAGCACTTTTTCCTTGTGATCACCAGATGTACTAAGAGCTGATTCACGGGCTTCACTCAGGCGTTTGGCTGCTGGCAGGTATTGTGGATCGTCGTTGTTCTCCATCGAGTGCCTCTGATTTTCTGTTGCCATTGTATTTTGGCATTAGACTGGTGGCCAGTGGTGTCATTTGATGTAGGAATTCTGTCAGTAAGCTCTTCTATCTTCTCTCTGACCGTAGCCTGGTTCATCAGCCTTTCAGCTGTTTTTAGGAGCGTCTCAGAGTGGGATCTGTTTTTTAAAACTCTGAGGAGATTTTTAAACCTCTAAGGAGAACAATTTTGAATGGTGCCTGTGTAACTCAGGGTTCTTCTCTTTCTTTCCTGACAACATTCTTAGGTTTATAGAAGAAATTAATTGTGCTTGTTCTGGAAAAAAAAAAAAAAAGCTATATTGGAGTACCCAGAGAAGCCACTTTGAGACTTTCGTAAACTCTTTGTTATGTCTTTGTTTGTGAGAGTGTTATGATGGTCAGTTTACAGAGGAGTTGAGGTAGATGCATTGCAGGTCAAGTTACATCTGACCTTTAGCTATTCATCTTCTGCCTTCCTATTGGTACTTTCTCTATTTTGGCAAAATCTATGAAACCATCCCTCTTTGAGGTATTTTTGAATGAACACATACTAGTTTACATTGTATATTTGTATCACACAAAGTTTTGTTCACCAAGATATTACCACTATTTTTATCGCATTTTTTCTTTCTTTCTTTCTTTTTTTTTTTTTTTTTTTAGAGAGACAGGGTCTTGTTCTGTCACCCAGGCTGAAATTCAGTGGCAAGATTATAGCTCACTGAACCTTGAATTCCTGGCCTCAAGCAATCCTCCTGTTTCAGCCTCCCAAGTAGCTAGGACTACAGGCATGCACCACTACAGCTAATTTTTAAATTTTTTATAGAGACAGAGTTTCACTATTTTGCCCAGGTTGGTCTCGAACTCTTGGGCTCAAGTGATCCTCCTGCCTTGGCCTCCCAAAATGCTAGGAATAAACCACTTTTGAAACAGGATTTGTTTTTTTGAATTTGGACTCAAACACCACACAGCAATAACAAAGATGGTAGATTTAACAGATGTGATTAGTAACAAGCAGATGATGTAAATACACATTAACGGATGTTCACTGGTGATTGGCTGAACCTGCAGAGATCAGTGCCTGTGGATGGCAGGTGCCCCTTATGCTCACACAAGTCACAGGCCAGGCTGCAGATCACAGTACAGATCCCCTAACTTTGAATTTTGAGGAAAAGAAACACACACATGCGTAACCTATAAGAGTAAACAAAAATCACTTGCATTACCATGCAAACTTAGACCACATGGTTCAAAAAGTGTGGGCAGGAGGGCATGGGTACACTTTTTACCCTGCCTTTGCTGGAGCCAATTCATTCTGGGAGAGCAGCGTGAGAGCTCACCTCACTCCACAGCAGGTCTGAGCAGGGTACAGCAGTGTCACCCAAGGGGGTGTCCCTGATACCGTGGGCCATTCCCAGTGGTAGGGGAGCAGGCCAAATGCCACAGTCCTCTGAGGCTCAATGGCTCTTCAAGTCCACCAGACTTAGAGCAGTGGAGTCCAAGCAGCTCTGGATGCTGTTGTCAACCTCCAGTCACATCACTGGGTTCAGATTCACCCCCACACCCGTATCGCCATAACACAATGCTTTACAATCTGAGGCCTAATTTAGCCAGTCATCTGGTGACCATCTCAAGGGACCTTTGTCCAGTGGTGCACTGAGCCTGAGCATGCCAGCCTAAAGGGGAATTTTCTTGTCATTTCCCTCTGGATGCGTGTATATAGCACACATGTAACTTTTAGGGACCAAACAATTATTACCAAGGTGACTGTGAACATCATGACTTTTCTTATATTTCACATCTGTGACACGTATGCAGTGGCTGCATCACCATTGGGGGTCACCAGATAGAGGTCAGTGCTTCATGATGCCACGTGTCCATGACAGACTCAGCTCCACTCATGTACCTGTCCTTTTTCACCCTGAGCACTGGTTTCTAGGTTCTCTAAAATGAAGATGAAACGCCTACTTGAGTCGAGTGTCTAGGGCTGGGCTTTAATCAGTGCACATGGCCTCATCTCTTGTGACCCTGCTCTACTGTCCTGAAGCACATGCAGGTGCCTGGCCTTGCCTGCCTCCCTGCTGTCACTGCTCATGACACTGGTCTGTGAAGCCTCCTGTCCTGTCCTGAGGTCCACCAGACATTTGCTGTTTGTCCTTTGTGCTCCTGTTGCTTTGTGTGGAGATTAACAAGGTGCTGCCTTTATTTCTCTATTGCATTTGATGTGCCCATATCCAATGCCAGCCTCTCTTCTCCTTAAGATTAGGGTGTTCCTCCACTCAGAGTAGCCTCATCTCTGACCCTTCAGTTTGTTTGTGTAACGTTGCAGTGATCTTCAACATTGCAGTTGAAGATGACAATGTTGAAAAGAGATAATTTTGCAGATCATCTAGATGGCTTACCAGCTAGTTAGATGCATGTGAACTCATGTGGGCTTTTAGGCTGTTGTCTGAAAATACTCAATTGAGCATAATCCTCACTTCTTCTGGCCTTCAAATGTGGGAAAGCAGCACCCAGGAGAATGTGCTGTGATGACAGCAGCAGCAGAATCCCTGGAACATCGAGTTCCTAGAAGATTGTCTTTTTCATAGCAAGGGCCTGGATGACACCTGCAGTGTTTCAGGCAATCTAGTGTGTTCTTTAGCCACAGTCTTGAGAGCTGCTAATCTTAAATTTAGGGTCTGCAGCTGCTGCTGCCAGCACTGGTGGACATTCCTTCCAGCTGCAGAATCCCCTCTAGCCACTGGGATTTAATTTTTAACCTTGATATCTGCCTTGACTTCGGATGTCCCTGTGCTATTTTCATTGAAGCAGGGGAGGACTCTTCCATTCAAGTTAGGACTCTCTAATTAGATTAATTAATTAGGTCTTGTGGTCTGCTGGTGATAGGTACCCTAGGGTTAGAGGTCTCCCACTTGAGTGACAGAGATGAGTGAGCTTGTGATATGCTATCTGTGCAAGAAAGAGTAAATAAAATACCCACGAGGGTTGGTAGTTCAAAAATCTCATGGAGATTGGTAGCACAACAATGTGAACATACTTAACATGATTGAACTGTACCCTTAAAAATGGTTAAGATGGGCCGGGCATGGTGGCTCACTCCTGTAATCCCAGCACTTTGGGAGGCCGGGGTGGGCAGATCACAGGGTCAGGAGTTCGAGACCAACCTTGCCAACATGGTGAAACCCTGTCTCTACTAAAAATGCAAAAATTAGCTGGGCGTGGTGGCAGGCGCCTGTAATTCCAGCTACTCAGGAGGCTGAGGCAGGAGAATTGTTTGAACCTGGGAGGAGGAGGTTGCAGTGAGTAGAGATCATGCCATTGCACTCTAGCCTGGGCGACAGGGCAAGAATCCGTCTCAAAAAAAAAAAAGGTTAAGATGGTAAATTTTGTGTGTATTTTATCACAATTACAAACAAAACTTCTTAAAAAATTACCTCAACACCTCTCAATCTCTTTCAGTTCAGCTCTGATTTTTGTTTTTTCTTTAGACCATATTTTTGTGCATGATGTGAAATAAGGGCCAAATTCATTTTCCCTCTTCCTTTCTCCTTCTCTCTCCTTATGTCTTCTTAACACTCTTTTTGCTTCCTGCTAACTTCCAATATGGAAACTCACATTCCCCAACACCGTAATTTAAAAGACGATTATTCTCTGTTCTGTACCTTTGTTAAATAAATGTAAACACATAAACATATACCTATATGTATTTATGTATCTGGGCTCCTCATTCTGTTCCATTGCTTAATTTGTCCATTTTTGCACCGGTAATTACACAGACTTGACAACTATGGTTGTATGCTGTGTTTTGATATCTGCTAGACCAAGTCCCACCTTGTCCCTTTTCATGTTAAGAGTATCTTAGATACTGTTTTAGTCTGTTTGTGTTGCTATAACAAAATACCCAAGACTGAGTAATTTATAAATAATAGAAATTTATTTCCCACAGTTCTGGAGGCTGGGATATCCAAGACCAAGTTACTGATGGATTTTGTGTCTGGTGAAGGCTCACTGCTTCCAAGATAGTGCCTTGCTGCTGCATCCTCACATGGCAGAAGGAGGAAGGGCAAAAGGGCAGATGGAGCTCTCTGAAGCTTCTTTTATAAGGACATGAATCCTCTCCATGAGGACAGAGCTTTCAGGGCCCAATCATCTCCCAAGTGCCCCCCTTCTTCATACTATCAACTTAGAAGTTCTAATATATGAATTTTGGAGAGACATGCACATTCAAGTCATAGCCAATACTACTGGCATTTCCATGTGAACCTTAAAGGGAACTTGTCAAGTAAGGCTTTGGTTATATTAAATCTATAGATCAGTTTGGGAGAGGTTAATGTCTGCAATATATCATGTCTTTTAATCAGTGGTTTTGATATCCCCATTTATTTAGATCTTCTTTTTTCTTGCTAATTGAGGCATGAATATATATACCTTTTAAAGAATATATATAATCTACTTACCTGATAATTCCTTGAACACCTTTGGTTAGATTTATTCTTGTTAGTTGATATTTTTTGATGCAATTATAAATGTTGTCTTTTTAAAAAAAATGTTGCTGATACATAGAAATGTATTCTACATTTTTATGTTGAACATGTATCTTCCTGCCTTGTTAACTTCAGTTACAAATTCTTTAAGGTTTTCTGTAGATTATTCTGTAATTTTTATATGCATATATAACATCCTTATTTTGTTCCTGATCTTAAAAGGAAATATTTCCATGAAACATCATTAATCATTAAATAATGGTATTTACTAAGATCCCTTTATGCTGTCCTTACCTTTAACTGGGGTACAAGGCATGGCAGTATCTGTGAAAGTGACAGGATACTACCCTGCCCTAAATCTAGTAAGTATTGTGGGATATTTGGATTTGGGCATCTTACAAATATGAATCTAGGTGTATCCTAAGCAATAAAGTTGTCCCAGCTACTGCAAGCCCACATTAATTGTACCTATTACTAGTATGAACATTGGAAACATTAAATCCCCCCCTTCAGTTGATAGCACTTACGTTAAATAGCCAGGTGAGCGCCAAAGCATACACTAAATCTATTACAGCGCTGCCCAATGTCATTTTTGGTCATGGTGGAAATATTAACAGCCATGCATTGCTTAACCACAGGGATATGTTCTGAGAAATGACTGAAAATATGTTTATCAGTCTTTTGTTTATAAATTCATGTTTTTCCTCCAATGCAATGGAACCTTGTGCATGATACTGGGGGCAATGGTAAGCTCTTACTACTCTAAAGGGAGTGGCTGAGGGCAAGGTCAGATGCATCAGAGAATATAGTAAATAAGTTTCAAAGTGTATTTGTAGCCATCACATGCAATACAAAATAACAGAAAGCAAGTTGTCTTATTAATTTAAGGCACCCAGTTTGACAGGTTGGAGTATCATGTAATGGACAAATCAAATAATTGAATAAGAATTTTCAAAGAAGTAATCCAAATCTTAGTTATCCAATTTAAAGGTTACAGTTGGTCATATAGTCATGTGTCTTTTAATAGCAGGGATACATTCTGAGAAATGCATTGTTCAGGCAGTTCTATCCTTGTGCAAAGATGATAAAGTGTACTTACACAAACCTAGATAGTAGAGCCTATAAGACATGTTGGCTGTATGGTATACCCTATTGCTCCTGGGTTACAAACCTGTACAGCATGTTACTGTACTGAATACTGTAGGTAATTGCAACACAATGATAAGTATTAACGTATCTAAACATATGATGGCATAGAAGACTTAGAAAATATGGCATGCAAGATAAAAACGGCACAGCTGTATAGGGCACTTACAATGAATGGAGCTTGCAGGATTGGAAGTTGCTCTGGATGGGTCAGTGAGTGAGTGGTGAGTGAATGGGAAGGTCTAGGACATTACTTGACACTACTGTGGATTTTATAAACACTGTGCACTTAGGCTGCATTAAATTTATTTAAAAATATTTTCTTCAATAATAAATTAACCTTAGCCTACTGTACTGTTATTTTATAAATTTATAATTTTTAAAAAAACTTTGACTTTTGTAATAACACTTAGCTTAAAACACAAACATACAGCTGTATAAAAATATTTTCTTTATATACTTATTCTATAAGCCTTTTTCAATTTTTAAAAATTTATTGATTTTTTTCTTTACTTTTTAAACATTTTTGTTAAAAAGTAAGACCAAACATCTTACCCTAGGCCTAGAATTGGTCACTGATATATCACTGTCTTCAACCTCCACATCTTGTCCCACTCACTGGAAGGTCTTCAGAGGCAGTAACATGCATAGAGCTGTCATCTCCTAGGATAACAGTGCCTTCTTCTGGACACCTCCCGATGGACCTACCTGAGGCTGTTTCACTTTTTTTTTCATATGTAGAAGGAGTACACTCTAAAATAACAACAAAAGTATAGTATAGCAAATTCATAAACCAGTAACATAGTCATTTATTACCTTTATCAAGTATTATGTACTGTACATGATGCATGTTCTGTATTTTTACATGACTCGCAGCACGGAAGGCTTTTTACACTAGCAGCAACACTAACACATGAGCACTGCGTTGCACTATGATAGGATGACTGTAGTGTCACTAGGCGATAGGAATTTTTCAGCTCCCTTAAAGTCTTATGGGACCATCCTTGTACATGTAGTCCATCATTGGCTGAAATGCTGTTGTGTGGTGCATGATTGTATATTTGTGCTGTCCAGTATGGTAGCCACTAGGTGCATATGACCATTGAACATGAAACCTGGCTAGCATCACTGAGGAACTGAAGTTTTAATTAATAAATTTTAAATTTAGATAGGCAGATGTAGCTAGTGCTTACTATATTGGAGAGTATAGTGGAGAAAGTACATTTAGAAATATCCTATGTCCTTCCTTCTCTTAGGGATAGCAGCCTTTGGGCAGAAGAACTTTCTCCTTCTCCCCTCTCCCTTCTCTGAGGTTCTCACCGACCTTTTCCAGTTTGCCGCAGCTGCTAAGCTTCACTTGCCACTTGTTTCCTGAGGATCATCACCTTGGGCAGTCCACTCAGCCTGTTTCACCTTCTGACTCTGTTTGCTCAGGGTCCCGCTGCTGCCTCCTGTGTCCCTAAAGAAAGGAGTAAATGTGCTCTCTCTTTCCAAGGGGCCACTACTGGGTCAGGGAATTGTTTTATTTATTTCACCCAGTAAATGATTTCAGAGCTTTCAAAGTTAAGGGCAGAGGACGGTAAAGATGATGCCACATCACCTAGGCAAGGTTGTTGGAACTCCAGAGGGTTGGATGGGGTTTGTTCATGGAGGATTACCACTGAGACATGGGGACAGAGGGGAGCCCTGGTGACAGAGGACACCAGATACTCGTTGGCATCAGCATTTAAGGGAAATGTAGTTTATTTCTGCCCTGTTTTCTGATACTTTAATATGACAGCCCACTGCCGTTATTACAAATGTGTAGTATTTAACGCTGTATTGCAATTTGGAAAGACTCCTAGATAAATCTGAACAAGCGATTATGTCACTTTGGAATCCGATTTCCTAGTAAATTGATTTTTTTCCTGCAATAAGAAAGCTAGTATATTTCATTTCTACAGAAAGTATGACATCTTTTTATTGATTCTTTGATTCAGTCATTGATAACATCATTCACTCAACAAATGATTATTGAAAAACTGTTATGTTTCATGCACTCTGCTGTGTAGAATATACTCAAATGTAAAAAAACTCAGGGAAGTTACAGTTTACTGGGGATATAGACAAATAATTCTAATTGTATAATGGCAGTTAGAATTATGGGATGTCAATGCTGGGTAATACAGAGTGTTACGGAAGCATGGAAGAGGGGAACCTAACATGGGTGGTCATACAATGCTTCAGAAAGGGGGTAGTATCCAATCTGAGACCACCAGAACTGTAAGCATTTATGGTGGGAGGATGGGGAAAGGAAGAATGTTCTAGATAAATATATTGGCAGGTTATTGCTGTTGTAACAAGTTACCACACACTTTGTAGCTTATATTAAGAAAAAACTTCTTATCTTACTGTTCTAGAGACTAGAAACCCCCAAATGCATCTCACTGGGCTAAACTCAGGAGGTTGGCAGGGCTGCATTGCTTCTGGAGGCTCTCAGGGAGAGTCAGTTTCCTTACTTTTTCCAGCTTACAAAGGCTGCTTGCTGTCCTTGGGTTGTGCTTCTTTATCTTCAAAGCCAGGAGCTGGACATCTTTAAATCCCTAACCCTAGCCTCTTGCCTTGTTCTTCCACTTGTAAGGACTCTTGTGATTATGTGGAGCCCACCTGGATAATCTCCCCATCTCCAGGTCAGCTGCTGAGCAACTTTAATTCCCTCTTTCCATGTAATTTAACATCCTCATGCATTCTGGGGATTAAGACACGGACATCATTGGGGCTGCTATTATTCTGCATACTACAGCAGACAAAAGAACAAAGTATGTATGTAGAGCTGAAATAAATTTAGCATGGCTGAAGGTTAGCCCATGGGGAAGGAGATGAGAAGAGAAGGGGCTGAAGAAGGAAGCCAGGTAAAAATGTGATTGAATTTCATTCTAAGGAAAATGAGGGGCTGTTAAAGAATGATATTAATGTAATTAGATTTGAGTTATTGAAAACTTCCTCTACCTGCATTTGGAGGCTCTTCACGGACAACACATGCCTACTTCACTGACTATAAATTGAAGCTAATTAACTTAGAATTATCGGAGCTTAACCCGAAATCTGAGATAGTAAAGAAAAAAAAGAATGTCTGTATGTGTAGGCAGAAGATCAAAAAAGCAATTCTGAAAAGAATTTGATTACAGGCTGTTCAAGATATTGATCAATATTTGGATGAAGACTCTTTCATCTGGTGAATACCCAGGTGAGCCTAAACTTACACAAGAGGATTTACTGGTTTATGTAAGTGAAAATTCCAAAGGTACTCCCTTAGGTATAGCAGAGTCCAGAGGCTCAAATGATGCCATTGCTGCTCTCCTCTGCATTGACTTCATCATCGGTTGGGGTGGACTCTTCCCTTGTGGAGCTAAGATGTCAGCAACAGCTGTGGGCTGTTACCCTCCTGGATCACACACCCCAACACTGAGGGGGGTGGGCTGGCAGTAGTTCAAGTAGAAGTCCTGGAGTTGAGTCTCACTAGACCACCTTGAGTTGTGTGTTCATTTCTGAGCCAGTCACTGTGGCCAGGGAGATGTGATCTTGGGCAGGCCGGAGTTAATAGTTGACTACCCTGCTATTCAGGCAACTCCGAAAGCTTGCTTCTGTAAATAGCAGTATGTTTTGAGAGCCGGGCTCTGAGCTTTGTAACCAAAATTCAATTAAAACTGTTTAAATGGGGCCACTGTGTAAATTTCTTTGTCATATGTTATTAGTATGGATCTAAAAACCTATCATATTATTGCTGTTCTCTGATTGTTCTCTACAGATGGGCCTGGATTTGAAATCTTAAGATGTACATGTCTATGTTCTGTCAAATTTTCATTTAAAATCAGCACAAAGGCTTTTGGTAATTGACATCATTTGCCTGACTTCGAAAGTGGAAATATTTAATTAAACTTTATATAATAATGAAAGAAAATCATGCTTTTATTTTAGATCACTTTCTTCCCTTGAGCAACTGACTGTCTCTTTCAGTCTTTGTCAGCAGATTTAATCTCACTTCCAGTAAATGCTTTTCCATCACATTATCTTCATTAAAATACAGATGTTCATTAGAATCATCCCATGTTCTTTAGACATTGAGTACGTAATGACATTCTGCTCCCAGCATTTCTGTCATTTGTGCCTTAATGTTTGTAAATGGGGCATCTCTTTTCTTTTAAGGGTACAATTTCAGATTGAGCCAATGGAAAATATATTCGAGTGTGGTTATTTCCCTGATTGGCTTTATTTATGTTAAAAGTGACAGAAGCACTTGAAGTCACTCTTCGTCTTTATCCTCTTCTTCTCAGAGGTGCTGCTGTTTACTACTCAGCCTTCACCAACACATCTCTGCAGATGACTTGAAGCACATCTCCAAACCTGACACATTTTTCTACTTCCATTTCCAGCTTTGTTTTTCACATAACAGTTTTGTGAACTTAACATCTCTTAAACCGCCCTCATTATCTCTGATGTCTCTGCTGTGCTGACATCCCACGTTCACACTCTCACCACAGCTCATCATTTCTTCTCTAGCAGTTTCTACCCATTTCTTTCCAGAATGATTGCTACCAACTATTTAGTGCCTTATAAGATTTCTGAACCTCTTCAATAACCTGCTGTGCTTCTGTTTATGAGCTCTTTCACTTCCATCTTGGTACAACTGAGATAAAAAAACTTTCTAAAACACTATTAAAGCTTGAAGCGTTTTGAGAGTTGAGCTTTATATTCCCACTCCTTCTTTTGACAGTAGGTTGAGAAGCAATTTTTCTCAAGTATTAACCCTTGGTGATTGTATTATTTACTCAATACTTACTTGTTCTGTGTGCAGCTGTCTTATCTTTTAGTCTGGACTGTAACTTCTTGGAGGGCAGAAGACATGGTTTATACTTTCCTGTACGAAGTGTATACAGAACTGAGTACTAATCTTTATAAAAGGTAAATGCTTAGTAAATTTACTATGAAGATGATAAAAGGGAGTTTTGAGGTTGAGGAGGCTGTCTTTTTTTCAGAATGGCAGAATCAGTTAAAATGGATAGCACCCTTCAATCCTAAATCAAAGACTAGAAAAACATACCATATTTGTAATGTTAAAAGTATTTTAAGAATACGTACTCAAGCTTAAAATCAAGAAAGGGAATTCTTCAGGTGTCAGAAATGAAGAGGGAGGCCACAGCATTGAATGGCAAGGGGAATAACTTGAGAAGATCTGTGTAGTGGGGTCTACAGTTTTAAGCAGAGGCTGCAGGCTGCCAGCCTAGTGGCATACCAGAAGTGGGCTGAGACTTGGGCAGGGCACTCCCACTGGACATACTCTGAACTGAACCCACAGTGGAAACTGGGCCCTAGCTTTCCCTTTTCTGTTTGATGAGCCAAATTTTCATTGTGTGGAAGAACCAAGCTCAGGAACTAATGTCAAATTTGGTCTGCAAATTCAGACACCCCATATGACCTCATCAGGGATGTCTCCACAACCCAGGTTACTCAAGGGACTTCCACGAGGATAAAGGATTCTGAATTATTATGAGCTCACAGACAAATATTGCAAGCATATTAGAAAATCCACTGGGTGATAGCTAGTCAGCAGACACAGAAACAAGATTAATCAATTACAGATAATAAACACTAAAGGACCACAACCTGCAAGGAACAATAAGGGCATTAAAATTAATCACAGACTAATTTGGGGAAAGGGGAGTCTACAAATTAAAATATAGCAATGAAAAATTTTAAAAAATCAATTGACTGATTTATGAGCAAAAAGGGCATCATTGTCTTGGAAAGATGGAGCCACAACCACATTCTGTATTATTTTGTGCAGTGCAGTGCTGGGCTGTGGCCAGAGACTCTGGCCGCTCTGTGGAGCGCAGGCACTGCTGGTGGTAAGGACATTCTTCATTTATTTTCCCCCTTTCTCTTTAAATTTAGATGACCTTATTTTAGTTGCCTTTGTAATGTGGAGGTGAATTTATAATCTTTGTTTACAAAGAACAGGGTAATACACCAGCTGGTAAGATGATGCAAAAGCCTAAAATTGTGCTAGTGATGGAAGGGAGAACCTATGGGAAGAAGGTTGCTTTTTGGAAGACAAAACTTTGTTTTCTTTTTCTTTTTCCCATTTTCCCTGACTGCATTGTGTTCTGTGCCAGAGGTTTGTGGCCCTCTGCCTTTCCCACCTCCCTTTGGGGTAGCTACAGGTAGTATCTCCTTCATCTGTGGCACCTGGGCAGTGCTTTTTTTGAGAGTCTTGCTTTGGGCAGTGGTGCTCATCATGAAATAAGCAATTTTCATTTTGTATCCTAGATTTTTCTCCTATGCTAGACCTGGGTCTGCTTCCAAGTGTTCACGCTTTTTCACGGATTTCAGTTTTCAAAGTTGGAAGTGTTGAATGTGTTTTCTTGTAGTGCTGATATAGAGTAGATTTGTGATGAGATGTTTACTACCATGTCTCTTCCAGGAAAGACTCTTCTTACACTGCCATGGAACATGGTCAGCAAATACAGAAGGCAGAAACAGTAAACTTCCTGTAAGCTAACTTGACTAAAGTTTATTAAAATGCAGGATATTCAGCTGTTCTTTGACACTTTAGTGGTTGCTTTAAATTAAAAACAGCTGATACGCATAGGTTTTTAAGAAGCTTGTTCTTGCCCCATCCACAAGTTCTTCTATTTATCCAACCCCCACCACCTCCCGCCCATGTTGTGTGTCCCACAATAAGGGATTTCTGGATGTCTAATTAAAGTTACTTAAATATCAAAAAGGCAGCTAGAAAAGAAGGTGTGTCTGTGCCACTCATGTGATTGCCTGCATTTCTTTTTGTTGTTGTTGTCATCTAAGTGATTTTTGGAAGCCCCCAAGTGAAAAAACAAGTGCACCACTCTGTTGAGAAATGAAAGATAAACATAGCATAATTGGCTAAGACTAGGATCATGACGTGATGTGTGCCTGTGTCGTATTGCTGACGTTTATGTGGTTGAAGAATTACATCTAAGTAATATTTGAATATATGCGATTTTTGACTTCATAATAATTGACGCAGTGTGGGTAGAGTCTATGTAATGTTACCGTTGGTTAAATGGGTGTAGGTTTTGCCCCCCATAATTTACCCTGCAGGTACAAACATAACCTTTTATTTTTTACTCCTCGGATTCGTGGCTCTTTTTTTCTCACTCCAGAGATAAAGTAGCATATCTTTCCTGCTGTCCAAGGAAGACGAGTGTTCCTGTGTCCCTGCGTCTTATGCATATTCATAACACACTGAACCCTGGTGGTTGTGAGCGATGGATGGAGCTTCAGGGATTGTATTATAGGCAGTCTCCAAACCGTGTGTTTGCCAATATTTCTTTGTTCATCTCTATTTCATCAAATCTGTGAACTAGAAACAAGATTGACAGCATGGAATTCAATTTTCCCTTTCCGTGTTTTCTGGCACTCCCTTGGATAATTAGAGCCATGTGATGAAGTGGTGCAGACGGAGGTGGAGGTGGCTGAGGGCACAGAGGAGAAGCAGGGTGGGGGTGCTGGTCTAGGAGGCCCCCCTCCATCCATGTAGAGGCGAGTTAGATTTGGTCTTAACAGTGGGGAAAATAGAACTTATTTACTGTGAGATTCCACCCAGTAATTTCTGGGATGAAATCTGTGTCTTCTTAATTTAAATGGATGAACCTCACTGCATGTGGAAAACATAGCCTGCCTTTCTTACAGAAACTCTGCCTTTGTGAGGATTAAAGCAAAGAGTTGTCCTAATTTTTAATTCTTCACTGGATTCAAGTCATAGGAAATGAGCCTGAATTTGGTGACATACTTCAGATTTTTTTCTGTTGTGCTCAATCTTATTGTTTGACAAAGGACTGAGGTTGAACTGTTGAAGTTACATATGCAAAATCAAAAGATCTCAGCTAATCTTGAGGAAAGTTTTTGATGGGTTGGATAGGAAGTTAAACTCTAAATATAAGAAATGACAAATGTGTTAGAATAGAGAACATTTTATTAGCTTATTGGTATTATAACTGTCTCCTGAGTTTCCTTCAATGTGTGACTCTAATATTCTATAATATTCAACGTGAATTTGCAGTGAGTATAAGATGTTCACATCTGATTTGTAGCACATTCCTCATTGGAAGAAACATAAGCAATACAGACTTCCAGATTTTAACAACAACAGTAATAACAGCTGCTGATTATGGAGTACCTGCTCTAAGTCAGACGCCCTGGGAGGTTTTCCCCATGAATTTAATTCTCAGCAGTCATTACCCACATGTGACAGTTAAGGACCCTGAGACTTGAGGAGGCTAAGGATTCAATCTCAGTCCCTGGAGCTGGTGGGTGTTCCCATGAGGCTTCTAGCCTGGCTTTCTCTCTCATCAGCCCCCTTCATCACCTGGTGTTTTCCAGGATGCCGGTAGGAGGCGGCAGGCAAGAGAGTGAAGCTCTCTCTCCAGGGCTTGGCCGAATTGCTCTGCTTCTCTGTGCTCTATTTTCCATCTGCAAATAACAGCACCTAGCTCATGAGTAGGGCTCCATGAGTTAGTTCAGGAAGCGAGATTTAAAGGGTCACCAGGCACACAGGAAGCCCTCAGCAAGTTCACGGTCATGTAGGTTTCCCTTTCCTACCCCTTCCATGGTCAGCTGCTGGGACCGCTCTTCTCCCCTAGACCACCGCACTCACACCCCTTCTTCTCCAGCCCAGGTGCACTGTCATGTGTTGCCCTTTCCAAGACAGGGTGCAGGGGAGGGGATAACTCTGCCTCTGTAGCTCCTCGGTCCTCCACGTGGCCACTGCCCCTCCTGTGTTACCATGACCTCTCCTCCTGGCCTCAGCTCCTGGCCTGAGGGCCCAGCGCCTCCTTTCTCTGCATTTCCTACCGTAAGCTCATCCTCTGCCCCAACACCCACCCTGTTGTGATTAAATGCTCTGGATACCTGAGCCCCTTTCGGTGTTACAGTGATGTTTTACTAGATCCCTTCCTGTGATGTTTATCTTCCCTTTGAGTTTAAGATGATAAGGGGAGGGTGATGGTAGACTAGGGAGGAAAGAATGAGAGGATTAAAAAGGGTTGGGAACAGAAGACACAAGTGCCTTAAGGGATAGGAACTATAAAATTCTGAAGAAAACCTCTAGGTGTGTTCCTGTTTCAGGGAATATCTGCAATATTACATTCTTTGACAACAGATTGTCCAGAGAGAGTGATTATTCCTGAGCTTCTGTGGGACTTGGTGAGTTTGGAATAATAGGAGGCAGGTGGAACCTGGAGGTGGGGTTGGGGGAGAGGCAATGAGAGAGCCAGCTGGAATCAGAAATACCCAGCTTAGGGATCTGCAGTAGCCAAACACCCCTCGCACCTACCCGCTGCCTTTGTCACCGCCCCCACCACCTTTCTCGAGCTCTAGTCCTTGTTCCTCTAGGCCCTGGGAACTGCCCTTTGGCATGTTGAGCTTGAGATATGAATGAAGATAGGACCTCAAAATGCAAGACAAACTGAATTTTCCCCTGGTAGCGTTTTAATCTGGTAGTTGGTTTCTGTTGTGCATGTGTTACTGTGCTAACTGTGAGGATACAGTGTGTTATGTTGCTCATTATGAATAGCCTGGGGATGCAAATTACTTGAAGTACATAGTTTTCCTTAAGAACATTTATTATGATTTCTATATAGTCTGCTTACAAATGAATTTCTTGAGCAAAGCCTGTTTGTAAGCAGTGGATGTATGCATTTGTGCTTGATTCATAAAGCATTAGAGTTGCAATGGAAATAACCTGAGCCTTAGTTTCCTGAGAGACACCTACTTAGTAGCTTGTGTGTGTTGGGGAGAGACTGGGGTGGGGGGAGGAGGGACAAGGATTTAAACAGAGATTTGAATTGCACTGTCTGTGAAGTTTGCAGGGGGGCATTAAATCTATGGATTAATTCAAACAAAATGTCTCATGTATGTAACCTTTATAAACTGTGTTGTATTTATTAAGCCTATTTTATATAAATTCAGCTTCAACTAGAGGGTTATTCTCCATAGCATTATTTTTTCTATTGAAACATACAGATTTTACCAAAACCCCTTTTCATTACCTTTAATTCTTTCTGCTAGGTCATAGGCAGGATTTTGAATTATGCTATTAATTTAACTTCATTTTAAATGAATAAAATCAGCACATCCACAGTTTGGATATTTTTCTGAACGATTGAATACTTGTTTTATTTTATCCTTTGCCCAGTAATTTTTTTTCAACCAATATTGGGCCAGTGGCCACCAGTCATATTGCAGCATAGGCAAGCAGTGTGCCTCATGAAATAATCCTATAGGAAATAAAATATGCAAAAATCAATAAGGTTTCATGGAACAGTTTCTGCAAGGAGCAGAAAGGCAAGCGTGGCTCAATAAAGTGGCAACAGCCTGTGACAACAAGCCTGGAACTGGTTTCCATCAGAGACACCCTTTTACTGAGCACAGTGAATATTTCTGTGATATCCTGTCCCCATGTAGCAGGAGCATTTTGCCCTGGTTGCACAGTCCCAGCAAGGGGCTTTGCATAGGCTTTGCACAGGATGCTTGGGAGACTCAAACTCTCTCCCCACCCCGAGATGGAGTCTTCCTCTGCTGCTTAGCATGGAGCTCAGTGGTGCAATCATAGCTCACTGCAGCCTTGATCTCTGGGGCTCAAGTGGTCCTCCCATCTCAGCCTCTCAAGTATCTGGGAATACTGGCATGTACCACCAAGCCGAGTTCATTTTTTTATTTTTTTATTTTTAGTAGAGATAAAGTCTTGCTATGTTGCCTAAGCTGGTCCAAACTCCCAAGCTCAAGCATTTCTCCCATCTCAGCCTCCTAACATGTTGGGTTTACAGGCGTGAGCTACTGTGCCCAGCTGAAGACTTGAAGTCTTGATGCCAAAGGGAGGGAGGATTTGTTGTCTGCTCTTTGGTATTCCTGAGAGTGACACATGGGGCTGGGTTCTCTGTGGCACTGTTATATAAGTCAAGCAGATCCCTTGGAACTTTATGTGGGAAGTGTTGTTGGGCAATTATAATCTATATTCTGAACACTTGAAAGGGTTAATATAACCAGTGTTTGGGCATTTGGGTGGTGTTTGCACATATATGGCAGCCTCTTCCTGAGAGACTGGATAGATTAATACCCAGAATTACTTTATGTAAAGTTTTCCAGGATATGTTATTGGAGTGAATTTGAACTCTGGTTCTGAAACCTTTTATATAATAGTTATGTCCATCAAGGCTCTTGTGCACTGATTCTTAATCAAGAAAAAATGAATTAAATCCCCTTAAATGAATTAAACACATTTTCAATTTGATGCGTTATTACCAACTTTATCTCTGTGATAACAATATTGGATGAAGTAGGCATTACTGAGTGACTGACACTTCTCAAATTCCCAGTTTTTCTCTGCCCATCATTCACTTCCTTTAAGTATTACTTTTTTCCTTATTTCAGGTTTTCAAGTGACTTCTGACATTTTAAAAAACCGGTTTTGATGAGGCCATAGATTCTCTTAGGTGCATTGTGCACTGCTGTTGCTCTTCCTTTTATCTCTCTCCTTCCATAAGCAGGAGCATATTTTATAAGCTGCTTTTCTCTTTCTAGTCGAGGTACCTGGAGGCAGCCCCATTCACATTTGTGGGACTGATGGTGAATGGTATTTTGCAGTGGAAAGTGAGCCTCTTAGGTCTTAAGCTCCATGGGTTTAAGCACAGGAGGGGCATGAGCTGCTCCAGGAATCTCCTGCAGCTATTTATAAAAAGATGGACTCTTTCTCTTCCCTAGGGGACAGAGTATGATGGATTGTCATGGCAGTGTGTGAAAATAAAACTCTACAAAGCAGCACAGGAGAGCTGTGTAATCAGTCTGGAATTTAAAATATCTACTTGCCAACTTCACCAGTGAATGTTGAAAACTGAGACTTGGAAAGTTTTTTTTTTTTTTTCTTTGACAGCAATACTTGTTCAAAGTGCACTGGCTTATGATGGAGAAATTGGGTCTGGATGGTCTAGCTCTTTGAAGAGTGAACATTAAGTGCCACTGCACAGTGTATGAATGAGGCATGAAATGATGCCATCAGAGCAGCAGTGGCGCAGAGGTGCTGGGTGGATCTTGTCAGTTTGAGGTTGAACCGAAGCACAGAAGCACAGAACAGGGTATGTCTAAAACCTGACATGGCTTCTTTGTGCTATTCATGTGCACCTAGCAGTGCCTTAGCCACCTAGCTCTATGAGACATCATGCTGACGAATTACCCCTGTGACTTACCTGTGTGCAGGTTATGCCCACTTTGGTGATGTTTCCTTTCTAGAGGGTCTCTTTCTCTTGTTCTGTAAGAGACAAACATATGCCAGTGCCATGTTCTTCCATAGAAATGAAAGTACGAGGGATAAATGAGTGAGGGGAATGGCAGAGGGAAAGAAAATGTGAATGTAAGGGTACAGTAGATGTACATTAGTGTGTTGTGATCTCAGTGCAGTAGATTAACGTTAGTGTGTTAGGACCTCAAGGAGAAATTTAATAGCTGAATCATTGCTGAGATTGACAAAGATCAAGTGCTTGGAACCGGTAGCCAGTAAGACTATTTCTCAAAGACAGAGTGCATCATTTATTTCTGGGCTCTCCGTCCATGCTGCAGTTCAGTTATTGAATATCCTTTAATGCAACATTCTTGGTAACCACGTAAGAAATACTCAAATATTGAAGACAGAGGACCTGGCTCCAGGGCACTTATCATCCAGATGTGGACCCCCTTCCTATTCATCCTGCTTGGAACTTCGTGGGCCTTCTGGACCGAGAGGATATGTGCCTTCAACTCTGGGTACTTTTCTTCTCTTATCTCTTTAGTTTTGTCTGTTAATTTCTCTATATTCTTTTAAGTATTTCTTCTTAATTTTTTTTTCATATTAGGCATATGTTAAAACTTCTAAGTTCTTGCTTGTCTTAACTTTTTTTTTCACATTTTTTCATCTTTTTTTCCCCCTATGGGAGATGAGTTGTCTTGTGGGATAATTCTTTGGCTCTGTCTTCTAGATTACTAATTTATTCTTCAGCTGTATCCTTTCTCCTGTTTAGACCAAATGTTGTTTTTCCTCATTTAAAAATTGTCTAAAAATTTCAGATCACCTTTAAAAAATTATTATTAACATGGTAGTCTATCTATTTTCAGACCCCTTTTAAAATCTCCTCTTCACTTTAATACTTATTTACTAAAGCATTCCTTATACTATTGGTTATATTTGCTGCTTCTCTTTCTTGGTCTTCATTTTCTTCAAATATTTAACACTTTGTGGTTGTGTACACATCTCCATGCTTGACATCTGATGGTATACAACTTGTGAGGTTATACTTGTTTTCAGCTACTTTTCTATAGGGATTGTGGGAGATGGGTGCTGAGAGGGGTGTTTGCCTGTGCTGTGGGGATCCCCGTTCTTCCAGGGTCTTGGCAGCCTCCTGCAACAAACTTGCTGGGGCCTGCTGTGTGTACACACTGTATCAGGCTGGGTGTACCTCGTTAAGCACATAGGTGGTAAAATAAGTACCACGGTAAAATTATGGCTTAGGGCTCAGGGTAAAATTATAAAAAAGGAACAGATTACATCCCACTGTGGGCAATAAGAAACACTTTCTGCAGGATTCTGAGATGGGCCTGGAAGAATGGATGATATTTCAACAGGGGGTAATGAGGAAATGCAGTTTCGGTGTGGGCACCTGAACGGACAAAAGGACAGGTGTCATGGAAAACAGGTTCTGGGAAACCTGCATCACCTAATTCACTGGAGAGGGATAATAGTGATGCTATAAATAGCAAATGAAGTCAGTTGGGCTCTTATATGTGTTGAGCACCACCATCCATCTGAATAGTTGCTTAAGCCAGAAACTGGGGAGTGGCCCCAGCTGCTTCTTCCTTCCCTTCATCCAGAAAGTTAGCAGTTCCTGGATTTTCCTCCTCTAGAATGTCCCTCAAACCTGTCCTCTTTTGTCTTTTCTCATGTCTGCCACACTTGTCTTAGTCATTAGCGAAATATCCACATTTTATACTTCTGTTTTGAAACTGACGGAATTGTCCCAGAAAACTGATGTTTATGGTTTCTTTTAAATAAGTACAGAAATTTACCCTCCCAGTCTTAAATCTTGAGAAAGTTACATTTATCTTATCTGAGTTCCTTTTTCAGGAAACCAATCATCAGTCCTCCCAGTCTTAAATCTTGAGAAAGTTACATTTATCTTATCTGAGTTCCTTTTTCAGGAAACCAACCATCAGTCCTCCCAGATAGTATCAAGGAACTGAAACTTTCCAGATCACAGCATCAGGACAGTGAGACACCACACCCCTCACCCAACATGATTGCCTAGCCCACCACCTACTGCCTGTTGGCTAACTCCTCTTCCTTACCCTTTCCTGGTCTTGTTTTCCCACATGTCATTACGTTTCTTTCCTGCTGTGTAAATCCTTAATTTTAGTTGGCTTAGGAGATGGATTTGAGACTGATCTCCCATTCTCCTCTGCCGCAGTACCCGAATAAAGCCTGGCAATACTCTTTGTCCTAGTAATTGGCCTCCTGTGCGGCAGCAGTGACACCTATCTGTACCATACCTTTGACGCTTTGGGGGCAGTTCTGTGAAGGTGGGAAAATTGATTGTGGAATAAAGTGATACATTTGGTTTGGGGCATGTTTCTATCTTATTAATAGTATATTTTTCCTCATAGAGATGTCTACTACACAGTTAGAAATAAAGGCCTAAGCTGGGCATCATTGCCCTTGCCTGCAATCCCAGCTACTAGGTAGGTTGAGGTGGAAAGATCGCTCGAGGCCAGGATTTTGAGACTGTAGTGTGCAATGAGCATGCCTGTGAATAGCCACTGCGCTCTAGCCGGGCAATAATAATATTAATATATAGATGCCCTGTCTTTAAAAAAATATAGAAAAGAAAAGAAATAGAGGCCTAGTATTTGAGGGAAAGGTTATTGATAAAGCAGCACATTTTGAAGAGATTGTAGTTTAAAGTATGGGAATAGATTTAATATATGGACAGCAAATCAATAAAGAAAGGCAAAATGAGGTTCTACTACAAAATCAGTGGAACTCCTAAACATAAGGAAACGGCTGCCCTCATGTAGTGAACACAAGATCCACATTGTTTGAAGGACATCAGCGTATGTTCTGTCCTCTCCCTTTGAAGAGAGTCTAATTTAACAGGTGTGATAAGACATCAGTAATGGTGACTAATGTATCACTGAGTGTCAAGTGAGTGATATGTGCCTTAGGTCCCAGTTTATATTCTGGAAGGTCTAATAGCTTTACCAAAGCCAAAGAATTCTGTGATAAAATAAGCTTGGCAGTTCCTTTACTCCAGGACTTGGTAAAGTTAACACATCTGATTATATACAATATTTTCCCCACCAAGTACTGGAAACTTGTGTTCTGCTGGTTAAGGACTATTTCTCTGTTGTGGTAATCCCTAGAAGCTAGAGTCTCAGAGTTCATATGGCATAGACAGTTGGCATAGAGATCTTCCAATTAGTTTCTTCCAACTTTTCTCTTGCATATAACCTAGAAGAATTTTTAAACAATAATGTAAATAATATACTTCCCTCATATACTTGTAAATTGACATGCAAAGCTTTTAAGAATTGTAAGTTGCAAAATAGGAATAAAGGATGTCATTTCTAATAAATTACAAATCTTGGCACTTAAAAATTAAGTGGTATAATTATTCTTCTAAAGATGTCATCTAGAATCTACATTCGTTAGTATTGTGAGGTCAATTTTTTTAATATTAAATCATGAACAAGTTCTTCTTTAACATTTAGAAATTTTACGTCATTCCTTTTTCTTGGAGTCATTTCATTCTACATCCTCCATTGAATTTACTTCTAATATCATGTGTTTGCTTCCTTAACACTTTTATAGCTCACCCTTTCATGTTTCTCTACATCTAAAATAAACATATAAATTAAAGGAATACTTTACAAAAGTCTCATTACCATAAAGTTCTGTTGTAAAAGCAAATTCTTCTGGATTGAGTCATCATTACAATGATCAGTAACACACAGTTGATCTGAACAACATAGATATACTCAGGGCGGATAAATAATAGTTAAGCATAATAACTGAAATTTCATTTGAAATGCATCTCTTTGAGAAGAAAACGTCTTTTATTTTTTCTAGTTAGTTAATTAATTTTTTTTTTTTTTTTTGAGATGGGGTCTCACTCTGGCGCCCAGGCTGGAGGGCAGGGGCGTGATCTCGGCTCACTGCAACCTCTGCCTCGTGGGTTCAAGTGATTCTCTTGCCTCAGCCTCCCGAGTAGCTGGGATTACAGACATGTGCCACTATGCCTGGCTAATTTTTGTATTTTTACTAGAAACAGGGTTTTGCCATGTTGGCCAGGCTGGTCTTGAACTCCTGACCTCAGGTGATCTGCCCGCCTCGGCATCCCAAAGTGTTGGGATTAAAGACATGAGCTGCTGCCCCCAGCCTTTTTCTAGTTAGTTTATTTACCTATGAGTGATAATGATATATTGCTATAACGGGTATCAGTAGATCATATTGATAATCCAGTGTAAACCTGACATTAAGGAAAGATACAGTGGTACCTCATAAAATATTTATGTATTATGTGTAATAAGTTGATAGAAATGTAATATTAGATACCATTTGGGGTTATTATTGTACTACTCCTGCTCTTTTCTAGTAATTAACAGTTGGCCACTACAAACTTGCACTTGGATAAAATATAAAATGTGTTTTTTATAATTACAAAAGGGTTCCTAGCTTTATGAAAGATTTTAAATGATTCAATATGTGAAGTGATTTCTATGCTCTTTTTCTATCATATTATTCCATGAAATAAGGCATTCTTGTACAGGGATGAACTTTGGCTGTTCTGTTTTGCTGTAACAGTATGATGGATAGCATTATCTCTGGTAGGATAATTGGGGTCAGATTGTAAAACTGGAGTTGCGTTTGCACCATGTGATTCTCAGAAGTCTTGGGATGTGCAGATCCAAGGCAGCCTGTCGTGTTCCTGTGTGCTGTCTTAGTCTGACTGCTGGTCTCCGCTTGGAGTAAGACTCCCGGAAGCTGGAAGGGAATGAGGCTACAGACCTCTCTATTTGAGCTTTGAAAGAAGAAAAAATGTTTCCGTCCAGAAAAGAAAGCTCCGCAAGGCAGATGGTACACAGGGAAGGTGGTGTCTGTCCTTAACCTCACACTCCCTGGGTCAGGGCAGCCTAGGGATTTTGCAAGTTATTCACTTCCCTCCTCCAGGGCAAAATTATTTCCCTTTTATCTTAGCCAACACCCTCTTTGGAGGAAGCTCTTCATTAGAGTTGTGTGGGAAAAATGTCACTTAATTTCTAGGGAATATGATTTTATACAACAGCAGTCTCTCTTCTCTACTAATTTAGTTTTTTTTCCGACGAGTCTTGTATTGGAAAGTAGCTTAATAGTTAAGAAACTAGTATTAATTTCTTTGGTTAGGTCTAGGTATTATGGCCTCTCCATGAGAGCTTTAAAATGTATCTAACCATTCAGTTCCTTTACTTCGTTCAGTCATTCACAAACAGTTTTGACTCCATCCTAGGGTAAGATTAATTCCTTCCTTCTTTGTGCCTCTTCCTACCAGGTACAGACTAACATCCTAGCTCCTGCAACACTCACTTGCTCCCTGCGTGCCTGGTGTCCTCCTACTGGACTCTGAGGTTGTATTCATCTATGTATCTACTCTAGAAGGTGGGATACACAGTGAATTCTGAGAGAGGATAAAGAAAGAACTGCCCTAAGCACTTGGACAGTATTTAATCCTCTCTTTCTTTTAGTAGCTATGATATCTTGGGGCAGCTTTTGCTCCCCCAAAATGGAAGTAACAATAAGCCCTGCTCACAGAGTTGTGGTTGAAATTAAACATCAGTAAAACACTCTCTCTGCAGGTGTGAAATGCTTAATTCATATGAAGTGCCACTCTTAGTGTTACTGGTGGAGCAAATGCACAAATGAATGAGAGAGGATTTATTGATTCTGTGAGGCTTGTGAACACAGCTCCTGCTGTCCATGGAGGATTCATGTTCCAGTAGAGCTGGATACATACAATGTGTCGTGAGAGTACAGAAGGGTGGAGAGGATTATAGACAGAGCCCTAGAAACCTCAGGTGTGAAAAGTGTAATTCTTTTTAAGGTTAGGCTTGAGGAAGCTTCCTGGGAGAGGTAAGGCCTGAGCAGTGATTTGAGGAAAGGGTATTATTCTTGTCTAGATGGTCAGTATGGTAAAGTACAGATAGTGGGCCTGAGAAATGTCCAGTGGTTTCTTACTTCTATGGTGTTATTGATATGGAAGAGGGGCAGGGGAGTCCTGGGAGGAGAAGGTGGGCCCCTGGCTTGGGCTTCACCCCCAGGCCTGTGCCTGTGGACATAGGTGAGGACAGGCACTCCTGCTTTTGTACCCAAATGTTGCATTTCCCAAGACCACCCTGGCCTGCCATGCCCCCTTCCTGTGCCTATAAAAACTATGAGACCCTAGCAGGTAGATACACAAGCTGCTGGATGTTGAGAGGAACACATTGGCGGAAGAAGATAGAAGCGGCTGGATGTTGAGGGGAGCACACTGGCAGAAGAGCACACCGACAAAAGAGCACACCGACAGTTGTCATCAACCAGTGGAATGACGCAGAATTTGGCCAGGGCAGAGGAGAGCCCAGGCCACTAAGTGGCTCAACTCTAGGGGAAAAGCATCTCCCTTCTGGCTCCCCCATCTGCTGAGAGCTACTTCCACTCAATAAAACCTCGTCCTCATTCTCCAAGCCCACAGGTGATCTGATTCTTCTAGTACACCAAGGCAAGAACCCTGGGATACAGAAAGCCCTCTGTCCTTGCAGTAAGGCAGGGCTCTAATGGAGCTGACTAACACAAGCTGCCTATGGACAGGGGCTTCAGCTGTAAACATTCATGCCTAGACACTGCTGTGGAGTCAGAACCCCACAGCCTGTCTGTCTGTATGCTCCCCTAGAGGTTTGAGCTGTGGGGCGCTGAAGAAGCAAGCCATACCACCATCGCATGTCCTAAGAGGGGGACAAGGGATCTCTTCTTGTTTCATTTTGAAGGGGAAGGGGCCTGGAGCGGGAAGCAGACCCCTCCATGAAGGACTTTTCCCCAAGAGGCAGCCAGGAGCCATTGAAGTGATACATAAAGTGGATGGTCTCATGTTAATTTGTGAAGTCACCAACCCCTGTTTGTGAAGTGCGTTGCTAATAAATACTTTTGCTTTATCTTAAGCTTGGGTGAAACTGTGCAGGATCTTCTGGGAAAGACATGGAGGGGTCTCTTACAAGACCTCTTGTTGTGCCTGCCTGTATCCAGCTTCCAATTAGCTATATCCACTCTTAGCCAGATGCCATACTCAATGGCAGTGGGAAGCTTTGTCCTTGGAGCTGCCTGCCACAGGTACATCTACAGAGGTACGTTAGTTCCTTGGCTGTGAGCTGCAAGGAGGGCCTGGCCGGGGATTGGTGAGGGCCTGCTCTGCTCAGAGGGTCAATTAAATAACTAGGTTCAAGCTGCCCTAGCTCATTCCAGTCAACAGGCACCTCCAACTGAATAAAAGGTCATTATCCTAGAATGTGGCCTCTGCAAGTCTTCAGACAATAACCCCCAAATCCATTCACTTTACACAAACTTGCTTTACTTTTATTTTTTGTGTGATTCTTGAGGAGAGAACACTTAGAATCTGTTGGCAAGACACTGATTTTGACTGTAGAGGTAATTATGACAGACACCCTAGCAGCTTTATTGCTGGAAACTGGCCCCTTCGAGGCACCCCCAGTCAGAGTGTGTTCCCTGAAGAGCCTCGCCTCTTCAGTTCAGAAATGTTTCCCTGGAAGGTTCCAGGCCTCTTATGTTGCCAGGCTGATGATCCTCTGGGCACAGCCACCTCCCGTGGGTGACTTCCCCGGAAAGCACCACGGTGGCCTCGCCTCTCTTTGGCTTCTCTCATGGCAGCTGGGCCCTTTCCATTGATTCTTCACAGCACAGAGACCAAACTGCCATTTGCAGCCTGCCTTTGCCAGAGGCTTAGCTGCTGTGGAGGGAAGTGCGGCATGGAAATAGAGCAGCAGGTCAAGGTCTACACATGAGCTCTTCTGCTGGCTCCCACCTGCCTCCCCCAGCCCTGGTCAGCTGCCCCCCAAGGACTGGGAGAGTTCCACAAGTCAGCCTGCCTTGTGGAGCTACTGATTAGAGAAAGAGGAGGAAATTCTTCTGTAACCTGAATTCAAATCCCACCTCCTCATTCCCTCCTAGGAATGGTCTCAGTGTTAGTGGTGGAGAGAAAACCCATCTGGTAGAACTCACTCTCAGCCCCAGGACGTTGTTCTGGCTCTATGGCTTAGCAAGGCAATCCCATAATAGTCTACCATGGACACTCTCCATAGTCTGGGTTCCTTTGAGTTAAACAACACCTTATTGGGTAGTATGTGAACAGTCTCATCCAAGGTGGGCTGTGCCATGCAGGGACAGTTGCTTTTCAGTCCCTCTCCAGTTAGAATCTAGAGAAATATCACTGTGAAACAAGGAAAAGACATTCTTGTTGCCGAATGTGATAATGTGTTCTAGATGCCTATGTAAAGTAGCCCTTTTTTTACTCATAAGACAAATACTTAGAATTATGATGGAATATGGTAGTTTCCTCTTATCCACAAGAGATACGTTCCAAGTCCCCTAGTGGATGCCTGAAACCACCGAGGCAAGTACCGAATCCTATATATACTATGTTTTTTTCCTATGCATATATACCTATGATGATGTTTAATTTATAAATTGGGCACAGAAAGAGTTGAACAACAACAATAATAAAATAGAACAATTATAATAATTTGCCAGTATCACTAGTCTTGTGCTTTGGGGTCATTATGAAGTAAAATAAGAGTTCCTTGAACACAAACACTGCAATACCCCAACAGTTGGCCTCATAACTGAGCTGGCTACTAAGTGATTTGTGGGCAGGGCAGGTGGTATCTACAGCATGGATCTACTGGTCAAAGGGATGGTTCCTATCCTGGGCAGGACAGAGTAACATAGAATGAGATTTCATCACACTGCTTAGAACAATGCACAGCTTGAAACTTAGGAATTGTTTATTTCTGAAATTTGCCCCATGATATTTTTGGACCATATTTAATCATGGGTAACTGACACCATGGAAAACAAAGCAGCAGATGAGGGAGGACTACTATATTGCCACATTATAAATATAGCTGCTTAAGATGTAACTCCAAATATAGTTCTACTTCCTTCCTTCGTCAAATATTATTTTACATTTATATTTATTGACATCACCTTGCCCCTGATGTGTACTTTTAAACTATACTTTACCTCTCTCTGATGCTCAATACTTCTTGTCCCCCATCAAGTTTCACAGGAGGTGTGTGTATATCCAGAGCTATTGAAGCAAACTCTAAACTATCTCATCCACTTCAGAATGCCTGGCCTGGGCTATAATGTGGAAATATACTTACCTCCCCTTGTGATTTATTTGAGTCAAAACAATTTCTAGCTATAACATTTCCATTTATAGTGACTGAGAAAAAGGGGCAACATTAGTGATAGAACTCATTCATTTGCATTTGACTTGAGAGTTTCTGTTCTGATTGGTACTTTCTATACTATGAACTTATGGACTGATATTTACAATTTCGCCAATAGATAGAGTCACCAGAGAATCTTGCATATAAAATGGGCACAGAATATTTGTAGGTTTAGTTTCATTGCTCAGGCTCTTTGATGTGTTCTGTGGGTGGGAGAGGAGTGTTATCTCCAGCTTGTTCTGCATTGTCATTTTTTAAGGCGAGCCAAGCATTCTCAAGTTGCTTTTGCTTTCATTACAACCCTTAGAATGAATTCTCTCAAGGCCTCTGCGGACCTTGAACTAAACCCACCTAAATAAATGGCCAAATTCTACTCTGCCTTCTTAGTTTTTGTCCCTGTCACCTGAAATGCTTAGCCTCTCATGGCTTCCCTGGTGTCACACACTCATGAGCCTATTCTTGGCCGTCCTCTCTTGTTTTCACACTGCCTTTTGCACTTCCTTTCCTGCCGCAGCTGTGTGCTGTGGGCCAGGCTTGCTCTCCGGGGAACATTTGTTGTATAGTCTCCGTGACATCCTGTGCAGTGTAGGATGTTCAGCAGCATTCCTGGCCTCTGCCCACTAGATGTACACCCCTCTTGGCACTCAGAAATGTGTCTAGACATTGCCACCTGTCCTCTGGGAGACAAGAGTCTCCCCTGGTTGAGAACCACTGTCCTAATGTTTCTCCTATTTGTAGTATCCGTTCTACTCTTGTTGCCCTATTCAGGATTTAATATTCCATAGCCCCAGGATGCTTACAAAGCTTCCCCATGCAGAAACTCTCTTCCCTCCACTCCCTGCAGAGACACAGAATAGAGCAAGCTGACACTGTGGTGTTTCCCTGGGTGAAAGGTTATTTGGAGACTTCACAAGTACAGACTAAGAAAACAGAACGATGGTATTGTGGGGACATGGGAAAGGGGAATGCCTGCATTTCACACGTTTAGTTCCACAAACAGAAGGATGCCCATGGACAGGGGTGCCCAGCAGGCAGATATAAATTTAGCCTTGGTGTGATCATTAAGTGTCAACTTGATTGGATTGAAGGATGCAAAGTATTGTTCCTGGGTGTGTCTGTGAGGGTGCTGCCAAAGGAGATTAACATTTGAGTCAGTGGACTGGGAAAGGCAGACCCACCCTCAGTCTGGGTGGGCACCATCTAATCAGCTGCCAGCGCTGCTTGAATAAAGCAGGCAAAAGAAGTTGGAAGGAGCAGACTTGCTGAGTCTTCCAGTCTTCATCTTTCTCCCGTGCTGGAAGCTTCCTGTCCTCGAACATCGAACTCCAAGTTCTTTGGCTTTTGCACTCTTGAACTTAAATCAGTGATTTGCCAGGGGCCCTTGGGTCGGCTTCCCTGCTTTTGAGGTTTTGGGACTTGGACTGGCTTCCTTGCTCCTCAGCTTGCAGATGGCCTATTGTGGGACTTCACCTTGTGATCGTGTGAGTCAGTACTTCTTAATAAACTCCCCTTCATCTGTACATCTATCCTACTAGTTCTGTCCCTCTAGAGAACCCTGACTAATATACTTGGACAAAAGGGGCCCCAAGCCCCAACCTGCTCACTGGATGGATCTGTCTTTATTGGCCCCTTGCACTGGCTGTACAAGAGCCAAAGGAGTGAGTGCCCCCTTGTCCTTCCCTCTCTAACGTGCATATCTTCCATCCCCACTCCTAGGCCACTTTCACTGTCATCTCACAGACAAATCCCTGGTCTTCATCCGGGCCTCATTGTGGTCTCCCTTTCTAGTACCCCGAAGGTCAGAGCACCATTGTTCTTGCCTGAGCATTACCTGGACTCTGTTATGAGTTAGTCCCACTTTCCTGTGCTGCATTTGGGACATCACTGTTCAGAGAAAGCCTCTAGAGGAAGTAGGATCTCCCACTGTTCTGCGGGTGACATCAGTCAGGAGAGTGCGCACCAGTCATGGTGGGGACACATGAAACAACTCCGTGGGGTCTCAGGTGCACCAGGCAGCCCAAGAGCAGGTGGACGTGGTGATGTGGTTGGATTTTCCTGTGTGTGTGTGTGTGTGTTTTTTCCTCAGTAGCATTTTCTTTATTTGTAAGAAGAGATCTTTTAGCATTTTATAAAATTACTTTTATTGCTCGTTTTTTCCCCTTGTAACTTGAAGGGTTTCCTTCTCTCTTCTTTTTCTATTTACTTATTTTTCCTATTAGTAACTACTAGACTATTTCTATCAGCAAGGTACATTTTTAATATAGTTGTATTTTCTATTTTCCTGTCCAGTTACTAAGATTAAAAGCTTTGCTTTGCCCTTAATAATGGAACAAAACACCATCCAAACTGTGGTTAAAACATGGTTTTCTTCTGGGATGTGGTAAAACGAGAAAGCCCTCATCATCCCAGCATGCTTTGCCTAAGCTGACTTACAACAGAATTGTGCCCTGGATGTCAGTGCATGAACTCTGGCCCCAGGGAGGCTCTCTGGGCAGGCAGCGCTACTCAACATGGTGTCAGCTGCTTGCTGGGGCTCCCAGGATGCATGGAACCTCTATTGTATTTTCCAGACTTAAGCTTCTCTTCATGGATTTACACCAAATGCTTAAACATGTCTGTCTGTTTTTAAGATTTGGAGATATTGGTTTTCTCTTAGTTCAACTAGCATCAAGGCTTGCTGCGTTTCATGTGCAGGGCCATCAGTGCTACTGGGACCAGCATTTCTGTCCAGCAATTAAAGGAGGAAATTCCCTAGGAAGAAGTGGCCGGGAGCCAGGAGGCTGAACTAAATAGCATTCCAAATTAGTTGCAATTGTCCGAAAGAGGAAATTGCTAAGGCCCTGGTTCCCAAACTGTGGGCCAAGGCTCCCTGGAGTACTGGAACAACTACACCATGTTGTAAGTGTTCACGTTTTCAAGGGAAACACAGCTAGGTACCATGCAGAGGACTACTATGAGATTGCTTAGACTTCGCTATTTAATAAATGGAATGGATAGGTTGATTTTGCATAGGAGTACCATGAAAAAAATCACTGAAAGGTAAGAGCACTATGAACTGAGAAAGTTTGGCAACTTCTGCTCTAACGGTATAATGAAGGTTTTTGAAAAGCTGAGGATATAGCCAGGTGTTTGTGAGGGATGGAGGATAGGTATATAAAAGGATGTGAGGGAGGAGAAGACACAGGTTTGGAAGGTGGATAATTGGGCCAAAATGACTCTTAATTTACAAGGAATAGAGGTTGGCTGATCCCTGTGATGCCATGGGCTGGCAGCTCATTATGTTATCCCTGACATACAAGCCCCGAGGCTCCCATCCCCTAGAAGTAAGCACCACCCTAAGCCCCTCAGACCAAGCGTTTGCCTCTGTTTTTACCTTGGCATTTATTCATTCATGAAATATATTTTCAGTATCACCTGCATGCTAGGAGCTAGGGAGATGGTAGTAAGCAGAACAGATGGAAATTCCTGACGTCTTGAAGCTTATGTTTTTCTAGAATAATATCGAATGGGACATAGTTGGTGTTTCCTGTGTGCCTGGCATTGTTCTAGAAGCTTTCCATATATTAACTCATTTAATCCTCACCATATTTATTCCATAAGGATAGATAGGATTGCCATTTACATGTGTCTGGTGTTAACAGTGGCTCTCAGAGCACCTTGTTGCTTGTCCTCATTGGATGGCATCCCCGTCAACCTGATATTGGTCGAGAGCTCAGGTACAATAGCAGCGTTCAGAACCTCTCTGTGTCACTGAGTGAGGCTCTGTTAGGTGGTGTGAGCCTGCTCTGTGTTACCTCGCAGAAAGCTACACGCTGCATATTGACTAAGAAAACTTCTGTCCTAGCACATCTTCATCTCCATATGTGAGATTTATATTTCATAAAACTTATATATGATGAAGTATTTAAATTCAACAGAAGCTACATTCACAAAATGGTAAGCCTTGCTTTGGGAATGTCCCCTATTAACATGCCTTTCTAGGGCTTGCTCTTCCCGTACAGCAAGCTGAGTAGTACTGGCACTGCCACTCAAACAAGTTTCTGATCATAATGAAGAATGGCTGACTTATTAGTTGTGCTATCCTGGGATGTCAAGCATTGTTAAATTTGAAAATGTGAACTGGACATAGAAAAGTGGTTTATTTCATTTATCGTGTAGCTCAGTTGTTTCCTTGAAAAGCAGAAAGAAATTAAAGATGTTGAATATTTCATGGTTATAACAAATGAAACTCCCATGAAATAAAAGAGTTCACACTGTTACTTTATTTTCCAATAATGAAAGTACCATTTGTTCATCATGGAAAATACCGAAATTTATCAAACAAAATAAAAGTAACTCCCATCATATTATCCAAAGAAAACAACTTTTTGTTGTGTTTCCTTTTACCCTTTTTCTGGGCATAGATAAGCTTCCATTTTTTTAAATTAAAAACTTACTGTGGGCTAGATGCAGCGGCTCATGCCTGTAATCCCAGCACTTTGGGAGGCCCAGACAGGCAGATTGGTTGAGGCCAGGAGTTAGAGGCTAGCCTGGACAACATGGTTATATCCCGTCTCTACAGAAATTAAAAAAATAAATAAATAAGCCAGCTGTGGTGATATTCACCTATAATCCCAGGTACTTGGGAGGCTGAGGTGGGAGGATTGCTTGGGTCCAGGAGGTCGAGGCTGCAGTGAGCTGTGATCATGCCATTGTACCCCAGCCTGGGTGACAGCAAGGCCCTGTCAAAAACAAAAACAAAAACAAAACATCTTATTGTGTATGGACTGTGTTCAGGGCACTAAGGTTTGCTTTGGAGCAAAGTAAAATAAACATATGTTCCCTGTTAATACAGGTATAAAGAAAGGCAAATTACTGTGTCCCTCATCTTAAAAACAAACACAGTACTTTCCTTCAATCATACATCACTCTCGACTCTCCTGTCTGCCCCTTATTTTTCTTCTCATAGCTGTCGAATCGATTTCATTAAAGATAGCTGAAGCCTTGTAGCCCTTCTGGATTTTCTATTAAAATTCACCTAATGGTAGAGGTAAAATAAAATGTGCATCTTCACCCCTTCACTGTAGCACTCCCCACAGCTGTACTCTGGTTTACAAGACTCTCCCATTCTCTTGAGAGCAAATTACTTGAGGTTAAGGACTTAGGGCTTATCTGTCTTTTTACCTTTGGAAAATAGTGAATGTTTAATAATGTTTGCATCTTTCTGTGAGAGCCTTCGCTCCAGCACATCAATGATCTTGGGCACCAAGCACCAAGAGTCACCTAGATTTGTACATCAGAAGCCAAAATGGAATCAAACCATACACTGAATGTTCAGGGAATCTGTCTTATCTTTATCAAGGCTACTCGTCATGGTTGAACTGGTAGTGTTCTGATTTCCCATGTGAGCACGTGTGCCCATGTCAATACATTTATATATCCATAGTGGACATGTGGTCCATGATTGTCAGGAGGCATGGTTTTCTCACAACTGTGGGCGTGATTAATTACTTGCTAGAAAGTCCACCCACATATTCCACTTGTATTGTTACAGGGCTATTTACCAGACACTTCAGGGGCTTTAGAGAGGCACTGGATAATGCCCATGACCACAGGCGGTTCATCATCTGGAGCAGTGTGAGAGTGGCTGACATGATGATCTGAATCAGCAATGGCTGATAATCCGAATCATTTGGGAAGTTTAAAAAAAATTGTGCTTGTATAGGTGTATAAATATGTGCAAGTGTGTTTAATGTTTATATGTGGTCCTATCTCATAATTAGTAAAGTCAAATGAGGCAGGATTGTAGAATTACAAAGCTTTCAGGATGGTTCAGATGAGTAACTAGTTTTGGGAACTAATGAGTTAGAATTCTTTTTTTTTTCTTTTTTTATTTTTATTTTTTAATTTTATTATTATTATACTTTAAGTTTTAGGGTACATGTGCACAATGTGCAGGTTTGTTACATATGTATACATGTGCCATGTTGGTGTGCTGCACCCATTAACTCGTCATTTAACATTAGGTATGTCTCCTAATGCTATCCCTCCCCGCTTCCCCCCACCCCACAACAGTCCCCAGAGTGTGATGTTCCCCAGAATTCTTAATGCCAAAAAACGTTTGTCAGAGGGCAAACTGAAACCTGGCAGTGACAAGAGGGCCACGTCTCATGCTCCCTCATGGATGCCACGTTGCCGTATGTCCTGCCACTGCTGAACCCATACAGGGAGGCGCTTCATTTATGAGTGAGGTGAAACTGCGTTGAGAGTGGCGGAAGTGTGCTGTGCAGTACATCTGTGTGAAAGGATTCCGTGTTTTTCTAGGCTGAGATGAAAAGTAGGAAAGAACTACAGTGAAAGAGATTAGTCAAATGCAGAAGCAGTGTACTAGAAGCTGTCTAAGGAAAGCTGGTTTTAGAACTAGCCCTACTGGTCCTACAGCTGATATAGTACCTGTGCTGCATATATTTAGTGTTCTTGTAAAGGTAAATGAGGGAATAAGTATGAGCAAAAAAATTTTAAAGATAAAAACGTTTACACAAATGAATGATGGCATTATATAAGTATTGCAATAAAGAACTCCTTTTCTTCTCTCTCTCTTTTTTGTTTTTTGGTCTGGCCTCTAGTTAGAGTTCCAATAGTTTACATTCAGTGCTGTTAATTCCCACAATTTCAAAGATCTGCATTTCCTGTAAATACCTAATTGTATTTTGAAATTGAAATGATTTTTGGATAATCTGCCATTTGGACTATCTGCATCATTTTTATCTTAAATGATGGAAACCTGAATATAGATGATGATAACAGTGATATAATTGTGACATATTTATATGGTTCAAAGCACTTCTGTTGAGAGGAATAAACAAAACAACATACATAAATGTTAGAGACATTTTTGTGCACAATATTTTCAGGAAACTTGTATCTATGTACATAATAATTACATATTTGCTTTCCTTAGAATTCAAGATGACACTCTTCACATTCAAGATAATAATAGATGCACATTTGATATCCAGGAAAATACTGTTACATTCTATCCTAGCTAATCAACGTATTTGTATTTCAGAGATGGGTGGCCAAAACTAGATTACTAACTTAAAGTGACATTTTTACATGTTGGGTTTGTAGACAGGTGAGATATCCTTTCAAAAATTATATATGTAAACAAACAAAACATAAGTTTGTGTTATATTATTGAAATATTAAAAGCATGGCTGTGAGATTGCTCTTAAAGATATCTCAAGTCAAGGGGACCTATAAATCTCACAATATTATAAAGGATCTGCAAGACCATTTGCAAGGCTTCTTAGTATATGTGAGGCTTATGAAATGGAATTCTTTCATTTGGCCATATAAAAACTTTCATGTGGTACTTCCAAAACATTTCTATTTTAGCAGAAATGAGATTGCTCTTTCTTAGAAAAGGATTTCCTAACCAGAGTCCTCCTGTGTTGGGAATTGGAATCTCCCTCCCTCTCTCCCTCCCTCCTTTGTTTACTTATGTATCTATTTACTTTCCCCCCTTTTTTGTGTGTGTCAGACATTTCAATGTTTGAGTATTGATTATCCTCATTTTTTTAATGTTCAAGTGGTAATTACATTATTTAACAAATATTGTCCTATAGTTTTTGGAAAGGATGTTCTAATTAACTTAGAGCCAAATGGCATACCTCCTTTCTCACAACTCTTATGAGTTAAAATCTCGTTAACCTAATTCAATATACTTCATTGTTTTGGTAAATTTAATATAACAGAATGTAGTAATGTAGTATATTTATTCTCCATATCCATTCCCTTTCTTTCACTTCCCAAACCCACATTTCCTGTGGGCCCTTCCCCTCTTACTGGGCATGTGTTTCAAGTGGAGCCCCATCTCTGGCTGGAGGAGTGGGACACTCCTCAGGGCTGGCCAATCAGAGCCTCAGTTTCCCCCAGCCATGTGACTGGTTCAGAGGTAAGAATGTGACTTAGATACCGCAAGTCCATGTAATTCCATCTCCCTGTGTACACATTTACAGACATGCACCACTTAACAAGGGGGATATGTTCTGAGAAATGCATTGTTAGTCAATTCCTTTGTGCAAACACCACAAAATGTACTTGCACAAACCTAAATGGTATAGCCTACTACACACCTAGGCCATTTGGTATAGCCTATTGCTCCAACCACCATCATATATATGGTCTGTCACATGCAGTCTGCTGTTGACAGGAAAGTCGTTAGGCAGTACATGACTTACCTATGTAGAGATTGAGTTCATCCAATCAGAGTGAATAATGAGACATATGTCATAGTTGCTAGGAGGAGATATGTTCTATTTCCCAAGGGCCTTGAAATAGGTCGCATAAAGCCCACTGAAGCTGCCAATCATCCTGTCTAAAGAGACAGCAGCCAGTGGAGGGCAAAGCTGAAGGATAGAGAGGTAAGTCTGTGTCCTTCCTCCAACACACACCCGAAAGCATTTTTACCTCTGCACTTGTTATTTACCTGGTCCAATATATTTCCCTTTTGGATTAACGTAGTTTGATTTTTCTGTAGTCACTGAACAGAAGAGACTCTGCATTTTGGTTGTTTTTGGTGTAGGATATGGAGTTTGTCTTGAATTGCTTATCTCACTACTTAAAAATGTTGAGGGCAGTGAGAAGATTTGTAAAAGAAGGGGTTAAATATATTTTGTGATGTTCCAGAATTGTGTTCAGGCAGAGTTATGGTATAGGATGGAGATGATTTAAGGTTTTTGAAAGTTTTGGGCAATCACAGTCTTTACTGCACTTATTTTTTGAGGAAAATATACACTATTTTTATTTTCAATAAGGGCTAGATTGCAGTTCTTAACTAGGAGCAATGGTCTTAAATATTGCCAAAGATTATTTATATTTTACTTTGAAATAAATCTCTTGGGGAGCAACTCTGCCTTTCTTATCATGTCAGTCTTACATCAATAAAAAATATATTTATTTTCTGAACATTACAGATAGGCTCACTGACTGGTAGGGAAAGCCTTCCTGAGTTATTTTTTTAATGCAGACATAGAACATTTATCACCTTTTATTCTAGCAAATCTTCTGAAGAAAATCATTTTTGTTGTTCATAACCATTTTATTTTTTCCAAATCTCTTTTAATTTTTTAAAAATTGTTATGGTACATAGTAGGTATGTATATTTAAGGAGTGCATGAGGTGTTTTGACAGAGATGAAGTGCATAACAACCACATCATGAAAAGGGGTATATATCCCCTCAAGCATTTGTCCTTTGTATTACAAACCAATTATACTCTTTTAGTTATCTTTAAATGTACAATTAAGTTACTATTGACTGTAGTCACACTATTGTGCTATCAAATACTAGGTCTTATTCACTCTGTTTTTTTGGTATCCATTAACCATCTCCACCTTCATCTCCACTTCCCTCCTAACCCCGCATTACCCTTCCCAGCCTCTAGTAACTATCATTCTACCCTCTGTCTCCATGAGTTCAATTGTTTTGATTTTTAGATTCCACAAATAAGTGAGAACATGTAAGGTTTTTCTTTCTGTGCCTGACTTATTTCACTTAGCATAATGTCCTCCAGTTCCATCCATGTTGTTGCAGGTGACAGGATCTCATTCTTTTTATGGCTGAATAGTACTCCATTGTGTATAAGTACCACGTTTTCCTTATCCATCCTTCTGTTGATGGACACTTATGTTGCTTCCAAATTTTGGCTGTTGTCAGGAGTGCTGCAACAAACATGGGAGTGCAGCTATCTCTTCCATATGCTGATTTCTTTGCTTTTGGATATATATGTGCAGTGGGATTGCTGGATCCTATGGTAGCTGTAATTTTAGTTTTTCGAGGAACCTTCAAACTGTTCTCCGAAGTGCTAGTACTAATTTACATTTCCACCAACTGTATATGAAGGTTCCCTTTTCTCCATATCCTTGCCAGCATTTGTTATTGCCTGTCTTTTGGATATAAGCCGTTTTAACTGGGGCGAGATGATATCTCATTGTAGTTTTGATTTGCATATCTCTGATGACCAGTGATATTGAACACCTTTTCATATGCCTGTTTGCCACTTGTATGTCTTCTTTTGAGACGTGTCTATTAAAATATTTTGCCATTTTACTTATTAGATATTTTTCCTATAGAGTTGTTTGCACTTCTTATATATTCTGGTTATTAGCCCCTTGTGAGATGGGTAGTTTGCAAATATTTCCGATTCTGCAGGTTGTCTCTTCATATGGTTGATTATTTCCTTTGCTGTGCAGAAGCTTTTTAACTTGATGTAGTCCCATTTGTCCATTTTGGCTTTTGGTTGCTGGTACTTGTGAGGTATTACTCCAGAAATATTTGCCCAGACCAATGTCCTGGCGAGCTCTTCTGATGTTTTATTGTAGTAGTTCTATTGTTTGCAGTCTTAGATTGAAGTCTTTAATCCATTTTGATTTGATTTTTGTATATGGTGAGAGTTAGGGGTCTAGTTACATTCTTCTACATATGAATATCCACTTTTCCCAACACCATTTATTGAAGAGATTGTCTTTTACCCATTATATGTTCTTGGCACCTTTGTCAAAAATGAGTATACTGTAGGTCTGTGGATTTGTTTCTGGGTTCTCTATTCTGTTCCATTCATCTCTGTGTCTTTTTTTATGCCAGTACCATGTTCTTTTGGTTACTATAGCTCTGTAGTATAATTTGAAGTCAGGTAATGTGCTTCCTCCAGTTTTGTTCTTTTTGCTTAGGATAGCTTTGACTATTCTGGGTCTTTTGGGGTTCCATATACATTTTAGGATTTTTTTTTGTTGCTGTGAACAATGTCATTGGTGTTTTGATAAGGTTTGCATTGAATCTGTAGATTACTTGGGTAGTGTGGACATTTTAACAATATTGATTCTTCTAATCCATGAACATGGAATATTTTTTAATTTTTTGGTGTCCTCTTCAATTTCTTCAACAGGGTTTTATAGTTTTCATTGTAGAGATCTTTCACTTTTTGGTTAGGTTAATTCCTAGGTATTTAATTTCATTTTTGGCTATTGTAAATGGGGTTACTTTTTTATTTCTTTTACAGATTATTCACTCTTGGTGTATAGGAATGCATATTGATTTTTGGCCAGGTGCAGTGGCCCATGCCTGTAATCCCAGCACTTTGTGAGGCCAACGTGGGCAGATCACCTGAGGTCAGGAGTTTGAGACCAGCATGGCCAATATGGTGAAACTCTGTCTCTACTAAAAATACAAAAATTAGCCGGGCATGGTGGCAGGTGCCTATAATCCCAGCTACTCGGGAGGCTGAGGTAGGAGAATCACTTGAACCCAGGAGGTGGAGGTTACAGTGAGCCGAGATCTCACCATGGCACTCCAGCCTGGTCCACAAGAGCGAGACTCTGTCTCAGAAAGAAAAACAACAACAACAACAACAACAACAACAACAACAACAACAAAAGCAATGCATATTGATTTTTGTAGGTTGATTTTGTGTCCTGCAACTTTACTGAATTTATGAGTTCTAATAGGTTTTGGATAGCATCTTTAGGTTTTTCTAAATATATCTATCATCTGCAGAAGGATAATTTGACTTCTTCCTTTCCAATTTGGATGTGCTTAATTTCAGTTCTCTTGCCTGATTGTTCTAGCTAGGACTTCCAGTACTATCATCAATAACAGTGGGGAAAGAGGGAGTTCTTGTCATGTTCTAGATCTTTAATATGATACTAGCTGTGGGTCTGTTATATATTGCTTTTACTATGTTAAGGTATGTTCCTTCTGTACTCAGATTTTTCTATGATTTTTATCATGAAGGGCTGTTAATTTTACCAAATACTTTTTAGCATCAATTGAAATGATCGTATGGTTTTTGTCTTTCATTTTGTTGATATGATGTATCACATCGATTTTCATATGCTGAACCATCCTTGCATCCCATGGATAAAGCCCACTTGGTCATGATGAATGATCTTTTTAATGTATTGTTGAATTCAGTTTGCTAGTATTTTGTTGAGGATTGTTGCTTCAATATTCATCAGAAATATTGGCCTGTATTTTATATATACATATGTATATATAAATATAATATATGTATATGTAAATATAAGTATGTATATGTAAATATAAGTATGTATATATAAAATACAGGCCAATATACAAGTATACACACACACACACACACACACACACACACACACACACTTCCAGACTCATTCTTTCAGGTCAGTATGACCCTGTTACCAAAACCAGTTCAAAGATGTCTGGTTTTGATATCACAGTCATACTGACCTGAAAGAATGAGTTTGGAAGTACTCCATCCTCCTCTGTTTTTCAGAGTAGTTTGAGTAGGATTGGTATTAGTTCATATTTAAATGTTCGTTAGAATTCAGCAGTGAAGCCATCATCAGGTCCTGGCATTTTCTTTACTATAAGGCTTTTTATTACAACTTCAATCCCATTACTCGTTATTGGTCTGTTCAAGTTTTGAATTTCTTCGTGGTTCAATCTTGGTAGCTTTTATGTGTTTAGGGATTTGTTCGTTTCTTCTAGATTTTCCAATTTATTGGCATATAGTTGCTCATAATAGCCACTAATGGTTTTTTGAATTTCTGTAGTATCAGTTGTAATGTCTCCTTTTTCATGTTTGATGTTATTTATTTGGATCTTTTTTTTTTTTTTTTTTTTTTAGTCTGGCTAAATGTTTGTCTGTTTAACTTTTCAAAAAAACAACTTTTTGGTTCAGTGATCTTTGATATTCTTTATTTCAGTGTCATTTATTTCTTCTCTGATTTTTGTTATTTATTCTACTAAACTTGGGTTTGGTTTGTTCTTGCTTTTAAATTATTCGTTTGACATTTTTCTTTTTTTTTTTTTTTGTTGTAGGCACTTATAGCTCTAAACTTTCCTCTTAATAGTGCTTTTGCTGTATCCCATAGGTTTTAAATGTTGTGTTTTCATTGTCATTTGTTTCAATAAATTTTTTAATTTCCTTCTTAATTTCTTCATTGACCCACTGGTCATTCAGAAACATTTTGTTTAATTTCCATGTATTTGTATAGCTTCCAAAATTCCTCTTGTTATTGATTTCTTTTTTATCCCATTGTGGTCAGGGAAGATGCTTGGTATTATTTATATTTGTTTGAATGTTTTAGGACTTTTGTGACCTAACATATGGTCTCTCCTTGAGAATGATCCATGTGCTGAGGAAAAGAATGTGTATTCTGCAGCCTTTGGATGAAATGTTCTGTAAATATCTACCAGGTTCATTTGGTCTATGGTGCAGAATAAGTTCAATGTTTCTTTGTTGATTTTCTGTCAACAAATACTGAAAGTGGGATGTTGATATCTCCAGCTATTCTTGTATTGGGGTCTCTATCTCTCTTTAGCGCTAATAATATTTTCTTTATATATCTGGGTACTTCAATGTTGGGCCCATATATATTTACAATCATTATAGCCTCTTGCTAAATTGACCCGTTTATCATTATATAGTGACCTTCTTTGTCTCTTAAAGTTTTTTTTGTTTTGTTTTGTTTTGTTTTGTTTTGTTTTTTATCTTGAAAGCTATTGTGTCTCCATAGAGCTCCTCCTGCTCTCTTTCAGTTTCTATGTGCCTGGAATATCTTTTTCCATCCCTTTATTTTTAGTTTACCTGTGTCTTTATGCCTGAAGTATGTTTCTTGTAGGCAACAGATTATTGAGTCTTGTTATTTAAATTAATGTCGTCACTCTTTGTCTTTTGATTGGAGAGTTTAGTCCTTTACATTCAATGTTATTGATAAGTAAGGACTTACTCCTGCCATTTTGTTATTTGTTTTCTGGTTGTTTTGTGATCTTCTCTTATTTCTTTTCTTCCTGTCTTTCTTTTAGTGAAGTTGATTTTCTGTGGTGATACCATTTAGTGTCTGGCTTTTTTGTGTGTGTGTAAACATTGTATGTTTTTTGATTTAAAGTTGCCATCAGGGTTGCAAATACTATTGTATAACTCATTATTTTAAGCTGATAACAACACTGCATAAACAAACAAACCAGCAAAAAGAAAACGAATAATGCTCTGTGCCTCTTTAATATTTTGTAGTTTCTGTTTATATCTTCTTGCACTATGTCTTGAAAAGTTGTTATAGTTTTTTTATTGGTTCATTGTTAATTCTTTCTAATTAACATAAGTTCATTGTTTATTCTTTCTACTAAATATAAGAGTAGTTTACACACCACAGTTATAGTGTTATATTCTGTGATTTTCTGTGTACTTACTATTACAAGTGAGCTTCAGATGATATATTGCTCATTAACATCCTTTTCTTTCTAATCGAGGTACTCCCTTTAACATTTCTTGTAGGACAGGTCTGCTGTTGATGAAATCCCTCAATTTTTGTTTGTCTATGATAGTCTTTATTCCCCTTCATGTTTGAAGAATATTTTTTTCCAGACATATTCTTCTAGGATAAAAGTTTTTTTTCCTTCAGCACTTCAAATATGTCATGCTACTTGCTGCTGGCCTGTGGGGTTTCCACTGAAAAGTTTGCTGCCAGATGTATTGGAACTCCATTGTATGTTGTTTGTTTCTTTTTTCTTGCTGCTTTTAGGATCCTTTATCCTCGACCTTTGGGAGTTTGATTATTAAATGCCTTGAGGTAGTCTTTGGGTTAAATCTGCTTTTTGTTCTATAGCCTTCTTGTTCTTGGATAGTGATATCTTTCTCTAAGTTTGAGAAGTTCTCTGTTATTTTCCCTTTGAATAAACTTTCTACCCCGGTCTCTTTCTCTACCTCTTCTTTAAAGGCCAGCAACTCCTTTTTAAGTCCAATAACTCTTAGATTTGCCTTTTTGAGGCTATTTTCTAGTTCCTATAGGTGTGCTTCATTTTTTAAAATTCCTTTTTCTTTTGTTTCCTCTGACTGTGTATTTTCAAATAGCTGGTCTTCAAACTCATTGGTTGTTTCTTCTGCCTGACCTATTCTACTATCAAATGACTCATACATTCTTCAGTATGCTAATTGAGTTTTTCAGCTCTAGAAATACTGATTGATACTTTTTAATTATTTCAGTCTTTTTGTTAAATTTGTCTGATAGAATTCTGAATTCCTTCTCTGTGTTATCTTTAATTTCTTTGAGTTTCTTCAAACTCAAAACACATTTTTTTTTTGAGTCAGAGTCTCACTCTGTTGCCCATGCTGGAGTGCAGTGGTGTGATCTCAGCTCACTGCAGCCTCCACCTCCGAGGTTCAAGTGATTCTCTTGCCTCAGCCTCCTGAGTACCTGGGACTACAGGCGCATGCCACCACACCTGGCTAATTTTTGTATTTTTAGTAGAGACAGGGTTTCACCATTTAGGTGAACTCCTGACCTCAGGTGATCCACCCTCCTCAGCCTCCCAAAGTGCTAGGATTACAGGCATGAGCCACTGCACCTGGCCAACACAGCTATTTTTAATTCTCTGAAAGGTCACATATTTCAGAATTGGTCCCTGGTGACTTATTTAGTTCATTTGGTGAGGTCATATTTTCCTGGATGGTCTTGATACTTGTAGACGCTCATCTGTATCCGGGCATGGAAGAGTTAGGTTTTTACTGTAGTCTTCTCAGTCTGGGCTTGTTTGTACACTGGCAAGGTTTTCCAGATATTCTAAAGGACTTGGGTGTTATGGTCTAAGCTGTATCTGCATTAGGGGGCACGCTGATCCCAGTAACTCTGTGGTTCCTGAAGAGAAGACTCATGGAGTGTATTAGTCTCTTCTCAGGCTGCTGTGAAGAACTGCCCGAGACTGGGTAATTTATAAAGAGGTTTCATTGACTCACAGGTACACATGGCTGGGGAGGCCTCAGGAAACTTACAGTTATGGTGGAAGGGGAAGCAAACACATCCTTCTTCACATGGCAGCAGGAGAGAGAAGTGCTGAGCAAAGGGGGAAAAGTCCTTTATGAAACCATCAGATTTTGGGAGAACTCACTCACTATCATGAGAAAAGCAGGATGGGGTAACTGTCCTGTTTTAATTACCTCCCCCCAGGACCCTCCCACGACATGTGGGGATTATGGGAACTACGATTCAAGATGAGATTTGGGTGAGGACACAGCCAAATGATATCATAGAGGTACCACTTTAGTGGTCTTGGACAAGATCTGGAAGAATTCTCTGGATTACCAGGTAGAGAGACTCTTGTTCTCTTCCCTTAATTTATCTCCCAAAAAACAGAGTCTCTGTCTTTGTTCTAAGCCACCTGGAGCTGAGGGTGGAGACACAAGCACCCCTGTGCCCACTATCTCTAGAATTGCTCTGGGTCAAACCTGAAGCCTGTACAGCACTGGGTCTTTCCCAGGGCCTGTTGTAAGAACTCCCTGGCTATCACCTAATTTCACTCAAGGCCTTGGGGCTCTACAGTCAGCAGATGGCAAAGCCAGTCAGGCCTGCCTCCTTCCCTGCAGGGTGGAGAGCTCCCCTAGGCCCAGGTAGGGCCAAAGGTGCTGTCCCAGGTGCATGGAATTTGAGTCAAAAACCTTAGAAGTTTACCTGGTGTTCTGTTGTCCTGTGGCTGAGCTGGCACTCAAACCACAAGTTGTGGTCATTCCCACTCTTCCCTCCCCTTTCCAAAGGCAGAGGTGCCTCATTCCATCGCCACAGCCACCATGGGCCCACAGGGAGTACTGCCAGACTACCACCAGAGCTCCCTTCTGGCCCAAAGGGCTCCTAAGTCAGCCTGTGGTGAATGCTGCCTTGACTCTTGGATAGCATTTCTGGACTCACCCTTCATAGCAGTATGCTCCCCTCTGGCACAGGACATGTCCAGAAATGCCATCCAAGAGTCAAGTCCTGGAACCAGGGACCCCCAAATGCCCACTTGGTGCTCTACCCCACTGTGCCCGAGGTGGTACCTAGGGTGCAAGACAAAGCCCTCTTCATTTTTTCCCTCTGCTTTTCTCAGGTGGAAGGAGTCTTGCCTCGTATAGCCACCACAGCTGGGAATGTGCTGAGTCTCACCAGAAGCCAGCAAGTCTCAGAGGCTCACCAAGGCCCTTGACATAGCACCTCAGCATCCCTGCTGGCTATTCAGAACCCTTGGACTCTCAGTCAGCAGGTGATGAATTCTGCCAGGACTAGGTCCTTCACTTCAAGGCAGTAGGTTCCCTTCTGGCCCAGGGTGTGTCTAGCAATGTCATCTGGGAGCTAGAAGCTGGAAAGGGGGCCTCATGATTCTGAGCATTGCCCTATCCTGCTGTGGCTGAGCTAGTATTATAGATGTAAGATAAAGTCCTCCCCAGACTTCCCCCACCTCTGCCCAAGCAGAGAGATGGGGTCTCTGTTGGAGCCACAAGCTGTGGAGCTTGGGCTTAGGGTAGGAATGATGCCAATACTTCTTTAGCTGCCCTTGGGGATGTCTCAGTGGGTTACATGCCACCAAGTCCACTGGCTCTGGGCCCAGTTCAGCACTAGGCCTCACCTACGAGTTCCAGTCCTTGTGGCCTAGACTGCCTTTCAAGTTTGGGTTCCAGAGTACTTTAACTTGCTTGAGAGGCATGTGGGAGTTCAAGTTCGGACTGTTGGGACTGGTGATTCCCCTCTTCCTAGGGCTGGTTTAAATGCTCCCTTCATGGGTGGGCATCAGTTGAGTTTGCTCTGGTTTTGTTTTCTGCTGTAACAAGGCAGCACTGAGTTTAGTGCCTCATGGCTGCTGTGCTCCCCTCTCCCCAGCACACAGAAATACTCTCTGCACCATGTTGCTGATATGTGTGTATGGGGTGGGGTGGGGGGTGGGGTGGAGGTGGGGGGGGAGGGCAGGGTGATGGGGGAGGGGTGGTGTCCTTGGCAATTCAAGACTGTTTTTCCCACCTCTTCAGTGCCTCTTTCAGAGATAAGTTAAAACCAGTTACTGTGTGTGCTCACCTGATTTTTGGTTCGTAAGAAGGTGCTTTTTTAGTGTAGATAGGTGTTAATTGGTGTCCTTGCAGGAAAGACCATCCTTCTCTGCCCCCTGTCTGAGTTTTAAATTTTATTCTAGATATTTTTTCAAGAAAAAAGGTATATGTGTGATTAGTTGAGAACTAAATTACTTATTGGAGGACACATATAGACATAAGGTGATTAGGCAAATTCTTCCTCTGAAGGTATCGTATTTTGAAGCACTTGTTTGCTATCATACCTGGGTGCTATGAGAATCACTTGATAGATCTGCCTCCAAAAACTGACAGTGTAACTTTCCTGATCTGGATTTCTTAGCATTCTGGCAGGGTCTGTGCTATAAAAGCCATTGGCAGTGTGTCTGTTATTTTCAGGCAAGATTCAACTTCCTGTTCAGACTCCAGAACTTGCTGTAGCAGGAAATTGACAAATGATCAGAAATGTGCCGTCAGTGACTAGCCTCTGTGATGTTGTGTTTTGTTCAAAGGATGAATTGGCTTTATGTAGAATAAAAGCCATTGGAAACATATGGTACAACAGTTGGCTGTAGAATTTGTTTTGTTATAACTTCAGAAGCTGCTACTATTTTGCTTTGACATGCCCTTGAAAATCCAAGATGCTTTGGTCAATGTGTTTGTTATATTAAAACTAACATAAATTTTAGTGGAAGTTTGGTAGTGTAAGACAGGCTTCACTTATTTTTTGTGTGTGTTCCAAATTGACCTGAGATGAAAGGACAAGATGTAATTTGTAAAGTACTACAATAGAAGTAACTGGAGAAGCTATGTGCAAAAATCAGGCTCATTATTTTATAGTCACATAGCATCATTTTAAGTTCCTTGAACTGAAAAGCAGATCTCATACAAGGAATTTCTAGCCATGTTGAGCCCATGGTGAATTGTAAGTGATCATAATATAGCCAAAAATGTGTAATTCAGAAAAGATACAGGGGCTGTTCTGGAGCTTTGCTTTTGCATATTGCTTCCTTATAGGAATAGAATAGTTGTATTTCTAACTTCAGGTCAGACAGGTTTGGACATTTTTGGCTCAAATCATTTCTTTTTTTTTTTTTTTTTTTTTTTTTTTTGAGACGGAGTCTCGCTCTGTCACCCAGGCTAGAGTGCAGTGGCCTGATCTCAGCTTACTGCAAGCTCCGCCTCCTGGGTTCACGCCATTCTCCTGCCTCAGCCTGCTGAGTAGCTGGGACTACAGGCACCTGCCACCACGCCAGGCTAGTTTTTTTGTATATTTTTAGTAGAGACGGGTTTTCACCATGTTTGCCAGGATGGTCTTGATCTCCTGACTTCGTGATCCACCCGCCTCAGCCTCCCAAAGTGCTGGGATTACAGGCGTGAGCCACCACGCCTGGCCCAAATCATTTCTTAATGTGAAAAATGATTAGCACTTGATTATTCAGAGAGTATGTACAGGTTATCTGGCACCACGGTTGCTTAAATACTCTGACATTAGCATAATCGTGAAACTAGTCAGTTAACTAGAAAATGAAATGCCTTACACTACTGAAGCTATGAGTGGCCCCTTGTAGGTGATTTGAGCATTCTGTACAATGCCATTACGATCTGTAGGTTCAGAAATTTTATAGGATGAAACTTGGCTTGGAAGTGGGGTGTGTAAAAGTGCTAGAACAAAACAACCTACTTATATTTTGAAATTTTTATTCTTCATAGATATAAATATGACAATTTATGTTATTATTTTTTTTTCTTTGCTGCTCTCTTTAGCTTTTCTTGTTGACTTTGGCTTTTTCAGAGGCTTACTTAGTATGAAGGAGTGTGACTGTAGGTCCAGTTCCTTGAGCAGGTGAGGGCACCTGGAGCTGAAGAAGTTGATGACTTAGATCCATGTTCCCAGAAACACCAAGCATGTCTGCTTCCTTTTTCTTTTAGACCCACTTTCACATAAAGATAGGAAAAATATGAGGCTAAATGAACCTCTGGTTTATAAGGTTAGTTTGTAAGTAATAATGAAGGGACACGAGGGTGATATGAACAATTATGTGAGAACAATAGGTATAAGCCAGGGCTGTTCTGGGCAAAATGGTTGTCACCCCGATAATAACTAACATGCTTTGATCATTTTTTCATTGCCTGGCATTATGCTAAGCATCTATGGGCGTTAACTCAAGCCACCCAACTAACCAATGAAGTGTAGGTACTATTTTCTTATCCTTATGATGGTTAATTTGTGTCCACTTGGCCAGGTAGTGGTGCCTAGTTGTTTGGTCAAACAGAAGTCCAGACGTTGCCGTGAAGATATTTTTAGATGAGATTAACCATTTAAATCAGTGGGCTTGAGTTGAGATTAACATTTAGATAAGTAGACTTTGAGTAAAGCAAATTACCCACCATAATATGGGTGAGCCTCATTCAATCAATTGAAAGCTTTTAGAAAAGAGACAGAGTTTTCCTAAGGAAGAAGGAATTTTCAAGATTGTAACATAGAAACCCTGCCTGAGTTTCCAGCCTGCTTAATTTGGACTTGCCAGCCCCACCACTTACATGAGACAGTTTCTTAAAATCTCAATCAATCTCTCTCTCTGGCTTTCTGTACATATGTTTATGTGTGTGTGTGTGTATATATATATGTATATATATATATAGAGAGAGAGAGAGAGAAACATATATATATATATGTTTCTCGTGTGTATATATATATATGTTTCTCATATGTGTGTGTGTGTGTGTGTGTATATATATATATATATAGAGAGAGAGAGAGAGAGAGAGAGAGAGAGAGATTATATGAGCCAGGTTCCTCTGGAGATTCATGTAGTGCCTTTATGTTTCTCATATATCTACTATTGATTCTGTTCCTCTGGAGAAACCTGGCTTATACAATCTCCATTTTACAGATAAAAGCACAGAGAGGTCAGTTAACTCAGCTAAAGTCACACAGCTTATAACTGGCAAACATGAGATTTGCAACTAGATTTTTGGACTCCAGGGCTCACATGTTTTACTGTTAAGCTTTATTGCCTCTTAAAAACAGAAACAAAACAACATCAAGAGAAAGCTTTTATGATTTTTCATTCAACTGGCCCTGTCTCTCCTGAGAGTCTCCATTGTTAAGCAGCTGGCTGTTTTCTTTAACTTAGGACCCTGAAGCAAAGTTTTGTGATTATTTTGTATCACTATTACAGGGGACCACAGGCATTTCTGGTCAAGATTCTGCATTCTTTAATTGCCCTTATAGATAGTTTATTCAGGGCATGTGAAGGAATATTTCTGTGCAGTTTTAGAATTTCTGATAGGTGTTTTAGGGGAAGACCTACTCCCAGACTACTAATATATTATCATTGTCATCATGAGTTAGTGCTAATTCAGATGTGATACTCTAGGCTAGCATTTCCCAAACCTGCTTGAATGGGCTGTTGCATGAACAACATTGCAACTTTCATTTTCATGTTACACTGGAATATGGAATTTTTGTATAACATTAGTATTTTGAGGCACTATATAACATATGTATTTGTCATCTATTGCTGCATGGCTCAAAACAACAATCATTGTTATGCCTCTCAGTTTCTGTTGTCTGACATTCAGATAGGACACAATGGGAATGGATTATCTCTGTTCCATCATGTGTGGGGCTTCAGCTAGAGGTCTCAAGTACCAGGGCCTGGAATCATCTGAAGGCTTGTTCACTCACAAGTCTAGAAATTAATGTTGACTGTCAGGTGTGGACCACCTGGGGCTGCTGCTGGGATAACATACATATGGCCTCTTCATGTGGTCTGGGATTCCTCACAACATGATGACTTGATTCCAATGGCAAGCACCCTGAGGGGGCAGGTGGTCACTGCTGCACTGCCGTTCATGACCCAGCCTTGGATATCATGCAGCAGCACTTAGCCCAAAGTTGTAAAGACCCCACCAAGTTCATGTGAAGGGAATGTAGACCCCACCACTCAGTAGAGGAGTGTCTGTAACTTTTTAAGAAGAGCATGTGTAACAGGATATAAGTGTGGCCATGATTGCGAAATACAATGTCAGTATCCTCTTACCATAAGAATTCACATCATATGCTTCCTACATGTAAAATACACTCACTTCTTCCCCTTAAGATCTATAAATCTTATCCTCATTGGGATGTCAGATCAAAGTCTAGGATCTCAGCCCTTAAATCAGGTTCAAATATGGAAGAGATATTTTCATTGTGGATTTGCACAGCTTCTCAAATATAGATCTTAGTCTGAAGACCTGTGAACTAAAGAGACAAGTTATCTCCCTCCCACCCCCTCAACATGCAATGGTAGGACGGGCAGAGGAGAACTTTCATGTAGAGCCTCCTGTTCAGGAAGGGTGGAAACAGAAGGCATGCACGAGTCACTGGTTCATAGAAACTCTGAAAAACCACCTGGAATGTGATGTAATTACTTGACAAGGTCTCAGTCCTACTGCCTAGGAATGATTCTCCATAATTCTTGACTTCTGTCTGAGTCACTCCTCCTCTTCCCTAAGAAGTGGCCAGTTTCATTGGGTAGCTTTCCAAGTCTGATTTCTGCCTGTAGTACTTTTATTTTAGCCTCTTGGTAGTCCAAAGGTCTATTTTCATTGTAAGTGTCTCTGTCCATTTTGGTCTGAACTGGCAGTGTTTCTAATGGCAGTGTCAGACTAATTCTCTTAAAAATCCTATGGATCTCCTGTGAATCTTACTGAGGTTCATTTTGTTAGACAAAATTCACATTCATCAATCTCTTTGATGAATGAGATTCTTTGATGAATGAGAATCCCTTGAGATTCTGCTGAGGGATTACCCTGTTAAGGTTTTTATAGACAGTACTGTTAATAGACAGGATCTATAAGGTATGTCCGTAAGATTCTTAGCCTTTTATCTGAATGAACAGTTCTCTGAGGCACTGACTTAACACGTTTCTGAGATTTTATTAAGGGCTTTTATAGTGTACCCTCAGCTTTTAAGAGTTGTTTTCTGGGAGGAATTCATGATCTATCATAGGTAAGTATTAAACTAGAAAAAGTATGCATTCCAAAATTACTTTTTTTCTGAACAAGAATGAGAATATGGCTTTAATTGTGTTCAAAATTGTTGCATTTCATGAGCTTGCATTTGCTAAGATGGATTAATTTATGATATCTTTGAGAAGTTCATGAAAACCTGACAAATGTCCACGTCAACTTATGCTTTATATAAGTTAGCTTGTGTGTTCAGTCACTTTTTTTGTGAAGCAGTGTAACCATACTAGTAATAATTTATGTGAAAAGCATCTCACTCTTTCATGACCGCAAAGTTCCTGCAGGATTTTCTTATGATCAAATATTTTACATTGTAAAAATTTTTCGATACACTGAAACCTAAATATCCTATAGGACAAATGAAACAGTCTGATTAGAAATGTTTTTCTGTTGCTGTTGATTTCTCCTTTTCACATTTATGGACAACATTCCCTGTTATTCTAAGTTTGACAGTGTCTTTTTATTTTTGCCCTTCGTATTTCAATGGAGGAAATTTAGAAATAAGACTTCCTTATCTTTCTTTCCAGAGTCTCTGTGGTGGTCCTCCGTGTCCATACATAATAGTGCAGTTTTGCAGGTGGGATTCCCTGGGAAGCCAACTCCAAGGTGCAGATTAGCATACAGGATGACTCTTAAGGGTTGCTCTTGGGGTCAGTGTCTAGTGGAGGGAAGGGAAGGAAGCAGCCTTACTTCCCCCTCTGCCCAATCCTGTAATACAGGCTCAGCAAAGGCCTCTGCTGACCCTATTTGAAACAGCTGAAGCTTGGCTGTTCTTTCAGAGTTGTCCTGAGTCAGGGCAAGGAGATTGAGTCTTTAGACCCCAGTGTTCATCAGTCATTTGATGCGGATTACCTCGGGCAAAAACACTCTCTTCATTCAAGGCAATTCTAGAGGATGACAGCTGATGGCCAGTAGTGTTTGCTGCAGCTGGGACCATAAGCTTTTTAGTCTTAAAGCAGAGGAGGGATGTACATCAGAGTGTCCACTCACACGCCTGAAATAGAATGAGGTGGAAGAAGGCAAGACAAATTATTTGTATGTGATGGTGCTAGATCCCCCATTACATACAGCAGTGGTGTTTTTGGTTGATTTGTTTTTGTTTCTAAATAAAGGAAAATGTTTATATTACTGTACAGTGAATAAAACAATGAATTCTGTTCCAAAAGAATCATAGGTAACTTCAAACTCTTTTGACTGTTTTCCTGTATTTGCTATAACGAGTAAGAACTGTTTTTCTCTAGGATGTTAGGGTGTTGCTGTGGCAACTGGTGTCCTATGCTGTACTTGTTATTGCCTCATCCTTCATCTGGGCCTGGTGGCCCTCTCCCGTGCTTCTGTAGCCGGGAATTATGCACAGCATGGTTGTTATCCTTACAGGATTGTTATTGGTTTGTGTTCCTGGGTTCCCCAATGAATTGGAGGGCTAGGCCATGTTTTATTAATTTCACCTGATTTGCCTAGGGAAGCGCACAGCCCTGGAGGGCACTCACTAAATGCTTAGTGAACTGACTCTTGCCTGCTTTCCTGTCCTAAGGCACTGTTTTGCCTACCTGCTTGTCTTCGGAGCTCTGCTCAGCTATTCTGAGTAGTTACTGCTGGCTACTAATTCTGATACCTAATCAGACCAGGGTTTCTGATGTCTCTTCCTCTTCAGTGTTCTTGCCCACCTTCTTATTCTACTGTATTTTATCTTATCTCTGAGACTTCTTGGATGATCTACCCTTTATTTGATTTCTCTCCCTATTTCAGACTATCACTGTATTTTGAAGGATATAGCAACTTATATTCAAGGAAGTAGTTTAAACTAGGAATCTTTGCAAGGTCCCTTAGAATTTCATCTGCAGTTAGTTATCTAGTAGTTGCCTCTTCACTGACAAAGAGCAGAGTGTAGTGTTGGATTTAGAGGGGTATTCTAGTCTAGCTGCTTGGTTGTAGTTTCTGAAATACAAATCTGGCTTTTTTTTTTTTTTGACAGAGTATCACTTTGACACCCAGCCTGGAGTGCTGTGGTGCAGTCACAGCACACTGCAGCCTCAGCCACCCAAGCTCAATCGATTCTCCCACCTCAGCCTCCTGCGTAGCCGTGACTACAGGCATGTGCCACCACACCTGGCTAATTTTTGTATTTTTGGTAGAGACAGGTTTTAACCATGTTGCCCAGGCTGGTCTCAAACTCCTGGGCTTAAGCAATCCACCCGCCTCAGCCTCCTAAAGTATTGGGATTACAGGTGTGAGCCCCCATGCCTGTCCACAAATCTAGCTTAATCATAAATGGGGATTTATTGGCTTGTGTAGTTGGGAGTGGAGGAATAGAGTTTGGTTTCAGGCATAGCTGGATCCAGCAGCTCAATGACAACTGGGCTCTGTCTCCCTTTCCAGAGCTCAGCTCACTTCTCACTGTGCTGTGGCTTCATTCTGAGGCAGAGTTTCTCCTATAACATAAGAGATGACAGGCTCAAGCTTATCCCCCTACAACTAAAGATTAAAAAGGAAGGACCTTCCCACTCTCTCTCAGCATCTATATTACACATCTTATAGAGAGGGTCACCCATCCAAACCCAAATGATGTATTCACTGTTACCAAGGGTGGAGAATTCTCCTTTGCCAGCTGGTGGCATCTGCTTGTCTTGATTGATGAGCTGACCCAGGCGCTATGCCATCAGAGAGGCCCCCTCAAGGGAGTGGACACTAAGCACACAGCCGGTATTTTCTGTCACAGAAGAGGAAGAATGAGTACTACTGTGTAGAGAGCTGTTTCAGGGGAGAAATGGGCAAAGCAAAACTAGAGGAAATCTTCCTATCAAACTTAATGAGTCTGAATTCGCACCCAAATGTATTTACATTTCAAAATATGTGGACATAGACCTGCCCATAGTCACATTGCATTTACCTCCTTTTATCTGGGTTGGTCTCCCCCTTCACTGTCCTCCCCACCAGACTGTGTATCCTTGCTGCCTATGGGAGGTATTGCCTAATAGTCTGCTGGACTGAAATCATAATGTTAAGGCTTTTATTTGTATACTTACTTAAATAAGTTGAACATTTTGGAGTTGAGATTGGCCAGGCAGCTGTAAGAGATTTTGTCTTTCTGTAGTCAAATAAAACAGTATGAAAATTGCTTGCTCAGCCATGCTGGTTGTCATGTTGCTAATAAAACTTATGCAAGAATAGGCCAACCCCAATATTTCATGAAAAAAATGTGCTTTGCTGTCATTTAGTGTCTTCATTTTCATTAAGTTCTGAATTACAAGGAATTGCTTAAAAATAAATTTTGTGGCTGAGGCTGGTGGCTCAAGCCTGTAATCCCAATTTTGGGAGGCTGAGGCAGGAGGACCACTTGAGCCCAGGAATTTGAGACCAGACTGTGCAACACGGTGAAACCCTGTCTCTACTTAAAAAAAAAAAAATTAGCCAGGAATGCCTGTAGTCCCAGCTACTCAGGAAGCTGGGACAGGAGGATTGCTTGAGTCCGAGAGTTTAAGGCTGTAGTAAACTAGTGTCACACCACTGTACTCCAGCCTGTGTGACAGACCAAAATACTGCCTTGAAAGACAAAAATTTTAAAAATAAAATAAAATTTGCTTTGGGAAATTTCTACTTTACACAGTGAGAGTAAGCCACTGTTTCTAAAATGAAGTTTTTTTTAAATTTTCATTTAAAATGTTGGTAATTTAATGTATAAAGTTGGACATTAACTTTGGAAAGTTAAATAGCTTTCACTGAAAATGTGGTAAATTTTCATATAAACAAAATACTAGATATCTCTGAGCTTTGATTCTGATTTAGGAATTTGAAAGTTCTTGGTTCTTTTCCTCTCCCCTGCCACAGGGGAACGCATAGCAAATTTGGCTTGATCTGAGATGGCATCTGCCTCGTTAATTTTTTTTGGTAGAATATATTGCACCCAGAATGATTTTGGCTTTCCCCTCACCTATCAAATGGATTTTCATGCAGCGGCCAAACTGTGATGTTTTGCTCATTTCACTTTGGGTTAAATTCCTATGTCTATGACTGCAGGTAAAATGTCTCAAGTTTCATTGGGGATTCAGAATGTTTCAGGTTATCAAGAAAGTGTTTTTCTCCTGGAGAAGGCTGGTGTGTGGCTTAATGACTTCTCCACATGGCTCCTTCCTATACCCTGTGCTCATTCCCTGCCCTGGCAATCTTTAGCAAAGAGAATGAATCCTAGATGGGTCTCTTTTAGAGTTGTAGAGATAAAGTATAGCTGGAAAATTCAGATGAAAGTGGATCTCTAAAAAATAGATGTTAACTCTAGCTCCAATTCTTAAGTGGGGAATGAGGAGTAAATGTCTTTTTCTGGGGATGCCAGTACTAACAGTGAGGCACTTTTTAAACATATGTCTTTCAGTTTAAATGAAATGATTGGAATTGGGCTGTCTGTTAATATGTTTCTTTGCAGCTATGATATGTATACTTTTTGGAAATACTTTAAAATAATAAGGAGCTGTTGAAAACTATGCAGAAATAACTTAAAAGAATGGACCAGTTGTGCTGCAGAAATTAGCAGTGAGATGTGTCTTTACTTAGCAAAGGTTGAGAACAACATATGAGAGGGGGAGGCAGTCACCAGAAGTGAGCAACTCCAGAAAAACCACCAGTATAAGACACATAACTATCTTCCAAACAGCATGGTATGTAAGATGCTACTTACGTTGACATTTATTTTAATACTAGTAATCATAATAGTTTGCTAACATGTATTTGTAACATGTTAACTTTCCTAAACACATTCATGTGTTTTATTTATTTCCTCAAAGACACCTATGACATTGGTAGTAAAACTATCCCTGTTTTACAATCATGAAATGGATGCACAGATTGAGTAACTTGTCCAGAGTCTAACAGCCAAGATTTGAACTTAGGTGATCTTCAGATGTGGGTGATTCATGTACCAATATGTCAGTCTTGAATAAGAACTTATATTGTATATGCATGTTTACAACAATTTTGTCCCAAGGTGTATTTGAAGATATATGTTATTTGGGAGAAAATGAAATAGTGCCTTAAGATTCTGGGCTTTGTTCTTGAGCTTTTAAATAACAGTCTAGTAATTCTGTTTTCAGTAATGGTTAATGTGCTTGTTTCAGACCATTCTCCATTTAGAACAAATAGAAAATCTGGAAGTGGGGAGGGATATCAATTTGAAAGTATTGAGATCTACAAGATAGCAAGAATTTGTGGGGCCAATATTCCAGGGAGAAGGTAACCCAGAAAAGGAGCAACTTTTCCCATTCAGGCATTTGCTGAATTAAAAGTCTCATCTGGGAAGCTGAAAAGCTGAGTGGAGTTTTTGGAAAACTCAAAGAGCTGTGAAATTCATATTTTGCTAAGGAGGAGGAGCTCTGGAAAATAGCTCAAGCTTTTATTGGGACCTCAAAGGGTTTCACTGTAGGAATAAGAGTGAATCTGAGAAGTGATTTCTCACAGTGACTGAAGCCAAGCTTCTGATCATGCAAGCACTAGAAAGAAGTAATCTGTTCCCAGCCTGTGCCTCTGCTAGCTGCAAAAGTGAATCCACTCTGGATGAAAGTAACATTAACTGTAGCCTCAGATTTTCTCTACAAGTTTTTATTTCCAGTGTTATTCAATTAAAAATAACCAGGTACCCCAAAACATAGCACTTAACTGAAAATCAGTAGCACAAAAAGTATACAAATAGGAACTCTTAGGAGATCCAGATACTAGAGTTATTTAACTTCAATATAACATGGGTTGAAGGAGTTTAATATAACAATGATTAAAATATTTAGAGAATTGAATGACAAATGGAATAATTTCATAGAGAACTAATTCTGTTAAAAAGTGAAAAGAGATTCTAGAATGAAAATCTATGTTAAAACCTAGTGAGTTGGTTTAAGAGAAGATTTTACACAGCTGAGAGCTAATAAATTAACCAAAATTTCTACAGAAAAAAGTATTTAACTGGATATACAGAGAAGAACAAAAGAACGGAAAACACCAGAAAGAATGTACAAGCTGTATGACATGGCAGGTCTAGCATACATAATTGGAGTATCTTCAGGAAAGTCAAAAGGCAGAGGAATTGAAGCAATATTTTAGTAGATAGTCACTGGAGGTTTTCCAAAACTGACATCAAGCCACAGATGTAAAGAAGAGTTATGGACCCAAATGTGATAAACACAAAGAAAACTTATATATGCTGTCATCAAACTGCTGGGAACCAAAGACAAGAGAAAGTCTTAAAAGCAGCCAGAGAAGAAAGACATTCCACCTTCAAAGGAGCAATATAAGACTGAAAGCAGCCTCTCAGCAGAAATAATGGAAGCTACAAGACAGTGGATTGACATCTGCAAGGTACAGAAAGGAAATATCCACCAACCCAGAATTCTACTTCTAATGAAGGAGAAATAAAATTATTTTTATACCAACAACAAACAAAAAAACAAAAAAAAAAACTGAGGCAATTAATTACCAGCAGAATTGCACCAAAGGAAACACTAAAAGGAGTTCTTTTGGCAAAAGAAAATGATCCTAGGTAAAGCATGATCGTGCAGGGAATAAGGAGCGGTGGCAAGGAGTATTGCTGGAGGTAAATCTGAATAAAAATTGACTGTAAAAATTCTAAGTAATAATGGTTTTTTGGGTCTCACATAGAGATTTAAAATATGTGACAGCAATAGCTTGTTAACTCAAGAAAAAGAGAATGGGGTTAGTGTTTTAAGTTTCTTGAGATTTTCAGGATATGGCATATGTACAAACTGATATTGAACTTCAGTAATTTAGGGAGCCATATTGTAATCTCTACAGCAATCACAAAAAGAATAGAGAAGGGATATGTAAAGAACAAGCTACTGGCATGGAAATTATAATAATAAAAACACCAATCTAGAAGAGAGCAGTAAAGGGGAGATAAACAAAGAACACAGCTCAATAGAGAGCTCAAACCCAAATATATGAATTATAGTAAATATGCATAAAATTATTTCAAAGGCAAAGATTGTTAGATCAGATAAAAAAGGATAGGAAAATGTCTGTTTGCTGCTTGCAAGAGACATAAATATGAAGATATAGAAAGGATGCAATAAAAGGTTATATCAGCTGGGCATGGTAGCTCATACTTGTAATTCCAGTGTTTTAGGAGGCCGAGGTGGGAGGATCGCTAGAGGCCAGGAGTTCAAGACCATCCTGGGCAACAAAGCTGGATCCTGTCTCTACAAAAAAATTTTTTTTAGAAAAGAAACAACTTTGGGAGGCCGAGACTGGCAGATCATGAGGTCAGAAGATCGAGACCATCCTGGCTAACACGGTGAAACCACATCTCTACTAAAAATACAAAAAAATTAGCTGGGCATAGTGGCGGGCGCCTGTAGTTCTAGCTGCTTGGAAGGCTGAGGCAGGAGAATGTGAACCTGGGAGACGGAGCTTGCAGTGAGCCAAGATCGTGCCACTGCACTCCAGCCTGGGCGACAGAGCGAGACTCCCTCTCAAAAATAAAAAAAAGAAAAGAAACAACTGTGGATGGTGGCATGCACTTGTATTTTCAGCTACTCAGAATGCAGAGGTGGGAGGATTGCTTGAGCCCATAAGCCTGGGAGTTCGAGGCTGCACTGAACTATGATCACACCACTGTACTCCAGCCAGAGAGAGACCCTGTCAATCAACCAACCAATCAAAAAATAAAAAATAAATAATACATAGTTACATAGCCTAAACAAAAGAAAAGCTGACATAGCTGAACTAAACTGTTAAAAAGTTGACTTTAGGCAAGAAACTTAATATCCAAAAATAGGAAACTTTACACTGATAAGAGGTTCAATATAAACGGAAAATACCACCCTTTTAAATGTTTTCTACCTTACAGCATAATCTCAAATATGTAAAAGACATCATGTTGCCTAATATTTTAGTGGTTTGACTTCAAAGAATAGAATGTTCTAAAGTCAGAAAGAACAGATAATGTTCTAATGTTCTGTATGGACATTGGAAAAATATTGATACTGATTCCTTCTTTTTGCAGATTTCAAATTCAGACCATGTCATTTCTTTCCACAATCCCTTTCAAAGGAGGTTGGTGTTTTCTGTTATCCTTATGTGAGTTACTTAGTTGAGGAAGTGTAAATGTAGGGCTCAGCTTGAAGTAGGAGAGAAGAGACTTGGTCTCCCTTTTGCAGGTGGAGTTGGTGCTAGGTGTCCTCCCTTGGGAGCTTCAGGTAAAGTCTGGAATGGGTAGTAAGGCTGTTTGTTTCTCTGCTGTTAGCAGAAGTCTTACCCCAGAGTACAGTGGCTTCAGAAGTACCTGGAAAAATGAAAGCATACCAGGAAGAGTAAGAATCTCACCTTGCCTTGTTCTTTGGTATTTCACTCATGCATCAAAAATGTGAGCATCAGGAAAATTGCACTGGATTTCTGAATCTTCTCTTCTTCTCAAACAGTTATTTGTTGGCTATTAAGAGCATCTCCATTGATTAGAAGTGGTAGAGACATACTTGTGCCTTTGGAAAGGGGGAATAGAATGTGAACACAACCTATTCTTGAAAGAGCTTGAAATAATATTCTATACCAAGCTGATTCTCTTTGGAACTGCTGTTGTCCACCAAGATAAACAGCTTCAATCAGGGAGCAGTTTTTTCTAATCAGGTTTACAGCTTTGAACTTCAATGAAAACTGATTTTCTAAATTGTTAGTCAGTGGAATTATATTTTCAGTCTGGTTGTCTTTTCATTCAAAGAAGCTGAGCTAATGAGAGCAGGTGTTGGAGAGAAAATGAGCCATAAAATTCTCTGTATCTGTTGGACCTAGACTGCTGAATTGAGAGTTGCAGAATTGGCCATTTGTTAGAATGCATTTCAGGATTTCCCCCTGAAGTTTCACAAAACAGAAAATTTAAACAGCAATATTAGTTTTTATGTACCATAAGAGAATGAAGGAAAATAATTCCTTCAGCTAAAGGAAATGATGGACATAGTTGCTTTTGAAGAAGTGGTTGTCTACCATTTTCCAGTAATTGTCTTTCTTCTATCATGTTACCTCTGATTCTTATTGCTGAAATGTAGAAGAAATAAGAGCCTACAAGGGAAAGAGTTCTCTGAACTTGGAATTCTGACCTCATACTTCTTACCTCTCTTAGCTAAAGCAGAAATAATGAGGATCTAGTATATTACCCCTTTACACTTCTGCAAAGGTTCTTAACTTATGTAAGAATCAAGTCAATTTTCTATGTAAAATCTTGACAGGGATTGTCAGAAAAATTTAGTGTGGAATGAAATGGAGCCTAATTTCATTTTACTTGAAACTCCATTACAGATGGAAAGTTTGTAGTATAAGATACTGGCAGGTACTTGAAAATGCAGGTAGCAGAACAGAAATTCTTTGGCTTGCTCCCTAACCTTAAAATACTATTTAAAGATGGATCTTGTATCTGAAAGTGCACACACAAGATTGTTAGCAGTTGATCACCTCTGAGGCATGAAATTAAAGGGTTGAGAGAGTGGAAGACTTAATTTTTACTTTTTAAACTTTTGAAATGTTAGGAGTTTTTTTTTTTTTTTTTTACAACTGATATATGTTTTTAAAAATGGATTTTTAATGACCTAGAAGTTTTCTGTGTAAATGCATTGTTATATAAAGGGTATGGAAGAGAAGCTTCACTGCTTATTGCTTCATCCAGCCGACCTAGACTTTTGATCTTTGACAGATTTGTTTCCAAGCAAATAATTATAAATAAGTTATCATTTTACTGCATATCCTTGAAGGTTAGGTAGCATCTCCTACCCTCAGAAATGAGAATGCCAAGCAACCGCCCCAGGCAGATAAACATTTTATATTTAAAGGCTTCCAGGGGAGAATTTACCGCTCTATTTACTATGAGGATATTCTTGAATATATCTATTTTGAGTGACTCATGCTATAATGTAGGTGTTTTCTTCTCCTTCTCCCCTGGTGGAGGAGAACAGCTGCTTGCTAACCTTCTGTGTACCTACACTCTTACATTGTTATTATTAGAATGCTGTGCAGGGGGGTATCCACTTAAAGCTGGGTGTGACTGAGAAGTATTCCAGACATTATGTGACATACTGGCATGTAGTGATTAAGGAGACATGGTCTCACATAAAGACACCAGCATGGGCCTGTGGCTCAGGGGGCCTTGTGGCTTGGGAAGTGCCTCATTCCCATCTCCACTTAGCACTCCTCTATCTGATGGGATTGTTCCCCACCACAAAGCTGCTTTTGGCTCCTTCTCTTTGTGACTTCCATGGAACATGCCACCTACACAAAGAAGGAAGAAGAAAGAAGGCTGTGGTACCATCCTATTTGCAAAGACTCAGAAACTGACCTTCCTTTGAATTCCATTTCCACCCTCTACTAAATCTTAATTCTTCATTTGTTAAATGGAACTAATAGCACTGAACTCACCTTGCAGTTTGTGAGAACTAAGTAAGCTTTTTGTCAGTACAAGGAGTGTGGATGAGCTTCTTGGTAACTAAGCTCCCAAAAGACTTAGATGAAATGAAATTCCAGTTTATTATTTGGCAATGGAAAAATAGAGCCCTCCATCTGAGAAGACACTGTTTCCTCTGGCTAGCACATGAACTACATGGAGAGACATTTGTGTATCTTTGTGAACACAGATTCAGAGTAAGGAGAATTAATGGCATAATTCAGATGTTTGACGTTGTCAGGAATGTGGCTGAAAATAGTATCCCACAGCAAGTAGGTCACAGTAGAAAAAGCAGAAGGTGCCTGGGAATCAAACAGTCATCTGGGACAAGTTGCTTTTTCTCAGCTTCTGGAAAATGGGTATGATAACACTTGCTCATCAGCTTGGTTTAATTATGAGATAATTCAATGTGAAAAAGGCCCAACAAGGACTAGACTTTTTCATCTCCTTCCTATAAAACATTGAGCCATATCTGATTTGTAATTAGTGAAGTTAATGATCCAGCATTCTAGATTCCCTTCTATTTTCCATGGGAATGGAAGAGGCTTCTGAAGCCTGTTTTGTTCTTATCTTTGCTTGCTTATATCATGCTGTCCTTGAAAACCATAGTTACCTGTCTTGATTGCAAAGATTTATAAACAAGGCATAGTCACACTTTATACATACATATTCATAGACATGGAATGCAACTATGATAGCAGTTTGAACAGAGGAAATTAAAAAATGTTTTGAGTAATGCCCATGTCTGCATAAATTTTACCTAGTCACCCGTCTCTACTTTTGTTTATTGATACCCACATTAGACCAGTTGAAAAGGACAGCAGGCCGGGTGCCATGGCTCATGCCTATAATCCCAGCACGGAGGGCTGAGACAGGAGGATTGCTTGAGCCCAGGAGTTCAAGACCAATGTTGGCAACATAGTGAGACCCTGTCTTTGCAGAAAAAAAAAAAAGAAAACTACCTGGATGTGGTGGCACATGTCTATGGTCCCACCTACTCTGGAGGCTGAGGCAAGAGTATCACTTGAGCCCAGGAGGTCTAGGCTGTGGTGAGCCATGATCATGCCACTGCACTCCAGCCTGGGCAACAGAGCAAGACCCTGTCTCAAAAAAAAAAAAAGTCATCAAGAGTGTGCCTGCTTTGAATGACACTACTGTTATCTCCATATCTAAGCTGTAGACAGATGGTGTATATGCAGACAATAAGAGGCAGTATCAGTATTCCCTGTGCTGATGCAGAGGCGGTACTCACCTCAAAAACATCTGACTTATAAATGACTCACAGATAAGAGCAAAATGGGAGCATTATCTCCTGGCTGATGTCTCTTGCCCTCGCTCCTGAAACTAGTTTTCAGAGGACCTGTGGCTTCAGAATGCTTTCCTGCTCCCTCTCCTTTTATTTCCCTATCATTGCTCAATCTCACATGCCATCTCTTCTGGGAAACACTTCTTGAATCCTGCAGAATGAGTTTCTGGCTTTTCTCTGCTGTGGGAAATCAGTAGATGGTCTCTGAGCTGAGAAGTGGTGCAGAGGGGCACATGACGGGCAGGTTGACAGATGGTCACATTCAGTAGGTAGGCTGAGCTCAGTTCGAAGGGTCCTGTGTGGCATGCTGAGGATGTTGAGCTTTATCTGATAAGCAACTTGGAAACTAGATTGTTAAACCTTGAAATAGAGTAACAGATTAAAATTTTAAAACTTGTTTTAAAATATGTAGCCTGCAGGCTGATTGCCCTGTAGTCTAATAAAGTGCTAACAGGTAACCTTTCGATACAGCTGGGATGCTGGCTTCAGGGATTCTGCATGAAAGAAATCTTCATGCAAAGGCTGAAAATTATAGAAGAAATATTATTGCAACAAATGCATGATGATTTGCTGAAAGACGTATGAGAATACACCTGTGTTTACATTTCACTTTGAGATTTCTGTGGCTCATGGGCCTGTGACAGGACAGTTCTGTCTTCTCCATTTGCCCTTCCTGCAAATGGAGCATGGTACAGGTATCCTCACTCCTCAGGGCCATTCATCCATCCTGCATCCAGGGACTCAGTCAGTTTCTTTCAGCCATTACCTTTCCAGTAATAAGTGTGTTATTTGGCTTGTTTGTGGCTGTTTGTACAGCCAACTTTTTCGACATCAGTAGAGGACTAGAACAAAGCCCTTGAATACAGAAATTTGAGGTGTGGGTGGAAATCAAGCTAAGATTACATCATAATGTTCATTTCTTAGAGCTGCTGACAAAGATAAAGAAGCAAATGATGGAACCCTGAAAAAGTAAAGCAAAGTAGAGAAAGAGCTTACTTTAATGGCTTTCTTCTTAAGTGCTATTAGAAGAGAGAGAGGGCAGATCTTTCATTTGAATCTTTCTAATTTCTTGGGTTATAAGGCTCTTGCTTGGCCCTAAGTATTTCCAGCAATTAAATCAAAGCCCATTAAGCTTAGGTTCATCATAGATCTTATTAAGGATTTAAATCTTTATGCAGATTTTATTTTTCTTATTGAATAGGATAAATAAAGGTGACGTACAAGGAAGTTCACATTTTGAAAGAGTACAAGATTACTTCACCAATGCTTCCTTGAAATGTGGCACTGAGAAACTGCAAAGTTATGTTTTTGTTTATTAAAAAGTAAGTTCTGGGCTGGGTAAGGTGGCTCATGCCTGTAATTCCAGCACTTTGGGAGGCCGAGGTGGGAGGATCACTTGAGGCTGGGAGTTCAAGACCAGCCTGGGCAACATGGCAAGACTCCGTCTCTTATTAAAAAAAAAATTAAATAAGCCAGGCATCATGGCTTGCCTTCAGTCCTAGCTATTCTGGAGGCTGAGGTGGGAAGATTGATCGCTTGCGCCCAGGAGTTGACATTACAATGAGCTGTGATTGTGCCACTGCACTCTACCCTGGGCGAGTGAGACCCTGTCTTTTAGAAAACAAAAAATAAGTAAGTTCAGAGGGAAACTTCTAGTTTTATTGTTGTGATGAGAATTACCAATATAATTTAATATATTTTAATACAAGTGTTAATATATGTAGAATACTTAACGCAGTGCGTGGAAATGTTTTGGAGAGAAGTCTTGAAATAATAAGAGCTAGAGCTATCATAATGGAGACTCACACTATCCTTGTAGGCTATATCCTTGTTCCATCTACTAAATAATGTGCCTTTATTTACGGAGCACCTATTAAGTGCCAGTTAGTATGTTGATACCAAGGATATCTATAAACAAGTCCTCCCAGAGCTGATATCCCAGTGGACGATTAGCTAGTCTTCAATAAAGAGAACAATTCATGATTTGATTTACTTGTTACTGTAATTATATGAGTGTCTAAAAAATAGTGCATCCTTGAATTTTAGAACAGAGTTCCTGAGGCAGTCAGTGCATTCTGGGGTTTTGCCCCAAAGTGCAGGAAATATGAAATCCAAATTTATATAAATGAGATTTGAGCAGCTTCACTTATAACCTAATTTCTACTGATATTCCCAGTTTTGTGTAAACGTCTACAAAATGAGTTCTATCTAAAGCTGACGCCAACTGTTTAATATGTGTATTAGATATACATATATGTATAGATATATATGATAAATATGTATTATGTATATTAATGTATATGTTGTGCTGGACCCAGTTTATTCATCTCCCAGGATCTTCTTGGCCATTCTTTTCTGCTGTGCTTCCCTGATCCCCCTCTAGGGAAATTCCCTGATGCCCACTGCATTCTTTAGACACAGAGCTCAGATTTCTACCCTGATCCTTGCTGGTGGCAGCCAGGTAGTCAGGACACCTCTGCTGGGCCAGCCAGGCCCATTATTACTCCCGTCTCCCAACTCTGATGTCACTTGTGATCAAGAACTGGCATTACTGCCTGGCACCTGGGGCTTCCATGAGCCTTCTGAACTTCAGTGCTCCTATTCTGACCCCCAGGCACCTCTGGCCCAAGTATGCCCACTGGAGTTCCCATAACCCTGGCCTGCATAGCAGATGTCACTCCTGTTGGGGAACTCAGGCTTCCAGGATGGCTGCCAGAGGGACCAGGGAACCAGTCAGAAATGGGGGTTGAGGAGTCGGTACCCTGTGGTGCAAACATTGATGGTTGAAGACCAGAGCTAGTAGAAATTCTGCTCCCATGGTGGACTGTGTGCAGATTCAGGGGTTTTTACAGATACTCTGATCTGCTGTGCCTGTGAAAACCGTGGCCAGGTCAGTAACCAACCTGCCCCATATACCTCCCTCCCCTGCCTCAAAGCCCTGCCTCCCTCACAACCATTTACATGGAAGCCAGGAAGTGTTTTCCCAGGCTCCATTTTCCAGAGAACCCAGGCAAAAGTACAAGTGGAGGGCTAGTAGATTGGAGGTTTATATTTGAGAAAATTTATGGAGAATTTTCTGATCCTTTTTGAATTGTGAGTATTTCTGCCAGTTTTATTTTTTAAATGTTTTTATTTTATTTTTTTTTTTGAGACAGAGTCTCGCTGTGTCTCCCAGGCTGGAGTGCAGTGGTGCAGTCTCAGCTCACTGCAACTTCGGCCTCCCAGGTTCAGGCGATTCTCCTGTCTCAGCCTCCCAAGTAGTTGGGATTACAGTTGTGTGCCACCAAACCCAGCTAATTTTTGTATTTTTAGTAGAGACGGGGTTTCACCATGTTGGCTAGGCTGGCCTTGAACTTCTGACCTCAAGTGATCTGCTGGCCTTGGCTTCCCAAAGAGCTGGGATTACAGGTATGAGCCACTGTGCCCATTCTGCCAGTTTTTTAAGTTTTTCTTTTAGTTTGGGAGAGATAAAATGGATTCAGATAAACAGATGGATCTATGTGCTCAGTGAGGGAAGAGTGCAGGGGGCGGGGGTCTGTCTTGTTCAATCTCAGATCCCAGGCAAAGCACCTGCTGGTATATGCAACTTGGGAAACCCACCTGCTGAAGTCACAGAACTAATTAGCCTTTCCAAGCTCAGGAATCATCTGGCCTCTTTCACCACCTTTTCCTCTCGTTTATCTTGTTCCTCTGGATTATTTGCATTTAACAGAAATGCTGAATACTTCTATTTAGCAGAAACATTAAAAACAAGGTTTGTCCAGTATGCAGGGAAATAATCTTAGATGTATGTTACAGGAGAACTTAACAGGTAAAGATCCATGATTTGCACCATATTTGCATGGGGATTGTGATGCTCTTGAGCAAGGTAGAGGCCCACTCCCTACTCTGTCTCAGCTTTCCTGTCTTTGTAGACCATCCCTTGCTTTCTGGTTTCTGCTCCTACCATTTCAAATGAATTATGCTGACTAGTGCTGTCAAGTACTTTCCTTCTGGATCCTTATCCCAATTATTTTCTGGCACAGATAGCAAATGCATTCTTAAAAGTTCTTCCACTGAGAAAGAAGCCATTTCTGATCTGACTTCCTACTCTGTTCCTCCTAGGTCCCTCCCTTTTTACACTGTATGTCCCTCTGTTGGATGAGCCCATGATCTCCCTGAAGCCCTAGTCCATGTCCTCTTCATTTTTGCATCCTGTATCCTAGGCTCTTCGCTCTGTTTCTAGACCTTTAATAAATGAGTTCTACATGGCTGAATGTATGATGTTTCAACCTTTCTTGCCTTCCCTACAATTTTTTTTTAACTGGAGGTTTGCAGCTCTGTAAATCCCCTAAAAAAATTATGGTTTGTGCTTTTAAGTTTCTGCTTATAAAGTAAACAGAATAATGATTAAAATAAACACACTCAGTATTTATAGTAATATGAAAACTAAGTGAGACTAACAATTACTCACTGAGGATTTTCATGTCTTTAATATTTGAATGCAATCTGGCTTATTGCAGCAGGACTTTGCAGGTGACAGCATAATATTTAAAAATATTTATACTTGTACATAATCAGCATTTTCTACAACTTATTTTGGGTAAATTGAAATGACCCTAAAAGTTCTATAAAATATACCTAAAACAAGTCTAAAAACAATCAGACTTTGAAAGCTTCTGTTAGGAGGTTTCTATTGCTTGTCTTTCTGAGGATCTGGTTCGTTTTGGTGGGGTCAAGGCACAACTCGGCACACAGGTCTTCCACCTTTTACTCAAAATCTTGTGCACCTTTCTTGGGATAGGTAGTGGAATGAAGACTGTTTGATATTGGGGTGTGTGTGTGTGAGAGAGAGAGAGAGAGAGAGAGAATCTGCACATAAACAGGAAGCCAAAATGCTAATATAGACAAGCAGTAAACCTACTCTCTTACCCCCACCCTGCAAAGTAGACATGGATATGTAGGCTGTATATTTGATTGAATATTGGGGAAAAACCCTCTCCTTAAGATTTCTGTCTTACCTAGGTGCCTGAAATTCTGTGCTTTTTGAAAACCACTTTATAATGCACATGGTCATAAGGGACGAGGAATCACAGAAAGACATGAGCATTTAGAACATGAATTCTTGATTGTTTTCATGCCGTGTACACCTTTGGCAGCCTGGTGGAGTCTACAGACCTCTTTTCAAAATGATATGCATAAATGCATAACATAAAATTTATAAGATTATAGTGAAATCAGTTAAGTTCAAAATAAAGGTATCCAAATATTAAAACAAAATTTGCTGTATAATAGTAGGTGTCTTTATTTATCAGTGCCCTAATAATGATATCTAGCAATAAGTCTATTCACTCAGGTAATTTTAAAGTAGTGAATGTAACATGTTGATGTGAAGTGAATATCTTCTCATTTTTTAGTGATGACAACGTCACAAATACTGCTAATAAAATTGTGCTTTGTCAACTACATCATATTTGAAGGAAGTGCCACATTCAAATATGAATACCACATTCAGGTGTTTTCAATACTTTCAGTTAGAAGGTATTGAAAATTAAGATGTAATTTTGTTATCATTGACGTTTCTGGACCCTTTGAATTTTATCCATGGACACCTCCCAGGGATTTCTCTGATTCCATTGAAGAAAGTTTTAAGCAAGTGAATGGAGGCACAAGGAGATGGAGGGTAAGAAAAGTAAAATGGGAAAGAGGAAGGTGGAAAACAAACTTGATAACTTTGCTGTGGCTAGTTCTGCTAAGACTGTGAATGGTGCTCCTATGATATTGAATAGGCTAAATGCAGTTGCTCAATAAATGTAACAAACTCGCAGAATCATTTTACCTTCATTTGAATCTAAAGAGGACATGATTCTTCTCTGATTAATACAGAATTCTGATATCCCCATCAACAGGTCTCGGTATGCAGCCTGCCTGGGCAAGTTACCTGGGGATGTCTACAACTCTCTAAGTTGCTTAGGTTATCAGAAGTCACAGCAGAGTCTTTGGTGAGAAAAAATGAAATACGGACAAACTTGTAAAGGGAGATTTCTTGGGAAACTCTGTATTGCTTCCAATAGTCATACTTAGCTTTCTTCTATTAGGTTTGGGGTAGAGAAAAGCTGGGAATAAGATTCGTTCTCACAATTTCACCATCAGTTTGCTAAAAGGCTTGTCTTTTTAAGTATAGAAATGGACTGTAAACTATGGGTTTGACTTAATTGGTCTGAGATTTGGCAGTTTCATGTGCGTAGGTGAATGGTGAGGCTTTTACATTTTTTAGATTAAAAAAATTTTTTCATTATACTTTAAGTTCTGAGATACATGTGCAGAATATGCAGGTTTGTTACATAGGTATACACATGCCATGGTGGTTTGCTGCCCATCAAGCCATCATCTACATTAGATATTTCTCCTAATGCTATCCCTCCCCCAGCCCCTCACCCCCGACAGGCCCTGGAGTGTGATGTTCCCCTCCCTGTGTCCATGTGTTCTCATCGTTCGACTCCCTCTTATGTGGGAGAACATGCAGTGTTTGGTTTTCTGTTCCTGTGTTAGTTTGCTGAGAATGATGGTTTCCAGCTTCATCCATGTCCCTGCAAAGGACATGAACTCATCCTTTTTTATGGCTGCCTAGTATTTCATGGTGCATATGTGTCACATTTTCTTTATCCTGTCTATCACTGATGGGCATTTGGGTTGGTTCCAAGTCTTTGCTATTGTGAATAGTGCCTCAATAAACATACGTGTGCATGTGTCTTTATAGTAGAATGATTTATAATCCTTTGAGTATATACCCAGTAATGTGATTGCTGGGTCAAATGGTATTTCTAGTTCTAGATCCTTGAGGAATCGCCACACTGTCTTCCACAATGGTTGAACTAATTTATGCTCCCACCAACAGTGTAAAAGCATTCCTATTTCTCCACATCCTCTCCAGCATCTATTGTTTCCTGAGTTTTTAATGGTCACCATTGTAACTGGCGTGAGATGGTATCTCATTGTGGTTTTGATTTGCATTTCTCTAATGACCAGTGGTGATGAGCCTTTTTTCATTTGTCTGTTGGCTGCATAAATGTCTTCTTTTGAGAAGTGTCTGTTCAAATCCTTTGCCCACTTTTTGATGAGGTTGTTTTTTTCTTGTAAATTTGTTTAAATTCTTTGTGTATTCTGGATATTAGCCCTTTGTGAGATGGACAGATTACAAATATTTTCTTCCATTCTGTAGGTTGCCTGTTCACTCTGATGATAGTTGATTTTGCTGCGCAGAAGCTCTTTAGTTTAATTAGATCCCATTTGTCAATTTTGGCTGTTGTTGCAATTGCTTTTGGTGTTTTAGTCATGAAGTCTTTGCCCATGCATATGTCCTGAATGGTATTGACTAGGTTTTCTTCTAGGATTTTTATGGTTTTAGGTCTTATGTTTAAGTTTTTAATCCATTTTGAGTTAATTTTTGTGTAAGGTGTAAGGAAGGTGTCCAGTTTCAGTTTTCTGCATATGGCTGGCCAGTTTCCCCAACACCATTTATTAAATAGGGAATCCTTTCCCCATTGCTTGTTTTTCTTGGGTTTGTCAAAGATCAGATGGTTGTACATGTGTGGTGTTATTTCTGAGACCTCTATTCTGTTCCATTAGTCTATATATCTGTTTTGGTACCAGTACCATGCTGTTTTGGTTACTGTAGCCTTGTAGTATAGTTGGAAGTCAGGTAGCGTGATGTCTCCAGCTTTGTTCTTTTTGCTTAGGATTGGCTTGGATATGCAGGCTCTTTTTTGGTTCCATATGATATTTAAAGTAGTTTTTTCTAATTCTGTGAAGAAAGTCAATGGTAGCTTGATGGGGATAGCATTGAATCTATAAATTCCTTTGGGCAGTATGGCCATTTTCATGATATTGATTCTTCTTATCCATGAGTATGGAATGTTTGTTCATTTGGCTGTGTCCTCACTTATTTCCTTCAGCAGTGGTTTGTAGTTCTCTTGGAAGAGGTCCTTCACATCCCTTCTAAGTTGTATTCCTAGGTATTTTATTTTCCTTGTAGCAATTGTGAATGGGAGTTCACTCATGATTTGGCTCTCTGTTTGTCTATTATTGGTGCATAGGAATGCTTGTGATTTTTGCACATTGATTATGTATCCTGAGACTTTGCTGAAGTTGCTTGTCAGCTTATGGAGATTTTGGGCTGAGAGGATGGGTTTTTCTAAATATACAATCATGTCATCTGCAAACAGAGACAATTTGACTTCCTCTTTTCCTAGTTGAATACCCTTTATTTCTTTCTCTTGCCTGATTGCCCTGGCCAGAACTTCCAATACTGTGTTGAATGGGAGTGGTGAGAGAGGGCATCTTTGTCTTGTGCCAGAATGCTTCCAGTTTTTGCCCTTCAGTATGATATTGGCTGTGGGTTTGTCATAAATAGCTCTTAGTATTTTGAGATACGTCCCATTGATACCTAGTTTATTGAGAGTTTTTAGCATAAAGGGTGTTGAATTTTGTCGAAGGCCTTTACTGCATCTATTGAAATAATCATGTGCTTTTTGTCATTGGTTGTGTTTATGTTATGGATTATATTTATTGATTTGTGTATGTTGAACCAGCCTTGCATCCCAGGGATGAAGCTGACTTGATCATGGTGGATAAGCTTTTTGATGTGCTGCTGGATTCACTTTGCCAGTATTTTATTGAGGATTTTCACATCAATGTTCATCAGGGATATTGGCCTGAAATTTTCTTTTTTTGTTGTGTCTCTGCGAGGTTTTGGTATCAGGATGATGCCGGCCTCATAAAATGAGTTACGGAGGATTCCTTCTTTTTCTCTTGTTTGGAATTATTTTCAGAAAGAATACCAGCTCCTTTTGGTACTTCTGATAGAATTCGGCTGTGAATCCGTCTGGTCCTGGAGTTTTTTTTGGTTGGTAGGCTATTAATTACTGCCTCAGTTTCAGAACTTGTTGTTGATCTATTCAGGGATTTGACTTCTTCGTGGTTTAGACTTGGGAGGGTGTATGAGTCCAGTAATTTATCCATTTCTTCTAGATTTTCTAGTTTATTTTTGTAGAGGTGTTTATAGTATTCTCTGATGGTAGTTTGTATTTTTGTGGGATCAGTTGTGATATCCCGTTTATTATTTTTTATTGCTTCCATTTGATTCTTCTCTCTTTTCTCCTTCATTAATCTGGCTAAGGGTCTATCTGTTTTGATGATCTTTTCAAAAAACCACCTCCTGGATTCATTGATTTTTTTGAAGGTTTTTTCTTGTCTCTTGTCTTTTTCAGTTCTGCTCTGATCGTAGTTATTTCTTGACTTCTGCTAGCTTTTGATTTTGTTTGTTCTTGCTTCTCTAGTTCTTTTAATTGTGACGTTAGAGTGTCCACTTTGGATCTTTCCTGCTTTCTCTTGTGGGCATTTAGTGCTGTAAATTTCCCTCTAAACACTGCTTTATCTGTGTCCCAGAGATTCTGGTATGTTGTGTCTGTGTTCTCATTGGTTTCAAAGAAGTTACTTATTTCTGCTTTAATTTTGTTATTTACCCAGTAGCCATTCAGGCGCAGATTGTTCAGTTTACACGTAGTTTTGTGATTTTGAGTGAGTTTCTTAATCCTAAGTTCTAATTTGTCTGCACTGTGGTCTGAGAGACTGTTTGTTATGATTTCCGTTCTTTTGCATATGCTGAGGAGTGTTTTACTTCCAATTATGTGGTCAATTTTAGAATAAGTGTGATGTGCTGCTGAGAAAAATTCATATTCTGTTGATTTGGGGTGGAGAGTTCTGTAAATGTCTATTAGGTCCACTTGGTCCCTGTCTGAGTTCAAGTCCTGAATATCCTTGTTAATTTTCTTTCTAGTTGATCTGTCTAATATTGACAGTGGGGTGTTAAAGTCTCCCACTATTACTGTGTAGGAGTCTAAGTCTCTTTATAGGTCTCTGTGAACTTGCTTTATGAATCTGGGTGCTTCTGTATCGGGTGCATATATTTTTAGGATAGTTAGCTCTTCTTGTTGCATTGATCCCTTTATCATTATGTAATGCCCTTCTTTGTCTCTTTTGATCTTTGTTGGTTTGAAGTCTGCTTTATCAGAGACTAGGATTGCAACCCCTGCTTTTTGTTTTTGTTTTTTGCTTTCCTTTTACTTGGAAAATATTCCTCCATCCCTTTATTTTGAGCCTATGTGTGTCTTTGCATGTGAGATGGGTCTCCTGAATACAGCACACTGATGGGTCTCGACTCTTTGTCCAGTTTATCAGTCTGTGCCTTTTAATTGGGGCATTTAGCCCATTTACATTTAAGGTTAATATTGTTATGTGTGAATTTGATCCTGTCATTATGATGCTAGCTGGTTATTTTGCCTGTTAGTTAATGCAATTTCTTCATAGTGTCGATGTTCTTTACAATTTGCCATGTTTTTGCAGTGGCTGGTACTGGTTGTTCCTTTCCATGTTTAGTGCTTCCTTGAGGAGTTCTTGTATTGCAGGCCTGGTGGTAACAAAATCTCTCAGCATTTGCTTGTCTGTAATGTATTTTATTTCTCCTTCACTTATGAAGCTTAATTTGGGTGGATATGAAATTCTGGGTTGAAAATTCTTTTCTTTAAAAATGTTGAATATTGACTCCCACTCTCTTCTGGCTTGTAGGGTTTCTGCTGAGAGATCTGCTGTTAGTCTGATGGGCTTCCCTTTGTGGGTAACCCGACCTTTCTCTCTGGCTTCCCTTAATATTTTATCCTTCATTTCAACCTTGTTGAATCTGATGATTATGTGTCTTAAGGTTGCTCTTCCCGAGGACTATCTTTGTGGTGTTCTCTGTATTTCCTGAATTTCAATGTTGGCCTGTCTTTCTAGGTTGGGGAAGTTCTGGATAATATCCTGAAGAGTGTTTTCCAAGTTGGTTCCATTCTCCCTGTCACTTTCAGGTACACCAATCAAGCATAGGTTTCTTCTTTTCACATAGTCCTATATTTCTTGGAGGCTTTGTTTGTTCCTTTTCATTGCTTTTTCTCTAATTTTGTCTTCATGCTTTATTTCATTAAGTTGATCTTCAATGCCTGATATCCTCTCTTCCGCTTGATTGATTTGGCTATTGATACTTGTGTATGCTTCACGAAGTTCTCGTGCTGTGTTTTTCAGCTCCATCAGGTCATTTATGTTCTTCTCTAAACTGGTTATTCTAGTTATCAATTCATCTAACCTTTTTTCAAAGTACTTAGCTTCCTTGACTTGCATTAGGACATGCTCCTTTAGCTCGGAGGAGTTCGTTATTACCCACCTTCTGAAGCCTACTGTCAATTTGTCAAACTCATTGTCTGTCGAAGTTTTGTTCCCCACTGGTGAGGAGTTGTGATCCTTTGGAGGAGAAAAGGCATTCTGGTTTTTGCAATTTCAGCCTCTTTGCTCTGGTTTCTCCCCATCTTCGTTGGTTTATCTACCTTTGGTCTTTGATGTTGGTTGGCCTTTGTATGGGTTTTTGGTGTGGATGTCCTTTTTGTTGATGTTTATACTATTCCTTTCTGTTTGTTAGTTTTCCTTCTAACATTCGGACCCCTCTGCTGCAGGTCTGCTGGAGTTTACTGGAGGTCCACTTTGGACTCTGTTTGCCTGGGTGTCACCAGTGGAGGCTGCAGAACAGCAAAGATTGCTGCCTCTTCCTTCCTCTGGAAGCTTCATCCCAGAGGGGCACCTACCAGATACCAGCTGGAGCTCTCCTATGTGAGGTGTCTGTCAACCCCTGCTGGGAGGTGTCTCCCCATCATGAGGCACAGGGGTCAGGGACCCACTTGAAGAGGTAGTCTGTCCCTTAGCAGAGCTTGAGCTCTGTGCTGGGAGATCCACTGCTCTCTTCAGAGCTGACAGGCAGAAACGTTTAAGTCTGCTGAAGCTGCGCCCACAGCCACCCCTTCCTCCAGGTGCTCTGTCCCAGGGAGATGGGAGTTTTACCTATAAGCCCCTGCCTGGGACCGCTGCCTTTCTTTCAGAGATGTCCTGCCCAGAGAGGAGGAAGCTAGAGAGGCAGTCTGGCTACAGCAGCTTTGCAGAGCTGTGGTGGGCTTCACCCCGTTCGAACTTCCCAGTGTCTTTGTTTATGTTGTGAGGGGAAAACTGCCTACTCAAGTCCAGTAATGGCAGACACCCCTCGCCCAGCAAGCTGGAGCATCCCAGGTTGACTTCAGACTGCTGTGCTGGCAGTGAGAATTTGAAGCCAGTGGATCTTAGCTTGCTGGGCTCCGTGGAGGTGGGATCTGCTGAGCTAGACTACTTGGCTTCCTGGCTTCAGCCCCCTTTCCAGGGGAGTGAACAGTTCTGTCTTACTGTCTTTCCAGGTGCCACTGGGGTATGAAACAAAACTCCTGCAGCTAGCTCAGTGTCTGCCCAAACAGCTGCCCAATTTTGTGCTTGAAACCCAGGGCCCTGGTGGCACAGGCACCGGGGGGAATCTCCTAGTCTGTGGGTTGCAAAGACTGTGGGAAAAGCGTAATATCTGAGCTGGAGTGCACCATTCCTTATGGCACAGTGCCTCATGGCTTCCCTTGGCTAGGGGAGAGAAGTTCCTTGACCCCTTGCGCTTCCCGGGAGGCAATGCCCCACCCTGCTTCTGCTCTCCCTCCATGGGCTGCACCCACTGTCTAACCAGTCCCAATGTGATGAGCTGGGTACCTCAGTTGGAAATGCAGAAATCACCCGCCTTCTGTGTTGATCTCGCTGGAAGCTGCAGACCGGAGTTGTTCCTGTTCGGCCATCTTGCCAGCCATCGATCAGTTTTTTAGATTTTTAAGCTTCCCAAGGAAAGCAATGATCTTTTCTTCCTGAAGTGGCCAGTAAGTGGCCATTATTTAACTGATGGCTTTTTGAAGAGTGCTGATTTTTCTGAGGATATTCTAATGCAAGTAATTATTAGATGCTTTCTGTGGGGCGTGGATATCAGCTCACTTGATGTCTGACCACATGATGTTGCTCTTCTGTAGCTCCTAACTGGCATATGCATCAGGAGTATCCTCAAGGCTAAGAGCCCCAGTGTCTTCCCTTAGGCTAGAGATTGGGCCATATGCAAGTTAATCTTTGTAATCTTATGAAAGCTCATGGTTCTGAAATGAAAAGTAAAACTGAAGTTGAAATTGCACAGTGGCATGGTGGACTTTGTCTTCAGGAGATGAAGTCGGTTTAGAGAGCTGAATTTTCAAGATGGCTGACAACTGGCTGCACTATGGTATCAGGAAATTTTACTGCTTTTAGGTGAATATCACTCTAAGCTTTATCAGGCACCTTTTTGCCTTACTCAACATAAATTAACATGTTTGTGGTAAGTTAAGGCCATGTTGAAAAACATAAATGTTTTTCTGCAGATTTGCTAAAGAGTAGTGGCTTACTTATGCTCCTAACTACCCCTGGCTGCTGTGCTGCAACTTGGCATGACTGTATTTTATATTTTATTATGTCTTCCCTTTTGGCAACTCAGTTTTCTCATTGTTGCTTGGGTGTCTGCTTTAGCAGTCTTTCTTTCCTGTGAATTTCTGAAGGTGTAGATACCAGATAACATAATTTTTGTGCATATGGTTGAGTACAGGCTGTGAGTCAACTGAATAAATGCATGGATTTGACGACATCTGTTTTGGCTGCTCAGAGGTTTTGTTTTGGTATATGTACTCTCTAGTACTTAATTTTCTGTGTAACTGAAAGATACCTTAACTCTAAATTGATGGTACCCCATCCCCTCCTCTCTTCATTACACTGCCTACCAATCAATAAAAAATCTGATAGACAATTTTAAATATTAAATCACCTGAATATTTTTTATTTGAAATATAAAATCACTGAAGATTTTTTTTCCTCAACGATTTAAAAATATTCTTTGCCTTTAGTTCAGCTTTCTCCTCTGGGCCTGGCTGTAGACTCTATGGAAGTAATTCTGCCTAATAAAAAGGTTTAGAGATGTTGTCTAAAACACTTTAGAAAAGAACCGTCTCTCTGGCAGTTAACTCTCATGGGGATAAAGTAGCTTTCAAACTCCAACAATAATGGTTAGTTTTGACGTATCTGACCTGTTTGTGTGCAAAGTGGGAGTTCGCCTCCCTGGAATGCCACTTAAGGCAGCAATGCAGCTCTTGAAAGAAGTTTTATAAAAGCAAAACACCAAGCTGTAAAGGACAAGGCATTTTAATGTGAACTGCTATTACTTTCGCAAGAGCCCAGTTGCTTTCCTAGAAAGCCATAATGTGATTCCCAACAATAACTGTGGACATGCTGTTCCTCCTGTGGTTAAATCACATCTTGATTTCAGCTGTGGAGCACTGATTAATCCTTCTAAAGTTTGGACAATGAATGAAGTGAATGAAGTTTGGACAGTGAATAAAGTATCTTCCTCTACCCTCCAAGGTATTGATGGTCACTATTTGCATTTGTGTGTGCTCTACAGTTTCTCAGTGACAGTCCAGTTCAGTTCTTAATTTACCCTGATGATGATCCTAAACTTGCGTTAGCCATTGTTTTCTGCGGTGCCATTCTGTCACTTTGGCATTTGAATATGTCTGACATAGCAATTACAACTTCGTGTTTTAATTACTTAATTACACAGTTGCTTACTCTGTTAGACTGGAAGCTTCTGAGGGGCCGTGGACATGTCTTTTTCATGCCCAATGTCAGTGTCTGTTCACTGTAACAGGCTCACAAATGTTTGTGGAATGAACAAATGTTGAATCCCCAGCCTGTTCTCCATCTGTGGCCTGTCTTAATGCCTCATCCTGGAGGACTCAGCTCAGAGTTCCCTTTCTCTAAAGAGCTGTCACTAGCACCCCACCTCCCTGAGCTAGCTTCAGTGCCACTTTTGTGTGTGCCCTCAGTGAATGTTGAACGAGGGAGGTGTTCACACCATTGCAACATCACTGTCTTCCTGCCACACCTGACTTAAGAATGGGGCTTGAGTTATTATACTCAACTTTGAATCAGTGGTGCTTACGACAGTGCCTGGGCAGTGATTACTCAATACATATACACAGTACATTTTAAAGTTTGCTGTTTCTTTTTAGAATAATTGTGTAAATGATAAAGAAGAAAAAATTAAAGAAAAAGTGTTTCTGCCAATGAGATACATAAAAGGATTTAAAATGCCTCTGTTGTTATTTTTTGTTCATAGTGCATTGTGGTAGTTAATTCAACTAATTGAGTGCCAGGCATATCTCAGATTATCCGTCATTGGTGATATAGATGTATCAAATTACTGTTTCTGCTTTTTTGTCAGATAAAATTCAGTTGTCAGCATAAACTGGAATCATGTAAGTGGTGTAAAAGAACCACCGTTCTTTCACATATTTTAGGCTAAGAATCATTTTGGACACCATCAGCTCCCCAGCCTCTCAGTATCCATTCAGACAAACAATCCTTTGATTGTAACTCAAGATATCCCATTTATCCTTCCCACTTCCTCATATCACTGCCTTAGATTACCATTGGTCTACTATTCCCACCTAATATTTTCTCTTCATGTTATTATAAAATTATATTATTGTGCAGTTATTATTCATATTATTTTGCTATTCTACCCAGTGTGTTTATGGGTACCTGGTTTGTTTTTTTTACCCGGATTGAAAACGATTACTTGAAAGAGTTATTTACAAAAATACTGGTTAAATGAAAGAAAAATTAGCCTTGAATAAAAATACCCAAGATAATCAGTGGTATTACTTCTTGTACATTTCTTCCCATTTCCTTGTCGGCAACAATAAAAGTGCCATTTATACAGGAGTGAATGTTGGAAGTGATTCACGTGGCATCTCTTGACAGACCTGTGGAGGGCACTCTGTGGAGGCAGAAGATGAAGAGCACTTAGTATCGAGTGCCTCTGTGAGTCATCACAGATATGCTTCTGACCTTCAGACCATTTTGGCACTTAATAGATAATGTTTGTCTTCTCTTGGGTTGTGTAAGCTCAGAGAATTGGTCATCTGTTTTGAATAATTTGATCTTAAATAACATTTTTAAGTAAAGCCACATGAGTGTTATTATATCATTTTATTGCATTAGGAAGCAACAAGAATAAAAATATCCTCTGGGCTTCTGAAGAGATCCAGGGGTTTATTTAATTGTTTATATTATATTAAATGTCTTACTTAAAATTCATGTTTTTCAATGAATGTTGGTAGTTTTTAAATGATAGATTTTATTTTCATCTCCTTATCTTGCATTCTGTCACTAATTCTTTTGTTTCCTTGAGAAGAAATAATAGAATTAGTTTTGGTTCCATACTGTCATCATAAGCATAGTGAGTTTTAACTTTTATTTTTAAATAAGAGAATAGCTCATGTAATTTGAGAATCGATTAATTTTACTTTTTAAGACTTATAATTCAAAGCTGAAGATGACCCTAATAGCTTCTAATGCACTTTTTTTTGTTCTCTTTTTAATTTTCTCCAGAGAGCATATGCCACCAATATTTGGTTATCTGACTCTGAGATGTGCTATGAAACCTTGATTATATGTTAGACTAAATCATCAGCTCCAGAATCTGACTGACTGGATTACAATCTGCTTTTCTGTGTGACCTTAGGGAAGTTTTTTTAAACCCTCCTGGTTATAAAATGACAATACTTCTCTCAATGGTTACCGAAGGGACCAAATGACATAAAGTGCTTAGCAGAGTGGCTGGCACATAGCTAGCACTCAGTACAGGTTCGGTAACAACAAGAGCAACAGTAACACCACCACCACCAAAAGGAGGGAGTGGGGGAAGTCAAGATGATTGCTTGTGCTTAGAACAGAGGATGCCAAGAGACTTCTTTTCTTTTGGGCTGGAAGCTGCTTTCACATTAGCCAGTCTTCTTTTCTTTGAAGTAACAGGGCCACTTTATATAACTTTATATAACTTTATATAAACCACTGACCATGATCATTAATAAATTAAAAAATACTATTTTCATGTCTGGAGCAGTTGCTTAGTATTTATATTCAATAAATCAAAACCCTGGAAGATTAAAAATACATATACCTTTTGGCTAGAAATCTGACTTGTAGGACTCTCTTCTGTAGAAATGAAGACCATTCACATGGCTCTTTATTGGATGTTCTTTGTCGTAGCAGGTGTCGAAAGTGTAAATTTGGGTCTCTGTGTCCTTATTGGCCTGAAGAGTTGTCAACATTATATTATTGGTAAAGGATCAGAACAAGCTGCAGAGGAATGTGTCAGCTTATTATTCTTTGAATAAAGTAGGAAAAGTTTTAAAAAAAAAAATCCCTTCGTATATGTGTCTGTATGTTTATTTGTATATAAAGAAGTATCCTGAGGGAAACATACTATTGTCTAAATGGGATAAGTTTGTGGTCAGTTAAGTGAAAGTTAGGAAGAAATGTTTAATTTTTCCTTTGAAATCTATTTTTTGACATTTTATAAAGGCATATGCAATTTTTGTTAATGTTTTTAATGAAAAGTTAAAATGGGGAAAGAACGAACTGGGTCTCTATGTAAACAAAACAGTTTGCAAGGATATCTAGAATTTAGCTATCTTGTTTTTATATTCTGAGAGCTGATATAAAGAATTTTCCCTAATATACAGTTATTTCCCTGGAAAGCTGATCGATCATTCATCATCAAGTGAGGACATTTCAAATGAAGCTTTTAAAAAATGAAATTTTTAAAGTGGTTATGCTAGAGGCAAAAAAAAAAGAGAGAGAGAAACACCTCTTTAGACCTCTATGAAAAACGAGTTTTAAAACCTAAGGTTTTAATAGAAATGTAATAAGTTATACTGGGTTCTGAATTAACAACAACAAAACCTGAAAACGAAATAGTGTACTCAGTAAAAATAACTTTCCACCCAGCCAAGCTTAGAGATACAGTGATAGAAATATATGTGTATAAATCTGTTTCTAGACCACCTACCTAAGGGAATAAATCAAGATGCACTGAGTTCAGTTATTTTAATTATCCTATAGCTCCCACAGAAAGGAGCTGAGGAGCTGAAAACACTAGGAGAAACAGAAAACCAAAAGCTTCCTTCAGAAATTCTTCACAAATGGCCTGGCGCAGTGGCTCATGCCTGTAATCCCAGCACTTTGGGAGTCCGCGGCGGGCGGATCACTTGAGGCCAGGAGTTCGAGATCAGCCTGGCCAACATGGTGAAACCCCGTCTCTACTAAAAATAAAAAATAAGTTAGCTGGGCTTGGTGGCAGGTGCCTGTAATCCCAGCTATTGGAGAGGCTGAAGCAGGAGAATCACCTGAACCCAGGAGGCAGAGGTTGCAGTGAACTGAGATCGTGCCACTGCACTCCAGCCTGGGTGACAGAACGGGTCTGTCTCAAGAAAAAGAAAAAAAAAGAAATTCTTTACAAATGATAAGTGACATATCCCACAGTGGGTAAATTGTTCACTGTATTATGGTGTATCCTAGGATACTATGCGTATCAGTGAAACATTCTTGGTAACGTGCACCATTTTTTTTTTTTTTGAGAAGGAGTCTCCCTCTATTGCCCAGGCTGGAGTGCAGTAGCACAGTCTCAGCTCACTGCAACCTCTGTCTCCTGGGTTCAAGCGATTCTCCTGCCTCAGCCTCCCGAGTAGCTGGAACTACAGGCGTGCACCACCATGCCTGGCTAGTTTTTTTGTATTTTTAGCAGAGACGGGGTTTCACCATATTGGCCAGGCTGGTCTCAAACTCCTGACCTCGTGATCTGCCTGCCTCGACTTCCCAAAGTGCTGGGATTACCGGCGTGAGCCTCTGTGCCCGGCCAACATGCACCATTCTTGCCAAAGACCTGAACTTTACCATCTTTACTCTTTTTTCAGCAAATTTGTTTGTAAAAACCATTTCCTCCCTGCCTCTTCCTTTCTCTCTATCCCGGTCACTCTCCCTGTATATTTGTATGTGTGTATATACCTGTAATAAAGTCATGCATTGCTTGATGACAAGGATGCATTCTGAGAAATGTATCGTCAGGCGATTTTTTTTCATTATGCGAACATGATAGAGTGCACTTACACAAATCGAGATGGTAGAGCCTACAGCACACCTAGGCTATGTGGTATGGCCTATTGCTCCTAGACTACAAACTGTATAGCATGTGACTGTATTGAATAACTGTAGGCAACTGGAATACTATGGTAAGTATTTGTGTGTCTAAACATGGCAAAGGTGCAGTAAAATTAGAGTATTACAATCTTATGGGACTGCAGTTGTGTATATGGTCCATCTTTCGCCAAAATGTCCTTAAGTGATGCATGACTGTGTGTGTGTGTGTGTGTGTGCATGTGTGTGTGTGAGAAATTCAAAACGTCTGTATTGATATAAACTCATTAGGTGATTTAAAAAAATTGGTTTAGTCAAATTAAATTTTCAAATTGGTTATCCTTTTTTAAATCACATGTCCAATCAAGTACCCAAGAAAGACATATTAATTTTCTGTAATGCATTCTCAATGATATAACATGATCCAAAATTCAGGTCATTTAGATATTGTTTGCTCTTTTAAAAACTTTAAAAAAAAACATTTAAAACTTTTATTATAAAAATGCTCAAAATACACATGAGTAAGAATCCACCCTCAAGCTTGTCTTAAAACAACACTCATAGCTGATAATTCTATGGGTCAGCAGTTGGGGCTGGGCTCAGCTGAATGGTTCAGCTGATCTGAGCCATGCATGGCTGATCTTGGCTGGGTTCACTTTTGCATCTGCAGTCAGCTGTCAGGTCAGCTGGTCCTAACTGGGAAGGCTGAATCCTGCTCCACATTGTCTCCTGTCCTCCAGCAGTCTAGCCTGGACCTGCCCCCGTGGTAGTGAGCATGTTCACATGTTGTTCCTTTCTCTGCTATCTTAGGTTTATTTAGCTCTGCTATCTTAGGTTTATGAATAAAATTAGATATTATTTATATATATACTTACAAGGATATAATGTTCCTCCTGAAGTTATCTAACTAATGTGCTGCCCCTTAAACTGAGAGGCAGCTTAGTATCATGCTTAAGAGCACAAAGTCCAGAGCACATTTCCCTGAGGTTCATATTCTGTCTCCACCACTTACAACCTACATGATCTTGAGCAAGCTACTTAACCCCTCTATGCCTGAGTTCTGTCCTTGTCTGTAATGAGTAAAAGAGTTAATATATGTAAAACATTTGGAAGAGTGCTCAGCACGTATTAAATATCATGTAAGTGTTAGCTATTATCAATTCCCATATTAATTGTTAATATAGATATATATTTAATGATTTGAAAGTTTTTAATAATTGGTTTTATAAGTATAATTAGCAGCTTTCATAATCACCATTAATTATTGTATCCTTTTGCTCTTATAATTAAATATATGTATTTATAATTTAACAGACTTGGTAGCATCTAAGCATTTAAATCACACTAGGAGATTTTTCACTCCACGTTGCACCTAGAATGATTATTTATATTTGAAAATTCATGTTTAGATATTGAAGATAAATTCAAGTGCCATGCCTAGTTTGTATTACTGACCTTGTTATGCTGATTTAAAGATGGATGTTGGTAACCTGTGTAATCGCATGATCATTGATACACATAAATTTTATGGGTGTAAGAAATTTCCTTGAAGTAAGAACTCTGTTATCTTGTCTTCTAGGCTAAGTTCAAATACATTTGGATAAAAACTGGGACCAAGGTTGAATTTTGACATATATCTATTCTATGCCAGTCACCCTTTTAAGAAGTATTTTACGTGATTTACCTTATTTAATTTATTCAACCACCTCTTTGATTAGGAAACTTGCAAAAGAGAGTTAGTTCACTTACTCAAGGACATACAAGGTGTGACTGAGTCAAGATCCTAATTCAGGTTGTTTGGCTACAGAGCTTAGCTTTTCCTACCAAGCTCAGGGAGCCCTCCTCAGGTCCTGCCCAGCACAGTCCAGAGTACTTTGCTTGCTTTAGTCCAATTCTTTCACAGTAGGCACTGTTTGTTTTTGAGTTTATGGACGAACTGACTCAGATTGAGAGTGATTTTCATAAGGTCACAGAACTAGCAAGTTTTGTAAGGTGAGATTTATCTACCAGCCTGCTCTTGGCAAGGAGTGTGACTCTCTCTGTGGCCTCTGCTGTTGGGATGCTGTGTGTGATAAAATCCCCTGCTTCTTTCTTTCCTGAACCCTTGCAGGAGCTTCACCAGAACCTCACAAGCATATAGTGTTGAAATGTTTATGTAATTAAGAAATTTATCCATGTTAAAATTATACCCAGCATTTGCTTTAATTTAAATTTCTTGGTTTAGTGGTAAGATAACTATTTTCCCAGACATCTCCATTCTAATTGTATTTCTGCTAATGCAGATTGCTTTTTCATATTATTTGCTAATTATTTATTGGTATTTTGATGCTTTTTCTGGTTAATTAATCCAACAGATTACTTAAATTCCAGACTTTTGATAATTTATAAACTTGATACTGTGTTGTTAGTTTAATGTGGACACCGTTTCATTTTCTCCACTGACTCACCTTGTTAAATTTTGACCATTCCTTCTTTCTGCCTTCTGATCAAGCAGTGAAAATTCCTGCATGACTCTGGTTTCTGACCCTAGTTGGGCTAATGAAACATCCTTTGGCTTCTTCTTCAGGAATGTGGGGAGCTGTCAATCAGGGATGTCAACAGAACCCTTGGAGTCTTTTGAACTGTTTTTTAGGACAAAGGATGATTTAGCAAGCTTCTTCTGAGTACCACTAGCAAGTGTTTGAATGTGTCAAAGACAGACCTTTAAAATATTTAAGTTTGGCCTGCATTTTATGTAAAAGCTAACTGCACAATTTCTTCTTAAGGCAAGTCATAGTTTAGCTGGTAGACTATCACCAGATAGCTCTGATCTGCAGACCATACTGAGTAGCATAGGCTTTTTTTTCACATGTGGAAAAAAAAGGTTTCTGAATCAACACTAATTTAGGGGAAAAATAAATGGAAGCTTATATTGTGATGGCTTATGTCATTCTGAGATTTACAACAGAAACTAACCCGTTTCTAAAGATGTCAATCAATGAAAAACTTGACGTATGGGAAATTAAACAGTCTCTTTAGAACGTTCTAAATAGTCAACCTGTCACTACTCAATTGTTGTATGTGTGGCTCATTTCCTGAGATACAGTCATTAGCGTCATCAGATAGTTAAAAGGTTGTGTTTGCTTTACTCAGTGTTTGTTTTTTACTTATAAATTACAAAGCTCACACCTAGTATTTTCTACCTAAGTCACTGAAGCAGTTTGTCTAAATGACACACTGTAATACAATTTAGTTCTCATTAAAGCTTCCCTTTTCTTATAAAAGGAGAGCACATTGCTTGTTACTACAGAACCCACCGGGTTTCCTCTCTGCAGTGAGCCTCTTCCAATACTGCTTTGTCTCTTATGATAACTGTGTTTCACAAGTCCCTTTTAAGATTGATGGTCCTAAATCCATAAAGTTTACAGCCACTTCTGGTTGTTACTTATGTAACTGTTGGTGAACTTAATGATCTGATTTGCTAATTCTGTGAATCTCTTTTTATTCTTTCTGTGCTCAGTGAAAACAACTTAAAATATGATATACAACTAAACTGTGAAGTTCTTGCTGCAGGAATAGGTCCAAGTTTGTCTCGTTTGTAGTTCTCAAAGTGCCCCAATACATAATGGGTGCTCAGATGAATCCTGCCATGGCTAAAAGTGACTAGTTAAGGTGAAATAATATATTTTTCTTCAGCTCAATATTTTTATGAATAATAAAAATGGCCGTTCAGTTGTGCTGTGAATCACTAAATTGACAATTGAATATCTTTTTGGTATTTAATATAAATGTCTTAAAGCAAAGGTTATAAGCACATCTGAGGTATATGAGCTGTGCTTATTAATTTTGTAGCACCTAGATTCATGTGGAATTCTCTCAAGTAGAACAGAGTAACGTGAACTAAATGGCATGATTTGTAGAATGATCCATGCCAGGATGATCCCATCAGCTGCTGTCCCTGGTGAGGGAGTGTATTAGTCCATTCTCACACTGCTATGAAGAAACACCTGAGGCTCGGTATTTAAAGGAAAGAGGTTTAATTGACTCACTGTTCCGCGTGACTGGGAAGGACTCAGGAAACTTAGAATCCTGGCAGAAGGTGGAGCAAACACATCCTTCTTCACATGGTGGCAGGAGAGAGAAGTGCCAAGCAGAGGGGGGAAAGCCCCTTATAAAACCATCAGATTTCATGAGAACTCACTCACTATCATGAGGACAACATGAGGGTAACCACCCCCATGATTCAATTAACTCCCACTGGGACCCTCCCACGACATGTGGGGATTATAGGAACTACAATTCAAGATGTAATTTGGGTGGGGACACAGCCAAGCCATATCAGAGAGTAAAGGGATGTGCAGTTGGTTAGAGAGTTTTACTTCAGCTTCCCTGTGATACAGTATTACTTCTTTTTGCTATCTTACTGTGTTTTCACCAGCATGTCATGAATGGGGCAAAAATTAATACAACTAACAAATGGTCTTTTTCAGTAGTTGTTGGGAATCCACAAGGAAGGCAAGAAGAGACAGGGCAAACGGAAAGAAAATGTGTCATTTGGGAGAAGAGAGAATTTTTGTTATTCATGTCTTATTCCCTAGTGGCTGAGAAATAAGTATTTTATGTTTGTAGGAAGGGCATAGAAGAGGCAGTAGCTTAGGAGGGATATATGATATCTGGTCTGCAGAATGTGAATGCAGCTTGGAGACTGTGGTTTCATCAGACTGAAATGGGTGCTAATAAACATTTTTAGGGCGATGGTGGCACCTCCCTGCAGAGGCTTTGTTCCCTTTGAGCTTTGCTCCCGTAGTTCATTTATTTCTCCACAGGCCTTCCTCTTCCCTATTTCAGGAAATTTCTGGAGACATATTCTTTAGGAGCTGTGTCAGTACTGACTGAGGGAGTTGGAGGAGGGGTGTAACCTGGTATTATGATAATCAGGGGATGAGATCAAAGTGTAAAGGACAAATTAAAAATGAAAAGCTTTCTTAGGAAGCAGAGCACAGTGGTTTTGATTATTGGGAGGAGTTGCATTATGGTCTTAAAGCATTTGTGGGCTCTGATGTCAGTTGTAGGTTGCAGCCAGAATTGATTTGATTTTGCAAAATGCAATTGAGTTAGAATAGAAAATGTACATGCAGTACATATATACACATGGTTAGAAGCGTAGTGGTACACTTTTTTTTAATGAAAGCCTGGGTATGTGTGTGTGTAGGTAAATGTATATAGAGACATGTCGCTTTACACATGTATGCTGAAATGTAAAGAACAATATATTGGCGTGGCACAGTGGCTCACATCTGTAATCACAGCACTTGGGAGGCTGAGGCAAGTGGATCACCTGAGGTCAGGAGTTTGAGACCAGCCTGGCCAACATGGTGAAACCCCGTCTCTACTAAAAATACAAAAATTAGCTGGACACAGTGGTGCGTGCTTGTAAACCCAGCTACTCAGGAGGCTGAGGCATGAGAATCACTTGAACCCAGGAGGCAGAGGTTGCAGTGAGCCGAGTTTGTGCCATTGCATTCCCACCTGGGCAACAAGAGCAAAACTCCGTCTTGGAGTAGGGCAGCGGGGGAAGTACAACCTATTATTTCGTACTGAGTTAGTCAAAATGTTTGAAAAATATTAGTCTTAGGAGCACTGCCTTTGCAGTTTGAAGGTAAAAACTTTGCATTCCCCTTGGCCCTATCCGATGCTTTCACTTGTCCTCTAGTGGGTTCACCCTGCTCTCTCTTTCTTCAGAGCTTCATTGTTGTGAGGATTTAATTAGATCAAGTTCATGGAGCACCTGGCTTAGGCACTGGTGGCCCATTTTGTTCCCGTACCCTCTTCCCTTCTCCTTAAGACATGCAGATGTACGTGGTGATTCCATGTGCCGTGGCCTATTGGCACCCTTTATTTTCTCCTTTCCTTGAAGCCGGGTCTTTTCTATATTCAGAGCCTGGGTGCAGCCTTTCCATTCACCATGACCATGTGTGTCCACTTGCTTCCCACTTTCCCTCTTCATTTTCTTCTGCAACGTTCTTTCGTAGTCAAAGGGGTTGGCTTTTATAACTTACCTTTGGGTTAAGAAAGCAGATTTTTCTTTTTTTCATTCTTTTCTTTCAATTTTCCTCATCTGCTGTTGAGGAAAAATGTATATTTGGGTACCAAGGATGCTATATTGTTTACTCTTTGCTATAACTTTAAGCCTATGCTACTCAGTATGGTCGGCAGATCAGAGCTGGCCCACTCATTGTTTCTGGTCCCTGACCAGTACAGAAACTGAGAGCAAGTCTTTAGAAAATTTTTATAGGAATTGGACAGAATAATTTTATTTCATCGAATAATAACAAATCTGGGGCTACCATGTTGTGTGACTAAACAATTTCATTTTTCTAGCAATTCATGTTTATTGTATTTTATATAAATTGGTCTGAGATGCACTGGACTTTTTTTTTTAAAAAAACAACAACAACTGGTTTTTCATTACAGGTTGTTTGAGAAGTGCTGCTCTAGTGAACTGAATTGTTCTAACTGGTTGTATCTGCATAGGTCAGATGAAGCACAAATAACCCCATAAACTAGAGTCAGGAGATATGCCTGCAGTGATGGAACTTGTTAACATTTTGTTTGCCTCTCGTATTCTAAATCCACAAATTTAAAGGCATGGTCATACAAGAAAAAGGCAAAACAGCCAAAGGGAGGCAAAGACCAATAATCTGTGGCTTTTGCTAAAATTAAGAAGTTTAAAAAGTGAATTTTATAATAGCTTTAAAGTTCATAAAATGCTGCTTCTCTGTAAGCCAAAGTATTGAAGAAGCCATGTAACTCTTTCTTCCTGCTGGATAATGGAAAATATTCTTTTGTTGTTGTTGTTTGCAAAGTTTCTCAAATACACTTGGAAGAGAATTCATGTAGTTTTCTCAGCCTTGACAAATCTAGAGCTCCAAACACACCAATGCAAATTTTAATGATGGGTTAGAAAGGAATAATTCTGTGCAGTTATTACTGCTGTCACAAACAATGATGGAAGATAGTTTAATCAAAAGCCTTTGCCAGTGGATATGATTGGCTAAATTTAATTCACCCAGAGATTTGAGAATGTGAACATTGCATGTTCTTATCAAAGAGTTTTCCTTTTTGGGGAAACCAAAATAATTATTCTTAAGAAGCTTCTAAGTCTGCATCTAAAGGCTGTCCCTTTTTGAAGCTGACTCCATCATGCAGAGCTCATTTCATTTGCCTGCAATGGTATATTTTCTACTTATATACTAGTGACTTAAGGGTGTTTTGTTATCTGAACACAAACGGAATTTCTATGCTAATTTGAATTATGATTTTTTAAAAATTTACCGAGCTGGAATGCTTTTTGTAGGAGGAAAGAATTGTAAGGAAGTAACTACAGAGGGAGACCCAATTACTCTTTGAAAATGCATTACCTCGCAGTCAAAACATTTAAGTAGAAGGTGAAAATTAAACATTCAGCCATATAGGGATAGTTTAAAAAACAGACTTAATAGTCTAAAATTGAATATAAATGCTTTGAATTCTGTAATTCTCTAAACATTGGTTGGTGAGTTGACTTTATACCTTCATAGCAGATAGGTGATAAAAACGAACTAAGAAGCAACACTTCTCTCCCTCCTGCCAACTGTAACTTTACTGCAGGTTGCTAGACTTTCATATTTGCTTCTGTAAACTCATTGGCACATAATAGTACACCACTGTCAGGAAACACGAGTGTGGATAGAAACGTCACCTTTTGTACTTTAAAGCTGTGAGTTAAGTCCTGATGGCCACACACTGAAATAAAGATACCCTTTCCCCAAAAACGTAAGGGGAAGATTAATTGAGTTGAAGGTTTTGTGTTATCTCAGTACTAATGTTCTTCTCTCGTAAAGAAAGGAAACTTAAAAATTACCACTTAGGTGAATTATAGTAGGACCAGGAGAGTTGTGAGGTGAACAGGGGGAAATAGAGATAAATGGTAAAGAATTCCAGCTGGGCACAGTGGCTCACACCTGTAATCCTAACATTTGGGAGGGTGAGGCAGGAAGATTGCTTTAATCTTGGAGTTAGAGACCAGCCTGGGCAACATAGTAAGACCCTCTCTCTACAAAATAAAAAATAAAAAAAATTAGCAGGGTGTGGTGATGCACACCTATGATCCCAGCTACTCGGGAGGCTGAAATGGGAGGATCACTTGAGCCCAGGAGGTCGAGGCTGCTATGAGCCGTGACTCTGCCACTGCACTCCAGCCTGGGGGACAGAGTGAGACCCTGTCTCTAAAAAAGAGCCACATAATTTTAAAAAGCCATACATTTAGGAGGGTTGTGGAGCTAAAGTCATCATAATGAAAGTCAGGAGCATTTGCTGGGCTTGTGTTTTGTGGCAGGCTTTGTCCCGCTTGCCTTGTATGCATTCGTGGTTAATTATGAGGCTGCATAGATACACCAATTGGGAGACTGTAGAGGAAGGGAAAAAGGGAATCTCACAGAGGAGTGTACCGCAGGGGAAGGTGCTTGGCAGAGACTTTTCCTCTAAAAGATCATGAGTGTTGAAATCTGAGTGCTGCTTAATTGATTTCCAGATCAGTTGGGAGAGACTAGCTGTGCTAGTGACCATGGGGGCAGTCCAGACAGAATTGCCTCCCAAGGACCTGAACCCCTGCCAGAGGAAGACTGTGCATAGAGTCTGCATTTCCACCAAAGCCCTGCCCCTGCACTTGAGAAGCCTCTCATGAATTTCACAAAATCACATGCTGAAAATAGCAGATCTTAGGCCAGGTGCGGTGGCTCTTGCCTGTAATCCCAGCACTTTGGGAGGCCGAGGTGGGTGGATTACCTGAGGTCAGGAGTTCAAGACCAGCCTGACCAACATGGTGAAACCTTGTCTCTACTAAAAATACAAAAAATTAGCCAGGGATGGTGGCAGGCACCTGTAATCCCAGCTACTCAGGAGGCTGAGGCAGGAGAATCGCTTGAACCCAGGAGGCAGAGGTTGCAGTGAGCTGAGATCACGCCATTGCACTCCAGCCTGGGCGACGAGAGCAAAGCTCCATCTCAAAAAAAAAAAAAAAAAAAAAAAAAAAGGAGAGAGAGAAAATAGCAGATCTTGTGAGAAGAACAGGGTTGGGGCTGACCCTTCCAAATCTATGCAGCTTTGTAGCTGGCAAGTGAACAAAAACATTGACAAAACTAATAAAAGTGCTGGCTCTCTGAACTCCACTCTGGCACAGACCCCATGAGACCATCCTTGGCCCTGAACCCCAGACCCTGAACCCAAGGCCTCCACTTCTTCCCACTCTCCATAGAAGTCCTCGAAGTCATTCTCTTCTAATAGAGACTACTTGCTGTGAACGTAAAAATATCATCTGAGGTTTGTCTTCTTCATCAGTCCTTTTCTTTTTTTTGTCCTTTTTAAACACAGAGGAAGGGGGCAGAGGCTTCACAGTTCTTCACCCGTTCTTACAGTTTCAGAGACAGCTTAGGAGTGGAAAGAGGAATGAAACCACCAAACCCCCCTTCTTGCCACTCCTTGCATTGAGGAAAGATCCACTTCTGTAGGATCTTCAGCTTTGTTTAAAAGACATCATGCACTGATAAAGCTTTCCCTTTATTTGAGAGGACAGTTGCCCCTCATCACTTCACAACATGAATGTCCTGCAAAAAATTGCACATAAACCAAGAGGACTTGTGTGTAATAGGGATGTCACTCCCCTGTCTAGTAATCCTCTATGAGTTAATCTGCACTACAGAAGCATGCCTCAAAGCAAAATAGACTATTCTTAGTCAAACAGGGAAAAAAGGAGGAGAAAAGACTATAAAAGCTAGGATCACTTGAGTAACTTAGATTATACCTGAATTTCACCTGGATCTCAACATAAAAATTCTTGTGTACTTTAGACACAAGAGTGTAAGAGCATTTCATGCTGGAATGGAGCAGAGTGGATTTAGCATTGGAGGCAGGCTGTGTAGCTAGTAAAATAACAGTTTTGGAAAACTGGGTGATTTCCTTAACAGTAATGGTAGAAAGGTACCCAGTTTATGTAAATATGTGAAAGGAGGCCCCTCTGAGTGCTTCACAGGATGTGGGCAACACTTATTTTGCCGTCCTGTGTATATTGCCGTGCTTTCCACCCATGCTTGCCCAAGCTTAAGTGATGGGAACAATGAGAGATACAATATTCTTGGCAATATGGCCATACTCCAGGTTTTGTTCATTCAGACGTGACCTCAAGAACATGTCATGCCTCAGCTCCACCAGTAAGGATATATGTGGTAACTGTTGTAGATAACAGAGCCCCCAGTGATAGAATCTGGCGTAAATCAGCTTCTATTTCACTAAGAGCAGGAAAACACAATCTGTAACTCATACACAGGAACGTCCTACTCTGGATTTATGATGGGGTTCATCAACCCTGCATGTTTTGAAGATTTTTTACATTTGTAAACAGTAACTAACCTGAATTATTTCAATGATACTCTCGTCACTTGTTCTTTCTCTGCCCCTCTTTCTTAAATGACAGTTAAAGTTCTTCCTTAATGCTGAAATATATTTCATAGGTAAGTTATATTTCACAGATAGGTTCGCTTGTGACTTGGCTTTTGTATTTCTAGGTACATAACATTCATTGCTTGAAAAATTGCTCTGTTTTAAAATAGCTACTATAATTTCCCTTCACTGCTGTGAAAGGGTATTTTTTTCATATGTGTTCAAAAAGCACATGAAGAAACATGGGGTTACTGGAGTGTGGCATAATGAGTAATGGGCTGGAAACTCAGAAGCTCAAAGTTCTGGTTTTGCCACTAACTCATCCTAAAACCTAGATAAGCTGCTTCTAATCTCTCTGTGACCCCATTCCTGTTTATCATAAATGGTGTTAAACCTGGCTCACCTCATAGCTGTAAAGGTAGCAACCATAAGAAAGCATATGATAATATAGATCCTTTAACAACAACCTCTTAATCGGTGAAGGATATCTACATCTGTATTTTTCATTTGATACTTACAGTCATTCTTTGGGAATTACTATAAAAAAGTGGTCTTCTTGTTTTGCTGTTTAGGCAATCACAGCATGTAAACAAGACAGAAATTCCATACATTTTCTAGTACCGTGTATGTGTGTGTTTACTGATAATGTGTGGGTAGACAATAAACACATATTAACATATATACACACCTTGAACATTGTGATTCACAATGAGGGTACCCATCTGTGTAGTATTTTTATTTTTTTCATTTTTATACTCCAAGTTCAGGTGTACTTGCTCCTTAGAATTTCAACGCATTTTTTCTCTGTGCTAAAGCCGACCTATGATAGCCTATTTTCCCTTGTATCTTAGAACATTTTGCTTTTATCTTTTACTGTGTGAAATATAAAATTCATATGGGGAAGGCTCAAGTGCTTGGTATCTGGAAAGCTTGAATCCATCTGGAAGCTCCTCAACACTCATGGGTAGGTTAGGGCCATTGGGGTCAAGATCCAAAGAGCTCGTGAGACTTCTTAGAATGATCGTCCTTCAGTTGGGACAATGATTGCCTAAGTCATCACCTTGTTGTGAGAACACCTCCACTGTCAAGGAGAAGTCAGTTGTTCCAGTGATGGAGGTGGGGTACTGGTGCTGAAGTGCAAGAGGATCGTATTACATTGACAGCAGGGAACAGATGGGGCCAATATCATGACCCTAAGATGCACAGCCCACCCAATCTTTTGTCTTTCTCTAGGTTATACAGAGTGATTACTGAGTATTGCTAACATGATGGGACAGTGCTGTTCAGTAGAACTTTCTGCTGGATGGAGATGCTCTGTATCTGTGCTGCCCAGTGTGGTAGCTACTTGTCACACGTGGCTATTGAGCACTTGAAACACAGTTGGTGTGAATGAGGACACGCATTTTAAATATGGAATTTTAATTTTTATTTTAAATAATCACCTGTGACTCCTGACTGCTAGACCTAAGGCGAGTCTACAAACATTATGCTACATTTCTGTTATTTAGAAGTCAAATTACAGTAACATCCAGGGAATTTTCCATTAATACTATGTGCACTCTTGAGAACATATAGGGGGATGATAGGAGGAGGAGGTGGTGATATATGAAATAGGAATGGAAGAAATGGCAGTTTAAGCCTAAGTAAGACATGGAATTGCAGTGCCAACCCATGTAAATGGTGGTGGGTTTTCAGAGATAACCAGAAAGTAGTGTTTCAGGGTATGACTCTCCTTGATTTTGTTTTTGCAGGTTCTTTCATGCTGGTGAATGCCTCTGGGAGACCTGAGGGGCAGAGAGCCCACCTGCTCTTACCCCAACTTAAAGAAAATGACACCCACTGCATCGATTTTCACTATTTTGTGTCCAGCAAGAGTAATTCTCCTCCGGGGTTACTCAATGTCTACGTGAAGGTCAATAACGGGCCACTGGGGAATCCTATCTGGAATATATCTGGAGACCCAACACGTACATGGAACAGGGCAGAACTGGCCATTAGTACTTTCTGGCCTAACTTTTATCAGGTATGTGCTTTCTTTTTATTACATATTTTGAAGCATCCTCTAATTTCTAAAAATATAAATTATTGTTATATCATTATAATCAGAAAAGGTTGTTGTATTTTTGTTGGCAAGGTTGTGGAGAAAGGGGAACTCTCATCCTATACTGTTGGTGGGATTGTAAATTAGTTCAGCCCCTTTGTAAAGCAGCTTGGATACTTCTCAAAGAACTGAACAGAGACTTACTGTTCAACCCAGCAATCCCATTACTGGGTATATAACCAAAGGAAAATCAATTACATGAGTTCAGGTGTTTTTTTGGTAGAATGTTTATCACAGCACAATTCATAATAGCAAAGACATGGAATCCACCTAGGTGTCCATCAGTGGTGGACTGGATTAAAAAAAACATGGTACATACACACCATGGAATAGTGTGCAGCCATAAAAAAGAATGAAATCATGTCTTTAGCAGCAACTGGAAGCCATTATCCCAAGCGAATTAATGCAAAAACAGAAAACCAAATGCTGCATGTTTTTACTTATAAGTAGGAGCTAAGCACTGGGTGCACATGGACATAAAGATGGGAATAGTAGACACTAGAGAATACAAAAAGGAGGGGAGCAAGGGTGGAAAAACTAACTTTTGGGTGCTGTGCTCACTACCTGGGTGACGGGATTAATCATACCTCCAAACCTCAGAATCATGCAGTTTACCCAGGTAACAAACCTGCACCTGTTCCTCCTGAATCTGCAATTTAAATAAATGAATAAATAAATAAATAAATTTTTATAACAGTGCAAGAAAAACCTATGCTATTTGATAAGGAGTGTCTTAAGGCTTTGTCAAATTAGTAAAAAATACAATTCAAAATTTGTTTATGCCTGGCATGTATTGTTTTAAGAAAATAAAAGCAGTCACTTGTAGGAGGGCAAGAAATGCTATGTACGGGGTTTGCAAATATATTTTCTTTTCTTTCTTTTTTTTTTTTTTTTTTTTTGAGACTGGGACTCGTTCCATCACCCGGGCTGGAGTACAGTGTTGTGATCACAATTCACTCCAGCCTCAAACTCCTGGGCTCAAGTGATTCTCCCACCTCAGCCTCCCAAGTAGCTGGAACTATAGACATATGCCACCTGTCGGGCTAATTTTTTATATTTTTTTTGTAGAGACAGGGCCTTGCTATGTTGCCCAGGCTGGTCTCAAACTTCTGGTCGCAGGTGATCCTGCCACCCTAGCCTCCCAGAGTGCTAGAATTACAGGCATGAGCCATTGTGCCCAGCTGGATATTTTAGTTTCTATATTAAGTAGGCCATATGTGACGCAGAAAGGCATAGCACCTGAGTCTAAAAGAAGACACCCTCTGCAAATGGGTCTCAGGAGTAAATGAGATGAGCCCTGTGGAGACGAGCCAGTGAGGGGCAGGTCCCTGCTTCTACCCATGTAAGCAACAGGAAGAAAGTACCAGATGTAGATGGAGTCCTTGTCACAGAGGCACTGCCACAAGACCTGTCCTGTTATTTTGGGGGCTCTGTGGAGACCTGCAGTAACTGCTTTGAGTTCCTGTTTAAAGTAACTGAAGGGCGGAGGCCCATGGACATTCAGAAGTGGTACCAAAGCAGTTCTGACGTCACGTCCTGTCTGCCCTTCTGTGGGGGATTCCTGTGACACAAGAGCATCCTAACTTAGGATCAAAGTGGGAAATTAGTGACAATGGGCATTTGGAGAGCTTTTTCTTTTTTGTCCACAGCATCTTTTAAAAATAACAGTATTGAAAATACTCAATTAATGGCCAACTACGAGGAGGAATAAAGAGGATTGCAATATTTTGCTTTTCTCTTTCTTTAATTCCTTTGGCTCAGACAGGAGCCAGCTGGAACATGCATCTAAGATCATTTTTCATGTTTAATTGAGGTGCTTGGCTAGACATAGGGAAGGGAAAGCTAGGGCTTTCCAGGGCTGCTTGTCTTCAAAATGGGCGTGAACAGCATCCAGTAATCCATTCTGCAGCTTTGGTGTTTATGAGTTAAGATCCATCAACCCCAATTTCTCTCTCCCTGGACTGATGAATAAATGGGCTGTAAATTTCTTGCTTAATTTATCTTTGTAGGCATATACCTACAACAATTTCTAGGATTTAATGAGTGACAAGTAAATGTGTTGTTTTTTTTTAATGGAAATGAAGACATAGGGAAAGCTCTGTGAGTACACGTGTAAATTGTTAAGATCTTTTTAGAGTATGTACTTTGGCAGTAAGTTTTAAAATTGTTAAAAAATTTAGATATGCTTAAATCTAGCAGTCCACTATTAGGAATTTATCCTAAAGAAGTAATGAAGAGTGATTGCAAATAATTAACTACTGGGATATTCATAGCAGCTTATTTATAGTAAAGAAAAATCAGAAACAGTATTTTTCCAACAATAGAGGATTTGTTAATTTATGCTACCTCAATACAAAAATTTATTTTGCAGCCATTAAGAATAATGTTATGGAAGAAAATTTAATGATACATTTAAGGTTATGTTGTTAAATGGATTAAACAGGTATAAAGCAATACATTAAATTCTATTTTTAAGTTTAAAAAATCTAATAAAGACTGAAATATATCCTGAAATAAATACTTAAGAAAGTGGTATCTTGGCAGGGCACAGCGGCTCAAGCCTGTAATCCCAGCACTTTGGGAGGCCGAGGTGGGAGGATCACCTGGGTCCAGGAGTTTAAGACCAGCCTGGGCAACATGGCGAAATCCAGTGTCTCCAAAAAAAAAAAAAAACAACAAAATTAGCAGGACATGGTGGCGTGTGCCTGTAGTTGCAGCTACTCAGGAGGCTGAGGCTGGAAGATCGCTTGAGCCTGGGAGGTCGAGGCTTCAGTGAGCCGTGGTCATGCCACTGCACTCCAGCCTGGGTGACAGAGTGAGACCTTGCCTCAAGAAAAAAAATAAAAATAAGGAAAAAAGAAAGCAGAATCTCTCTAGCTAGTGGGATAACAGGTAAATTTTTTTTTTTTGGCCATCTGTTATATTCTCAGTTTTCCCCAACGTACATGTACTGTTTTTATTTATAAAACAAAAAGTAAAAATTTGTTTTTCCTCCAGAAGGAAAATATCTTTTTAATAAACACATGCTTTTTATATAAATGTACTGGTGACCAATCAGTAGTTTAAAGCATATGGCCTCTGGGACAAAACTTAGGAAATGCGTTTCATAGGGTTAAAAAGCAAGTGGGTGGCCGGGCGCAATGGCTCGTGCCTTTAGTCCTAGCACTTTGGGAGGCTGAGGCAGGTAGGCAGGTGGATTGCTTGAGGTCACGAGTTCAGGACCAGCCTGGTCAACATGGTGAAACCCCATCTTTACTAAAAATACAAAAATTAGCTGGGCATGGTGGTGCGTGCCCGTAGTCCCAGCCACTTGGGAGGCTGAGGCACAAGAATCCCTTCAACCAGGGAGGCGGAGTTTGCAGTGAGCTGACATTGTGCCACTGCACTCCAGCCTGGGAGACAGAACGAGACCCTGTCTCAAAAAAGGAAAAAAAAAGAAAGGCAATCAGTAGAACTGGGTTTGGCCAAGCTAGGCCTCCAGAGGTTTTTGTATGGTGGCCTAGGCTGAGAAGCTGAATGTGATTAAAAACCTTCTTTTGGAGGAGCCTTTCCCAAAGTAGGGAAGACAGGGATCTGGAATGTTCCCACTGCCCCTCTGGGACCTATTCTAGGTTCTTCCTCAGTCTCCAGTTGTCTGCTGGATTGAGGCCAGTGGACAGCACTCCTAGTTGATATCAGAAGGTATGTCCTGCTCATGTTTTCCCTGAGTTTCTTCTCTTGGGCCTTAGCAGTGTCCACACAAAACCTCTAGAATGGGCTTTCTTGAGACCATCACAGCCTCCAGAGCCACAGTGTGCTGGTTTAGCGTGGCCTTGGCTGCAGTCAGACGTGGAATTTCTGTTTTGCCTTTTATGTCCCTACCTCAGTCAGCTGCATTAAAGGAATGATGCGGTTTATGAACAGTCTTGGAAGACCAGACTTTAAAAAGGAACTGTTAAACTACATTGAGAGTAAGATGGTCCCATATATTTCAGGCCATTGTCATTTTCAGTGAATTCTTACTTATCTTGAGCACCTTTGGATAACATATTTCACCTTCCCAATTGTGAACTTTTCTGCTCCTAACCTTTAAGCCCTCTCACTTTTCACTGTCATCACTCACACTTTACTGAGCAGTAAATGATTTGCCAAATTAAGTTAGAAGTTTTTTCTCATAGCTTTTTGGTTCATTTTTGAATGTATTGCTTCATTGATATCTTAGTCTGCTGTGCTGCAGTAACAAAATACCACAGGACTGTACGGCTTAAACAACAGACAATATTTCTCACATTTCTAGTTTGAGAAGTCCAAGATCAGGGTGCCAGCATCGTCCGATTCTGGTGAAAGTTCTCTTCCTGGTTTGCAGATGGTCATCTTCTTTCTGTGTCCTCACACAGTTAGGGGGAGGTCAGGGAAGCAAGAGCTCTCACGCCTCTCTTCTTATGAAGGTCTACTCCCATCATGAGGGCTGTCCCCTCGTCACCCCATCGCCTCCCCAAGGCCCACCTCCTAATACCACCATTTTTGGGATTAGGGTTTCAGCGTGAACTTGGGGAGTACACAAACATTCAGTTCATAGCACTGATAGATTCATTAGGAATAGCTTCATACTTTGAATTTAAAGATGGATTTGTAGAGATTCTTTAATACAGTGTTGCTAAGTTTTTATTTTTTTGTTGTTGGGAAAATTTTTATTTTAAAATGGAAATGGAAATATACAGGAAAAGCTTGTGCTTTCCTTTTTTTTCTTTGCATAAACAATAATAATGCAATCCAGGTCAAAGCACAAGGCAGAAACTTGAGAAAAGAACAGTTATTACAAGTACATGGTCTTCTTTTCAAATATCCATGAAAACGTTTAACGACTGGATGGCTAGGTACCTACAGAAAGCTCCAAAGCAGTAATCTGGCCTTTTAGTTTCAACAGGACTATTTTGAATCTTAGATTTATCAGTCACTCCTTTCCCATTCTACTTGTTCTAAGAATTAAGTATATAATGAAAATAAAAAGCCCACATCCTGACTTTAAATCTCCACTCTCCTAAAAACCTGTTTGAGGAAACAAAAATGGGGAAGAAGAAGATCAGAGCAAAAATATTGTTAACACTGGCCGCCCTCATGCAGGTGGGCTACTACCAACTCCTGATGAACATCTGTAAAGAGTATAGATCTACTGAAAACCCACTTGTTTGTTTAATTCCTGAGCACTTCCAGCAAGCATCGGCCTTGGAACTTTTAAAGACAGAGTTAAGGTAGCACTTCCTTATTATTTCCCCTTTATCTGCTGGGCAGTAAACAAATTGAAATCATTGCCCTAATAGCAATATAAACTATTAGGTAAATGGCACATTGTAGATGCGGCAAGAGAAATGTCAGCAGGAAACTTCCCAGACACTGAACTGCAGGCCTTAAAATCGCTATGTAAGACCTGAATGAGGTTTCCCAGTTGGGTTAAGAAGGACAGGCCGTATTCACAGATACAAAGTAAAAGGAAGACACCTACCAAATCCAATTTTCACCCCTGGCCTGAGGTGTCAGCCTAATTAGAGATGGTCAGAAGAAAAGCCTGGACAAAAAACAAAACAAACAAACAAACAAAAAAACAATAAGCTCTGAAGTTGAGCCAGGGGAGGGGCTTCCTTGGGCTGCAGATCCAGTCCCTAGTCCATGGGGCCAGCACACGTGTACCGAGGAGATGCCTGTTGTAGTCTGATGCTCTCAGAAATACAAGTCATGCAAGAGCCCGTCTGCTTTTGATATGATTTCCCATATAGATTTCTTTATAAGGAGTTCTGTACTGGCCTGAAAATGTGACTCTGGTTTTTGACTATTATATTTCTGATTCCAAAATATAAAAAATATATTTTCCAAGCCAGGCATGGTGGCTCACGCCTGTAATCCCAGCACTTTGGGAGGCTGAGGCAGGCGGATCATGAGGTCAGGAGATCGAGACCAGCCTGGCTAACACGGTGAAACCCCGTCTCTACTAAAAAACACAAAAAATTAGCGGGCGTGGTGGCGGGCACCTGTAGTCCCAGCTACTCGGGAGGCTGAGGCAGGAGAATGGCGTGAACCTGGCAGGCAGAGCTTGCAGTGAGCCGAGATTGCGCCACTGCACTCCAGCCTAGGGGGCAGAGCAAGACTCCGTCTCAGGAAAAATATATATATATATATATTTTTTAATATTTTTTTTCCAGTATTATGTGTGCATGGATACATGTGTGTAACATTTTCTTATGTGAACATGGTGCATAAAACTCAATATCCAAGTGATGCATTCTCAGGCTGTTTCTAGGCCTGAAAGCTGAAGACAAGATAATAGGATATGGGCATCTAAAGGAGGTGACACCTTTGAGAAGCCCTCTCTCAAGGTACAGGAAGTCAGCTTCCTCTAGACACCACCTCTACAATTATTACGTAGGCTGCAGGATATATTCTAGAATTCTAAAATATTAATATAAGTTTCATGTATACTTGAAATATTTATGTGTTAAAATACTTCATGCAGTACTTTATTTCTATAAGCAAATTTCACACTAGTAAGTAGTTTTGATATGAGTGAAAATTGATTAATGAATTCTTTTAAAGGAATTTCATATTATAAATTGTTTGCACATGGGCAGCATCAGAGGACAGTAAAAGAACATACACTTTGTGTTACAAAGAATGGGATTTGAATATCAGCCCTGCTTACTTAGAAGCTTGGGCAACTGATTTAAACTTTATGAGCCTCACTTTCCTAATTACAGCGGGGTGGGGGGTAGTGATTAGGGGTAATTAGGGGTTGGAGATGAAAGGAAAAGCACATTGGGGATATGCTAGCCTCTTAAGAAGCGGTGGCAGTTTGTTGAGCCACTGTTAAGATTTGTGGAAGATGGTAAAAAGAGGGAACCAGTTAATAGTTGATGCTTTCTCCCTGCTAAGGCGCTTCCTAAATGTGTTTAGTGGAATGTCAAAAGGTGTTAAATGAAAAAGGGTTCCAGGAACAAATCCTTTTGTGGAACACTGCATGAGACAAAGTGAACCAAGTTCCCTTCTGTCAGAACATTCCAGACCTGCTGTCATACAGCACTGCAAGGTGAGGTTCTGTGAGGGTCCGTGCAGTTCTCCCTTCCCTGGACTTGTTTGACTGCATCTCAAGGACCAGGTGCCCTTGGGTTGTATTCAGGGACCGCTGTGTTGGGCTCTTCAGTTGGCTATTTCCCATGACCTTCTGTGCCTTCTTCCAGAACGTCCATTTCTCACTTCGCTTTGGCTACAAAATACTGAGTTAATTTTCATCTTGATCAGCATCTGAACTCTGCAATTGTTGGACTAGGCAAAGTTTTCAGGCAATCTAGACACAAGTGTCCTGTGTACTTTTGATAACCATAATAGGTCTTTTGGGGCATCTCTTACTTTCACAGTTTTTTCCTCTAGCTTTAATATTGACATTGTTAGACATTTATAGAATTTTGAAAAGTTTCTTAGCAGAGTAAAGTGTTCTTGCCACAGTAGTCATTTTGTGTAGTTTTTACTATTTATGGTAGAATAGTATGCTACAGGTACACATCACAATGGTAACCTGCATGGAATACAGCTAATCGCAGGTTAATTACTGTTCCTTAAAACATAAATTGCCAAGTATTTAGTGATTAACACATATTTAATTCCTTAATTAATGTTTTTCCTAATTGCTTCTGTGTTGACCTGCCCTCCTATGGTTGGGAAGCAGTGGGGAAGGGCAGGTACCTGCCATCCTCAGGGCACCTGCCTCCTTTGATTTAGACATTGATTTTTTGCCATTTGAAGAATAATATTTTCCTCATGTACTCGCCCTTTTGCTTTATTGTGCTGATAAAAAAAAAGAACTCTGCTTTGATTCTGCACCCCCGCCTCCTGTTTCCCACCCCTACACCCTGAGGCAAAGGAGCTAGCCACAGATTTCGTCATATTCTAATCATGCATGCACCCCAGAAGCCTCAGCTCCTACCCAGAATTTCAGCCTTCCTCTCTGCTTTCAGAAGACAGTGATTTTGAGCCCAGTCAGAGGCCAGGGAGGCAGTGATCTTTGATATAAATGGTTGCTTTAAAAAGAGAAACAATGCATAGGTAGCTGAAAATCTCCTTCCCCCATGGGTCTCCATAAAGAAGTGGGGCTGGGGAGGGTGGGCATGGACTATAGGGAATGGGAGGATAAAGTTATCAAATATGAGAGCCTTGTGGGTTCACGAGAGCCTCCTTGTTAAAACAAATGCCTTAGATATACTGAAGGGTCCTGGGAGAAGATTAGGTGTGGATTCAGCTTGCGCCCTGCTTGGAGTTCTTTGTGCAGCAAGGACTCAAAGGAACTTGTACTGGGGAGAGGGGCACTAAACCAAGATTCACCCTTATCAGTCTGACATCTTTCCTGGTAAAAGAGGAGTTGAGGGAATAGGGATGACTTGATCTTACCTATCTTTTCACATTTTGCTGCAAACTTTATTCCCCTGCACAGCTAGCTCGGTGCCTGTTTCTTTGCTGTATTTGCCTTCAGCCCACTGATTTTACTACAAAGCCATGTAAAGCCACAGCTAAGTGACAGCAGGCCCGCATACATTTGCTGCCTAGAGACAGTGTTTTAGAGTTGAATTGGTGAGTCTTTTCTAGATTGTGTTCCACAAATCCAGGGAATGTTAGGAGGCATTAATTGACCAAATGGAAAGAAGCACTGGGTTAAACAAAGTAGAACTGCTTCGTTCTGCAGGCCATTTCGGAGGCTAGGAGTGTTTTTGAATCTCCGGGAAGGACACATGGTGAGTGTGGGTGCCCAGCTGGAGCCAGAATTTGGGCTTTGCTGAGTATTTCTTGAGTCTAGTGTTCCCTGAAGTACACTTGGGAATACTGATATGTGCCAGTTGAAAAATAGAACATACTTTGACTCCATAAATTCCTTGGCTATGGCCCTTATTCCAAGTGCAAGACAATTGAATTGCTTCATGCCTCTAGAGGATGTGGGGAATTTGCTGTGGCAGTGAAATATCACTCTCTCTCAAGCAGGAAAGCTAGTCTAGTAGGTGCCGCAATACTCTGCATTTTGTGCTTAAAAAAGACAATATGTCTCAAGAAGCCACTGGGGACACAGTAGGTTGTCAGTTTAATATTGACTTAGAACTGTATTTAGGAAGTAGAACAATTTGCGTGATTGTTTTCACCCTCAAAGATCTTATTTTTGATTATTTTTTAAAACTTGCCACATCTCTAAATTTCATTCTTAACTTGTACTTCTTATGTGATGATAAAGGATAAGTACTTCTATTGTTTACCATCTTAATCTCTGCGTGGTCTGCCGCTATATGCATATCAACCCTGTTCTTTATGACTTCTAAGCCATGTTTTTGTCCTCTACCTTAATTTCTGTGCACGGCCTCTTGAATGAGTATATGACCTATGATTATATCATACTTTTCTCTAAAGGGAAGGAGGAAACAAAGAGAAAAGTGAGGAAGGTTGTGTTATTGGTAGGAAAAACAGGTGAAGACATTTAAAAATAACATTGCAAGCACTAATAATTAGCTCCATTGCAAATTTTGCTGTCTTTTGAGTGCCTTTAGCTTTCTCAAAGTAGATTTTTATTTTATTTTCTGATAACATGTCAATACAAACACAAATGCTTGAATATTTTGCTCCTGATTCTTAATGTGACATGTTTTGTGGTTTTGCCTGGACTCTTTAATATTAAAGAAACTTTACTGTATATGTTTTATTTTTATGTAACTCATTTGACACAAACAAGATAAAGTTTTTGTAAATGGGTGTGACCCACCTTTGCATTTTATTTAAATCAAAACCAGAAGGATAGACTAGGTAATGTGTGGGAGAACCAACGTTTAATCCCCTTTGTTCTAGGGAACTGACTAATGACTTCCACCAGCACATTTTCCTTGGTGAGTATCTGTGTTGGTAAGCAAATCCCTTTCTTTGCTTACACATAGCAAGGAAAAGTGGCAGCATGGAAAGCTAATTTTGCTCTTCACTGAAGCGGGGAGGATCAGGGAGGCTGTGGTGTTAAACTGCTTCTGCATTTCTCCTGTTTGGCAGACATCTGAAGGATAGCCTGATGTCAAACCTCTCAGAGGCCAGTATCCAGGATGGATTTTCATGAGCAAATGAGAGCAATAGTCAGTTTAAACAACTGGTTTAACCAGTTGTTTCCTCTCTGAAAGCAAATGGCTTTTCCCACAGTCTCCAAAGGCTATAGGGATACAACATCTTGTCTCCTGAAATGCTATTAGTTGAGATTGAATGAATATTGATTCTCTCTATTCTACATTTTCTTACATCCCAGGGCTGCAAATATCTGGGCGTTATCAGCAAAACAGTGAAATGGAGACTCAGAGTGAACCACATCACATGAATAGAGTTGATTCTCGATTATTTGCAGCAGTTATGTTCTGTAAAATTACAGAGAACACTGAATTAGTGAATACTGAACTACTTCTATAGGAAATATGGGGTTAGGTTCCTGTGAGCCTTTGGTCACAATGTTTTTGTAATGTTTTTGTCTACTGATCAATACCGGATGCCGTATGTAATTTATGTTGTTGATTCATTAACTTTGAACCTATGGCAAAGGCCAGTACCACTGTAACTCATGCTGACTGGAGCGCTTCTAACATGTGTATTTTTTCCTTAAGGCTCATCTTAGCGTCCTTGCACTCTCAGGAGCACTAGACAGCCCTGAAGCACTATATTTGGGTTCATTTTAAAAAGCAACGTTACCAAAAAGAAGCACAAAAATGGAAAAGCATGGCACTAACTAGACCACGATAAGGATACTCTTTTATAGTATCAGAGCTGAAACAAGGCGACAGAACATTGCCCTGCCTGACTTCAGCTAGGAACATGTGTGTTGAGCAACTCACATTTTTTGCTGCTCTGTGCATGTCCGCAGATACCATGAAAGCTTTGCAAGTATTGATTTTTGGGGGTTACAAATAAATTTTAGGGAGTAGCAAATTCACAAATATGAGCCTTGAATAATGAGGATTGACTGTATTTTCTGTCAAGCCAAGTCAAAAAAACTAAGTTCTGTGTTGTGACAAAATTATTTCATAATAAGATAAGGTGACTCTGTGATTCTGTCAGACCCACAACTTTTAAAATAATCACAATTTAGATTGGGCTAAAGGGCAAAAACATTTTTCCTAAAAATGTTTGTTTCAGTAAAAACAACAAACAAAAACCATTTAGTCCAAATTTAGCTAACACCAAAGAAGATGGTATAAAATGAGATCTTAGGGTAGGTTTTAATATTAAAGTGTTACTAATTCTCAGTAGTTTACAGTGTCTTTATAGAAGATTTTTGACTTCTAAATGAGTTAGGTTTTATTTTATTTTATTTTTAATTTTTCTGATATTTTGAGGCCTATGAAGTAATTAATTTTTCTGGCTTTGTTTTGGTATATTGCAAATATGTATTTTAAAAATTTGATAATGATATTACAAACTTAAGTGGGTATTTAGAAAACCACACATGTGATATAATTGAAAACAAGTCAAGCCAGGGACAGGGTCTTCTTCTCATTGCTAGAATGTGAGGCTCCCCCATGGAGCGCAAGGCATATTGTATTTGGCTGTGATAAAGTATTGCTTTTGACATGTGCTTTCTTGTTAATCAGAGTATTGATGGTGCATTGGTGAGCCAAGCAGGAAAGTTTTCTCTAAAAACAGGAGGCTAGATAGTAAATATTTCAGGCTTTACAGTCCAAACGCTGTCTGTGGCAGCTACTCAACTCTGCTGCTGTTGTATGAAAGCAGCCATAGCCAAGATGTAAATGAATAAACGTGGCTTTGTTCCAATAAAACTTTATTCATGGACATTGAAATCTGAATTTCATATAATTCTCTTGTATCACAAAATATTCTTCTTTCTGTTTTCTCCCACCAGTGAAAACTATAAAAACCATCTTTAGCTTGTGAGCGATATAAAAACAGGTGGTGGGACAGATTTGGCCGTGGGCTGTAGTTTGCCAACTCTTGTATTAAACTTGATGCTGTCAAAACTATGCCGTATCAGTCTTCCCAATTGCTATATTTCTTATAAATCTGGATGTAAAAATTTTAGAACCTGTGTATCTATACATTAAAAGGTGTGTGTGTGTGTGTGTATATATATGTATGTAAAGGTATTCTATATACATATAGTGTCTCATACTTGCTAGTTAGGCAGTTTGGCAACATGAAAAGAGTCCAGACTTGGAAGCAAAATAGATCTAGGATTAGACCCAAATCTGTAACTACTTGTGTGAACTCAGAAAAATTACTTAACCTTTCTAAGTCATCTTATCCCTGAAAGGGAGCTAATATGACCTACCTCACATAATTGATGGGGGAAAATTAGATAATATATGCAAAGGATACCTGGGACATGGAAGTATACAAATAAATAGTTTTTTTTGAATTACTAAATTATTCTTTTTGAAGAAAAACTTGGTACATGGCTCCATAAGAAATTCAAACCTTCTAATATAGAATATTTTCAATATATTTTGTTCCGTTTCATAAAAATGAACATGGCACATCCCCAGATCAATTTCTTACACGTTTCTTTTTTCCTTTTCCAATGGTACTGTTGGTATTCTCATGTTACTCTTTCCTCTGACCTCAATCTTTTTCGACCCGGATGCTGGCATTTTCAAACATTCCTATGATTCCCACTGGGTTCTGCACACACTTGGTATACTTCACTAGAGCAATACCTGTACTTTTCATTAGAGTAGTTCCTTATTTGACAAAAAGAGAAAAAAGATTATTTTTGCTTTTGAAGCCTTATAAGGGCACTGGCTAGAGAGGTGTACATAATGGAAAATTTGCCAGATAGCCAGAGTTCACAACAGTGGAACCTTGAACAGAATTCCAAAATCTGTTTATAAGAAACTTGTTTAAGATGACCCTCATCCTTTGAGCTGCATGTTTTTTTTTTCTTTTTTGATAACGGAGTCTTACTCTGTCGCCAGGCTGCAGTGCAGTGGCACAATCTTGGCTCACTGCAACCTCTGCCTCCCGAGTTCAAGTGATTCTCTTGCCTCAGGCTCCCGAGTAGCTGGGACTACAGGCGCCCGCCAACACGCCCGGCTAATTTTTGTATTTTTAGTAGAGACGGGTTTCACCATGTTGGCCAGGATGGGCTCGATCCCTTGACCTTGTGATCCACTCACCTTGGCCTCCCAAAGTGCTGGGATTACAGGCATGAACCACTGTGCCTGGCCTGAGCTGCATGTTTTAATCCTCTTGTTTGTTAGAAAAAAAACAAAGGGAAATCTCTCAATGGTTGGGTGTTTAAAATAGGTAATCTCAGACTACTGTATGGCATCTAAATTCAGATAACTTCATTTAGTCGTATTTATTTCACAATAGGAAACTCTCCAGTACAGCTCATACCTACTTTATAATTGTGGTATGTATTGAAACAGTTGCATACTAAGTTGTAAACTTGATGAAGCAGCTAATAAAACTTGTACTCAAGTCCCTTAACAAGTTTCTAAGAAAGAACTAGAAAATGGTTTTAATAAACATAGAAGTTGTTGCTTCAAACTTGTGACACAAATGTATGACATAAGAAACTTTTGTTTATATATTATGTATTAATTTTGTATGTATGTATGGGTAGGCATGCACACATAAACGTATCAACAAAGATTGCTTTTCTCCTATCTTGACTCTGCAATTAGCTTTAAGTCAGTGTTGGAACCTGTCAAGTTTGAGAAGTTTACTTTTTAAAGTTTCTAATTAAACTCAGAGGGGGCAGGAAACATATTTGTAATCAGCTGCTGTCCTTCTTTGCCTCTTGATATTCTAGTTGGAAGACTGAGGGGAGCAAATAAAATTGCAGATAGAAGCTTGTCTCTAATTCTTTTTTGTGGCCTTGCTGACAAGTCATCTTGCTGGGAAATATGGGGCGAATTGGCTTGTTTCTGAGACTCTCTTTGCCTCTAGTCCACAGGGATGAAGGCAGATAGTTGCTGGGAAATCCATGAGTTGATACTAGCAGGCTGAAGCTCTGTGCTGGGGGTTGTGTGGCTGTGGCACAGGTTCCCTGGCTTGTTTGGAGGGGAGGAGTCATGGTTCTGCGTCAGGAAAGGATCCCATTGCTATGAGCTGTGTTTATTGAATCTGTCATTTGGCCATTGCTATCTTGTTCTATTCTTTCATCATTCATGTTTCTTGTTTTTTCCCTAACTAAAGCTTACTTTTTATAAAACTGTCTGCATTGCTTAGATCTTCCAAAGCATGCGGTAGATATTTTATAAATATTTGGACTAAAAGGCTCAGAATTTCTTAGCGTAAAACTTCTGAGTCATCCATTCTGTGACGCGATGGATGAAAAAACAGATCTAGAGAAGTCTAGATGGCTCTTCCAGGTCTCAGATCTTCTCTGCCTTTTTTTTTTTTTTTTTGTACTCTCCTTTGCTTTGGTAAGGGTATGACCCTGTATAGCTTTAAACAAAACATTATGGATTAAATTTACACATACAGATCAACTTAAAAGTAGATTCACACGAGCACGTCTCACATGTACACTATGTTCTAAAAGGTAATGCATTCTCTTCAAAGAATAAGGATAATTCCATTTTTAGTAGAAGCTTCAGACATTGTAGTTGATAAAGCAAAATAAAATTTCAATATGAAAGATAGTTTTGATGAGGAAAGATTTCTTCAGCTGTTCTATCCATGATATATTCCAAGTGCTTATCACAGTGCCTGGCAGAGAGGTGGCACTCAGTAGAGCCTTGAGTTCATTGAATGAATGAATGCATGGATGAATAAGAGAGAAGAAGGAAGAGAGGATGGCAGGTGGGATGAAGGAAGGTCTGATGAACATTTCTGCGTTTGGTTTTCAAAACACATTTTTCTAACCACAGCACCCATGCTCTTGGGTAGCTGGTAGTGGTAGCATCAGCAGCCACCCCTCAGCTGTCCCTGCAGTAGCCATTGTATCAGAGCAGCTTGCAGGTTCCTGCAGTGCCAACTGTAGCTGTTTCCTGGGAGGCAGGATGTGACTGTTATTGAGGGGACCTGTTTTGAGGGCCTCAGGAATGCTTTTTCCTTTACTTGCTCTCAATATTCATTTTCCTTTTGTACTCTCAGTTGTCTTCTTATAGACTTTAGTAGTAGACAGATAAATTAGCAGGGTCCCATTGCAGGAATATCCGTGCATATCTTCCTTTCTCTTGTATTGTCAGTGGAAACTATTTATTAAACTTACGAACAGGATGAAGTTTTATTTCATTTCTGGTTTTCTGTTGTGCCTTTCCTCTCCGCTGTGTTATATGTTATTGTAATAGTGTTGTGGCACAGTGTCATCTAGTCTAGCAAGAGTTTCTGGGATGTCTTCTGTCCCTGTACTCTTGAGCTTTTCCACTCTGGGCTCTGCTGATTGCTTTCTCCAGTTTCACATCCATCCCATACACAAAATAATGCAGGCCTAGGATCAAAGTTTTTGTTTGAGCAATGTGTAGAAGTGAAAACATCATATTTGGAATCAGAAAAATTGAGTTTAAAGATTGCATCTACGATAGACTCGTTGCATTTATGGACAATTACTTTGTATCTAAAGATTTCATTTTTTTTGAAACATGAAATTCTTGATTTTTCGTATGAACTAATGAGATAATGGAATGATATCTTCCTAGTGTGTGTAACATATCTGCTTACTAAATGTTAACTTATAATTACTTTTATAAATTGAAATTTTTATGGAAATCATTGTAGAGTCACATGCAGTAGTAAGAAAAAAGATATTCTTGAGTACATGTTATGCCATTTCCCAGAATGCTAACATTTTACAACACTGTAGTACAATTGCCTTCTGTACAATTGTACAAATATGTACAATTTGTTGTGTACAACTTTGTTACCTGAATAGGCTTGTGTATCTTCCACCACAGTGACGATGCTAAACAATTCCACCAACACAAGGAGTGGTGGTGATGTCCTTTTGTAAGCAAACCCATCTCCCTCCTGTCTCATCTTCCTCCATTCCTACCCCTGGCAACCACTAATTTGTCCTCCATTTCTAGAATCTTAACATTACAAAATGTTACATAAATGGAATCATAGAGTACATGATCTTCGGGGAGTGGTGTTTTTCACTCACCATAGCTATCGGGAAGTTCACCCAAGTTGTTAGGTACATCATTAATTTGCTCCTTTTTATTGCTGAGTAGTATTTAATACAGTGGATGGACCACAGTGTATTATTTACAAGTTGAAGGACATCTGGGCTGTTTCTGTTGTTTGGCTATTATGTATAAAGCTTCTGTAAATATGATGTGCACAGATTTTTATATGAATGAAAGTTTACATTTCTGTGGGATGAATCTCCAAGAGTGCAATGGTTAGGTTGTATTTTAAGACTTACCATCATGAGTCATGGTTCCCCGGTGAGATAGTTTCATTCTGTGTGTAAATGGAGGTCAAAATAACATTCATGTGGATCTTTTAAATGATAGCCTGACAACTGACACTTTTAGTCAATTAATCAGATTAAGAAAATTGATAACCCTTTTACTGGTTCTTTCTTTCTTTCCTTTTTTTTATTTTTTTTTATTTTGTTGAGACTGAGTTTTGCTCTTGTTGCCCAGGCTGGAGTGCAATGGCACAATCTCGGCTCACTGCAACCTCCGCCTCCCAGATTCAAGCGATTCTCCTGTGTCAGCCTCCTGAGTAGCTGGGATTACAGGCGTATGCCACCACGTCCACCTAATTTTTGTATTTTTAGTAGAGTTGGGGTTTCACCATATTGGCCAGCTAGTCTCAAACTCCCGACCTCAGGTGATCTGCCTGCCTCGGCCTCCCAAAGTGCTGGGTTTATAGGCCTGAGCCACCGCGCCCAGCCCTGGTTCTTTCTTTTTTGCCTTAATTTCTCTGAAGTGGCTCCACCATCTTAAAAAACTCCGCCATTCTTAGAACCTCCAGGCATGTAGGCCTTTTCCTCTTCTCTTGCTTCTCCAATTATCAAGGAAGAGCTAACGCCCTCTTGATTTTGCCACTGTGGACATTTTTATATTATTTTCCTCTTGATTCATAGCTTTATTGTCTGATTTTCAGTTAGCATATTCTCTTCACTGCATTATTAATAGGCTATCTTTCCTGGTGTCTCTGTCCTGAAGTGGAGTCTTCTGCAGCCTGGCCACAGCTGACCTTTGTGGCGGTAGGTCCCAATTCTCCCCTTGAAGGCCATGGTCATGACCACCTCAGGGCCTTCACATGTGCCCAGGACTGAGCCTGGTCCTCTTCACACTGTTAGCTCCTTCTCATCCTGTAGCTATTGGCACAGATTTCACCTCCTCATGGGAGGTCCTCCATGTGTATATTCTTATAGTACACTGCACTCTTCTTTCATTACACTTACTGTATTTTTTTTCACTTGTGTAAATCTTACTACCCCACATGGTCCAGTGTGGTCAGAGAGTTACTTTCAGAACCTTCAGAAAAGGTTTAGATCACCTAAAGCAATCTGAATCTTAACGTTGTCTCTTGAGGGAAAACAACCACAATCCAAATGTGTGTATGGCAGTGGGTTTAACATACAGTGCAACCTTAAAAGTCTTCTTTAGACTTTGTTTCATGTTCAGGATCTCTCACAAGCTCAACCCTGGCTTTGGGTGGGGAATCCTTTCTATCTGCTGAAACTGTTGGAGAGGTAACCCCAAAGCCTCTTCTATCTTGGTGTCCCCATCTTCCACCCAAGCAGCTTACCCACCAACAAGTTGCCGTCTGTGCCAACTCACTATCCTGTGAGCTTCCTTGCTTTTCCTACAGTGTATGTGTCATCCCCCGCAACCCCATGAAGTATCCTTTCACTATGGGTTTTCTAAGTTGGGGTTCTGTCTAACGCATTCACTACCTATTGACCTCCCTGAAGACTGGGGTGGGGTCTTGCCTATCTTTGTAGTCTAGAACCTGGAACATTGACTAGCAGATGTTACGTACATGAATGAATGAATTGGTGAAAGAATAAACGAAATTATGTGTCTTATATATAGGAGATACTTGGTAAAAGTAAGACAAAATGAATAAATAATGTAAATCTTTCTTAATTTTCCAGGTGATTTTTGAAGTGATAACTTCTGGACATCAAGGCTATCTCGCTATCGATGAGGTGAAGGTGTTAGGACATCCATGTAGTAAGTTGTCTTTATTTGTAAATATTCGGGTACATCATTGGGGGCATGTTTACATTATGAATGAAGAGAAGGGATGAAAACCTGTGAAGAGGTCATCTTGCCAAGACAGTTCCCTGACAGGCCTGTATTGTTGGTTTGCCAGCCCAGAAATCCAAAAGCATGTACTTTGTGTAAATGCCATGGTTTGTATAAGTCTTTTAAAATTTGGTTCAGGAATGGGGAATCAAGGAATTCTTTGGCATGCTCAGACATCTTTGCAAAGAACCTGTTTATTTGTTGCCGTGGTCTTTAGAATTCGCTTTTCAGTAGTAGCACAAAGTTAAATATTGAGAATCTGTGCGTTTTGTTTATAAGTCCAGTATGTTTTTGGCACAGTTCCTTAGTATTTATCACATGGTTTCAGGTGATATAGCTGCAAACAGGCCTGGGATCTGTCAAATAAAAGACACCTACCTAAACCACCTGGGGACCCCAGAAATGGCCTGCTCTTCATCTTTTAAAAATTAATACTTTAAAAAAGTACAATAGGTGATAAACATACAATTTTTAAAATTTCTACTATGAACAACTAACAGTTTGTCATATTTGTATGTGAACCTTTTTCCTTAAATAAAATAGTACAAATTGCTAGATCTGTTTCTCCCCAAACCCTGCCCCCCAGGGGCCACCACAGTGGTGAGCTGGTTGTTGCACCTGTTATGGTTTCTAGTCTGCACACAGCAACAGACTGTAGCTGCTTGAAGCAGAAAAGGCATCCTGTTGATAGAGAATTGGAGGGCAGTGGTATTCCTGAGAACACTAGTGGTCTAGACTCAGATGATGAGCAGGCCCCCAAAGTGAGGCTACGCAAGCAGCCACAGCAACCACTATGGCAGGGGAGCCAGCTGCGAGGACAAGGGGAGCTGGCGCTGTGTCTCTGTGCACCTTACCCTTGGAAGATGACCCTTGCCTAGACATTCTGCGCTGATTTGGGCCTTGGCATCTTTGGCCTTAGGTGCAAAGCCCTGAGGGGGATAGTCAGGGTGAGCGAGCTAGATCATGCACTCATTCATGCCTGGCAATTGGTGTCACTAGGAAAGTGAGTTGTTGGCTTTTCCCACTCTGTCAAGGGAGCTGGGCCTCAACTTTTACTGAGAAACATATAGTGCTGAGCAACTGAACACCGCAAATGTGTGTGTGTGTGTGTGTATGCGCATGTGTGTGCTCTTTCCCATAATCCCCAAGGGTTTATAAAAGCAAAAAAGTAAGGATTGCCTTTTATAAATGCTAATGAATGGTTTCCAGCCATACAAATTTCTCTGTATTCTTTTTTTTTTTTTAACTTAAGTGTTAGATATTTTAGGTCAATCCATGGTATTCTATCATATGGATTTACTACATTCTATTTTTCTAGTATTTTATGAACATTTAGTGTTTCCCACAGTTTTTCTCTATTAAATATTGCTGCAGTGAGCATTATGGATGTGCCTACTGGTGCAGTGTTGAGAGCCTCAGTGGAGTGTGTTCTTAGAGGCTGAATTGCTGGGATGTAGTGCAGAGACGTTCTTAGTTTTATTGGGTGCTGCCAAAATGCTATGAAGTGTCTGAACCAGTTTATATTCCCACCAGCAGTGCATGGTAGCTTTATTTTCCCTGTATCTTTGTTCAAAATTGATATCACCAGACTTCAAATTTTTGGCCATCTGAGGGATGATAACCTGCTTTATTTTTAGGATCTCTGGCATTAAAGAGAAACTGGCTAGTTCATATATTTCATGGGTCTTTCCTGATGACCCTATGCAAAATTATGAAAGAATGATTATATCTACAATAATAAAAATGGAAATATTTGCAGGAGTGGCTCAGCTTTTTATTGCATGGATTTGAATAGACCACCAGGACCCTCTTTGTTAAGCTTTATAGAGAAGACCTGTGTGGTTGTTACCTGATGAATGTATCATGACACAGGTGTTTTAATTCCATCTAAAGGGGTTTTGCTCTCTCTGATATCTTTATTTGGTGCTTTGAAGCTTGCCAAACATTGAAGTTAACATAAAGCAATCATTTGTTCATTACAAAGGCAGATGTTACTTTTGTGTCATGTTACATTTGTCTTTTCTTCTGTTGTCAGCAAAACTGGGGAGTTCAAGAAGATTCCCTGTCCCCTCCCATTTCATGAAAAGACTGGAAAACCATCAAGGCTGTACCTAATTGAAACAGCAGGGTAAATTTAGGAAGCAGAATGCAATTACCTGAGCTGGAACTCAGCCAAATCCTCAGAGTAATAGCCTCCAGCTAGAAAAGTGCCATGAGATCTTCTAATATGCACAAAGTTCATGGACTCTGATTCACTTCTTACTAGGAGGTTAAAAACATAAGAGCTGTAATTGCATGCCTACTAAGTGCTGAGCACTCTAATGACATAGTCTGCCTCCCTGTTTCTTAGAGCAGAGCTCACGGCAAGGCAGATGTACTGGGTGCAGGTGTGGTGGCTGCAGTCAAGGTTGCACATGGCTTTCTATTACATATCCTGGGCTCCATCTTCCACATCTGGCCACTAGCCAGCATAAGAGCTCCTGAAGTGTAGTGCCTTCTATTTTACTGGATTTTAGTCATTGTGTGCAGCAAAGACCTAAAGACTTCATGCTTATCAGTGCCTTCCTAAAACATGTCTCAAGCAATTTTGTTCTTCCCATAGGAGAGAGCTTTCTGTAGCCATAGAAATGGTGTTTATCTTCTCTCCTTTGGAGAATACCTGTGCTAATACCTAATTGGCTTTGGGAACTGCTGTGAGGGCACAGAATTGCAAAACAGGCTCTGTACCAAGGTGATGTATGGTACAACAGCATTGTGAACTGGAAGCCTTAAATGGTTTTGATGATAGCTCTTCCTTAGCTTATTTTTTCCTGAATCTCTAAGTTAATGGGGGAAGCATGCAAATAAAGATTTTAAAGAAGGCAATAGTTTGTTCTTAAAATGAAAGCTTTACAGGTAATATTTTATGAGCTTTCTTATCAGGATTTCATAATAATGAATTATTTTGAAATTTTGATGTTCATTAAATTTAAATCCTAAAGGAGCATTAATATTTTATATCTAAAACTATGCTTTCCAAATGGCTGCAAAATTGCTGAATCTCATTTGCTCCACTGTAAAGGCTCTTGTTTGGATTCATATAGGTTTATGAGTAAGCATTACAACATTTTTTAATATTAGATATTCTGATACAAGTATATAGTTGCTCATAAAATTGACTTTAGTGACAATAAGATGCAAGATCAGCCTGAAATATGGAGATGACTTTGCAAAATCAGCAGCTCTCTAGCATATGACCACTTCTAATAAACAGATAATTTTTGCATTTGATATGCACACTAAAAATATATTTGGAATTTGGTTCAATAATCCTGGTAAGAAAAGAAGCATTTTATTACAATAGCTTCCTAATGTTGCCTCCTGTTCTTAAATACATTATGAGCTGTGCATATATGGGTATTTCTCTTATTACCTTCTGGTGCTGATAATGTATTTTTATGTCTTAAAAGCCGTATGTAATTTTAATAGATTTATTGACATATCACTGACATAATTTATCCATGTTTAAAGTGTACAATTCAGTAGTTTTTAGTTTATTCACAGAGTATGTACCCGCGACCATAGTCAAATTTAAAATATCTTCAACATCCCCCAAAAGACCCACTACCCATTAATAGTCATTCTTTATTTTCTCTTGTTACTGGTGGAGGGTGTCCAGGTTCTTGGTGTCTTGAACAAAGAATTGGACAAAACGCACAAACAAAGCAAGGAAAGAATGAAGCAACAAAAGCAGAGATTTATTGAAAATGAAAAATACACTCCACAGGGTGGGAGCTGCCCGAGCAAGTGGCTCAAGATCCCCATGACTGAATTTTCTGGGGTTTAAAATACCCTCTAGAGGTTTCCCATTGGTTACTTGGTGTACACCCTGTGTAAGTGAAGTAGTGGCCGATGGTCAGTCTGATTGGTCGTGGGAGGGGACCATTCAGAGGCTGAAGTGAAGATACAAAGTTACACCCTCTGCAAACATCTGATTGGTTGCAGAAAGTGACCAATCAGAGACTGAAGTGAAGTTACAAAGTTATACTCCTATAAAATGAAAACTTAGCCCAAGACCAGCCTGACTGGTTGCAGGAGGGGACCAGTCAGAGGTACTTTCAATTTTTCATCTGCCACCCAGAAAAAGTTGGGGGAGGCAGTGTGCAAAGGAAGTAGTCTCTGGTCCTTTTGTCACTTGGGTGTGGAAAGTTGGGATTTTCCTTTTGATTTAGTTCTAGGAAGTCAGCATGATTCGGCCTCAGGTTCCTTGCCTCTAGACCCTATTCTCCCGACTTACTCTGGCCACCACTCCTAGCCCTAGGCAACCATTAATTTACTTGTTGTTCCTGTAGATTTGCTTGTTCTCCATATTCATTTAAATGCAGTTGCGCTATATGTGGCCCTTTGTGTCTGGCTTCCTTCACTTAGCGTGTTTCAAAGTTCATCCATGTTATAGTGTATATCAATATTTCACTCCTTCTTAAAACCAAATAGTATTTTATTCCATGGATATACCACATTTTATGTAAGCATGCATCAGTTGATGGACATTCAGGTTGTTTCACCTTTGGGCTATTGGGAATAATGCTGCTGTGAACATTTGTTATCAGTTCTCTTGGGTATCATGCTCTCAGACATATACTTAGGAGCAGAATTGCTGGGTAGCATTTGAAGAACTGTGAAATTGTTTTTTAAATTGGCTGCACCATTTTCCATTTCAAACAGCAGTGTATGATTTCAATTTCTTCATATTCTTGCAAATATTTATGTCTTTAAAAAAATCATAGCCATCCTTGTGGGTTTCAGGTGGCACCTGTTTGTAGTTTGGATTACCTAATGACTAATGATGTTGAGCATCTTTCCATGTGCCATTTATATGTATGTTTGGGAGAAATGTCTATTCAGATCCTTTCCCCATTTTTAATTGAGTTGTTTATCTTTTTATTATTCAGTTATAAGAGGTTTTATATATCTACATACAAATTCCTTATCAGACATATGATTCAAAAACATTTACCCCCAATCTGTGAGTTGTTTTCTCATTTTCTTGATGGCATCCTTAACAGCACAAAGATTTAAATTTTGATAAAGTCCAATTTTCTGTTTTTTCTTTCATCACTTAGATACAAAACTATTTGGAGTTGTAGCTAATAATTCTTCTAAGATCACAAAGCTTTTCTGTGTTTTTTCCAGAGTTTTATGGTTTCAATTTTTTTTTTTTTTTTTTTTTTTTGAGATGGAGTCTCTCTTTCTCACCCAGGCTGGAGTGCAGTGCTGTGATCTCGGCTCACTGCAACCTCCGCCTCCCACGTTTAAGTGATTCTCCTGCCTCAGCCTCCTGAGTAGCTGTGATTACAGGTGTCTGCCACCAAGCCCAGCTAATTTTGTATTTTTAGTAGAGACGCGGTTTCACCAATTTGGCCAGGCTGGTCTCCAACTCTTGACCTCAGGTGTTCTGCCTGCCTCAGCCTCCCAAAGTGCTGGGATTACAGGCATAAGCCACTGTGCCCGTCCTATAGTTTCAATTCTTACTTACAGGTCTATGAGCTATTTGAGTTAATATTTGTGTATGCTGTAAGAAAGTGGTGAAAATTCATTCTTTTGCATATGGATATGCAGTTATTCCAGCACCACTTGTTGACACACTGTTCTTTCCCCATTAAATTGCCTTGGTACCCTTGTTGAAAATTAATTAATAAATATAAAGACATTTCTGGACCCTCAGTTCTATTCAGTTGATCTACATGACTATTCTGCTACAAGTATGATACTATTTTGATTACTGTAACTTTTTAGTAAATTTTGAAATTTGGATCAGTGGGTCTTCCAAGTTTGTTCTTTTCTCATTATTGTTTTGGCTATTCTGAATCCTTTGTACTTTCTTTTCTTTTTGAGACAGAGTCTCACTCTGTTGCCCAGGCTGGAGTGCAGTGGCACTATCTCGGCTCACTGCAAGCTCCGCCTACCGGGTTCATGCCATTCTCCTGCCTCAGCCTCTCGAGTAGTTGGGACTACAGGCACCCGCCACCACGCCCGGCTAATTTTTTTTTTTTTTGTATTTTTAGTAGAGATGGCGTTTCACAGTGTTAGCCAGGATGGTCTCGATCTCGTGACCTCGTGATCCGCCCGCCTCAGCCTCCCAAAGTGCTGGGATTACAGGCATGAGCCACTGCGCCCAGCCAATCCCTTGTACTTTCAAATGAATTTGAGAATCAGCTTATCAATTTCAGCCAAAAAAATTCAGCTGGGATATTGATAGGGATTGTGTTGAATCTGTAGACTGGTTTGGGTGAGGGGTTATTGCTATCTTAACATTATCAGGCTTTGTGATCTGTGAATGTGGGATGTCTTTCCTTTTATTGAAGTCTTTTAAAATTTCCTTTAATAGTGTTTGTGGTTTTCAGAGTACAAGTTCTGTTCTTCATTTGTTAAATTTATTCCTAAGTATTTTATTTTGAAGTTGTTTTAAGTAGAATTGTTTTCTTAATTTTATTTTTCGATTGTTCATTTCTCGCTTGTAGAAATGCAGTTGATTTTGTTTATTGATCTTGTATCCCGAGATCTTGATGAACTTGCTTATTAGCTCTAATTGGTTTTTTGGTGGATCCATAGGATTTTCTGTATGCAAAATTGTGTCATCTTCAAGTAGGTTTTCCAGATTCCTCTTTTTCCAACCCAGGTGAATTTTATTATTTTTCTTGCTAGTTTGCCATGGCTAAAACCTCCAGTACAATGTTGAATAGAAGCAAAAAGAACAGAACTGCTTGTCTTGTTCCTCATCTTAGGAGGAAAGCTTTCAGTCTTTTAGCATGATGTTGGCTGTGGTGTTTTGTAAATGCTTGTTTTTAGGAAGAAAGTTCCTTTTTCTTCCTAGTTTGTTGGATGTTTTTATCAAGAAATGCTGTTGGGTTTTAGCAAATCCTTTTTCTCTATCAGATTATTATGTGGTTTCCATCCTATATTCTGGCATATTATATTGATTGATTTTGGGATGTTAAAACAACCTAGCAGTCCTGGAACACATCTCACTTAGGCATGGTGTATAATCTTTTTTAATATGTTGGCATGTAGTAATGAAACATTATACGAAGTTACTGGGATATATGATGCCTTCAATTCTGAAATCTTAAAATTATACAGAATCATGCCCCATTATTTTGATGCCAATTTAAAAACAAAATAATACAGTAAAAAAGAGATAAAGCCCTTCTAAACCCATGTGCTGTATATTGGATAAATTGAATACAAAATCCAAGACTGTCCTGTATTATTACTTGGGCAATAGAAAATAAGTCAGCAATTTCTTTAAATATTAAAGTTTATAATATGGCCTCCTAAATTCAAAATTATTCTTATTTTTTAAAATAGTATTTTCCTTATTAATTTGTGTAGTCACACATTGCTTACCACTCCCAAATTTAGATTTTTTAATGAAGATTTATTAAATAGTGTGATTGAAATAAGAATAACAGTGACAAAGCACAAATTAGAATTGTTTTCGGAATTATGTTCTGCTGAATAAAGACAGATTCATGTGCTTTGGTTGAGAGATGTGTGGGACTCAGAATTGACCTTTCATTTTAAACATGTGGGAACACAATTTGGACTTTTCTCTAAAGGAATATCATTCTTCTTAAGATAGAGTCGACTTCTAAAAGTTATTTATATGTAGTGGCTACCTTAGTTTTCTCTGATAAGAATGTTGAATCTGTTTTTCCACTTGAAAAATTATTTCATTAAAGCCTATTCTTACCTTTCAAGGAAAACAAAACTGACTTTGACCTGAAACATGTTAAGAGAAATTTTCTGCTTCTATCACAGGAATTACTTGGCTTTTTTTGGACCTATAATCTCATTTGTATAAGAAGAAAATAATAATGTTTTTCTCACTGAGTAAATATAGGGATTACATTAGTTAATGTACATATAGAATTTATCACAATGCTTACCACATTCTAAGAATTTAATTAATGTTAACTATTATTATTATTAGGCACTACATTGTGATAGACTTGCTAGAATTAGTTAGCTGCTAATGGTAAACCTCTAAATAGCTAAAATGATTGATATGCTAGATGGGGAAGTTTAATTGTATGTCCATCGTTAAATTCCAAAAATGTTTGCAAAATATATTGGTTCTCAGCGTTAGAGTAAGCAGTACCAGGCTGTTCTTTTTGGCAGCAATTTGCTTCCTTGTTTGTGATGATATGTTACACAAATAGAGAGAAATATTAACTATTTTTATTCTGGTGGTTGGGCATGCATCCCGTACATTTCAACCTATGCCATTACATTAAAATGTAAGTTAAAGCAAAAGGGGGTTAGGACATAGTCCTCTTGTTCCACTTCAGTTTGCACTTTGATCTCACAAATTACTCTTCTCTGATTTTGTTGCTAGTATTTGTATGCAGACTCTGAAGAATCAATAATAATGAAACATCTACAAAACGATTTGTATCTTGGTCAATGATAATTCTTGGCTTTGGGATCAAAGGCTTATTTGAGATCAATTAATACACGAAAACCTCTATTCTTTCTTAGTAAGAAGAAACAGAATATGGAAGCGATGAGAGGATAGGAGGGTTGTACTAAGAACATGTTTGTTATTCATGGAAGATATTTAGTTTTTAAATCTCCTACAGGTTTTAGAAGAAAGCTGGCATAGCATTTTGAAAGGGTATCCAGGAGACAAGTGGGCCTGTAAATTTGGAGAGAGAGAGAGAATGTTTCTTTTTGAATATGAGATAGATTGAAATTTCTGTTCTAAAGGTGGTATACACCTGATGTTACAATTAAAGTAGTATGGCAAGATTCAGAGCATACAGCTCAGCATGGGATCTACACTTTTCTGGCCATAGAGCTCTTTTTCTTGGGCTCTTTTCCAGGTTCCAGTGATAGATCAGTTATTTTAAATAGTAAGGAACATTTTTGTGGGCTAAGTATGAGGCACAGAGAACACCTTGGCTTCATCAACTTGTTTATTCTTTATATCAACACTGCGAAATAGGTACTTTTAAAAAATCTCTATTTTACAAATAAAAAAATTTTGTGAAGATTTAGGTTTAAGAATTTTTGCATATATTCGGAGATAATAAAGGACTGAAGGAAGTACTGATGCTTGAACACAAATGTGCTGAAATCCAAATCTTAAAATAGTATCAGCCTAAGCTGCTTGCCACCTGAAAATGGTTGTAGGATTTATAGCACTAAACAAGGGGAATCTAGGCATCTTAAAAGCTTGGAAGATTATATAAGCCTTTAATATTTACTGAAAAAATTTACACCATTAGCAGAAAGTTTGACTTTCATGTTCTTGGAGAAATCTGATCTCACAGTCATTTTGTTAAGTGAAATAACTTAGAAACAGAAAAACAAAAACTACACGTTTTCACTTACAAGTGGGAGCTAAACAGTGTGTATATATGGACATAAAAGAATAATAGACATTGGAGACCCTGAAAGGTGGGACGGGGAAAGAGGTGAGTGATGAGAAATTACCTATGGTGAATAATGTACACAATTCAGGTGATGGGTACACTAAAAATCCAGACTTCATTGCTATGCAGTATATCCAAGGAACAAAACTGCACTTGGATCCCTTAAATCCATTAAGATACAAAACTTTAAAAGAAAGTGATATTCCAAAACTGGGCGTACCATAGATGAACACACCTTTAGCAGAACCAGCGACAATTCTCATATTCACATTATTTTTTTAACTCTTATAACGTTTGCTGATAGAGTGTATGCATTTTATAACTTTCTCAAGAAAGATTATAGAAGTTAGTACTTATTGTATTTTTTAGAATAAACAGCAGAAATATACTTCTTACAGTTCTGGAGCCTGGAAGTCTGAGATCAGGGTGCCAACACGGTCAGGTTATGGTGAGGACCCTCTTCTGGGTTGCAGACTTCCATCTTTTTTGTTGTGTCCTCACATGGCAGACAGAGGGGGAAAGAGCTGAGTCCTTTTCTTTTTTAAAAAAAATGTTATTTTATTTTAAATAATAAAAACAAAAAATAAATCGACACATAATTGTACATACCTATGAGGTATAGAGTGATATTTTGAAACATGTATACAATGTATAATGATCAAGTCAGGATTAATTAGCTTATCACCTCAAACATTTATCATTTTTTTGTGCTGGGAACATTCCATATCCTCTCTTCTATTAATAGGTATTTGCAAATATACCAGAAATTATTGTTAATTATAGTCACCCTACAGTACTGTAAAACACTGTAACTTTATTAATACTTATATCTAACTGTAATTTTGTTTTCATTAGCCAACATGTTGTCCCTCTACGCCCTACCTTTCCTATCCCTTAGTAACCACTCTTGACTTCTGAGATCAACTTTATGATCTCTCTTACATGAGTGAGAATGTGGTATTTGTCCTTCTGTGCCTGGCTTTTATCACTTAACATCATGTATGTACTCTAGGCACATCCATGCTGCAGCAAATGACAAGGTACTTTTGAAAAGGTGGTGAAAAAGCTCCTTCATACCCTGATGGTAAAAATGTGAATTGTTATAAGCTTTTATGGAAAGCAGTTTGACAATTTATGTCAAATGTCTTTTAAAATGTGTGTTTTAAAAATTATCTTTGGCCAGGTGCGGTGGCTCACGCCTGTAATCCCAGCACTTTGGGAGGCCAAGGCAGGCGGATCACGAGGTCAGGAGATCGTGACCATCCTGGCTAACATAGTGAAACCCCATCTCTACTAAAAATACAAAAAACAATTAGCCAGGCGTGGTGGCAGGCGCCTGTAGTCCCAGCTACTCAGGAGGCTGAGGCAGGAGAATGGCGTGAACCTGGGAGGCGGAGGTTGCAGTGAGCCCAGCTCGCGCCACTGTACTCCAGCCTGGGCGACAGAGTGAGACTCTGTCTAAAAAAATATATACTTTTTTATTGATACATAATATAAGTGCATATTTGGGGGTACATGTGATAATTTAATACATGTATACAATTTGTAAAAATGGAAGCAGTGTAACTGGGATATCCATCACCTTAACTATTGTCTTTATGCTAGAAAAATTTGAATTGTTACTATCTTCTAGATATTTTGAAATATACAGTAGATTTTGCAAACTGTGGTCACCCTGTTGATCTTCAAGCACTAAGTTTTATTTCTAATAAGTGTATATTTGTACCCATTAATCAACTGCTCTTAATTCTGCACCCCCACTCCCCCTATCCATCCCAGCCTTTGGTAACCATTAATCTACTCTCTATCTTCATGAGATCCACTATTTTAGCTCCAACATAAGAGTGAGAATATGTTCTATTTGTTTTTCTGTGCTTGGCTTATTTCACTTAACATAAGGCCTTCCAGTACCATCCTTGTTGCTGCAAATGACAGGATTTCATGCTTTTTTGTGGCTGAATAATATTCCATAATGTAATATGAGATATTGTGTTCTTGTGTGTTTGTGTGTGTGTGTGTGTGTGTGTGTGTATGTGTATTACATTTTCTTTATTTACTTATTTATTGATGGACACTTAGGATGACTCCATATTTTGGCAATTATGAATAGTGCTGCAATAAACATAGGAGTGCAGATATCTTTTTGATATATTGATTTCCTTTCTTTTGGATATATACCAAGTAGTGGAATTGCTGGATCTTATGGTAGTTCTATGTTTAGTTTTTGAGAAACCTCAATGCAGTTTTTCATAGGGGCTGTACTAATTTATATTCCCACCAACACTGTACAAGGGTTCCCCTTTCTCCACATGCTCACCAGTATCCGTTACTCCCTGTCATTTTGATAAAAGCCATCATAAGTGGAGTAATGTGATAGCTCATTTTTGTTTTGACTTGCATTTCTCTGATGATTAGTGAGGTTGAACATTTTTTTTCCTGTACCTGTTGGCAATTTTCATGTCTTATGAGAAAATTAATTAGAGGCTCTTACTTAACAACAGAATGGGTCAAGCAGAGGAAAGAATCAGTGAATCTGAAGACAGCTACTTGAATGTCCAGTTTTAAATTGGACTATTTGTATTTTTGCTTGAGTTATTTGAGCTTCTTGTATATTCTGATGATTAGTCCTCTGTCAAATGGATAGTTTGCAAGTATTTTCTCCCATTCCATGGGCTCCCTTCACTTTGTTGATTGTTTCCTTTGCTGTGTAGAAGCTTTTTAGCTTAATGTAGTCCCATTTGTCTGTTTTTGTTTTGGTTGCTCTTGAGGTCTTACACAAAAATTCTTTGCCCAGACCAATGTTCTGGAATGTTTCACCAGTGTTTTCTTTTAGTAGTTTCATAGCTTCAGGTCCTAGATTTAAATCTTTGGGTCTATTTTGATTTGACTTCTGTAGATGTCGAAACAGAGGAGGCTAGTTTCCTTTTTCTGCATATTGTTCTCCTGTTTTCCCAGCAGCAGTTATTGAAGAGACTGTCCTTTCTTCGTTGTATACTCTTAGCACCTTTGTCAAAGACAAGTTGGCTACAAATGCGTAGATTTATTACTGGGTTCTCTGTTCTGTTGCATTGATCTATGTGTCTGTTTTTATGCTGGTACCATGCTGTTTTGGTTACTAAAGCTTTATACTACATTTTGAAATCAGGTAGTATATGATGCCTCCAGCTTTTTTCTTTTTGCTCAGGCTTGCTTTGGCTATTTGGAATATTTTCTGGTTCCATATAAATTTTAGCATTATATTTTCTATTTCTGTTAAGAATGGCATTGATATTTTGATAGGGATTCCATTGAATTTGTAATTTTTGAGTAGTATTGTCATTTTAAAAATTATTGAAACAAATCATAACAGAAATACAACATACCTAAACCTATGGGATTTTCCTCTTAATTTCTTCGATTGGTTGTTCACTAGCATGTTTTTAAATTTCCACGTATTTGCGTATTTACTGAGGTTCCTTTTGTTACTGATTTCTAGTTTTATTCCATTGAGGTCAGAAAAGATACTTCATATTATTTCTACTTTTTTAAATTTGTTGAGACCTGTTTTCTGGCCTAAGATATGTTCTGTTCTGGATAATTTTGTATGTACTAATGAAAAGAAAGTGTATTCCATAGCATTTGGGTGAAATGTTCTATAGACGTCAGTTATGACTATTTGGTGTAGCGTGTAGTTTAACTTTAATGTTTCTTTGTTGACTTTCTGTCTGAATGATTGGTCTGTTGATGTTCCCTGCTATGACTGTATTACAGTTTATCTCTCTCTTTAGATCTATGTTTGCTTTATATACTTGGGAGCTCTGGTGTTGGGTGTATAATATTTATAATTGTTTTATCCTCTTAACCAATCCCTTTATCATTATATAATTACCATTTTTGTTTTTACAGTCTTTGATTTGCACCCTATTTTATCTGAAATAAACATAGATACTCCTCCTCTTTTTTTGTTTTCCAGTTAGATGGAGTATCTTTTTCTACCCACTTCACTTTGTCTTACCTATGTGAGTGCCTTTATAGTTGAGGTGGATTTCTTGTAGGAAGAATTTAATTGTGTCTTGGTTTTTTATATGTTCAGCCTCTCTATGCCTTTTAATTGGATAATTTGCTCCATTTACATTCAATGTCATTATTAAGTAAAGACTTACTACTGCCATTTTGTTGCTTAATTTCTGGTTGTTTTGTAGCTCTTCTCTTTCTTCCTTTCTTACTACTTTGTAGTTAAATGATTTTCTCTGGTCACGTGTTTTAATTTGTTGTTTTTCATATGTAATGAATCTATTATAGGTTTTTGCATTGTTGTTACAATTAGGCTTATAAAACATATCTTATAGATATAAGTTATCTTAAAGAGATGACAACTTATCTTTGATGACAAATAAAAGGACAGAAAAATGAAAAAAATGCTTTTATGCTTTAACTCCATCCCCCTCACATTTTGAATTTATGTTGTTTCAGTTTGCGTGTTTTTATACGGCCTATCTCTTAACAGGTTACCATACCTATTACTGTTTTTGATAGATTTGTCTTTTGGGCTTCACAATACTTACGAATAGATTGCACACCACAGCTGCAGTGTTAGAATATTCTGGATTTGTCTGTATATTAATATTATCCGTGGGTTTTATATACTTTTACATGTTTTCTTGTTGCACATTAGTGTTTTTTTCCTTTCAGATTGAAGAATTCCCTTTAGCCTTTCTTGTAAGATAGATCTAATAGTGATGAATTTTCTCAACTTTTGTTTGTCTGGGAAAGACTTTATCTGACCTTTATTTTTCTGTGGATAGCTTTAGTGGCTGCAGTATTCTTGGATGGCAATTTAAAAAAAATTTCCACACTTTGAAAATGTCTTCTTATACACTCCTGTTTTCATTGAGTTCTGTTGCCATATGAACCCTGATTCCTTTATATGTTATTTGCTTCTTTTCTCTTGCTACTTTTAGGATACTCTCTTTGTCTTTGACCTTTGAGAGTCTAATCATTATATCTTTTGGGGTAGCCTTATTTGAGTTGAATCTGTTTGGTGTTCTCTGAACTTTCTGTCCCTGGATATTTATCTCTTTCATGTTTTGGAAAGTTTTCTGTAATAGGTAAGCTTTTTGCCCCTTGCTGTTGCTCAACTACCTCTTGAGCACCAATAATTCTTAAATTTGATATTTTGAGGTATTTTTCAGTATTTTGTAGATAATCTTTTTCCTTTTCATTTTTTTCTTTTTGCCTCTCTGGCTGTAAATTTTCAAATAGCTGTCTTCAAATTCACTGATTGTTTCCTCTGCTTGACCCATTCTGTTGTTAAGAGCCTCTAATGAATTTTTTTTTTTTTTTTTGAGACAGAGTCTTGCTCTGTCGCCCAGGCTGGAGTGCAGTGGCGCAACCTTGGCTCACTGCAAGCTTTGCCTCCCGGGTACATGCCATTCTCCTGCCTCAGCCTCCTGAGTAGCCGGGACTACAGGCGCCTGCCACCACGCCCATCTAATTTTTTGTATTTTTAATAGAGACAGGGTTTCACTGTGTTAGCCAGGATGGTCTCTAACTCCTGGCCTCATGATCTGCCCTCCTCGGCCTCTCAAAGTGCTGGGATTACAGGCGTGAGCCACCGCACCCGGCCTCTAATGAATTTTTTAATTCAGCAAATGTATTTCTTAGTTTCAAGATTTCTGTTTTTTTTTGTTTGTTTGTTTCTCTGATAAGTTTCTGAATTGCTTTTCTGTGGCTTCTTAGAGATCAGTGAATTTCCTTAAAATGGCTATTTTGAGTTTTTGGTTATAAAGTTTACATATCACCATCTTGTTCAAGTCAGTCACTGGTTCCTTGCTTTGTCCATTTGTAGAAGCTGTGGTTCCTCATTTGTTTTTGTTTCTTGTGGATGTATGTCTATGTCTTTGCATTGAAGGGTTGGTTATTTATTCCAGTCTTCCCAGTCTGGCTTGTTTTGTTTTTTATTGGACATTTTTGCTTAGAGCTTCTTTGTAATTTACCTGTTGATTTCCCTTTTTTTCCTCTGCTAGGTTACTGCCTAATTTTTGGCACTAGATGACACCTTAAGCCAAAGTTTGCCTCAGTTATGGTAAACAATGAGAGTGCTACTTTCCCTGAATTTGAGAGGTCCCAAAAGGGATATACCAGTAGTGTGGGAAGGCTGGCTAAGGGTTTGTGCAGAAAGGATGAACAATTCTCCTACAGTGAGGTGCTGCTTAACAGCCACTCTGATTTGGCATCCCTTTGGCCAAGTTACAGAGAAAGTTTCTAATGCTGGGGTGGCAGTCCTGCTGCCCCGTACCTTTTTCTCTGTCCTTAGGGATATTTCTCCCTTCAGGCACTTTCGATGTTTCCATTGGGTTGGGGAAGGGACAGATTTCCTGCCAGGCAATCCACAATAGTGGGGAAATTGTTTACCCACTTTGACCTCATTTTTTCCAATGTAGAAATTATGAGTCAGAGGAAATTTTCCGGTTACTTTCTGCTGGGCAGATTGGGGGTTGGGGTTTCACAGATATTGAAGTCTGGTTTTCTTCCCTCTGCTCAGAAATTTTTCATGTCTCTGGCTCCTGGAATAGTCTCATCCTCATATTTGAGTTCTTGGGTATTGCTGGTGATAATCTCTGTGCTGTATATTTATTTATTTTTTGTGGGAGTGAGTGAAGCCAACTTGCTTCTATGCCACCATTTCAGAACTGGCAAAAATGCATGTATTTTTTAATTAGTAATTTCTAATAGTTTAACTTATAAAAAAAAGGTTTTAATTATGAAAACTTTTATCTTAGCATTATATGTAGTGGAAACAAACCTCAGTGTTCAATAATGGGGGATGTTTCCGTAAACTTGTTTATGTATGATATGTATTAGGGTTTCTTAACCTTGGTGCTATTGAGATTTTGGCACCCGCTAATTTTTTGTTGTGGGGGCTATCCTGCACATTTTAGCAGTGTCTCTAGCCTCTGCTTTCTGGGTGCCAATAGCACTGCCTTTTAGTAGCATAATTCTGCTGCGAGACACCAGGAGTCATTACTGAAAATATTTAACAACCCTTCAGCACAGGCTCAGAACTGACCAGCTTAACTGAGCGGGGTAAAATTTAGAATAGTGGCCGCAAGTGCAATACCCCTTTAACCCAAGTTATCCTGAGAAATGGCTACATACCCAGACACCTTGTGTTAGAGACCTAGCTTGCTGTAGTAACCTGTAGCTGGGGGAGAGCAGGATTAGGTGTCTGGGAAATCCACTGGAGAGACCAGCACCAGGGAGAGAACCTGTTGTTCTGAGTGTGCCAGATAACTTCAGCCTTTAACACTCCACAGGGAGATGGAAGGCGGCGGGGGTTGGTCAACATGTGGAATGAGGCTTCAAGGCATTGTCCTGAGATATTATTGGAAGGAAAACTTTTCCTTTTCTGATTTGGGTCCAGTGGTTGGGGACCTGCAGATTAACTGACAAGAGACAGATTAATTGAAGAAAAGACAAAGTTTATTTTCACAGGACAGAGTTCCCAGCAATGGAAAACCCACTAAATAACCAGAGATAAAGGTTTATATTCCAAATTTAACAAAAGATTGGGGAGTGGTTTTAGGGCTTCAGTGGGAAAATGTAGAAAGTTCTATCAGGCTTTTTGATGGTAATGGCAACAGGCAGTTTGTCTACCTGGGAGCTGAATTAGACAACTCCCTTACAGGGGAGTTAATGGCAACTATTTTTTCTGGGAAAGCTCTGTTTTAGTCAACTACTTGAAGTTCAGATAAGATTTCTTTCTGCATCTTCTTTTGCTCAAATGTTTTCACTTTAAAATAATCTGTATACCAACTCTGGGGATCTGAATGGGTCCCCGTATTTTCCCTATGTAGAAGTTCCTTCAAAAAAAGAAAGTGGGTTGATTGCTGCGCAGAGACATTTGTGTTATAAATTGCAAGGTAAGAGATCTATAAAAGAGAGCGAATTTAGATTAGAACAAGGAAACAAAAAGAAACCAAAGAATAATGGTTGGAGCAAACTATAAACTCAGATTCTGAGTCCAGAAGGCAGCCAGTTGTGATTTCCGGGTGTTGGATTTGAAGCGTCTTCAGTGATGATAGTAGTGTCACAGCCACGGTTACTCCCTGGAGCAGAATGTGGAAGAGGCAGGTATTCCAGTGGGCTTTCTGAGTGGCCCACACAGTGGTGGTGATTAATCTTTTGAAGTTTTATCAAGTCATCCAGCTTCAGCTTGCACAGCTTTGGGAGTATGCTTAGAATTATTTCATTGGGGAATTTTTTTTAATGTTTCCAGTTAATGACACATGTACTAAAATAGATTTATTAGAAGAAATTTGTTTAAATTTCCTTGACAAGAAACAGCTTTTGGCTTCTAATATATTCCTATTAATTGAGTTAAATCTTAAAATTCTTAGTGAACTCTATTCATGTTGGGGACTTGTGGTGTAGGTAAACCTAAAATTATAATGATTATAAAGTTTTTTATATGGTAACATTTCATTAGTATCAGATGAGAGTGAGAGAGTAGAATTCTACAGAAATTGAAATCTAAAATGAACAGTCTTTAAGGATAGGTGTGTGGTTTTAATAATTGTAAGTAATATGAATTTAATGATGATAATGAGTATCTGGTGTGTGTGAGGCAATAACATCAAGTTCTGTTGCATCAAGTGCTGTGGCCGTTGTGATATGAGAAGGCCTAACCACAAGGTGAGCGAATCTACAGAAGCTTCATGGAAGGAACAGCATTTGAGAAATGCCTTGAAAATTCCCGCAGGCAGACCCAGGGGAGCCACTGCAAGTGGGATGAAGAGATAAGGAAAGGCACAGATGGTGGGAAGACTGGGGAGAGGCACTGTGGCTTCGTAAACCGAGCCTGGTGTTTGGAACTGGATATACTGGAGTTTGTTCTTTTTCTTACACTTACTAGCCAAGTACCCATAAGTGTTCCCCATCTTGGAAATGGAGAAAATATCTCCCTCACAGAACATTTGTGAGTACTCAATGGAAAAGTTTCTGGCACATAAGTACCCAATAAAGGTTACCTTGTTCCATTTTCTAAAAACAATGGGTCTTTGACTTTTTCAGGAACAAAGACTAAAAGAGAAATTCATTTAGGGACTTTTTACAGAGATCTTTTAAAAACACATAATTATGTTATTCTTGAGCAAGGGGTAATTTGATTAAGTCAGTGAAAAGCAGAGATCATAGAGTTGTATGTTAATATATTAGTATTAAGAAACAATGGTCCATGGTTATATTGCTTTGTTGGAAGTTATTTAGAACATTTTGCATGCTGAGCATCATGAATACTTTGTCTGAATTATTAGTGGCCTCCAAATTAATAATGGGGCTTTCCTGTGTGTTTTTGACATTAAATTAAGTTTTTCTTTGTTCTTTGTTCTGAAGTAGTAACTCAACTTCCATTCCTAATTACGTTCTGCCCAGGCTAATATGAGCACTAGTTTGTAATCTTTTGCTACCCAGTAGTGGGGCACCCTTTTTTGAAGCTGCCTAGACATGGCTAAAGACACATTTGCAGTGGGGAAAAGCTGGCAAGGCGTGACAGATGCATTCTGGTTATTATCCAGATTTATCTGTCTCTCCCAGAAAGTATGATCATCCCCTTTGCTTCCCACCTCTTCTGTGGGAAGCACTCTGCTGTGCCCACCCTTCCCGCTTTGTTACTCTTTCACTCTATCATTGTTATAATAAGGAAATGTTTTCCTAAAAGTAGAATTTTCATAAAATTTAAGTCCTGACTTACCGTCCTGGTTCCTGGACACCTGTTTTCAGTGTGATGCAGAAATTGGCCTGTGCTTCTCATACCAAATAGAATAATCCTTTATTTAAACAGCTGTCCCATATGGACAATGTACATTACGAGACAATGGTGTTCACCATTTGGAATCCTTCTTTGTTCTTGAATTAGAAATAAGAATCAGCAAACATTGCCATGCTATGGCAGTCTCAGCATCATTTCACAGAGTGTGTCTAAAGGAGTAGTATTTTTGGTAGCTGAAAAATATTACATAAGTAATGCTGCATACCAGTTAGTTGTATTAAAATATATATTATGTACAGCTGTGTACTTGGCTTGAAAAGCTTCCTTGACAACATCATTTAACTTCTTACTGTTCTTTTCATGTTGCTGGTATAAATATCTAATATGTTTTTGTTCAAAACATCAATTAGGTTTCAGTATAATCTTTATTAATACAGATCTGTTATTACAAGAAGACTGCCGAGCTATGATAATTTGCACAGCAGGAACAATAAAATATCTCCTTTCTGTTTCATTCTATTCCAGAATGCTTGGCTTTTTGTTATTCTTTTACACAACATACTAAAACCTTTTATGATTTTTTAAAAATTATAGTTAAATCTTTAAAGCTTATATAAGCAAAAGCATTATTTTTTTCCCAAGGTGAACAAAATTGAAAGGCCAAAAATTTCAGATAGATTGAAGAAGACATATATTAGTTACAAATCTCCACTTTTAATATCTTTCATTCTTTTTCTTTATGTAGCCAGGACTCCTCACTTCCTGCGGATTCAGAATGTGGAAGTTAATGCTGGCCAGTTTGCTACCTTCCAGTGCAGTGCCATCGGCAGGACCGTGGCAGGAGACAGGCTCTGGTTACAGGTACAGTAACTCATTTTCATCAGTTGATGAGAGTCCAGCGGGAAGAATACACTCCCCCTGGAGGAGGAACCCAGAGAAACAGACTCAGGTCCTAGTGTAAGAGTTTCCTTCTTTGTTAATAAGTAGCCAGATTACTTAGTAATCTATAAAAGCTAATTATTTTTGTTTAAACACCTTTTGTGAATTTCTTTTTTTTTTCCTTTGCTTATGCTTAGTCATCTTGCTTGGAAGATCTGATTGTCAAATTACTTATATGGCAGTTTATTAAATTACAAAATATAGCACTCTTCTCCTAAGTCTTCCTCTTGAGAAAAATCTAAAGAGTCTCTTTCTCTCTCTCTCTCTCTCTTACACACATACACACCACAGAACACTTCATAGGCCTTTTTGTCATTTGAATTTCCAAGCTGTAAGCTTAAACTTAGAAATTAATAATACATATTTTACTTTTGAGCTTTTAAATTATATTTCTTTGGTGTAGTGATCAATTGTGTGACTTGTTTTGTAATTATTCAAATTCCACCATATGTGTTTTGCATGGCAGAGGGTTGCGTGGATACATCCATGCTCTCAGGAATCCTGACAGAATGAGTGGGAGTAAATTGCCTGTCCCTTCTAACCAGAATGCCACCCACTTCTTTAAGCTCTAGGTTTGGGGTTTGCCCTGCCTTGGTATTCTCCAGTTGCATTCTTGTTTCTTTCTTTTAAGCATTAATCTGGAGGCTGCTCATTTTTCATCTTGAGTGGTGTTGATTTTTTGTCCTTATCTTTCCGTGTTTTGTGTGGGTGTGGGTTTTTTTTTTTAAAGTATTATCTATTTATTTTTAGTTTGCTACTGAGTTGAACTGTCCTTCGGGTTTTAACCCTTCTGTGTACGCGGTTGTGCTCCACACTGGCTTCCGCTCCATCATGTGTGCTGGCCTTGTCTCTGCACGTGCCATCTCTCCACCTCCTGTCATGCCTCGCAGTGTAATTATGATTGTGATTGGAGACTCCGTGTGACACTCTGTAATTTTTAAATCCTTCATTCCTTTTAATCACTGCAATGTAAATCTGTAGTCATTTGTTTTGTTTTGTGTTTGTCTTAGAGACAGGGTTTCTCTCTGTTGCCCAGGATGCGGTAGAGTGGTACCATCTCACTCAACCTCCTGGGATCAAGTGATCCTCCTGCCTCAGCCTCCCAAGTAGCTGGTACAACAGGCACATGCCACCATGCTTGAGTAATTATTTTGTCATTTTTATAGGGATGGATTCTCCCTTGTTGCCCAGTCTGGTCTCAAACTCCTAGCCTCAAGTGATCCTCCTGCCTTGGCCTCCTAAAGTGCTGGGATTACAGGTGTGAGCCACTGCACCCAGCCCAGTAGTATTTTTATTCTTCTCTTTCTGGGGAAAATGGGAGACATTTGAGTGTATGTCCCAAGATTAATCAGCAATGCATTGTCAGATGGGAAATGCATTCTGGAGAGGCTTCTTGTTGTTTTCTCTGCCAGGATGTTCCACCCCTCTGCCCAGTGTCACTCTGTTTTTTCATACCCTACTGTCCCTTTTAGAGACTTTGCTGGCCAGGAAGTGTATGCAGAGGATTATATTGTATATTCCAAGTTCATCTTTACTTTCTTCTTTGTCTGTAAAAGTTTTGTAACTGCTAACTTAAGAGTTTTTTGCCGCTTGTGAAAACTGTCCTCCGTATTCAAATTTTTTTTCTCTTTTTAACCTACATCCCAATTGTTTTAAACTCTTGATGTTAAAATTCAGAATTGTTTTCTCAGATAATGGCTATTTGGTATTAAACACAATCAAGATTGGCCATCTGTGGTAATTAATGATGAGACAAACATCTTCTATTGACATTTTCCACAGAGTATTAAGCACCTTTTAAAAATGAAACTATTTGTTCCTTTGATTTATCTCTAGAAATCTTAATTATTTGTGGAAAAATACGTTTTGCTCCTAATATTTATGATATTACTTGAGAGAATACAATATAAATACTATATTAAGTCTAGAGAATACAATATAAATACTATATTAAGTCTAAGCTCTCGCCTTAACAGAGTCATCTTAGATATTCCCAAGAATTTAAGGTTTGTTGAGGACATGATTTGCTCTTTTTATTTTTGCAAACGTCCTGGACTTGGTGTGCTCCTGCTTAAACTTGAGCACTTATTTGGGTTGGGAATCTTTCACTACTTCCTACACTTCCAGGAACTTTGTTTTAGAGATAATTTGTCATGTGGTATGGAGAAAGCTACTTACAGTTTTGGGGTTTGAAAAACAAAGGGTCTAAATGCAAAGTTATCAGCCCTGACTCTACTATAGAACAACTTGGAAGGGTTTTGTTTTGTTTTGGTTTGTTTTTTTTCACAAATGTCTTGTCTATTTCCAGATTCTCATTTAGTTGGTCTAGGGTGGGGCCCAGCGTGCAATGTTTTATTAAAGACTCTCCAAGTGATTCCAGTGTGCACCCAGGGTTGGAAATTACTAGTGTGAAGCAAAATACAACACACATTCTAAATCAGGAAAGAAAGAAGGCAGACATAACATATAACTGGTACCTGTATTCAGTTGCCTCAGTTTGACCCCAACGTTTAATTTTCCATGTACTGATCTTTGAATTTTTTCTCATTAGATTTGAATGATGGTGTTGGTAGTTGTTTTCACAGTCGGTCCCTTAATGCCTTTCTTTTTCTCTTGCTGAGTCTTTTCTGACCCCTCTTGTCTTCAGTGACCATTTATTGCCCTGCAGCTTTCTACACTGCGCTGTCAAGAAGGAGATGACACAGATAGAACTGTTGTGACTTTGAGCTTTTTACTGAAACTTACTTTATCCTGGAATCAGGACACTATTTGGTTAGTGAATCTTTGTGATGTTAGAATAATTTTACTGTTAAATAGTTTATTTTCCCTGGTTGGGTAGGCATTTTGTGGGGAAATATTTATTTTATTAATAGCTTATGAAATAAGACCCGTGTCCTTCACCTGCAAGGGTGGTTTTTATTAATCTATATGTGTACAAAGCAGTTTCCAGTAGTGATGAAGGTTTTCAGCAGATGCTGGTTTTGCACAGCCCTTCCTGCCCTCTTGCCCAGGACCCCTCACTCCCCCTTGAACATTTTCTCAGTCCATTCTTTAGAGGTCGTGAAGACATGTAAACCTTTCGTCATGGACCAGGTCTTTCTAATCTAGAGTTGTAATACACTAACACCTGTCTGCGTGTAAACTCATTTGGGTCCTCAAAATAATCCTGAGATCCAGGCAGAAAATTGAAGAAAAGAACTTATTTTTAGTTTTTTCTGTGATTCGAATCTCTCTCAAGAGTGAGTCAATATTTAGAAATTAATAATACATCTTTGTTTGGGGGTACATTGGTGTTTTTGAATATAATCATTTACAATATTTTTTTGAGACAGGGTCTCACTCTGTCACCTAGGCTGGAGTGCAGTGGCATGATCTCGGCTCACTGCAGCCTCGACCACCTGGGCTTAGATGATCCTCCCACCTCAGCCTCCTGGGTAGCTGGGACTACAGGTGTGCACCACCACACCTGGCTAATTTTTTGTATTTTTTGTAGAAACAGGTTTTCACCATGTTGCCTAGGCTGGTCTCAAACTCATGGGCTCAAGCAATCCACCTGCCTCAGCCTCCCAAAGTGCTAGGATTACAGACGTGAGCCACCATGCCCGACCTATTTACAATAATTTTTACTACTTGTGTTGCAGTCTTTTGAGGCCCACAATAGGTATTCTGCACAAAGTTTCATGGTTGTATCCCATGGTAGTTTATCTGTTTTGTAGGAGAGGAGTTGGAAGTTTAGGATTGTCCTGGGTCACAAAGAAAAATGACATAGCTGGCAATAATACAACTCTGTTTATTTACTTTTATTTCACCTTTAAGTAATTCCACTCTACTATACCGTCTTGTTGAATTTGGAAGGTAGATGAATAGGCATTATGCACTTACGCTTTGATAGAAGAATTTGGGTGTGACCAATATTACATCGTTAATATCAAGGTGCCATCCTGACCGTGGAAAATAATGCTTATATGTATTACATGTCATATTGATCCATACCTGTGAAAATGGCCAAGGTTTTGATTTTTTTAAATATAGATTAAATATAACCCTTGTCAGAGTCTTTCACAATAACGTAACGTAAATAAATCTGATGATGACACTAATGAAGAAATGTTTATGATTAACAGATGTGTCCCATCTGTTTATATTTTCTTAGTCTCATCTGTGGACCACACAGGTTATGTTGCCAAGTGGGATTGTTTTCTCTAGAACACTGAACAATAGAATAAGACCCAGTGTGTGAGCGCATCCATTGTTACAGCTACAAAATACTTTAAAAAATTTTCCAGACAGTAGGAAGACAACATCTGTAGAACTCTTTTCTTGTATCGAAAAACCTATATGCAATGCAGTTCTTGAAGATACTTGTGATATGTTATCGGATATGGCAATCTATTCATATAAACATGGACTGCAACAGTGTGAGATACTAAAATTAAGTGTATTTATGGAAATCATTCAAGCACCCAAAATATTACTGTAATTTTTTGCTATCAACTTTCCGATCACTTTTTGAGCCCACATTTTGAAAATATCTCAGAGTCTGTATACATATACTGTGTGTATGTGTGTGTATATATATATAACACTGAAAAGAGAAAATGGAATTTGAGATTTTCTTTTTATACTTTCTGTACACTTTTATACTTTTGAAAGTACTTTCTTGGCTGGGTGCAGTGGCTCACGCCTGTAATCCCAGCACTTTGAGAGGGCGAGGTGGGTGGATCATGAGATCAGATCGAGACCATCCTGGCCAACACTGTGAAACCCTGTCTCTACTGAAAATACAAAATTTAGCTGGGTGTGGTGGCACGTGCCTGTAGTTCCAGCTACTCAGGAGGCTGAGGCAGGAGAATCACTTGAACCCGGAAGGCGGAGGTTGCAGTGAGCCGAGGTCGTGCCACTGCACTCCGTCTCAAAAAAAATAAATAAAAATAAATAAATAATTTTTGTTTGCTGATGGGAAACTTCTGATGTTGTATATTTTTTATGTAGTCACTGACCTTTAAGCTATGTATGGTTGTATTAAAACCTTTATTGTTCTTTCTTCAGTATTCCAAATATTATTTGCCTATATTTGCTTGTTTCTCTCAGGACTTTCTATTTATAATACTTTCCAGTAAATGAAGGTGACAACCAAAGCTAGCTAGTGTTTATGTACCTATAGATGACTCATGCACGTGCAGTTACAAGACCTGTGGCATGGGGGCCACTGCCTTTCTCTTCCCCTGCCTGGGGTCCCATTTTGGTGTTTTTGTAACTTCTGCTCTTTAATTCATTTCTTGTAATCGTTGTAGAGGTTCCTGCATTCCTTACTCCTGTTAGCAACCACATCACATTCAGAGTGGGTGGGAAATACAAAGGTTCTGCCTCCAGGACAAAGAGCAGAAGACGGAGGTGGGGAGGAGCGATGTCTTTTCAACAAAGGATGAACAGATCTTTGATCAGGCTAGGGGTTGAGGTGTGCATGTTGAGTGAATAGCAGTTGGCAGTGGAAACCTGGAAAATAACCCCTTTCTCTTCACAGTCATTAGAGGTCCATACCATTTTTAAATATCTTACTTTTTAAAATTACACAATTATGTAACCTCTGAATTTGGAGCAATCTTCAAATTAAATTCCTAATTTTATTGACGAGAAAACAGAAGCCCAGAAAATGTAGGAAACTTTAGTGCAGCTGTATATCCTGTTTTTATGTTTATTATAGGTAACTCCATTTTATTATTGAAAGTCAGTTTTATATGTCTAATATTTTTATGTCTGTATATATATGTACATGTTTATACTTACGTATAAGTATTGTTATTTATTTACAAATGCATGAATTTTTTCTCTTGGACATTTTTCTTCACTGAGTGATCTTGCATCTCAAATATTAGCCTTTTAACCTGATAGTCTCAGATTTACTGTGATTTACCTGTGTTAAATTTAGAACCTTAAAATCCATCATAGCACAATATAATTGAGAGTTTTACTGTTTTGCAAGCAGAGTTTGGCATTTATTATAAGTAATGCACCAGAATAGCCTTTTAAAATGATTCCATAATATGCATTAGTTTATACAAATAGAAAAGGAAATCAGATGATGTTACTGTAAAGTACAGTAGTCCCCTCTTATCCGAGATTTTCACGTTCCATGGTTTCTGTTACCTGTGGTCGATGAAAATGTGGTCCGAAAATGTCAAATGGAAAATTCCAGGAATAAACAATTCATAAGTTTTAAATTGTGCACCATTCTGAGGAGCACAATGAAAAGTTATTCTGGCCCACCCTGTCCCACTGAGGACATGAATCATCCCTTTGTCCAACAAATCCCACCACCTACCCAGTAGTTACTAAGGAGGTGTCTTGGTTATCAGATAGGCTGTCTCAGGATCACAGTGCTTATGTTTAAGTCACCCTTACTTTACTTAACCATTGCCCCAAAGCACAGGAGTAGTGATGATGGCAATTTGGATATGGCCAAAGAGAAGGCATAAAGTGTGCTTCCTTCAAGTGAAAAGGTGAAAGTGCTCAACCTAATAAGGAAAGAAAAAAATTGTATGCACTGCTTGCTAAGATCTACAGTAAGAAAGAATCTTCTATACTTCAAATTGTGAAGAAGGAAAAAGAAATTCATTCTAGTTTTGCTGTTGTACCTCACACTGCAAAAGTTTACAGCCACAGTGCATGGTAAGTGCTTAGTTAAGATATACAAGGAGGCATTAAGTTTGTGTGTGCAAGACATGACAGAAGCTATCCATGGTTTCAGGCATCCACTAGGTGTCTTGAAATGTATCTCCCATGGAACAGGGGGGACTGCTATACTGTTAAAAACACTGGTACAACCGAGCACCTAGACTAGTGCTTGTCACATAGCAAAATGCTCAGTGAATACCTACTAATGCATGGGGCTTACTGGCTACCCAAACAAATCGTGTAGCTCCTTCAGGTGAGCATCAAAAGTAGATTTGTAGTTAGAGCAGGAAAACAAGCACAGAGGAAATCGTTTCTCTCTGGGATGATTGCTTTAGGCCTGCAGTTCCTGTTCAGAGGATGGTCTTTGATGAGAGGAGCAATTCATAGAATGTAGTGGTGCCTCTGCTGCTTCAGGCTATATAGCAAATATCATGCAGAGTTACAAAAACTGATTAATAAAAACAGGCATATGTTGGAGTAATTTTAGAAGCAAATATGGTCAATATATCATCTTTCCTAAATCTTCATTTCTTGTACCCTTTGCCTAGGTTTTCTTATTCTGTCATGAAACTTCTGTCCTAATTCTTCCTGTAAAAACTTTCTTGCCGTGGCATCCACATTAAACGTTATAGACATACACCTTTATTTTTTTCCATGATCCCCATGAACATAAGAAATATACCTTTAATAAGGATATTCCACTTGAGTTTGCACAATGGCAACACCTGTGTCATAGTAATAGATGAATTAAACCTACGCCATCCACCTTTTGTAAAGAATGTAATTCCATTTGAGCTCTTCCTTTGAGGAGTTTAATTTTCTTAAAAAAACTTACTTAGAGTTAACAGTTTTTCAGCTGTTGGCCTAGAGATTGATATATTTTTTTTCTTTTGAGAGTTTGACATATAATTCCACCAAGCTGGGTATGAGCTACGCAATCGTGAAAAAAGTATGTTTCTCCAGTCTAATAAATTGCTCACATTTTGTTTTTGAGCTCAGATAATTTTAAAACTTTTTCTGAGAGAAAAGAGGGAAACCTTGAGATTTTTATAACCTACAACGATTTTAATGGGAACAGTTTCACTGATCTACCATAGAATTTGGCTTTTGAATGAATAAATTAAAAATTATATGAATAGTGTTTATATTACTGACTTCAGCAGGTGTGTTTGAAATAAAGTAATTGCAGCTACATTTACTGAACACTGCTATGTGCTAGTTACTCTGGTAGGTGATGTTCAGGCATTTTTTTCATTGATCCCTACAAGAATTTTATTATACGTCCATTTATAGAAGAAGCGGCTGAGGCTTCTTCTTTAATGACTTTTCCAATGGTGCATTGCTAATCACAAGAGCTCGGATTTGAACCCAGGCCGTCTATGTTGTATCGTAACCATAATGCATGTTTGGTACTGCAGAAAAAGACATAGATAGTTCCTCATGAATTCATAAGTATCATGTAATTTAAATGATAGCATTGATCAGAATGTACAATTAAAGTTGTTTTTGTATGTATGCGATGTTGCCTTGGCTTTCGTGTTATGGATATATGCTTTTGGTCAACCTTTCTAGGTGGCTTTTAGTTTCATTTGTTGATTATAAGGAAAAAAATCACAACTGTATTTCAGAACAATTTTGTTATTATGTATAAAAGCCACAAAATGATATGAAAAGAAGTAAAATTATGGTTCCCTTCACAAGCTTAACTTGGGTATTTTATGCCATATATATTAAAGCAGAAATTTAACATCACTTAGCATTCCAGAAAATACTAGAAATGCATAAAGGAGGACTGTCTTTAGTTGCTATGGGAACCATTTGCTCTAAAAAATTTTGAGTACTTAAAATCACATCCATTATTGTTTTAGTCAGTTAAATATCTATATCTATATTTATATAATATACTGAACAATCAGACTGAAGCTACTGAAAACCTTTAGGCGTATACCTTATGTTTTAACTTAATATGATTTTGGATTACCTTTATTTAAAAATAAACATTTCTTTTATATTGATGAAACAGTATAACATGTCTAGGGATACTCTAGAAGAAATTAATTAATAATTTTTCCTTTGTGATATTATCTAACTCAGCCAAAAAAAGATGTAAGCAACAGGTGCTGTAGGATGTGGCAGGAACAGGTAGGGCAGTAGAGAGCCCCTTCCTCCATAGCAACCTTGAGGTCTCCTGGCCTCGACTTGAAATTGGACTTTTTATTTTTATTTTTTTCTTTCCAGCTTTTATTTTAGGTCAGAGGGTACACATGCAGGTTTGTTACATGGGTAGATTTTGTGTTGCTGGGGTTTGGTGTACAAGTGGTTTTGTCACCCAGGTGGCGAACATAATACCTGTTAGGTAGTTTTTTGACCCTCACCTTCCTCCCACCCTCCACCCTAAAGTAGACCCTGTGTCTGAAATTGGGCTTTTAAAACTACTGGTCAGGTTGTGTCAGTCTGGAGGGCAGAAGAGAAGGAAGGGCATCACCACTAATCTTAAGGTCTGCTTCCTTTGGCCCTACAAACCATACATTCTGGGAAAGCCTTCTTTCTTCTTTTATTATATTCAGCGGAAGGTTCACTTGCTCTTCTTGCTTCCAAGTATCCGAGGCTATCCCATGAGAAAGGAAGACAGAGATGGCCATGGTTGGGGCTGCCTGCTTCATGGGGCTGGCGGGAACTGGGAACAGGTAGAAGCCCCACCCACTGCTGAGCTGGCAGGGCAGGAACCTCATGCTCCCTGAGCACAGCTGCGGCTGCCCAGCCATGGCTGCAGACCCAGCATCCCTGTGCTCTTAGAGGCTGGGAGCAGGCAGGAGCCCTGCCCTCCCAGGTGCAGCTGCAGCTACCCAGCCACGGCTGTGGACCTGGGCATCTTTGCACTCTCAGGGACCCAGGAAGACACCCCTGCACCTGCAGGCTTCGAAGTACCTGCTTCCACTGCCTGGCCTCTCCCTGTTCCCAGTGCCCGCTTCAATCTTGGAGCAAAGTTGAGGCTAAACCCAGGTGCTGTCGCAACCCAGCCAGGTGTGTGTGCACCCAGGGCAGCACTTACATGCCAGCCCCCTGCCGCCTCAGCCCCTTCCTGACTTTAGGCACTGACAAGCATGGGAGGAAGGCTGAGGGGGTGTTGAGGGCAGTTTGGCACTGGCCTGCAGGTGCCCCTCAGCATGAACAGCCTGAGTACCATGAACAGGAGGCAGACAGGCTCCAGGGCAGATGGGGGAGTTCCCCGGTGAAGTCCCACCTTCAAGCCAAGGAAGGCCTGAAGCCTGGGAGCTGTCAGTCCTGCAGTTCGGGAGTGGGAAATTATCGTGCTTTTTTGATGCCCACCCATGGCCACCCATGAACCTGTCAGCACACACTTCCTCCCCTCTGAAGCCCATGAAATCCATGGACTCAGCCAGACTCGAGCACTCAGGCCGACCTGCCTGGAGAGAGAAGCTGCCCACTCCAGGGTCTCCTCTCTGCTGAGAGCTGAGCACTTGACTGGATGACCTGCCTGCATACAGGAGCTACCCACTCAAGGGTCTCCTCTCTGCTGAGTGCTAAACACTTGTTGGGACACCCTCACTGTGGAGCAAAGCTGACCACTATGGGTTTCCTTTGCGCTATTCTGTCATTCAGTAAAGCTCCTGTTCACCTTACTCACCCTCCACTTGTCTGCATACCTCATTCTTCCTAGACACAGGACAAGAACTCGGGACCCACCAAATGGCAGGGCTGCAAGGGCTATAACACAAGCAGGGCTGAAACATGCTCCTTGCTCACCACGTTGTGGGTGACAAGAAAGAAGGAGAGAAGACCTACAGCCCTTCAGGGAGCCCAGACCTAGAAGCTCCCCGAGCCAGGGCTGTGACACCCTCTTCGTGGCTCTGCAGTTCCTGGTGTCTGAAGTTTCTGGGTGCCACCACGTTCCCCATTGCCAGCCTTGGAAGCTGCTTGCAGGGAGCTGGTGCCCATGCCGGCACCTGGAGCTGCCCATCCCACCACAGCCAGTGTGCCTGGCTGTGCTCAGTGGCCAGATCCCATGCTCGCTCACTCACACACCCGTCACCTCTCCCAACTCGCCCTTGGCAGGCATGGAATCCAGGCCGGTAGTGTCAGCCGAGCGCAGCCTGCCAAGCCAAGTGGGCCCGCTGGGCCCGAGCAAAACTCAGGTAAAGGTGCCACTGGCCACAGAGGTTTCTGGCTGGCGAAGCAACACCCCAAGGATCCCATAACATTATCAGCCATTGATGATCATTGCCTTGGTTCATTAATTCATTAGGAGTTGCAGAATGGTCTAGGTCTATCAGTCACTTACTGTCATCACCTAAAAGTGACCAAGGTAGTTATAATTATTGTTGTCATCATCAGCATTGTCGTCATCAGCTTGTGTGTTTGAACACATTTGATGTGTTTCAGTCCATTGCGCTTAATATCTTTATTGCTGCTCATGTCTTCCCCAGCCTTCCAGTGGGGCTTACTCTGCATGGGTGACTCCTGTCCTGGTCCATTTCAGGGAGCTTCTTTGCTTTCTGGTGTGATGACATATTCTAGGTGTATATTTTCCATTTTCTACTTCAGACCTAGAATTGGCCATTTTTCCAGGGAATCCTGGTTGTTTTTCTGTGGGAAATGGCCATTAGAACTTACAATCTGAACATAGAGATGCTCATTACTACTTTATTTATTTTATTGTTTATTGTTTTTGGATCTTCTCATTGGAGAGAGCTAAGATATCTTGGTATGCACACATACACACATTTAAAGACAAACTGTGCCCTGAGTGCATACTGACAATTCCTATGCAAATTCAAAACTGTAGGGATTTTAACCTCCTTTATCTTACATCTTTATCCTCTTTCAACTATGTTTTCAGAAGAGTTGTATATTTTAAGGCATATTGACTAAGGAAAAGTGACGTTATTAACCAGCCGTGTGAATGACTAGCCTGGCCTTTTAGATCATGTTTGAGAGGTAGCACAAGCACTGCCACTCTCCCCATACTAGAGTGCTATAAATACAGTTTAAAAGTGAACTGGCTTGAGACCTAGTTTTGCAAAGGTTTGAACCTTTAAATATATGAAAAAATGTTCGTCAGTGTTGGGCTCCTTAGTTTGATTTGGCCAAGTTAACCCAGTTAACAGTTGGGATATTTGATTTTAAGACCACAGAACTTCTAGTTTTGCTGGCATTTCTAGTTACTGCATTTATTAGGTATATTCTATATTATTTGGATTAACTTCTAGATAAAATTTAAATACAGGTTTATTAAATGATGTTATTCAGCTATTATGAATATATCACAAAATGAACTATGTCTAAATAGCAAAATGAAGCTCTAAATTTCCATAATCAAATTCTTCTTGAATATACCAATAATAATAGGATATAACTTTGGATATCTGTATGTTATTTTGGCTATCTGTATATTCATTAGCCAACTTAACGTGTGCTTGTCAATATATATTGCTAGCATATGATGATACAAGTCAGAATTTTTAGTTTTAGTACAGTACTCCAAATTGATAAATATTTGGGTTAACTTGGTTGTGGTCTAGAAATCAAAGGTCAACACTATGTTAATTATTAAAATCAAACTTATGGGCTATATAAAGGTAGATTCTTCTTTGAGATGTTCGATTAATACAGGATTTAGCTTGCATAAGATATTTCAAACAAAATTACTCCAGGCCCTGCTGATGTTATTAGTGATGTCGGTGGTAAGAATTTCAATCAATATCTCACAAATGGGCACATTTGAAAGTTGGATAATACAGACTATTTTCACTATTGAAGAAATGAAAGTGCCGTTTAATCCCCACCTGTATGTCTGAGGAAGGGGGACTGGCTCAGAGCTCCCTGCCTGATGCCTGCGTACTCAGAGCAGCTCCAAAATGCCTGAGATTGATTAATTTGCTGCAAGTGCTGCTAACTTCCCAGACCTCAATTTCTTTCAATCATTGCTCTGATTATTGCAAAACTATTTCTGAAAGACTTAATATGTATCTTTTGCTGGTAAATTACTGCTCATTTAGAAGTCCTAGAGTTAGTCCATTGCATAGAGAAGGTTGTAAGTCTAATTTAAATAACTATCAGTACTTTTTTCTAGCCTGCTCAAATTGAAATACATGCACATTTGAAGATACTCTTGCTTTTATAAAGAGCTGTATTTAACCCGGTCAGATATCTCCTCTCAGGCATCATCATTATGGTTATTTCACTAAGTGGACAAAAGATGGGTCAGTGATTTATTTAACAACCCAGGACATTCGGTCACTGTGCTTTGCATGGTGTCTGAGGTTTTTGTTCCCAACAACTGTGTCCTAGGCTGTCTCTCCCAGTGAACTCTCATATGGTAAAGAACAGTGCGATGCCCATCCTTCATCATTTTTTATGGTCCTTCTGTCACGCTATTAAGAATGTAGAGTGCCAGTGCTTGACGGGGCTGCCTGTTTCTTATTCTGAAAATGGGGCAAAATGTGGCTGACAATTTTGCTGTGTCCACCTGATGTATATTTTCACAATTTTGTTTTGCTGTGGGTTTCTAGATGCTCAGTGGTACCTGAGGTTCTGAACACACTGACCTCTCCAGGTGTCACTGTCATGGGGAAAGGACGGTAGGGGCAGACTCTCATGCCTGTCTGCACCTGACTTGCAGCAAAGGAATTGGGGCTGGCCATCACTCCCCACACTTCACTGTTTAATTCCAGCCTAGGGAATGGAATCTGGGGACCAAAAGACATCTTAAAATCAATTTAGTCACTTGTTCAATGCCTGAATCACTTTTAATATCACCACCAGTCCTCCCTAGGATGTACAAGGCATGGTTTATATGTTAAAGTTAGAGCAATAAAAACCAGGCAAGGATCCCTGCCTTCATGGGACTTGTATTCTAGTAGGGGAGATAGAGAGCAACTATGGTAAGTAAGAGAATTATGCAGCATGTTAGGAAGGGGTCAGTGGCACTCATAAAGGAACAGCTAGGTGGTGCCAAGTAGGAGCATGTTTCAGTTTGGAATTTAGGCGTCAGGTTAGGCCTCAGTGAAGTATTTGAGCAGTCCCTGGAAGGAGATGGAGTTGGCTCTGGGGGATGGGTGGGAAGCATTCTAGGAGGAGGAAGAGGTCTCAAGGAAGGAGGAAGCCTGGTCTGGAAAGAACAGCCAGGAGTCCACATGGTGGGGCTGAGTCAGCCGGCACAGTGGTGCGGCCATGGCACAGTGGGACTGGGAGTGCCTGAGGATGGGAGGACTGGGTGTGTGCCTTCTCGGTGGTCGTTCTTAGTACCTTAGCCTGTACTCCAAAATCTATAATCAGAAAGTTTCCATATCTAATTTGGTAGCAAAACCTCCCCATTTTTGTAATTCATTTGGTGACCAAACCTGACCTGAATGGATGTGAAGCTATTTAGGGTTTCTGTTTTTTCCTCCTTAAAGTCAATATTCCTAGGTTTGGATGCAGAAATGTCAAAACCTAGGAATTATGGGGTGCTGTCTCAGACTTTCCTTGGGGTGTCAAAGAATATGCAGTGCAGATGCCTTTATGAAATAAAATAAAAAATCTGAATTCTGAACCACATTTTACTGCGAGGATTTCAAATAAGTAAGTACTGGTGACTTTTACTAGTATCCTGTGGCCCAGACATTCACATCCCATTCCTGTTTTACGTGCCTGTCCTTTTCATGCTGGAAGATGGTTGTCCTCTCCCCCTCATTCTCAGCCAGCTGCGTTAATGACTAGCCTGGTCTCCAGCTCCTCCCCTTCTTCAGTTCCCTAACTGTGGGCCAGGGGATTTATTCACTGTCTAGCCCACAGTCCTCTGAACAAGTCTGCTTCTCTTATGCTCTGCCGAAAGCCTGAGGCTCCAAATGGAATGCTGTGTGCTGGGACAGGGACAAGAGGGACCATCTCTCCAGATACTTCATTAATACAACTGAAAATTGAATTAGGATTTTAGACAAAAACCTGCTCCACAATTGTTATGTATGTTTTAATGATGAAGATGATGCTAAATCAGAACTCTATCCACTTAACAAAGTCTGATTTTACAGGGAAGCATCAGATGCACATTTATTTTTATTGATGTTTATCTTGTTTTAATTTATTGTTTGGCTTTGTAGATATCTTTTTCCATCCCTTTTTGTTAATTTATGTGCTCATATATTGTCACCTGTTCATTTGAGAAGCACATCTATGACTATCAAAGGCAGGAATAAACTTGTTGGGAGAAGTCAGGGATGAGGAAATAGCCTTGTGCCAAGGCACCAGAAACAGACGTCAGCGTTGGTGCCAACGAGCAGCTGCGACTCTGGTCGCTTGCATGTTTCTAGTCCACCTGATCTTCCTGGCAGTTAGCCCATCTTGTTCTCCTTGTGTCCACAGAGCTATCATAGGAGACATTGTCTGGTGCTTTGCCAGTGACTCTGAACACTGTGCTTCCTCATTTCCTCATGCTCCAAGAAATATGGTTCGACACTGGAGGAAGAAAAGTAATACCTTTCCTCACCCATCACAAGGTTTATGGCTGAAATCCCTATAACAAAAGACAGATTAACAAGATAAACACATAAAAAATTATTTAATATGGCTGGGTGCGATGGCTCACACCTGTAATCCCAGCACTTTAGGAGGCCAAGGTGGGCAATTACAAGTTCAGGATTTCGAGACCAGGCTGGCCAATATGGTGAAACCCTGTGTCTACTCTAAATACAAAAATTAGCTGGTTGTGGTGGCAGGCACCTGTAGTCCCAGCTAACTGGGAGGCTGAGGCAGGAAAATTGCTTGAACCTGGGAGGCGGAGGTTGAAGTGAGCCAAGATCGAGCTGCTGCATTCCAGCCTGGGTGGCAGAGCAAGACTCCGTCTCAAAAAAAAAAAAAAAAATATTTAATACAAGTTTTACATGGCACAGGAGCCTTCAGAAAATGAAGACCCGAATACTCAGGGAAAACTGTGTTTTTATGGACAGTCGTGTAGAAGTGTGATTGAGGGACAACAGGGCAGGATCTGATGGTAATAAGCGGGGTGCACTGAACAAGGCCTGTTTGTTCAGATTCTCTGTGGCCTGTGTGACATTCCTGCCCTCCAGATACAGGGCAGGATACCTGCCACATGAAGGCCTTTAGGGGAGGATGGAGGGAGAAGTCAGAGAGTGACCTCTGAGTTTCCTAGCCCATCTCAGGGCAGAAAGGGGCAAGTGGAATTTCAGTTTCTGTGTCCTGCTTGGTGGGGGGGCGGGGAGGGAATGGTCTGCATGATCTTTCTGATGTTGTGGTTTTCTCAGCTTCTTTCAGCTTAAATACTTAGTATGCCAAGGTGCCATATTTTGGGGTACCATTTCCTGCACTGCATCAACACTAACAAAGTGGAGGGTGAGGTCTCTCTCCTCCCTTCTCCTCCCCACCCAGTACTTTGAGGACATCCCCTCATTTCTCCTCCATTAGTCCCAAAGTGCATTTGCTGCCTTACGCGTGTCTTCTTAGAATGGGGCTGATAGAGAGCCTGATGTTGCTCTTGCACCTGACACATTTTTTGCTTTAAGAACCAAGGAGGGGTCTCTGAATGTGTGCATGTCAGGATTTCAAAGGAAACTAATAACGTCATTGAAGGCTTGTATCTTTTTCCCTCGTGGATCACATCTTTCTGCGTGTTGGGTCATTTGGCCTTTCGTTTCTGTGCCTCTCCCCATCCTTGCCCTGCCTGGTCCTTTCTTCCCCATGCTTCCTCTCCTGTTGCCTCACCCAGCTTTCCCCACTCCTTTCTGATTTTCTGTCTTCACACTGTCATTCCCCCGCTCTTCTCCAGTGTAGACGGCATGTTTTCCTGTTTCTTTCTTCTGTTTTGTTATCCCACTGCCCCTGTGGCTCTTCTGTCTCTTCATGCCTTCCTGGTCTGGCCTCTGCTCATTTCATTCATCTTATGGGGTGCCTCCATGGTTGCTGTCTTTGGGCTGCTATTCTAGCTCATGATTCCAAAGTGGGGTACTCTACTTCGGTGACCCAACATGACCTTAAAGACTTGCTTATGCACCTCTGACAAATCAAGATGCACGACCCCTGGACACCTTCAAAAAGCCACAGGGCTTTTAGTTTCTCAGATGATCACCACATTGGCATCCTATTGCTGCTGTAACAAATTCGAACCTCGTGGCTTCATCATCTTACTGTTTTGCAGGTCAGAAGCCCTAAAAGAAGGTGACGGCAGGGTTGGTTCCTCCCAAAAGCTCTGGGAAGAATCTGGTCCTTGCCTTTTCCAGATTCTAGAAACCTCCCTCATATTTTGCCTCGTGATCCCCTCCTCACACTTCAGAGCCCGTCGGCACAACCTCTGCTTCTGTTATCTTTCCTTCACATTGACCCTTCTGCCTTCCTCATAAATAGAACCTTGTGATTACGTTTGGCCAACCCAGATAATCCAGTCTATCTTTCCATCTCTAGACCCTTATTTTAATCATACCTGCAAACTCCTTTTTGCCATGTAAGGTAACATAGTCCCAGATTCTGGGGACTGGGATGTAGACATCTTTGGAGGCCCTTATTCTGCCTACCACAGTCATGATGAGTTGGGGCAATGTTGCTGACTGACGACACACAGAACCTCTAAAACATTCTTTTACTTTCCCTGTTCGTCTCCATTGTAAATAGGGATTCTTTGTCTAGGGTTTGGGGTTTAAGCCTGTTAATTTAGTAGAACCTCATTTTTCTCTTCTACCCCTGGAAGATTTTTTTCCACTGAGGCTGTGATTCCTAGAGTCAGCCAGTATTTCTTGAGTTCTATTTATTGTGCACCTGGGTACACAAAATGAGTAAGATACGACCCTGGACCTTATGGACTGCTAGAGGAGAAAGATGTTACTGCAGTAGAGTACATGTTGTGTTGATTTCATTTTCTAGATATCTTTAGGTTCCGTCCCTTTGTTTCTGTCTTCTCTCATTGTGTCATTTGTTACTATGATTTCTGAAAACAATTTACCCAGTTTCCCTTGACATCAGTTGGACTCACACCGTATCTCCTCCAGTCCATTACTGTACACACAGAGGTGTTTGTGTTACCTCTTTGCCTAAGGTCCTTCCATTCCCAGCATCAGAATACACTGAAATCTTTAACATGTCATACTTCTTGTTGCAGTCTGTATTGTGCTTTTCCTTCTAGCCTTTTTACCTGCCATACCAAGAAGCACTTCTGTTCTTGCCATATGGGATAAGTTATACTTCCCTTAGAGTTCCCCTAGAGTTCTCCTATACTTTCCCTATAGTTTTTTTATAGTTCTCCTAAAGTTCCCCCATAGCTACCCTATATTTCCCCTATAGTTCTGTGCTCTCTCTTGGCTCCTGACTCTGAAGAGCTTCTCTTATTCACTAGACTTTTCCTCTTTATTCCCTGCCTAAGAAACTTCTGTGCATCCTGAAGCCTGGGCTTAAGCAGTGCTTCCTAGAAAGCTTGCACTGACAACATCTCCAGGACTATAGTTTGAATATTTGTCCCCTCCAAAACTCATGTTGAAATATTAATCACCAGTATTAAATCAGTATTTAATCTCCAGTGTCATTATTGAGAGGTGGGGCCTTTAAGAGGTGATTGGGTCATCATAGGAGAGCCCTCATTAATGGATTAATACATGTGTGGATTAGTGGATTAATGGGTTATCATGGGAGAGGGACCAGTGGCTTTATGAGAAGAGGAGAGACTTGAACTAGCACACTCAGCCCCCTCACCATGTGATGCCCTATGCTGCCTCAGGAATCTGCAGAGTCCCGGCCGGGCGTGGTGGCTCACGCCTGTAATCCCAGCACTTTGGGAGGCTGAGGCGGGCAGATCATGAGGTCAGGAGATTGAGACCATCCTGGTGAACACGGTGAAACCCCATCTCTACTAAAAATACAAAAAAAAAAAAAAAAATTATCCAGGCATGGTGGCGGGCACGTGTAGTCCCAGCTATTTGGGAGGCAGAGGCAGGGAGAATGGCGTGAACCCGGGAGGCAGAGCTTGCAGTGAGCAGAGATGGCGCCACTGCACTCCAGCCTGGGCAGCCAAGTGAGACTCCATCTCAAAAAAAAAAAGAGAATATGCAGAGTCCCCACCAGCAAGAAGGCCCTCACCAGATGAGGCCATTTGACCTGGGCTTCTTAGCCTCCATTACTGAAAGAAATAAATTTCTTCATAAATTTTAGTTTCAGATATTCTGTTATAAGCAACAGAAAACAGACTAAGACATCCAGTCAGGTCTTCTCCTCTGTGCTATGGGAGGCAGTTCATTGCTCTGTATTGTAATTATTGCCTTGTCTGTTTTTTTTTCTAGCCAGACAATAAGCTCAATTAGGTAAATGATGGTTCTTTTAATTTTATGCTCTCTTATATGATATAGTGTGTGCCCCATAAAAGACTGTCACTGAATATTGGTTGAACGAATGCCTGAATCCATGCACACATGAATGGTTTAATACAAAATGGCCTGCAGATTTGAGTAAGATGTGTGATTTGCTATTCCTGTGTAGATTCTAAGCTAAAACGATTGCTGCTTGGTTTCTCCTCCCTATGTACTATTTCTCTTGAAGCTGAAGCTGACTTTTCATGTGATTAAGTACAGGAGTTAAAAATTTATTAAAGGCTCATTCCTGAGCATTCATATGACTCACTAGAGTCACGCAGGGCTCCTAGTCCGAGGCTGTTTATTTTATAGGGCCCATCTGTGGCATGAAGACAGTGCTACTGTGAGTCATACTCCTCTCAGCATATGCATAAATCCAAAAAGGAGGGTTTCTTTTACTTGAGTGCCCTCAGTATAGCCTTGAATAGTTGTGAGGGGTCAGTAAGTGCAAACTTGAAATTGTTTTTGAATAAACATTCTTTTGATAGATGCTTCTGTTTGGAAAAATATTAGGAGATTATTACAAAAGGATATTATTACAGGATTCATGCCGCAAGTAAATAGATAAATAAATGGATAGATAGCCCTAAGGCCTCTTTGGTTGTTGTTAGCAAACAAATACTTACAGATATGCAATCTGCCTTTATGGCTTAATTTCTTTTCCCTTCAAAAACCAGAGATGTGGTTCTTTTTCAGTTTGGAAAGAAGACTAGGGAGTAGTATGTCTAAGATTATCCTTAGGGCTAGAATTTGCTTATTTCCTGGGGTGGGGTGAGAATCAGAGACTGAATATCTATGGAAAGCAGAGAGGAACCTTTCTCCTGTTGTATTATTAATGCTAAATTTGGTTTTGTTTCATTTTTTAACTTCTTGATGCTGTCTATGAGAACAAATTTAGGGCATTTAGTGAAAAAAACACACACAGACTTATGTGGGACTTTATTTTCTGACTTACGGCATTGTGTGGTATAAACAAGACTGTTTTACAGATAATACTAAAGATAATGTTGATGGAACTGTTCTTCCCCACTCGTGATGTTTCCTTCCAAGTGGCAGGAACTGTACTATTGCAGCACTCCTGTCTGCTTTCTCACTGCCCAAGCTGAAGCTGCCTGGGAGGAAGGGCTGAGCATGCCTAGCCCAGCCCCTTCTTTGGGGAGCTGACTGCCTATGGGAACCCTCTCCCTCCATCCTGTGAGTTTTACAGCAGCACTGAACATATGGGAGGCCTTGTGGTTTTCTAGGGTGGCCTGGGACTGGGTTAGTGAGTCTGTTTATTCTGTGCTTCAGGATTAGCAAGCCCATTGTTCCTGCACTCTTAAGTCATATTCCTCAGTCTCAGGTTTATCAGTAATAAAGGTGGTACTTTGATAGCCGCTCTGCCTTTCTCCTTGAATTCATCACTCAGGTGTTCCGGCGCTTGGGCGGGGCTGCATGGTGGAATTGTTATGGCTGTGTCCTTGCGTATGCCTGTGGGTTCTCCCAGCAGCCCTGACAGTGGGTGGTATCATCTCCTCTTTACAGATTAGGAAGTGAGGCTCTATGAAGGTTAACCACTCTGGATGATCACTATAGGTTTGGCATACTGGTCAGGCTAACTCCCAAACTTGTGTCCCTTAGGTGATTCGGCCAATGAAAATATCACAGATAAAAGCTTTTAAAGGACTTTGCATAGTATAAATCACTGGGTAATACAGATGAGTTTGATTCCTTTGTAGGCTAGCATTTTCATAGCTATGAATGTAAACATTTTAATATAGCCTGCAAGTCCCTGAGCACACAGGTGCTTGCCCACCTCCCTAGCTCCACTGGCTGCCTTAACTTCATCCAAAGCCTTCATCTCTTTCTCACCATCTTGAGCTTCCTGTAGCGTTTCCTATAACTAGAATGCTCTTCCCCTCTCACCCTTCCCCTTTGCCTGGTTAGCTTCTGTTTACCCTTCAGATCTCAACTCACATGTCACTTCCTCAGACTAGCCTCCCACAGCCACTATATCTGCAGTTTGTCTGCAATGGGGTTTCTGCTAGCCAGCTCATCTTTCCTAAACCACCCTGGCCATCGTTTCTGATTATGTATTCACTCTAAACCTATACACCCCAAACAACTGCAGGCCCATAAGCCCAGCCACCACTTTTCTTTTGGGTACCATTGTGATCATGCTATCTTGACATAGTGATAGCTCCTGGTTGGGATGCCAAGAGTGGTTGCTGAGTGAATAACGGACATAGTGCTTGGGCATTACGCTTGGCATAATGATCATGTATTAGCCTTGAGGTCTTTGTCCATTGTTTTTTACTAATACTTATAAATAACATGTTAAAGATAGCCTCTTTCCTGATTATAAAATACACACACACACACACACACACACACACACACACACACACACACACAGGTTTCCGCTTTCAGGGCTAGATATTTGTCCATATTCGTATTTGTCTATGGGGGACTGTTGGTGTGAGAAACTTTATATATATGTGTGTGTATATATATTATATATAGAGAGAGAGAGAAAGAGAGAGAGAAGAGAGAGCACAAGAGCAAGAGCACATACAAGAGAGAGAACTAAAATCTCTAACCTGCTTTTGAGACTTTAAATCTCTAACCTGCTTTTGAAGCCACGAGGTTTGAGGCTTTAAACTATTGGAAGCATAGAATGGATTTCCAAGTGTGCATAACTAAAAGGGTTACTTAATATATGGGGATAATAAAAGACCATATATGGGGATAATAAAAGACCAAACTGCCCCAGCTGTGGAACTTTGTTTATGTGGTCCTGGGGATATGGGATGTAGAGAGGAACCTCTCTTGTTACGTATGAATGTCATTTAATAGTTACTAGGCACCTAATTCTGTTTGGTTTTGTATATCCAGGAAGAACGTCAAAAGGGTTGAACTATTCTTTTAGTCCTGTTCAATAGGGAGTACTCTAAAACCTAACTTATAGTTGAATGTTATTCTTAATACAGTGTTTATTACTTCATTTATAAAATGAGGTCAGTAATAGGATAGTGGGTGAGCTACTTTTATTTCCTAGTCAAGCATACAAATAAGAGAAAGTGCTATAAGACCAAATGTGGATAGTTTGAAAACAAGGTAACAAGTTTTCTGTATTTTTACTCCCCTGTTGCACTAATTAACATAATATTTTGAAGAGGCAAAAACAAAAAATGTCTTCACACTTAATTTTGCATCGCTCAGTCTTTAAGGTGTTGATCATGGCAGAATTTTAGTTTCCTGCTCAGCTATTCTCCTGGTACAACTGCCCATGGGTAATAAGCAACTGCACCAAGGTCTGCATGAAAACAGCATGGATAATATACCATTGGGTGTCTGACTGTTTTGCTCTGACAGCTTATATTGCTTCTTTTTGTCCTCCCCACCCCACTTGATACAGGGCATTGATGTGCGAGATGCTCCTCTGAAGGAAATCAAGGTGACCAGCTCCCGACGCTTCATTGCTTCATTTAATGTTGTGAATACCACCAAACGAGATGCTGGAAAGTACCGCTGCATGATTCGCACTGAAGGAGGTGTTGGAATATCAAACTATGCAGAGTTGGTAGTTAAAGGTATTTAATGTGTTTTTATACCAGAATATTCTTCTAAAGTAGATATGTTAGGTGTTGTTAGTTCATTATCCCTTTAAAGCTCAAACTTACCCTTGTCTGTTTCTGAGCAGTGGTTTGATGACAGGCTATTTTGATGGATTGCATTTTAAGTACAAATTTTGCACGTGAACAATATTTTTGAAAAATGTGTTTTATCTATGTTGATTTAGTTGCACAAAAAACAATGAATGTGCTCTTGGCAAAGTCTTCTGCCAACTCTATATACAGAGATTACAACTTATAAATTTTTTTTAAGGAATAAAATTTTTTACTGATGAAAAATCACTTAAAATGCAAATATTCATCAGCCAGCGTGTTTATGATAGCAGAGTGGTTAATAAAATGAAGCAGTGTCAGTATAAACATGCTCAGTCATATCACACAAGCCATATTGATAATTCTGTGTTAACATTCATAATGTTCCAGTTAGGTTCTATTACTATATTTTGCATGACTGAAAAATTGAGTCATTATATTTAAGAAGGTGGGGGATGAGGGAAAATAGAAAGGGGAAATAAGTTTCCTTTAGCCGGTTTAATGGGTTTTTTGTAGGCTGAGGAATTTATAGCATTAAGCCACCAAGACAATTTTTGGTCCCAGACAGGATAATTTGGACTTTGAGGTGTACCATGAGGCATTTTTAGACAACCTGTGGCAAGCCATTGCTGTTTTTCCTAGGAGAACAGAATGAGGACTGCTTTAAGAAAAGTTTTCCCTGCATTTGTTAAATATGGCACATAAAATTGATCTCTCTACATATATAATCCCAGCACTTTGAGAAGCTGAGGCCAGAAGTTCCAGACCAGCCTGGGCAACATATTGAGACTCCACCTCTACAAAAATTTGTAAAAATAAAAAAAGCTAGCCAGGTGTGGTGGCAGTGCCTATACTCCCAGCTAGTCAGGAGGCTGAGGTGGGAGGATTACCTGAGTCCAGGAGTTCTAGGCTGCAGTGAGCTATGATTGTGCCCCTGCATTCCAGCCAACCTGGACAGAGTGAGACCCTGTGTCTTAGACAAAAATTGTCTGTTTCTTATGTGGTATAAAAGCAATAGCTTTTATCTGCACATTTCTCAAGATAGGCAGCTTTAAAGATTGCTGGATTCAAATCCCAGAACTAGGTATGTGGCTATGGGCCAGTGGCTTGCCCTGTATGTGCTGCTGTTTCCTTGTGTGTAAGGTAGATATCAGATAATAATGTTATCTACCTTACAGGGCCATGAGGAAGATCAAATGCAAAGTGTATATTATATATAGGACACTTAGTATACATAGTGAGCAATGGGTGCTTGAAAGGCCCTTGGTGGGAAGGGAGAGGAGGACAGGGATAAACTTCTCTCTGGTCCAGTCTGTCAGTGGTCTTCACTGGGGAATGGATGTCTGAACTACCTTTCTGACTTTTTAAAAATGTAAATACCTGCCCACCTATTGTCTCCTCCCTGTCTGGCCACACCCATATTGAGTCAGAATATCCAGGGACACAGCCTCTGTTATAAAACCTCCAATGAGTCAGCCATATGCTCTGTTGTGAGATCACCACTGCCAGTGTTAGTTAGTCACACGTAGCTTATGGGGGACAGTGCACCCCAGTGAGGCCACCTCGAGAATCGTCTGCAGCAGTGACTGATGTTCGGCGTAAGGAAGTGCACATTAAGATATCTACTCGGATAATGTATTTGTCACAGCAGATTCTTAACATGTTTTTATTTGTGATGAGACTTGAACCAGCCTAATATTTAGGTTTAAAGTCTCTAACAAAACTAAGATTCTTCCCTGCTGTACACACCCTACCCTGTTGAAAGTGCTCTGGCAAGTGAGACATCATGATGTACAGAAAGGACACTAGTTTGCCTACAAACTGTTTTGTCATTTTAGAGTTCATCATTATCATCATCATTATTACTACCATTATTTAATTTTCATCTTGGTTCATTTGTTTTTGATTATTTTTCCTTTTCTTTCAGTTGCTATACTGCTTCACTGTGACCTGCCACTACCCATGTTATTGATTAGTGGGATGCAAATCTAGTAGTATCTCTAAAAATTCCCTTGTGGAAAAGTTAATTTGTTGGAAGTTATAAGTAAATTATAAATTTCTAGTCTACCTGAACAAACATAAATAGAAAGAATGAATAGATTCGTATTCATATTTGTGCACCACATTTTCCTGTCTTATGGCAGTGTAGTAGTATCTTGGCTCACTGTGATAAAAATTACCAGGGACTTATTTCCATTTCCGCACACTGCCACAGCTCATGACAATTTGCATGCAGTTAGGACTCAAATATGAAATTTAACTTTTTCTCCAATTATAATTTTATGGCCATATTTTGTATATAGATATATTTTTTAATGAGATAACATGCTAGATACTACTAGTTTTATAAGGTTATTACCTTGAGGCAATTACTTTAAAATATACACTAACATTTTTAGGCCACTTGTCTATAATTTAACACTTTTTTATATACCATATCATATTTGGAGTGCTAAATTTTACAAATGGGAGAAACTAAAGTCCATAGAGTTTTTAACCTTTTAAGGTCACACACTGATTTGTGGCCAGCCTCCCAAATAAAGACCAAGTCCTTTAATTGACTAACCATCACTCTCATCTTTATTCATGTCTAGCCACTTTTGATAACCAAGGACATAAAAATATTTCATATAATCTCCACAATGCATGTATATATGCATATATATATCAATACCCTATTTAGTTACGTTTCTATATTTCATATGTAAACATATTTCATACAGTTAAATATGATACTGACATATTTATTGATGTATTAGGCATTTACATGTGCGTATCCATTAGATATATGTCTGTGTGTGTATAAATACTGCCATTACTGGCTTGATTTAGAATTAGTTTTATGGTGTCCTTTCACTTGAATTAAGAAATATTTTAAATTGCATTTTATCACTTTGTACAGATTAAGATTCTTGCCTTCTCCTTCCTTCCTTCTTTACCTCTTTCATCCTTTCCCTTTGGGAAAATTTGTTGAAAATGCAAATGTGGCCGGGCACAGTGGCTCATGCCTGTAATCCCAGCACTTTGGGAGGCTGAGGCGGGTGGATCACAAGGTCAGGAGATTGAGACCATCCTGGCTAACACGGTGAAACCCTGTCTCTACTAAAAATACAAAATTAGCCGGGCATGGTGGCGGGCGCCTGTAGTCCCAGCTACTCGGAAGGCTGAGGCAGGAGAATGGTGTGAACCTGGGAGACAGAGCTTGCAGTGAGCCAAGATGGCGACACTGCACTGGGCGACAGAGCAAGACTCCATCTCAAAAAAAAAAAAAAAGAAAAGAAAATGTAAATGTTGGCCGGGCGTGGTGGCTCATGCCTATAATCCCAGCACTTTGGGAGGCCGAGGCTGGCAGATCACTTGAGGTCAGGAGTTCGAGACCAGCCCGGCCAACATGGTGAAACTCCATTTCTAGTAGAAATACAAAAACTAACCAGCTGTGGTGGCACACACCTGTAATCCCAGCTACTCAGGAGGCTGGGGCTGGAGAATCACTTGAACCTGGGAGGCGGAGGCTGCAGTGAGCCACGATGGTGCCACTGCACTGCAGCCTCGGTGACAGAGCAAGATTCTGTCTAAAAACGAAAATTTAAATGTTGCCGTATTCTTGTGCTGATTCTTCTGTAAACCAAAAGTCCTTTTGAATGTCTGTCCCAATTATTTCCAGGTTCTAGTTGAATACTTCATTTGATTTAGCATATCTGGTACTTTTCTTAATGGAGAATTAAAACAGAAAACATTCTCAGGAAACAAATGCATTAAAGTCCCATCTATTTTAGGATACTAGTTACAATGTCTTAAATGAGTGAGTGTACTCATGACCCTTTGTGACTTTGCCCCTGAGTTTCATTTTGAATGGCAGTTCAACAACCCTTGCTAGCATTTGCAACTCGAAAGTAATTAACTGCTCTTTCAGTCTGGCTACATAAATGCCTTAGGATGTACCATAAAAGGCCCATTTCATGTCTCGGTTCAAGGAATCGCCTAATGATATGAATTGATGTTAAATCATTGTGAGTTAAGGCAGAGCTGTTTAAAGAAATGAAAAACCAGCACAAAGTTTCAGTTTATAAACAACAGGAACAATATTTTAGTAAATTTACATTATGTTTGTAGTCTCTGAAGGAAAATTCATTCACAGTTTTGTGTCTTATTTTGACTTAGTCGAGTGAGATTTCCCCAGCAATTGTAAAAAGTCAGTATGACTTATCCCACCTTGAATATAAAAAAGAACTAAGACAACCAACTCAACAAAGGGAACCAATGTTGCTGGTTTTTAGCTGGTCTAGGAGTTTACCCGGTATCAGCTCAGGTGCAAACCTCATGTGGTGCTAGCTTCTCTGAGGTCCTCTGCAGCAGGGAACATGGCTGTGATCGATTAGCTATGTCTGCCATGCAAGAGGATGCAAGAGGGTAGCAGAAATTTCAGCAAGCAAGCCAGCATTCCAGTAATAGGATATAGCGGATTTTATTTTTCCGTGCATTTGTATGAGCAAAATGAGGAGTTAAAAACAGAACATGCCAAAAAGGCACAAACCACCCATAGATACAGTCTTGAAAAAAATCACTAGATTTATGTTTTTCTGAGAGGGAGATTTATGCCGGTAGAAATACGTTGTTTTGTACAATGATCTCATTTATCATGTGTGGTATCACCCACAGTGGCATCGGCATGTGGAATACCTTCATTTGGTGCCTAGAGAGCCTTTCAACGGGCATCTAACTAATATACTGGGAGTACTATTTATGATAAGATTGACAATGATATAGGAAAGAGTCGGTCTCAGATTTTAAACAAAGAGAGGGACTTTCTTGGGTTGTAAAGTGTGTTTGCTAGTGATTTCTTAGTTTTATCAAGCTGTGCATGGTATGTTTTTTGCTTCAGAGCTTTCCTTTCTATTCACTGCTTTAGTAAGACTTACTACTGGAAGTTCCCTGAATGGCAGCAGTGGTGGACTTCATTATCCAGAATGCTCGATTCTCCTGTAGCAAAATGAATCCATTGTGATAGTTATTTTGGAAAATGAGTCATCCTGGAAATGTATTTTTGATGAGATAAACTGTAATTTCAGGCATGTTTTTAAAGTGGTGATACCTTTGGAATATAAATATAAGGAAACAATTTAATGATATAAGAACTAATACCTTTGATGATTTTGAAGACATTCTCAATAAGGAGATTAACAATGAATGCTTCCTAGAGCTTAAATACTACTACTTGAGAGAACTTTTACCAGTTAACTTTAGTGGAAAAAAAAAATCCTTTGATATCTGTGTAACTGACTCACTGTAATGAGTGGGCTTACTCATTCAAGATATTGTAATTAGTATCCTAAAACAGGCATCACTTTAATGCATTTTTGTCTTGAGAATATTTTCTGTATTCACCATTACAAAAAGTATCAGATATGCTAATTTGCATATGCTATGCACGGTGGTTGGTGTCCTAAAACAAATTAGGGTTATGCCTACTTGAATAAGCTTATGTGTTTAAAGATGGTTTATTTCACAACTTTGAATGCTATGAAAATCTTTTTCAACATACTTTTTCTTGTTAACCCAAACAAAATTTTTCTCATCAATTTATTCCTGAAATTTTATTATCTTCTACATTTTAATAATTGATGCATGTTTAGCTCTTTTAAGACTGAAGACAAAGCATCTGAAAGACAGCTTTCTGGTTTGTCTTTCAGAACCACCCGTTCCTATTGCCCCACCTCAGCTCGCCTCTGTAGGAGCCACCTACCTGTGGATACAGCTCAACGCCAACTCCATCAATGGGGATGGGCCCATTGTGGCCCGAGAGGTGGAGTACTGCACGGCCAGTGGGAGCTGGAATGACCGGCAGCCAGTCGATTCCACGAGCTATAAAATTGGACACCTTGACCCAGATACAGAATATGAGATTAGTGTGCTCCTGACCAGGCCAGGGGAGGGTGGCACTGGCTCTCCTGGTCCAGCTCTCAGGACAAGAACAAAGTGTGCTGGTGAGTATAAGGAACCCTGCAATTAATTGTCATTGTCTTTCCTGGTGTTGACTGGCAGCACTGGGGTTGATCAGATGCCTAGCACGCTTCCCCTAGCTCTATCAAAACCTGCATATGAACAGAAAATGCCCTTAGCCTGTGAATAGTCAGCTAACAGCTTGTGAACTTGGGGACCAGTAACCTCCAGGCTTGGTATTTCTCAGCCTGCCCCCACCCTTTTTCCTATTGTTAATTTACTTCTTACTCTGAGTACCACATTGTTCATATAGGAATTGTCTGTGAAGTTTACAGAAACTGTCTACTCTAATGATGTCCTCTAATAGGTCAGACTCTCTTACTTGGGCCCCTTTGTTTTATGTTCATAGTTAATGTGCCAGCAGCCTGGAGGGGCTCTGGAATAACAGATTCCATCTTAGAGATAGCCTTAAAGATGTGTTTTCATTGATGAGTGTTTAATGGAGGGTCTGCTGGCGAATGACTTGGGCCTGTTTGTATCATAAGCAAGAGTGATTTGTGTGCTGGGTGCAGTCTTTAGTTTCTTAGATTATAAATTTCTAATTGTGCTAAACCCATTCCGCAACTTAAGTAAAAGTAGGGTTAATGGAGAGAGAAGTGTAAAATCTTCCAAAAATCAAAACCTGAATGAAGCTCCCCAATTAGAGATTGTAGTGTTGTTTCCGTATGGCTACTCTGTGGTAGGAAGCAGAGAGAAACAGTATATTGGGATATTTAAGTGCTCTTTTGTCTTGTAAATGAGGAATTTCTGTGTTGAATTGTGTGCTGAGATGAGGAGATTCCATAAATTGTTATGGTGTTAGTTAATTATTCAGATAGCATTAGATAAGAATACATTTATCAATGTTTCATTTCTTTCTTAAGTTTTAAAAATGCTTAGCATAGTCAGATTCTATCTGGTAGGAGTAAGAGAAATTATTAAACCTTAACCATTGTAGCTGGTTTTTAAATTTTTTCTTCATAATTTGTATTATACTGTTTCCACAAGTTCAATACTCATGGAAAATTCTGTATTTTAAAAAAGACTTTTGTTAGAAAAGGGAACAGGTACTTTTTTCTTCTGGGGATACATGCTATTGAGTACAGGGACTGGCCTGGGTTAGTAGACTGTGTACTTTGCTGTTTTGTACATCTTTCATCTGTTTCTCAGACCCCACATCTGTATCCTCGTGGCACCTTTGTGCAGGCAGTCTGGTCCCTGGAATAAGACCTGCTGTTTTGATTTGGTGATTCCCACAGCCCTGAGTGGTGGCTCTAAGGAGAAAGGAGAATTTCCCAATCCTTTCTCTTCCTGTCTTCTTTAAACCTCGTCATCTCCTCTATTTAGTTGAATAAATTCCATCATTGTTGTAAAAGTTTTATCTTACCATTTGTTGCAATGCAAACAATAGCTATGGATAATACTGCCTATATCATTTGACAAGATAGGCATTGCTTTCAAATCTGTTATTTTACCACTGCCTTATGAATTCTCCAGGGCAGGTTCTTTGATCCCCATAATACAGATGGTGAAAGTGAAGCCCGTGTGAGCTCCTTTCTACTTCTAAGCTCACTCTGTAAGAAGTAAGTTTAGTGTTATTTCACTTTAGTGTTAAGAATTCCTGTTTTGGGCATGGCAATATATGGTTTCTCTCTCTCTCCAAAAGCAGGTTAGAATTTCATTGTTTAGACTGGAGAGAGACTGTGATCTGTTTCAATTCTAGTCACTAGCAGCCCCACCTACATAATGTTTCCAGTCCTGTTCTTTTTTTTTTTTTTACACATTTTTGCCTTTTCTTTTGGTTTTGTGTCTGTACATCTCAGCTATTGACACATTGCTGTATATATATCCACTGATTATAATGCATGTGTCTGTGTTTTCAGGAAGCCTTTTGATGCTGCTGCATAATGTGTAAATGGATAATGCTCAAAGAGACAAATTACCTTTTAATAATAGATTGACAGTTATTTTTAAGAAATGAAAACCAATTTTGAATTGATATTTGTAGGCCCACACTGTGCCTCAATGTATGAAACCTCACCTAAACCAGGAAGCCTAATGACGATGCGCCCTTTCCTCTTAACTGTTTGCAGCCTGCAGTTGGCACTGTTCGTGATGCATGGTCTGGTTGTGCCCTGTGCTGGCATGGAGTCACCCTTAGAAAATGGAGAGAGATATGTTAGGTGAAAGGGTCAAAGTTAGAAAGAAGAGGGGAAGGCATGTTAGGTGGGTGAGGAAAGTGAAAGGTGAGGAAAGTGAAGTCAAATGAGACTTTTTGCTATAGGAAGAAATATGGTTCACCCTTTCTTGACCTGGGGTTTTGAGAAAATCTGCAGGTAATATCAGTAATCACTGATTATGATCAGTGTGGAATTTTGGGAAGCAGGAGCAAGTTAAAGGGAAACGTGTGCTGTAAATTATAGACTGAAAGTTTGGTATCAGTCCCAAAGTATTATTCAGATGGTTTGTGAGCATTTAGAGTACCTAAAGAGCAAATCATGGATTTCATAAACATGGGAGAGACTAGAAGCATTCTGCAGCAATAAGTGGAAAACATCCTTGGCCAGGGGCAAATGGTTGATGAATCTAACAGGGTGATAAGTAATAGGAATAAATCTAAATCCTTCCTGTATGGTTCAAAAAAGCCAAGAGTACTGGCTTGGAATTAGAGTAATACAATTTAGCAGCAATATGTATGAAGAAGAGATTGAGGATTTGGCTTCAATGCAAATGAATCTACAATATCATCCATCTTGTATAAATTATCCCTGTGATGTTAGTGCCTCACCATCCCCTGCAAAAAAAAAAAAAAAAAAATCCTAAAATAATCTTAGGTTGCATCAGGAAAGCAAAATGCCCATATTGAAGGAGGTGATAGCCTTACTCTACCAGTGCTGTTTAGGCTTCTCATAATTCTCACATTTATTTCTAGTTCCTGCTTTTTAAGAGAGACAGCACAAAATAGATTTTGCCCATGGGGAGAGCAATCAGGATAGGAAAGGATGTGGAACCTTTCTTAACTAATGAGGAATGGTGGAAAGAACTGAGAAGGGGATGGGGAGGAAAGGGCACCTGTGTAAACTCGACAAGATCTGAGTGAGTTTCTTGTGGCTGATTTGTTCAAGCATAACCTGACATGGTAGAAATTGATTTCTATATTCAGAAGAGGATTGAGCTGGTTGACCTTGAAGATCTCTTCAGTATGAAATTCTATGATTCATTTCTTGTTTGCTTTCTGATGAGATGATCCACCGGATATTTCTACCCTGAAAGCCTTTCAGTTTCATTTTTATTTCATCCTTGTCTAAATACTCCATAATCATGCTTATCAAGTACTATTCTTTGGGCAGTGAAGGTCTGCTATTACATTTCCAAAAATCCGAGCAAAGGGGGAGAACGTATAAGTTTTTATTACAGTGAAGTAAAATAAATTTGAAGGACTGACTCACTCTGAGATTTCCTGCCTGGGTTTTGTGCTAAAACATCACTTCAGTTCTTGAAATAATAGTGCTTTTGGGTGCTAGAGCCAGAGTCAGCGGTTGAGAACACAGGCTCTGGGAGCAGCTACCTGAGTTTTAGTGTTGGCTCTGCCTGGCACTAGACATAGGACTAGAGAAAAACTGCTAACCCTCTCTGGGCCTGAGTTGCCTTATCTATAAAACAGAGGTGATGATAATAATAATATGTGTTTCATTGTTTTGTTGTGAGCCTTAATGAGCTACTGAATATCAGTTGCCTAGAACAAACTCTTACATATAGCATGTGGTCAATCAGAGTTAACTACCATTTAATAAATTTTTGTCTTTTAATATTTTCATTCAGAAGAATTAGACACTGGCTACCTCATTACCCAATGTTTTAGAAATATTGCTTATCTGGGAAATCTAAAATCTGAGAACCATGATTTCTATTGTGGGCTCATAGAATTCTTTGCAGTTGTGCATTATGTTCTCATCTGTTAAATCTGTTTATTTTGGCCAAGCTCTGTGTTTTCGTTTCTGTGCTGCATCAGTGACACCTGTCCTATCATTTTTTGGTGACACCCATGAAACTGTATTTAGCTTCTTGTATTAAAATGGCAAGATCACTATTTATTACCCATCATTCCTGTGTGGCTTGTAGACACAGTCTCATTACCTGGTTGGATTTCTGCAAGGATTGTATTGTAACACACTTCCAAAACTCTTGCTTCTTATGCTTCTGAAAATTATTTCCAAATATATGCACAAGCTCTCCATGCAAGACCTTGATCCAATCACATAGCTTCCCTGATTCCACATCTTCATCTCTAATTTGGGGCAGCAACACCTGCCCTGACTGTATCAGTGGTGTTTTTGAAGATCAGGGTAGATTTTATCTGTAAAGACATTTTTCAAAGTGATAAAATGCCCTGTCAATATGGGTTATTGTAAAAAGTGATTATAGTCAAGCTACCTTCAAGCTTTATATACATATCCAGTTGTTTTCCAACTTTGCAGTTCAGCTATAGTTGGGTAACTTCAGAGAGTTAAAATTACTTCAGCATCCAGTTAAACAAAATGCAATTTAGTTTGTGATTTCTAATGTATCCTATATTCTCAAATTATGTGCAGCCTGTATATCATAAGCCATTGAATAGTAGCTACTTGAAACAGAGAAATGGGTGATGTTGTTAGATTAATTTTCACAGTGGGCTTTTTTATGTGTTTTATTTGGAGATACTTCTTTTTATGTATTCTGGTTATTGGTTATTAACTGTGGTTAAGTGACTTGCCAATAACTGGCCCCAGGAGCTAACGAAGGATTATTATAAACTAATGACTAAACAATTAAGATTGGTGAGAGTGAAGCAAAGCTTAATTAAAATGTGTCCTTTAGCATTAATATACCTAAAAATATTTGAAACAATAATGATTGCACCTTAAAAAATTATCCATAAGATGCATATTGAGCATCCGTATTTGCCGGGCACTATTCCAAGCCCTGCCAGTAGAGTGACAAGATTTCTGTCTTCAGAACTTATATATTTTGGGGTACTGGAGGAAGGGAGTATATAGGCAACATATATATATATATATATATATATATATATACACACACACACACACACACACACACACGTGTGGCCAAGGCAGGAGGACTGCTTGATACTAGGAGTTTGAGGACAGCCAGGGAAACATAGCAAGACTCCATTGCTACAAAAAATTAAATGAAGAATAATTAGCTGGGCACCGTGGCATACATCTGTAGTCCCAGCTACTTGGAAGGCTGAGATAGGAGGATAACTTGAGCCCAGGAGTTGGAGATTGCAGTGAGCTGTAATCACACCACTGCACTCCATCATCGACAGAGTAAAACCCTGTCTCTAATATATATATATTACTCACATACCTACACACAACACATGTGTATACAATACAGTGTCAGATAAATGATAAATGTTATGAAGAAAAATAGAAGAAGGGATAGAGAATAGAGAGGTAGGAGATGATATTTTTTATTATTTTACTATGTTTAAATACACATAACAAAACTTACCATCTTAACGAGTTTTAAGTGTACAGTTAAATCATGTTAAGTATATTCAGCCAATCTCCAGAACCTGTTTCTCGTGTGTGGGTACATAGTAGGTGTATATATTTATGAGGTACACGAAATATTTTGATACAGGCATGCAATATGTAATAATCACATCGGGGTAAATGGGGTATCCATCACCTGAAGCATTTATCCTTTGTGTTACAAACAATCCAGTTACACTCTTTGTTATTTTTAAATGTACAATTATTATTGACTCTTGTCACCCTATTGTGCTATCAAATACTAGTTTCATTGAGAATCTTTACATCTTCCCAAACTGAAACACTGCATCCACTAAACACTAACTCTCCACTCCCCTTCCCCATAACCCTGGCAACCACCAGTCTCCTTTTTGTCTCTATGGATTTAACTATTTAGGTGTCTCCTATAAGTGGAATCATGCAGTATTTGTCTTTCTGTGACTGGCTTATTCCACGTAGCATAATGTTCTCCAGGTTTATCCATGTCATCACGTGTGCGATTGCACCTTTTTAATTATGCTGATAATTGAATTGTATATATTTGTTTCATATAATTCTTTGTGAACTACTTAGAGACTATAAGCACTGACTTTGGCATTCAGTTTAAAAATGCACCTTCTTTATGACTTAGGGAAATGTTTACTAGTAAAGCATGTACTGCTGGGTTCCTGAGGAGTCCAAGTATGATCAGTTATCCTAGAAATGTTCTGTCCTAATGGCAGAGCCATCCCATCCACAGCTAGCCTGCTGCTTGCTGGGAATAGGAGTGATGTATTAGAAGTCTTTAATAAATGTGATGTGTAAGAAGTATACACATTTTTATAAATGTGATTTTTTATAAAAGCGATAGTGTTTTTATAACTTCCATTTTTTTAAATGATTGAGTGAGTTTTAATATCTGTCTGCGTAGAGCTATATATTTGTCTGCCTAGTATCTGCCTAGTTAGAGCTTTTTACATAACTATAATAAAAACTTGGAATATGTATTACATTAAAATGTATTTTGTTGTACTTAGATGCTTTGATAACATGCAGTAATAGCTATCATATCTGCAGTATTTTCAGTGGCAGAAGATACTGGACATACCTTGCCACTATTTGGAGTCATTTCACCTTTCAATCTTTGTTCTGTGAAACGTTCAGTGTCTGCTTATCCCATTTGTGATATGCAGTTTTGTGAATCTCCTATTTTTTTGTGATGACAGTCGTACTGTTGCACTTGAACAGATGTATTTGTGTAGCTTTCTTGTATGCCTGCCTTGTTCTTCTGTGAACAAATAACATACATAAACAAACATATATTTGGGGGTATTGGAGGGAGGGAATATATAGGCAACATATATATACATATGGAGGATAAACAAAGGATTAGTGTTCCTTCACAGTAAGGACCCAACATTCCCGACTGTGGGAATTTTGTACTAAATACAAATTTACGGTGTTGTGTTTTCTTTTATCTTATACCCTGAGAATATCTCTCAGTGTGCCTTATGTAGTAGCACACCCTGTCTGTCATACCCGGTCCAGTCTAAATGTCACTAGATTTAGGTTCATATTGGTTTTGAAATATTAATTCGCTGTGTTTGCCTAGTGGTAACACTGGAGTGATTCGTTTTAAATATATCTGAATGAGATTCTCATGTTGGAAATGAGTAGTGACAGGTTCCTTGGCAAGGGGGCATTACATGAAGCCCAAACTGCACCATGCCTGCATTCAACCGAAGGCTGACCTCGCTGCTATTTATTTATTATTTTTAGTTTGTTTCTGTGGGAAAAAAGGAAATAATTCTGGTTGAAATGGGAATAATCTGAAATTAAACCCTGCCAAAACCTGATGTATTTTCTCTTAAATCAAAGATAGTAGTATTTGTGTTTTCTGTACAGAATTATCACTGGCATTGCAATAAGTATCTGGACTTACAGGGCTGACCCTCAGGTACCTGGGGCCATGTGGGAGCTAATCTAACAATGGCTGTTATTCGGAAGGCATAAAGGCCAAAGACCTAATTGAGTGGAGCATAATTTATTTTTGATTTAAGTTTATTTACCAGGGAAGAAATTAAAAGTGTTCTAATTCTAAAACAGTTCTGCCACAGGGCAACATGTTTTAATGAATTTTCAATACATGAAGCCATTAAAAACCTTTTTAAATTATGAACATTAAAAGGGCATGAGGAGTACCTTCCCTATTATGCTGCAGATGTCAGATACTTTGGGTCACGTCACCGTGTACATAGGACAGGGGCATATCAGCAATGCAGTGTCTTTTTTATTATAATATATTCAGTCCCTTCCTTACAGGTGTTTAGGCCCCAGAGATTCTGTAATTAATACCTAAACCTCAAGTTCTGCTGCCCTTAAACACGGATTCAGCACTTTCCCTGTGCTTGAACCCTAAGGCAGCAGCAGAGGGGTATAGAATAGAACTGCTGGAGCAATTCTGCATGAGAGGTTCAGAAGCTCCTCTAAAAAGTGTGGACAGATGGAGGTGGTTGTTCATAGAGTTATCCAGTGACTCTTAAGGTGTTGTGACTCTCTGGAAGGTGTCAGGCAGGCCCTTTGGCTGTGAAAAATGAGCGTGCTAACAGTGCTCCTCAACTTCCTCTAGGCTTGTTTTTGAAATCTTTGTAGGTGGCTTCTTGTGTAGCTTTGAATACACTGAGGAGGCCAGGAAAATCAAGGGAAAGAGCTGGAGATTGCAGTCGGGGGCCTGTGGCCTAGTCCTGCTGTCCCTCTAATGAGCCATCTAACATGGGGAAGAATCACAGAACCGTTTCAGGCTGTATTTTGTCTGTCTATCTGTGAGGGGCTTGACCAGCTTCCTTGTTCTAGGGATCTGACAGGTCATCAGTCGCTGTCAGAGGGGGTTTGCTATGGGAAAAACATGATTGTTGTTAGTATGAGGCCTTGTCTGAGCACCAGCTACAGCTGTGAGCGTGGTCCTGCAGCCCCTGACATGTTTGAGGATGCCTCTGCATCCTGCTGCAATATCTCCTAGGAAAGGAAGACATCTACTAAATCTGCTTTGAACAATTCTTAAAGAGACCCCAGGCCATCTTAATTTCCCCCAAATCTCTTATATATTTAGTAAGAAAAAAAATTATTGATGATGACATGATTAATTTTTTATTAGAGCACATGCCTTAATTCTTTATCACATTTATAATGTGGAGAGGTTATATTTTATGATCTTTATGTTAGCATTTATACTACACTGGGGTCCTATGCATAATCTGTATGTACTGCATACGTATGTGTTTTAAAAGGACTTGGAGCATAATTGACTGCTTTAAATTATCATAGAGGCTTATACTTTTGTGACTGCCTTTGTGAACATTCAGAGGAAACAGTGTTCCCCTGGGAAACTTCTTTCACTTTATAGTCTGACTGACTTGGGTGGGTGAATGTTGGTTCTGGCACAAATAGCTAAAAACTCTCAACAAACGAGTTAACCTTGCTATTCCTAGTTTCTTAATCCTTCTGGTCAGTGTTTTTTTGTTGTTGTTGTTGTTTGTTTGTTTGTTTTAAACAGTACCAGCATTGTCTTCATAATGCTGCTGGGAAAATTACATATGCTAATGCAGGAAAACTTGTTAGCAGAGTACTTTGGTCACCTGGTGGCTCCCGAATGAATCCTAAGTAGGTTTACTATTAAATGCTGATACAAAATTATGTTTTGTTACCACAAGGGAAACACACTCCTATGGTGAAATCTTTCAATAGGACTTTTAAGCTGAATGGATTGGGTTGCATTTGACACATATACAAGTTGCAGTTTAAGCAAAACAAAAAATATGTATGTATCTTCAAGGTAGTGCCAAGAAAAAGAAATGATCACATGTTCACTGGAACCTGGGAAAACTTTTTGTTTTGCCTCCTTAAGGTGTGGTCGGGATAGAAAATAGCATAGTGACCCAGGGTCCCTGTTCTGCAGGGTGGCAAAAAAATAGAATAACTGCAAATACTTCATTTACATATGAGACACTGTTATGCTGTGGTTGTGGATGTGTTGCAATTATTAGTGACATGATAAGTGTTTTTGACACTTTTAACTTTTTGGAGGGTTCTGCCCCCACTCTAACACTTTTTTTTTTTTTTTTTTTTTGAGACGGAGTTTCGCTCTTGTGTACCCAGGCTGGAGTGCAATGTGCAATGGCATGATCTCGGCTCACTGCAACCTCCGCCTCCCAGTTACAAGCGATTCTTCTGTGTCAGCCCCCCAAGTAGCTCGGATTACAGGCACGCGCCACCACGCCCAGCTAATATTTTTGTATTTAGCAGAGATGGGGTTTCACCATGTTAATCAGGCTGGTAGTGAACTCCTGACCTCAGGTGATCTACCCGCCTTGGCCTCCCAAAGTACTAGGATTACATGCATGTGCCACCTCACCCAGCCCACTCTAACACTTGTAAGTTTATCCAGAGGACTCAAAGCTTGATGGCAGTTTGCTTAGAGCTAGAAGGCTGAGGTGCGCTGGGAGACATGTTTCTCTTTTGCTCATTTGCACACATACCCCAGGAAGGTAGGTGAACCCTTATTGAGTGAGATTGGATGGCTGGGGTCTTGGTGGTGTGGATGTAAGGAATTAAAGCACACAGGTAAGATTGTTCACCATAGGGCTGCTTGTGAGCCAGGCTTACCTTGCATCCAGTGTCGCTGGCCTCAGAGCGGGCAAAGCCAGTCTTAGCCTTTGTCTTCTGAACATTTTAGGAAAAGTTCAGTCACTCTTGACTTACCAGGTATGTTATGTGTTATGTCTGGAACCACTGTCATGCTTTGGGAAGCAGGTGGATTTTATCTTGACCTCATATGTCCTGTGTACTTCCTTCTATCCATGCTCCTCTCAGCACATCCAGATGCATTCTCTTCTTATTCACCCAGCTCTCAGTTTATTCGTCCTCATTAACACGAAATGTGGGCTCACTGGGACATACTCAGTGGCATCTGGCCTCCAGTTAGGACTTGCCAACTTCATCTGTAAGGATAATGCTGCTTGTGCTTTTAAAAGCTAAATAAGAAGTAAGATAAATGAGAGCTAAAACTTGTATAGTCATAACAACAGATTATGAAAGATTGATAATATGTCAAAATTTTAGTTTATGAGGGTTAGCCATGTTCCTTTGTGTAACACTTTTATAAATTAATTTTAAGAATATAAATAACTGGTAATTACCTATTAGAATAAACTGCAAGTGAATAGAATGCTTTAAAAATGAATAACGCATATAAATGGAATTTAAATTATAAATACAAGAAATTTTATTAGGAAGTATAGTTATACCTGTTATTAAAATAGAAAAGATAATAGAGCTGTTTGATACCAAAATTGCTGATCCTCCATCCATGTTATTACCATTGTGGAATGAGTAATATAAGTAATGTAACTATTCAGGTAAAATATTCCCATTGACCAAATAGCAATATTTCCTTCTTATCCATCTGGACAAGTGACTGTAAACACATATTTATAGTCAGCATTGAAACCCTTTCTAGAAGGAGGAGCCAAGATGGCCGAATAGGAACAGCTCCGGTCTACAGCTCCCAGCGTGAGCGACGCAGAAGACGGGTGATTTCTGCATTTCCATCTGAGGTACCGGGTTCATCTCACTAGGGAGTGCCAGACAGTGGGCTCAGGTCAGTGGGTGCGCGCACCGTGCGCGAGCCGAAGCAGGGCGAGGCATTGCCTCACCTGGGAAGCGCAAGGGGTCAGGGAGTTCCCTTTCCGAGTCAAAGAAAGGGGTGACGGGCGCACCTGGAAAATCGGGTCACTCCCACCCGAATACTGCGCTTTTCAGACCGGCTTAAAAAACGGCGCACCACGAGACTATATCCCACACCTGGCTCGGAGGGTCCTACGCCCACGGAGTCTCGCTGATTGCCAGCACAGCAGTCTGAGATCAAACCGCAAGGCGGCAGCGAGGCTGGGGGAGGGGCGCCCACCATTGCCCAGGCTTGCTGAGGTAAACAAAGCAGCCTGGAAGCTCGAACTGGGTGGAGCCCACCACAGCTCTAGGAGGCCTGCCTGCCTCTGTAGGCTCCACCTCTGGGGGCAGGGCACAGACAAACAAAAAGACAGCAGTAACCTCTGCAGACTTAAATGTCCCTGTCTGACAGCTTTGAAGAGAGCAGTGGTTCTCCCAGCACGCAGCTGGAGATCTGAGAACGGGCAGACTGCCTCCTCAAGTGGGTCCCTGACCCCTGACCCCCGAGCAGCCTAACTGGGAGGCACCCCCCAGCAGGGGCACACTGACACCTCACACGGCAGGGTATTCCAACAGACCTGCAGCTGAGGGTCCTGTCTGTTAGAAGGAAAACTAACAAACAGAAAGGACATCCACACCGAAAACCCATCTGTACATCACCATCATCAAAGACCAAAAGTAGATAAAACCACAAAGATGGGGAAAAAACAGAACAGAAAAACTGGAAACTCTAAAACGCAGAGCGCCTCTCCTCCTCCAAAGGAACGCAGTTCCTCACCAGCAACGGAACAAAGCTGGATGGAGAATGACTTTGACGAGCTGAGAGAAGAAGGCTTCAGACGATCAAATTACTCTGAGCTACGGGAGGACATTCAAACCAAAGGCAAAGAAGTTGAAAACTTTGAAAAAAATTTAGAAGAATGTATAACTAGAATAACCAATACAGAGAAGTGCTTAAAGGAGCTGATGGAGCTGAAAACCAAGGCTTGAGAACTACGTGAAGAATGCAGAAGCCTCAGGAGCCGATGCGATCAACTGGAAGAAAGGGTATCAGCAATGCAAGATGAAATGAATGAAATGAAGCGAGAAGGGAAGTTTAGAGAAAAAAGAATAAAAAGAAATGAGCAAAGCCTCCAAGAAATATGGGACTATGTGAAAAGACCAAATCTACGTCTGATTGGTGTACCTGAAAGTGATGTGGAGAATGGAACCAAGTTGGAAAACACTCTGCAGGATATTATCCAGGAGAACTTCCCCAATCTAGCAAGGCAGGCCAACGTTCAGATTCAGGAAATACACAGAACGCCACAAAGATACTCCTCGAGAAGAGCAACTCCAAGACACATAATTGTCAGATTCACCAAAGTTGAAATGAAGGAAAAAATGTTAAGGGCAGCCAGAGAGAAAGGTCGGGTTACCCTCAAAGGAAAGCCCATCAGACTAACAGCAGATCTCTCGGCAGAAACCCTACAAGCCAGAAGAGAGTGGGGGCCAATATTCAACATTCTTAAAGAAAAGAATTTTCAACCCAGAATTTCATATCCAGCCAAACTAAGCTTCATAAGTGAAGAAGAAATAAAATACTTTACAGACAAGCAAATGCTGAGAGATTTTGTCACCACCAGGCCTGCCCTAAAAGAGCTCCTGAAGGAAGCGCTAAACATGGAAAGGAACAACTGGTACCAGCCGCTGCGAAATCATGCCAAAATGTAAAGACCATTGAGACTAGGAAGAAACTGCATCAACTAATGAGCAAAATCACCAGCTAACATCATAATGACAGGATCAAATTCACACATAACAATATTAACTTTAAATATAAATGGACTAAATTCTGCAATTAAAAGACACAGACTGGCAAGTTGGATAAAGAGTCAAGACCCATCAGTGTGCTGTATTCAGGAAACCCATCTCACGTGCAGAGACACACATAGGCTCAAAATAAAAGGATGGAGGAAGATCTACCAAGCAAATGGAAAACAAAAAAAGGCAGGGGTTGCAATCCTAGTCTCTGATAAAACAGACTTTAAACCAACAAAGATCAAGAGAGACAAAGAAGGCCATTACATAATGGTAAAGGGATCAATTCAACAAGAGGAGCTAACTATCCTAAATATTTATGCACCCAATACAGGAGCACCCAGATTCATAAAGCAAGTCCTCAGTGACCTACAAAGAGACTTAGACTCCCACACATTAATAATGGGAGACTTTAACACCCCACTGTCAACATTAGACAGATCAACGAGACAGAAAGTCAACAAGGATACCCAGGAATTGAACTCAGCTCTGCACCAAGCGGACCTAATAGACATCTACAGAACTCTCCACCCCAAATCAACGGAATATACATTTTTTTCAGCACCACACCACACCTATTCCAAAATTGACCACATAGTTGGAAGTAAAGCTCTCCTCAGCAAATGTAAAAGAACAGAAATTATAACAAACTATCTCTCAGACCACAGTGCAATCAAACTAGAACTCAGGATTAAGAATCTCACTCAAAGCCGCTCAACTACATGGAAACTGAACAACCTGCTCCTGAATGACTACTGGGTACATAACAAAATGAAGGCAGAAATAAAGATGTTCTTTGAAACCAACGAGAACAAAGACACCACATACCAGAATCTCTGGGACACATTCAAAGCAGTGTGTAGAGGGAAATTTATAGCACTAAATGCCTACAAGAGAAAGCAGGAAAGATCCAAAATTGACACCCTAACATCTCAATTAAAAGAACTAGAAAAGCAAGAGCAAACACATTCAAAAGCTAGCAGAAGGCAAGAAATAACTAAAATCAGAGCAGAACTGAAGGAAATAGAGACACAAAAAACCCTTCAAAAAATCAATGAATCCAGGAGCTTGTTTTTTGAAAGGTTCAACAAAATTGATAGACCGCTAGCAAGACTAATAAAGAAAAAAAGAGAGAAGAATCAAATAGACACAATAAAAAATGATAAAGGGGATATCACCACCAATCCCACAGAAATACAAACTACCATCAGAGAATACTACAAACACCTCTATGCAAATAAACTAGAAAATCTAGAAGAAATGGATACATTCCTCGACACATACACTCTCCCAAGACTAAACCAGGAAGAAGTTGAATCTCTGAATAGACCAATAACAGGCTCTGAAATTGTGGCAATAATCAATAGTTTACCAACCAAAAAGAGTCCAGGACCAGATGGATTCACAGCCGAATTCTACCAGAGGTACAAGGAGGAACTGGTACCATTCCTTCTGAAACTATTCCAATCAATAGAAAAAGAGGGAATCCTCCCTAACTCATTTTATGAGGCCAGCATCATTCTGATACCAAAGCCGGGCAGAGACACAACCAAAAAAGAGAATTTTAGACCAATATCCTTGATGAACATTGATGCAAAAATCCTCAATAAAATACTGGCAAACCGAATCCAGCAGCACATCAAAAAGCTCATCCACCATGATCAAGTGGGCTTCATCCCTGGGATGCAAGGCTGGTTCAATATACGCAAATCAATAAATGTAATCCAGCATATAAACAGAGCCAAAGACAAAAACCACATGATTATCTCAATAGATGCAGAAAAAGCCTTTGACAAAATTCAACAACCCTTCATGCTAAAAACTCTCAATAAATTAGGTATTGATGGGACGTATTTCAAAATAATAAGAGCTATCTATGACAAACCCACAGCCAATATCATACTGAATGGGCAAAAACTGGAAGCATTCCCTTTGAAAACTGGCACAAGACAGGGATGCCCTCTCTCACCGCTCCTATTCAACATAGTGTTGGAAGTTCTGGCCAGGGCAATCAGGCAGGAGAAGGAAATAAAGGGTATTCAATTAGGAAAAGAGGAAGTCAAATTGTCCCTGTTTGCAGACGACATGATTGTTTATCTAGAAAACCCCATTGTCTCAGCCCAAAATCTCCTTAAGCTGATAAGCAACTTCAGCAAAGTCTCAGGATACAAAATCAATGTACAAAAATCACAATCATTCTTATACACCAACAACAGACAAACAGAGAGCCAAATCATGAGTGAACTCCCATTCACAATTGCTTCAAAGAGAATAAAATACCTAGGAATCCAACTTACAAGGGATGTGAAGGACCTCTTCAAGGAGAACTACAAACCACTGCTCAAGGAAATAAAAGAGGACACAAACAAATGGAAGAACATTCCATGCTCATGGGTAGGAAGAATCAATATCATGAAAATGGCCATACTGCCCAAGGTAATTTACAGATTCAATGCCATCCCCATCAAGCTACCAATGACTTTCGTCACAGAATTGGAAAAAACTACTTTAAAGTTCATATGGAACCAAAAAAGAGCCCGCATCGCCAAGTCAATCCTAAGCCAAAAGAACAAAGCTGGAGGCATCACACTACCTGACTTCAAACTATACTACAAGGCTACAGTAACCAAAACAGCATGGTACTGGTACCAAAACAGAGATATAGATCAATGGAACAGAACAGAGCCCTCAGAAATAACGCCGCATACCTACAACTATCTGATCTTTGAGAAACCTGAGAAAAACAAGCAATGGGGAAAGGATTCCCTATTTAATAAATGGTGCTGGGAAAACTGGCTAGCCATATGTAGAAAGCTGAAACTGGATCCCTTCCTTACACCTTATACAAAAATCAATTCAAGATGGATTAAAGATTTAAACATTAGACCTAAAACCATAAAAACCCTAGAAGAAAACCTAGGCATTACCATTCAGGACATAGGCGTGGGCAAGGACTTCATGTCCAAAACACCAAAAGCAATGGCAGCAAAAGCCAAAATTGACAAATGGGATCTAATTAAACTAAAGAGCTTCTGCACAGCAAAAGAAACTACCATCAGAGTGAACAGGCAACCTACAACATGGGAGAAAATTTTCGCAACCTACTCATCTGACAAAGGGCTAATATCCAGAATCTACAATGAACTCAAACAAATTTACAAGAAAAAAACAAACAACCCCATCAAAAAGTGGGCGAAGGACATGAACAGACACTTCTCAAAAGAAGACATTTATGCAGCCAAAAAACACATGAAAAAATGCTCATCATCACTGGCCATCAGAGAAATGCAAATCAAAACCACTATGAGATATCATCTCACACCAGTTAGAATGGCAATCATTAAAAAGTCAGGAAACAACAGGTGCTGGAGAGGATGTGGAGAAATAGGAACACTTTTACACTGTTGGTGGGACTGTCAACTAGTTCAACCATTGTGGAAGTCAGTGTGGCGATTCCTCAGGGATCTAGAACTAGAAATACCATTTGACCCAGCCATCCCATTACTGGGTATATACCCAAAGGACTATAAATCATGCTGCTATAAAGACACATGCACACGTATGTTTATTGCGGCATTATTCACAACAGCAAAGACTTGGAACCAACCCAAATGTCCAACAATGATAGACTGGATTAAGAAAATGTGGCACATATACACCATGGAATACTATGCAGCCATAAAAAATGATGAGTTCATGTCCTTTGTAGGGACATGGATGAAATTGGAAACCATCATTCTCAGTAAACTATCGCAAGAAGAAAAAACCAAACACCGCATATTCTCACGCATAGGTGGGAATTGAACAATGAGATCACATGGACACAGGAAGGGGAATATCACACTCTGGGGACTGTGGTGGGGTAGGGGGAGGGGGGAGGGATAGCATTGGGAGATATACCTAATGCTAGATGACGATTTAGTGGGTGCAGCGCACCAGCATGGCACATGTATACATATGTAACTAACCTGCACAATGTGCACATGTACCCTAAAACTTAAAGTATAATTAAAAAAAAAAAAACATTAAAAAAAAAAAAAAAGGAGAGAAACATGGAATAGAAAAAAAAAAAAGAAACCCTTTCTAAAGGGCTTTTTAGAAATACATTAACATTTGAAAAAATATACATATTAAAATATATTTCTGCTAAATATTATGTATTGCTATTTTGCTATTCTTTAGCTCAGCTATAATGCTCCTAATTTGAGTAATGAATTCATGATAAATAACATTTTACTTGTTAATGTTTATATCTTGTTAATGGCCTTTGAAAATCACTGAAGTCATAGATGTGATATAAGAAGGCAAAAAATATAGAAGTATATGATGAAGAAGGTAACAGATTCCCTCCTCTTTCAGTCCCTTTGCCAGAAATCATCATCGTTAATCCTTTTGTGTTTATCCTTCAACATCTCTATGTAAGCTCATTTAGGTGTGTAAATATCAATATATGTCCTCAGTCCCTTCCTTACTAATTCTAACAAATAGGATTATATTGTACATGTTATTCATCAGCTTGATTTCACATCTGCCAGTATTTTCTGAACAGCTCTCTAGTTGTTAGAGTCTAGTACAATACATGTTATATAAACATATATAACCCACATATAATATATATAACCCACTCTTATTAGCAGCTGTTTATTCTTTTGTAATATGGATGACCTAATTTATTTAGCCCCTCCTCTCTTGATGGATAGTCAGGTTTTGTTCATTAATAAAGGGAATATTTCAGTAAATATCTATAAATATATATAGTATACAATTATTTCGATTTCTATAAGTTAAGTTTACAGTTTTAAGGTAGAATTGCAGGGCCAAAGATATATGCATTTAAGACTTTAGTAGGTGCTGTCAGATTACTTTCTACAAGGCTCTATCAAGTTATGCTCTACCAGCAAGGTGTCACAATGTCAGGGTCCTCAAATGCTTTCGAGCATTGAATATTAATGATCTTTTAAAACTTAAAAAATCAATTTATTGGTTTTTAAATTATATGTTCTTGTTTTAATTCGCATTTCCTCTTTTCCATGCATGTATTCAGTATATTTCTTCCTCAGCAAATTGTCCATTTCTGTCCTTAGGATGCTTTCTAATCTTTTCCTTTTTAAATTGTAGGGATACTTTCTATAGTAGGGTTATTTACCATTTGTCATATGTTTTCAAAATATTTTTCTTATTCTACCATTTGCTGTTGACTTTATTTGTGGTTTATTATAGAGAAATCTTCACATTTTATGTAGTTAAATTTATCAATTATATCTTTTAGGGCTACCCATACTCATTAATACACACAATAAATGTATCATTGGAATATAAATCAGTCCAAATATATATTAATTTATCTTGGTAGATGTCTACATATGCAATTATGTTTGCTAAATGACCCATTGTTTCTTCCTAATGGCTTCTTACTTTCTAGTCTTGTTTTAGAAGATATTTTTCTACATTTTTGTTGAATTTTTTTTAGAACTTATTTTTATACTTAGAGTATTTAGTCAGTGAGATTCTGGTAAAAAAAAAAAAAGACTTGAGGGGAAGACTCCAGGGCTGAGGAGCCTTCTGGGGACAGTTCCTTTGCACTTCAATGATGCGCGAGGAGAATGGTCCATTCTCACCTTTGCATTTTGCTTGACGTGGAGCCTGAGAATGTGGCAGGCAGCATGTGACCACAGGGAAACCAGCTAAAAAGGCAGCTGCTATGAAAGCCGAGTAGGCACAACTGAGTCACAGCTCATTTTGGTTTGCCCCATTTGTTTATTCATTTATTGATTTAGTCTAATATTTTTGAGCATCTGCTGAGAGGTATTCTCCTAGGCTTTGAGGATACAGTTAGTAGGCAAAACTAACAAGTCTCCTGCCCTCCTGGACACAGCTTTCTAGTTTCTAAAGTTCTCCATTGGTGTGCAGTGTGTGCACACATTTACATGAAGCAAAGCTTACAGAGATTCCCAGAGCAGTTGTAGAGAAGAGGTTCTGAAAGTCAACATAAATATTAGGTCAGACAGGAGCATCACAAATAAATGGTTTTAATCCGGACGTTTTGGGCTGCAAGTAATATAAATGCCCCTATAGGCTAACAATGAGGAAATTTATTAACTCGCATTAATGGGAAATCCATAGGTAAGGCACCCTTTACAGTTTGTTGTTCAGTGACTCAGTAATCTTCCCAGGGACATGGGCTCTTTCCAAATCTCTGATCTATTGGCCTCAACCCCAGGCTGGCTCTCTTTGTGGTGATAAGGTGACATTTAAAAGCAACTGGGGAAACATGCTGTGTTCACATCTAACGGGCAGAGAAGAATAGTTCCCCAGTCATAGAATGTAACTTTTTTCTTTCAATCTTTTACGTCAATTAAGGACCGATAATAACTAGCAGATTTTCATGGATTGATTGCCTTAGTGCACTTATTCTTAAACTTTAACGTACTTCAGTAATGACAGTGTATATCAGAATCACCTGGAGGACTTGTGAAAAGATCCTGACTGGCTTCTATCCCATGTTTATCATTCAGTTGGTTTAGGGTTGGATCAGGAATCTGCATTTTTAACAAATTCCTCAGTGATGCCGATATTGAAAACCACTGATTTGCAATGATGAAGATGCATCCTTGCACCACACACCTATTAGAATGGCCAAAATTCAGAACACTGCCACACATCAAATGCTGGGAGGATGTGGAGCAACAGGAACTCTTATTTGTTGCTGGTGAAAATATAAAAATAGGTGCAGCCTGTTTGGAAAACAGGTGGGCAGTTTCTTGCAAGAGCAAACCTACTCTTACTGTACAATCCAGCAGTTGTGTCCTTTGACATTCACCCAAAGGAACTTCAGACTTATGTCAACACAAAAACTTGCACACCAGTGTTTATAGCAGCTTTTTATTCATAATTTCTAAAACTTACAAGCAACCTAGAGGTCAGTAGATGACTGGATAAACTATGGTACATTGAGACAATTGAATATTTTTCAGAAATGAGCTATTAAGCCATGAAGAGACACAGAGGAAACTTAAGTGTATATTAAGAAGTGAAAGATGCCAATATGGTAATGCTACATACTGTATAATTTCAACTACGGTAAGGTTCCACATAACAGTCTTTCAGTCTATGAGGTCTGCATATAAGATGGTAGTCCTTTAAGATTATAACGGAGCTGAAAATCACCTAGTAACATTGTAGCCACTGTAATTTCATAGCTAATGCATTACCTTTTCTATGTTTAAATATACAAATACTCTCATTGTGTTACAGTTGCCTACAGTATTCAGTACAGTAACATGGTGTATATGTCTGTGGCCAAGGAGGAGTGGACTACAACATATACTCTCCGTGTATAGTAAGCTATCCCATCTAGATTTGTCTAAGAGCACTCTATGATGTTCACACAATGATGAAATCACCTAAAGATGTTTTTCTTAGAATGTATCTCTGTTGGCTGGGCTCAGTGGCTCACACTTGTAATCCCAGCACTTTGGGAGCCCGAGGCAGGTGGATCACGAGGTCAGGTGTTCAAGACCAGCCTGACCAACATGGTGAAACCCTGTCTCTACTAAAAATACAAAAATTAGCCAGGCATGGTGGCATGTGCCTTTAATCCCAGCTACTCAGGAGGCTGAGGCAGGAAAATATCTTGAACCTGGGAGGCAGAGATTGCAGTGAGCCAAGATCGCGCCATTGCATTCCAGCCGGGAGACAGAGGGAGACTCCGTCTCAAAAAAATAAAAAATAAAAAATGAAAAAAAGAACGTTTCTCTGTCATTAGGCAACCCATGACTATATATGACATTCTGGAAAAGGCCAAACTATGGATACAGTAAAAAATATCAGTGTTTGACAGAAGCTGGGAGAGGCAGGGATAAATAGGTAGATCATAGAGGACTTTTTCAGGTAGTGAAATTATTCTGTATGATACTATAGTAGTGGATATATGCCATTATATAGTTTCCAAAATCCATAGAATATACCACACCAAGAGTGAATCCTGATATCAATTCTGGACTTTGTGTGGTGCTGATTGTTCGTTGGTACGATGTGTTGATAATGTGGGAGGCTACGCCTAGGCTTGAGGGCAGGGGATTGTGGGGAATCTTCATATGCTTCGTGCCATGCAATTTTGCTGTTAACGTAAAACTATTCTACAAGATAAAGTTTTATTTATGAAAAAAAAAGAGCCTCACCCTTGAGTCTAGGGATGGAATGAGCCATCCCTGAGCCACGAACTGTGGAAGACTAAATCACTGAACAAAATCAAGGGTTTGGGGAACTACTGGAAAGGAAGAGAGGAAAATGAATGCGGAGTAAGCAACTGACAGTGGCCAGTATAAAGGTTGATATGAGTTGAATATAATAATTGTAGTCAAATGACTACTGAGAAATTGGGTAAGATTTATTTCTTTTCTTGAGTAAATGTATTCGTTTGTTAAGTACTATCAGTCAGAATTGAGATCTGCAAAGAAACTTGCTGTTTTTTTTTTTTTTTAAAGCTTGATTTTAACAATAAAAAAGGTTGATTGTGACATGGATATTAGAAGATTTAACTATGGGGATCAATTGTAAATCCATTCCTCATATTTAGCATGGATCTCACCTTAGCTCCAGTTATAATGAAATAAATTAATAATACCTGAATTGTTTTTGTTTTGTTTTGTTTTGAGACAGAGTTTCGCCCTTTTTGCCCAGGCTGGAGTGCAATGGTGTGATCTTGGCTCACTGCAACCTCCACCTCCTGGGATCAAGTAATTCTCCTGCCTCAGCCTCCTGAGTAGCTGGTATTACAGGCACCTGCCACCACGCCCAGCTAATTTTTGTATTTTTGTAGAGACGGAGTTTTGCCATGTTGGCCAGGCTGGTCTCAAACTCCTGACCTCAGGTGATCTGCCTTCCTCGGCCTCCCAAAATGCTGGGATTACAGGCGTGAGTGACCGCACCCAGCTTCCTGAGTTGTTTAGAGGATGTTGGCATGCACTTCACCGTAGGTCCCTCACACGTGCACACCTTGCAAGCAGAGGCACCGATGGCCTTTGTTCTGGTCCAGGGAACAGCCTTGGAATATAGAGATAGTGTCTCTCTCTGGAGCACTGGATGAGCTTTCTAGTTGTCCAACATAAGAAAGATAATGTCTCTCTTGAGAGCAAAGGGTAGGCAGGTTTGCTTACTGCCCATAATAAGAGATTTGGTTTTCCTAACTCAGGGCTCTTTAGCTGTGATACAAACTGACTTCATGTGTAGCATCAACTTGGATTCCTCTGTATTCTCCCTTGAGACTTTGGGGGCAAGGGGAAACAACAAGAACACAAAGCTCATGTTGCTTTGTGCATGCTTTGCTTTGTTGTTCATAATACAGTTCTATGTCTCTGGCCCAGGAGTCTCCTGTCTTCTGCCAGCATCCATGAAACAGTGGCAGGCAAACTCGTAGGCTTGAAACTTGATTAAGTCTCAGACTCCTCACAGTTCTGGACAGAATATACTTGAAAGAAAAAAACTGACTTCTTCATAATTTCCTCTAACTCAAATCTTGTTGACTGGGAAACTGAGGCTGGGAGTAAGGAAACGACTTGTGCAGTTTTGCAGTGCGTCTGTTTACAGAAGTGCCTGGCAAGGCCACTGTTACCAACACCCTCTGATAACTGGTGCCTGCTCCTCTCAGCGCACTTTGCTTTTAGCCTCACTACAAAGCCAGCCTCTGTGAGTCTGCCCAATAGCTCTGGCTTAGGGTTGATTTAAGGATGGGATTGGACAGTAAGAATCTTTCACTTCAAGACAGAGCCAGATAAAACTGACATGAACCAAGTGAGGTGACTAGTCGTATAGAACATACAGATATAAGCTGACAGGGTTATTCAACACCGAGAGATATTTATCTGCCAGGGTCATTTAGCTGTAACTCTACTAAGAACTAGAATGGAAAACCAGCTGACCATCTCCATTGTTTTTCTATTTTGTTTGCATGTTGCTGTAAACAGTTTATTTTAAATTATAAAACGGGACTCTATTTGACCACTAAATGGACTCAATTTGACCATTAAATATGCCTCGTGGCCCAAAGGATATCTAGACTTAGTGAAGTGGTCACGTTAATTATTTTGTCTGCAAGTAAGCTCTTGGTGAGCCTGCCATGCTAACTTACGAGGCGAATGTTGGTAACACTTTCTCTGTTTGACACGTTAGCTTGGCATATAACTTTTTCTTTTATAAAGAATTTCTTTGTAGTACTGTGAAATCATAACTCTTATTCTATACTTTATCAATATTATACGTGGCTCTTACTACATAATGATCAGTCTCAGCTTTAATTCTTAAAAAGGTTTATATCATAATATTAAGGTTAGGATATGAAACATTATGAAGGGTCTGTGAGCACGTGACAGAGTATTCTTTCATATAAATTCCAATAATGTTATATGATTTTTTTTTGAAAACTCAGACATTTCTTTCCACCCTCAGAATTGCGTGTAGCGACCTTTAAAAAACAGTGCTTCACCATGGAGCTGACAGAACTTAGCTCTGGGCTCCCCACCTGTATTTTCACTGAGCCATAGGCCCGTGGCAAAGAAAATTGAATGTTGCCTGGGTGACCTTATCTATAAGCTGGGTCTTTAATTTCATTCCTGGCTATATTGAAGCTATAGCTGTTGCCAAAGTGTCTGAAAACAAAAGGGAGGGCAGAGAGATGATTTCTGCAGATGATCTATGTCCAGCCAACTGAGGAAATCACTGACCCGCCACTGTAGAGTCCTTTGTTCTGGCCACCTTTGTCTGACCCTGTCTAAGTATATAAAAAACACAGAAGCATTCCCTTCTAGGATAGAATCCTGGAGTTTCTAAGATTGACTTCCAAAGACATCAACAATATGGGTTTCTATGTACATAAAACTATTTGGGATTTGGGAGGCAGAAATTACAATAGTTGGCAATTTGTAATTCTTACCGATAGGTTCATTGGTTGGATACCTTTGGAAACATTTTTTGAAACGCAGATCTAAGCTAAACATCTCTTTTGGGCAGATTATGAATCTAAGGTGTTTTATTTGAGACAAATGGTTAACGTGTTACATGACATATTTATTAGTCCAAATGAAAAATACTCGTTGAAATTAAACCTTCTTTTCCCAAAGATCGTGCAGAGCTCATAATATGTATTTGCATTACATATTTTTTTCCAGGAGTTTATTCTCAGGAAACGACATCGTTTTTAATATAATAGAAGAAATGAAATACAAAGTCGAAAAATGAGACTGGAAAAGCCCAGGCACTGGCATTTTGTGTTGTGCTAAGTGTTCCCTCGTCACCTTGCAGTCCGCTGGCAGAAGTGTGGAGCGGACACAGGAGAAGGCTGGGATGGTGCTTGGAGGCTGGGGAACAGGCTGCACTGGCATTTCCAGTGAAGTGACTTGGGACACACTTCCTCTTTCTGCCTGAAAAGGACTGAGGGTGAGGGGCCACCTTGTCCCGCCCTGGGTTGATCCCTCCCAGATGCCCACATCTCCAGGGCTGTGTCTTCAGCCCAGCTCTCGCTCCTGCCTCTGGGCATGCTGGCTCCTGGACACCCCACATGGATTCCCTGGATATCTCCAACTCCTCTGCTCTATAATGCCCCTGAGCGTCTTACTCCTCCCCCTTGGCCGTGCCTGTCTTCGCAGCCCCACAAAATATTTTTTTCTACCAGTGTCTCTTACCTGAATCAGTACTTCAAGCTGCCCACTCATTTTGGCCAGAAACCTGAATTGCCCTTGAGTCTTTCTACTACCTCACCTCTGCACCACATCAATCATAAATCTCATGTACTCTCTTTCCTAGGTGTCTTGGTGTTTCGGAGGTTTCTCTGCAATGCTGCTTGCCTAGCCTCAGCCACTACTATGGCTCCTTATTGCACCCATGTTCACTCTGCTGCCCCCTAGAGTTGCTCTACCCTACAGCCAGATATCTTTTTTTTTATTTTTAGTATTTTTAGAGACAGGGTCTTGCTCTGTCACCCAGGCTGGAGTGCAGTGGTGATCACAGCTCACTGCGCCTCAACCTCCTGGGCTCAAGTGATCCTCCCGCCTCAGCCTCCCAGGTAGCTAGGACTACAGGCACATGCCACCACGCCTGGCTAATTTTTAAAATTTTTGTAGGGACTGGGCCTCACTATGTTGCCCAGGCTGGTCTTGAACTCCTGGGCTCAAACAGTCCTCCCACCTCGGCCTCTGAAAGCACTGGGATCACAGGTTTGAGCCACTGTGTCCAGCCATCAGAGGTCTTTTATAAATGCACATTCAGTCCTACCATTTCTAAGCAAAAATGGACAGTGAGAGACTCCTTAACACACAGCTCCCCTATCCTCCTCCCCGTTGCCTGCTTCCCGTTTCTCCATAATTCTTCTCACAGCCAGGCATGCTACATGCTGAGATTTCATGTGTTGATCTGTCTCCCTCCACTGGAGCATGAGCTGGCCTGGCAGGGCTTTTGTCTGGCTTGCTTACTGTGCCTGAGTTGAGCCATCGAAGGCACTCTGGGAATGGAAATGAGTGGTTGGCGCACATTCCCCTATCATCTGGCTTTGGCCCCCTCTCCATCAGTTCCCCTTGTTTTTCCCCACTGCTTTCTTAGCTTCAGCCTTAGCACTTTCATTTTCTTGAGATCAAGGTGCTCTTCCTGCTTATGAAGCACCATGAAGGTAGAATCACACCTCCTCTCCCGCTGGTTTTCTACTACTCCTACCTCTCTGCCCCCCGCCCACCAACCCCACCTTCACTCTCTACTTAAATATCCCCTCCTCAGGGAGGCTTTCCCTAAGCAATCTCTGGACAATGGAGTCGTGCATTCCCTTATTATTTTTTAAACATCTAATATCCCTGCTACACTGGAAGCCTGAAATCTTCAGGAACCATATCTGCCTGTCTATGAATGCACACACAGCACCTAGCCTAGTGTGGGCTTTCAACAGATATTTTGGAGACTGAGTCCATGTGATTCAGTCTGCATTAGTAGTGCCTAATCAACAATGAATGATCATTATCTTTTCCTCCATGGAGCCACTTACATCAATTAAAGTGTGAGGCAGTCTCCCCTCCACCCCAACCCCTATACTTTTCCCACCTGATCTTCCAACTGAAGTTCTCTGGCTCCCATACTTGCCCCGGAGGAATGACTGTGATGTGACAGGACAAAGTACTGAAATATATATGAGTATGAAGTATATGCAGTCATGCATCCTTAAGCAATGGGGCTGTATTCTGAGAAATGCATCTTTAGGTGATTTGGTCATTCTGTGAACATCATAGAGTGTACTTACCCAATCAGAGGTAGCAAGGCCAGCTACACACCCAGGCTATATGGTATAGCCAAGGCTCCTAGGCTGCAAAATTGTAGAGCATGTTACTGTATTGAATGCTGTAGACTCTTGGAACACAATGGTATTTGTGTAGCTAAACATTGAAACGTAGAAAAGGTACAGTAAAAATATGATATTGAAGATAAAAATGGCACACCTGTACAGGACATCCACCATGAATGGAGCTTGCAGGACTAGAAGTTGCTCTGGGTGTCAGGGACCTAGTGGTGAGTGAATATGAAGGCCTAGGACATTACTGTACACCACTGTAGACTTTACAAACACTGTACACTTAGGTTACATTAAATTTATTTTTTTAAATTTGTGTCTTTAATAATAAATTAACCCTAGCTTCCTTAAACTTTTGTACCTTAGAAACGTTTCAATGCATTTTTCATTGTTTGGCTCTTTTGTAATAACACTTAGCTTAAAATACAAACACATTGTACAACTGTACAAAATATTTTCTTTTTTATATTCTTATTCTATAAGCTGTTTTCTGTTTTTAAGTTTTTACTTTTTTTTTTTTTTTTTACTTTTAAAACTTTTTTGATACCTAAAACACAAACACACATTAGCCTAGGCCTACTCTGGGTCAGGATCACTGATAGCACTGGCCCCACCTCCACATCCTCTCCCACTGGAAGGTCTTCAGGGGGCAGTAACACTCATGGAGCTGTCATCTCCCAGAATAACAAGGCCTTCTGCTGTCTACCTCCTGAAGGTCCTGCCTGAGGCTGCTTCACAGTTAACTTTTTTTTTTTTTAGTATAAGTAGAATGCTGTAAAATAAGTATTAAAAAAGTATATTATAGTAAAACCATAAACCAGTAACATAGTTGTCTATTATCATTAGCAAGTATTAGGTACTGTACATGATTGTATGTGCTTGACTTTTATATGACTGGCAGTGCAGTAGATTTCTTTACAGCACCATCACCACAAACACCTCAGTAGTGTGTTGTGCTATGACGTTAGGACAGCTAGGATGTCACTAGGCGGCTGGAAGTTTTCAGCTCCAGCATACTCCTATGGGATGACAGTGATATATGTGGTTCGTTGTTGATGGAAATGTTGTTATGTGGCGTGTGATGGTGTATCTTTCTCTGAGGTTTATTGAAAGTCAGGAAGCTTCTACAAGGATTGTGAGGCCTCACATTCATGACTCAGGGCCCTGACCAGGCCCTCCTGATAGCTCCTATTTGGCACTATCTGCATTCGCCACGATTCTGGCATTCTCTTCCCTATTTCCATGTCTTTTTAGTGCTGTTCACTTTCTCAGAAATGCCTTTTCCTCCTCTTTTCTGCTTGTCAAACACATGTACTTTCATATAAAGTAGGGGTCCCCAACCCCCTGACTGCCAACCAGGTACACCTGGCTGCACAGCAGGAAGTGAGCCAGAGGCGGGCGAGCATCACCACCTGAGTTCCACCTCCTGTCAGATCAGCAGCGGCCATTAGATTTTCGTGGGAGTGCAAACCCTATTATGAACTGTGCATGCGAGGGATCTAAGTTGCAAGCTCCTTAGGAGAATCTAGTGCCTGATGATCTGAGGGGGAACAGTTTCATCCCGAAGCTATCCCCCCAACCTGGTTAGTGGGAAAATTGTCTTCTACAACACTGGTCCCTGGTGCCAAAAAGTTTGGGGCCTGTTGGTATAAAGGAACAGGAATGCCTGTTTTACTCACCAGACAGAGTCTTTGCCCTGCCCCTGTCCTGCCATGGCACTTTCAATATAGGCATTTGTCTCATAGGCTAGAACTATGCTTTTTGTCTCTGGCTTTCTCATCATTCTGTGTAAGACCTAAATCTTACCTTTTTTTCTCTTGTGCGCTATTGCCTGGCACACTGTAGAAGCCCAGGAAAGATTTTAAACATTTAAGTAACTGCTCCTAGTTCTGTCTCAATCAGAACTAGGAGCAGTCCTACTTTCTACTTGCAACATATTTGCCTGTCTTCTTTGCCACTAACCTTCGTTGAGAAAATAATCTGTGAAAGGTCATTATCAAGTTATCTCAGCACTTATTTAATGTGTGTTTAGCTGCTTTAGCTGCTTTACTGTCACATAAAAACGTGCCATAGTAAAATAAAGTAACAAAGCTGTCAATAAAAACCCCACTTCCACTCAATATTTAATGCTAAAGAGCCAGAGACATTTGAGATTTTCATCCATAATGCTAAATTGATGTTATCAAGGTCGGTAGCTGATCAATTTGCCTTGAAATACTGTTCACTTGATGAATGAAACTGTAACTTGTTAGAATATGGTGTGTTCTGGAAAACAATGTGTTTTAGTATTCTTTACATAATAGTCTCCAAATAAGGTCAAGATAGGAAGCAGCCTCATGCTATGAAGCACCTGGTGTTTCTAACAAAGCAAGGGCAGTGATGACTGCTGATCAGCCACCATAGTCACCAAAGAGTCAAGAAAAATGCAACCACCTTCTTGAGGGCATTAGAGTTTATAAGGTACCACCACATCCGTTTTCTTACCTAATCCTCGTAATGATTGCAAGAGAGATAACAGTATCCTCATTTTCCAAGTCAGGAAGCTTGGGTTCAAAGAGGTTAAATGGTATTCAGAGGTCACACAAAGCTCAATACAATCCCAAGTGTTTCCTGACTCCCAACTGGGTTCTTTCTGCTATGATGTAGCTACTTCATTGCTACAGGACTAAAAATTGAAAATCTGTACAGCTGTATTAAATATTTAGAAAATCTACCTTCGTGATTAATATTTTTTAATTTTTTTAATTTTTAATTTTTGTGGGTAGTATACATATATGCCCCATATATATATGCCCCATATATATATATATATATATATATATATATACACACACACACACACACACACACACAAACCCCCATATATGTATATGTGGGGTAAATATATATATACACACATATATAATTATATATATACATATATAAAAATATATAAATATATGGGGTAAATATAAATATATACATATAAAATTATATACACATATATAAATATATACACATAAAATTATATACACACATATAAATATATACATATAAAATTATATACACATATATAAATATATACATATAAAATTATATACACATATATAAATATATACATATAATTATATATACATATATAAATATATACATATAATTATATATACATATATAAATATATACATATATATACATATATAATTATATACATATAATTATATATACATATAATTATATACATATAATTGTATATACATATAATTATATATACATATATAAATATATACATATAATTATATATACATATAATTGTATATACATATATAAATATATACATATAATTATATATACATATAATTGTATATACACATATAAATATATACATATAATTGTATATACACATATAAATATATACATATAATTGTATATACACATATAAATATATACATATAATTGTATATACACATATAAATATATACATATAATTGTATATACACATATAAATATATACATATAATAGTATATACACATAAATATATACATATAATAGTATATACACATAAATATATACATATAATTGTATATACACATAAATATATACATATACTGGTATATACGTATATAAATATATACATATACTGGTATATACGTATATAAATATATACATATACTGGTAGATACGTATATAAATATATACATATACTGGTAGATACGTAAATATATACATATACTGGTAGATACGTATATAAATATATACATATACTGGTAGATACGTATATAAATATATACATATACTGGTAGATACGTATATAAATATATACATATACTGGTAGATACGTATATAAATATATACATATACTGGTAGATACGTATATAAATATATACATATATGGGGTAAATATATATATATGTATATGTATATATGGGGTAAATGAGATGTTTTGATACAGGCATGCAATGCAGAATAACCACATCTCGGAGAATGGAGTTTCCATCCCCTCAAGCATTTATCCATTTTAAAATGTACAATTCAGTTATTATTGATGATAGTCACCCTGTTGTGCTATGAAATAGTAGGTCTTATTCATTCTTTCATGATTAGTATTTAAAGAGTAAACTTTAAGTAGTGTCCAGGGGATAGGTGGACTCTAGAATAGTTGTAGAGTTTGAATGTACACAAACCCTAATGCAAATGAGTTATTTCAGAGTCGGGATACATTTCAAAAAACTCCAACTGACTGTCCCTGACAGTGTAAAACTTTCAGAATTCCTCAGAAAAGTAAACCTTTGTCTCAAAATTATGCTTTGAAGTTTGAAGATAAAAGGAGAGCTGTCTAAGGCCCAATGCTCAAATAGATGGACTAAAAACATTTTAGAAAAATTCTGGAGAGGTTATCAGAATTTGAAATGAATGTGATAACAGATCCCCTATAGTTCAAGTCCTCAGTAGTGCGTAACAGGATTTAAAGCAGCTTAGCTCAGACTAACGCATACAAGAAATTAAAGCCTTTTACAGGGTTTTGAAATGTGTTTCATTTTCTCAGGAAAGAGAAAAGCAGATTCCTTACTTTTATGTACCTGGTCACTTAGGAATATTTTGTACTGTATGGTTCTGGTCCGTTCTTAGAGCAATACAGAGAAACACAGTAGAACTTATTCAAATCTGTGATTGCCAGCTGTTGCCTGGGCAGTGTTTCCCATTGCCTTTTGGTGCCAGAATGAGCTAGCATTGTTTTGGTGAGGATTGGAAGCCTGTGCCCTGACATGGAGAACAGTACATGCACATCCCCAGCCAAGGCCGGTGAATGAAGGTGTCATGGTCTGTGAGAGGTTCAGCCATAGCACCTGGTGCTAGAGTAACTCAACATCCATATGCAAGTGCAGGGCAAAATTGTGAACTAAAATGGCCTAAATTTAGCAAATGTTTTAAAAATTGGAAAATATCTTTATAGACACTCATTTATAATGGAGGTCTGAGTTGGTGTTTTGGACTGAATTTGTGTTCCTCACTGATTCATGTGCTGAAGTCCTAACCCCAGTATTATAGATTGTGACTATATTTGGATAGGGTCTTTAAGAGGATAATTAACTTAAAATGTGATAATCCATTATGAATGGTGTCTTTGTAAGAAGAGGAGATTAGGATACAGGCATTGTACAGAGAGAAGACCATGGGAGGACACAGGGAGAACACATCAGCAAGCCAAGGAGACAGATCCCAGTAGAAAGTAACCCTGCCAATGTCTTGATCTTGAGCTTCCAGCCTCCATAACTGTAGAAAATGTGCTTATTGTTTAAGCCACTCAGTCTAAGGTACTTGTTTATGGCAGCCCTGGAAAATTTATTCAGCTGGTAACCCCAACATGGGGACTGTCAGTTAGACACAGCGCTTTTGAGCTGTAACTGTCCTCCAAAAATCTGTCTTTAATTCTCTACTGCCCACAGTAGATCTCTTGAGAAACAAGTGTAAAAGTTTATGTAAACCCTTGGTCAGTTGTGTTTAAATATTGTTTTAGAAGAATTATTCTTACAGTCAGAGGAAAGTTGACTTGGTTATGATGATGTTAGTGGGTTGAAGCTGGCTAAGCCACCAGTAAGGGAGCAAGTGGAGAAACATTTATTATCTATAATTGTTTTTAAATTATTAATAACATAAGCTCTTGCTTCAGAATACTTAACGTATAACAGACATGAGAATCAGTGACTGGGGGAAGATTAGTCATGAATGTTTCTTGGCAGGCTCCCTGTCATTCCACTAGGTCCATGATCTGCGGTGAGTGGAGACAAACCTACAGCAAACCGATCTCTGTTATTCTCACAGGGATAAAGGATGGGGAATGGGGACCCCTAGACTCTCCAGGGCACAGCTGGGGCTGATGGTGAAATTAACCTGGGAGGTGCTTTCATTTCTATTTTATCTGGTTTAGAAAACTCATAAAAAGTAAGTAGATTTAATATCCATTAAATCACATCTAATTTTAAAAACCTACTAAAGATTAAAACCATTTTTTCAGAGTCAGCATTATGATTCACTTTTGTTCACAGTCCTCATGGATTTATTTTGAAATTTTAAGTAAACAGAAACTTTTCATTCTTTCTTGATATCTTCACAAACAAATATGTATTTGAAAATGTAAATGATAGCAGGCACAGTGGCTCATGCCTGTAATCCCAGCACTTTGAGAGGGGAGGCAGGGGATCACTTGAGTCCAGGAGTTCAGGACCAGCCTGGACAACATAGTGAGACCCTGTGTCTACAAAAAAAAAAAAAAAAAAAAAATTAACCAGGCTTAGTGGCATGTGCCTGTCCTCCCAGTTACTCAGGATGCTAAGGCAGGAGGATCGCTTGAGTCTGGGAGGTTGAGGCTGCAGTGAGCTGTGATCATGCTACTGCACTCCAGCTTGGGTGACAGACCTAGGGGATCTGTTATCATGTTCATTTCAAATTCTGAGCTAGACCTTATCTCAAAAAAAAACCAAACAAACAAAAAAGAAAATGCAAATGATTTAGAGATACTTTCAATGATCTGAAGTTTTTGGTAAAATTAACATAATCCTTTCATTAGTTTATGGTTTTAAAATTAGGCCCTTTCTAATTTTGATTAAAATAAATGAAAAGGGCTTTAAAATTTTTTATTTTTTATTGTAATAAAGTATACATAAAAATATTTATCAGTTTAACCATTGTAAATGTACAATTCAGTGCCATTAAATGCATTCATAATATTGTGTAACTGTCACCACGATCTATATCCAAAACATTGGTATCATCCCTTACTAAAGCCCTGTACTTAAAACGACAACCTCCACTCCTCCCCTCCACCTAGTCCCAGACAACTTTTATTCTATTTTCTTTCTCTGTGAATATGCATATTCTGGGTATCTCATAAAAGTGGAATCATACCATGGTTTTCCACGTGTCTGACTTATTTCAACAAGCATGATATTTTCAAGATCTATTCATGTTGGTAGCATATATTAAAATTTCCTTACTTTTAGTGGCTGAGTCATATTCCATTGGATGGATATACCACATTTTGTTTATTCTTTCACCTGTTGATGGGCATTTTGGTTGCTTCTACCTTTTGATTATTTTGAATAATGCTACTATGAACATTAATGTACAATATCTGTTTGATTTCTAAGGGCTTTTGATACAAGTTAGATTTAGGCCCCAGAAAATGTCAGATTGGAGATCAAGTTCAACATAAGAATGGGGAAAATCATCTATAGAGCAAATAACTATTGCTAAGGTTAGAGAATATAGTACCTTTATTTAAGTACATATTGCTTATTATTATTAATACATATTCAATTAATACTTGTTGGTCATAGGTAAGTTGTAAATTCACTCTATATTTGTTTTTGTGGCTATTACATTTATCCTAATTACCACTGACACAAACCTGAGAGAGCAGCAATGTTGATGGGTGTGGCTAATTTTTTTTTTTTAATTTCCTAGTTACAGGCAAAGTAACAGGAAAAACTAAATGACTTCTAGTAACTGGCATTACTGTACCAAACCATGGGCAGTATATCAGAGGCTTGCAGGTTCCACTGAAATTTATGCTCACCTTGCTTCCATATTGCTATTATTAGCCCCAAACCACCATCTTGGTTCATCTTAACATAGTGCTTTATTTACAGTGCATGTTAATGTTTATTTCTTAACACTAATTAAGATTTAGCCATGCCTCCTTGAGCAGGACGTGTAAGCATAATAAGAAGCACTTCTGTATGTTCTTACTTATAATAAGAAGCACTTCTGTATGTTCTTACTTCCAAACAAGAAGCTGCAGGATTCCTGTCCACCCACTATGCATATGGGATTTATTCACTTCATCCTGCTAGATAACCTCCTGTCCCCTTGTTGACTTCAGTTTTTCTAGCATAGCCAATTCTTCTTGGTTAACATTTTTCTTAAAACTTCTGGTTAACATTTTTAATGTTGAATTGATTTACTTCCTCACACTTTCTATAAGTTTCCAGAATAGGAAAACCATTCCTATATTATTCACTGGCCACCATCTGCTCTCATACTCCTCACTTCACCTCTCACGGGCCTCACCTTTGCTCGCTTCTTTTGTGAAGCTCTTCAAAGCTTTCTCTTTTCTCAGGATGATGTTTTTGCCTGACATTTTCTTCCTTCTTCTTCTTTTTATTCTTTTGAGACAGTCTTGCTCTGTTGCCCAAGCTGGAGTGCAATGGCACGATTTCGGCTCACTGTAACCTCCGCCTCCCGGGTTCAAGTGAGTCTCATGCCTCAGCCTTCCAAGTAGCTGGGATTACAGGCATGCACCACCACGCCTGGCTAATTTTTGTATTTTTAGTTGAGATAGAGTTTCACCATGTTGGCCATGCTGGTCTTGAACTCCTGGCCTCGTGTGATTCACTGGCCTCAGCCTCCCAAAGTGCTGGGATTACAGGCATGAGCCACTGCACCCTGACCACTCCTGATATTTTCTGAACATTTACTCTTTCCATCTATCCTAACACTAACTGTCATGCAAAATGCACCAATGTCTTTGTATTTTTGCAGTGTGAAGAATCGTGTGTGTTTGTGTGTGTGCGCTAAGTGTGTTCTGTGGTTTGATTCTCCTGTTCCTTCACTGTAGCTAGTTTATTTTAGGTTATATTCTCTTAATAAGAAGAGACTATGTTGACTTACTTTGGATAATGTCATAAATAGATTGCTGTGTACTAAATGGTTTCAATGATAGTATTTTTGAGTGATAACTACTTACAAATATTAAAAATATGAATATAAAAATTATTCAATATTCAGCCAAAATCTTTTAGGGTTAAAAGCCTCAAATGGGTTATTTTTATGATTCAGGAGTTCTTCCCAAAAGGATGGCAATGCTGATTGGCATTGATTCATGGAGATGAAGCTCTTAGCCTTCTGTCCTTCAGGCTTAAACAGAGGAGGTATACATGTAGACAGTCTACACTGATCACTGAGACAGAGAAGTGCCTTCTCCATTCATGCTGCCTTTTTAAAAGTTGTTTTTTTCTTCAAGGATAGACTCTGTGTTAATGTCAGCCCAGTTCTCTGTGTATACATGATGGTGGGGCCTGGGGGACGGGGGATGGGTGGATTGCAGGAAGCTTGTCTCAGTGTGCCAGGTTTTGTAGGTGACAGGGTGTAGTAATGGTTTCTTACATGAATGATTGCTATAGCTAATGGAGGTCTTGTGAAAATGATTCAGATTAAGCTTCTGGTTTGCTTTAAGCTTACTGACCCAGTATAATTGAGTGTAATTCAGTGGAATCAGTGAATTTGTATTCTTACAGTTAATAGCAATATATTCTTGAGAATGAAGAAACCATGAATGAGGTTCTTAATTTGCTTTTCTGCATCTTCCATGACCTTAAGAAGGATTTCATGAGAGCATTAGGGAAACTTCAAAAAAATTCTCTTTACAAACACTTTACACCTCACTCACTGTTAAACATGATTTATGTTGATAACTGTGCTAAAGTGAGAAATAATGCAAAATAGGGGATGTCATGGTTGTTTTATTTAAGGGACACCATGCCTTTAACCACCTGAGGATTGTAGTGACCTTACCAGTAATGTCAATGGAACTATTATTATTTGTGACTAGAAAATGGCTTATGACTATAAAGAAAAGAAAGGAGAGAGAGAAGGAAAGCTAAAAGAAGGGAGGAATGGAGGGAGATGAGGTGACAAAGAACAGAGGCAAATCTAAGGCAATCTTCAGAAGTAGTAAAGTAAAACGGAAATATTGGTTTGCAAGGCAGTAGCACATAATAGAATCGCAGGGTCTAATTTCATTAACATTCTTGCAGCAAATAATTTTCCTGAATGAAAGGAACCAGCTGCACCAAGCAGATTTATATTTTCAGTAGCAACCCAATCTAGCAACTTTGTGAGCATCTTAGATTTGGTTTAGTTTTAAACTAATAAAATCTTAGCTGCCTGACCCAGGAGAGCTTTTTCTCATTAGTAACTGACACAAAGGATTTTGTTGATTGTCCACATGGTTTCTGATTCCCAGAAAAAAATGAGCAGTGAATGTTATAAAGGCCCATAAGTTATGGGATGTGAGTAGGAAGCCGAAAACTTAATAGGAAAACCATAGGAAAGAACCCATCATGAGATACATGGATGATGTTTCAGATTCTCAGGAGATTAACAAAGTATCTAGAGGTATTTATCCAATATGATGTTTCTTGGGCATAGGAAAAGCTTTTTAAACCATCGACCAGCCTCCAGAAAAAGATACATGATAAGGTAAAGAAAGTTAGTCAAAAAGAAAAAGAATCTGTGACTCCATTAAGGAACAAGAGCTACTTTGTGTAAAACTGATGTGTATTTTCCTCAGTACCGTGCCCTGAGTGGGTAGGAGAGGGAGTTATTATAACCTCATTCCTGCTTCCACCAGAGCACCTGCACTAAAAACTGTTTTATCTTTTGGGGTTCTGGGTATGATCCTGTTTAACAAGATATTTTGACTACAAAAGTGTAATTTTTTTTTGAACTATCTGCCTATATCATTCACTTCTTTGAGCATGGAGGCAATGGAAAATCTTACTACAATCAAGTAATTGCTTCATTAGAGAAGATTTATCCACAGAAATTGATGAGATTAAGTGTCAAAGCATTGTTGTTTCACTCAGTGCTTCTTTGAGGTTCAGAAGTACTTCCTTTGTACACTTAAATGGCAGAAGTGAGAAGCCAAACTTCACATTTGCTGATACCTCTAAATAGCTTTCTTGTCATCATCATCAGTAAACACACACAGGTAGGTAGACAGTAGATCCAGGGACCAGGGGCAACAAAGAGTTGTGCATGAATTTGTAGTTTATTTGAGAAACAAAACGTTAACACACAGAAAACTGGTAGTACGGTACAGGAAGTCCTAACTTATTGTCATTGATAGGTTCTGGGAAACTATGACTTTAAGAAAAACATTGTATATCAAAACCAATTTTACCATAGGCTAATTAATATAAATGAGTTAAGTTACTATGTGATATTTCTGGTCAAGAAAACATCACCAACCTTCAAAATAAAGACCCAAAAACCTTCTAATGTTAAATATTGAAACAAATGTGAGCTATGTGTAAATGTAAGAAAGATTAATAAAAACAAGTAAGACAATTATTTATTCAATTTTTGGTGAATCAGTGAATGATGGCAGTAGTAGTAGTAGTATTGGTGGGTTAAATCAAAGAATACATATTTACAAACAAAGTTATAATGAGCATCTGTTACCATCCTACCACCACACAATTAAAAAAACATTAATGACATATCGTAAAAAAGGATTCCTGGCACTGAAAAATTTAATGAATGAAATAACAATACAGTTGACACCTTCAGCAGTGGATTAGGTCAAGCAGAAGAAAGAATGACTAAAGTTAAAGATAGGTCTTTTGAAATAACCCAGTCAGACATAAATGAATGAAAAAAATAATTTTAAAAAGAAAGCCTAAATGGCATATTGGTCACCATCAAGTGAACAAGCATTCAACTATTGTGAATGCCAGAGGAGAAGAGATAGAAAAAAGCATTGAAAAACCTATTAAACCTGAAATAATAAAAATTTCTTAAATCTTAAAAGAGATATAGACATCCAAATATAGGAGGCTTAAAGACTTCTGAATATACTTAACACATAAGTCTCCTCTTTGAGGCACATTATAGTTAAACTGTCAAAAGTTAAAGAGAGAATTCTAAACAATAGAAAGAGAAAAGCATCAAGTCACATGTAAGAGAATTCCCATCAGATTAACAGCAGATTTCTCAGCTGAAACCATATAGGTCAGGAGAAAATCGAGTGATATATTCAAAGTACTGAAAGCAAGAAAAAGACTCCTGGTGAAGAATACTATATTCACCAAATGTGTCCTTCAGAACGTAAGGAGATATAAAGTGTTTCCTAGACAAACAAAAACTGATGGGATTTGTCACCACTAGACTGACTATATGAGAAATGCTTAAGAAAGACCTACATCTGGAAGTGAAAGGATGTTCTCCATCACCGTGAAAACACACTAAAATATATAACTTATTGAAAGAGCAGATACGTATATGAGAAACCGAAAGGAATGAAATGTTATTACTACAGAAAGCTACCAAATCTCAAAGATAAACATCAGAGAGGAAGAAATGAATAAAGGATTTACAAAACAAACAAAAAACAATGAAGAAAATGACAGGAATAAGTTCTCACCTATTAATAACCTTGCATATAAACAGTTTAAATCTCCCAGTTAAAAGATATGGACTCACTGAATGGATAAAAATATATAATATAGCAAGACCCAACCATATTCTGCCCACAAGAAACTGACCTCACCTATAAAGACATATAGATTGAAAGTGAAGAGATGGGAAAAAATAATTTATGCAAAAAGAAACCAAAAGTCTTCAGTAGTTACTATACTTAGACAAACTAGAACTTTAAGTCAAAAAACATAAAAAGAGACAAGATCAGTACATAATTATAAAGGGATCAATTCAGCAAGAGGATATAAATAACACACACACACACACACACACACACACACACCTAACACTGGTGCACAAGATATATAAAGCAAATATCATTAGCGCTAATGGAAGAGATAGACTCCGTTACAATAACAGATGGGGACTTCAACACCAAACTTGCTTGCAGCATTAGATAGATAACCTAGATAGAAAATCAACAAAGAAATATTGGACTTAAACTACCCTACAGACCACATGGACCTAGCAGACGTTACAGAACCTTTCATCCGACAACTGCAGAATACACCTTCTTCTCGTCAGCACGTGGAATTTTCTCCAGGTTACACTATATGTTAGGCAACAAAACATACTTCCATAAATATAAAAAAGTCAAAATCACTTCAAGTATTTTATCAGAACACAATGGAATAAACTACAAATCAGTAGCAAGAGAAATGTTGGAACCTGGAAAAAATATGGAAGTTAAATAATATGCTCCTGAATGATAATTGAGTTAATGAAGAAGTGAAGAAGGAAATAAAAAAATGGAAACAAATGAAAATGGAAAGACAACATACCAAAACCTATAGGATTTCACAAAAGCAGTTCTAAGAGGGAAGTTTATAGTAATAAATACCTACATCAAAAAGTAGAAAGATTTCAAATAATCTAATGATGTACCTCAAGAAACCAAGAAAAGCAAGAACAAACCAAATAAAAAATTAGTAGAAGGGAAGAAATAATAAATATCAGAGCAGAACTAAATGAAATGGAGACAAAAATAGAGACTAAAAGAGATTAACAAAATGAAAACTTTGGTTTTCTGAAAAGATAAAATAGATAAACCTTTAGCTAGACCAAGAGAAAAACAGAAAAGACCCAAAAAAAATTAGAACAAAAAGGAGACATTACAATTGATACCACAGAAATAGAATCATTAGAGACTATTAGGAACAACTAACAACAACAGATTCCTGGACACATATAATCAACCAAGATAGAATGAGGAAGAAATAGAAAACCTGTGCAGACCAATAATTAGCAATGAGATTGAATCAGTAATAAAAAGCCTCCCAACAAAGAAAAGCCCAGGATCAGATGGCTTTACCACTGAATTCTACCAAATTTATAAATTAGAATTGAGATGGATTCTTCTACAATTATTCCAAAAATTAGAAAAGGAGAGAATTCTTCCTAACTCATTGTAATAGACAAGCATAACCCTGATACCAAAACCAGACAAGGATGTAACAAATAAGACAACTACAGGCATCATCATGATGAACATAAGTGTAAAAATCCCCAACAAAATATTAACATAGTAAATCCAACAGCACATTAAAAAGTTACAAAGACTATACTTTCAGGGATCATTTCTATAGTTCATTACTAGAGAAGTTTCTCTGAATGGGTAGAGCACTGGAAACCATGAGGAGGAGGCACAGTGTTCTCTCCTGAGCATGAAGCTGACTCTTGGTGTTGCTTCACTGCACCTGCCATGTGCCACTGATGATTGTTCTTGTCTTCCTCTGGGAGAGTAAGACGGAGAGCATGCAGTCTGAGTGCTTCCCATTTTATTGTTGTGTACTAAGAACAGTGTTTTTGTTGTACATGAGGGTGATAGCTTTAACATTTAGCAGGCAAATTGTTTTGAGAACATGTCAAGTGAGAGCTTTTTTCCTTTGTTCTTTGCTTGCTGAAGGGATCCTTGTGGGGTGGGCTGCTTGGTCTGTCACATGGCTCTCAAAAATAGTCTTTCTAATTCCAGTATTCCTTGGTTTTTCTGGGCTTCTGAAGGTTTTTACTATGTAGTGATTTCAGAAAGTTCATTATTGCTTAGTCTGCTGTGTTTAGTTCCCTTCAAGGTTTTGTAAAAGAGACAAAAGCTTTTATTTCTTGGTAGGTAAAGCATGTTGAAGTTATCCATTTACTCTTTTTTTCCTTTTTTTCTTTCCTTTCTTTCTTAAAAAAAAAAATAAATAAACACCATGATCAAGTGAGATTTATCCCAGGGGAAAATGGATGGTTCAACATACGCAAATCGATGAATGTGATACACTACATCAATAGTATAAAAGACAAAAGTCATATGATCATCTCTATAGGTGCAGAAAAAGCTTTTGATAAAATTTAATATCTCCTCATGATAAAGTCTCTCAATGAACTTGGACATACCTCAGAATTTTAAAGGCAATATATGACATACAGCTAACATCATACCAAACAGAATAATTTGAAGCTTTTCCTCTAAAATCTGGAACAAGACAAGGAAGCCCATTTTCACCACTTTCATTCAACATAGTAATGGAAGTCATGGCCAGAGAAATCAAGCTAGAGAAAAAAAATAAAAGTCTCCAAATTGGAAAGGAAGAAGTCGGATTGTCCTTGTTTGCAGATGACATGATCTTATATTTAGAAATACCTTAAAAACTATTAAAAAGCTATTAGAACATGTAATCAATTTCAATAATGATGCAGGGTACAATATCAACATAACAAAAGTCGGTAGCATTTCTATACCTAAACAGCAAACAATCTGAAAATGAAATCAAGAAAGCTATCGCATTTACAGTAGTTACCAAAAAAAAAAAAAAATACCTAGGGATAAATTTAAATAAATGAAAGTTTTCTACAGTGAAACCTCTAAAACACTAATGAAAGGAATTGAAAACACCAAAAATGAAAAGATATTACATGTGTATGGATTAGAAGAATTATTAAATAATATTCTTAAAATACCTGTATTACCTAAAGCAATCCATAGATTCATTGCAATCCCTAACAAAATACAAATGACATTGTTCACAGAAATAGAAAAACAATCCTGATATTCGTATGGAACCACAGAAAATCCTGAATAACCAGAGCAATCTTAGCAAAAAGAACAAGGCTAGAGGCATCCCACTACCTGATTTGACAATATGCTACAAAGCTATAATAAGCAAAACAGCATGGTGCTGCATAAAAACAGACACATAGACCAACGGAACAGAAGAGAACCTGTTAATAAATCTACATATTTATAGTCAACTCGTTTTTGATAAAGGCTTCAAGAGCATACGATAGGGAGATGACAGTCTCTTCAAAAAATAGTGTTAAGAAAACTGGATCTCTGCATGCAGAATAATAAAACTAGACCCCCATCACCAAATATAAAACTCAAATAAAAATGATGTAGACTTAAATCTAAGACTGAAACTATGAAACTGCTTAAAGAAAATGTAGGAGAATTGATTTGGTACATCATTGGTCTGGGCAAATATTTTTTGTTAAAATATTGAAAACACGTGGGAACCAAAGCAAAAAATAGACAATTCAGATTTTTTAAAAAGCTGCACAGCAAAGGAGACAATCAAGAAAGTGAAGAGACAACCTACAGAATGGGAGAAATTATTTGCAATCTATCCATTGGATAAGTAGGGATTAATAGCTAGAATATATGAGGAACTCAAACAACCCAACAACAATAACAAAAATCTGATTGAAAAATGAGCCAGTGACCTAAGTGAACATTTCTCAAAAGCAGACATTCAAATGGCCTGCAGCTGTACGAAAAAAATGCTCAACATCACCAATCATTAGAGAAGTGCAGATCAAAACCACAGTGAGATAACTTTTCATCACAGTTAATGTGGCTATTATCCAAAGAAAGTTATAACAGATACTGGCAAGGATGCAGAGAAAGGAGAACTCTCATGTCAATGTTGGTGGGAATGTAAATTAGTGTAGCCATTATGGAAGGCAATATAGAGGTTCCTCTAAAACTAAAAATAGAACTACTGTATAATACAGCAGTCCCACTGCTGGGTATTTGGGTATGTTGCAAAAGAAAGGAAATAAGTATATTGAAGAGAGATTTGCACTCTCATATTTATTGCAGTTCTATTTACAATAGTGAAGATACGGAGTCAACCCAGTGTCCATCAATGGATGAATGGATAAGTAAAATATAGTGTATACACAAAAGAATATTATTCTGCCATTAAAAAATGAAGTTTTGTCATTTGAAGCAACATGGATGAGCCTGGAGGACATTATGTTAAATTAAACAAGGCAGGCACAGAATCACAAATGTTACAGGTTCTACTCATATGTTGGAGCTAAAAAAGTTGATCTCATGGAGTTAGAGAGTAGAATGGTGGTTACCAGAGACTGAGAAGGGTAAGGGGTTGGAAGCCCCAATTACCCTGATTTGATTATTACACATTGTATACATGCATCAAAATATTACATGTACTCCACAATTATGTGAAATTTTTATGTATCAATTTTTAAAAATTAAAACATGACACTATTAAAAGTACTGCGTTTATTCCTCATGAAGATATTTGTGGACTAATAGGAAAAAAGCATTAAATATTTTAAATATAGAAAGAATATTCATATAGTGAAAAAAATTACAAATATGGCAGGCTCCCCAAGTACTTTTATACAACATTTTTTTTTATGTTTTTTTGAGACAATCTTGCTGTGTTGCCCAGGCTGGAGTGCAGTGGCACGATCTCAGCTCACTGCAACCTCCACCTCCCGGGTTTAAGTGATTCTCATGCCTCAGCCTGCTGTGTAGCTAGAATTACAGGCATGTGCCACCACGCCTGGCTAATTTCTGTATTTTTAATAGAGACAGGATTTTGCCATGCTGGTAAGGCTGATCTCAAACTTCTGGCCTCAAGTGATCTACCCGCCTTGGCCTCCCAAACTGCTGGGATTACAGATGTAAGCCACTCTCCCTGGCCTGTATAGCATTATTTATTGTGCATTTGGATGATTATTGTATACTTTATGAATTTTTATAATTTGTATTCATTCCTTTTCCAATCTGCTTATTCCTGCTTAGCATCACAAGTAGTCAGAGCCTATATTGGCAGCTCAGGACACAGGTGGGAACCGCCCTGGACAGGACGCCTTTCCGCTGCAGAGTGCACTCACATAGCCCCACACTCACTTACAATGGAACACTTGAGAGAATCCCATTAACCTGTCATGCACATCTTTGGGATGTGTTAGGAAACCAAGGTACCTGGAGAAAACCCTCACAGACATGGGGAGAATGTACAAACTCCACACAGACAGTGGCACTGGCTAGAAATTGACATATTTTTCTCATCGGTGTTATAACCAGATGACATGGAGTGAGACAGTGTTATTGAGAACCTGGTATATAACCAGTATTTACCATAAGAGTCAAGTCAATGATACAGATGATAGTATCAGTATAGGCTAGGTGATTGGGGTGAGTCCTTTGAGAAAGCAAGCCTTGAGCTGGGCTTTCTGGAAAGAAGGTACAATCCTTCTCTGAGCAGAGGCAAGTGGGATGGGATGCTAGGCACAGAAGACAGTACTGATGACAGTTTGCAGGAGGGACTTTCAGTTGTTTAGGAGATAGTGGTAAGGTATTAGGTTGGTGCAAAATTGACAATGGCAAAATACACAATTTTGCACCAACCTAATATAATGTGTTGATGCTAATTGAGCATTTGTTTTGAAAGAGTAGTAACAGAGAAGGTTCCAAGATAGACAGATGCTCAAATGTGGGAAAATTATTGTACTAGGGTTCTCCAGAGAAACAGAACCAATATGATATGTGTGTGCACACACACAAAGATTTATTATAAGGAATTGGCCCACATGTATGGAGGCTGGCAAGTCCCAAGATCTGCAGTTGGCAAAGTGGAGACCAGAAGAGCCTGTGCTGGTGTGGTTCCAGTTGTAAAGGCAGCAGGCTCAAGACCCAGGAAGAGCTGATATTTCAGTTCATGTCTGAAGGCCAGGAAAACAAAAAGAAAAACAAAAAACAATGTCCCAGTTCAGAAGCGGTCAGGCAAGGGGAATTACCAGTCTCTTTGTTGTATTCAGCCTTCATTCTATTGGACAAGGCCCACCTGCATTAGGGAGGGCAATCTGCTTTGCTCAGTAACGTGATGCAGGTGTTAAACTCACCCAGAAACACCCTCACCAGAAACATTCTTCACCAGATGTCTAGGCTGCCTCTCACCTTGTCAACCTGACACATAAAATCAACCATCAGAATCATGAATGCCAGGAATTTACATTTAAATTGTAGATAGTTGAATATGATGCTTTATTTAGGCAAAAGTCCATAGTTAGATAAACTGTCAGCAGATACATTTATTAAGGTGGCATGTGTCTGTTATTAATCATATCAATTTGTTTATTCCCCTCTTTTGATGTATAATGGTCTTACTGTGTGCCAATAAGTGAATATATAAAATAATATGTTTGGATTTCTACAGGTGTATTTGAATAACAGAATTCTCACTTGGGGGCCCAGCTTCAATTCATATTTACATGCCAAGATAATTGTTGATGTTGTAGAGAGGTGCTTAGTTAAGCAAAGAGATGAGCACATCTAAAATCAAGCTGGGAATAGGATCCTTAGGAATAAATATTTATGTTCACGGACATTAGTCTAAAGTGGCATCTTTAAACCTACCTTTTTTGTGTGTGATAGAAACATAGAGTTACACCTTATGGTGACCGCCTCATCCATTTCACACCATATATCATGAAGTCACAAGAAAAGAAGAAAATCAGTTCTGGATGGCAGTGCAGACTAAATGTTCTTTCATAGGAAGTCAAGAAAGTAGCTTTTACAATTGCCAACGTTTATGTGCTTTTCCAAAGACTTGTTCACATTCTTCTCCAGCAGTGGCAGGCACTTGAATAAACTACTCAATTTGGAACATAGCAAATGACTTCCTGGCCTATGAAGAATGGTGGTGGCAATAAATGGGTGGAACATTGCAGGCACCTAGGAAAGAGAGCACCATTTCTAAAATGTTTAGTGAAAATAGCATTTTCAAGCAAACTGGAAATGTCTGATTGGGGGCAGAAGAGTGAGCAACTGCAGCTTTGAAGGAGAGCAGGGTAACATGCTACATTCAGCATGTGCCTGAAGTCATGGGTCCAGCAGCTGTACCACCTCTTGCTGTCTCTGACAGCATTGGCGAGGGGTCTGAATTCGTTGCAAGTCTCTGCTGAGAAGGGCTGGCACATTTCTTTCCTGTGTCCTCTGTTAGGGGATAGCGATAGACTCCTCGTAAACTCCAGGATGGAGCCTAGTTAGGCCTGTAAGTGCTAGTGTCTTTGCTGACAGAATTGCTGAGATAATTACTGCCACCTCCTCAGTTTTGTGTGTCACAGGCCATTGTCCAGTTATGGTTTCTCTGAAGTGAAATTTGGTGCATGCGAATGGGTGTGTGTGTATCTGGCTCGAAAGGTGGAGCTGCTGAGAGATTGGACTGCCACTCAGGCTAAAGGTTTTCTGGTGCTAGACAACTGGATGAAAGGTTTGTTTTTTTTTTTATTTGCCCCTCCACCAGCCTAGATACACACTGGCTTTTGTGACTTTATAGAGTTATTCTCAGGTATGTATTCCAAAACTAGCAATAATTGTGAAGTGATTCCAAGAATCCAGTAGTTAAGTCTGTATGGCTCCCAAAACCCATGTCCCCTTCTCTGCCTAATCTTCCTTAATAAAAAGCCAGTTGATAGTTTTTCTTTGCTGAGCTCTAGCAGCCAGTTGGCCTGGTGAGATTGAATAACATCAGGTAGCCATGTCAGGCGTTTGGAAAGCCTACAGGCAGAAGGCAGTAAGAATGGTCTTACTGAACACATCATATTCTACCAATGTTAAGACATAGATTTATGGCCTCTAGCACAACATTCACTGTCAGCACCTGCTGTGTGTCATAATTGATGTTTCCTTTGGTTTCCTTGAACAGTTCTGCCTCAGCTAATGCCATTAAGTTTCAGAACTTAAAAAGAGTTATTGTTAAATGTGGAAAACTGCTCCTGATTATTTTGGCCATTAGAGGACCACGTGAGATGAGATCATAGAAAAATTGCCGGTAATCCATCCACTGACATTCACACTCTATCTAGATTTATGAAGCACTCCCCCAAGGCAGAAAATGCATCTGGAAAGAGTGCCTAATAGACATTTAGGTGTCTGGATGCTGAATAGATGCATATATGCATAGTTTCTCCATTTTGTTATTTCACTTCTGTTTCTAAAAACCTTGATAACATTTAGAAGCAAATGTTCAGAAGGGAATGAAGGTCCTGCCATCAGGACAAGACATTTGGGTAGTAGAGCACATAATTCCTTACCAGGTATGATTTGACCTGAATGCATGCTAGCTCTTGAGTAGGTTAGAAGTAAGCAAGACTTGAAACAAAGCAAAAGTCAGAACCACAGGCAGAAAAGACATAATGTCACATCCTTGGATGCCTGGTATGAGAATGCAGAATGTTGGCAAGAAAGATCCATGACTCTGGGAGAAGATGGGGACCCTGTTTTCTCCACCATTGTGAGAACCAGCTCTGCGTATTCTCCTGTGTCCGTGATTGTCACAGGGTGGTCTCCAAACCAGCAAGCATCAGCATCCTGGAGAATGCAGACGCCCAGGCTCCAACTCAGATGTATTGAATCAGAAACTCTTGAGTGGCAAGACCCAGCAATCTTGTTTTAACAAGTCTTGCTGGTGATTCTGATGCATTTTAAAGTTTGAGAACCAATAAAGTATCATCCCCAACAGAGGTGGAGTAAAGTGGATTTCACAGAACATTTCTCCGTGATTGCAATTCTCAGGCTGAGATGGACAAGAAATGCTGATACATCTCTGCCCACTGATTTGACAACTTGAGAGACTAATGGGTTTTAGGAGTTCTTATTTTTTTTAATTCCAAATGTTTCGTTTTGATTAAAAACTGAAATATCAAAGAATTCTCTAAAAATTCTCTATTAGGACCAAAAAGATGAAATATACAAAACAGTCTGGCATTTGCTTTTGTGCTGTTACCCAGAGTGTTTCTCATTTTGCCATGGCTGAGAAAAAGTGTTGGTGATATAGTTTGGCAGTGTCCCCACCCAAATCTCACCTTGACTTGTAATAATCCCCACATGTCAAGGGCGGGGCCAGGTGGAGATAATTGAATCGTGGTGGTTTCCCCCATACTGTTCTTGTGGTAGTGAATAAGTCTCATGAGATCTGATGATTTTGTAAATGGAGGTTCCCCTGCACAAGCTCCCTCTTGCCTACGGCGACATAAGACAAGAAGTGCCTTTGCTTCCCACCATGATTGTGAGGCCTCCCCAGCCATGTGGAACTGTCAGTGCATTAAACCCCTTTCTTTTATAAATTACCCAGTCTTGGGTATATGTTTATTAGCAGCATGAGAACAGACTAATACAGTTGGCAAATTTGGGCATCCCATTTCCAGTATAGACAACAGAATTATTCTCCAGATTTAGAAAGAGAGAGGAAGGTGCCTCAGCCAGGGCATCTGATGACTACACTTGCAGAAGATGGTCTGAGCACCGTATCACATCTGCTGAATAAAGTACGGATCAGTTCCGGTCCTCATGTTACCTTCAAGATTACTAGGCAAAAATAAAGTCATAGCTGTGGCTTAAAGCCTTAAACTAAATTCTGGGAGTTAATTACATTATGGACACGAATGCTTTTAAGAGATTGTGTATTTCTTTGCATCTGTATAATTGCATCATTAGTTCAACAGCTTCATTTAATGCACATTTGAGGGCCTATTACATACAAGCTGGCATTCCTTACCTGCTCTCCTAGTGTTGCCTCTTGGCCTTCTGTCTGTGACCATTCTACTTAAAGAAACTTAGGGAAGAAGGAAGATAAATATTCGCTTTCCTTTTCTTGGCCATAGAAGCACCAAGTTCAGTCATTCATTTCAATGGGAGCTGAGTGCATTCTTCCAGCCCTCAAAAGCACTTAAACTTTTCTGATGGCCCAGTGTTGACTATGTGGAAATTCCACGTCTCTGAAAGGAAATGGAAATGCTTCCTTTGTGGACTGACCTATTCAGGAATTTCATAGGGCCTCAGAGAACATGACAGAGGGGGAATCTCAGCTGTGCACTGAATTTCTCTACTCCAAGTCACTTTCTCTGATTGAGAGTGCGCTGAAAATTGTTTTGAAAACCAAACTGAAAGCAACCACTTACTTACAGTAAGGGTTGAGAGGGGCATGTTGGATAAGACCCTTATGAAAGGGATCCATAGAATCACTGTAATTTTGCAATTCGTGGATCTAGCCTATGTTTTTATGTAAATTGTGTGTGTGTGCCATGTGAGTAATGTCTGCCTTATAGGGAATTGCGTAGAAAAATTACTCAGGCAATTCAAATGGATAACATTTGGCATGAGTTCTCATATTTTGACTGGCTGTTTGCCTGCCTATCTAGTGAACTTTAAAAAAAAAAAAAGAAAATGTTCTAACAGGCTTGGAACTGAGTTTGCAAAGATAGGATGGGCCCAAGTTAGTATTACTTGCAGCCCCCAGTAATTCAGTTCAGAAGATGACTGACCTCTGGCATGAGGGATGAAAGACATAATGAGGGAAAGCCGATGGCATCAGGAAAGGGAGCAATGTTTCAACAGCTATTAGGCTGGTGCAAAAGTAATTGGTAATGGCAAAAAACACAATTACTTTTGCACCAACCTAGTAATTGCTATAGATTGCACGAAGCCAGAAGGAGCCAGGAGGAGAGCTTATGGGGGGCCCTGTGGCTCGTGCCACAAGTTGGAATAAACACAGAATCAGATCAAGGCAATCGCCGTTTACCCTACTTTTACTGAAAATTTGATTTCTTTTTTTATTTACTTAAGGATTGAATTTGTTGCTAACTCTTTTCCCTCAAATGGTTCCCCCTCACCCATGCATTTCAGTGAAGAATATGTTTTCAGTGCATATAAGTGATGACAAAATTTGCATTTCTGTAGACTCCAGCTGTCTGGTTATGTAAATGATGAGCATACACTATATTGTATTTTCCAAAAGCACATGTGCAGCTTGTATAGCTAAGTGTTAAATTTATTTCAGAACTTATTTAAAGAATGGTCCTTTGGGCATGGCTGGTGAATGGTTGCATGGAAAAATATACTCAAAGGCAGGGCAACGAAACTGTAGAAAATGTCTGTCTCAATTAAGGAATGCCCTTTGATATTCAAGTCAACTGTGTTACAAATAAATCAAAAAAATTCATAAACCCTCTCAAGTAGAGCCATCTGATTTTTATACGTATATAACTAAAATATCTTCACATATTACCTCTTGTCTTTATCCTATTAAAAAACAAACAGGCTCTCTTCAAAGTCACATCTCTGGGAAGTTCTTATTTTCTAGTTCTAGCTTTCTAATGCAGAAATATTGCCTCACTTTGATACACACCTTTATCTTTTTCAAACTACTTTTACATAAGTAATCCCATCTAATTCCCAGATCAGTGGTTGAGGTTGACATATGCCCATTTTACAGATGGGTAAACTGTGATTCAGAAAATTGAAAACTCCTTAAATTGTATAGCGAGTGAATAGCAGGGCCCAGATTCATATCCAAGACTCTTGGCCCCACCTCCAGCAGTATTTTTCTTTGTGCAGTGGTGCCTTTTTTATCACCTCAGGGGTGACCTCCCCTGTCCCAGGAGCCTAATGTCCCTCAGGGCTGCTCACTCTCTTCCCCTCCTCTGATTACAGTTCTCAAAGGTCATTTTATTACTATTATTACACAGCTGACACTCATTTTATACTTAAATATTGCCTCAATCTGTCTTTTGTATTTTAAGCCTTTTAATTTCTAATTGTGGAATAAGTAGTCTTTTTTCCTGATTAAAAATAATTTTAAGTGCTATATTAGAGCTGGGGACATCCTTCAGAAAATCCCCTGAATCACAGAGGCTCTGTGGAGCTCCACGTGTTAAGCGGGAACCTAATTTATTTGGCATTACAGTGACGTAGCAGAGCAAGAGGTGAAAGGATTCATGGGTTGCCTGATGCTGCTGGAGCCCTTGTGAGGGTTTGTCGGAGCATATGAACTTGAGACCTTCCAACTCGCTGCTGTTAAGCCTGCTGCCTGTCAGCTCAGGTTGATCTGTGTTGTGGTTAGTAATTAAGATAAATCTATTTTTGCATAGCTAATAGCTACTGCTCTGTGATTACTAGCTCATATCTTCTGTCCCAAGTAAACATTTATAAATACTTTGAAGACATCTCAGTGAAATTTAAATTTCCTTATAAAACTTCATTTTAAGAATAATGGGCCTGTATGCTATGCATAGCCATGATCAGTGTTTCCATGAGTGAGAGCCACATGAGTTACAGTGGCCCTGTTCGCATAATAAATGTTTAGCAGGAAGCATTTGCATATTACATTATGAGGCTTCCTTTCTGGCCTTCCTGTGTAATTTATCACAAACTTTGTGAGAAAATACTTGCACCAAAGGCATCCTTGCACAAAACAACACAGGTAAAGGAGGCTTCCTCCTCCTGCTTCTCTCATCTTTTGGCTTTTCCCGGGAGTGGAATTGGCATATTTCTTGCCCTTTCTCCAGGAAACCATGGGTAGAACTGGGAGGATCTTATATTCCCAAAACCATGGCAACCCCAGACAGATTCAGGATTTTAGAACTGCTGTGGTGTGCTGGGTCCCTGACACTGAAGCACCAGTCACACCAAACACTGCCACAGTTCTTTGTCTTCCCTGGTGTCACCCAGAACACTCGTGTGGGTTTGCAAAAGATGCACAGGCAAAGTGGCCGCTTGTTGCATCTAAGTGTGGGTTTTAATGTGGATTTTCTCCAACAAGTCATTTGAATCCATTCGAGATTCTCTGAAGTCTTATTTTAGGAAATTACCTCAGTTAGATAACAAATACATATTATTTTGTTCTCAATATTCCTAAGAGTTTAATTTCCATTTCACTTCTCTGTAGGATACTTGTCAACTCTGTCCAAAAGGTAAGACTAGATCTGTGCTCCTCCCAGTGTTAAACCGCATCATTCCCTCTAGATAATTATCCTTTGCATAGCTTATCTAAACCAACCTCTCACTTGCTGATTCTGAATCTCAGGGGTAGGACCTAGGAATCTGCAGTTTCACAAGTGCCAGTGGTTTTTATGATCAGACAAGTTGGGTAATGGATCTGTTTCTTGAGCAAATATTTGTTAGATAAATACCACCTTTAGTTTTCCCTACTAACATACGCTTCTCAAAACACTTGGTACCTGCGTTCTATCTCTAATATTGGAACATTCTTTATTATTATTATTATTATTTTCCTTTTTGCAGGCAGGTAAGAGAATCATGTGGATCAGATTGTGTCCCTTCCAAAAATCCATAAAGCAATCCAGAGGAGCCTCACTTACTTGCTAAAGCCCTTTACAAATTACAAAGTGTTGCAAGTTATTTTTATGATTAGGGAACATTCTGGAATCAGTCACAGTAAATAGTTTATCTCTTTTTCAAATGAAATTAAAGCACAGCAAAATCAAGTGACTTGTCTAACAGTGCCCAGCAAGCCATCAGTTTGTAACAGATCTAAAAGGAGATGTCTGACCACTGTTCATCCCGATCTAACAAGCAGTAAGATACTGGAATTGATCAAATGTCTGAGACACCGTGGTTGAGACCCACTGTTGTAAAGCATGGAGATAGCTAACAGGATGAATCAGTGGTGGGGGCCTCTAGGTTAGAGAGTCAGTACTAAATCCGCTCTTGGCCACTGAGGGTCTCATTCCAAACATGGGAATGATAACATTGGATAGAAAACTATATGTTAAATTATTTCATACATTGCAATTGTTTCTGGTGGTAGATTCTTATCTAATAGTTAAAAGACGTTAGGAGAGGAATCGATCTTTTTTATTCATTGAGTTCCCCTTGGTAAGTGCGTTCCTGCCTGGGCTGGAAGGTGCCTTCCCGCTTGTGGTGCTGTCTTTATTTTTAAAGTGACAGCACATCTTTGCCTATTTTTTAGGGTACATTGAAGACCTGGGAAATATTTCTGTGGAAATTATTCCTGAAATCCCTTTGAAGTGTTTGCACTTTGGCTATTGTGTGAAGAATGGAAAATCGACTGAAGTGGCATTGGGTTGGGGTTAGTGCCTGTGTAATCAGATGCTAATGTAGCTGCCCTGCTACCAGCCCCATATCACATCCTCCTCCTACCACTTACCATAAAATTGCAGAGGATCAGCTGTGTACAGTAGGAGGTCGGCAGTTCAGTTCTGCACAATGCAGAATAAATCACTGAGAAATCAATAAACAGCAGCTGACAAGACCAACTATAGGAAAATTAAAGGCTGACGAAGAAGGTCGGGGAAAAGTTTGATCTTTCAGCTTAAAAATCTTAACAGAAAAATCCACTTTTTTGTTTTATATTTTAAAATAAAAGGTCTTTACTTATTGTTTTTATGAATAGATAATTAAAGAATGAAAAGAAAAAAGCGTTCCCCATCCTAGCTCTTGAATGCCTTAGTTCAAAACTTAAATAACTAGTGATGTTATTTATTTGTACTTTGGGTGATGTAGGGTTCAATAATGTGGTTGGTTGACAGAGACAAAATAATGAATTGTTCTCTTTGACTTCCTGTAGCTTTGGATGTGAATGTTATTTTTCCTTTTCTCTAAACTTTTTGGAGGCTTGCTTAAAGAAAAGTGTTGCTGCAGGAAGCCCTGACTCCCTGGTGCTTAACTCCATAGAAACACGCACGTGCTTAGAGATCCACACTGACCTCGCTCCCTCCAGACGCCATCATTTTGGTGCAGACATTATTCAGCAGACACTAGGAATATGAAAAGATACAAGAGCTGAGTCTTGACCATTTGGAGTTCAGAGTCTAGAAAGAGAAATCCTGAGTAAATATTAAGTGCTTAATAACACTGTAAGGAGGCTTAAAATCTGGTGGCTGAAGGTCCTGGCTTGAAGACAGTTTAATGCTCAAGCCCCTCAAAGGAGATGCTGTAGTTATCGGTGGCCACAGGAGAAGGCATCACAGAGGGTTGGAAACTTAAGCTGAGTTTCGAAGGGCAGGCAGTTCTTAAGTAAGCGAGGAGGAGAGAGCAAGGACATTTCAAACAAAGGAGCTTCTCCGATATAGCTTCATCTTGTGTGCTGGGTGAGAATTAACAGTGCTGTATGTAAGGTGTGGAGTACGATGCCTGGTTTGTGAGGTGCTCAGTTGATGTTAGCTGTCATTCTGAAGGATGTGGCTAAAAGATGAAGCTTCTGGAGACAGTGAATAAGGCAGTTATACCTTATTGGCTTCCATAACTTTTTTTTTTTTTTTACCCTGAAAGCCTGAAAGAGCCCATTACCTACTTAACTTGGAGTCCTGATTTTTCCAGCAACTAGCTAAGAAACTAAATGAATCACTTTGGCCGAGCGCGGTGGCCCATGCCTGTAATCCCAGCACTTTGGGAGGCCAGGGCAGACAGATCACGAGGTCAGGAGTTCAAGGCCAGCCTGACCAATGTGGTGAGACCCCGTCTCTACTAAAAATACAAAAATTAGCCAGGCATGGTGGCGCACGCCTGTAGTCCCAACTACTTGGGAGTCTGAGGCAGGAGAATCGCTTGAATCCAGGAGGCGGAGGTCGCAGTGAGCCAAGATCGCACCACTGCACTCCAGCCTGGGGGACAGAGCAAGACTCTATCTCAAAAAAATAAATAAATAAAAAATAAAAAAATCACTTTTTGCTTTACACCTCCCTTTTCTTCCATGTAAAATGTGTCAGTTGGACTAAATAATATCTAGTGTACCTTCCATTTGGAAATATAGTAAATTTACTTTGCTATAATGAATGAAAGAAACTAGAACTCGAGATAATAAACTATTTCCCTCTTTTTTTCCTGAGTTTCTTTTTTAATGTGAACTGTAATACCTACCTGAATATAAACTTACTTTACATTCCTACTAATAGTAAGGCACAAAATTATTTGGGAATTAAAATTTAAGAACAGACATTTAGGTTAGAATCAGATGGGTATTTCTTATATGTAAGTATCTGTTCCATCCTGAAATAAAGTAGAAAATCTTAGAATATCTATTTTTAGAAGTGTTTTGTAGTATTTGTGATTTCTGTAATGGGATGTTATACAGAGACATGAGTACATCCTAGACTAGGTGACTTTTTAGGGTTGCTTTGTGATTTATAAGACAACTCCTTGTTGTCTTCCTTTTTCCTAATATCATTACCAAATTAATTTTCCTAAAATCTCTTTGGTCAAGGCATTTCCCTTTTCAAAAGCCTTCGGTGACTTTTTGTCTCCCAAGGTAAGTACAAAAGTATCTTCTTTGTCCAGATTTTCATCATTATCTCATACTATTTCCATTTATGAAATTTCTGTACCCATCAGTATGGTTGACTGCCAGACCTCAGAAATGTCCTGTTCCCTAAACCACTGAGTTTTGTTTTCATGGTCTCACAGCCTGCCCAAACCTTGTCCATTCTGAAAGACCCAGTTCAAGAAAGAGGATTCACCATGTTGAAAACAGCAAGAATTGAGAAACAAATGTTAAAATGTTCATATTGTGACTGCCCAGGCTGGGTGGCAGCACAGGAATGGGGGCAGGTGGGTTAAGGAGGATGGAAGAGCCCATGGACTTGGTGAGATGGAGGGAGAGACAGCCTTGCACATGGGAGGCTGAGGTCAGGGAGGGTAGGATCTGAATTTAAGGAGGTGGCATACTTTGAGGCTGAAGGTGTCTTTGAAAACCACAGGTCAGAAGAAGAGGCAGGGAAAGGAGGTAAAATTCTTTGAGCCAGATTCACTTTTAAAGTGGCTTATAGAGATACAAAGATTATAGACTGCAGGAGATGAAAGACAGGAGAAGGAGGTGAGCTTCAGGGTAGATTCATTGGGAATATGTTTGGATGTCATGAAGATAATTTGACAACAGAATCTCCTTGAATGTGGTGTAAAACAAAAATAAAGCAAAACATATAAGAGGCATTGATGAACCCAGCCCAAGATCCTTTCCTGTAATTCAGGATATTTAGGATGAGGAAAGTATTTTGATTTAAGAAAATCTAGATTGGAATAAATGGAGTGTCTATTCCGGACAGAACAGGCTTTCCCAAAAGAGGGACTGTTAGGGCCTGAAGAGCAGCAAAGGATTTGACTTGGGTTGAAATTATACAAGGACAGATAGAAGAGAGTAGATAAGGTATACTCAGGTTAGAGGGTAGATTGGAGACAAATGTTGGCAGTGGAAAACCGCAGCTGAAATATCAATGTCCCAAATCTCTGAAACAGGACCTGATTGCTGGGAGGGTGCAGGCAAGCAGGGACTCTCTCCTGGAGAGGGAGGACTGATGGGCACACTTTCTGATGATCATTCTTCACAGCCATCAATCTCTAGCCCTCTGTGCCAGTCACAGAGGTTTCACTCTTCATGGTTTCACTACATTCCCGTTTCTTTTAACCCATATTTAGGCTCATTTAAATATTTGATCATTTTTACTTCTGATACTTATTCATTGCTCTGAGTCACCCTTTGCCCAAAGCAAACTGTTGTAGCCTAGAGGGGACTTTTGCAGAAATATGAGACTTGTTACAATGATTCCCTACTCCTGTCTTTCCAGCCTAGCTTTCCAATGCAAAGGCAGACTTTAGAGTTTCACCCTTGCAGCTATTAGGAAATAACTGCCCAAGAAAATTATCACAGGTGACATGCAGAATGCATGGTGGCTAATTAGTTCAACTAGAATATCAAGAATGAAGCTCAAGGTATCATGTTTATAACACAGCTAAGGACAATTTGATATTACCTGTGCCTTTTAGAAGGGATCCCTCCTTCACCTTGAAAAGGAAAAATACGAATTTATTAGTACTTACCTTAAAATCATTTCTAGTAACATGACCAAATTATACGTATAGAAATAGGTATAAGTTGAAATGTTTCCTTGCACATTTTTTCCTTCTCATAGTTCATCCCTCCTTTTTGTAGAGAAGAAAACCAGGATTTGTTGCCACCGTGGTTTCCCTTTCTGTGTTTCTGGTTACTCTCTAGTGGACCTATCTGTGTGGTCACGGTTCTGCAAGTTGGAGAGACGCCACTGGGGGGCATTGACCTGTGCTACTTGAGCACTATAGTGAATTCTCACCTTTTTCAAAGTAGTAATTAGACCTCTGGTAGTTTGTATTTTTAGATACATAATTTCCTTTATTGATTCCATACAACTTTGGGAAATAGTACATCTGCTTTTATTTTAAACTGAAGAGTTACTTTAGAAATGCCATTTTTTGTTTCCAGAGGCTCTAAAGGATTTTCATTTCTGTGACAGATCGACAGGCCATGAAGATTTTCTCCAGAATGGTAACTTGGCATCTGCCAGGACCTTCCTCTGGCTTTCTTCAGCCTTCTAATTACAATCATGCCTCGATGAAGGACAGGGTACCTTGTGAGAAATGTGTTGCTAGGCGATTTCATCATTGCATGAACACCATAGAGTGCACATACACACACCTACATGGTTGAGCCTACTATGCACCCAGGCTATGTGGTGTTGCCTATGGTTCCTAGGCTACCAAGTCAATAACATGTGACTGTACTGAGTACTGAAGGCATTTGGAACACAATGGTAAGTATCTGTGTATCCAAACATATTTAAACCTAGAACAGGCGCAATAAAAACAAGGTGTACCATCTCATTTGAGACCACCGTCATATGTGCGGTTCATTATTATACAGCACATGTCTGTATATTATCTTTGTCATTTTGTGAAAACCTGTCACTTTGAAATGCTGTCTCTTAGCAAAAGGGATCATAATTCATTGAATTTTTTATTTTTCAAATGAAGTGTATTTTTTTTTCATCCAGAATGTAGACTAGTGGGAAACACATGAAAGAGCTGGACTACTCAAGGGTGATTGGCAGTGGCCTCGTGCTGCCTCTTGCACTGGGGAGGGTGGAGGAGGAAGAGTGGTAGCAAAAGGCCATTTGCTAGCCCAACCCTGTCCTGCAGGGCTCCTGTCAAGAAGGGAGGGGAAGATGGAGGAGGACTTCAGTTAAGTAAGTCCCCTATCTTGGTATAAACACTATTCTTAGGGACTTCATGTTTATAAGGACAGGTTCAGTTTCACCAGCATAAAAACCTTCAAAAAGCAGTATGAAAATAGTATTAAATAATAAAAATTTTCAATTTGTTTGAAAATAAAAATTTTCAAATTGGTTCAGAAAATATTATGAACCAATCTGTTTTAGTTAACCCTTGAACAGTGTAGGGGCTGGGGAACCACAGTTGAAAATTCACGTCTAACTTGTGGCTCCCCAAAAACTTCTAATGGCCTACTGTTGACCAGAAGCCTTACTGATAACATAAACCATCGATTAACACATATTTTGTATGTTATGTGTTTCACATGCTATATTCTTATGACAAAGTAAGCTAGAGAAGATAAAATGTTACTGAGAAAGTCTTAAGGCAGAGAAAATATATTTACTATTCATCAAGTGGAGGTGGATCTTCATCCTGGTTGTCTTCAGGTTGAGTGGGCCCAGGAGTGAGTGGGAAGTTGGTTTGGCTGTCTCAGGTGCCAGAGATGGAGGAAAATCCACATAGAAGTGGACTCGTACAGTTCAAATCTGTGTTGTTCAAGGGTCAGCTGCACAGCCTCCTGGGGTACATACCATCCCCTCTGTTGGCCACTGTGAAGGAGGAACGCCATTAGTTCAAGGATAACAGGGTCAGTTTGAAATGACCATGTACTCATTTTGGGGAGAAAAATCTATTTGAGCTTGTCAAAGTTTTTCTGTAGCTTCAAAAATATCAAACTGTAGGAGTTATAAAACTCCACTTTTAGATAATATACTTCTTAGCATTAAGAATTTAGACCTTTTAAGAAAAAAGTATGAATACATGTTTTAGGTACAGAGCTCTTTTACATCCATTAGTGAAAATTATATCTAAACATATCATCCCGAAACTCAAGATTTCATCATAAACAACAAATTCAAGTTAAAATGAATAAACCTAAGGTTTTTAGCATGAATTCCAGTTTTTTCTCTCTTTTTTAAAACAGAGGCAGTATAAGAATAATGAGATCTTATTTTGGTTTGCTTCATTTAATTAGGATTTCAGGAAATTAGGTAACTTTTTTCATGACCTTTAGAATACAAAAAATTAATATTCGGTCAATTTTTTGAAAAAAATTTATCACCAGGAATTTAGGCAATTAAACTTTAAAAAATAACATGCAAAAGTTAAAGCAATTTAGAAAGCCCTTTTTAAGCAAATTATTTGGTTTTTCATGATAAGTAATCTTTTGACTGAAAATCTTATTTTTCCTGTTTTGTTATTTCAAAGGTTTTTTTGTTTGTTTTTGAAGAAGTGACATTTTCCTGGATTAGTGAATTGTTAAAAAGTACATCCTTTCTGTCTCCATTTTTTCCCTTTCTTAAACAAAGCAAACATTTGTATACTCACACACTGAAGGAAAAAAGTGCAAGTGTTATAAGATAATTAGAACGGTTAGGATAATTGCCTTTTATGGATACATAATGCTTCAGTTGTTTACTGCTAAATGAAATGTAAAAGTATATATTAGACTAAGGAATAGTGTACAAAATAGATCTAAATACAAAGGAAATTGTGTTCTGTCTGAAAATTTGTAGATGGGTCTAAATTAACAAGAATAAATTAAGAAGGATATATACACACTCATTTATACCCTTGTGCGTATCTCACATATGTGAACACACACACCAAATACACTGAAATGTCCATATTTAGTGCCAAAAATTGTGATGAAAAACCAGTGGGATTATCCTTTGTAATAGCTCATTCTTTAAGTTGCATTTCAATAAGGCATTGCTGTGAATCCAGAGGAGATTGTCAATTACAGAATTTTTTTCATGATCTAGTATTTGCTTGGTGCCTCAGAGAAAATGGTTGTTCATCTCTGCCCCTCACTGTTCATGTTTGGGACTATTGTTTGGCTGCGCCAGTAGAACTTATTCTGATAAGCTCACCAAATTTCAGGAGTAGCCTCCTTTCAATAACTCCACACTTGTGCATGTGGCTTAGTGAACTTACTGGTGACTCAGTCATAGCAAGAAAGGGCATCTCATGTCTATGTGACTACAAATATCAGGGAACAGATTCTCCATCACCAACCCCAACCTCTACCCTAACACAAAGGTGTATGACAAAATGAGACAAAATGAAACAAAATTGCTCCACATGCTACAGTGGCCTACTGTTGACTAGAAGCCTTACTGATAACAGAAACAGTTGATTGACACATATTTTTAAATAAATATAATATTTCTCTAGTTAGGTTTTCTATTTCATTTTATTTTAAAGATGACAAAAACTAAATATGCTTCTCAAACCTCTACCTTTTTCAAATTAAGTGAAGTCTTCTTCTCATTTAAAGCTGTTTATACTCAATTTGAAATATGAAACATAGCTTCAAATCCAACAAAGAGAATGTTGCTAACTCTGGATAACACTTGGGGACTTGAGTCCCTGAAAGGCTGATTGACAACCAGATTGACAACTCTGATTGACAACCTTGCTTACTTTGATAGGGCTTACTATACTTAGTATGATAGTTTTTAAATTAATTTAGAGCAGAACCTTTCCAAGGGATCTGTGACAAGAATGGTTAAATACTGAAGTGTTGAAGAAAGAAATAATTTATCCTGAACTTTGAAAGTGTATTATTACTAATGAATTTAAAGATAAGTGTAGAATTGATCATTTATCATTTTTAAACCTTTTAAATTAGAATTATAATGAAAAATGCACTCCCCATCCCACACACACAAACCCCAACAACTCTTTAGGTGCCTACAGGTAGGAAAAATTGCATTTATCTGAATTAATCTTGGAGTGAATACTAAAGTTAGTTGGAAAAGCTCCTGAAATGTATGAGACCTCGAAATATCAATTAACAAAAAATAGTACCTAAAATGTCTTCTAAGAAGTGTAGTCTTTTAACTAGGATCCTTCTTCCTGTGTAAACACTGAAATGAAATTTTGGAATGAACCTAAGGTGGTCCTGAAGTGCTGTGTTACTAGAAAAAGATATAATTGGTGGAAAGGGTGGATGGATACACAGGAAGAAGCAAGAACCTGAACTCCTGCTGGCTGATGGAAGAAAATGGGTGATCAAGTTTTTGCTTCTGAATATTTGACATAAACATCATAATTAACCTCACCTAAAGAAAACTTAAAAGGCCAGGAGTAGTGGCTCACACCTGTAATTCCAGCACTTTGTGAGGCTGAGGCGAGTGGATCACTTGAGGTCAGGAGTTCGAGACCAGCCTGGCCAACATGGTGAAACCTCGTCTCTACTGAAAATAAAAAAGTTAGCCAGGTTTGGTGGTGCATGCCTGTAATCCCAGCTACTCGGGAGACCGAGGCATGAGAGTCACTTGAACCTCTCATGGCGGAGGCGGAGGCGGAGGTTGCAGTGAGCCAAGATTGCATCACTGCACTCCAGCTTGGGTGACAGAGCAAGAGTCTGTCAAAAAAAAAAAAAAAAGAAAAAAAAGAAAAGAAAACACAAGAAAAATATTTGAGAGTCCTCAAAGCTTTGTATAAACACATTCTTTCTGGTACATTCAAAAGGAACTGATTTCAGATTGGTGTAGGGCAAAGCAGAAAGTAAGTGTGTGGTCACAGAAATGAAAGGACAAGAGAGTTGACAAGAGTTACAAAAGACAGACAACAGATCATTAACATTGCTGTTGATTTAATTTGGTCACTAGAAATGCGGCATTCATTTTTAAAAGAACGTCTATCTATCCATACCAATAATCTGGAGATGATCACACTTTCCAAGCAGAGAGCTGAAGTGAAGGCTTGAGGGGATGCCTCTGCCTCTCTTCATTTTCTTTCATCTACATGGCTGACCAATATTCACGCATTAATAGATTTTGGTTTCTCTCTGGTTCCAACATTTACATAATACAGTAATAGTTATAGGAAAGGGTTTGCATGTTCATTATATAAACCCATACCGATTTTTTTTCTACATTCATCTATAAATTACATACGAGTGGGGTAGCTCTATTTCTTGCTAATTCCTGACAGTATTTATTTTAAGCATGTCTTTAATTCAAAGGGATCAAATATGTTATAAGGACCACGTATTTATTATTTCAGGTGTTTTACACAGTATATCACATTTTATCCTTAAACACATGCACATATAGGTATGACACTTTATACTTGTATAGTATAAAAATATTAGGCCAGGCGTGGTGGCTCATGCCTGTAGTCCCAGCACTTTGGGAGACTGAGGCAGGCGGATCACAAGGTCAGGAGTTTGGGACCAGCCTGACCAACATGGTGAAATATACAAAAATACAAAATTATACAAAAAACATGCAAAAAATATACAAAAATTTTGTCCTAAAAATACAAAAATTAGTTGGGTGCGGTGACATGCACCTGTAATCCCACCTACTCAGGAGGCTGAGGCAAGAGAATTGCTTGGACCCGGGAGGCAGAGGTTGCAGTGAGCCGAGATCGTGCAACTGCACTCCAACCTGGGCAACAGAGTAAGACTCCTTCTCAAAAAAAAAAAAAAAAAAAAAAAATTAGAGCGTCCTCAGTGCTTTATATAAACACACTTTTTACTAAAAAAATTTACAAAGCATATTTCCAGTTTTGCTTTGGAGTGAGGAAAACAAGTTCCCAGGAGCAGGTATCATGAGTCCACTTTACAAGTGAAATAGCTGAGGTAGGTGATATCACAAAGGCCACTGTTGCTTTGACTAGACCCAAGAACTTTGTAGCTCAAAGGTCTCTGCACTACATCCACCAAGCATTCATGGAAAACCTGGGACGTAAATAGGGAACTGTGCTTGGGAAGTACAGAGATAAAACAATTCTGGCCCCACCTCGCAAGGAGCTTACAGCCTTAAAAAGAATGATCATAGAAACTGTTAGGTACAAATGGAAACTTCTTGCTAAATACAAGAACTACTAAAATGTTACATGACCCAAGAGAATGGGCCAATGCTGAAGCCCATGTCAGCTAAGGCTGAGGTGAGGAAGTGGTCTTTTTGCCAAGCCTTGAAGGACAGGTAAGACTGCACTTGATAAAAGAAGGAAAGTAGGAGAGAATTCCAGGCTGAAGTAACGGCATTTATGGAGACTCAGGAGGCTGAGGCGGGAAGGGAAGATTGCTGGAGCCCAGGAGTTCAAGGCTGGAGTGTGCCATGATTGTGCCTGTGAATAGCCACAGCACTCCAGCCTGGGCAACATAGAGTTCATATCTAAACAATAATATTAGGTATTTGGGGGGAACCTTAGGAACCTTTTTAAATGCAGCTGTATTTGCTGTGCATTTGTAAAACGAAGAAGCAGCATGGTGAACCCAGTTTGAGCAGAGCTGCAAGTTGCTTGTTACGCACCCCTCATTGTCACAGAGCATTCGATTTATCCTCTGGGCAGAAGGAGCTTCTGCTGCTGATGGACAGGAAATGAAACATTTATCACATTGCTGTTATTATTTTTAAGAATTCTTTAAGGAAAGGAAAAATAATCAATCCACAATAATAGAGAATCAACTCCTTAAAGAGAGGAAAAGTATCTGAGTGTAAATTGATGGGCAAATTAATTTCCCTTTTTTTATGTAAAATTGTTGTGACATGTTAATAATTTATGTAATTTTAGAAAGTAAATTGGATTTTCTTTCAACCTTTATATATGAATATGTGGTCAACCTAACTATATACTGAATATTATACTAGAAACTGAATGATGATTCAGAATAGTATAGGTGACATTCAGTTTCATTAAAGATTAATAGTAGCATGGCCTTGTGTGTTTTGCCGTATCACAAAAAGCAAGATTTAGTGACTAGGGCCCTGGATTATGTATTAGGTGGCAAGACTTCCAGTCCAAGCTGCCACACACTTGCTGACATTTGTGCTCACGTTAATTTTCCCATCCGTAATAACGACAGTAATAACATCCAAAACCAGTATACCCAGATAAATGGTAAAGATTAATAAGGTAATATCTGTGACAGGCTTTGGGCTTCTTAGAAAAGCACTGAATAAAAAGAGCAGCAGCAAAACCTTCTAGATAGATAGTGTCATCAGTTCACTGCACTCTGCACAGAAGGACCACGTTGAGATTCTGTTGTGCAGTGTCAGTCCCGTAGGTCACTGAAGGAGGAAGGGGTGGCTTTGGGAGTGACTTTGTCACTCATTATTTGAATGACTTTGGGCAAGTTACCTAATTTGATGAATTTGTTTTATCTGTAAGTACTGATAACATACATTACTTGGACTCATAAGAATTAAATGAGGTAAATTAATTCATTCACAATCAGAAAATTCTACCTAAATTTCTCTTTTTGTTTTGGCCCTTGTGGGAACATATGTAAAAAGCAGTGTTCTTCTACACAATTGACAAAATGGCGTGATAGACCTTAGGATTTGTTGGTCATATTTCTGATTTGGTCATTATTTCTTATAATTTCACCATCTCTCTAGTCTTTGTTCAGTATTTTTTAAAACTATGCAGCAGTGGAAAAGAAAACATTTTTTATTTTCCTCCTACTTCTTTTCTTTTCTTTTCTTTTTTTAATGTAAACCCTTCAATTATATCCACCTCTTATTTCTTATCCTTTGTTTACTATCTGGAATTAAACAAGGAGGATTAGGGGTGGTGCTTCACCTTTGTAAAATGCACTTGAAGTTCATTATAAACATAAATATATAATTTATAAACATTTATTTTTATAATCATTTTAATAATTATAAACTAATAATTTATAATATAATATAAATAATATTTATTTATAATATACTTGTTTAAATATATAAATTTAACTTATTTAATTTATAAATTTAACCCAACGCTCTTGGGTTCTCATGCATTAAATCCCTACCAACCCAGAGTAACTTAGGAAAAGATCCTCCTGAGAAAGTTCATCATTAAATTTTAAAAAGGGGACCTTTTTACTTCTTTTTGATAATCTTAGGATAGCAAGAATTGACACTTACAAAGTCTTATTGCCAAGGAGAAGGCTTGATGATGCCTGTTAGTATATATGAATCAGTCATTTATCATTAACTGTTTGCATTAATGCTCCTTAGCTATTTTTATCGAATTAGTTGTGACAAAAAGTATCTGAAGTTTTTGTGCTTATTACTTTTTACTTAAATAAAACTGCACTCTCACTCCAATCTTTTTTTCGTGCGTGTGGCAGAGGTCATCCGCAGTGCTCTGTCCAAATAACCATTCATTTACTTTGAATTATGGCAGTGGGATGCTCAGTGTTTGTGGACTCGCAGGTCAGTATGGGTAAAGAAGGAGAGAGAGTCCAGGCACAGCCTTTTCAGTATTTCTCTACACTGTGTCTGAAGGATAATGCATGTGGTCAAGAAGAATTTTCCTAGTCCTGTGACTGTTTAAAATTTGAGAGGGGAAAAAAAGTCTAAGACTTCTGTAATGCTCCAAATTGTTTTTCAAATGAGGTTTTAGCAAGATGAAAATACCTTTCAAAGGATTTATAGACCCATGAGAATTTTTAAAAATCTCTTTAAACATAAAATATTCTCCTAGCTACTGGAATGTTTCGGGTGTCTCTGCTTAATCAGCTGCCTCACTTCCTGGTCTCTCAGTACTGGCTTGGTGCCTTTACAGCCCAATCATGGTTTATTGATATTGTGCTGCACACTATTCTTTCCGAGTTTTTTCTCCCACAATTGTTTGACAATTTTGTTCATTGGTGATAATGAAAGAGAAAAAAGAAGTGCCAGCCACCCAACACAGTCAACACCCATTTTTGCATGTCGTTTCTGTGCAGCAGAGGCAAGCACAGAACCTGAACGTGCTCAGTGAGGTACTGTTTAGTGTCGTTCTGTGTGGGACTCGGATTTGTAAAGCCCCTGCACTTGTAATTCACCAAAGTTTCCCAGACACAGTTCCAGTGGCACATTCCAAGCCTTTTGTTTCCAGTGCAGTATTGGGACTTGGTTGTAACTACAAAAACTCTGATGATAAATGCCTGGGATTCTGGTTGGAAACACCTGTCAGAAGGACTTCAAGAAAGGTTTTAGAGCCTAGGGTCTTCTGAGTAGCAGTACCTGTTGACTGACCTGCTGTGTGCTCTGTTAGAAAATTATGTTGGAAAATACTCTGTGTACTTGGCGACAAGCCTTTCTGAGCCAGGCATGTGTTGATATGACATGGCGGCTTCAAACAGTCCTGCAGGTGCTGTGGTATATTACTTAAGCTTTTTTGATTCCAAGTAACAAAAACCAAGTGATTTGTGCTTAAGCATAAAAGAGACACACACACACACACACACACACACACACACACACACACACATATAAATTTTACTTTAAGTTCCAGGATACGTGTGCAGAGTGTGCAAGTATGTTACCTACATATACATGTGCCATGGTGGTTTGCTGCACCTATCAACCCGTCATCTAGATTTTAAGCCCCGCGTGCATTAGGTATTTGTCCTAAGCTCTCCCTCCTCTTGCCCCCCACTCCTCGAAAGGCCCTGGTGTGTGTTGTTCCCCTCCCTGTGTCCATGTGTTGTCATTGTTCAACTCCCACTTATGAGTTTGAACATGCTGTGTTTGGTTTTCTGTTCCTGTGTGTGTTTGCTGAGGTTGCTGGCTTCCATCTTCACACTGCAAAGGACATGATCTCATTCTTTTTTATGGCTGCAGAGTATTCCATGGTGTATTTGTACCACATTTTCTTTATCCAGTCTATTTTGGTGGAGATGGGATCTCACTGTGTTGCCTAGGCTGGTCTTGAACTCCTAGGCTCAAGCAATCCTCCTGTCTCAGCCTCTCAAAATGCTGGGACTACAGGCATGAGCCACCATGCCTGGCCTAATTTTGTTCTAACATCTCAGTAAATTTAGACTAATCAGTAGATATTTTCAGATAAAATATAAATTCTATCAGTTTTATGAGCACATACATTTATAGATTTGTGGAATAAAATTTGTATTTTGTGGTGTTATGTTTGAAAATAAAAATAAAATTCAATAATGAAAAAAGGAAAATAAGAATACAGGCCTGCCTCATAGGGAGAACTGGTCTAGGACTTGGAAGCCTATCTTAAGCCAGTTCTCTCTGCCCCTCACCCCCATGTCTCTGCCTCCCTTCATTTTTTCTTCTCTCTGAGGGCTGTCCCAGGGTCAGGGACACTTTAAATAAAGTAATCTCTGGGATTTACTTCTGTAGAAGAGAGGACCACTTCAAAAGACTCACTGTGAATTTATGAAAAACACCTGAAGCCATCATATGGCGCTTATGTTGCTCTTGATACTTCTTTCTTTTACCTGCTACACCCCACATGAGTAAGAGCACAAGACTGAGCTGTTTAGGGTGCTCCAGGCAGAGAAGGCATGGAAGCTTGGAAAGCGTTTTCTAAGTCTTTTCTGCTACACTTAATTTTTGCTCATTACTGTTTGTATATAATCCTTATCATTTCATAGCTCCTGGCACAGTTGTGAATCTGAATCTTGAAGGGATCTCTGAAGATCACTCAGACACAGTCACCTAGACAGAAACCATAACAGGTCTCCACCCACCGTTATTAAATCATGCATATGGTTAGGAAGTGCTTGCCTTGTAAAGTTAGTGATGGCTGGGCAGCTCCTAACTGCGCTCCTATTGATCTAGGTCCGTCTGTAACTTCCTCCAAGGTGCACATGTTCCCTTTGCAGCAATACAGAATAAGGCCTGTCCTTATCAATGACTTCAAATTCCTGAATATGTAAGAAGTCACTCTGTCATTCACTTAAAGATATTTAAATGCCTAACGTTTACTGGGCAGTGATTAAGTGCTATGGATGTCAGATTTTAAAATGTTTGGCAAACATTTGGAATAGCAACTGGACAAGCTTCTGAGGAAGTGGGAGAGGGCAGAAGAGAAGTGGAAGCTTTCCAAGGACACCTCAGCCCCAGGAAGACTGGGTATCATCAATCTGATGTAGAAACGTCCTCTTTATTCAGTCACCCGGTGGTTTACAAAGTCTTTGACATGGGAGCCAGAAGTCACAATGTAAGGTTAGCCCTCTAATATAGGAATGTGGGTTTCATGTTGCGGAGGTGATGGAAGGACAAGAGCCAGGGCATTGTAAGTGACAGGGAGGATCGTGGATGGGATAAGCCAGGCTACCCCAGCTAGGAAGGAAAAGAGGGAAAAGTCAGGAAGGAAAAGGGCTGATGGCTGGGAAGAGATGGACAAACTAATGAAAGAGACTAAAAGTTCAGTCAAATGAATTTAGAGAGGACATTAATCCTTGGTAATATAATAATAAAGTACTTGTATAAAGTTCTTGTATGTTCTCAGGAGTAGGGATTGCTGATACCATGTACCAATATGGAGGAGAGATATATAGGCTGATTGGTTTCAAAAAAAGACCATATTGGTCATCTTATGTGTATTTAACTTAGGATAATACTGGATATAGTTTTCATTTTAAATAGTGTAAGTTTGCATTCATAACTTGGCATAAAGTGTTTTATCTCAAGAACTTACTAAACTTGCTCTTTAAAGTTCATTGCAGCCAATTGGTACACAAATAGTTTTAGAGTGTTCTATTGTTCTTCCTGAGAATTAGACTAAGTAATGTGAGAGGAGTCTTAAAATGTTAAATGAAAAGGCTCAGTTTTAGGCAATTTTTGAGAGCTCATCATTTTCAAGCACAGGAAAACTTTTTTAAAAACCTTATAGAAGCCAACTGGAATTGAACATTTTAAAAATTGCTATGGATAATATACAATGTAAATAATAATTCTTTGCCAATTTAAATGGTAAATTATCAGAAGACACACACACACACACACACACACACACACACACACACACGCACACCCCTCCTATGAATGAACCATTTTCTGGCTTTGGATTTATTCTGTCTTTAATGAGTCATTTTGAAATATGTGTTTTAATCAACAGAAGGAGTGCTAATTACTCACGTAACTGCTTCAAATTATTATGTACTTATTTTTTATGGGCTACATGTATGCCTTTAGGTTGGTGTCATAGGTCCATAGGGGCAGAAAACACGGAAGGTGCTATACTTTCTCTTAGGAAATCTCACATTGGTCTGTGTATTATGAGGACAGAAATGATTTTTAATATCTGGTATGAGTTGAGCTCTGTTTTTGTTTTATTTCTTTAATTTCTGCTTCTTTTAGTATCAGTAGTCTTATTTATTGATTTAAGCATTGTTAGTTGATTTTTTTTTCCTTTATTTCAAGTAACTGAAAATTTAGATGTCACATTTCTGACAGCCATATCATTTGGTTGATCTCCGTCATTAGTTTCTCTTGGGGCCTGATCGATTGTTCACAGTTTTGGCTGTCATTCTTACTGCCCCATGGCTGTGGGTGTTTCTGTCAAAGAGAACTGTGAATTGAGAATATAGTGGCAGTTTCATGGCTTGTTGGCAAGGTGACCACGTAATTTGTCATCTGAACAAAAGTGCTTTTGGCTAATAACAGTGATGCCAGGACAACATGCTTAACCCATTTCAAACCAGGACATATGGGCACTCAACTTATAGGTGACCATTTTGCACTTCAGAGCCTTAAATTGTCCATGTTTCTGCAAATCTCTCTCTTACATAAGACTGTACTTTTCACACCAAATTCCAAAGATTTGGAAACCCAAATCTTTTTTTTTTTTTTTTTACTGAGTCAGGGTCTTGCTTTGTCACCCAGGCTGGAGTACAATGGCATGATCTTGGCTCGGTGCAGCCTTGACTTCTGAGACTTAAGCAATCCTTCCACCTCAGCCCCCCAAGTAGCTGGTACTACAGATGCATGCCACCACTTCTGGCTAATTTGTGTTGTTTTAGGAGAGACAGTGTTTCACCATGTTGCCCAGGCTTGTCTGGAACTCCTGGACTCAACCCATCCTCCTGCTTTGGCCTCAAGTGATCCTCCTGCCTTGGCCTCCCAAAGTGCTGGGATTACAAGCATGAGTGACCGCACCTGGCCCAAATCTTACTTTATATGCAGAACTATGCGGTAGAAGTGGTGCCTTCCTAGAATAGCAGTTTTAATCAGGGCTAAATAATGTGCAGTACTCTTTTTATATTAGACATATTTTAATGGAACATGACCCAAAATGTGCATTTTTTTAGATGAAAGTTTGGGTCTTCAGAGAAATACCACGTTTGCAGCAAGTTGCTTAATAGAGCATCCCCAGGCCTCTCTGGTTTCTCTCCACTTAGACCAAAGTGGTACTTTGGTCTACATGTTTGAAAAGAGCTGACTTAAGTGACCATACATTTTGAAGATGAGAAAAACTGATTAACTCTGGTCTGAAAACGTTTGGACATTCCTGCTGCTCTTCTTTTGTCAAATAGAGACATAAAGGTTATGACTGGGGGGATGGAGAAGACCACTGAGGCCTCACATCTCTCTTAAAAATCTGCCTGATTAGGTGCCAGGAGAAGTTTCTTCTTTGTGTTACTCAATGTCTTGTCTTTAAACCTTCTGGTAAAAGGTGAATACACTCAAGGAAGGTGTTTGTTGATTCATTTAACAATTATGTTTGATGTGTTTATTTTTTATATCTGTATTTTATATAACATGAAGTATTTACAGTAGCAGAAACATAAGAAATGAATTATTTCAACAGCTGGTACGATATTAGCGAGAGAACTTTGTTTAGAAAAATATCTTGACCTAAAACCTGAGGTCAAAGATTTTCAAGGGAACAAAAGTAATTAAACCATTCCGGATAAAAACAAGGATTTGAAGATGGGAGGAGTGAGAAGAGATAGGACTGAGCTTTAAGGTAAAAACTCCAAGGATTTCTTTTTAATATTTAGCTGTCTATCATGAAGCCCTTTCTGTCTACTCCCTGAGAACTTCAGTTATGTGTGCTGCACAGGTAAACACCTGTGTCAGAGATTTTCCAGGGAGAGCAGAAGGAGAAAGGTGCTTTTTCAGTGAATGTGTGTGAAGCCCCAGTGTACTTGAGCATTCACAAGATTCATCAAGACAAAGATTTGAGCAAGAGCTCAAAGCCCAAAGAGTAAATGTTTTCCCACCTACTCAAAACTCCTTAGACAAATTGCTAGGCTAAAATGCAAGGCACCTTTAGATCAAAGTGCAGGGTTGAAGATAATTGCTTTTGTATTCAGAGGCGGGATTTCTCAGCTTACCTCTGGGTTGAGTTCATAAGACTTTTATGCCTCCATGGAAAGTCTGAGAACATCCTGGTAATCAGGGATAAATTTAGAGAAGTGGAAGCAGGTGGTATCAAACACCAGCTTCTTTTCCATTTGCATAGACATATCCAAGGCCATGAATCCTTTGACATGGGCCAGAAGTTCTAAGTTGAATGGTATGAAGGAATTAAAATGACACCTGTAGCAACAGAAGAATATGTTAACTACAAGAAATTGGGATACAAAATCACAGTATTGAGAGTCTCAAGAGAAGTGTGTTGAACAATAATAGCAATTTTGTTTACTTCATGCTGAATCCTAGTATGTAGTATATTATTTCAACAGTATTTCAGTTATTATCATATTTTCAAACATTAATATGCTTAAGCCGGGCACAGTGGCTCACGCTTGTAATTCCAACACTTTTGGAGGCCAAAGTGGGTGGATCACTTGAGGTCAGGAGTTCAAGACCAGCCTGGCCAACATGGTGAAACCCCATCTCTACTAAAAATACAAAAAATTAGCCAGGTGTGGTGGTGGACGCCTGTAGTCCCAGCTACTCGGGAGGCTGAGGCAGGAGAATCACTTTAACCCAGTAGGTGGAGGTTGCAGTGAGCCAAGATTGTGCCACGGCACTCCAGCCTGGGCAACAGAGTGAAACTCCATCTCAAAAAAAAAAAATGCTTAAAATAGAACAAAGCTTGTCATTTTTTAAAAACATGACTCATTTGATGTGGTCTTGTACAATAAGGCATTGATTTCTGGAGCTAGTGATATATTCATAAACAAACCATTTCCTCTGTCAAAGAATCTTTTTAAAATATAGATATTGGATACCCAAGTTATTAATATTTATTAGGACACAAATAGATATCCATTTTTACTGGCTTATATTCTTCTGTATTGTGTGTATGAAATAAAGAGCATTTCCCCAAGTTTGAAAATACTCATTCCTTCATCATAAAACAAAATTCACTTCTAACAAAGAACTATAAAATACTGTAAAAGTTAATTAAGTCTTGATTTATGCACTTAAGGATTAGCCTTTCAGGATTTCAGTGATATATAATTCAATCTTTTTATTATCTTAATATAAATAAGCTTGACAATTATTTCGTGATCTTAGTTTCATTCAATTTTTACTTAGTGAGATGGCCTGATATTCAATTCTTATTCCAGAATGAGAAACATATCCCTTAAAATAATAGAAGTCTTTGCTGCTTTAGCATATGAGAGTGATTAGGATTTTACATTCCTTCTAGAATCTATTTTATATGGAAATGTGTACACTTGTAGGGTAATAACCTTCATAAGTCATTTGAGATTTCTACTTAATCAGATTCTGCCCATTTCTGCTAACATATTGCATAGCCAAATACATATGTGTATAAAAGTACTTGTTTATCAGTCAGATGTTAAAGAGACTTCCCACGTGGCAAAATAACAAACCAACATAGAACAGGAAGACCCTTAGCCTTTAAAAGTTGATTTTAAGAGAAGAGCATAATTTCTGAATTAGTATCAAAGATTAGATAAAGAAGATCCAAGTGAAAAACTATCAATTTACTGCAGTTTTAGAAAAACGATTGACTAGATACAAAGACAAGTCTTATATTTTAAAAAAATTGCAAATAAAGAAGTAGAATTTATCACTGGGTCACTTTTTATCTGTTAGCGATTTCTTCCATCTCTAGCCCCAGCCCCTGTCTTCTGTCTCTTCTCCACGCCTCTGTCTACCCCATCCCTTCACTGTTATCTCCTATCACTGTCCCCTGGTTAGTTGTCTTTATGCACATGGCCGTTCATTGTTTCTTTCTTTTTTTTGTTTTTTGAGACAGGGTCTCACCCTGTCACCCAGGCTAGAGTGCAATGATAACAATCTGGGTTCACAACAACCTCCGCCTCCCGAGCTCAAGCCATTCTCCTGCTTCAGCTTCCCAAGTAGCTGGAATTACTGGCACGTGCCACCACACCAGGCTAATTTTTTACTTTTAGTAGAGATGGGGTTTCGCCATGTTGGCCAGACTGGTCTGGAACTCCTGGCCACAAGTGATCCTCCCACCTTGGTCTCCCAAAGTGCTGGGAATACAGGTGTGCACCACCGTGCCCAGCCCACTGTTGCTTTCTAAACACCTTCCAGTCTGATTATCCATCCTGATGATCATTCTTAGGTATGTAGATCCCTAATCTGATAACCTGATTTTTCAGGTTATCAGAGGCCCATAATGCTTGGGCCCTTAGTCTCACTCCCGGAAAATTTATTAAATAAATGTAGATATAATATGTGTGTTTTTGTATTTAGAGATAGCACCTTCAGCATGTTTTTAATTCATGGGCATTTTCAATATGAACTGTTGTCCAGAACTTGCCCATTAAAACCATATGTGTAAACCATATGTGTAATACTTTCTATGCTGCCTCCCAGAGCCCGACTTAGCAGTGGCCTTAATCAATAAATTATTCATTATTTAAGCTAATATTTATTAAATACTTACTATATCAGACACTGGAGTTAGGGGGTCATTGTACTAGTCTGGGTAAAAGAAGAGCGTATTTCTGCCTTGCTAGTACATCAGCTGGCTGAATAACAATAGCATTTACCAAGAGAGCACGACGAGGAAGATGAAGTGCAAAAAAGATCATGAATGTAGTCATGACAGTGTCTCCTTCACCACTGTGCCCTTTAATATTGGCAATAACATCTCAAATGCTGGCAAAGTCAATGACTTTTAATTTATACTCTTTGGTTTTTACTTGTAGAGCATTCTAATCCCACTGAATCCCTCAGGAAATGAATGTGTAGGTCTTTCATTCTCTTTCTCACCAACACCAGGGCTGGGCCTTCCCTATGCAATGGCTTACTGCCTGTATATCCTACATGGAGGCTGTGGTAACTTCCTGTCTGGTTCATTCATATGGGTTCTCTCACCTCAAGATCAGTTTGACCACCCTGACATACCTGCCTGCCTGGAGTTCCCTCCCTCATACCTGTCCTGCCTGGAGTGCCTCTCCTCCACCTGTCCTGCCTGGAGTGCCCCTCCCCCACCTGTCCTGCCTGGAGTGCCTCCCCCACACCTGTCCTGTCTGGAGTGCCTCCCCCACACCTGTCCTGTTTGGAGTGCCCCTCCTCCACCTGTCCTGCCTGGAGCACCCCTCCCCCACACCTGTCCTGCCATCAGTGCCCCTCCCTAACACTTGTCCTGCCTGGAGTGCCCCTCCCCCACCTGTCCTACCTGGAGTGTCTCCCCCACACCTGTCCTGCCTGGAGTGCCCTCTCCTCATGCTTGCTTGGCCACTTTCTGTCTACTCTTCTAGTCTTAGCTGGAGTGTCACCTCTTTTGGGAAACCATCCTGTGCTGGCTCCCTGCCACCATCCTCCCACATCCCCACTAAGAATTCCTTCCTTCCCTCTGTGTACTCTTTTGTATCTTGTATATGCCTCTATCACTGTCCTGATAAACATCTGTCATTCTCAGCAGTTTACATGTCAGTCTTCCCCACCAATGTGAGCTCCTCGAGAGTAGAGATTGTGTCTTATATACTTATTCAGTTTAGTATCTCCTGCATCAGTATAGTGCCTGGCACACAGTGAGCCTGCAGGAAATACTGGCTAAATTGAGTGTTTTCCTCCTGATGTCTTCCCAATGTCCACAGGATGAGATTGAAACTTTCCTGCCCCCTGTGTGATCTGACCATCCGTGTGGCTGAGGTGGCCTGTCTGCATGCCTCGGCCCTGTGATCCAGTTGCATTCCGTGCACCGCAGCCTTTTGCTACTGATGTTATCCTTGCCCAGATGTGTTCCTTCTTTTTCCCTGCGAAGTAAACAGCGCAGACCAATCCATTCCTTTAAGCAAGAGCACAGGTGCCACCATCTTTAAAAAGCGCACACAAGTCGATGCCAATCTGTGTTATGTCTCTCTTCTCAGAACCTTCAAGGAAGATACTGCATATGCTTTGTACAATACAGTGTGGACATCATATGCCATCTTTATTCACATAGTCCATGTAGATTACATTCATGCCTACCATAAAAGAAGACACTTTTTGAGCATAAAAGTTGTACCTTATACGTCTTTAATTTTCCCAGCAGCACTGAACATAGTTTGAGGTCTTAAGCTGGGTAACAAGTAATTGTTGCTGTAGGCAGAAAGGAGTGGAAAGTGATTTGAAAGCCTAGGCCCTGAAACTGGTTTCTCAACATGACTTCAAGGGAGTGTCCAATAGTTCTTCCCTCATCATGGTCCGTCAGTGTGAGAATTTGCTCAAAACCATGCATAAGGAATACTATGTCAAAGTGACTGTGTTAGTGGCATTTCTTAGTGCGTGTTCCGATAGTAATAGCCTGTGGACCTTGGGCATATTTTGAAGTTCATCTGTCTATTTTAGTATAATACATTTTGAAATATTAAGTTCTTTCAATTCCATTATTGAAAACGTTTTGTCTGTTCTGTGTAGAGCACAGATGGGATCCCTCACATGAGGTGTCTTCTCTCAAAATGTATGTGAAGTAGCATCAACTTTACAGATAATCCAATGACAACATGAGGTGGTTCAACTGAGATTCTTAATACGGTGACAGGTACACAGTAGGTCCTCAATATGTTGATTGATGAATGAGATAGTTATTAAACTTTTGAAAGATTCTTTATATATGTTTTATATAAAAAATCACAAATTCTGTGTCATAAAATCTCACAAAAGATGAGTTTCTACGATTAATGGTAGAATAAAATGCCTGTGTACTACCCAAAATTTTCCTAAATTTCAACGTTGAATACTTGTGTTTTCTTTATACTTTGGATCTTTTTCTCCATTTTTGGAAGAGTGTGCGCTTGTTTGTATTTTACTCCCTCCTTGGAAAACGGTTGCCCATTCATTTGATCTTTGAGAAATTTAAGCAATTACTTAATATTTATTTTTGTCTTTGCAATTTTGGTGTAAGTTTCGTGTTGTATAGGCTATTCGGTAGTAAACACTTTAGTTAGCACATGCTAATCACACTCTTAAATCTTCACCCACTTGAAGATAACTGATGTAACCTACTGGAAATTAAGGCTGTAAATTTTCGGGTAGAGATTTCAGTGTTGCTGCAATCAATACTTTGCAGATAGTGCTAACAGCTTTTTCTATGAAATATGTTGGCTAGTGGGTGGAAAATCAATGTCTGGGAATGAAAAACAGGTGTCAAGTTTGATAGGGACATCATGCGTTTGATATTTGGAGGCCAGAGGGGCCTGTCAACAAACACGGCAATAATTCCGTCAGATGCAGTATGTGTGGAATTAATAAAAATGCCAGAAACAAAGCAGTCTGGACAGAAAGCTAGTTCTGCAAAAAAACTCAGGGCAAAAATGTATCTTACTCGTGCACCTTAAGTGAATGAATTACAGAAAGACATTGAGGTAGAGTTAAAATGAAGGCACGTTTGCAGCACTATAGAGTCTGACAGGAGAAAACAGTAGGCAGAGCAGTAAGAGGTAGCCACACCACCCCACTCAAAGGGACTCTGCCAAGTGTCCAGCAGATGTGTGGAGATATGACGGTTGCTGTAATAGAGTGCTGTGATTTAATTTGGAAGTCACTGAACCCAAGCAAATCAGCAGTCTTTTCTAGGCCAGTCAAGCTTGGCCTCATTCAGGAGTTGGTGAAAATGATGAAGGCCTGAGTTAGCCAAGAAGAGAGAAGGAGCAAGGGATAAACAACTGAAGACACATTGATCACATGCAAAACACTTGCCAAATACAGTGACCATCAGTGTCTTACAATAGAAAGGATGCACAGTTATTCAGTATTAGGGAACTATTTGTCTATTCAATAAATTAGGGGAAAAATAATGTTGAAAAAAGGGGACAAAATTATTAGTCATCGTTGTTCATAGTATTCTCTTCCTGGAAAATGTAGAAGAATCCACTGAAAATCAATTAAAACTGTTACAAGAGTCCAGCAAATACATAGTTACAAAGTAACATATGTAAAAACCAGTAACTCTGGAGCCACATTGCTTGGATTCTAATTCTGGCCCTACTATCAGTTATGCAAACTTGGGCAAGTCTCCTTATATTTGTGCCTCAGGTTCCTCATGTGTAAAAATGGGGATTGTTATGCATATGAAATAAATTATTATATATAAAACTTCATAATACTCCCTGTTACACAGTCCAACATAACGTTTCCTCTTATTGTTGTTTCCACTGCTATTCCTAGCTTTCCTATAATCTTCATAGAAAATGTAATTAAGATTTCATTTACAGCATCAATAAAGAGTATACAATACCTAGGATAAAATCTAACTAGAAATACTACAATAAATGGAGGAAGCCTTTATATTTTAGAGATGTCAGTTCTCCCAAGAGTAATCTACAAATTTAATATAATTTCAATTAAAATCCCAAAAAGAATTATGAAGACTTGCAAAATATTTTTAAAGTTTATTTGGAGAATTATGGGCATGTGAAACTAATAAAAAATAAATTGAAACAGAAGCATTCAGGAGAGGATGATTTGCCCCCATCATATATTTAAATATGTTATAGCTCAGTAGGATAAAAATAGAAAATACAAGCATATTAAATTTAGAAAAGCGGCATTTCATACATAGGTAACCAGAAATGAGTTATTTACTAACTGGTTTGGGGCAGCAGAGTTATCATTTGGAAAAAAAATACAGTTAGATTAACCCCCTATAGGTTAAGGTTTAACCCCATAGAGATTAAGGTTTAACTGAAACAGATGAAGCCTTGGAAGTACTAAAAAAAAGGACAGGCAAATATTTTTTGTAGTTTTGAGCATTGAAAAGCCTGAGATTCTTCTCAGTATGATCTCAAAATTCAAAACCATTAAATAAAAGATTGATGAATTTGACTACATAGTTTTACATCTATTCATATAAAAAATATTTTTAAAAGAGAAGGACAAATGACAACTTAGAGAAAAAATTTAAAATCTGAAGTAAAAATAACTTCAGTCTATTATAGGGTCTTAAAAATCAATTAAAAAATGAATACTATAATATAAAACTGGGCAAAGGATTATAACAGGCAATTTGTGAAAACAGAGATAAAAATACTTATTAAACATATTTTAAAAGTCAGTACCAGCTCTAAGCACAGATGTAACTATACATATGTACTATACATACACTGTATGTATCATGACTATACACTATATGTATAGACACTATACAGTCATGTGTCACTCAACAATAAGGATATACTCTGAGAATGTGTCTTTCACCATTTCATGGTTGTGCAAACATCGTAGAGTGCACAGACACAAACCTAGATGGTAGAGCCAACTACACACCCAGGGTATATGGTGTGGCCCATTGCTCCTAGGCTACAAACCTGCACAGCATGTGACTATACTGAATACTGAAGGCAACTGTAACACAATGGTATCTATTTGTGTAGAAAAGGTACAGTAAAAATGCGGTATTGTAATCTTATGGGACCACTGTCTTATACACAGTTTGTCATTGACCAAAATACCATTCTCTGGGGCATCACTGTATAGATTTGTTAACGTCTATCAAACCGAAAAGTTTGTTTTTAAATGATAGTACCTGAATTATGGACTGATAACCTTTTACTAGTTATTGTAACAAATTTCTAACTTCCTAACATGAACTTTATAACTTAAGGCAACAGAAATTTATTCTCACACAGCCTGCAGAAGTCTGAAATCAAGGTGTTGGCAGGGCCGTGCTCCTTTCAGAAGCTTTAGGGGAGATTCCATTCCTTGCTTCTTCTAGCTTCTGGTGGTTCTTGCCACGTGCTGGTTCATTGGTTTCATCACTCCAGTCTCTGCCTCCATCTTCATGTGGCCTTCACTTCATTTGGTTTTCAAATCTCCCTTGTGTATCTCCAGAAAGGTACAGATTATTGGATTTAAGGTCAACCCATGTAATCTAGGATGATCTCTTCATCTCTAGATCTTTACATTAATTACCTGTGTAAAGTTTTTTTTTTTTCCGAACTAGGTCACATTCACAGGTTTTGAGACACAGACTTATCTTTTGGGGAACCACTACTCAGCCAACCCTCTGACCCCAAAACATGGTCCTCCAGCCCATGTGTAAAATACGTTCACCCTATCCCAACATCTAAAAGTCTCAACCCACTATAGTGTCAAATCTAAGTCCAAAATCCCATTTAAATATCTTCAACTCAAAAGTACCAAGTTTCATCATCTAAATCATCTGAATCAGATATGTCTGAGCCTCTGGGTGTGATCCATCTGTGGGCAAAATCTCCATTCATCTGTAGACCTGTGAAACTAAAAAAAAAGTTATCTGCTTCTAAAATACAGTGATGGGACAAGCATAGGATAGACATTCTCATTCCACAAAAGAGAAACTGGAAGGAATAAAGGGGCCACAAGACCCAAGCTAGTTTGAAATCCAGCAGATCAAACTCCATTATATTTCAGAGCCTAAGAATAATACTCTGTGGCCCAGTGCTCCACTCTGGGCTCACAGTTCTGCCGGCTTCTGCTTCTGGGCTCAAGGCTCTCCCCTAGGGATTGTTTTCCTTTTCCTTGAACAATAGTATATATTTTCAGCCAAGTGGCTCTATCAGCCTGTTTTCTTCCTGTAGAATTCCGGAAGTCTAACAGCCTTCCTTCATCTCATCCTGTCTCTGTCCTCATTCTGTCCAAGCTGGTAGTGTTTGTGCTGATACAACATTTTCATAAGCCTAGTGGGTCTCCTGTGTATGTTAGAGGATCCAGGTCATTAGACAAGAGAGGCCTCCATGGAATTTTCAAGGATAACCCCATTCTTATTCCTGGCTTCTGCTGACATGGCTGATTGGATCCATGAGTCACACACATAATCCCCTTAGCAAAGGGCTGTCCAGCCATTCCCTTGACCCTCTCTCCAGAGCACCTTTCCCCACAGTGGACAGCCTAATTTTAATATCCTTTGCAATCTGGATAGCCGAGAATCTTCCAAACTATCAAATGCTGATGTCTTTGGCTTAATAGTTTCTCAATTCGTCTCTTTTCCACTTCCATTTTATTATAAGCAGCAATGAGAAACCAGGCTGCATCTTCAAAATTTGGCTTGGAAATTTCAGCTAAATTGAATAAAAAGTTTAATTCTTAGATTTATTCTATCTGTGAAGAAAAATAACCTGCAAATCATGCAGAAAAAATATAATCATCCCTCAGTATCCAGGGGGGATTAGTTCCAAGACTGCCCCCCTCCTCCCCACCAGGACACCAAAATCTGCAGCTACTCAAGTCCCTGATATAAAGTGGTGTGCCATGTGCACACCCTCCCATAGCCTTTAAGCCATCTCTAGATTGTATATATTACCCAATACAATGTAAATGCTATGTAAATAGTTCTTATACTATATTATTTTTTATTTGTATTATTTTTATTGTTTTTTTCCCCCAATATTTTTGGACCGAGGTTGGTTGAATCCGCAGATGCAGAAATTGCAGATACGGAGGGCTGACTGTACCTATAAAAAGAGGACAGATCCCATGTTACGTGTTCTCTCCACAAAAGAAATAAACACAAACTGGAGGGGTACAAGGAAACTTTTGGAGATGACAGACATGTTTATTACCTTGATTGTGGTACAGGAGCACATGGATATATGCAAATTCATCACATTGTATACATTAAATATGCACAGTATTTTGTATCTCGATTATTTTTTAACAACCCTGTTTTTTAAAAATTGAGGTTCAAGGTGAATAAGGAAATAAGCTACTTGAAATGATTTTATAATACTGACATATTTATTATGCCTCAGTGTATATCTTACTGAGTATCTTAGAGCACCTATGCCTCAGTAAGAATGAGGTGTCAAAATGGAGTAAACACTCCAAATATTATTGAAATACAACAAAGAAGGATAGTTTCAGGCGGAGTAGCCACATCATGCTGGAGGTTGCATCAACTGGTGGTGGTTACTGTGAGAAAGGAAGACTTGGAGGATCATGATAGCTCCTCACATGGCGTCGGGGTAACTCCGGGGAACAGAAGGATAAAAATTATTGTGTTTGGTTTCAAAGTAAAAATGAATTGGTTCAAGGAGGCTGTTCTGGCACAATAGAAAATGTTCTACACTCTGATTTGTCCCAAACAGCATCTACTGCCCCAAGGCAATGCATGCTGAGACAGAAGGCAAAGTAACCTTTTAGAGATTTTTATAGAGGTGCTTATGCGTTGGGTAAGTAGTTGTATTAAATTGTCCTTCATTCCTTTTTAACACTAAAACAGTGGGAACCCAGGCTGTAGGTAGAAGACCTCTTTTTCTACTCAGTTTCTCTAGCTATATAAGTTCCTCAAGGGAGGAGGATTGGCTAAGGTGCAAAAATGGTAAATTGATAGTACTTTGTTCCCAAGTGACTATTATTTTGACTGCAGCACACAATGAATTTTTGTGGACAGAATGTAATGTGTGGGCACTCAGCTATACACAGATTAAAAGTTATGCTTTCTCAGAGATGTTGTTAACCATGGTTAGATTTAAGACCAGTTTGCAGAACCAGGCAAATCTCTCAGGCACTCTCTGACTTCTGCACCATTTCCTCCCCTGTTACCTGAGCTCCTGCAACATTGAAGACTTAATTTGGGCGCTTCGCTTGAGTGCACATGTAATGTGGGTATATCCAAATTGGATATGTGTTGTTGTGGCTCAAAGATGGCCTTATTTACAACTGATGATGTAAATACAGTTTTTCTCATGTCCACAGTGGCATAAATTTTAAATGCAGGAAAGTTGCTGTTTACTGGGTGTTTATCGGTCCTAAGGTTTATGCTTAATGAACTTCCTCTGCTTCTGAACTGGGATCATGGGCTCCTTGTTTTATGAAAGAAATCATTCCCTAAGCAAATGAGTCTCTCAGCCAGAAATGAATGATCTGGACAGAATGATCTGGTGTTGTTTATAAGTAATATATGAAGTTGAATAAAACATCTAAGATAAGGAGAAAAGTCTATTTTTAGGGCTGTCTTCTCAGACTAAAGGTTTCTTCAAAATCCCTGTGCTTTTTCTTATAGTAGCTTTGTGGCCTCTCCTCACACTTAATACCTTCATTAGTTACAATTAGCACATCTTTTTCTCATCCACTTTACAGGAAATAAATTTCTTATATCTTTACTAAATTCCAGGCTCTCAGAAATGTGTTTGTGAGGAAAAATATTTTCTGCTTCAGATAATGGCTTCTTTAGATGTTTGAAAAGTCTCCCTTTCCTTTTTAAACGTGATTTTACTATTTAATTAATGAGACAGTATACTGTCCTCCTTCTGTTGCTGATTCAACATCTTAAGTGTGAGAAGCCTATATTGAGTTAACTGCAGTTATTGAAAATACCCATTTCTCTTGAGGTACTAAATTGCTCATTTTGAGAAATGAGTCAAATGTATATATGAATAAAACAGTCTGAATTCCTGTAAATATACTTTCTCTAATATCCTAGCTTCACAAATCTTTTAGTTTCCAATCCTCTGATTATTTTTTTTTCTCAGTCCAATTCTGATTTGTAAAATCTTAAGTGAGTTAATTTCCTTAATTCTGGGGTGCTCTCTAAAGGCTGAGTGTGGATTGGGTGGTAGAACTCTGCTAATCTGCAGAAGACAAGGTCTGAGATCGTGATGGACTAGTAAGAAATCCACACACCCAAAAAGCATATGGAAGGGTGCAGAGGTGCGAGCCATAGTGTTGTATGTTAGCTCCTGATCAGTGATGTTTATCTAATAATTTTGGTGTTTTCCTCCTCTTTATGTGTCACTCTTTGACCTTGAACATGGTTCTACTTTTGCAGTTCTTATGGTATATTAAAATTATTTATGTTTGACTGCTGTAATAGACTCTGAGCTTCTTGTCTTTTCATGTTTATATCACCTCTTAACTTATGGTGCATATTCAATTATTATTTATTGAATGAATGAAGATGTCTCCCCAAATACTACTTGTGAATCTTTTAGAATAGAGACACGTGGCTATCTCTGTCTTCCACTGGACTGTGCTCTAACCCTGGTATCTTCAGATTTACCCCTGAAATGGACTTGATCTCTGGAATTTAGAACAAAATTAATTGTCATATTAATCATATTTTCATTGGTTTTAGTGAGAAACAGTTGAGAGGGTAGGAGGAAGACAGGAACCTGTGCAGTTTTAAAAACCCAGCTTTCTGGGTTTTGTTTTTATTTTTTCCTCAATTAGCTTTTAGATTTTTTTTTTTTTTTTTTTGGTGTTATTTGAGACAGAGTCTCACTCTGTCGCCCAAACTGGAGTGCAGTGGTGCAATCTCAGCTCAATGCAACCTCCACTTCCTGGGTTCAAGTGATTCTTGTGCCTCAGCCTCCCAAGTAGCTGGAATTACAAGCGTGTACCGCCATGCCTGGCTAATTTTTGTATTTTTAGTAGAGACGGGGTTTCAACTTGTTGGCCAGGCTCATCTCCAACTCCTAGCCTGAAGTGACTCACCCACCTCGGACTTTCAAAGTGCTGGGATTACAGGCGTGAGCCACTGTGCCTTGCCAGCTTTTTAGGTTTTTAAGCACATAGCCGTATTTCCAAGCATCTTATAGTCACAGTGTTCATAGTATTTCCAGCAGCCCTTTAGTCAGCCTCTTGATTGTTATTATGCAAGTCTCTGTCTTACCCCTACCCCAGTTTTAATTCTGGAAACTGCAACATGATTGAAGTACGCACATAGCCAGAATTGGGATAGTTGTTAGAGTTAGTTCTAGGAGCATAATCCATAGTAAAGCGTTTGGAACATCTTGAATTGGTCTGAATATTAGTAAATAACTGGAACTATTTTCAGGGGTTTTTTTTTGCCAGAATTATATTAGAGAAAACCTGATACATTTTATGATTTTATGCAACTCAGAAGTAATTACCAAATTCATAATTCTGTAAGAGATTTTTAATACTTGCATTATTAGAATATACCAGATTTATTATCTAGAAACCAGCCTTTGAAAGTTAATAAAATGCAGTTGTCAGAATTGCAAATACCTGTTAAATCTTATATATTATTTTATATGCATATAAACCATGCATAAGAAAATGAAGCTTCATAAAAAGTTGTAGGAACCTTTACAGATTACTGTATTTCTCTCCTCAACAATATAATACTTGTTCAGATTTGTTTTTTAATAAAAATTAAAGGAGATCCATCTTAATCTTAATATTTCCACAAAGTTTAAATGTTGTTTTAGAATCATTGCTTTTATACTTGTTTTTCTTAAAAATACTTAAGTATACCAGTTTAGAATACTGTTTGATTCTATAATAAGTATTCAAAAAATGGTAGGGATTATCTTTATTATTTAAAATGTGGTATTTGATACCTGCTAAGTTCCGTATTTTTCGTTTTAAACATTTTTAAATTGACAAAAATTACATATGTATGGTATAAAACATGCTTTGAAATGTGTGTACCTTGTGGAATGGCTACGTTAAGCAAAATGATATACATCACCTCTCATACATCATTTTTTTGTAGTGAGAATACTTAAAATCTACTCTCCCAGCGATTTTCAAGTATAGAATACATTGTCATTAACTACATTCATCATGTTGTACAGTAGATCTCTTGCAGTTATTTCCCATGTCTAACTAAAATTATAGATCCCTATTTATTATTTTCCAGGATAGAAGATTTTTAGAGGTGACAGGCCATGTAGATAAGGCTGGAGAAGTTCTTGAACCTTTAAAATTATGAGAAGGACCTTTTCATATGCATGGATACCTGGGCCCTGCTCAGAAATAATTGAAAACCCCAATTAAGAAAACAAAAACCTTTTCAGATATATTGCAAACAGCATATTGTAAACCAATAGAACAAGTTACGGTTAGACATTTCAAATATTTTTTGTTCTTGGCTTTACCAAAGAAGTAGTCATTTTATGAGATGGAAGAAATGAAGCCTTTCAGGGTTGATTTCCCCAGAAGTAGATGATTGGATGCATCCCATGTGAAGACTTCTGGGTGTGTTGTGTTTGAGCATGTGGAGGGTAAAGAAGTTCTGGCTGGCATGCTTTCTTAGAGTGTCTACCACATATCTATGCTTGTTATGTGCAGCCAAGCATGAAGCCTGTTGTTCTCACTCTCATCCTAGTCATCTTCCCATTGAGAATTATTTTTCTATTTGGGTGATTACCCAGGTCCAGGGGCACTAATCCTGCTTCCTGTAGGATGGTTGGGTATGACAAAGTGTAAGGTTGCATTGGGCTCATGGTATGGGTGCAATTATTAAAGTTATGTGTCAAATCGAAGCTGATTTGAAGTTAAAGGAATAAGGTATAGTTCAAGGTCATTGAAAGCGGTAAGATTTAAAGAACAGAATCACAGATTTGTTTGTAAACAGTGATATGTATTTTTATGTGAGGAACTAGAAAAAGAAGGTTCAGTAAAAAACTACAAGTGAGTTTCTTGTCGTTTGCTACCTTTTAATCTCAAGTTTTTAAATTTTCACTTCTGTGTTCTATTGTGCCTTGTTGTCAGATATTTAAAACAGTAAACATATAATTGTTCGATGAGAGAGCTATTTCTGTTCATTCTGGACCTGGATGCACTGAGCAGTTCAAAGTTTATTTCACCAGTTTATCTGGAGAATGTTGTTCATTTATCAGTTTCTGCATTTGAGAGTTAACTTGCTAAAATTGATTTCATCCTATATTCCTTGGCTCAAGTTGATTACACCAATCAGAATCTCTCCATTTTTAAAAAATTAACTCTGCTATTTAGCCATGCAGCATTAGTTGATAACATTTCTTTAGCATATATTTATGTGACCATGCAGTCTTGTCACTTGGGTTCAGTAAAGTCTTGTCTCGCATTCTCCATTTAGCCAACATTGTTGGTGGTAATGACTTGGAATTAATGCAGTTTGTCAGCAGCTATAGAATGCAGTGATAGCAGGAACGTCCTTCTACATCTTCTTCAGACTGATGTATGAAATAGCATATCCCATTTATTTCTGTACCACATTATAAACAACATCTATGCCTGGCTTTGCTCAAGGATGGAGCTACTAACATCTGTGAAGATTGATACCATGGTTTATCATTTTACCAGGTGAAATTCATGGCAACCTTAAAAGCCTAAGCCAAGAGCTTAAAGTATTGCTCAGGTGTGGATCATGGATTGGATTAAATAGTGCCGTGAAAGCCATTTTACTCTTTCAGCTCCTTGGTGGTATATAGACACACACTTGACATTTGGTGGGGCTTTGAAGTTAATTAAGGCATCATTAAAGGCATGACTTTGAGTTAGTCTGCACTGAGATGCACCATGTGTGACCAAAAGAAAAAAAAAAGGCCAAGCATATTTGTCATTTCTACTACAGTGTGGTTATATCTTCTTTCTTATAAGATGTGTAAGCAATGTCCTGCAGTGTGTTTGTGCAGCATTTATACCCAGAACTTCTTATGAAAAGCTGGCCATACTATGATTAAGTCCACTTGTGGTTGGGATTCAAAGTCCCCACAGTAGAGCTTGAGTTGGCTTAAGCAGATGAACAATCGTCAGACTTAGTTACTCTTTGTTGACTTACATCTGTATTGTGGCACCTAGGGTGCAGTGGGGCAAACTGTCACTGCCACAAGGGTGAAGTGAAAAGTATATGTCTATACTCTTTTATCTTTCATTTATCAGCTAGACACATGTTTCCTTCATGCAAGGGAAAGAAAATCACAAGGGCCCATGCTTGTCTCTCTTTAGAACTCTCTAGAATTAGCTTGTCATGAAATGTAAAACTAATGTGCAGTTGTAAAAACTGCTGCCAGCTTTTTCCTCACTGCAGGCTGATGGCTAAGTAGATTTGGAAATGAAAGGGGTTATTATAAAGTGATTACTGAATAGCTAGGTATGTCATCTTAAACAAGCAGCTAAAATCTCTGTGTTAGACATTCAGGCTGTAGTCTTGTTTTGTATCATTCATATTTAAGATGATTTTGATTGTGGAGGAGTAATCAAGCACTGGGGTAATTTAAGAAAAAATATATACTGAGTGATTTTTTTCATTGCTTATTAAAATACATTAGAATTTAAATGAGGCATTCTCTAAAATGTGTAACTATTAAGTATGTACCAAATATAAAAATCTGAATAGCAGTTGGCTTTAGTTCAGAGTTAAAAATTCTTCACTTGACTAAAAACGTATTTATCTTCTTTTAAAATTTAAGTAAAACGTATTGTAAAATAATATATTGAAAATGGCATATATCAAAGAATGAATGGTTTAAAAATTATAACTCTTAATATCTTATTACTGTCAGTTTCATATGAGAGGGCAGATGCCTTGAAGAATCTTAAAAGAAAAACAAAATTAAAATAAACTGCACTTTATTACAGCAAATGCGGTCATTTTCAATATCCTTCTATTCTTTTTAAATGCTTTTCTTGGAATTGCCATCTATGTTGCTGGCTTGAACAATCACATAACCTCTGACTCCTTCTCCCCTACCCTTGAGCTTCAGATCTAGTGTAAGTGACATGCTGGGTGTCCTTTGAGGATATCTCAAGCAGCAAGCAGTGGGAGGCATCTCAGCCTAGGCTCTTGTCCCATTGTCCCCTGTCCTGGCAATACTGCCTTCAGTTTGAGCTAGCTTTTTGGGTGTCTTTTTCCTGTCCCTTTTCCCACCTTCCTGCTGTACACCTGCCCAGCTAATTGATCACAGCCCATGGATTGTTTCTCATGTTGCCATTTTCTTGGTCCAGGCCTCATGTACTCATCGCCAAGACAGTTCCCCCTGTAGACCCTCCAACTCCCCCTTTTCTGCAGGCTTCCCCTCTTCACTCCGTCTCAACCGCCTACAGCTGCTTATTGTGTCTGCTTCCCAGGTCCTCAGCCCTCTGTTCCCCACAGCTGGGCACACTGGGCTCAGTAGGCATAATCCTGTACTGTCTTCAGGCCCTTTGCTGACCTCATGCAAGGGAGATGTGAAGAGAACATACAGCTCAGCACCTAGTTCCCTTGCTTCTGGTTCCTGTATAGCCTGTTTTATCTTGGTGATACATGAGGAGATCAGATCCTAACTTATTAGCCCTACCAAGCAACAAGGTGCCTGTCTATGGTGGTACCTGGCCCTCTTTCTTAGTAGTATGCCTAGTATGTGCCGCAGATTCTAGTCCCTGCCTGGGAGCTTCTTAGTCACTGGTAGAATTTCTTAATGTTAACCTGAAGCCGCAGTTTTAGTCTGCTGCCCAGACAGGCTGTGTGATCCCCTGACATTATATCTTCATCAATATGGTCCACTCTGCCTGGATTGTTTCTGCCCTCTTTCAATTATTTGGTCCTATGGTAGTATCTTTATTATATGCTTGCTATTCTAAGTTTACATTAGAAATGAGACTTGAGTGTACTGATGCTGTTTTTTTGAGGTATGCTAGTTAGGTATTTTTTTTTTCACTTCTTTTTCACGTTGTTCTCCATGTTGGGAGGAATGTTTATCCTACAATCCTGATGCTTCCATGGAGAAGTCAGGGCCACCTCCCCAACCCTCTTCCCTCTCCTGCTTCCTATCAAACATAAACAAAGCTGGACACTAGTTAAAGTGATAATTATTGAAGTGGGGAAAAGAGTCCAGCATGATCTAAGGTCACCCTTGATCTGTGCAGAGAGGACTGGGCATTTATAAATGAGAATGAGGGAGTAGGAAGGGGAGGGGGCGAGCTGGGTCTCAGGAGAGTCAGGGAAATGAAAAATTATAAAAAGCAGAAAGGGAGGGTTAATCCATGTGAAACCATCTGGGTTTGTTAGCTAGTGCTTATAGAAGTTAAGTTTCTACTCTTTGGCAGAGACCGGGCTTCTGCACCCTCTAAGACTGGGAGTCAGGGAGCCCTATCTTCAAGTGATTGCCACGGAACAAACAACAAATTCTCTGTCTGGAGTTTTCTCAGGCAGGCACTCTCAGAGGGGCTAGGATCATCCTACAGATGAAGCCTCGAGCTTTTAGAAACTGTGTTAGTGTTTGTTCAAGTCTTTATAGGCCAGGGTTGAGGCCTAGTCAACAAGAGAGCTCATTGGGGCCTGACAAGAGTTTGTTCAAGGGGAGAATCTTGGTAAGCTCTCACTTCACCCTATGAGAAAAATGATTCATTGAATAGATGACATTTGAAAAGGGAACCGAAGATATTCAGTCTGTTTCTTCTGGGCATTGTCCACGGGACACAAATGCTCTTTTCTGCAACTAGAGGTAAATTAACCATCCCTAGGTGGGAGTGCAGAGTGCTTGGATCATCTAGTGAATGGAGGATGTGTAAATATGACTCAAGAGTGGATTCACTACGCAGTTGCAGTAATCAAGACATGCGGGCACAATGATAAACATGTTGTGCCTGTAATCACTTTGGGAGGCCAAAGCGGGCGGATCACCTGAGGTCAGGAGTTCCACACCAACCTGGCTAACATGGTGAAACCCCATCTCTACTAAAAATACAAAAGTTAGCTGGGCATGATGGTAGGTGCCTGTAATCCCAGCTAATCGGGAGGCTGAGGCAGGAGAATCGCTTGAACCCAGGAGGCAGAGGTTGCAGTGAGCCAAGATTATGCCACTGTACTCCAGCCTGGGTAACAGAGCAAGACTCTGTCTCAAAAAAAAAAAAAAAAAGAAAAAACAGAAAATAAAAACAAAAACCATGAGATACAACTTTATACCCACTAGGATTTCTATAAAAAAATATGGAAAATAATAAGTGTTGGCCAGGATGTGGAAAAATTGAATCCCTCGTATATTGCTGGTGGGAATGTAAAATAATACACCCACTTCATAAAACAGTCTGACAGTTCCTCAGATGGTTAGACAGAATACCATCTGACCCAGTAATTCTACTTCTAGCTAGGTACCCAAGAATATACCTAGCACATGTGAAAACATATGTCCACACAAAACTTGTATGTAAGCAGGGCATGGTGGCTCACGCCTGTCATACCAACACTTTGGGAGGCCAAGGCAGGCTGATTACTTGAGCTGAGGAATTTAAGACCAGCCTGGGCCACATGGTGAAATTCCATCTCTAATAAAAAATACAAAAATTAGCTGGACGTGATGGCATGTACGTCTGGTCCCAGCTACTCAAAAGGCCAAGGTGGGAGGATCACTTGAGCCTGGGAGGCGGAGGTTGCAGTCAGCTGTGATCGCACCACTGTACTCCAGCCTGAGTGACAATGTGAGACTGTCTCAAAACAAAACTTAAACACGAATGTTCACAGCAACATTTGTCATAATGGCCAAAAAGTGGAAACAACATATAGTTCTCATCAACTGATGAATGGCTTAACAAAACGTCGTATGTCTACCCGGTGGAATATTGCCTGGCAATAAAGAGGAGTGAAGTCTGCTACATGCTACAACATGGATGAACTTTGGGAACATTGTGCTGAGTAAAAGGAAGCCAGTTACAACAGACCACATTTTGTATGATTCCAGTTATATGAAATACCCAGAGTAGGAAAATCTGTAGAGGTGGGAGGTAGATTAGTTATTGCAAGGGCACAGGGTGGTGATGGTTGTGGGAAATGGGAGTGACTGCTAATGGATGTGGAATCTCTTTTTGGAAATGTTCCAAACATAGATTGTGGTGATGGTCACACAGGTCTGTGAATGTACTAAAAACCATTGAATTGTACACTTTACATGGGTGGATTTTATGACATATTAACTATAGCTCAAAAAGATGTTGAAAAAAGGGACTTAAGTGAGGAAAACTAAGAATGATTGTAATAGCAGACTTCCACAAATCAAGTCTTTTTTCTTCAGTCGCATATGTCAGTAATTGATGTGGTTTGGCCGTGTCTCCACCCAAAATCTCATCTTGAATTGTAATCCTTACGTGTCAAGGGTAGTGTCATGGGGAGGTAATCGGATCGTGGGGGCGGTTTCCTCCATGCTGTTCTCATGATAGTGAGTGAGTTTCACGAGATCTGATGGTTTTATAAGTGCTTGTCATTTCCCTTCTGGCACTTATTGTCTCTGCTGCCACCCTGTGAAGAGGTACCTTCTGCCATGACTGTAAGTTTCCTGAGATCTCCCCAACCGTCCAGCCATGCAGAATTATGAGTCAATGAAACCTCTTTTCTTTATAAATTATCCAGTCTCAGGTATTTCCTCATAGCAGCATGAGAACAGACTAATACAGTAAAAAAGTCTGATATTAGTGAAATCTTCACTTGTCTAAAATCAGTAGGTATATGTATCTCTCAGTTGAGAACCTGAAAGAGAAGACAGTTATTTATTGACCTTCTAAAACCTCCACATATTAATGCATAGCTGAGTATACCACTTACCCTCTGTGTATCTTGCATCTATTTTCTATCTTGTATCCATCCTGTGTCAGCACTGTTGCGTTGATGTTTTTAAATCAGTTCCCAACTTGCAGCAGGGGAGGGAGGGAGCGGTCAGGGACGAAGTATGATTCCCTATCCCAGCCCCTCCCCAGGGCCCCAGTCCGTGTGTCTCTGGGTCCTCCTTGATGTGGTTTCCGTGCTTGAATCTATTACATTTTTTTCCATGACATCATTTATTCTCCCTGCCTTCCCCTTCCTCACAAGAAGATCTAGTTTCAGGGGCCAGCATTCCCCAGTATTCCCAGTGTGGTCAGATTGACTTTGTGCAGTTGCATCATTCATGGCATAAATGAGATATTAATAATACTATATGGCTGTCCTCCAGACCCATCCATACTCCTGGACCTCCAACTCAAAGCTAAGCATCACCACCTCCCCACACTTGCTCAGGGAGTGTTCCCCGCAACATCTGCCCACCATGTACTCTTGCAACAAGGTATTAATAAGCGAGAAGGTGTCTAGAACTTCAAGTGACCACTAGACCAAATAAAGGTTTTTTCTTAATTTGAAAGATTTGATTCTTCCCTGAGAATTCAACTTCAGAAAGAATGAACGAAACTAAGACTTTTTAAGTTATTTATCATATCTATAACCCATTAGAATTAATAGCTGTAGATCCTCATGAAAATTTTTAGTTAATTTTCAACACGGTAAGAATCATGAGCATTTTAAATTAAATGGAACACTAGATGGCAAATGAATGCTTTACCTTATTAAGATGATTCAATGTATTCCATAGTTTTTAGGCCACTTCTAAGCAGTATTTCAAGGAAACATACTTGGTAGTAATAAAAAAAATTTTTGTGGCAAATAAACAATTAAAAATGAAAGATATGCACATCAAACTGTGATTCATTTTTATAAGTTTAATGAAGAATTAGCTATATGATAATTCTTATTTTGTGACAGTTACATTGTTATTGTATTCAAGAAAGTAATACCTACAAAAATAGCAAATTTTGAAAAAGAAGATAGCACCAAAGAACAAAAATGTCTTGTTTTATATCAGTCACACAATGCACTTTCTCTAGGTGTTAAATTAGTAATACAGTATATGTGTGTACATGTTTCCCATTCAGGGATTTGTGACCAGGTGGAATGAGGGTGGTCTCTGAGTCACCTGGAGAGCTTTATAAAACTCCACCTTACCCTCATCCCCAATAGTGCTCCCCAGCCTCCCACCAAGATAGCTGAATGTCAGAACCTAGAGGGAAGAGGGTAAGATGGGTGTGGTACGTGGATGAATTGGCCAGGGACTCCTGGGGCTGTGCAACCCACACTCTCCTCATGTTGGTGGACTGTGAAGATCAAGGATGTCTGGAACTTTTTCCAGTTGAGTGCTATGGACTTGAGACCAAAGTTAATTTGGAAAGGAAGTTTGGGGTAGCCATTCATAAATACATGTAATAGACTCCTCTTGAAGGACTACGGAACAGATGATAGGCCTCCAAGAGTGTTAGAGTAAGTGAGTATGAATCCGTCCATTTTCAGTAAATAAATGATTGATTCCCTGGCTTCCAGGAAAACAATGAAAAACATCTACATTGCCTTTGTATTTTTTAAATCAGCAAATTGAGCTTACTCAGATTACCTTAGGCTTGAGAGAGATAGAAAAGTATTGCAAAGTAGTCTGACATTGGTGGGAAAATGGAGTTGATCCCACACAAAAACTATGTTTAGGGAAAAATTGACATTAAAATGGAACAAATTTGGTAGCAAAATAAGGAGATAATTCAGCAGAGAGGTAAACTGCTCTTTATTAAGGAGCAAGCTTTTTTTTTTCTTAAGTTGTTTTATTTGTAACAGAAATAATTTCAAGTTAGAACCTGTATTTTCCTTCTTTCTATCTTTTTAAAATAAAAGTGGCGGGTTCATTTTTTCCATAGCATACCTCCTCCTGCCCTGCCATTCCAGTTGTCAGTGGGGTGCTGAGAACACACTCTTCTATTGAAACTGAGTTTTCTGTCATCTCATTCCCCAAGCTTCCCTGGAAGATTAGCAGGATGGAAAACCTAGGTTTAAAATAAGAACTAACTTATCAATCATAGGCTCTTTTAAATTGAGGAAGTCTTTTTTAAAAAAAAAAAAAGTTGGTAGTGAAAACACAGAAGAATAATTACAGTATAGCCATCAATCTAGCAGAGTTGAGTGTGGTCTTTTGTGAAACCATTTGCGTAGACTTGTAAACAACTTCAAATAGAAAACTATCTAATCATAAGAAGATTGTAAATACCAAAATAGGAGGCTCTAAACAGGTAAAAATATTTTAAGTAACACTTATCTGCTTAGTATTAACTAGAGGTAATAGTTACATTTGGGCAAAACTGAAATTGTATTTGATTCACTTTTTTCATCACTAATTACATTACTTCTGTAGCAAAGAGTGAATGGTTTGGGTTCTCTTTTGCCCTGGGTAAAATATCAGTTCCGGGTAAAATATCAGTTCCAAACTTCCAAGGCTTTTTGTGGATATCATAGCTTTATGAGGGTTACAAAAGGTCAAAACCCATTCCAAACCAATTTTTGACAGTTCTGAAAAACTCTGTGAAAATCATTTTGCCTCCTCCTGTTTTATATAGTCTGAAATAAATATCAAGGAAGTCTTTCACTGCAGACTCATATTTGTTTCATACAACAGTTTCCTTGTAAAGTTCATCTATAGGATGAATTGCAGCCTGTTTGTTCCACTGTATAGAAACAATTCAAGATTCTAATTTTGAGTGTAGCAGTGGTGCTCCTTCTATAGTGATGAACTTTACACTTTGGAAATGTCACCAAGGAGCTCAAGCAAAAACCGAACAGTTCCAGTGGTGAGTGAAATCCTTGTTTATAGTGCCTGTGTGACTTCCTTAAAACAGAAAAGCACAACAGAGATGTGAGTCACAACACAGAAACTTGGAAAGGCTTTTCACAGAAAATAGGTAAATACTGCAGAAAAGGAGATATTTCTAGAGTTGATTTATGAGACAAAGAGTTGATTTATGATCTAAATGTTCGCTATATATTATATTGTGCTAGTATCCTTTTACCAAATATGTTGATTAACAAATGTAGGCATTTTCCAGGATAAAGATTCATGTTAATGGGATGAGATATGTAACTTGATGGTTACAGAATGCAGTAAGACATAGAGAAACATAATAAACATATATATATATATACTGGGATCTTGACCATGTGAGTCCATGAAAGTCTGTGAGGTTTTTTTTTTTTCTTTTTTGAGATGAAATCTTGCACTGTCGCCTGGCCTGGAGTGCAGTGGCGCAGTCTCAGCTCACTGCAACCCCCGCCTCTCAGGTTCATGTGATTCTCCTGCCTCAGCCTCCCGAGTAGCTGAGACTATAGGCACACACCGCCACACCCAGCTATTTTTTTGTATTTTTAGTAGATACAGGGTTTCACTATGTTGGCCAGACTGGTCTCAAACTCCTGACCTTGTGATCCACCCACCTCGGCCTCCCAAAGTGCTGGGATTACAGGCATGAGCCACCACGCCCAGCCAAGTCTGTGAGTTTTTATTGCAACTAAGAAGGAATAGTCATAAAGGGATTTGATTTTGAACCAAGACTGAAAGGAACTGAAGGCTACTTTTTGGCAGATTAAAAGGTGGCTGCCACTGTATGCATATTGGATCAGTCTGAACAGAGATATTAATTTTGGAGGGAGAACCTTATTTGAAGTACAGCAGATAGATTTGCTTGACTGGTATGGAAAGCAAGAAGGGTTCTGTGATCTCTTTGATAGTTGTGACGTAATAATGGAAAGGCTTTATTTCGGTCAGACGATAAGAGCATGAATTAGAAGTCCTTTGATTGTTGCAGATGAACTGTCACATCAGGAAGGCATTCTGGCAGTGGCTGGAGGGACAGATAAGTTAGCGGGGAGTAACTAGACTATGAACCTTGGAGAAAATGTAGTTTAAGTATGAATATGAATATGAATATTGAACTCTGATTAGTGAATAAGTGGTATTAGTTTCCTGAAAAAAAAAAACCCTCCATACACTCATACACTCCTGTCAACATGCATACCTCATAGTACATTCACTTTCGTAGGCTTGATTCATCATAAGTTCTGAAATTGTTAATTATAAATATATTCTCTAAGGACTTTCAGTGTGCACAGCATATACGTATATCAAGTAGAAAGTGTATCTTTTTATCATGAAACTTACATAAACATAAACCTCGTAGATTTGTGTATTTTTGTGGCAGTTTTCCAACAGATGAAAATAAGTGTCTTGAGGAAGGAAGGGGCGGGCTCTCTTTTCTAATTGCACAGAGGTACAATGTGGGTTAGCTGTGGCCTTGGATGGTAACCTGCCTGACTGCTCTCTTCCTCCTGATGTGACAGCCCTGAGTTCCATTTCATATCTAGCACTAAGTTTCCAAGAATGAGATTCAGAAGTTTGGGTGAGGGGAGGGGGAGCAACAACTGTACCCAAGTGTCAGAGCCAGGCTGCACTCAGGCCTGAGGCTCAGCTTTTAGGAACCAAGGTCTAGTTTCAGGGATAAGAATATTACTGGTAGGAAGCCTATTACTGTGTGTTTTGAAAGAGGGGGCTTTGTAATTCTTTTCAAGTCACAGGACTCCATCCCGTGGGGGTATCTGTGGAACTGCTGAATCTTTAATGACGTATGATCTTGCTTCCTGTAAGTTAAGTTTGCCTGGTAGTAACCATTGTACCTCTCTCAGAAGAACCAAGATATACTGTTATCCAGAAAAGAAATCTCAAAGAGCCAACAATCTTTCTAGGATATTCATGCCTTTCCTATAATAATGTTTTCTGAAGTTATGTAATATTTGATACAAACAAAAGGACATACGTAACCTACATAAATTGTGCAGCATAACAATAATCAACTTCCCATCTTAAAAACAGAATACTTCTAGAACCTTTTCCCCTAACTGTAGTCTTCTGCTCATTTTATCCCTGTGTCTCCAGAACAGAGGTAGCCAATATCTTCATTTTTATGTAAATTTTTCCTTTGCTCTTCTCTTACATTGTTATTAAAATAGTTTTATCGCATACGTATGTATTCTTAAACCATTTCCTTTTGCATGTTTTTCAGGTTTATAAGATTGCATCATAGTAGTCCTGTGGGACTTGTTTTTTTAATTCAATATAATGTGTTTCTGAAACACATTATAGCTCATAGCCATAGCTAATTCTGTAGTCTAACTTTCCATTGTAGGGATATTTATCTGCTTTTGGCTCAGTAAATATTTGGATTGTTTCCTTGCTTTTCTTTTTTATTCTTTTGACAATAATGCTGGTAAAGACATTTCTGCACATGTCTCCTGGAGCCCAGTGGGAAGAATTTCTCTAGGAATGCATTTTTCAAACCCTTTAGATGCAGCATGAAATGTATTTTCGTTGTTACATGGTTATTACATGATACAATCCATATCTTTTAAAATCCATTTTCATGTTTCTTTTCTATTCTCTTTCATTAAAACAAATGCCACTGTGATATGACCTAGGGATACAGCCTGCACTCTGAAAAAACACTCCTCCAAGACAGAACTTCTCCAACTTCAGTGTGCAGGTGAAGATTCAGCTTCAGGAGGTCAGAAGTAGGGCCTGAGTATCTGCATTCCTAGTAAGCTTCCAGGCGATGCTGCTGTGCTGGTGTGAGAACCAACACTATTTTGAATAGCAGGGCTCTAGGCTCTTTCTCAAATTTCTCTGATGACAAGAATCACCCAGGCTGCTTCTTATGATACAAATTCTGGGGCTTCATCACAGGCCCAACAAATCTAAGTCTCTGGGGATGAGGCCTAGAGAGTTTTATAGGGTCATGTGTTGCATAATGACATTTTGGTCAACCGCAGACCACATATACCACTGTGGTCCCATATGATTATAATACCATGTTTTCACTGTACCGTTTCTATGTTTAGATACAAAAATAGTTACCACTGTGTTTCTGTTGCCTACAACATTCAATACAGAAACATGCTCTTCAGGTTTGTAACCTAGGGGCAGTAGGTGGCACCCTATAGCCTGGGTGTGGAGTAGGCTCTACTGTGTAGGTTTGGGTAAGTGCACTCTATGATGTTCACACAATGAAATCACCTAACAATCCATTTCTCAGAATGTATCTCTGTTTTTGGGAGATGCATGACTGTATTTTTGAAAATCTGCCAGGTTATTCTTCTAAGTGAAGGAATACTATTCTAGGATTTATGCCTAAGAATATAACAGCTGGATTGTATTCTAAGGTTAGCTTTACAAGATGATGCCAACTTGTGTTCCATAGTGGCTGTACCAATCCCACTCTCATTAATGATGTATAACACATTGCATTGATCTACATTCTGCCAACAATCAGTATTACCAGACTTTCTAATTTTTGTGAATCTGATTGGTATAGAATGGAATTTACTTTGACTCTAATGTGCATTTCTCAGATTAGTATTAAGCTTGAGCATATTTTCACGTTTGTGGTCTATAATTTTCCTCTTCTTCAAAAGTCCTGTTCTTTTACCAACTTTTCTTTTGAGTTGTCAGCTTTTTCTTGTGATTGGTGGAAGTTCTGTATATAATCAATATCTCTCGTTTGTTTAGTGGTTGCCAATGTCTTCTATTCTGTGCTTTGCCTTTTACTTTTCTACTAAATACCTCTTTATATCATTTGTCTTTATTGTGTTTGGTTGTTTTCCCTTCTTTACAATAATAAGGTTTTAGCTTAGGTTTTCACTTTCCTTATGATACATTTTGATAAATATGTTCTTAATTTTAGTGTAGCATAAATTATCAAGCTTTTCATTGATAGTTGGTGCTTAAGAACTATTTCTTTGCCCTGTAATCAGAAAAAATAATCCCCTACATTCTTTAATTTAAAAAATTAAATTTGGGTTTTTGTGCTTCTAATTGAGTCAGAATTGATTTTTGTATATGATACAGAGTAGGAATCCACTTCTCCTAGCACCACTTGTGTTTCCCCCAGGAATCAGAAACACCACCTCTATCATATAGAACATCAGGATTTCTGTTGTGCTCCATGTCTGTTCTTTCAGCAACACCACACTGTGTAGTTACTGTAGCTTTTAAATAACTCTTGGCATCTGATAGAACAAATTTTCCTACCTCATTCTTCCTACGGAGTGTTCTGTTTGGGGACCTTTGCACGTCTTTATTTACTTTAGAATCAATTTATCAAGTTCCTTAAAACTCTAATTAGGTTTTAATTGAAATTGTAGTGATTCTATAGATTAGCTTGGGGAGAACTGACACCTTTACCACATTGAGTCTGCCCATTCATAAACATGGTATAACTCCAATTATTTTGGTCCTCACTAATGTCTTTCAATGAGGTTTTGGATTTTTATCTGTTATTGGTGTCTTGTAAGATTTATTCCTGGGCTCCTTATATCATTTGATCTTGTTGTAAATGAAAAAAATTCAGTAATGTTTCAGTTTGATAATATACAAAAAATGCAGAGGAGTTCAAAATTAATCCCCTATTTGGTCACCTTGCTGACATTTGCTATTTTTGTATAACTTGTAGGTCCTGCTTGTTTGCCAAGCCTGTCACATTGTCTGTGTATAATTAAAGTGCTGTTTTTTCTTGTTTCATTCTTACACTTTTCATTTCTTACTGTACTGAATGGAACCTCCAGGAAAATGTTATAGTGAAACAGCTTAGATTTATTTTTTGTAAACAGATTATGGCACGATGTTGATTTTACCTTTAATTCTCTGGGCATTTTAATAGACAATATTTTATTTACATGTATTGTCATTACTAGTATATACTAGTAGTAATATATACTAGTAGTAGTAATATATATATATATATATATATATTACTACTACTAGTGGTAGACTTCTGTGTACCACTTTTCTGTTTGCTTTCTGGTTTTTCCTGTTTTTCTACATTTCCCCTCACCCCTTGCCTTTTTTCTTTTCTTTTGTTTTTTTCCCATAATTGACTGAAATAACTTTTTTTCTTTAGATGAGTTACTTGTTACTGAAGGTATTATCCTATGGCTATCTGTATAGTGATTACCCTAGAGAGTTTGCCTTGCATACTTAAAGTTTATAGTTGATATCTTAAACTTCCCTTCCCAGTGATGGAAAGATCTTACAACACTGTAACTCTGAGCATTGCCCTACCTGTGTGTATGCTCTTGTTGTCGGCAGTCTAATTCTGTATATATAAAAAGCTCTAAAATTAGACAGTATTGTTATTTTACAAACATAAGTTTTTATGTTTTTTTGCTCACCATTTCTTCTAGCATCTCAGACCTTCTTTCAAAACTCATTTTTCTTTTTGAAGGTGATCCTTTATTGCAGGTTCATTGGTAGTAAGTTCACTCAGGTACAATTCTTTGAAATTAGCTTTATTTTGTCTTGATCCTTGAATGATAGTTTTGCTACGTATATAGTTCTAAGTTGACATATTCATATTTTCTCTTTGTACTTTGAATATTTTGTTCCCTTGTTTTTTGCCTTCCACTGTTGTTGTCTAGAACTCTTTGTTCAATCTGCCATTACTTTGTAGGTGATGTGCTTTTTCTCTCTAGATGCTTTTGAGATCATCTCTTTGATTATTTTGGTGTTGGTGGTTTAACTACATTATGTCTAAATGTGGAATTTAATTTTTCTATCTTTTGTATATGTTATACTTTCTGTATCTTTTGACTGATATCTCTTGTCAATTCTGGAAATTTCTCAGACATTATGTCTTCAGTTAGTGCCTCTCCTCTATTCCCTGTGTTCTACTTCTGGAATGCCAATTAGACATAGATACACCCTCTAATTTTGCCCTCCATCTTCCTTTCTTATTTTCTATTATGTTCCTATTTCTATTTTTCTGTGCTACATTCTAGATAATTTCCTCTGATCCATGCACTACTTCACTAATTCTGTCTTAAGCTGTGTCCAATCTTGCTGTCTAGTTTTATACAGTACATAATTAATGTCCTATCCATTGAGGTTTTTGTTTTATTTCAACAGTGTTTTTATTTCTAAAAGTTACGTTAGCTGTTTTTAAAATTGGTCATTTTCAGTGACGTATTACATGTTCATTTTTAGAATTACATTTTTAATTTTAGAAGTGGCACGCAAATTTTATATTCTGAATCTGGTAATTTGAGTGATGTGAATCTGTTGTTTCTTATCTCTTTTGACTCTGTCAGGGCATCTTGTTTTCTGTTATTTTTGTTAATCTTTACTAGTGAGCTTATATTTGGGTGGGCTTTATTTGTGAAAGTAGGAGGCCTATATTTATGTATCAGTGTGTTTATAGAAGATTTGTATTTGTGTTTGCTGGAATCAGGAGATGGTACTGACTGCAGATACTTTACACACTGTTATTCGTATGAGATTACCTTGAGAACATCATATTTGGCTTCCCTGCCCCTGGCCCATGGCTTAATCTTTGGATGCCGGTGCTGATATAGACAACTAGAGTTCCACCTTACCCTTTGTTTTGGATAAGGGACATGGTGTAAGGTGTTGCTGGAGACACACTACATCCTACGCAATTAAAAAAATTGTCTTATACCGGATCTAGTTGTTTTCAAATGGGAGAGTCCTTGAGAGTAAATGATATGCCATTCTGTTATAATCAGAAATTGTAATAATTACTTTATGGATGTATTCTTCATTTATTAATTTATCTAATTATTTGATGAGTCTGAATATTTTGCTTTCATACAAACACAATAATAATATGATATAATGAGTGGTTGTTGAGAGAAATTCTTAACATAAACCTTTGTCAAATACAGTTGCTATAGCCAAAGAAAGAAATAGTTCTATGTATTGTAAATCTCTATTTGAAATACTATGCCAAATAAATGATGCAACTCATAATCGCACATTAGGGCTGGTTGCAGTGGCTCATGCCTGTAATCTCATCACTTTGGGAGGCCGAGGCAGGTGGATCACGAGGCCAGGAGTTCGAGACCAGCCTAGTCAACATGGTGAAACTCCGACTCTAAACTACAAAATTAGCCAGGCATTGTGGCAAACACCTGTTTTCCCTGCTACTCAGGAGGCTGAGGCAGGAGAATTGCTTGAAACCAGAAGGTGGAGGTTGTGGTTAGCTGAGATTGTGCCACCACACTCCAGCCTGGGCGAAAGAGTGAAACTCCATCTCAGAAGAAAAAAAAAAAAAGATAAATGCACATTAGACTTTGCTTATTTACATTTAACTGGAACCATTACTTTAAGATCTGTCCTTCGGAGCCAGTATAGGCCCATAGCCTTGAAATGCAGCCTTTTTTAGCAAAAAAAAAAAAAATGGAACATCTGAACATTGTTTTTCTTTTGGAGAGAAGTTTGACATTGTCTGTTGTACTTAGAGATGTATAACATCTACAAGTCAGCAGTCTTACTTTTAACATGCACTAAGGGAAACTGGCCAGGAGGGCGTATAGACAAAGATGCTGCTCATAGCACTGCTTGTAGTAGAGAAAAGGTAAACTCAGCTATCTTTTCTGCAGTAAGGGAATGGATAAGTAAACTGTATTTTATTTATTTAATGTAATTCTAGACACCAGTTAAACTAACATAGCTTCAACTCTGCTATATTGAATGAAATCTCATGTTGCAAAAAATAGTAGCATTTTTGAAAATTTTTAAGCATCCTAGATATATATAATAAAAGTACAAAACCATGTTTGGGAATGATAGATAATAACCTTTGAATAGGAAGTAGGAAGGTGGCAAAATTTTATATCAGTAATATTTTATTTCTTTAATAAAAAGTGATCTGAAACAAAACATAAAATGTTAACATTTGATATTAGTGGATACACAGAATATTGTTTTATTTTGTACTTTTCAATGTGTTTTAAAGGTTTTATTACTTAAAACTTCAAAAACCCTAAACACCAACAAAAAATTATTCTGTTTAAAATGAAAACATATTTCAACCATTGTTGTGATACTGTGATACTTCTTTTTTTTTTTTTTTTTTTTTTAGCTATTCTTTTTTTTTTATTATACTTTAAGTTTTAGGGTACATGTGCACATTGTGCAGGTTAGTTACATATGTATACATGTGCCATGCTGGTGCGCTGCACCCACTAAATCGTCATCTAGCATTAGGTATATCTCCCAATGCTATCCCTCCCCCCTCCCCCCACCCCACCACAGTCCCCAGAGTGTGATATTCCCCTTCCTGTGACCATGTGATCTCATTGTTCAATTCCCACCTATGAGTGAGAATATGCGGTGTTTGGTTTTTTGTTCTTGCGATAGTTTACTGAGAATGATGGTTTCCAATTTCATCCATGTCCCTACAAAGGACATGAACTCATCATTTTTTATGGCTGCATAGTATTCCATGGTGTATATGTGCCACATTTTCTTAATCCAGTCTATCATTGTTGGACATTTGGGTTGGTTCCAAGTCTTTGCTATTGTGAATAATGCCGCAATAAACATACGTGTGCATGTGTCTTTATAGCAGCATGATTTATAGTCCTTTGGGTATATACCCAGTAATGGGATGGCTGGGTCAAATGGTATTTCTAGTTCTAGATCCCTGAGGAATCGCCACACTGACTTCCACAATGGTTGAACTAGTTGACAGTCCCACCAACAGTGTAAAAGTGTTCCTATTTCTCCACATCCTCTCCAGCACCTGTTGTGTCCTGACTTTTTAATGATTGCCATTCTAACTGGTGTGAGATGGTATCTCATAGTGGTTTTGATTTGCATTTCTCTGATGGCCAGTGATGATGAGCATTTTTTCATGTATTTTTTGGCTGCATAAATGTCTTCTTTTGAGAAGTGTCTGTTCATGTCCTTCGCCCACTTTTTGATGGGGTTGTTTGTTTTTTTCTTGTAAATTTGTTTGAGTTCATTGTAGATTCTGGATATTAGCCCTTTGTCAGATGAGTAGGTTGCGAAAATTTTCTCCCATGTTGTAGGTTGCCTGTTCACTCTGATGGTAGTTTCTTTTGCTGTGCAGAAGCTCTTTAGTTTAATTAGGTCCCATTTGTCAATTTTGGCTTTTGTTGCCATTGCTTTTGGTGTTTTGGACATGAAGTCCTTGCCCACGCCTATGTCCTGAATGGTAATGCCTAGGTTTTCTTCTAGGGTTTTTATGGTTTTAGGTCTAACGTTTAAATCTTTAATCCATCTTGAATTGATTTTTCTATAAGGTGTAAGGAAGGGATCCAGTTTCAGCTTTCTACATATGGCTAGCCAGTTTTCCCAGCACCATTTATTAAATAGGGAATCCTTTCCCCATTGCTTGTTTTTCTCAGGTTTGTCAAAGATCAGATAGTTGTAGGTATGCAGCGTTATTTCTGAGGGCTCTGTTCTGTTCCATTGATCTATATCTCTGTTTTGGTACCAGTACCATGCTGTTTTGGTTACTGTAGCCTTGTAGTATAGTTTGAAGTCAGGTAGTGTGATGCCTCCAGCTTTGTTCTTTTGGCTTAGGATTGACTTGGCGATGCGGGCTCTTTTTTGGTTCCATATGAATTTAAAGTAGTTTTTTCCAATTCTGTGACGAAAGTCATTGGTAGCTTGATGGGGATGGCATTGAATCTGTAAATTACCTTGGGCAGTATGGCCATTTTCACGATATTGATTCTTCCTACCCATGAGCATGGAATGTTCTTCCATTTGTTTGTATCCTCTTTTATTTCCTTGAGTAGCGGTTTGCAGTTCTCCTTGAAGAGGTCCTTCACATCCCTTGTAAGTTGGATTCCTAGGTATTTTATTCTCTTTGAAGCAATTGTGAATGGGAGTTCACTCATGATTTGGCTCTCTGTTTGTCTGTTGTTGGTGTATAAGAATGCTTGTGATTTTTGTACATTGATTTTGTATCCTGAGACTTTGCTGAAGTTGCTTATCAGCTTAAGGAGATTTTGGGCTGAGACGATGGGGTTTTCTAGATAAACAATCATGTCGTCTGCAAACAGGGACAATTTGACTTCCTCTTTTCCTAATTGAATACCCTTTATTTCCTTCTCCTGCCTGATTGCCCTGACCAGAACTTCCAACACTATGTTGAATAGGAGCGGTGAGAGAGGGCATCCCTGTCTTGTGCCAGTTTTCAAAGGGAATGCTTCCAGTTTTTGCCCATTCAGTATGATATTGGCTGTGGGTTTGTCATAGATAGCTCTTATTATTTTGAAATACGTCCCATCAATACCTAATTTATTGAGAGTTTTTAGCATGAAGGGTTGTTGAATTTTGTCAAAGGCTTTTTCTGCATCTATTGAGATAATCATGTGGTTTTTGTCTTTGGCTCTGTTTATATGCTGGATTACATTTATTGATTTGCGTATATTGAACCAGCCTTGCATCCCAGGGATGAAGCCCACTTGATCATGGTGGATAAGCTTTTTGATGTGCTGCTGGATTTGGTTTGCCAGTATTTTATTGAGGATTTTTGCATCAATGTTCATCAAGGATATTGGTCTAAAATTCTCTTTTTTGGTTGTGTCTCTGCCCGGCTTTGGTATCAGAATGATGCTGGCCTCATAAAATGAGTTAGGGAGGATTCCCTCTTTTTCTATTGATTGGAATAGTTTCAGAAGGAATGGTACCAGTTCCTCCTTGTACCTCTGGTAGAATTCGGCTGTGAATCCATCTGGTCCTGGACTCTTTTTGGTTGGTAAACTATTGATTATTGCCACAATTTCAGCTCCTGTTATTGGTCTATTCAGAGATTCAACTTCTTCCTGGTTTAGTCTTGGGAGAGTGTATGTGTCAAGGAATGTATCCATTTCTTCTAGATTTTCTAGTTTATTTGCATAGAGGTGTTTGTAGTATTCTCTGATGGTAGTTTGTATTTCTGTGGGATTGGTGGTGATATCCCCTTTATCATTTTTTATTGTGTCTATTTGATTCTCCTCTCTTTTTTTCTTTATTAGTCTTGCTAGCGGTCTATCAATTTTGTTGATCCTTTCAAAAAACCAGCTCCTGGATTCATTGATTTTTTGAAGGGTTTTTTGTGTCTCTATTTCCTTCAGTTCTGCTCTGATTTTAGTTATTTCTTGCCTTCTGCTAGCTTTTGAATGTGTTTGCTCTTGCTTTTCTAGTTCTTTTAACTGTGATGTTAGGGTGTCAATTTTGGATCTTTCCTGCTTTCTCTTGTGGGCATTTAGTGCTATAAATTTCCCTCTACACACTGCTTTGAATGCGTCCCAGAGATTCTGGTATGTTGTGTCTTTGTTCTCGTTGGTTTCAAAGAACATCTTTATTTCTGCCTTCATTTCGTTATGTACCCAGTAGTCATTCAGGAGCAGGTTGTTCAGTTTCCATGTAGTTGAGTGGCTTTGAGTGAGATTCTTAATCCTGAGTTCTAGTTTGATTGCACTGTGGTCTGAGAGATAGTTTGTTATAATTTGTGTTCTTTTACATTTGCTGAGGAGAGCTTTACTTCCAACTATGTGGTCAATTTTGGAATAGGTGTGGTGTGGTGCTGAAAAAAACGTATATTCTGTTGATTTGGGGTGGAGAGTTCTGTAGATGTCTATTAGGTCCACTTGGTGCAGAGATGAGTTCAATTCCTGGGTATCCTTGTTGACTTTCTGTCTCGTTGATCTGTCTAATGTTGACAGTGGGGTGTTAAAGTCTCCCATTATTAATGTGTGGGAGTCTAAGTCTCTTTGTAGGTCACTCAGGACTTGCTTTATGAATCTGGGTGCTCCTGTATTGGGTGCATATATATTTAGGATAGTTAGCTCCTCTTGTTGAATTGATCCCTTTACCATTATGTAATGGCCTTCTTTGTCTCTTTTGATCTTTGTTGGTTTAAAGTCTGTTTTATCAGAGACTAGGATTGCAACCCCTGCCTTTTTTTGTTTTCCATTTGCTTGGTAGATCTTCCTCCATCCTTTTATTTTGAGCCTATGTGTGTCTCTGCACGTGAGATGGGTTTCCTGAATACAGCACACTGATGGGTCTTGACTCTTAGATCCAACTTGCCAGTGTGTGTCTTTTAATTGGAGAATTTAGTCCATTTACATTTAAAGTTAATATTGTTATGTGTGAATTTCATCCTGTCATTATGATGTTAGCTGGTTATTTTGCTCGTTAGTTGATGCAGTTTCTTCCTAGTCTCGATGGTCTTTACATTTTGGCATGATTTTGCAGCGGCTGGTACCGGTTGTTCCTTTCCATGTTTAGTGCTTCCTTCAGGAGCTCTTTTAGGGCAGGCCTGGTGGTGACAAAATCTCTCAGCATTTGCTTGTCTGTAAAGTATTTTATTTCTCCTTCACTTATGAAGCTTAGTTTGGCTGGATATGAAATTCTGGGTTGAAAATTCTTTTCTTTAAGAATGTTGAATATTGGCTCCCACTCTCTTCTGGCTTGTAGGGTTTCTGCCGAGAGATCCGCTGTTAGTCTGATGGGCTTCCCTTTGAGGGTAACCCGACCTTTCTCTCTGGCTGCCCTTAACATTTTTTCCTTCATTTCAACTTTGGTGAATCTGACAATTATGTGTCTTGGAGTTGCTCTTCTCGAGGAGTATCTTTGTGGCGTTCTCTGTATTTCCTGAATCTGAACGTTGGCCTGCCTTGCTAGACTGGGGAAGTTCTCCTGGATAATATCCTGCAGAGTGTTTTCCAACTTGGTTCCATTCTCCGCATCACTTTCAGGTACACCAATCAGACGTAGATTTGGTCTTTTCACATAGTCCCATATTTCTTGGAGGCTTTGCTCATTTCTTTTTATTCTTTTTTCTCTAAACTTCCCTTCTCGCTTCATTTCATTCATTTCATCTTCCATTGCTGATACCCTTTCTTCCAGTAGATCGCATCGGCTCCTGAGGCTTCTGCATTCTTCACGTAGTTCTCGAGCCTTGGTTTTCAGCTCCATCAGCTCCTTTAAGGACTTCTCTGTATTGGTTATTCTAGTTATACATTCTTCTAAATTTTTTTCAAAGTTTTCAACTTCTTTGCCTTTGGTTTGAATGTCCTCCCGTAGCTCAGAGTAATTTGATCGTCTGAAACCTTCTTCTCTCAGCTCGTCAAAGTCATTCTCCATCCAGCTTTGTTCCGTTGCTGGTGAGGAACTGCGTTCCTTTGGAGGAGGAGAGGCGCTCTGCGTTTTAGAGTTTCCAGTTTTTCTGTTCTGTTTTTTCCCCATCTTTGTGGTTTTATCTACTTTTGGTCTTTGATGATGGTGATGTACAGATGGGTTTTCGGTGTGGATGTCCTTTCTGTTTGTTAGTTTTCCTTCTAACAGACAGGACCCTCAGCTGCAGGTCTGTTGGAGTACCCTGCCGTGTGAGGTGTCAGTGTGCCCCTGCTGGGGGGTGCCTCCCAGTTAGGCTGCTCGGGGGTCAGGGGTCAGGGACCCACTTGAGGAGGCAGTCTGCCCGTTCTCAGATCTCCAGCTGCGTGCTGGGAGAACCACTGCTCTCTTCAAAGCTGTCAGACAGGGACATTTAAGTCTGCAGAGGTTACTGCTGTCTTTTTGTTTGTCTGTGCCCTGCCCCCAGAGGTGGAGCCTACAGAGGCAGGCAGGCCTCCTAGAGCTGTGGTGGGCTCCACCCAGTTCGAGCTTCCCGGCTGCTTTGTTTACCTAATCAAGCCTGGGCAATGGCGGGCGCCCCTCCCCCAGCCTCGCTGCCGCCTTGCAGTTTGATCTCAGACTGCTGTGCTGGCAATCAGCGAGACTCCGTGGGCGTAGGACCCTCCGAGCCAGGTGTGGGATATAGTCTCGTGGTGCGCCGTTTTTTAAGCCGGTCTGAAAAGCGCAGTATTCGGGTGGGAGTGACCCGATTTTCCAGGTGCGCCCGTCACCCCTTTCTTTGACTCGGAAAGGGAACTCCCTGACCCCTTGCGCTTCCCAGGTGAGGCAATGCCTCGCCCTGCTTCGGCTTGCGCACACCCACTGGCCTGCGCCCACTGTCTGGCACTCCCTAGTGAGATGAACCCGGTACCTCAGATGGAAATGCAGAAATCACCCGTCTTCTGCGTCGCTCACGCTGGGAGCTGTAGACCGGAGCTGTTCCTATTCGGCCATCTTCCATTGTGACACTTCTAACCTTATTTTTGTACAGTTCATCATTCAGGGAGAATAAAATATGACATGTTATCATTATTAAGTGCCTTACCAATACCCACATTTCTTTATTTTGGAAGGTATCAACAGTAAATTTCTACCCCTCTTTTTCCAACCTCTCTATTCAATAACACTTTTATTTTTTATGGATTTAGGGGTACAAGTACAGTCATGCAATATGGATATATGGCGTAGTGGTGAAGTCTGAACTTTCAGCATTCAACAAGCTTTTTACTTAAAAATTTAACTTAAAAAAATTCTCAAAATATTTATCCTGAAAGACTTGGTGAAATTATTCTGAAACCAGATACCTTGAATGACTAGCCCAGGGTCCAGTATGTATTCTTTTACTTTATTTTTTAAATGTACTAGCCAAACCAAGAACTAAGCAAAGCATTTGGACATACTGCATTACCTAACATTCAACATTACCTAACACCACTAGGGAGTGCTCCTTCTAGGCTGTCAATTGTGGCCTATGTTTAGAGTGTTATTTTCCCTTACCTGAGATCTGTGTTCTTACTGTAAGTGTATATCCTAGTCATTTTATTATACAAGATAATCCTGAATGTTTGCCATAACATGTAAATAAGAATTCCAGCTTTCAAATATGATGGAAGTTTAAATGATTAGTTTTTTAAATTTTAAATTTAATAATTTAAATTAAATTATTTAGTTGCTATGTAGATAATCTATTTCCCAGCGAGATGGGGCAGTAGTTTACTTACCTTTACAATTTAAGCGGAGTTCAAACCAGCATTTGGAATACAAGAAAGACATGGTGAGACTATGTCCATCTTAAACCAAGAAATAAAGTAGAATGATTTTGTGTAGACTTTGGCATTGTTACACTTTCCTTCATTTATTCTGTAAGACTATTTTTTTTTTTGCTTCTCTTAAACGAGTACTGTTTTTGAAATTTGGCCTATTTGTTAGGAAGATACTATTCTCCCTTATATAGGATTGTATGATTTTTTGAAGAAAAACAGATTGTTTCCAAGGGCATTTTTTGATTTTTGTTATGATAAAATGTGAAAACTATTAATGTGATATCTATGAAAAGTATTCTGGAGGAAAAATATATTCAAATTTATATAATTTTTAGGATAAGTTTGAATTCGTTCCATTACATCACCAGTACATAGATGCCTGTAGGGCAGTGTAAATTAAAGATTGTTGTATCCCAGCAATTTCAGCTTGACTGACAAGGTACTTTTTAAACTCTGGAAAGCACTGACCAATTGAAAGCCTTTAACTACTTCACCTAAAAACAAGGCCATGTACCCAGAATCGTTGCTGCCTAGGAATACTGAATTTTGGGGTAGGCCACTATAATATTAGTTACTCAGACCTTTGCTCTGATTTCACTAAATAGTAAAGTAAAGGGAGCTATTGCTTTATTATTTTGTCACCCTCTAGTGTGACCGGTGAGGCAGGAGTACAGTAGCTGGAGGTCCTGAAGGGGCCCACCATGCCATTCTGGTTGTTATTCCCTTTATTGTAATACACCTCCATAGAGTTCATTGAGAGGTAGAAAAGAGAAACCTGTTAGTGGGAGCATTGGTTGTAATCTATGTTTTTGATTATCAATGACATGATCCTAAAATTATACCCAAATATCTCTCACAGGTTCTGAAATTGAGTTTCTGAAAAAGCACTGTAGTAGTAATAAAAGGTAAAGTGCAGAGTTCCAAAGAAATGAGCTGTGAATTGAACCTGCAATGGAAATTGATCCTATCAGTCAGTTTTTGCCCTTGTTCATAGAAAAATAGGACTGAATGTAGAAGGAGCCAGGATCACTGATTAAATAGGATGCTGAAGTGCTGGAGGCTAGAAGTGGGCTTGCTCGTCCCTTAGGTCAGACTTCTCTGCTGGAAACCTGGCTCAAGCTGGCAGAAAAAGAACAGAATGAAAAATGCTGCAGGCATCAGTGGGAGAGTCGGTAAGAGCTCACTGACTGAGCTTCCTGCGTGACAGCCAGTGCACTTCTCCATAGGGAGGCCATTCTCATCTCTTATCATGAGTCAGTGGGCCCACAGTGGACCCACTGGCCTCATGATTCATGCCAACGGGGCCTGTCATGATACCCTTTCAGGGAAGCAGGGAGGCATCAGTGTGGCCAGAGGGTGTGAGTGTGAAGAAAAATGGCTTTGCTATCAATTCCATTCTCAGTAGCATCCTCAGGATTGTGAGGAAAGAGGACAAATTTCCTACAACTAGTGGTCCTATGAATACCATTTATTACCCTTTTATCTAACTGTAAGAGATCTATATTGTGCACATAGAATGCTTGTAATGCTGTGCCATGTTTTGGGGGGACAGTGTTTGTATTCTACTCCCAGAAATGCAGTGTGAGTTGCAATTAGCCTACCAAAATTACACATTTCTGGTTATGAAGTTGCCATTTGTTTCCTACAGTGTAATATATTTCTACAGTGATGCCCTTCAGAGTGTTCAGTGATCATCAGTATAACTCACTAGAGTAAATGTCCCTGTGGAATGCCTCATTCACAGTTAGTAGCACACTAATGGAAATCGCTCTGTAGAAACATTGAAAACAAAGGTATTATAAAACACTAACTTGAGATGTAATTATTATAAATCCATTTCTGGATCAGAATTTAATTTTGCAAAATGGCAGAAAAAAAAGTAAAAACAAAGAAGCATTGAAATCAGGCAATTTGCTTAGTATGAGAATTGTAAAAGAATTGTATGAGAATTAGTAAAAGAATTGTCAGATTTCCTTAGTCATTGGTCATAGCCTATCAACACTATCATTAAAGAAGGCTGCTGTCATAGGTACATGGTAGCACATGGCATTTCCTTTATGTTATTGTATGTATCTGCTTTTCCAGCCATTTCCCCATCCCTCTTAACTTTGCGTTTGGACCCTGGTAAGAGAAAATGACAGTACTCCATCTGAAGTGGACCATGTCCCTGTGTCATGGTATTGATTTAACTTATCCTGTAAGCTTTTGACAAATGAGAATCAGAGTCAAAGAGGCCTTCATCCCTATCCTATGTTGACGTGACCCTTCCTACCCCCATTGATATTGACCCTGCCACGTTGATAGCAACACATTAGTAGGCACAGCAGAACTACAGACCATAGTCAAAGGCTCACAGAGGGCACAAAGGAAAATACTCTGCAAAAGCTTCCGTAAGATAGTTTTGCTTTGGTTAACTGTAGTTATGCTTCAACGTAAAGATGCAAAAAAGTGAGTGTCACCCTCTTTTCATCTAAGATTTAGACCTCATACAGCCTCTGTCTCCTGTCTGATTACCACTCATGACAATAGGCAATTTAGAGCCTTTGTCATAGAAATGATTGTTTTGTGTTAGGCTTAGCTGTAGTACTTGGCAAATGTATGGGAAATGTGAGACATAATTTTACCATGATGGAATTCTAAAAGGTGCTCACAGAGAAAGGGAGCATGCAAAAATACTTGACCGGTACACAGACAGAAGCCTTTGTTTTCAGTCCTGAATTTTAATTTAAGTATATATTTTCTTGGATAAGGAATACTGAATGATGCAGACTTATTTATGCAGTGAAAAATAGTTTTCCATTGAAATTAAGTTAGAACTGTACTTCTTGTTTAAACTAATATCTGAAGCCTTTAGTCATTTTATTAGTCAGTAAAATTGATGAAAACCTTAGGAAAATGCGTTAGAACAGTCCTGTGATGAATAGGAGGCCTGGGATTAATAAGGAAAAGGGCAAAGGGACACATGTTGATCTGTGTATGTATAGAGATCTGGAGCTTATTAGAAGTTTTTATGAACATTCAACTAATGAAGCATTATATAAAATTAGACATTTCCGTTAAGTTGTAAAAGTTACTAGTCTAGGGAAAAAAACCTTCAATGTTATTTCTAAATAATTTATTTATGACATTTTCCCAACAGTAGTAATTTAAATATGAAAAATTAATTTTGTAATAGGGAACATTCCATGAGAATGCCACTCACGATTTCTTGGAGGAGTTTTCATCTTTGGTTCTTAGATTTATTACAGGACAGAGTAGCATGAATGATCTTTATTAATCCCATTTTATGATTGCAGCAGATATCTGGTAAATGCTACGTTGCATATTTAACATTATTCCATTTTAAACATTTTCATTTGTCAGAGGTTGCAGGTAAAAAGGGGGGATTTTAAGTTCTCTCTGTGGCATAATTGATGGAGAAAACAGACACAAAGAATTTATGCACAAATAGGAATCAAGAAGGGAACTTCAACAATAGTCTAGACAAGTTTGCAGCACCCTGAAATGCAGGCCAGGCTCTCTGGTACAGCTGAACTGGGGAATGTGGCCTTGACCCTCTCGTCTATAGAATTAGCAGGAAAAGGGGGAAGAATTCCTCTCAGCACTTTTGTCTCAAGTTTAAATTCATTGGATCTTTATTATATTGTACATTCTTTGGTCATGTTTTAGGTGAAGTCTTAGTATCTTTAATATCCTGATTTCTTCTTATTTGATTCTCTTTAGTTTGGTAGAGAAAACAGTGGAGTGGGGACAGCATGATTTGTAGTTGTCAGGTCTAAATTTGAATGCCACAGCAAACCCTGACCCTGATCAAGTTATTGAGCCTACCTTGGTCACAATTTTTATGTCTATATATTAGAAATAAAAATATTTACAGGATTATTTTGAGGAATAGGAAATTTATAGAAAGCAACTCACACATAGTAAGTGTGCAATAAACTGTAGCTTTTATATCTCAAGTTTATTGTCCCTTCTCAATTGTAGATCTCTTTACATTCATATTTGGTGAGCACACTTCAGACAAACAAAAATCAAAATTATGAATCAAATGACCTATGGGTGTATAACACAAAACATTTTAGGTTAGGCTTTTCCTAAAACCCTGAATGCTGAATTTTTTGTAGTAGTGCATGGTACATTATAAGTGCTTGGTAAATGTTATTTATGTAGTAGTATTTATTTTCATCATTATTTCATAAACAAATTTAAGCTTTCTCTGCATATATTTTGTTTTAAATTATGCAAAAATGCTTATATTCTCTCCATGTCATTTAGATTTCTAAGCTTGAAACTGTACCTGGAGCTTGGGCTAAAATAAGATTACTAAAAAATTGTCATGAACAGGCAAGAATTACTTTAGCATTGATTGTGTGGAATTCTATTCAGATTGAAATCCAAAAATACCTGCTCTGCTCAGAAGTTTATGTTCTCTTACTATATTATTTCATGTATAATTCTCAAGCTTTTACTCTTGTTTTCCAATTACATGATTATAAATTAATGTTTAAAGATAAAACACATGTATCAGTATTAAGATTGGTTTATTTTGGCCGGGTGTGGTGGCACACGCCTGTAGTCCCAGCACTTTGGGAGGCCAAGGCAGGCGGATCACGAGGTCAGGAGATCAAGACCATCCTGACTAACATGGTGAAACCCTGTCTCGACTAGAAATACACACACACACAAAAAAATTAGCCAGAGGTGGTGACAGGTGCCTGTAGTCCCAGCTACTTGGGAGGCTGAGGCAGGAGAATGGCATGAACCCAGGAGGTGGAGCTTGCAGTGAGCCAAGATCACACCACTGCACTCCAGCCTGGGTGACAGTGTGAGACTCCGTCTCAAAAAAAAAAAAAAAAAAAAAAAAAGCAGATTGGTTTATTTTATCAGAGACCCAGAGAAAAAGAGGCTTAAGTAAGATAGCATTTAATTTTTCCTAATGACAAGTTTGGAAGTAGGAAGGTCAGGGCTGGTATGGTAGTTCAGTGATATCAGAGACCCTGGCTCCTCCTTCATCATTGCTTTGAATTCTTAACATTTAAGTGTCTCATGGTTCACCATGGCTGCCTGAGCTCCAAACATCATATCCTCCATCCAGCTAATAGGAAATAAGAAGGACCAAAGATGGTGAGCCCCTGCCTTTTAAGAACACCTCTCAGAAACTATTTTGGACATTTCATCTTATATGCCATTCATCAGAACTTAGGCACATGGCCACATCCATCTGCAGAAAATAATGGAAACTTTCATCTTTATTCTGGGTAGCCAAATGCCTAGCCAAGATTTAGGGATTTATTATCCAGGAAGAAGAGGAGACCAGGTGGTGGGGACAACTGGGAATATCTGTGACCTTTGGGATTGACCTGAGCCTTTATCTTTCTTCTCTCTCATGTTTTCTTTTGTCTTCTTTTCTAAATAGATCCCATGCGAGGCCCAAGAAAACTAGAAGTAGTGGAGGTCAAATCTCGGCAAATCACTATCCGCTGGGAGCCATTTGGATATAATGTAACTCGTTGCCACAGTTATAATCTCACTGTCCACTACTGTTACCAAGTTGGAGGACAAGAACAAGTGCGAGAAGAAGTAAGCTGGGATACAGAAAACTCACACCCTCAACACACGATCACTAACCTGTCACCATACACCAATGTCAGTGTGAAACTGATCCTCATGAACCCAGAGGGCCGGAAGGAAAGCCAAGAACTCATAGTGCAGACAGATGAAGACCGTGAGTACCTTTGAATGATATGTTTGTGTAAAACATGTTCTTTCAAAAAACAACTTTTGTTTCGAGATCTTTGCTGTGCAGATGGAAGAAAGAACTACTTATTTTGTTGAACAACACAAATGTGTATCTGTACTCTGTATTCTTAAGCGCTGATTGAAAGAGGGAAAAGGGAGTAGAGATATAGAAATGTCATTCTTTATTACTCATACAGTTACTTTTCTATATATAATCATTCCATATTGCTCTCAATAGTTCTTCAAGTTTTATTTCATTGGGCTGAAAAATTGTTGTTTTGGGTATTAGATTATTTATATAAAATCATTGGACTGAAAAATTGTTGTTTTGGGTATTAGATTATTTATATAAAATGTTTACCTAAATATATTTAAATGGCATTCTGAAACATTTTTCATAGTTCAGATAAAATTTCAGCACTAAATAGGGGCTGCCCTTGCTTTTCAACACAGTCTTGAGAAACTGTAAGTTGGTGGTCATGAAACAGGTCATTTTTCTCCACAGGAACAATGTTGAAACCGGATGTTACTTTAATAAACAACTACTTTACAAATAAACCATGCATGTCACCAGTAACGCATCAAAAAAGCAAATATACAGGAAACCTCCATAGTAATTTAAAACAGTAAAATTATGCCTTGAATCTCAATGCGTGGATATAAATGTTTCTTTACACAGATGACACAGGGAACCCTTGTGTGTAATGACATATTCATATAGTACATAAAATACAATGGTAGTATATCATAAATTTGACCTAAAAATCATTTTTCCGGCATCAAAATGAATGACAAAGAATGTAGGAAGACCATTAAACGAATGAACTGACTATTCCTAAGAAAAATAGTTGTTTAGCTTTTTGTTTCTTCATGTAACTGATAATGTAATTTTGACCATTGATTAAATTGTGAGTTGAATGTTTAGACTACTTTATCGTTTCATTTAAAGAGCTAAAAAAGTATTTTTGAGTGTTTCTACCTACCCAGCACCTGCGTATTTTTGTAGAAGAAAAACATAGAAATAGCTGGAGTAGATGAGGAACTCACTGCACATCCTTTCTTTCCTCTTTTATTGTCCCTCAAGTCCTGCTTGTGTTGGTTCCTCTCAAGCAGTTGTTTGAGAGGGAGTCTAAGTTTGATGGAAGCCACTCAGGCAAGGCTGAGACCAGAAGCTCTATTTCTGTTTCTTCCAACTCTCTCTCATCTCCCAGAAGAGGAGAAGATGGTGTCCACATTGTCATCAAGTTATGGCTGGCTCCTTCCTGCCTTACATTTCTCTATTGACTCTGGTCCTAACATCTGTTGTTTCTACTTCCAAAGTTTTAGATTGTTCTTTTCTGTCAATTTCCATTGGCTGTATTCAAATCCTTATTATTTTATGCTGAAATTTCTATAATTGTTTCTACCTTTTCTTTGTGGTTCCAGCCTTTTTCTATTCTAATGTCCCCCTACTCACTCACTCACTAATCTTAAAAATGTATTTTCATCTTGGCTGTCTCTCTACAAAAGTCTTGAGTGGCTCTTCACTTAATCTTCATTCCAGTGCCTTGGCTGTCAAGGTCTTCTGTATTCTTGGCTCATATTCTAGGAGTAATAACTTCTCCTTCACAGCATCTTGTTCTGCAAAGCCATCCCTGAGTGCTGGTCCCTGTGCCTGCTCTGTGCATCCTGGGCTTCCCATCGTTGCCTGATTGTTCTCCTTGGCCAGTCGGGGCCTCTCCTGGCCGCTTCTCAAGCTCGCCTACTCTGCTACCAGCTGAAGCTCTCCTCACATTTCAGGTCCTTCACATAGCTGTCTCCAGCTCTTCAGTCTGTGTTATTCACATCCCTCTGACCTTAATTGTACTTCATAAGATCCTTAACTCTCTGACCCTCAATTTCCTGATCTGAGAAGTGAGAATAATAACAATTCTTAGATACATTAGGGATAGAAGAAATTTATGTGGAGAGCTGGTTGTAGGCTGTCAGAAAGGGGCCTTTCTTAGTATTGTAATGATTCATAGCCACTCATGATTCTTCTTTGCTCCCTCATTATGTTATTTGTATGTATTTTTTTCTTTTTATTGTAAACTACTTGACAAGAAGTACTGTCTGTTTTTCTTCTATAGCAATAGGCGTGATATTGAGTAAGTAATAAACACCCCAAAATACCTTAGGTCTTTAAATGAAATAATAAAGTATTGTTGATAAGCATTTAGTTCATGTTTTAATAAACAATAATGGTTACATCAATGAGAGAAATAAAATGCAGTCACTTCCAGATATATATTGCTAAAGCATGAACCTATTGAACACTATGGGTTTCAAATTGAGAACTGTCATGAGCTAGGAATTCTGTTAAATTCCATCAAAACATGAGGACAGAATTACTTTGTTTGTTTAAATTATCTTGCTAGTCCCTGAAGCTGGAGCATGCATTACTTCCAAATAAAAATCTATTGTTTTCCTAGCACACTAGCGTTTCATTAATTAGAAAAAACTTTAATTTCAAATTATATTTTGTAACCCCTCCAAAAAAAATACTTCAGAAAAGGCAGAGAGAAGAAAGAAATAGAATAATTGTCAAACAGTATCCAGTTTGAAGAGAAAAGAATTGGGGAGTCACTTTGTTTATCCATCAACAAAAGTTATAATTCATTGAACATTGTGAGTTTTATTATAGTATAATACTTTTATTGAAATACAGTTTTTTTCATCAGAAATTGTGTGGGAAAAAATTTACCTTTCATTAATGTTAGTAGAATCCTATACAGCCCAGGGATAAGTTGTACAAACTTAGGTATTATGGCTTTATATCCCAGATCCTGAATTCCCAGAGCTTCTAAAAATAGGTACTAGACCTAAGTTACTATGAGGTACTATCTTCCGTAACTTAATTAGTAGTATATTAATTATTTATTCATATTGTTTTAATTTACATTGTCTTTCTCTGACCTTAAAGTGATTATCTGAATCCCCATTAGGGTTTCCTGTCAACTATTCTACTGCCATTTACCACAGGGTCACCACCAGTACATTCTAATAAGTCCATCCTTCTGAGATATCCTCTTCCTAACATGATTTTGAATACCTCCTGTGTCATATTACTGTTAGTATTTTCTTTTATACGAATTGAATGAAACAAATATTTGTTTTGTCTAACTCTTCACCTTCTTTACATCTGCACATGGATTAACACATATTTTCAAATAAGAAATATCACTGGCTGCTCCGCCTATGGAGTAGCCATTCTTTTATTCCTTTGCTTTCTTAATAATCTTGCTTTCACTTAAAAAGAAAAAGAAATATTATCACAAAATAGAGTCACTCATCTTAGTTATCTTGATGGTGTGAGAAAACTGATGATGTCATCATCATAAACACTTTCAAGGTTAAGAGGAAGAGACTTAGTCGAGTTTTCTCAGGCATGGCCTGTTTTAGTTCAACTTCTAATTATGATGAACATTTTAGTCTCAGAGCTTGGAATTCCAGTGTTCTTAGAACTCACCAGTGTTGTCATTTCTAATGTTTTTTGTTGCTTCAATGTAGTCGTATATAAATTTCTTCAACATAGGACTAACAATTATTTTCATATTTATGTGCTATTTAGGGTTTCAATGTTAAAATTAACTTGGCTGGGTATAGTAACTCATGCCTATAATCCCAGTACTTTGGGAGGCCAACACAGGAGGGGACCACTTGAGCCCAGGAGATTGAGACCAGCCTGGGAAACATAGTGAGACCCTATCACTACAAAAATTAAAAATAAATTAGCTGGCATGCTGGTGCATACCTATGGTCCCAGCTACTCAGAAGGTTGAGGTGAGAGATCACTTAAACCTGGGAGGTTGAGGCTGCAGTGTGCAATGCTAGCCCCACTGCACTCCAGCCCGGATGACAGAGCAAGACCCTATTTCCAAAAAACAAAAAATCAACTTAATCCAACTTCATTTTAGGAATGAGGCAAATGTGACCTAAAGAGGTTCAATGATTTGTCCAAATTGCACAATTTAATCATTTATTAGTCTTAAGTCAGAACCCGGGCCTCCCATATGAATCAGCATTTTTTTTGTGCCAAACAACACTTGACTTTAATTGGAATAACTGTAAATGTTCTACATTTATATATAAGTAGCCTCTAATCTCAAAAAAATAGGCATACTATCTATGAGTCCTTTTGAAATCCTAGGCAGGCTTTCCAATCTGTGGTAGTCTTAGCAATCATTAAAAAACTGCTCATATCCTCTCACAATCTAAAACATTTTTTCCAACCCCTTTTAAAAAAGTTTATTGAGATATGTTTGTCCATTCACCATTTGATAAATATTTGGGTTGTTTTCACTTTTTGGCTATTATGAATAATGCTGCTATGTATATTCATGAACAAGTTTTTGAATTAACATTTTTTTCACTTTTCCTGAGTACATACCTAGGAGTGAAATTGTTGGGTTATGTTGTAAATCTACCAGTGTTTAACCAATTGAGGCACTGCCGGAGTGTTTTCAAAGTAGCGGCATGACTTTACCTTCCCTCCAGCAGGGTATGGGGTTTCCGATTACTCTTCCTTCTTGCCAGCACTTGTTATCATGTCTTTTCGTTATAGTAATGCTAGTGGGTATGAGGTGATATCTCATTATGGTTTCGATTTACAGCGCTTGCTAGCTAATGATACTGAGTATCTTTTCCTGTGCTTATTGACTATTTGTTTGTCTTTTTTGGAGAACTGTTTATTCAGGTCCTTTGCCCATTTCTAATTGTACTATTTGTTATCTTATTATTGGGTTTTAATATTGTTACTTTTACAGTCTAGATACAAATCTCTTATATATATGATATGCAGAAGCCTTCTCCCATTCTGTGTCTTGTCTTAATAGTGTCCTTTGATGCCCAAAAGGTTTTCATTGTGATAATGTACATTTTATCTAGATTTTCTTTCATTGCTTTTGCTTTTGGTGTCATGCCTAAGAAATTGTTGCCTGATCCAAGGTCATGAAGATTTATTTATATGTATGTTTTCTTTAAGAGTTTTATAGTTTTGGTTCTTACAGTTAAGTCTTTAAACTATTCAGATTTAATTGTTATATATGGTGTGAGATAGAAATCCAACTTCATTCTTGTGCATGTGGATATCCAGTTGTGCCAGTAGCATTGGTTGAAAAGATTAATCTATCCTCATTAAATGTTCCCAGTACTCTTACTGAAAATCAATGTACTGCAACTGTAAGGGTTTCTTGAGTACTGGGATTCTCAGTTCGATTCCATATCTATATCTATCTATCTATATATATATATCTTTATCTATGTAAAGATATATATGTCTCCTATGCCAACACCACACTGTCTTGATTACTGTAGCTTTGCAGTCAGTTTTGAAATCAGGATGGGTGAGTTCTCTCCGACTGCTTATTGGTCATTCACTTCATCACCAAAAAATGTGATCATGTGCCCCAAAATATATGCATATTTATAAACAGGATAGCTATTTTGTAAATAAGATAGGCATACTAGTACACTAAATTGTCTATAACATGAAGCATACTAAAAAACTACATTTAAAATGATGATGGGATAAATAACATTTTATAATGATATTGAATATTATTTTATAGAAAACTGGCAAATGACATCTTCACTTTTGTTAGTTTTTTTGCAAACTTATAAGAAGGTGTTATGTATTTTAAGTTTTGAAAAATGGCATCAAACTTCCCCCAAATCACATATAGTATTAACAAATAAAATAATGTTTAAAGACTATATTGTTATTTCATCTATATCAACTTCTACTTTGTATGTATTTTAATAGATATATTAGTACAGTAGTTCATATATATTTTTAGCATGGTTTTATCATTCAGTGTTATGGTTATAACTTGAATCCATGTGATATATAACTGTTACTTACTTTCAATCTTTTCAGTATTTTATAACATAACTTACTAAACCATTTGACTTGTTTCTCATTTATTATTATTACAAAAATCACTGCTTTGTGAACATTTTTGTATATGTCTCCTGGTGCATATATGCGAGAATTTTACTAGGGAATATACCTGCACGTGGGACCATTGGGTCATATGTTCTGTGCATCTTCAGCTTTACTAAATGCTATTAATAATTTTCCAAGGTGGCTCTACCAGTTTACACTTCCACAAGGAGTATGTGAGAATTCTCATCACTTGAAATCCTTCCTCATTTCTTTTGGAAGAGTAAAAACGTTTATTTAATAGATGGGACTGAGCTCTGTCTAATTGATTAAAACTTTTAAGAAAAAAAATGATAAAGTTATTCTTTTAATCAAGACAGTGTAGCTAAAATTGTTTAAGATTCCAGATTTTTAAAGAAAAATTGAGTATATGTGTGGACTATTAAAATCTTTTCTCTCAATAGAAGGTTAAAACCAAGTCTAGAAAAATCTACTTTTTAATTGTTTATTACTTAAACATTTATTTCCTCCCACCCTCCTTTAGTCCCAGGTGCTGTTCCCACTGAATCCATACAAGGAAGTACCTTTGAAGAGAAGATATTTCTTCAGTGGAGAGAACCAACTCAAACATATGGTGTAATCACTTTATATGAGGTAATATATATGTTTGTTAGTAATTTTTAATTAGAAATACTCATGATCATGATAATGTAGGCTATCTAGTATTTAAAAATGCATACTTACATAATATATTTTAAGAAGTTTAATGCTTTCAGTAGTTATAATGGTTGTTATATAGAAGAAAATTGTAAAAATAAGTTTTTGAATTATATATAATTTGAGGATTTAGCTTTACAATGAGTTGGACCTTTCCAGATTATATGTTATTATATGTTAAGACACAGCATTACATTTAAAAATTACCTTTATTAAAAACAATAAGTATTTTGAAACATGCATTGATTATAAGACAAACACAGAATTCTATTCTTGCTTAGCTATTAAATATTTTACTACTGAATTATAGAAGGACACTGATTATCCAGTTAGCAAAGTCAATAAATATTGTCTCAGGACTAACAATAGAATAATATCTTTTGGTTTCTTAGTATTACCAAAACATCCTTTCGACTTCTGTGACATAGTTTTGTCTACTGAGGCATATCAAATGGTTGAATGATAGATAGCAGAGAAGAATTTGATGAATTGTTCAAGGAAAAAAGTAACAGCAATAACAGGGTGACATTCATCATCACATCTGTGCAAGCATCATTTCACTATGCCTATTGTCATAGAAACAAGCAGGTGTGTTTTTTTAAGCTAGCATTTATTTGAATGCAAATTCCACAAAATTATATGTTGTAAAGTTTCTAAAAATCGTGGCAAATTCTCATATGGAACCTCTGCTTGAATACCTTTCAGAACTACTGACAAAAGCCTGTAAAGATGAGCTGTCAGACAGTGATCACCAGTAAACCCCTTCCCTGACCCAACTAGCCTCACATTTATGTTTCCTTGTAATTTTTGAAAATTGGTATTGAAACACACACAAAAATTAATTCAAAGCTAAGCGAAGAAAGATAAAAGAAAAAAGTTGATTTTTGTACTGTTATTGATGCTGTTCATTGGCTGCTTCATTGTAAAAGAATTGAATATTATGAAAATTCATGGCTCAGCTTTTATAGAGCTAAGTGTTATAAACAAATCAAACAAGTTCATATTATTTTTTCTCAGTGATGAGAATCTTTTAGTTTTTATTTTTGGCCCCATTGCCATTTTTAGGTCTCAGTTTTGGGGGATTTTTACCTAGTAACAGGATTTTAAACTAGGAAACATGCAATCTTTGAAATCAACTTTAATTTCCAAGCCGTAAGTTCACCTGTCCTAAAAGCCACATGTTGCTATCTAGACAGACAGAAAATATTTAACAGATTCTTTCTTTTTAATCCTACAAGAGATATATCTCTGTGTGGTAAGTCACTTTAACATGAAAACAATGGGAATAATAATTCAAAGGAAAAACCCATTAGTCTCTCTGATTCTGCAGCCAGGACTACCCAGTTGAACACTGATCTAAATACTACTACAATGGGGATGCATGAATGTGTCATAAATCAGGGTTTTAAAAATCAGATATGTGTAAGTAGAACAGATTGGTTCAGTTTTGTAGGGACCAAAGGGGAAATATGTGATCCAGGCCAAAGTGATTAAATACAAGCTTTCTGGCCAACAAGTCTTTCTCCCTTTCCCATGTTTTCTACAAGTAGGAAGGAAGGGAGTCCCCAGCTCCCTCGAGGTAGGTCTTAGGTGGAGTCTCAGGAGGAGCTCTTCTTGAGCTGAAATGCACCTGTGAGCTACGATTCACCCAGCCTATGCCAGAGTTTACAACAGGCACATACAGCTTCCTCCCGGAGCTGAAGATACATGTTGACCCAGATTCAGTACCTCTCTGGAGAATCACAGACTTCTGAGACAAAATCACGCTAAGGAAATCAAACACTTGCCCCAAAAGAAGCAGGGACCATGGCAACATTGTTTTCTGTCATGGAGTCACATTTGAATACTGGTAAAAATCAGAGGGTGAGATAAATTGCCATGGTTGGAAAAAAGTTTAGTAACCAATGACACAGGTGTTTCTTTAAGGGAGGCAGCACACAGGATAATTTTTGAAGGAAAGAAGAAAGCACAGATGGAATATTGTTGATGTTTGTATTAGGCCGCTCTTGTTTGGCTATAAAGAAATGCCAGAGGCTTGGTAACTTATAAAGAAAAGAGGTTTAACTGGCTTATGCTTCTGCAGACCGTACAAGCATGGCACTTGCATCTGCTCCAGGCGAGGGTCTCAGGAACCTTATGAATGTGGCAGAGGGTGAAGGGCAGCAGGCACGTCACATGGCGAGAGCAGGAGCAAGAGAGAGCAAAGTAGGGGGTGCCACACTCTCCTGTGAACTCAGAGCAAGAATTCACTCATCACCAAGGGGGTGGCCCAAAGCCGTTCACGAAGGTTCTGCCCACATGACCCAAACACCTCCAACATTGGGAATCTCATTTCAACATGAAATTTGAAGGGGACAAACATCCAGACCATATCAGTGCTGGAAATGAATATGCTGTAGCTTTAGATTATTCTCTGTTCTCTCTTTGCTTATTATGAAAGATACACAAAAGCATTAATGATCAAAAACGGCTGACAGCATTGTTTTTTCCAGGAGTTATGGCAGTTCACAGCCTTACATCATTCTTCTGGTTTTCTTCCTTGCTTTCTCCTTTTCACTCCTCTGACTCCATTCTCAGCCTTCCAGCACTAGCCTTGCCTCTCTGACCTTGTCTTCGTTCTGGCTCAAGTCCTTCTCGTACGTTACCCTCCACCTCAGTCATTTAATTTTGTCAATCATCTTCCTACAACCTGGGTCTGATCATTACACCTTTACTCAGTAGCTATCAAAATCTCTTATTTTGTCGAGTTGTCAATTTAATACTGCCCTCTGAAAGAATACTTGTAAGTGCAGAAGTATTCAAAATAAAATATCCTTGCTTCCGAATTTTACTTTTCAAATGTAACTACTATTAACAGCTAGATACACATCCTTCTAAAATTTTACAAGGTAGAAACTGTAGTGCAAATTCATTAATGAATATAAAATGGATGCAGTTTAATAAATATTATCAAACCCAGCATTTTATTACAAGAATAAAATACCATATGAGACTCCCACCTCACATCATACAAAAATAAACACCAGATTCATGATCTAAACACAAAAGTTTAGAAGAACCTTCTAAGAAAAAGGTAGGAAGACATTTTTGTTATATATTTTTCTAAGCTTGATATAAAACTCAGCAGTCATTAAAAATAAAGATTGACAGATTTGGTTATATAAAATTTTAAACTTCTGAATGATGAAAGATACCATGAAGGAGGTCTGAGTACAAACAGAAGACTTGGAGAGATTATTTTCAGCACTTACAGCAGTCAACAGGCTGGTGGCTATAATATATAGAGACCTGCTACGTAGTAATAAGAAAAAAACAAAACACTCTTTTAGGAAATAAAATGGACAAAGACACTTCAAAAAAAAATTCACCCAGCATGTAAGTATATGGTAAAGTACCTACCCAGCCTTACTAATGATTGAGAAATGGAGTATTACAAGTGATACAGAAGTTTAAATTTCTATAATATCAAGTGTTAATCAGTGATGTGGAGAAATGTGTACATGCATAGTCTGTTGATGGGAACACACATTTTGCAGTCTTTTTTTTTGTAGGCAATTAGGGAGATTCTATCAAAATGTAAACATAGTATGCCAAACCTATTTCTAGAAGTTTATTAGTAATACTCCCCAATGTACAAGGATATTTGCCCAAGTATTTTCATTGTATCCTACTAACTTTACATATCTCTAGTGAGTAAATACCAGACTCCTGGTCATGAGACTAACACATGGATTGTTTTAAAAGCTTTAGTATGTCTGAGATATTGGAAAAAGACAAAAGTAGAAAAGGTACTGTTCCTTTTCTGTTGAAGTAACTACCCCATCAGCAACCAACTATAGAAAGAATGAAATGAGTTCCAAACTTAGGGACTCAATACATGAGTGTGTGACTAGAGTATCAAGTGCAGTTTTGGTTGGGCACTTTAATCAAGTAGAATGGTCTAGATTTGCCAGCTGATTGGGACATTCAAGAGTCTAGAGTTGAAGACACCTTAATATCCTTAGCCTGGATAACTGGGCTGTTAGTCACCATCAGCTGAGATAGGTGGTTATGTAGAGGGAATGAGAATTTAGGGGCCATGTTAAGAAGTTTGTTTTCAATACTCAAGGGCTTCTGTGATCCAACCCAAATCTATATTTATAACGCCATCTCCTACTATTTTTCTTCTGGAACTCAATGAGCCATGTATATGAAATTGTCTCTTCGCCAAGAGCCTTCTGAGCCATCACACACCCTGCTTTTGCTTAGATTCATTCTGCCTGTGCCATCCCATCGCTCTCCTCCTATAGCAGCTCTGCCTATCTTTCAGTATTTTATTCAAGTACTTTACTTTTCCTTGAAATATCCTAGGTCCTTTCCTCCCCTAAAATCAGATTTAATTATTCATTCCTTTGTTTTCTCAGAATAATTGCTTAAACCTCAATTAGAGGATGGTGTTTTATGCTGGCTGGAATTACCATCAACTCACAGTCTAGAAGATTTTGATTCCCCTCTTCTATAACATGCAAGTCAAAGATTGCATGTTATTCTATCTTGGTTTCCCATGAATCTCTCAGTTTAGAATTTGAGGCTTTAAGTAGAGAAAGGGAAGACAATTTTGGAAGATTTCAGGCACTTACCTGCAAATCAGAAATCATCCAATAGAAGCAACAGTTTACTCCATCTCACCCAAATCTAACCCTCACACATGATGTTGAGATCTCAGTTTGCTTTTGACATGGCACCTCCCATAAAATTACTTACATCCAACACTGCTGCAGCAACGTTTTTTACAGAGGCTTCATTACAGTTTCCTGGACCTTCAGCCAGGGACAGAGTACAAGTACAGAAGCTTCCAGACTTCCTTCTTGTAGTTTGCTGCTGTACTGAAGTACTTAACAGGCACTTAATAAGCATGTATTGAATGAACAAGTGGAAAAGTAAAGCTGAAACCATATGGACATTTGAGTTTGAGCATGGGAGTATATTTTGGTGCCCTTTAGAGCAGCTGCTGAGGTTGGTGAATGTCTACCATCAGCTCTGTGGCAGGCAGTGGGGTTGTAGAGTTAGAGTGCCCCTGCTGCCGAGAAGCTTTTCTCATTCTGATATTCAGACTCCAGGGCTCTGTGGATGGGTCTGAGATGGGGAAACCCATCACCTTTGTGACATTTGGTGGACATATACATGCCCAACATATTTGTTTGTTAGGCGTGAGGGAGAGGATCTGTAATTTTTAGGAGTGCATGAATTAGTGTATACATGTGTTTTTTAGAAGTAGGAAAGAGAAGGTGTCTAATTTTTACCAAATTGTCAAAGGGCTATGACTGGAAGCCAGCTAAGAACCCCAGTGTTATTTTGCAGCCACAAGGCTTTCAGCAAGTCCAAGCCCATCAGCCCTGCTGGAACAACAAGTCCCTTAGTAAAGCGTTTGCTTGATAGTCTCTGTGGGTGGAGCAAAGATCCCACTTGTCTTGAGTGTTTACATGAGCGGATGCACACACCCGCTCTCCCCAGGAGTAGTTTTAGGAAAATAGATACTGAGTGCCAAATATTTACTGATCACAGTGGGATCAGGAAAAGAATAAGACATCAGTCACTCCTCAGAAAGAAGATACAATTACATGAAATGTTCCAATTCCTCTGGTATATTTAAATCATGATTTAAGATCAAAGAAGAGATTTCACAGTACTCCAAGATTCATTGCCCAGTGAATTGTATGAATAGTCACAACACAGGCATTCAGTGGATCTAGTGATTGTTAGGCCAGGTTTAGGAAGGCTTTACAGATACACAGAATGAGAACTCTGGATTGGGACATGGATGGGTACTTTTTTTGTCCCAGTCTCATCTTTGGAAACCAACCCTCCCTCCCTCCCTCCTTTTCTCCCTCCTTCTCTCCCTCCCTCCCTCTCACCCTCCCTCCCTCTCTCCCCTTCTCTCTCTGCTTTTTTTTCATTTGGTTTCTGTGACAGCTTTCTCTCCTTTGGCTCTCTTCTTGCATTTCTGGCTCTTCTGTTGGCTTCTCCTCCTCTATCCTGTATTAAATACCTACATTCATTAGGGAGTGGTACCAGGCTCCCTTCTTTTTTTTCTAAACTTCCTTCCCTAGTGACCCCCTCCATTCCAGAATTGAATATCATCTCAATGTTCATCACCCCCAGTCTTCACTTCCAGCCCAGTCCTTTCAAATCACAGCTTCATGTCATACATGTGTGTCCACCTGACTGCCGTGGGCATTTCCAACTTAGTATGTCCACCTGTGTCTGTAAATTTCTCCTCATATGTTCCATTCTTTTCGATACATGGGACCGTCTTCTGATCAAGCCCAAAATGGAACCTATCCTTTATTCCATCCTCTTTTTTTTATATCCAGTCCTTCACTGAGTTCTGTCCATTTTATCTCTAAAAGATGCCAATTCTTTTCATCTCTTGCTGTCTGTACCAGCCCCACCTTATTCCAAGCCCCTGTATTTTCTCCCTTGTGCTATAGCTCTAGGCCCTGGACTCTGCTGTACTTCCTAGTGCCCTCCCTACTACTTCAATTGCCCCACCAATCAAATCAACCTTCCACCTGCAGTCAGGGTGAACTCTTTATAAGGGAAATTAGATCATTTTATTTTCATGCTTAAAAACGTTCAAGGGCTTCCTGTTGTATGTATCCAAACTTTTTATCTTGGGGTGCAAAGCACTGTACAGTATGGTCCTACCCACTTCTCAAGCCCCCAAGGAACCACACCGACCTCCTTTCTGTTCATATACTGTGCCCACTCACTCCCGCTTCACTGCCTTAGTTCCTACTGTTCTTCCCCAAACTCTCAGCATGATTAACTCCTTGGGAAAGTTCAAATCTCTTCAGCTTAACTGACATCTCAGTGGGCCCTTCCCCAGCCACTCTAAGTGGCTGTGTAATAACCTCTCTCCCCTGACAGTTCTCCTTATTTTAGCACCCTATTCGTTTCTTCCATGGAACTTGGTGTTTTGAAAGTATTCATTTACTTACTGTATGCCTCCCCAGCTCCATCCCACCCTGTCCAGATTCTCAGTTATCTGAAACAGGGCGTGTATTTACCTGCTGGCCATGGTGCTTGCAGAGTGTCAGTGTTCAATCAATGTTTGAATAAAGTAAATGAATCTGAATAGGTAGAAAACATGGAAACAGAGCTAACTGTCTCATGTTCCAGGCAGGTGAAAGCTTACGAGCAAAAGCAGTGTCAGAAAAGCCCCATTAGTGTTTGTAGGGCAGTTAGTCTTTATCCTCTGACCAGAACAGAAAGGAATATAATGGTGTAGTATCACAGATTCAGAAGTAAGTTTGGAGAAGGTGAGAGCAAAACTAAGGAGTTTGGGCTTTCTCTCGTATGCATTTATGTTTCATTAAGGTTTCTAGACAGGCAATAAAATGAATGAGAACACTAAGCTAGCCACGGTGGGCAGCGTCAGTCCTCATTTTAATTATACTTTGTCATAGTTGTTGGATCACTTCTCCCCTTCCCCTACCAGACTGATACCTCCTTCGGGGAAGGTACGATTCCTAAAGCACCATGCAAGACCCCAGCTCCGAACACAGTGCTTGGCACATGAGAGGGGCTCAATGAATATGTTTCAAATGTGTGGGTGAATTAGTGAGTAAACATTGGAAGCAATTATGCATTCATAATAGAGGTTTAGATCCGTCTCCTCCAAACTGCCTTGTTCCCTGGAGGTATCCGAATGGAGGACCAAGTAATCATACAGCGGTTACATCGCTGACGTCCTTCGCTCAGCCACTAGGGGGTAGATTGGCTTTGTCTCTTCTTGACTTCCTTAACCTTGCAGAGGAAGTCTGTTAGAGGATTAACAATAGATACTCTGCATGACTCCAATAGTGTCATGCAGTGCAGTGATTAATATATATAGCAAACAGTTTTCTTGCTAAAGCTTAGTTGATTCAATCTAAATATTCTTTCAGAGAGGTCTTCCTAATTGTAATGACATGGTATAAATATAAGAAGAAAGAATGTCAATTATCACTTCGTATAATAACAGTGTTAGTGTTCATGCACATAAATTACAAGTAAGTTTACCTATTTAAAAGCAAGAAAAGTGCTCAGTTTTGCAATTTAAAACTTTCGAATATGCCACATTTTAAAATTATGTCATTACAACCAGTAGAAGTTAGTAATCACCACTAAAGTGCATGTTCTTGAATAGTTGATGAACTACTCATAGTGAAATTCTTTAAAATATCATTTGAAAGGGTAGGATTTAAAGGCACCTATGTTATATTTATTTTCAAACACTTCAGACTCATCCAACATGCTTTGAATATCTGTTATGTAGCTAGTATCATGAAAACTTCTAGAACTGCACTGTCTCATATGGCAGCTACTAATCACACATGGCAATTTAAATTCAAATTTTCAGTTCCTCAGTCTCACTAACCACATTTCAAATGCTCAGTAACCAGATGTGGCTAGTGGCTACATTTCCATCATTTCAGAAAGTTCTATTGGAAGACATTGCTCTAAAGAAAAGAAATTAATATGACCCATAATGATCACTCTATTTGTAGCATCAGGAATGACTGGAATCTGTCTAGGATTCCAGTCATTGGAGCAGATGTCCTCACCCACATTGATGAAAACACTTCAGTGCCCTCGTTCCCAATAGGTAATGATCCTAAGTCAAATTATGGCCACTAGATTAAAGATGAGGCCTTATCCTTGTCAGTATCTTATCTGTTTGAGCTAGTTGTATATTTTCTTATTTTGTTCTAAACCCATTGTAATGTAGTTTTACAAAATGACATTTTGAAAGCAAACAACTTCAAAGTATTAGCTTAACCCCGAACTCATCCTGTATATTCTAATCTACTGGCTTAAGTTCCCCTGTCTATAAAAGTAATAACTCAGCAGCTTTGGCGGAGTTCCTTCATCCCTTCAGTGGATTCAGGATTTCAAGAGTCTGAGTAGGAGCTTATCATAAAGTGTCTGACAGTGCATACATCAGAAGGGTTTATTGGATAAAGATGCAATCTGAGTCCATCTGCTCCAGATATTTTATCACTTTCTCATTCTTTTGCAGATCACCTACAAAGCAGTCAGTTCCTTTGACCCAGAAATAGATTTATCCAATCAGAGTGGAAGAGTTTCAAAGCTGGGAAATGAAACCCATTTTCTGTTTTTTGGACTGTATCCGGGGACCACATACTCCTTTACCATCCGAGCTAGCACAGCTAAGGGTTTTGGGCCTCCAGCAACAAACCAGTTCACCACCAAAATATCAGGTACTCTACATTCGTGAGTTGTGTCTTTTATCAGAAGTAACATTTTTGTCCGTTTTCATTCCCATTGTCAAGTATGCCAAGCTCGCCCACACTAACATTGTATCCAAAGGAATACTCCTGGATGCCTGAAGCTCAGACTCACAGCTTTAAATGAAGTACTACAAATATTTCTCATTTGGGAGCTTAAGATCCTCACATGTTAGGAAGTGGCTATTGTTTTAGCAGGGCGTCTTGGAGGACTTGGGCATGAGGCAGAAGGTTCTGTTGAGACACTCTCATCCCCTTGTCAATCCCAAGTTGCCAGAGCAGTACTGTTGGAAAAATCTCTGTAATGAACCATGAACCATCGGGAGCTCTGCAGAAAGACAGTCATATAGAGTCTGCTTCCTGAAGGATCAGCCTCCTTGGGATCTCTACCATAAGAAACTTCTGTCCTGAAGAGAGAGGCAAATACATGAGGGTACCAGGAACTGAGGGCCTCCAGCTTTTTGCTTTTAGAGACTTAATTATGCCATCTAACAAAAGACGTAATTTGAGAAATATTTCTAGGCATGTTCAACTGTGCAGAAAATGTCTTTGTACTTCAGACTAGAGGAAATTAAGCTGCCATCTGGTATGGGATATACAACAGCAATAAAAAAATTGCATGAATATTTTTTCCCATTTTTTCCCCTTTGGGTATGAGTGTGGAAGTGTTGAGTTTTGGCTTTAACTATTTTGTTTGGGGTGGAGCAGGTGGGGTGGAAGTAGGGAAAGGAGCTAACTCTTGTTATCAGCCATGGTTAGGTCAATAATATTTAGCCTGACCTTTATATCTTTTATCTCTCATTCCTTGTTTTGTATTAATAAAAGTTATCATTTGGAGTTGAAGGAAAGGAATATTCACAACTAGAGTATTGTAAGTGTTTGGCTAGGTTTTGAGGGAGGGTTTAGAATTTTCTTTTTAAGCAATTATAACAAGGGATAATTTTTTATTGTGTAATATTTTATGAGCACAAACTTGACTTGAAATTTAATACACTTGATATTCTGTGTATAGAATTAGGTTATAGAAACAGTATGGAGAGTTGAGAAAGAGAAAATAAGTCTTTGGGAAGTTAGAATAATTAGAGATTAGAAAACTGACACAGATTGAAGAAAATGGGTTGGTAGAAGAAAGACCACTGGACTTGGAATCAAAAAATCTAGGTTCTAGTTATGATTTTGCCAGGCACTTCCTCTCTGATTTTGATCAAATAAATTTACTCCTACATACAAATTAAGATAATATTATCTAGCGCATGAATTTATCATGGGGATTTAAAGATGAAATAAGTGCCAATATATATACCTCGAAGCATGTTTTAAGAAATTTTTCCCATGTAAGTTACACTACAAAGATTATTGTCATAATGAGTGTATTTTTTGAATAAAATAATTCATTTTTGCTATTTTTATTAGATAAGAATTCTGATCAACATGGCCGTATTAGTCCGTTCTCACACTGCTAATAAAGACATACCCGAGACTGGGTAACTTATAAAGAAAAGAGGTTTAATTTACTCACAGTTCAGCATGGCTGAGGAGACCTCAGGAAACACAATCATGGTAGATTCTAATCAATGGTTTTGACCACTTTCAGCATGCCAAGTTCAAATAATTTTATTGAAAATCAAGCAACCTGACATTTTCATTAGCCTATATGGCTCATCAAGAATAAGTATTTGATTTTTATAGTCTTAAAACAGTTACAGTTTACAGGTCCTGTTTTCAATTTTCATGGACCTAAGAGAGGGAACCACTCTTGTTAATTCTATGTTATGAATTGGAGTTAATTTTTAAGAGAATTGAAATAAATTTTAATGCTGAGATCATTCAATAAATGGAACTCAGAAGTAACCCATATCTGTTATAAACAAATCTTTTTGTATATGTAAGACAATTTTAAAAACTGTATTTGCAAGAAAACGACCTCTAGCTTTCTCATCAGGAGTCTCTACCAGTGGGCTGTGAAAATATGGTATGCCCTCCCACATCACAGCTCCGTGTAATGATTTGTCTTGTCCGTAATTACTGAAGACCTCTGTTGCTATCATAATAAGACTTAACAGTCTAGAGAAGGAAGATGCTGGAAACTGGCCTTAGAAATAGGATTTACATTGGGAGGAGAACTAACATTTGTAGAATTATATTTGCCTGTCTCTCTGTTCTCTCTTTGAATTACGATAATAAACGTAGAGGGTAGTTCCCCCCATTTTGAGATGTATAGAAGCTCTTATGCTAATTAAAACAAAACACAGCAAAAAGTCAAACCCAAGCCTTTCTTATTTCAGTTCCTATGTGTTTTCCACTGTCATGCTTTTCTGAGAGCCCACAGATTGTCACTAATTAATTCCAACAAATCTCTCTGACTCCCACTGTCCTCTTTAAATCCCCAATGAGTCTGGTACATGAAAAACCTTGATTTAGATGGAATAACTATAAAGTCCAATGATTATTTCCTAAATATGCCTTTAGCATAAACAGTTTATTTGAGAATTCATATGTACAGAAAAGTGTACCAATTGTAAGTGTACAGCTCGGTGATTTTTCACAAGCTATGCTCATTTAGCCAGAATCCAAATCAAGAAACAGAATATTACTCACACCTTAGAAGCCCCCTCATACCATCTCCCAACTTCAACTCAAGATCACAGAGGACAGTATGGGCTGCTTTTAGCAGCTGTCCCTGTGATTCTATGTAGGGAATATATGTGAAGCTTGCTCGTGGTTGTTGATAGCTGCAATGTAAAGTAAATGCACTGTGTTCTTAATGCTCTTTGTAAAAGAAAGTGGAAACTAAACTGAGAAGATAAACCAGAAATAATGAGTCTCCCATTCTACGCCTTTTTCCCCAGCACCCTCTATGCCAGCTTATGAACTTGAGACACCTTTGAATCAAACTGACAATACCGTGACAGTCATGCTGAAACCTGCCCACAGCAGAGGAGCACCTGTCAGGTATGGAACAGAGGGTTGGGCCGGCTCTAGATAGAAGAAAACTAAATCAAGTTGATTAATTCCTCCAATGTGTTTTCTAGGGATTTGCTGCAAATCTCAGCCAGCATGTAAATCCATATGTTTATTAGCTCTAATTAAAAGTAATGACTGAGGAAAATGAAAGGGCTTTGATGTAAGGTGATCAAGTATTGTTTAAAGGGTTTTATTCTGATGCAAGTGAGTTGTTCTTTTGAAGATAAGGAACAAAGCACTAGTCTGTTGAGGAGGTAGTTTTAAATTAAAAGGTGACTGCTTGATGCAATTTGGTTACCCAAGGGCAGATGACATTTTTGTTCTCAGCTCTGTTCTTTGAATGGATGTTTCGATTTTTTCATTTGTGTGTTTACTTTGGGTTTTATGTCATTTATTTTTTAGTAAATTGGCTAATTTCTCAATAAAATATGAGATGTATAGTTTTTTGAAAAAATAACAGATTATTGGAAAGAACATTGTGAAGTCTTTATCTGAACAGATTAGAGTTAATTACCAACATCTAGGCCCGCATCTTATTCCATGATGATTTATATAGCTAAGCAATTATAAAGTATAACTTGTATAGTGACTGAATAAAATAAATTGATTATTTCCACGACAGAGCAAAGGATGCCTGAATAGCTCTGGAGTATCAACTTGTCATAAACTCATTAATCTACATAAGTGAAATTTCTACTTGATTCAGAGGGATTTAAATGTTTTACCTTTGTATTTTGGAATAGTTTCCCTTCAGAGTCATCTATTACTTTGAATAGAGTACTTGGAAGAAAGATTTACATTGACAATTAAGGCATTATAGGGTTTATTTTCATGTTTCTTTTGTAGAATTTGATTTCATTAATGTTTTGACACCTGGCTATATTTGATCATGTTTTCACTGCAGTATCATAAGGCAATCAGTTAGATTTCTTTCTATTCAGTAAAATATATATGGAGGTTTCGGTTCATAAAGTCATAAGTAAAACCAGAATAGTATTAGTTTTTAGTGAAGTCAGATTAGGGAAGAGTCACAGAAATTTTTATTTGAAAAATCTCCAAAATGTTTAAAACAATTTTTAGTTTATACTGTAGAATAATGCAACACAGTAGCTCATATGAGGTTTCATGCTTGCTGTTCATAGATGCAGTTTGTGAGAATACTATGAAATATATAAAATCTCTATTCCAAATTGGAGATAGTGTTACTGCTACCTTTCGAGTGATGTGCTTGACACTCCCCAGGCCCTCTGGGTTGATTCCTGTGGGTGGCACTGAGAGGTTGCACTAATCCAATGGACCCAAGGCACGCATTAGATGCTATCCAAGACTCAAGTGTACCCATGACCATGGCTCAGTCTTTTTTGACTTTAAAAGCTGAAATTTATTAAATGAAAATGTATGCTCTGACCATGGCCTTGGGAGTGTCATTTGTTTCTGACCCACTTAACAGTTGCTCAGACTCAGCAATAAAGGGTCATTGGGACAGGACTCAATATTTTACTGCAAAGCATCATGATCATGTGAATAGTTAGAGTTCACTCAGATTCAATGCCTCCAAACTGAAGGAAGCTGAAAGCTTAATCATTTTTCAAAAACAGCCAGTTATCCCATGGTACTTTGTTCTTATATGGATACCTTTTGCACATTTTCTATACTTGTATCTTACTTTCAAACCCTTTCAGTTGGATTTTCATTCGCATCTTTGTATAGATCTTTCCAAGACCAAGTTTTGTTGGTTTGTTTGTTTTTGAGATGGAGTCTCACTCTGGTCGCCCAGGCTGGAATGCAGTGGCCTTATCTCAGCTCACTGCAGCCTCTGCCTCCCAGGTTCAAGCGATTTCTTCTATCTCAGCCTCCCAAGTAGCTGGGATTACAGACGTGCTACTGCACCCAGCTAATTTTTGTATTTTTAGTAGAGACAGGGTTTCATCATGTTGACCAGGCTCGTCTTGAACTCCTGACCTCAGGTGATCTGCCCATCTTGGCCTCCCAAAGTGCAGGGATTACAGGTGTGAGCCACCATGCCTGGCCAAGACTAAATTTTAAAATAATTGCTCTTTGCGCAATATACCTGCACCCCTTTCCCAGTCCTCTTCCCTAGTCTTTACAAGGTGCCAGGCACACTCCAAACTACTGTTCCTATTTCTAGCATATGCCTCACTAAGACATTATTTTGTTGTTGCTTACTTTTACACATGTCTAGTTGTTTTTCGGAGACTTTGGGACCTTACTGGTAGTTCTTGGTGTCCTCAGGCTTCCTATTCTTACATCTATAAAAATACAGATCCAAATGCTTGTCAGAGTCCAAAATACATAACTTTCACTGCAGACCTTACATCATTTCATCACTTTGTATTGCCTCACCCTCTTTTACAGTTGTCATAACATCCCGGTTTCCAAGTTCAACACTGCTGTGCTTTTAGGAAGGGTCATGTCAGTATTGGTGAATATGCTCCTTGAATTTGCCAGGGGCACTTTGCATCCAGTCTCTAATACCTTCTTCCCCTGTTAGCATCTTGAAATTAATAAATATATCCATGTTCATTATTCACATCTGTAATTTTAGAATCATGATCAATCCTTAAGGGGCATCATTCAGTAAGCATTATGGGGAAACCTGCTATAGACATCATCTTTATTGGAAGGATGCCTATCTTAAATGGGTAAATCGTGTTGGCACAAATTTGAGAGAGGAAATTATTTCAACCTCACCTGTCGAAAAGATTTTTTTTTTTTTTTTTGCAGAAAAGTGAATGTTGTCTTCAAGGGATTCATTATATAGGACAACATAATTGGACTGATTATCTGTAGAATAGATGGAAGACCAATATAGCGAGAAAGACTAGGTTGGGGAAAAAAATGTGTATAGTACCCTCTAACTAAATAGGGCATATTAAAATTCTCAATTTCATGTAATGTTTAGACAAATAAGAACTCTGATTATGGAATCGTATGGACCTAAATATAAAGCCATAATGTAAATTAAAACATTTGAACACATCTGGAAATCTGCAAAATGCACATGTAATCAAACTGCAGTACAAGAAAGCTTTTCCCAAATGATAAGATAAATACTAGAAGGAGGAGGGAAATGGAAGCGAACATCTGTTTGCTTTCCTGGATTTTGCACAGTATTGTGTGTTCAAAAATACTGTCATTGTGTGATTTCCAAAACCCATTTTTTTCAATTGATTTGATTTTTTTTTTAATCCGTATTCATTGATGTTGAAAATTCAGTCGAATTTCGTTTATGCACTTCACTAAGTAAGGTGGTCATGTATTGATTTCCCTACAAACACTCAGCTTGGTTCATGTAGATTCTTGAAATTGCACTAAACTCTCAATGTAAATGATTGTTGTCTTTTTATTGATCAACACATCAGCTCTGTCACATAAAATTATTTAAATCCTGAGATGGCCAAGAAGAACACAATTCCATCATTCCAGCCAGTAAACTAGCATGTAGGAGAGAATTTTAATGTCTGTTCATGGATTCAAAGTTTTTTCATTAATAAGATATGGAAAAGTGTAACTTTCTTTCATTTATTTATGTATTTATTCTTTTTTTGAGACAGGTTCTCACTCTATTGCCCAGGCTAGAGTATAGTGGTGCAATTGTAGCTCACTGCAGTCTTGACCTTCTGAGGCTGAAGCGATCCCCCTGCCTCAGCCTCCAGAGTAGGTATTAGAGACAGGATGCACAGTGCCCCTGGCAAATTCAAGGAGCATATTCACCAATACTGACATGACCCTTCCTAAAAGCACAGCAGTGTTCAATTTGGAAAGCAGGGCACCTCAAATGTGGAACTGAAGCCAGAGAGAGATTATTATTGCTAATGAAAGTCTGTCCCAGCACTTTGGGAGGCAAAGGTGGAAGGATCACTTGAGGCCAGGAGTTTGAGACCACCCTGGGCAATGTAGCAAGACCCTGTCTCTACAAAAAAGAAAATTAAAAAACAAAAACAAACAAACAAAAAACATAGCGGAGCATGGGTATGTGCCTGCAGTCCCAACCTAGGCATGGTTGTGTGTGCCTATACTCAGGAGGCTGAGGCTGGAGGATTGCTTGAACACAGGAGTTCAAGATCAGCCTGGACAACATAGAGAGGCCCAACATAGACCCTCTACCAAAAAAATTTTTTTTAAGAAAGACAGGAGATAATCATGCATTTTTGTTTTAAAACGTTTCTCAGAAATTATGGTTGTTGGCATACAAATGGTTATGGTTTAGTAGTTCAAGGTTATGAAGCATAAAGCATGTTTTTTTTTTTCTCAAGCAGCAGCAACCCATTTGTTTATCTCACTGTCCGTAAGTCCAAGGAAAGAGATGTTCAGTCCATTAACACTACCTTCCTAGACATCCTATTCTCTTCTCCACGCTAGGAGCCTTTGAGCATGCCAACCTCATGGGGTTCTTGTGAAGACTAAATGAGGTGATATTATTTAACACTTCAAACCATGCTTTGCACATACTCAGCACCATGTAAGTGTTTACTCTTGCCTTAGCAGTAGTTCTCATTACACGTTTCTATTCATAAGACCAGCCCTGGTCCTCCAGCATTTCCTTTTTTCGTCTCATTTTATTCAAATCTGATATCATGAAAAATCTAATTTTACATGAAAAATATAATTATTTCCTCTATCAACAGAATCATAAATAGAATTCATATAAATTCAGATTTCTCTGATGAATCTTAAGTTTGATTGCAAGGAGCTACCAGTTTATTTGTGCATTTGCAAGTTTTCAGGAATTGATCTTATAAATAATTAGCAAACTCCCCTGACCCCAAATCTATATAATAACTCAGAAAAAAAAATGGATGTGTTTCCCTATTGATCCCTGAATCATTATGTGATTGTGGTTATTATCAGCTTAACTGAATAAACTTAGCCATAAAACAAGCAAAACGGTCTTCTGTTTATAACCACTCTAAAAGGAAATAAACACTTGGCAACATAGTAAATTTCACAATGTGCCATGGGTATGAAGAACCAGTGAGATGTATTACTTACGTAACTTAACAAAGCCTAATGTTCTAGTCACCCTTTAAGTATATGAATCTCTTTCCACTTTATTAAAAAAAGATATTTGTGATTTACATGCCATTTTATAATAATTCAGTCCTTATAATTATGTTAGAATTCACTCCCCAGATTCCAGAATTTGTTCTTTTAATCAGAATAGGTTTGTTCAAGAGTTTGATCCTGGCTTAGAGGAGCCAGCTAAATTCTATTATTTATTCAAAAAAGTTTATCCCTTTATAGTATTTTCCTGCTGGAATGACAATATTATTTTGAGAAACAAAAAACTTATAGTGTAAAACCTTGCAATGCAAAGTTTACCTTAAGATATAAATATTCTGGCCAGGTGCAGTGGCCCATGACTGTAATCCTAACACTTCGGGAGGCCAAGGTGGGAGGATTGTTTGAGCTCAGGAAGTCAAGGCAGCAGTGAGCTGTGATTATGCACTCCAACTTGGGCAGCTGAGCCAGACCCTGTCTCAAAAAAAAAAAAGATATAAATGTTTTGTAATATAAATTTTAAAGTGGCTTTATTTTAACTTAGCCTATTATAAATCAATATAGGGGCTAGACACGGTGGTTCAAACCTGTAATCCCAGCACTTTGGGAGGCCAAGGTTGGAGGATTGCTTGAGCCTGGGAGTGCAAGACCAGCCTGGGCAACAAATTGAGACCCTATCTCAATTATAATTAAATTTTAAAAATTTAAAACAAAATATAAATAAAATAAATCAATATATGGTTTCCAGATCTAAATAATGCTTACTCTAAATTAATTAGAAACTACTGAATCCATTAATAATTAATACAACTATTGCCCCTAAGATACAAGATCATATCAAGTGTCGCACATAGCCTTTTAGACAGAATTTTTCATTCTTCCTTTGGCAAATGTTAAGGAGGAAACTTCTAATATTCAAATAATCACTCACTTTATATATCACATAAATTATGGGCCTAATTTTTAAAACGAGTGCATGACATAGAGAAGGACACATTTTGAAATTAGATAAGCATAGTTTCAAATCCAGGCTCTCTCCACTTGTAGTTACGCCACTGTTAAAAATTCCATCTTAAGGTCTCTGAGCCTGGGCTTGCCTGTCTTTCCACAGCAAGGATAATACCCCTTATATCTTACAGCTGTGCTAGGATTGGATTTGTTAAATACTCATGAGGTTCAAGCACAAGGTGGTGCTAAGCATTGGGGATATGGAGGAGGCTGCTAAGGGCTCTCTTCTCCAGGGGCTGGCAATGTAGATTGGAAAGAGAGCAACATGGAATCTAGTGTCCTGTAGTAAGTAGGGATGAGGATGGGAACCAGTGGCCTGACCAGGGAGTGGTCAGTACAGGGAAGAGTCAGCTAAGACTTCAGAGAGGAGGTAACCCTGGGGCCAAGTAGCTGAATCTTGACAGACGGCTGTTGTTCAGAGCATCTGTGTGATGTGGAGTATGTTGCCAGGGAGGTTAGATATGTGGCAAGGAATAAAAAAATGAGAGAGACAGGTTGGCTCCATGAAGACAGGGAGGACTGAGTTTGGCCTGATCTGAGAATGAGAAGTGTGTTATAATCAGAGAGAGGGGTGGGATGGGAGAAGAAGCAAGGGAGATAGAGGATGAATTGGACAACCTTGTACTCCATACCAATAAGTAGCCATTCAAGGGATTCAGGTCAGGGAAAAAATGTAAGGAAGAGCTGCAGCAGCAATGGAGGATGGGTTAGAGGGCGTGCGGCCTCAGAACAAACTAATAGGAGCGGCATAAAGGCTGGAGGATGTGCTGGGCCCAGTTAAGATAGAGCTAACCCTGGCGGCATGGAGGAAGGGGGTTTCATAAATGCCAGATGCTGATTTTCATTAGAAATAGGATTTAGAGAAATCAAAAACACTTAGTCCTTTTTAGAAGGAAAAAAAGAGAATATATTGATGTTAAAAATACTGTCTGGGGTATTGTTAAAGTGAATACTAGAACGCTTGAAATTGAAAAACTAGCCTAGCAATGACTTTCCAATAATTCATTGGAAATCACTAATTATATAAATATTTTTAAACCCCAATTTTCATAAGCAGTAAAAAGTTGTTCTTAGTGTCTCTTGTTTGGAAGAACCTTCTGGATCTTTCTTTTGTTGCTTCTCCTACCTTCCTTATATTGCACCTTAACCCCTTTGCTGTGGGCCTGTGTCCATCAATTTTGTGACAATGACTGTACGTGTTGAGGTGTTACCATGATGCCTACTCAGTGGATGTGGGTGGCACCTCTGGTTACTAAAAGCTAGAGTGTGAAATGCTTCTCTCGGCTTCAGAAGGCATGCCAGCAGCACACTTAGTGGGTGATTGTGGCTCATTCTTGGCTAGGGCCGGGGAAGACCTAAGTTTTTTATCATACTGCTTTGCTATCCCCAAAAGAACCCATGCCTGTCCCTGAAAAGGCAAATATTTGAGTTGGAACTACAGACTCCATGAAAGCTCTCGAATGTCCTTCACAGTGGAGGCCACACCTTGCACATTCGTGGAGGCGAGAGCCAGGTTGTGTTATGCGTTCCCCTCTTATTGACCAGCTGCACAGAAGCCATTCGGCAGGAAGGAGGGAGACATTAAAGTCTACTTCATTTTCCATTGACCGTAGAGAAAGTTACATGCTGTTTCTTTTCCCTCATCTAGATAGACCGTCTTTAAATGTTAATAGTGGAATAAATTAGAAATAGTTTCAATTATAAACTCAGAGCACTAAAAGATTGCAAATGCCTGCACTGAACAATATATTACTTTACGAATTGTAAAGCTGCTCTGCCATTTGCTCTCGGGAACCCTTGGGTCTTCTTAATCACAGTTATTGATTTAGGGAGTTTAAGGGATGAACTTCTAGAGGTGTTCCAAGCTAGGGCTGATAGCCTTTCTTGGAGAGGATCTTGGACATTTTGAGAAAGATTAACTGATTTGACTATAGATGCCTCACTTTCACATATGTGAAATGTGAGGAAAGGTTGCAAATTCCAAGAGACTGATAAAGTCATGTGTGATCACTAAGCCGGTATGCTTCTTAGAGCCCTAGACTTTTAGAACTGAGGACGACCAACTCAGAAGTCCTGACCACATTCCTCATGTTACATTTCTGCTTCATCCTATTTTGGTGGTGGGGAGAGGAATGAGGGCACAGATACAGAAGGAATTATGTTTTACATCATTCTCTTCAGCAGGGCATTTTATCAACCAGCACTTATAAGTATACTCAATGTAACTATTTATTATAAGAACACCAGTGTACACAAAAGTGCTAATATGCCTTCTATTTCCTTAATAACTATTTTTTAAGTATATTATATTATGCTTGTGAGGCTTACCTGTATTTCATTGCAACTTAATTAAATTAATATTCAGCTCTTCAATCAGACAGTAGAAAGATTAGGGAGTGGTTTTGGTGTTTTTTCCCATATAATTATGTCCCTTTTGACATGTATGTATGGCCCAGTTCCATCTCATCTCTACTTCTACCTGCTAAGTGTTTTCCTGTCCTGTATCAATGTATTTTCCACTCAATGAGAAGTAGTAAGAGCTCTGTCCAGTTATTAGTACCTGGTTAAAATCCTGGCCCTTCATAGCATTGAAAAGTGTTGTAGGAAATGTTAGGATTGACACTTGGCTACTGTTCAGTTATTCTTCATTCATTCACCAGATATCTACTGAACACTTATTGTCTTCATGTCATTGTGCTAGGGTTGTGATAAAAGCTGTCTAGAAAAGTACAGGGTACTCTAAGAGTATGTGACAGAAGGATGAAATCTCAACAGGAGAATCAGGAGTGTCTTACTGAGAATGTGTTACTTAAACTGAAACCTGAGGAGGAGGTAGGTAGATAGGTTCACCAAGTAGGAGAGCAATCAGTAGAAAAGCCTAAGATAAGAGAAGTTAAAGAGACCTAAACAGTGGTCATCCTAGTCAACAAAATTAAAAACACACAAGGTTTGACCATCACTCAGGAGCATTAATTAGATTTACATGCAGTTGTGCAGAGCATAAGGACATTTCATTCAACAGACTGCGTATACAGCAGTGGTCCTGAAATATTATAATACTGTCTTTTCATTGCACCTTTTCTACATTTAGCTTTAGGTTTACAGATACTCCCCACTGTTTTACAGTTGCCTACAGTATTCAGTAGAGTCACATACCATATAGCTCTGTAGCCTAGCAGCAATAGGCTCTACCATACAGCCTAGGGGTGTAGTAGGCTGTACCATCTAGGGTTTTGTAAGTGCACCGTATGATGTTTGCACAAAGATGGAATGGCCTAATGAGGCACTTCTCAGAATATATCCCCATCATTAAGTGACTCATGACCATATTTAATGTTGAGAGTGAGCATTTCCCTAGGCTAAACATTATGTAAAACATATAAAAATATAATCAGAAATGCAAAATCATTTGATCACAAAATGATTTTAATAATTTAGTTTTTGAATATCATGCAATACCTCTAACCTAATTAAGAGTGCAATAAATGTTTATTGAATGAACCTCATCTTTTTCTTGCCAGCAGTAATAATTATCACCTGAAACATTTATTACAGATAAGAAGACCCTAGACCTTCATTTAACTAGTGGGACATACCAGGAACAAGTGGAGTTTTAAATTATATTTTCATCCCTAAATAAAAGTTAAATATCATGAACCTTCCATAGAATGCAGAGCTATAAAAGAACACCCTGCCTTTACCTTTGAAGCAATCTTTTTTTTTTAATAAGAAGAGTAATTGAGAAAGATTGCTTCAAATAAGCCATTGCTATAAATTCAGATCCAATCAGGAAGGTCACTCCAATTTGCAGGCTTATACTGACTCCTGCAAAAACTTGTCTTCTCACCTCTTGAGGACAGTGATGACACCCCCTCCCCTCCTTTTCGCTTTACCTTCCATCCCCCACAATCACTGTCTTAGTTCATATTTGTCTTTCTCAGGTCTCCAATCCCCATTCACCCTGTGGCTGCAGGGTCTTTCCTCCCAGCTTAATAACCCATCAGTGTCTCCCTATTGCCTTCAGCATAAATCCAGACTTCCTCTAATGGGGAAGCCTCTGGCTTCTACTCACTTCCTGGGGCAGCCTCCCTTCCACCTGTAAATATTTGCCTGAGAATATCCTGGGTGGTTCCATGCCATTTTGTGGGTTTATTTTGCAGCTGATGTTTCTTTCATGGAATCTTCTCTCTTTTATCTTCCCTCTGTCCTGCCTGCACACACACACACAGTCTCTCCACAGTCTCTTTCTCTCTCTCTCTCTCTCTTTCTCTCTCTCTTTCTCTCACTTATTTCCACTCCCCTCCTAGCTATGGCCCAGATGTCACCTCCTTGGAGAGCCCACCCTGGCCCCCTGCCCATCTGTGTCCTGCAGCTCTCCCAGAGAGCTCAGCCCTAGATTCATTCACTGCACTGGCTGGTGACCGCTTGTCCTGGCCACCTACTAGCTCCTTCAGGGCCAGGCCTGTCCTCTGATTTTACTTCTGTATTTCCAATCCTGGTTCTATGCCAGACACAGGCTTCCATGAGTATTTGTTTATTTGTTTTGTTTTTATTATTTGTTTCTCATTTTTTTAAACTGTAGAAGAATTTTTACTGAGGCAAAAACTATGACTGGGTTTGCATATTAGATCAACCACTGGGGCCGGGACATTGGGGAAGTAAACAGGCCAATGTGTCTTCCGGATGGAAAATTAACAGATTACCGTGGATGGATGCATCAAAACTGTCTTTTGCCAAACACAAAGATTTTGAATGGAGCAGGCTGTGCTCAGGGGTTCCACCTCCCAGTTCCCACCAAATGACTGAAGTTTCATTTGGTAGTATAAGTGACATCTAATCTCTCTGATGTAAACAATTCATACAAGTTAATAGTTTAGAAAGGTAGTATCACAAATTAAGAGAACACGTGGCACAGACACAAGAAGACTTGGGTTTGAATCTCGGCTGGGACATTTACTAATTGTGTGACCTGAAGTCACCCTGTGTGTGAGGCTCTTCTTGCATTGCTATAAAGATACCCGAGACTCGGTAATTTATAAAGAAAAGAGGTTTAATTGGCTCAGCATTCTGCAGGCTTTACAGGAAGCATGGTGTTGGCATCTGCTTGGCTGCTGGGGAGGCCTCAGAAGCCTCCAATATTCCACTTAAGACCATGGCGGAAGACAAAGAGGAAGAAGGCATGTCACATGGTGAAAGCAGGAGCAAGGCAGAGAGTGAGGAGGGAGATGCCACACACTTGTGTGTGTGTGTGTGTGTATGTGTGGAAACGGAGTCTTACTCTGTCACCCAGGCTGGAGGGCAGTGGCGTGATCTCGGCTCACTGCAACCTCTGCCTCCCCGGTTCAAGCAGTTCTTCTTCTGCCTCAGCCTCCTGAGTATCTGGGATTATAGGCGCCTACCACCATGCCTGGCTAATTTTGTATTTTTAGTAGAGACGGGGTTTTGCTATGTTGGCCAAGCTGGTTGTGAACTCCTGACCTCAAGTGATCTACCCACCTTGGCGTCCCAAAGTGCTGAGATTACAGGTGTGAGCCGCCACTCCCAGCCAGATGCCACACGTTTTTAAGAGACCAAATCTCGTGCAAACTCAGAGTGAGATATCACTTATCCCCAAGGAGATGGCCCAAGCCACTCATGAAGGATCTGCTCCCATGACCAAACATCTCTCACCTGGCCCCACCTCCAGTTCCCAATTGGGAATTACATTCAGTATGAGATTTGGGCAGGGACAAATATCCAAACTATGGCACCCTGTAAATTCTCTAAGTCTGTTCCTTCATTTGTAAAATTCGCATCAAGTATACTACTTGCCTGTCTCACAGCCTGGTCAGAAGGATTATGATCAGTGAAAATTATTTGCAAACCGAATTGCTCAAAGAGAATAAAGCTATGATATCATGATTTGCTTAAAAAATGTTGACTAGATTGCTATTCAGTCTTTATGCCCATTATACTCCGCTTTTAGTAATACACTTAAAATTTCCTATCATTACTGCCTTTTATCTTCTATGCTGATATTCTGTGGTTATCACCTATATAGGAACTATGTTTTAACAGTCACTGATATTTGACAATACTTCTATAGAAGTTGTAAGAAATATGTGTGTTTGGTATTAATATTGTGCATTCATTTGGTAAAATCATCAATGTTTTAGATCTCTTGTTCCATCAAAACATCCCAGCAATAAGAGAAGGCATTGTTGGTAGGACTGTTTATAGATAACAGCTCATTCCAGGGAGTAAAAGTGCAATGTTGTTAAGAAGCATAAAGAATGCAACCATAGCATGGAGCTTGATGCTTCTGGGTTTAAATTCTTATTTGCCAAGATTTATGTCCACCTCAAAGGTAATAATAATATCTACCTCAAAGGACAGCTGGGAGAATTAGTGACCTGTAAGCAAAGCAGTCAGGACAGCATCAAACACAGATGTTATCTGTTCAGTACAGGAAGCCTTTTCTTATTGTTGATTTCTATAGTGATAGAAACAACTTATAGATAACATGGTAGCCCCTTTTATTCTGCCTATGTCTTGGGAAATTTTCTGGGTCCTAGCATTGTATTCCTGAGCCTCAGTTATGTTCTTCTTAGCAGCTTGTGATAGATAAATAATAATTACAGCAATAGAAAATGAATAATCATGGTTACTTGGATTGAGGAGCTGTGATGTGCCAAGCCCATGCTTGGTCCCAAATGAAATAATTTATCATGATTCAGAGCAGGCTTCCTCGCTAGATGCCAGCATTTCCCCATTACAGTTGAAAGCACTGAGGTTCAGGGAGGTTAACAGACTTGTCTACTCTAACCCCAAAGCCATGAGCTTTCCGTGTAACACTTAATCTTGTGCTCAGAGCCACAGGGCACGTGAGCTGTCAGGACCTTGCCTCCTCCTGGGAGCTGTGCTCATTCTCTTGTCCCCCACTTTGCTTGATCAGAAGACATCTTTCCTCCTGACCCTTCAGAACCAAGATGGTTACACCTCCCTTTGCAGACGTGGACTATTCTGCAAATTAATATCCTTTATTTATTGTCTTTTCTAGTACAGGCATATCTTGGAGTTATTGCAGGCTCAGTTCCAGATCACTGCAATAAAGTGAATATCACAATAAAGCAAGTCACACACATTTTTTGTTTCCTAGTGCATAGAAAAGTTATGTTTATATTATACTGTAGTCTGTTAAGTGAGCAATAGCATTATGTCTTAAAAAATGTATCTACCTTAATTAAAAAATACATTATTGCTAAAAGTACTGATGATCATCTGAGCCTTCAATGAGGCATAATCTTTTTGCTAGTGGAGGGTCTTTCCTCAATATGGATGGTTGCTGACTAATCAGGGTGGTAGTTTCTGAAGGTTTGGGTGACTGTGGCAATTTCCTAAAATAAGACAATGAAATTTGCCACATCAGTTGACTTTGCTTTTCGCAAAAGATTTCTCTATAGCATGGGATGCTGTTGGATAGCATTTTACCCATAGTAGAACTTCTTTCAAAATTGGAGTCAATCCTCTCAAACCTTGTCAGTGCGTTATCAACTATGTTAATATAATATTCTAAATCATTTGTTGTCATTTCAACAGTGGTCACAGCATCTTCATCACAAGTAGATTTCATCTCAAGAAACCACTTTCTTTGCTTACCCATAGGAAGCAACTGCTCATCCGTTCAAGTGTGATCATGAGATTGCAGCAATTCAGTCATGTCCTCAGGCTCCACTTCTAATTCTAGTTGTTCTTTCCACCACATCTGAGGTGACTTCTTCCATTGAAGTGTTGAACCCCTCAAAGTCACCCTTGAGGTTTAGAAACAACTTCTTCCAAGCTCCTGTTAATATTAATACTTTCACTTCCTCCCATGAATCACAAATGTTCTTAATGGCATCTGGAATAGTGACCCCTTTCCATTGACTTTGACCAGACCCATTAGAGGAATAATTATATATGGCAGCTATAGCATCACAAAATCTATTCCGTGTATAATAAGACATGAAAGTTAAAATGACTCCTTGACCCATGGGCTGCAAAATGGATGTCATGTTAGAAGATATGAAAACAGCATTCATCCCATGTACGTCTCCATCAGAGCTCATGGGTGATCAAGTGCATTGTCAAATGAGCAGTAATATTTAGAAAGGAATCCTTTTTTTCTGAGAAGTAGGTCTCAACAGTGGGCTTAAAATATTCAGTAAACCATACTGTAAATAGATGTGGTATCATCCAGGCTTTGTTGTTCCATTTGTAGAGCACAGGCAGAGTAGGTTTAGCATGATTCTTAAGGGCCCTAGGATGGTAAATGAGCATTGGCTTTAACTTAAACTTGCTAGCAGCATGAGCCCGTAACACAAGAGTCAGCCTGTCCTTTGACACCAGACATTGACTTCTCCTCTTCAGCTATGAAAGTCCTAGATGGCATCTGCTTCCAATAGAAGGCCATTTCATCTACATTGAAAATCTGTGGTTTAGTGTTGTCACCCTCATCAATGACTTTAGCTAGATCTTCTGGATAATGTGCTACAGCTTCTACATCAGCACTTGCTGCTTCGCTTTGTACTTTTATGTTATGAAGATGGCTACTTTTCTTAAACCTCATGAACCAACCTCTGCTAGCTTCAGACTTTTCTTCTGCAGCTTCCTCACCTCCCTCAGCCTTCATAGAATTGAAGAAAGTTAGGGTCTTGCTCTGCACTAGGCTTGGTTTAAGGGAATATCATGGCTGGTTTGATCTTCTATCCAGACCACTCAAGTTAGTTTAATATTCTATCCAGACCACTAACACTTTCTCCATATCAGCAATAAAGCCGTTTCACTTTCCTATCATTCATGTGTTCACTGGAGTAGCACTTTTAATTTCCTTCAATAACTTTTCCTTTGCATTTACAACTTGGCTGTTTGGTATAAGAGGCCTAGCTTTCGAACTGTCTTGGCTTTTGACATGCCTTCCTCACTGTGCTTAATAATTTCCGGCTTTTAATTTAAGGTGAGAGGCTTGCAACTCTTCCTTTCACTTGAATACTTAAAGGCCATTGTATGGTTATCATTTGTTCTAATTTCAATATTGTGTGTCTTAGGGAGTAGGGAGGCCCAGTGCCAGGGAGAGAGATGGCTGTCTTATATGGACACAGTTCATAGCACCCCAAAACAATTACAAGAGTAACATCAAAGATCACTCATCACAGATCACCATAACGGTTGTAATAATAATGAAAAAGTTTGAAATGTTGCAGGAATTACCAAAATGGCACAGAGACATGAAGTAAGTGCATGCTGTAAGATAAATGGCACTGACAGACTTGCTGAAGGGAGGGTTGCCACAAACCTTCAATTTGTAAAACTTTAGTTCAGTATCTGTGAAGCCCAATAATGTGAAGTGCCTTATTAAGCTGGGTACGCCTTTATTAAGAAAATACGTTACACCTTTGTTTCTATATTATGATCATTGGAATCTCTGGGGTTTATCCCTACTGCTTGCTTAATTCTTAAATGCAATACTTTTGTATTCTTCATTATTTCCTTGTTATTATTTTTAAGCTGAAACATTTTGGGGTTTTGTTTGTTCGTTTTGTTATGTTTTAGTGGGGGAATCTTGCTCCATTGTCCAGGCTGGAGTGCAGTAGCATGATCATAGCTCACTGCAGCCTCAAATTCCTTGGCTCAAGCGATCCTCCCACCTCAGTCTCCTGAGTAGCTGGGACTTAGAGGTGGTGTGCCACCACACGCAGCTGATTTTTTTTTATTTTCTATAGAGCAGGGTCTCACTATCTTGCACAAGTTGGTCTCAAACTCCTGGGCCCAAGCAGTCCTCCCACCTTGGCTTCCCAAAGTGCTAGAACTACAGGCATGAGGTACCACACCCAGCCCTTGTTAATTGTTTAGCCATATAATTTTGAGAACTTGAAGAACTTAAACGAAATTGTTTTAGAATATTGGATTATTTTAATCAAATTAATCAGTGTTTTTCTGCTGGTATGTATGTTCTTTTTCCTTTCACCATTTTTATTAGTCTCCAAAGAATCAATAAATTAAGGATCAGTGCTTTTGAGGTACTTATAAGTGGCTTTTTAATTGTTCCCTTTTTATTTATTGGAGAAATGCAGACTGCAGGAGCATCTTAAACCTTCAGGGCTAAATGCACTTTTGTCACAGTTTTCAAACCTTTTGAAAAGGCTCTATCTGTGGCTAAAATTGTTTAGGGAAAGCAACTGACTTCTAATAATTTTCCTTTATTCATTGAGGTACACATAGGATCAAAATGTCATTGAGTGGTAAAACTTCAGCCTGCTTTTTATAGAATTTGTTTTTATTATTACTTACTGTTGCTGAATCGCTACAGTGAGTGTTAGCAAAAGGTGCCAGATCCCTTACTATCACCACCACCACTACCCCCACCCCACCTGCTTTTAAGTGAGTTTTATTGTATTAAAAAATAATACTCTGGATTCCTTTACTGCCAGAAAACAAAGATCATTTTTATTAATGTTGCTTCTAGGATGACAATGTCAGTCATCTCTTTGAAAATTCATTTTGGAAACTAAGTTTGTTCTTTAAGAACCTTTGAAAAGAAGCTTTAAAAATGGCAGAGGAAGATAATAATAATAGAGTAGATGTATTTGAGCTTTTATACAATGAAACTTAATTTAACTTTCCCTCAAACTCCATTTCAGACTTGCTTTTGTGCATGAAAATATGCTGCCTAGCCTTCCCTCCCCTACTTTTCACATTTTCTTTTCTTCAAAGTAATCTCTTCTGAAGGATTCTCTGCATGGGATCAGACCTCCATTCTCATTCCCAGGCCCCCAGTGCTGAGGGCGGCAAGCCCAGGGCGCCTGTGGGAGGGTGTACAGGGAGGCTGCTATAGACAGGGAAGGTCAGGAATGGCTCTCAGAGCCAAATTCCACTGCCAGTCACCCCCCAGAAAAACCAACAAAATACTTACGTAATATTTTGATATAACTTTAAGGATTAAAATGGATATCCAGTGAAGTACTGAAAACAAAAAATTATGGCCTTTGTAGCCTAAGGAGTGATTATAGACTCGACAGAGAGTAGTTCCAAGTTTGCCTGACAGTGATTTGGAAAGAGAGAGGAGAACAAAGACGAAGACCATGCATGCCTTCAAGCTTCTTTCCCGGCCCACCCTCAGGTACCTCCTTCTTCATCCTTACCTCAGGCCTTGTGGGCGCCTAGAGGAGTCAAGACTAGGAAGCCTGGTTTTCATGCTCTGCAGGACAGGAATTGAATGAGGAAGACCCTGCCATTCTTGTGTAGCTCTTGGGGCCACTCTGGGGACTCCTGGGGGCATACCTGCTGGGACCTGGGCAGTATGTGAGGTAGGACCCAGCTCATTGTCTTCCATCTTCTGTGCTGATGAAGGGTACTCACAAGCAATTGGAGTGAATGGAGACTGTATTGGGATCTGTTAATAAACATGTTGGCTTTTTTTTTTGTTGCTGTTGTGTTATCTTTAATTCAGGGAGAATGTTGGTGACTGTAGCATTGCAGGAGCAGTTTTAGGGTGAGAACATTTGGGCACTTGGTTCAGGTCAGATGCCCTCAATGTAGTAGATGCTAGAAGAGATTTTAACGTAGAGATTGACACATCCCTGGGTCCTGTTACTTTGTCCTTTGTACAAACCCTTATCAGATCCTTGGCATGGTAGTTCTTCATTGGTGTGATGTATTTCTGACACTCTTAGCCTGTGCTTTTCAAGGACGGGGCAGTCTGTGCCTAATTCCTCTTTTTATTCTTCCCCTGTGCCTGGAACAAGGCCTGATACGTGGTGAATATTGTGGAAAGAAAGGATGGAGGAAACATGAATGAAATAATTTTCTTCTCATTTGCTGATGTCACAACTTGCCTGATCTTGTGCTGAGAGTCATAAAATATTAGCGCCTGAAGGGCTTTAGTGGTCAGTTGGTGATTCAGGAGCAAAGCAGGAGCCAGTCACCTGTGGACGGTGATTCCCAAGTCAATGCTCTCTCATCAGCACCCCCTTGGGCACAGCTGCCTTTCTCTGATAGTTGCATTTGTATTCCAGCCCATCTGGCCCAAAGCACTGGAACTTTTCGGGACTGAAAGATTTTGAATTGGATAAAATACAAACTATAAAATATCATTCAGACAAACATACAGGAACAAAGCTATTTGGTGTGGCTTTGATAGTATTCTCTTTCTATTTTTATTCAAATCATTAGGACTATTTAAGAGAACATACTTTTCATAATAGTAACTAATTTTGGATTATACTTTCATAATCATGTGTTTATGAAATTGAGATGATTAAATTGTGTTAAATTTATATGAAATAGGAAATGCAAAGGAAATTGTCTTCACTTGTTAAAAGCAGGAGACATCACCCTTAAAGATGTTCCATCTAGGACTAATTTACTCGAAATGTGGTGCCTGTTGTGAAGATTAATGATAGGTGGCCTTTTACAGAGCTTCTCAGCCTGAGCCTAATGTTCTAGTTGTTCTTTTTATTATCCCAAACCTCCATAACTAAAGAATTTTTTTCACCCTGCCCTTTGTTCATAATATGGGATGGTAATTGAGTTCATATTTCTCACCCAACCTTTCATCTGTAATTAATATTTTATTATATCAGATTTTATCACTAACTAGCAGAGCAGCAGGGTATTGAACCGAGTATGGGAGCATGTGCACAGACACACACCCACAGAGCAATAGTAACTTACTGATGCCAGGCAAGCTCCTTGTTATGAGTTACGGCTGAGAGAACATAAAAAATGCTTGTGGTGCCCCACAAATATTCCACAGCAATTTCTGGCCAGTCTTGTCTATATCAGAGCAGGACAAAGAGAAATTAAAGTTGCTAATATAGAATATTCAGCCCCACAGGTCTATTTATCCTGTGTGATGTGTTACCCATTGCCAATTGTCTGTATAAAACTAATTACCATTTATCATTGATAATTTAATCAACAGGTGTGTGTCCAGTCAGTTACTCTCAGTGTTACCTGAAGGACTCTAAGGAATCTGAGCAGTAATAACAAACACTGAATTCTGATTTTTTTCCAGTAATTGTAATTTGGTGACATATTTTTTAAAACTGAGTTTAGTTTTATCAGGTTGTTTAGAGTATTAGGGTGTCATTTCAGTAAATGCTGACAGATTTAGGAAAAGACAATGTCAGAGCAAAGAACAAGAGGTAAATAAATTCAGTGTGGCTGCATGGCATTAACCCTTAGTTACACATTTATTTTTCATGCTTTGCATGTAATTAATATTTTCATTTTCTTTCATCTCCCCCCATATTAATCTTCAGGAAGCTATCAATACTAATATCTATTCTTTTTATACATATATAATGGATGGTTTTTACCAAAAATTACAAATCAAGCCAAAAGTCACTACTAGATATGATAAAATGAACAATATTCTAAGTCCCTGAAATGATCAGAAGTGCCTGTTTTAGAGGATTAGCAAAAACAACAATGAAAGCGTTACAACTTTTCTCCTTCTCTGTTCTCTTCCTTACCTCCCTACCTTCTATTATCCAATTGGTAACCCTCTGATATCTTATGGTGAAAAGAAATACGATAAATGGATAACAAAAATGGATTTACAACTCATCTTGAAATGAATTAGGACAAAACATTTTAAGTTAATTTCACATATGTATGAGGCTTCCTCTCCAGGAACTCGAAAGTTAGGAAAAAACTAAAAACATTTTATCACATTTGAACTTTCAAGTCTAAAAAAGTAGATGAAAGATGTTCAGATGTTCTTTTCTAGATTATACTTCATGTGCTATTCCATATAAATGCAGATTTTTCATTCTCCTTGTAAAGGCCTTAGAATTTTGTTGTAGAAATGCCTAGCATAAATTAAACTTTAAATTAAATTTCCTTCCATAGGAAAGTTCTGATATAATGATGTCACAGTGTTGGCAGATTCATCCTCACTGTGGATTGTGCTTTTAATATCGCACATGCAGTAGGAAGATTTGATGTTACTTTAAATTCCAGAATAATGGTAGGACAGGGCTAGGGTGGTGCAACTTTAATAAACAAAGGCAGCATGGGCAACTCATTAAAAGGATAATAGAATTTAAATTCAGCTCACTAAGCTAGAAATTTCTGATCAGTTTTCTATTCTCAGAAATTTGCTTTTTAAAACTCTTTCTAGAAACACCATTCCAACAGTGAGATTTTCAAAGCTAGTTTTGAGATTATGATTGTGGATGGAAAAATTTTATGAAACTCATTAGTGAAGTGATGTTACTTGTACAGATGAAAAACACATCAGCTATAAAGTTCTGTCAAGGTACTATTGACCTAGGTGCTAATAATGTGTTAATTTCCATCAGGGAAACAGCAAATTATGGCAATTGGGCAGCAGATAGGATTTAGCTATTTTTCATTAGCACTTGGGCTTTGATAAAGGGGACTAGAAAAGAGCTGCTTGACCTTTCAGTGCTTAAATTATTAAAGAGCAAATAGATTTGAGGTCTGGATGCTTGAAAATCTAATTTGTCTTGTGGAGCAAGGATGAAAAGACATTTTGGGTTTGAAATTGCTCCAGTCAACTTAGTTCTTTCTTTAATATATCTGAAGATGAGTGGATAGTAGCCATTTAAAAAGCAGTATGTCTGGAGTAGAGTGTATAATAGAACCCATGCCAACTGGCTAACATGGAGGCCTGTCCAATGATTGTTTAATTCTTAAATTTTCACCTAATCCTCATTAAACTACTGCTTGAAACAAATGATTTTTTTCATGTTTGCTTAGATGATATTTATATTACAAAACAAAATTTTGTATCATTAGAGAATGTCAAACATTGTGTTGTTTAAGGCAAACTAGAGCAGTGCCTGACACCTATTAGGCACTCAAAAAAATTTGTTGAAATAATAAATCAGTGTACACACTCACCCATCACACCTACGAGCCAGGTTAGGAGAGAGGAATGGGAAGTGAGAGATGGAGGTGTGGGGGGCACATAGAGACACAGCGTTTGATTCCCTTAGGTTCATTATTTAATTGTGGGTTATCCAGGATAAACTAAAACATAACTAGCATCCTCTTACCATAAAACCTTTTCCTTGGTCATTGCTTTCTCTTTGGCTCTTGAGTATTTGGGTAATGAATACAAAATAAACTTCACATTAAATTTTAATAAGGCAAAGCATCGTTGTGACTATCGGTGTGCTTCCTCCCTCCTGGTACATAGAATGTGTAATATACCCCCAAACCAAATAGAAGCAACTTCAGGATTATAGCATGCTTTCAGAAATATGTACTTCACAGCCGAAGTGTCACGAGACACAACAGTGACTAAACCTTTGCCCTTCTTCTTCAGAAGCTTGTAGGACTTTTGAAAATAGTGATAAAAGGACACAAAATGACTATGTGCTCACAGAAAACATGTTTTTGTGCATTTGGAGCAGAGCAAGAGAACATGAAAATGAGGGAACAGACTATAAGCCCTTGAGAGAGACTCATTGAGGGTCTGTGTTTTAGGACACAGGGCATCTGAGAGTGACCTAGAGTTCATTGCCTTGAGGAGAACTACATTTAAGTGGCAAACTTGAGTCCAGGCCAGGGTGAAGGAAAAGAGGCAAAGATGTTTGCAGTAGGAGAATCTAGGATCTTGGGACATGGAAAGTCTAGGAGCAGCTGTGCTGCTTTTTTGTCTAGCTGGGTTGTAACAGGAGGGAGCTCCTTGCAGGTTGAGAGAGGTGGGAAGATCACAGTGCTCCGAGGACACCAGCCCGGTGCTAAAGTCACTGTGGAGCCCAGGAGAACGTCCTCCCTGAAAGTAATTAATGATTCAGATATAGAATTGAGGAATGATTCTGTACATACCTTGATTCCTCATTCCAGTGAATGATTCCTCAATCATTCATTGAGGAATGATTCAGATACAGAAGGAATTGAGGTCAAAGCCAACATTATCGTCTATAACTCCCTTGATGTGATAAGTGTGAATCTTTACAATACTCAAAAGAAGTTGACTGTGGAAAGTCAGTGGAGACTAGCTTATGTGTTGGTTGTGTCTACAGGAGCAAGTGAAAATTCCCTTCAGGCCAGATGGTTTCCATCAGTGCCTTCACTGGACCTGTGAATGAGGAATGCCAGCACAGCCTGGTCTGATGATTAGGAGAACTGGCTCTGCTGTCAGACCACCTCTGCCACTTCTGTAGAATACCCTGGTAGAATGGCACTTCACCTCTACACCTCAGTTTTCACATTAGGAAAATGGGAAAGATAAACTCTGTGTGTGTTGGGCACCTGGCCTAGCACTTCCAGTATGGAATATCTGCAACATTTTTTTCTTCACACATATCCTTATTTTCCTGCTTTGTCTAGTATATGGATTTCCCAGAAGTTGTTTTTAAGTTGAAGTTTTGAAAATCATGTCATACAGGAAATGAACTGGAAAAACGATTTGAAGGAAGTGATGTTAAAAATTATTATATTGGCCAGGCGCAGTGGCTCATGCCTGTAATCCCAGAACTTTGGGAGGCCGAGGCGGGCGGATCACGATGTCAGGAGATTGAGATCCTGGCTAACACGGTGAAACCCCGTCTCTACTAAAAATACAAAAACAAAATTAGCCGGGTGTGGTGGCGGGCGCCTGTAGTTCCAGCTACTTGGGAGGCTGGGGTGGGAGAATGGCGTGAACCCAGGAGGCAGAGCTTGCAGTGAGCCAAGATCGTGCCACTGCACTCCAGCCTGGGTGACAGAGGGAGACTCCATCTCAAAAAAAAAAATTATTTTATTAAATGGAGAATCACTTTGCAAAGAAAATAATTATTCTTACGGTTTCTCTATTTTGTGAGATCAGTCCTTGTAAGTTGAATAAAAATTCTAGATATATGAACTCCATGTTAGAGATTCACTTAATTCTCTCATTTCGTAGGAGAAAAATAAAACTCAAATAAATTAATTGAAATGCATTTAAAACCCAAGCTTTTAGCAGAATTAGAATTAGAGCTCAGACCAGTGCATTGTCTTTACCCCTCCAAAAGCGATTTCAAGAGAATGGTCACGCTTCCTTAGGCCTGTTTGTTTTTAATGGTATTCCAGGTGAGACTTCTTTCACCGCTGTCAACTGTGGCTGTGCTACAGAACAGGTAGTATTTAGTCTTCCACTTTGACCTTGACCCTTTACCTTTACTACTGTATGAATGATCCACTAATGTGGAGCATTTTACGTGACTCAATCCGATAGAAAGTATCTGCTGTTTAGGAAATAAGAGTTGTACTCCTTTTTTTAAGTTTACATCACTGGTAATATTCACTTTATCATTGCCTTATAAACCTGCTGGTTACCTGTCTACAGAGAAATCAGTCTGATATTCTAAAACAATTGATTTTTATTTAGACAGAATTACCAACGAAATGGCAGCACACATTTTGTTTCTGTAATAGAAGGTGCTAAGTGGTTGTGCCCACAGAGATAGGTGGTTCTATGAGTGCAGATTCAGAGGTCACATAGACGAGAGTGTAGAGACAAACCTTTCTAGGCATTCCCCCCATGGGTGGGGATAGCAGGCAGCCCTCTTCTGTGCTTTTTCCTTGGCATTAATGGGTTCTTGTACTGGGCAGCTCTTGGTTCCTGGGAATTCTGGTGCCTTTCTGATACTGTAAGAAAAAGATCCCTCTTCCTGCCAGAGGACTTAAAATCTAATCTGGACTCAGTTCAGGGAAGCTGTTGTCAGGCTTTAGTTTTTCTCAGCATGAGAAAGGTTTTTTTCCAACAAAACTGCAAACAACATTCATCACTCTGGCAAATGTATTAAATAAATACCTTAATTTTCTAAAAATCTATCAGTTCAAGGTTTCTGCCATTCTCCTGAGGTTACTTCAGAATTCAAAGACATTGGAAGAGGATGAGCGGGTACCAGAGACCTACTCCTTAGTGGGGCTGTCATCCTTGCAGGCGTCTTCAGAGATACCCAGCCCATTCTTATATGAGATTCGAGGGGCCTTGTTCATTAGTTAGTCTTACTAATCACTTGGAACTCCAAGGCTTTGGCTTTTGAAACTATAATCCCTTATCTCTGCTTTTCTTATGCATTTCTTTCCACTGACTGAATACGGTGAGTGCAAAGGAACATAAGAAAACATAGGAAGATAAACCTTAGTTAACATGAATCACTACACATTGTGTTTTGTGATTTGTTAAAACTTTACTTGTGTTGTCATTAAAGAAAATAATGCATTGCTTTTTAAAATAAACTTACAGTTGGTATAATTTAATTGTATTTATCAGGTAAACTGAGTTAATTATCTGTAAAATCATCGTCAGTTACATGTGAGAAAAACATTACTTCTGCTCACATAAACAGTAGAGATTATCATATTAAAAATTTAAAATGATGGTGAATTTTGTTTCTCTCACTAAATAGTGTTGTTTTGGGTGAGAGAGTTCTGAAGAAGAACTGAAGAACCCTCCCTGTCTTTCACTGAGCAAGTGCTGCATGAGAGTCTGTTATATATCAAGCACTTAGTATGGACTGCGTCCAGTGTGTTCTTTATTTTGCGTGTCCTGTGGGTCCATGCAGTTGAAGGCAGAGTGGATCAGTTCAGTTATCATAAAATATCATTGATGGTACTCTTGTTTTTCTAGTGTCTATCAAATAGTTGTTGAGGAAGAACGTCCTCGAAGAACTAAAAAGACGACAGAAATCTTAAAGTGCTACCCAGTGCCAATTCACTTCCAGAATGCTTCTCTGCTGAACTCACAGTACTACTTTGCTGCAGAATTTCCTGCAGACAGCCTCCAAGCTGCGCAGCCTTTTACAATTGGTGATAATAAGACATATAATGGATACTGGAACACTCCCCTTCTCCCCTATAAAAGCTACAGAATTTATTTCCAAGCTGCTAGTAGAGCCAATGGGGTAAGTTGTACAGATAACTGTTTACTTAGGCTATTTGGGGTTGTTAATGTGAACATAGATTAAGTAAAATAGTAGTAAAATGGAAGTCATGCTTTTCTGCATTTCTACTTGTAAACAAATGTGATTTTCTTCTCTTAAAATTATTTTTGTCTAGAGAAATTTATGGAAAGAAACAAATATACTCATCTTTTTTTTTTTTGATTGGGGGAGTTTATCATCAACATGATAGGTTTTATTTTCAGTTTTCCTGTTACCAAAAGTTGGCTGGCAATTCTGCTTAGCTTACTATTTTACAGGAAGACAGTATAGCTCCAACACATACATTCAGCTCATTTAAAATTTTGTGAGATTCACAGCATCTGTCTTTTCAGCATAGTCTGTCCCATTAAAGAAATGGGAACTGAAGAAGTTCCACAAGAGTTTCTACTTCCTATACTTTGACTAAATTTGGTATCTTTTTTTTTTCCTAAGAGAAAATAGAAAAATGAGACGGAAACAAAATAAAAAGTGTCATTTCTGAATTTGCTTCCCCTTCCTGCTCAGACCAACCCAGAACTCTGATAAGATTGTAAACTCTCCTTAGACAGAAGGAAATGTTTCGCAGATACCACAGTGGGTCCCTCCTTCGCAGCATAGGTCTAGGTATCGTGGTCAACTTGACTTTTGCCGGTGTAAAGGGGGGAAATCTGAGATGCATCATGCTTCTCCAATACTGTTTGCTCAGGGGCAAAGTACAGATCTGGTCCTTTACTTTACCTCCTTACTAAAGGAGGTCCGGGGCCACCAGGCAGAGACATTTTATGTGTAGCTCCTTGCTCATCACCTGGTCTAGAAATGCCCAGCACTGCCTGCCACTGGAGCCAGAAAATGTATCTGAGTATGGTTCAAAGAATAATTGCTGTGTGATTAAAGACACGCTCAGAACAGTGAGATCCTTCCTTATCAGTGCTATTTAAATAGAATTACAGATATTTCTATTTGTCTTAAAGAAAACATGAATAATGATTTTTCCCTCTCTTTATTTGACACAGGAAACCAAAATAGACTGTGTCCAAGTGGCCACAAAAGGTAGGTTGAAATTGTGGGATATTCTCCTAATTAATGTTCCTTAAAAGTTTATTTTAACCTATGTTTCAAAACTTTTTGAACTGGAACTTAATTGAAAATAAAATGTGTGTATTATATATACATATATATATATGCATGAATGCATGTATGTATTAGGATCTGATGGTAATTAACATTGACTGACTGGAACTCATATAGATACTTTTTAAAATAAGAAGCTATATTTCTGTGTTCCAAGCAGTTTTCAATAGTTACCTTTTTCAGATTTTTTCAAATGACTTTAATTTTTATATGATCTCAGTACACGTTTTTTAATCCATAGTGTCATGCCTGGTAGTACCACATCTAGTGAATCTTCATATGCAAAGGAATAAAATATCACCCACTATTTTTAAGTAGTTCTCTAGTTATAATAGCAGTAGAAAGTGGAGTCTACGCGGGCTTTTTTCACTGGTGGTGCGTGTCTCTCTGAACCTAGTAACCAGGTTATGTTGCTGTGGAGCATCTATTTCCCAAGCCTGGTTAAAACTCTCTGAGAGAATGTGATAGAGGATGAGCTGCAAAAGTGGGTAGGGCGAGTTACCCTGAGCTCCCCCAGCATCTCCTGCAGAAGCAAGTGCAGACGTGTGTTTGTGAACATGAGCTGTCATCTGGTCAACTTGACAGTGTTGTTTTAACCGTCACATACAGAAATGTATAAGAAATGCTTTGAGAAATTTAAAATGTCGTCTTAAAATGAGGCAATATAAATTAACACTCAAAGTCAAATACAATCATTTAGATCATTGGAGTAACCATGAATACAGTGGGAAGTTCTGTATGATTTAATTTAGAGACGATGGTAAAAACACATCATTAGGTCTGTAGCAGAAGATTTAATCAGGTCATACTTGATGAGTTGTGTTGGATAAAATAACTTTTTGTTGTTGTTTAACTCTCAGGTGAACATAGTTTGAATATACCATGATGTACATGTGCATTTTCAAAATTCTCACTGAATTCTTATTTTGTGAACTTACATGACTCTTTTAGTCAGTGTTAGCTCAACAAATATTTCTTGGTTGCATGTTTTGTGCCAGGCATTGTGTGAGGTACTCACCTCATTTGTATCTTGTTTGTCCTCATAGGCTTGTAGTTCTATATCCAAAAATCTATTTATACTAATTTTAAAACACTCAATTTTTATATCATATTGTACCTAAGTGACTTTATGTATAGAAATAAATTGATATTTACTGAAATTATAGCTGCTTATGTGTTTCATAAACTGCCGTATGCTATCAGCTATTAATTATTACAGGACGATGAAGCCCTTGAACCAGGTATCCATTGATGCTCTTAGATCTCAAGATTATGGTCCATACTCAACAACAGGAATTTCAAAATACTGCTGTATTACATTTCACTTACACTTAAGGTCTGAAAAAGTAAATCCTGTTCCAGGGCCCCTAGTTTATAATGCTTAACGTTTAACGTCACAGCTGAAAGTTTTGAAATCTCTTTCATGCGTGTGTTCTCATTTATTTCTTCATTACTATGAAAAGGGAAACAGGTACTGCTATTCTTATTTTTAAGATGAGGAAAAGGTGTATTTTTGGAGACGAATTGACTCACCAAGGTGACTCAGCTGATAATCTGGGGGTCAAGGCCTGCACTCCTAGCCCCAGTGTTTCTTTCACCATTGCTCATGGCTCGTCACCCAGCAGCACCTCTGGCCAGTGACAGTATTGTGTAGTGTAAGCATCAGACCTCCTCTTGGTGAGGATTGAGTCACTGCCCAATTTACTGTGAAAACAACAAAATATCTGTCATCATGCTCATTTACATAGTTAAATAATTATATAAATAACACACTAGTAAATGTGGAAACCTGACAAGTTTGCTGTTTTCACAATAGATTGAATTAGATAGTGATTTGGATCATTTTCTTCCATCAGCTAGATTTCATCAATATTGTAATTTGTTTTTCAATTCACCAAAGGATGATTAAGCAATCAGATGACCTGATTGACTAAATATTCCCCACTCCTATTTTCTGAGTCATTTGCAAACATTTACACAGCAACAAACTCTATCCAAAGAACCTCTTTTGGGGAAAGAGGGACACATTTTAATATTTCCTGCATAACATTGTCATTCTGTTTCATAAAATCACAGCACAAGAGGAAACCTTGGAAGATATTCTCCCTCCAGGCAAAACTACACTGTTTTGTGCTATTTTATTAAGTTCTACATGGACGGATTCATCAACCCTCCTTTCAGCACAGTGTAATGTTTCACCACCTTTTAGTCAGAAAATGTGTCCCTATTGATACTAGAAATTCTCTTGCAACATGGGAAGCCATTCCATCTTGACTACATAGTCAAAACAGAGAAATAGGAAGATCTAATAACTGTTGATACCACAGAGTAAAGATGTTTAAAATGTAGAAGAGTTCAAACATCCTGAGTGTGTGTTGCCACATACTGCTCACAGTGCGATGGCTTAATTGAGTTTTCAGATACAGAATTGCTTTCCTAAGCAACATTTTGAATGTACAAAGATTTCAATGTTCTCCTGAAACAACTGTTGACAAGTATCTTTATAGAGAAAGTATGGAGGTGGATTTGTTTTCACTAAGAGCTAGCTTATAATTTAAAGTAAGGGTATGTCTCTTAAAAATATATTTCATACTATTTATAAATTTAATGCAGTGATTATTTTAATCATATTCCAAAGACATATTTTGACACTCATCATCTTAAATATAAACTTCATAAAAGTTAGACAGGAAAAAACCTAAGCTGTATTATTATATATCTCCATACGTGTGGGGGATTGCCTATATTTTTATGCATCCTCTTCGTTTATGCACCTAGATGAATTTCCTATAGGTACAAGTTAACTATAGGCAAACTCATCACAGAATATTCTCTCTTGAGTTAAAAGATAAAGACACCATAAACCAGGGTATACGTGATGTTTATGTGTTACCTGCCCAATTCAAGGGATTGTTTTTAATTGTATAGTGGAGTGAATAGAGTAGCTTTTAAATATTTCTTAAAATCTATGAAATTGTATTTTTCATTAACATTCACATTTTTATAGTTGGATTTTTTTATGACCATTTGGTCCAACTGTGTTTTAGTGATTAGTGTATGTGTTTTCTTTAGCTTTTATATTCACCATGGTGGTCTCATGGTAACTAGTAGGGTGGAAACTCTTTGCAGCTAGTTTTAGAAGGCTTCATTGATGATCAATTCTAAACTTGTAGGGTACACTAAAAAATCCAAATGTGTTATTAGTAAGTTAATTTCTTATATTGAATGAGGTCTATTCATTCTAATTGATGTAACAATCAGTTTAAAGTATGCACATTATATTAATCTTCCATAAAATAAGATTTTTTCATAATATGTTAGCACCGCATGTTTGTCCTTGGCAGTATAGCCATTTGGGAGCTTTCCTGTTGTTCATTTAAAAATTATTTGAGTGCCTCCTTGATTTATAAAAGTGCTTTGGGGTTTTTTTGGGTTTTGATATATGGGGAGCAGTCATATATGTTAATTTGATCCTCTCCTTGCTGTTATTTGACTATTGTCTAGCTCAAGCTTGTACAACCCATGGCCCTTGGGCCACATGCAGCCCCGGATGGCTTTGAATGCTTCCCAGCACGAATTTTTAAGCTTTCTTAAATCATTATGAGATTTGGCTGGGCATGGTGGCTCACGCCTGTAATCCCAGCACTTTGGGAGGCTGAAACAAGAGGACCACCTGAGGTCAGGAGTTCAAGACCAGCCTGGCCAACATGGCGAAACCCCGTCTCTACTAAAAATACAAAAATTAGCCGGGCGCAGTGGTGGGTGCCTTTAATCCCAGCTACTTTCAAGGCTGAGGCAGGAGAATCACTTGACCCCGGGAGGCAGAGGTTGCAGTGAGCTGAGATTGCACCATTGCATTCCAGACCAGAAGACAGAGTGACATTCCATCTCAAAAAAAAAAAAATATATATATATATATATATATGAGATTTATACATGGGCTTTTTTTTTTAAGCTCATCAGCTGTTGTTAGTGTATTTTACATGTGGCCCAAGACACTTCTTCTTCTTCCAGGGTGGCCCAGGGAAGTCAAAAGATTGGACACCCCTGGTCTAGCTAGAAGTCAAAGCAAAAACTTCACGTAAACACATGCTGAATTATTTTCCAAAACTATTAGAAAAATCAGACTGTAAGCCTTAAACAAAAAGAAAACAAAGCATTTTTCAATGTTATATTTTAAGGGACTTTTTCATGAAAAAGTTATTCATTTCACTGTTTTTGTAAGTAACATTTTATTTAAGTTAAATTTGTAATGGAATGTGAATATGGCTTATTGGAAGACCTTGAGGAAACTTTGAAGGATTTCCATTGTCCTGATATAATTTCTAGATTCAGAAATTTGAATGTTTCTTTTTTTAATCACTAAGCTTTTTGAGAAGTTTCTACAGACTGTTTTTCTGTTCACTGTTTTGTTCAATGAAATACCATCCTTTGTAGGCCATAATGGTACAGAATGAAAGAGCGCTGATAAAAGAACTGAAAAGAATGTCTGTTGAGATGTAAAGCTAATTAAGATTCCGTTTAATTTCTCATATTCTCTACATGAGAAAACCAATTATATAGCAAGACCACTCATATATGCTAATCTGCTGTTATTTAGGCTTTGGATTTTGAAATAGGAACATTAACATTCATCGTTCAGCATTTTATAGAGAAAATGTACTTTTTTCATGTCTGAAATAGTCTTTATAATGTACATCATGAGTATATTAAGGCCCCCTGAGAAGTTCCTAAAGAAAAGAATCCGGAAAAACCCTATGCTTTCCAAATTTATTTGATCCGAATTCATTTTTTAAGGAACACTGGAGTCATGCAAAATGCAGTTAGGTAAATGCTGGCTCAACAAGCTTCCAGGAGATCCCGCTGCACGTAACTGAGATGACCATTTAGAAGTCTGATCCACAGGGACCTTACATTTATCAGCACCAGATATTGTCTTCAAAGTGTAGGATTGGAATTTCTGTCTTTATTCCAATTTTATACTTTGAAGACAATATCTGGAGCTGATAAATCCTTTATCTTTTTTCATTATAAAAGAGAATATCACCAAACTTAGTGATAATTCTCTTTTATAATGCATCTTTATTGATATTTTAAGTTAGAGGTCAGCAAACTTTTTATGTTAAGGGCCAGATAATAAATATTTGAGGCCTTGTGGGCCATATGGTCTCTGTCACAACTACGCAGGTCTGCTCTTGCTGGGCAAGAGCAGCCATAGGCAATACATTAACAATTAAGCATGTGTTCCAATAAAACTTTATTTGCAAAAGCAGGTGGTAGGCCTGCTGGCCCATTTGAAGATAAAGTATAGCATAATCAAATTTTTTCCTCATGACTAAAAATAATAGTTACAAATAAACACTTTACAAAGCAGAACATAGAGATCATATAAAAATCCTTCCTGGTATTTATAATATACTTTTTACATGGTAGACTTAGCTTCTGATTATAGTTTGAGTTCCTTTTTATTTGTGAATACCTGGCTGACTGACATAGCTATTTTCGAGTAACTTTTTGTTCATATTGTTTACCTTTTTGGATATTAGGTGCTCTGTTTCTCTTTTTCTTTTTCTTTCTTTCTTTCTTTTTTTTTTTTTTTCTTGAGACAGTGTCTTCCTCTGTTGCTCAGGCTGGAGTGTAGTGGCGCGATCTCTGCTCACTATTGCAACCTCTGCCTCCTGTGTTCAAGCAGTCCTCCTGCCTCAGCCTCCCAAGTAGCTGGGACTACAGGCGCAAGCTACCACGCTAGACTAATTTTTGTAATTTTTTTAGAGATGGGGTTTCACCATGTTATTCATTTGATCTTAAACTCCTGAGCTCAAGCGATCCACCCACCTCAGCCTCCCAAAGTGCTGGGATTACTGGTGTGAACCACGGCACCTGGCCTGCTCTGTTTTTCTATAAAACAATTTCATTTTTCTCAAAAGGAGAACAGGTCAGACTCTCCTACAGATAATGCGGAACTGCATAGGAGTATTGGTTGGAGCAACAGTAGTCTATGACCAAACAAAAATGTTATGTGTATAAAACTTGGAATTGGTACCAACTTTGTAACCATCTTAGAAATAACATTTTACTGTGTACAGCTTATTATAACAGTATTCAAAATTGCATAATACGTCATATTAAGAAAATTATCTCTGTAATGCGTTAATGCACTGGGAGCTGCCTATTCTCTGACCAAACTGTTAGTTTGTTAATCTCACTTAACAAAACTAGAATATGTTCATTAATAATGTGTGAAAGACTGTTACACCATTTTTAACTCAGTTGCTGCAGTTGTCTAGTTGTAAGCAGCACTGCTTGCATGGTGCAGAGGGATATTTCAAAATATTATGCAGCAGCAGTTTTGGGTTTAATTGTCTGCAGATGGTAGATGATCTATTTTCCTTACTCGCTGCCACATTTCTAATAGTACCCAGGCTGTTCCATGTAAATTAGTAATCTTTCATGTAAGCCTGTCCTTAATTTTCCAATATTTTTTTGCATCATTTTCCAGCTGTATCATGTTAGAACTGATGTTTTAATTTTCTATTTTTTTTAAATATCTGTGTGTCATTAATGTTAACCACTTAAACACAACTGCTGAGCTGTGCAGGCAAACTAAGAAGCCAGCCTGGTCTGCTTCAAGACTCTTAATCATTTCTTTGTTCACATGTTAACCATGATAACTATAGCAAAGGCAATTCGTAGTTTCTATTCTTTTCCAACCAATACTTGGAGATGCATTTTTTATTCTCTTAAAGTGAAAAAATAAAGTTCCTGAATGGAAAGCTGCATGAAATTTAGATATCAGAGAAATTTTTCTACATAAAAACGTTTTTAGTGAAAGAGTGTAATATTCTTCTTTACAAAAGGGATTTAGTAAGAAGAGAAAACATTGTGATTTCAACAATAGAATGTTGAAAAACCTAATACGTTCTAAAAGCCTAAAGTTTGGATCACCAGAATTAACAATGAATCTTTCAGCACCACACTCAATTTCAATTGGAAACACTGCTCAGTCTTCACCTTTATTTAGGATGAATGTTTTTGGTTTTGTTTTCCTTTTTTTCTTCTTCAGTTGATCTATCCAAGATCTCAGCCAAACCTTGCAACTGTGTCATAGTTAGAAATCCAACTGCCTGACTAGAGCTTGTTTAAGGGAAAAGAATTCAGAATATTCAGCACCTTGCTATGTTTTTTTTTTCTTTTTTTCCTTTTCTTTTTGTTGTTGTTAGAACAAAGTTGAGACAATTTGATATACTGATGGGGATTCTTCTTGCTAGCCTAGCTTCAGTCTGGCTTTTTTTTCCCTCATGCATGCTGACCTGGAAATCCTCCTTTGCCTTAGCTGCGATAATCGTGACTCAGCTTACAACACCTTACATTCGCATCGCCCCCGCTGCAGGCGACGGCCAACTAACAGGTCAGATGTTCAAGTATAGACGAGTCATCTTGCCCATTTCCCACTCATTTTTCTCAGCTCTGTTTCCCCTCTACATTTCCTCCTTTGCTTAAGGCCTGTTTACAATGTTTCAGACCCTTGGTACAGACCTTTGCTCGTATTAAATTAAGTGACATGCTTGGCCTCTTCTGTGTGCACATTTATATCCATGCATTAAGTACAACTCCACTGCATGTTTTCATTGTGTGTTTGGTCTGTTGGTATGTTTCTTTCTAGACTAATGTTATATAGAAATGAAATTTGCTGGACTTGAAATAGCAATAACATCAAACAGGGTTTCCAACAAAATACATAAAGATATATTCCTAGTTTTCCAAATTAGTCTAAAATGGTATTCAGATTTGAGGGTGCAAGAGATTTATTTTTTACCTTGCCTGGTCTAGTTTGCACATACATTTAGCTATACACAATCTTGGCTGCCAGTAGTATTAAACGAAGCCCCCCAAAGGTGTTTAGGGTGGCAGTGTTCTAACAGCTTTGTGTGTATGTACAATAGTTGCAGAGCTGATTGCATTCCTTATAGATCCTTGTTTCAAAGCATAGTGTTTATATAAATCATGCAGTGGCATATCTGCAAGTCAAATGCTTTGAATAATTTAGGAAAGTTTAGAAAAATTGAATGGCTTAGAGTCATGGAGTTGAACTGTGCTTCCTTATACCAAGAGAAGTGAGCTTGTTCACTCTTCCCTCTAAAGCCTTATAGACATCTCTATACATTCATATAGGAAAAGAGTCCAGTAAATTACTTCAGATTGAAGGTGAGTAGTTAGTGAACTCCAAAAGACAAACTTTTTTGCTTCAGCAAAGGCAAGTCATTGTCAAGATTTCTAACATGATTACCTGGGCAGGACTCAAAATTCTGGTTTCAGAAGCACCTGCTTACAGTCTAGGCCTGATGAAAGCCAAGTAAGAAGCAGAAACTACTTTCTATATGATTTTCACTCCAGCAATTGTTTTTTGTGTGTGAAACTAGGCAATGTCCCCTAACATTTAAGAAAATGGTAAAGCTTAACTCATGGTAGTAAATTACAAATGTTTAAGTTGTTCTGTGAACTTATTATTTTGGACAGTAAAGAAAACTAAGCCTCAGGAAAATTGTAGACTGATGTTATAAGGTAAAGAAATGTAAAATAATTCTATTTCCTTCTCCACTGGAATTCTGTACATATTTTCAGTTTTAAAGCTATCAATTTATTGACAGTTCTGTTGCCCTTGCCTGCAAGTTTCTTTTAAGAGTATTTCTTTTCCTGATTGAAGTTCTACTTGTTACAGACTCTTCCTGCTCCTGAACTTCTGAAGTGTTCTTCCCACAAGTAAAAGTATTTGAGGGACAGTGCCTTTCTTAATAAGTCCTCCCCTCTAAAACCTTGACCTTTCAGGACTGGCCTGTGGCACTCTGTGTAGGGTTAGGAGTCCATCTTGAAGGTTATTGGGATCCTTCAGCAACTCTGACCACCCATTGTGTCTGAGCTGGCCCCAGACTCATCAGTACATTGTTAAAAATGGGTTGTTCCCACCTTCATAAAACAAGTACTTACGAAATATAATTCAGTAGTCCTTTTACCAAGCTTTACCTATAATCCACTAACTTCAGATGAAGCATGCTGTTTACTAGGAATGAAGTAAGCGAGGCTTCTGAATATAGTTTTCACTCTAAAACTCGCCTGATTCAGAAGATACTTCATAAAGCAGCCCCCGTCGTAAGGCATTTAGACACAGTGAGTGTCATTATTTTGGAGCTAGTCTGAAGGACACACACACAACTGCAGTGCATGGCTGCTATTCCTCCTAAGGGCTACAGGTGATCTACCTCATTTACTTTGGTTTATTAGGGATTAAAATGATGGTGTATCAGAATAAGCCTCAAAAACCAGTAAAAAACTACTCTTGTTCTTTCTTCAGTATTTACTGCTGGTTTTAATGATGGTTAGTCTTACCCAGATAAATTCACACTCAAATAATATTTCTTTTGCATTTTCCATTTGCATCACCCATCAACTTCGATAGCAGTGACACTGTCTTTTTTAAGGGATTTATTCATGAGTCATACTGCAAGCCTGAGACTTAATTCATTCAGTCATTTATTTGACATTTATTGAGCACCTTATGTGTGCCAGGTATGAATCGACCAACTCTTTTCAGGAGTTTTACTTTGTATGGTTGCCTAGACACCTTGGCATCAAGTACATTTGCATTAGTAACCCCAAAACCTACATAAGTGCATACTCAGATGAGTGAAAAATTGGTATCATACTTATCATTTAGCAAAGCTAAGAAAAGACAGCAGTTTTATAACTGATGGGAACCAAAGGACCTGTATTTCAAACCGTTTCTCACTGTGGTAAACAGCCTAGGAAGTGGTCGGTGTGACAGCTCTGAACATTTTCTATCTGTGACCCATTCAACCGTTGTGTTTAATAGATCAATCCTGTCCCTTCCAGAAGCCAATAGAAGATATAGGAGGTATACATTCTGAAGTCTTCAGCCATTTTTTGTTCATTTTGTTCTAACTGTGCTGACATCTTGCCCCTAAAAATCCTATTTGATGCTATACTTGCACTGGGAAGCTTTTGTGAGATGATGAGTCCTTTGCCTTGCTGTCCCTGTTGTACTGGTACGTGGTGCTTGCTGGTTAGGTTTCCCTTGGTGTAGGTGGGCCCTCCCCTACTTGTCTACCACCAATGAAAACAAGAACCTTGGTGATCTGACCCCAGCACCTAGGACTGTGCCAGGCATGATAGCCACTCAGGAGGCTGAGGCAGGAGAATTGCTTGAACCCGGGAGGCAGAGGTTACAGTGAGCTGAGATCAAGCTACTGCACTCCAGCCTGGGTGACAGAGTGAGACTCTGTCTCAAAAAAAAAAAAAAAAGTGCTCATAAATATTTCTTGACTGAGTTCATTGAACGGCCCAGTTGTCAGGAGGGTTCCAGAGAAGGAATTTGTGGAATGCTAGGACATTTCATGAGCAGTCCTGTCATTGCACTAGGGAGTGTTGCTTAAACTTCTTGACCCCAATCAATGATAAGAAATACATAACTACCCAGTACTGTATATACACATATACATACATGTACATTTAACTGTAATGAAAACTTTTAGAACCGTACTTCCAACACTACTCACTGCAAACATAAGATATACCCTGATTTTTGTATTCTGTTCTACATTATTCTTTTTCATTTTTTTAAAAAAAATTCTGGTTGCTGCCTTCTAAATTGATTTCATTTCCCGTTAATGAGTTGTCATCCACAATTTTTAAAAAAATGCTTTGCTAAGTTACTAACTAGATTTAGGAGATAGTAAAGGGGAGTGGAATGTCTGATTGGAATGAAGGTTCTGTCTACCTCAGAAATCCTACTCTAAAGAGTACACACAGAGTAAGTTCTAGAAATTGGAAATGCCCCTAGTCTCTTTCTTCCTTTTATCTCGCGATTCACTGTTCATAATACAGAAATGATTTGGGAAGAAAGTAGAAAGCTATACATGGTAGGAATTTCTCTTTAAAAACTTTTTATTTTTCACATATATCTAGGCTTTTTAAATTAAGATATCTTTGTTTATGATTTAATAACCCAGCCAACCCTGACATGCTGTGGAGAATGCTATATGTGTGTGTATACATATATATATATATATATATATATATATATATATATATATATATATATATATTTTAAATCAGTAGACCTTTCCATTGCAAATAAAACAAATCCTAGGTGTTTCAACTCACAAAAGCATGAAACAGCATTGTCTGTCTGTCTTGTTCCCAGTGTAGCCCACAGGCACCCAGGAAGTGTTTCAAATTGTTTGCTGAATGACTGAATGAATAACAGTTGATGACCTGTCTTACTAAATTTATTCCTAGGTATTGTATAGCTTTCATTTATTATTGTGAGTAAATTTTGATTGAGGGGAGGAATATTTTGAAATTGGTTTATTTTGTCTTCTTTTGACTGATTTTATGTTACTTTATGCAAGATTACAAAATATCTCTTTTTAATATGTATATATATATAAATTTAATAAGCTTTTCCATTGCAAATAAAACAAACCAATGGTTTTTCAACCCACTTACAAAAGCATAATTTCGATCACCCATTTCTTTTGGCAAGAGCCATAAAAAGGTTGAATGTTAATTGATTTTCTAAGAGAATGACCCAGCCACTCCCACCAACATTATCTGTTTTCCTCCTACTCTGCTGACTGTCTGTCCATTTCTCTACTTCCCACCAGTCAGATCCCATTTCACATCCTAAGTCCTCTTTATCTTCAGTAAACCGTGGCAGAGCTAAGATGTAGGTAGATAATGTCTGTCCTTCTGGGGACCCAAGGTTCTCTATTTGTAAGATGAAGATATAACTGATTGGATCTTAGCCACACTGAGTAGCAAGGAGGACAGTATATGGCTTGAAGATGGTGGGATTGTTTACTGAACATTAGCTTAGTTAGTAGCAGTAACAGCAGGTACAAAGGTCCGGTGGTGTGATGAAGCATGGTCAGATATGAAGAATTGCAGAAAGGTCATCATGGCTGGAGAGCAGAGAGCGAAAAGGATGTGTGGGGTGAGCAGTAAGGTGATACAGGCAGAGCAAGGCCAACTGTGACCGTGTACCTTACATTAAGGACTTTGGTCTTGATCCCAGGAGGAGTGGGAAACAATTGGAGTGTTTTAGGAGAGACAGAAAGGATCAGTTTTGCACTGTGTACTCCAAGCCACACTAGAAACATTGGAGAAGAGATGAAAAAGGCCAAAAGACCAAAAGTAAAACTATAAGAAATGGAAGACTGTCCAACACACTGGAAAAAAAAGAACAGAGTAAGTAGATGTGAATAGAAGAGGTAAAAGCCAGGAATTAATACAGTAAGTACTGGTCATGGGGAATGGATCAGCTGCAGCCAGCATGGAGGAGCACATGCTAGGGAACTTAAGGGACAGGGTCAGCCATATCAAAGGAATGCTTAGAATCCCTTCCAGGGGCCATATTTTATATATCTTTAAACTTTCCTCAGCCTGCCACTCAGTGCTTGGCACATGAACGGCACTCAGAGTCCAGCTGTATTGTTTTTTTTTTTTTTTTTGATGGGATGAAGTTATTTGTAAAAGATAAAATTCCCTTGAAGGGTGAACTAATTTTCACACTGCTTTTTAAAAAAAATAACATCCTTGCCACAGTGGCACTTCCACCTGTGACTGCAGTCAGGGTGAATGTGGTTTCAGGAGGGGCAACTGGACCAAGAGCTACACAGACCCCCTCCAGTTAGCCTTCCTTCAGACGGTGCATACAGTTTAGCTCTGACAGAAACCAAAGTTGCAGCTTTCTGTCCCTGAAATATGTAGCTTTAGGGAGCTGTCCTGTGAGCACTATCCTCTACTACTAGAGAAGCTATCATTCATTCATTCATTCATTCACTCATTCATTGTTTCCATCGATGCGCTTTCACCCCCTAGGAGAGCTGGCCCTACCATGAGCTCTACATAAGAGAGGAGGAACATTCATGGAAGTGTAGGGTATGCTCTTTGCTCTGCAGGAACTTATATTTAGTGCCTTTGTTAAGACCAACATAAACAGTTCAATAAATGCTCCACTTCCATAAGCTTACCAACACCTTGAACTATTTGTAATAGTGGTAAGTGGGTAATGAACTAAGTTAACATATACTCAGTTGCACTCGAAAACGTACTATCTCTATGATACCAGAGTCATTTTCAGTGTCAGAAGCTTCAATTTAACCTTTTGAGAGAATTTTGGATAAAAATTAAGGGAAGAAAATGCCTCCTTTAGATTTCTTTGTAAATAAAAGATGGCTAAACTCTTCATTTAAGCAGATAACCAACTGATTGAAAGTAGTGGCTAACTTAAAACTACCATTTTCCAACTAACTAGGTATCTTACTTTTTGTCAAATGTAGTATTCTGTAAATATAAGATGATTAACAATTCACACACACTGTTGTGGGCATTTCATATTAAATGGCAGAGGGGGATATCAGTGCTATGTGTTTCAGCTACGGAAGTTAATATAGAGGGTTGGTGTGAGGAGAATTTGAGATTTTTGAGATTTTCAGCATCTCTTTCAAGGGCTGCTTGAGGATTCTGAAATTTCCTTTCTGGCTAGAAAGAATGTAAAATGAGGGTAAAATTTTATTCTTTCTGCAATACCAGCTGACTGCATTTTAATGGGCTATAGTGTCACTGTTGATTTATTGCCCTTTTTGTTCTTTTATGTGTTATATTTGTCATTTTGCTGTGGCAGTTTCATCTATAAAACAGTATAGTTACAAGAAAATGGTGAGAGGATACAGGCATGCCATGAGGGATGCTGTTGCTTTTTTCTTGTCATTTTTTGGAATGGAATACTGAGTCAAATGTCAAGTATTTGATTTCAGAAACAATATATTTTAAAATCTCTATATTGCACTGAAATAGTATTATTTTCCATTTGTATTATGTAAACTTAAGAATTTCTATGTAAAAGATTTTCAATGTATAAAAACAATTTAATTTTTTGATACCATTTTGTGGTTTTCTTTTCTATCAGCAGTGTGATGAAGGAAACCAAAACAATATTTTATACTGTCTTTTGTTTGCTTAAGGCATAGAGCTTTCTGGCTTGAATGGCATATATTGAAATTTCATATTTTAGGAAACCTAACTTTTAATTTTGACGTTAATTTGGTGTATTACGCATATCCAAAAAGAATACTGAAAAGAAAGTTTTGAGCTCAAAATTAGCCAAGAGTTTGGTAAAAGATACGAAATACTATGAAAAAGAAAGTACTTTCAGTTTAAAAAACACTTGAAGATTTTTGCATGAAAGATTTTATATTGATAGTGAAATTGTTCTTGCCTTTTTGATAAGGAAATATATTATTTCAATTTTTAAGTAAAATTAAACCAGTTCATTCTTGATGTTAATAAAAATGAGAAAGGCTGAATGTTTTTTAAGTATTTATCAAAGCTGAATAACAATATCTGTGTCACTAGTTCTTTATCTTTACTCTGGTGACTAGCATGGAACTAGACACATAGTTGCTGTTCCCTGGCTGTACTGTTGATAGATACCAATTGTGATATTTTGATTTTCATCCATTTATTTATTTTAGGAAATTATTACTACAATTTAAAGTATAAGGAATCAATATTCAGTCTAACAGTTTTCAGTCTAAAGATCCCAGTGATGTCCCTTAGCATCTGTAGGCAAATGGCTGTGTTGTACTGCTGTGTGATTAACGTTGTGGTTGACTTTGGATTTAGGCTCTCTTGTACATAAACACTTTTAGATTACTATTATTATAAAATACCTAGTATTTGTGAGAGTTCTTTGAAAATATTTATGGTTGTGTTCCAATATATTAGATCCATTCAGAATGGAAAGGAAGTCAGAATTTCCTTCATCATCATAAGACAGCAGGATGTAGAGGAGGCAACAGATCAAGAAAATATCAAGAATTAATTTAGAATAAATGATACCCCTTTTTGAAGAAAGGATTCTTGTTTTAAATACTTTCACCAACCTTGTCAAAAAATCAAGGGAGAAGTCAGGCTGGTGAATGGAAAGAGAAAAAGCACAGTCCTTAGAGGAGATGCACCTCATTTGCCCTTTCAGCAATATCAGTGTGAAACGTGTTCTTCCATGTCTCCAATGGGCTGAGAGTGAGGCCCAAAGTCTTTTAAAAGTTGTCTTCTAAGATTCTATCATGTTAAAAATATCACCTACCTCCCCATTCTGCAACATGCACATACTACTTTTCTACTTTTAGGATTGCTGCTGTTGTTTTTAATGTGAAAGGATCTTGGATTTGGCGTTCATTTCTGATTATTTCTCAAGTCATGGCTTTTCCAGCTTAGCTACCCTATATTCTTGAAATAACCTCTCTCTGTCTGGGGAGGTTGTCCTTAGGAAAAGGGGAGGAGAGGTCGCTCTCCATGGTGGAACTGTTGAGTGAGAGCCGTTGTCCAGCTGCTGTCCCATCTCAAATGCTTGTTGACTGGAAAGCCTGGGCTCCATGAAACCGCAAGGCCAAGCATGGTGCATCTTCTGGGAGCATCACTTTCCTTGATGATAAATAATGCAAAAACGTTTTTGTCAAAAATTGATGTATTGTGGAATGAAATGCAACATTTGCATGCTTTATTAGAAAGATCAAAAGTCTTAAAAGAAAGATCGACAGTCTTAATAAAAATGTCAAGCTTGCAGTGGGCCACCTAAGATAAAGCTGAGCTTCCTGCTGGAATTTGTTCTCTCTCCTTCCCTTAATGGTACAGATGATAGGAAAGTGTACCTCAGGGGTAGACTCCAGATCATTTTCAAACCCACATGGCCCACTTCATTGGCAGTTTTCTAACATGTTAGATAGGAATCTGGACTTAACAGTCCCCTAACTGTGATTTTAAAAGGGAAATTCACACAGGAACTCTGGAACCCAATGCACACAGTTTAGAAAGCATGTACACAGCAAGTAGTGGGTTCAAGTCCAGGCTTCTTGGGGAAATCTCTTGATCTCTCAACATCTCAGCTTCCATATCTGTAAAACAGGGAGAATACTATTTCTTTACCTCATAGTTAGTGGTGAGACATCGAGTGCAAAAATGCACGTAGAGTAGAGCACAAACCTGGCTCCAAGGGAAGGCAGTGGAAATAGCAGTTGCTGGTGCTTCTCATGTGGCTTTGTTGTTGTTACTCTAATATAGGATTGTTTTATGGCCCATGAGGCTTTCAAGATGACTCAGTAATTAATCCAGGCCACTGCCAGTCCCAAGTTGACACTGCAGCTCTTCAGAGACATTCAAAATTGAACTTCTGGGAAAATGAATGGATTTCTTGATAGTATGTAGGGTATTATTTACTTGAACACCATGTGGATGCTGTGGTCTCCAGGAGCACCGAAGCAAGAGAGGGACATTATTATTCTGTCACATGTGAAGACCTGTGATGAGTCTCCCACTGATGATATTTTCCATTTACCTGTCTTTGGGATAAAAGCAGCATCAGCATGACCCAGGCTGTTACCTTGCTGTTGGCAATGATAAGCAATGCTGGTGTTGGTGATGCTGATGAATAAAGTTACTGCATTTTCAAATACAGCTATTTTATTTCAAGCAGTAATAGCCCAAAACAGAGCATAACCTATTTTATACTTCCCTGCCACCCAGCACACTGAATAGAACACCAGGCTCCCTTTCTTGGCCATTTGAGGTTCCTTTGTCCCTCAGCGTCCTTAGTTTAGATGAGGATGCCTTTCTTTGTGTTTATATTTCAACAGCATCAGTTCTCAAGAGAGCATGAGGGGATGCACTTTAATAGAACTCTATTATATGGATTATAGATATCTTATGTAATAACCTTTTCAGACACTAAGTATGAAAGTAGACAAATATAAAGCTATTTGTAAGGGAATGAGAAGTCTTACTTAGAAGCAGGGCTTAGCCACGAATTTTCTTCAACATGCTGTTTTTCTGTTTAGAGGAATAAATAACTGTCTCTGAGAAACAATGTTTGAAAATAAACTTGGCACCTGCCTAGGAGTTAATAAATGGCATCTGCTTAGTATATCGATCAGTATCTCTGATGAGCTTTTCCATTTGCTCTAGTAAATATCCAAGCAATGCATCACTTTAGCAGTGTAACTGATGTTCAGTTTAATATGTGTAATTTACTTATTGGTGTTGCTAATGATGCAGTTATTAATTATGGCTTATTATTAATTATAACATAGTTTATTCAAGTTGGAGCTCTTAGTCAAAACACATACTGGCATACCAACTTTTGTCTGAGATTTTGTGTAGGTGTTGTCCTTACAGTGATTTAATTTGGTATTTTTTACTCAGGATTTTATGTAATACCTCTTCACAGTAAACATGATAAACAAAAGTCTTTGTGATTGTAGTACCAATTCAGTGGGTTCTCCTTATATGTCTTTGAATAATTTCTTTAGATATTGGTATATGTTTATGTACAAATGCACACACGTGCACATAGGTAAAGACAGCATCAAAGTGAGTTGCATGTGTCTTTTAGCCAGTTTAGGGACTTAATAAAGGGAATTATTTATATTTCTGCCTTACTTCTATGAGTAACAAAGTCCGAAAATGCTCCCATGGTAGGATCATAGGACTGCAATAGCCATTTTGTTAAATAAAATTACTTTTAATAGTTTGAATCCTACTAATTATCTTATTAGACATTTCTCTGTTTTTTACTTTCTGAAGAGCCCCAGACCATTGTAATTAATATACAGCAGAAATTTTGGCTAGTTTAAAGACTTCTAAAACAAACTCCATATACAATCATGACAAATTACCTATATCTATTTAATCATTGCAAGTATTGAGTTTATAACACTTTATTCTTGACAGATACTCACTTTGTGTCTCTCTGATATGTACCTAGTTAACGTTCTAGTCATTGTTGGATATATATTTCACAGCGTTGAGTGCTGAAGATATAACGTTTTGCCACTAGTATTTATTTCCATGCTCTTACTTCCTGTTAGTCTCTTTTTATCATTGATGAAAGTTTGGCCAGCAAATTTTCTGGTAAGGATTTTGTCTTAGTCTGTTTTCTGCAGCTGTAACAGAATACCACAAATCAGGTCATTTATAAACAATAAAAATTTATTTGACTCATGGTTCTGGAGGCTGGGCAATCCAAGAGCATTTTGCTGGTATCTGGTAGGGTCATCTCATGACAGAAGGCAGAAGCAAGCAAGAGAGACAGAGAGGAGAAATCAGACCAAACTCATCCTTTTATCAGAAACCCACTTCCACAATAATGACATTAATCCATTCATGAGAACTCTGACCTCATGACTTAATCATCTCTTAAGGACTCCACCTCTTAATACTGACTCTTACAATGGCAACTAAATTTGCAACATGAATTTTGCAGAGGACATTCAAACCACAGTAGACTCTCATCTGTCATCACCATACTAAGAAAAACCCTTCTTTTCTTCCTGGCCATCTCTTGGCATCCTCAGTGGAGCTCATGTTCAAACATCTTCCTTCTTTCTTAGCATGTGAGGGCCACAAAGATGAGTAAGACTACTTTTGTCTCAAGGAATTTATGTTTAGTGTATGACATAAAGATTTACCAAAATAACTGAACTTGAGTTTGAAAATAGTTAAGTTCTGTGCAAGAGGGGACAAGCAAGGTGCTCTAGGAGTTCAGCAGGAGAGAGAATACTTTTCTGCAAAGCAATTAGGAGCAGTAGTTGGAATGTGTGGCCTTTGAAGATGGATAGGATTTGAACCTACACAAATTGAGTAGGGAAAGCTCCTATGCAGCAGGAGCAAAGGCCTTGGGAAGGGAAATATTGAGGGTTTGGGGAAACTGGGCATTTCCGTTTGGTGTATTTCAGAAAGGAGGGTGGCATAATATTAGGAAAGGGGGTTGGAGTTAGCTCATGGAAGGCCTTTTGAAATAATCATTTAGAAGCTCTTGGATTTGATTTTGTTTTTTTAAATGAAAGAGTGACTTGATTGGAGCTATTATTTAGGAAGATCCATACGGCTGCACTATGTCAAAGACACTGGCTAAGGTATCTACTTGGGAGTCAGGCATAAAAATCCAGAAGAGAAATAGATGGCAGTGAGAATAAAGAAAAAAATATGTAGCATTTTTAGACTTGTTAGAGATTGGGAAGGACAGTAATAACTGACCTCTCTAGTGTCAGATGACAATTCTTTAACCCAAGGGCGGAATAAACCTCCTTTGTAATTTATTCCAGTTTCATGGACTGAATACAACCAAAATTCATTTACTTGCTCTTTTACTGAATACTGACTACATTGTGCATAGACAGGGGAAAGCCTCTCTCAGCCTTTCTCTGTACAAACTTGAACTCCTGCTTTTACACTTATATGTTCAAAAATATTTTTCTCCATCTATACACAGACCACTCATGGTTATTGTTCTCTTTACAAATGCTTCTTGTGTCTTTTACAATATCCGTTCAGTAAAGGCTTGTCAAATGCCCACCGTGTTAAAGAGACTGTTAATCACTAGACAGCAAAGGTGGTAAGAAATGATCTTTACTCTTGGGAAGCTCCGATGGCAGGTCACCTGCTTGCCTTCTCCTGCATTAGATAAATGACCCTAGTTCCTTTTATCCTTCTTCGTAGTCCTTCTTTTTTACCTCGTTGATCATTTGTGCTTCTTTTCTTTGATTCCTTTTCCTCATCCACATGATGACTAGTATATCATGCTCCAGGATTATGTGCATGCCATTACTCTCATACATTTCAGAATTGTATTGATCATATTACCAGATCTTTCTTTTCTGCACTTTGGCCAGGAAGTCCTTTCTCCTCTTGTTTTTCTTTCGGAATTATTAGTTCCTTATTGAATTGTTCATTCTTTCCTTTTTCATTCTTTCCTTTTTCATTCTTTTGTTAGGCCCTCCTCTTTACAACTGACCAAGATCACTTTTAACTTGAGTCTTGTATTCCATAGCATGAGCAATAACCACTTGAGTTTTCTGTATTATATTGGGGAATGCTGTAGTGCAATGAAATAGGAGTCAGCTTCACAGTCAGACACCCTGGGTTCAGAGTATAGCACCATTCCTTCTCTTTCACTGACTTAGGACAAGCTGTTTATCTTGATGGCTTCTGTTGCTTCAGTTTCCTCATTTGTAAACTGGTATTAATTATACTTCATGGTATAATATTAAATAAAAATTATATAAGTTACCCAGCATATAAAGTAGGTCTTCAAAAAGATTAGTTTTCTTCCTTCCTATCTTATTTAGTAGCACCCAGGCAGTTGATCAATATACTTTAAATTCCTTTACAATTCAGAGTGTCTTCCAATCTCTACATACTGGGGCTAGTCATAAATGAGGATTTGATTCCACCACGTTTGCCTCTTCATTGTATAAAAGGATCTTTTCAAATAGTGCAATCAATGATGGAAATTGGATCGCTGAGAAAGTAAGATATTATTATATTAGGAGATGTTTTAAGGATAACAACACAATTACATTTTTTTTCTCATTTTGCCATAGTCTGAAAAACTTCCCCACTCATACTTTGGAGCCATAGTTCTAGAGTTGGTTTTTTCTCCATGTTGTGTAGGGAATCCCCAAAAGTGTTACATAGATTCCTGGGTCCTACCTCAGACCTTTGATCCAGAATCCACGGGGAACCCAGCCATCTGCATGTTTCAAAGCTCTCCAAATGATTCTTCACCCAGCCTGAGTTTTAAACTTCCTATAATTGGAGACCCTCTGTTTTAGAATATATTAAACACAACGCCACAATAAATATAAGCCATATTTATTAAAGCCATTTATTGTTTGAGGAACTATTGTGTGTTTACTAAATGAGAGTCTGGAGAGTACATGACTTCCACTCTCTCCTAAGACCGTGTGAGTCCTCATCACAATTCTAAAAGGCCATCTTTTGTGTGTGTAGTTCTTAGGCCCTGTGAAAGTCATGTCACACATCTCATGCAATTTGCTAGGCTCTACATTTTTTGAGCCTCAGAAATACTGATACTTCTAGCAAGCATACAGAATAGACTAGGTATACTTACTTTTTGATGAGATGGTGAATGACAAATTTCAGACAGCAGGAAAAGCTCTAAGTGGTTTTTGCAAACAACAACTACTTTGTGTAGGAAGCTGTGGTGATCCTTTCTCCCACAGGAAAAAATGTTAAGAGGTAAACACGAGGTCTAGACCATGACCTAAAATACAAATCTGGAAGAAATTTTGAGAGACAGTAGGTTTCCATTTTAATGCCTTCAAAGTTTAGTTTCAAGCAAATGGTTGGAAACTTCCATTCTGAACTACATCACCTTCAAGAATCATCTGTTTTGGAAGCAGCCACCCCCACTTCCTTTCTTGATTATTCACTTATGTGAAAGTTGCACACAGTTGATAACTTATTATTGACAGTTTGTTTCCCTATTTTATTACTTGATAATGATTTGAGAAATTCAAATGGAAAAAATAAAACTATTTCATCAAAATAGTAAGAGCAGTAATAATTCTCTTGGACTTTTAGTGTCCAGATGATAAGTGATAAGGCTTTGATAGATCATCTTCTCCACAGGGCGTCAGCCACATCAATAAATGAGGCAGTAACTGTCATGAAATTAGAACAAAAATAAAAAAAAGATTGATTTTTTTAGAGAAGATATATATCAAACAATCCATTATCTCAGTCTTATATGAAAAATTATGTTTCTGATTATTACTTGTACATTGTATATGCTCTGTTTGCCCTACACTGGAAATTAGGGACAGAAGAAGAGTTATAAATTCAAAAGCATAATCAGGTTACAAAGAATACACAAAATGTGACTGTAGATTATTCCAGGAATAGTGATTGACTTCGCATTCCCAGGAAGAAAAACAATAATATGTAATTTAAATGAAAAATCTAGGAGGTGTTTTGTGATTATGTATAATGTGAAGAAGGAACAGCTGGAAAAAACTAAACAAGACTGCAAAGGATTTTAATTCTCTGGGCAACAAGACCTGAATGAACTGTCTCACAATGATCTTTAAAACAAGGATGTTGCTGTTTTTAAGAAAAAGTATAGAAATTTACCTCTGCATATGTTCACACACACACAAAAGGAAAATTAATTAAAATAGAGTATTCCATGAAAGTCATTAAAATGCTAGCACAAAGTGATGGAGTACTGAATTTAAATTTTAGATTATCTTTTGGGACCAGTGCTCTTTGAAACGCACTTGAAGGAACAATATTTTTACATATTTCCACTGCTTCCATTTTATTTTCTACTTTTAGCTCTTCTCCCTGTCGCATCTCTTAAGGTTTTTCAGCCTCCTCAGCTTTTCTTTTCAGCAGTTCCCATTGTTACTGTCCTTAGCCCCTTTTTTCTTCCTTTCTCCCCAAAATACCAAGAGTGGCTTTGTGGTATTTGGTTTGCCACCGAAACCTTTTGCATGTGGTGTGAATGGGGTAGTTTGTTGCTCAGGTTCAATTCAGACATTGAACCCAACACACAGCCCCAGCTGGCCATGTAGTCCCAGAGCCATTGTGGGTGTTGTCACCTGTACACAGCTGACTGTGCCTCTGTGAGTCTCTTGTGTCCTGCTCGTTCCAGCCACCCTTGCAATTCAGGCAGGGGAGGCTCCAGGCCTGGGTGGGGCAGTAGCCTTCCCATGGCTCCCCAACTTCCTTCCCTTCCCTTCTTCAGTGAGCCTGCGTATTGCTGCCCAGTTGTTCTCAAGGTACTGTTCTGTTATTTTCTGTGGTTCCTTATTTACTAAATTTAATCTGGGCTGTCCTACCCAGTGAGCAACACCCATCCCACCATAAAGCCTCAGTTCCAAATCCTCTTCCCAATCACCCCCAGCCCCTGCTCCAGACCCTGCCCTTGAAGCTAGTATGTGACTCCAGAGGCCCCTTTGTTCTGGCTTATGAGGCACTCTTCCCACCCAGCGTTGAAGCCTTCCCGGTCCTTCCAGCCCATTCATTATCGCAGCCTCTGACAAGGAGCCCTCCCTCATCCCCTCCACTCTTCCCCAGCTGGACTCTGTAGCTTACCTGTGACACTTAAGGCTTCTGGCCTTATTTACTGTGGTCAACTCCCTGAAGGAAGAGGCACATACTCAACTCTAATTCCCCTGCAGAGCCTTGTTCCAGTACCTTGAGCACAAAACGTACTAAATAAGGGGCTGCTAATTCGGAGGCTGTGGAAGCCAACATGAGCCACACATATGAACAGGACAGTGCTGGCCCACGTTCACGGCTTCATCCCTTATATTTAGAGGGAACGTCAAGTGTCACAGGGATGCTTCTGTATCTCTGATCTGAACACTGGTCACACCCCTCCCCAATGTAAGTCTGAGTGGGGATCACCCCCTACCTTTTTTTTTTTCCCTCCTCTTCCCCTTCTTCATCCTAACTAGGAGGAGTGAAGAGACGGCCCAGGGCTCTGCATGCTCTTGGATACAGCCACAGCCCCACTTCCCACCCTCACTGTTGGCTCGTGGCCATCAGGATTGCTCTCACTGGCCCACCTTCCCCTTCTCTCTCACGCCTTAGCCCCCTTCCAACCCTGTCTTCTGTGTCCTTGGAACTCCTGGTTGGCTACCAGCAGATCCCACCCATGCCCAGCCTGGGACATCCCTCCCTTCCCTCTTCTAGACAACTTCAAAACTTTTTGGCCTGAGATTTCTCACACCTCCGTTCTGGTCCTCAGTCTCCCCTCATCTTCTTGGTTCCTTTTTCCCTGGGAAAATGAAGCCATCAAAAGAGACCTTTCAAATGCTCTGCTCCCAGACCAGCGCATCTGCCAAGAGCCTGTGCATTGCTGCGTGTGTGGCTTTCTGCTGTTCCTCTGGGTGAAACATCAGCCCTCGTGGTTCTGCGCGCTGGTCTCACCTCCCGCCTCTGCAAGGGCTTCCCTCCAGCAGGCAGCTCCTTTCCCTCCCGCATCATCAACTTGCCCTCTCTATGGTATCATTAGCATTCGCATTCAGAGATGCTGTCATTTCTCCCATCTTAAGAAAAAAAGACTGTTTCGTGATCCCTTTCTTCCTCTCTGGCTGCTCCGTGCGGATGCTCCCTGTGTCTGTATTCGCCTGGACATCCGCCTCCATGTGGCTGAGTTCCATCCTCCTTGACCCGCCATTGTTTCCCTTGTTCACTTCCTAAGTGTCCCCCGGCCGACTCATGACTGTAATCACCATCTTTTTTATGACAACCTCAAATTTATCTTCTACACCCAGATCTCTCCCCTGTATATCCATCCAACTGCCTACTTGCTATCTCTTTTGTATGTCAAATATCTCAAACCTCATTGGTCCAAAACTAAACTCTTGGTCTGCCCACCCACCCCTCCAAACCTGCTCCTCCTGCAGTTCTCGCCCTGTCAGTTAGTAGCAGCTGTGTCTGTCCAGTGACTCCTGCCAGAAATCTGGTTGTTATCCTAACACACTCGACATCCAGTTCATCGGCAAAACTGATGGCTGGACTGTCACAGCGTGTCTCAAGTTTGATGGCATCTTGCCACCTGCACTGCTACCTTCTCACTCCAAGCCATGAGTGTCTTCCCTGCATCTTCGTAATAGCCTCGTAACTGAGGTCCCTGCCTCCACCGTGGCCCGCTACAGCCTGCAGTACACACGGCTGCCGGGATAGTGTTGTTGAATATAAGCCAGATCAAGTTCCTCCTCTGCTCAGAATCCTCCCAAGGCTTCTCAAGCAGAGAGAGTCCTTCCAGCTATCTAAGGAGGTGTCCCCACCCTAAAATTATGCTTCACCTTCTCCGCAGTTCACCGCACTCCAGTCACACTCAGTATTTCAGTCTCATTTGCACCTTTTCCCTTTTTCTCCTCCCTGGATGTCACTCTCCCACTCCCTTTCCTCTTTCAGGTCTCTGCTCGAATGTTATTTTCTCAGTAATTCCTTCTCCAATCCCCCATCCTAATAGCTGCCTTGCCTTCACCCCCCAGCCCACTCCCCTTGATTTTTCTCTACAGCTAGCCTGGCCAGACACTGCCTACAATATTGGTTTACCTTGGTGTCTGTCTTCCCCACAAGGATTTAAGTTCCATGAGGTCAGAAGTTTTTGTTTTGTCCATCTGCTCACCACTGTATTCCTTAAACAGTGCTTGGCAAGCAGTTAGCTACTCAATAAATGCTTGTTGAATAAATGAAGAATATTGCTGGATTTTTTTCCTCCACATTCAAGGTCAACCTCGTACTAGTCACCACCGTGCAAAGTTCTGCAGCTGAGCTGTCCCTGCGGCTCTTCCTAACCCTGCCACTCCCCTCCCTTTGGGAAAGCTTCCCGTTCACTCGGGGTGAAAGCAGCCCGTGCTGTGGGCAGCATGGTCAGTAGCTCTGGGCACCACTGACAGCCTTCATGGCCTTCTGGGCTTGTACCCTTGGATCTTCTGGGAAAATTTGTGCAGCCAGTTCAGTAGTCAAAATTGGGCCCAGACCTCAAGCCAGTGGCTGAGTACATCGTGTTCTCAGCCTGGCTTGCTGCTGTTATTTAATTTAATGTTGAACACTGGGCCAAAGTGGAATTGTTTTCTGCCAAGTTGAAAACCAGCTAAATACTGCATTGGTTAATCATTCCATTTGTTTTGAGTTTTTTTGTTTGTTTGTTTGTTTGTTTGTTTTACATACTAGATGTTATAACTGAAATCTTAATGCAATTTGACTGGAATACCACTCTTTTTTATTTTCTTGGCCATTATAAAAATAATAACCAGCGTTATCACTAGGAGTCAGTAGACTGGGCATCTGTGAGGATTATGCTCTATGATTTTAGCAGTCTCTTAATCTCCCTGTAATATTTAGCTTATTCACCAGTGCAATGAATACGATACAGTAGCAGGCCTAGATAATATCCACTGATAAATGGACACATGCAAGTTTATTCTCTTCAAAAGGAACTAAATGCACACTGCTGTCCTAACAGAATACACACAAGAAGAGAAAATGCCTTTTAATAAGCAATTAAAATTTATACGAAAAAAAGGAAAAGTTTATACCATGAGAAACCTGGCAAGAAAATAACAAGACCGAGGGGGAAATAGAATGAAAACAACTCTTTTGCCAAGCAGTTTAGAAATTATACTGTTAAATTCATAGATTTGGGTGAGGAAAAATAAACAACCATCAGTTGCAACCATGTTCTGTCAAAAATATCCCCTGTCCAAGGCCCGCTGACAGGTCATAACCAGAACCACATGTTCCCAAAGCAATAAAAGAGGAGAGAGGAGCATCCTATTTAAGGAGAGCCTAAAGATGTTCATTTCAGGCAGGGATAGAGGGACAGGGCACAGGCAGGAAAGCAGGAACTTCCTGGGCAAGGGGTCTGGAGTCAGTGACACCCACCCATCAGGTTATCCGAGGGCTGTTTGTGTTTACACTGATGCTTCTGCAGAGTCCTAAACCCAAACACCCGACTCAACCGGATGGCCACTCCCAGGCAGCCCTCCCACCTTTTCTGAGTCACTGTCCCATTTAGCGTGGTTGCTACCGTCATCACGTTGCAACTGTGTCAGGCCAAGATAGAACATTTCATTCCCTTGACCTGCAATGTGAAATGAGTTAAAAGTCAGTGCTAAGAAATGATAATACTGAGCTTCCACAGGCTGCATAGCAATGTGCATGCTGCTTCCTAAAGGGGATGAAAGGCTGCAGGTAACCACCCCTCCTTGGCCCAAAGCAGAATAGTCATTCATCAGTTCCCACAGAGCCAGACCCTCCTCTACTGAGTGTTCACAATGTATGCATTACATGTGTGCTATTTTTATATTAAAATGTCTTAAGGTAAATAAGTTTTTCTAAACATTTTTTCCCAAGTGTTGCATTTAGTGACATAACTTAGTTACAAAACATACCTTAACTCATCTATTTAGGAAATATACATGGAGAGCCAGCTATCTATAACTAGTGAGATAAATGGAATGGCTTTCCAGTATGTCAACATTTGGAAGAATAAAACCAATTTGATTTTATTTTAAAAATTTGTTTTAATTGGACACAAAATCAAAATGGAAAAACAGACTTTTTTCAGTTTCGTGAATTTCAAATGTTACTTCTTTTTGTATAGATTGCTTATTTAACTTAAAAAAATTTTGTTTATCCACATACACATTTTATCTTTAGGTTTTTCTTAGCAATTTGTTTAATGTGACAATTTCCTCCCAGTCAGCCACCTGGTGATATGTTCCAATAGAATATTGGAGTGGTGTATTTCAGATGTAATTACCATAAAGGATAATTAACATTAATACCTTAAAGATTTAACTGAACAACTAGTTTGAGGGATATTCATTGAATCAAAATAGCAGGACTTATTCTCGACATTGTCAGAAATAAAATTGACCTGTAGAGGCTTCTTCAGAAGGGTTTTTATTTCATAAGGTGTGTTTTTTGCATCATGGCTGCTGCTGTTGCGGCTCTCAAATGATTGGAATATGCTTTGTCATGGAAACACTGACGAGCTTCCAATTTGCTTCTTCCCTGACCTTGACTCACTTCCTGGGGTCAGTCTAATGACTACAGCCATGTTCAGAATGCAGGGCCTCATGTATAAAATCTCACCAGGAATAACTTTGGAAAGAAACATCATTTACGTGTTCCCAAAGGACACAAAAAAACAGATGGAAGGTGATATCTGGCACTCCCTCTTTCTCAGTGATAACTCATTTTAGAGTTTGTCCTCCTGGTCTTGGGGGCTCAGACACAGTGACAACTAAGGTTTTCGTGAGTCAGGTGACGTAGGAGTGGAAAACCTCATGACAGAGTGGAAAGAGCTGGTTTACAAACACTCCGATTTAATTACATTTTTACCAACACAAAAAGAAAATTCTAAGGAGGAAAATTTGGACATAAAATTCCTCCATTCGGAATGACCTGTCACCTAGTAAGGGTGGTGTGGCTCAGAGCATCATCACATTCTGATTTTAAAAGTACAAGCCCTTTTACAAAGGAGTCTTTTTAGGGAATTGAACATTGCATTCCTAATATTTTTCATCCTGAATGCACTTAGCAGAGGAAACGTATATTTCATCAGACATGGATTTGACATTCCATTACATTGTAGTAAACGGGACAAACATGTCTCATGTTTTAGACATGAGAAAGGGGAGCTAAGACAGCCACCACCACTGTAAGACCCTGGTTATCTCATTTAAACAGATTTTAAATGTGGGTGCCAGTGGTGTGATCATCAGCCGCTTCCACTTTGTGAATAAATTGCTTAGAAGGAGTCTTTTGCCTACCAGATGTGACCTAGATTTAGATTTCCAAAGGCAGGGGGAAAAAACTCTATTGTGTTAAAAAACAATTGCTGGTAAAAATGCATGGTAAATGAGCTTATCTCAGTTTTCCAGGTGTTTGGACTAATATGTTATGGAATTACTGCTTCGTTTATGAAAAATAACTGAGGAAAATGTTCCAGCAAATCAAATTTGGATAAAGGCTTAGGGATAGCTATTGTGCTGTTAGTAAGTTTTTAAATGGCAGAAAGAGCAGGAGCCAATAGAGATAATAAAATAATATTTTTCTAAAAAAAAAATGTTTGAGAAGAGTCTCATAGAAAAGGGTCAGGCATGGGTGTGCTATCCAGCTTGTATATGGTTTAGTAAAATATTGAAGAACAATGTGAACAATTACGCTGCTTTCAGTGCATATGAAAGCTGTTTAAAAAATCAAAGCTTGTCTGTCTGCTGGCTCTGATAAGTCTTATTACTCTGTTAAATGCAGCGAAATTTTTTAAACTGTGGCATCTTTATTCTCTCTTACCTACAGTCTCTCCTTTTTCATTTCCTTTCATCTTCAGGAGCTGCCACTCCGAAACCAGTCCCAGAACCCGAGAAACAGACAGACCATACAGTTAAAATTGCTGGAGTCATCGCGGGCATCTTGCTGTTCGTGATTATATTTCTTGGAGTTGTGTTGGTAATGAAGAAAAGGTGAGCTCCTAGCTGTTGCCAAAGATACAGTTATATCCCATTGTTTGCTGGAATGTTTTGTGTGTGTGAAAATTCTCAGTTACTGAACTGGCTTTGATAACCCAGACACATCTGTGACTCTGTGATTGTTAACATTTTTCATCATGTGGCATGGAAGGTTATGGGACAAAAATTTAGAGTAAATGGCTATGATTCTGTGTGAATACGCAAAGCATATCATATCAGAATAACCATCCTGTGTCTTCCCACACAGTGGCAGATAAAGCTCTGCAAAATCTTAGAAGCCACTTATTCACCAGGAAATGTTTAGTACTGATTTCCAACATACTAAGACATTTGGTAATCACAAAGATATGAGAAGACTTTACTTTTTATTATAGTGAGGATGATGATGATGACAGATTTTATGGGGCCTGTGTTATATGTAGGCACCGTGCTAGGGAAGGTCATCAGCACAACATCCATGAGAAAGAGAACCCGCAAAAACAGCCCGACAGAAAAATGCAGCGCGGGAGCAGCTCGTGTTAGAACAAATCACAGAGCAAGTGGTGTGGCTGGGCACCGTGGCTCATGCCTGTAATCCCCGCATTTTGGGAGGTGGAGGCAGGTGAATCATTTGATCACTTTATCCCAGGAGTTCGAGACCAGCCTGGGCAACATGACAAAACCCTGTCTCTACAATAAATACAAAAATTTGTTGGGCGTGGTGGCACACACCTGTAGTCTCAGCTACTGGTGAGGCTGAGATGGGAGGATCACTTTGAGCTATGATCACTCCATGGCACTCCAGCCTGGGCAACAGGGCAAAACCCTGTCTCCAAAAACAAACAAACAAACAAAGTTGTGTGTTACAAGAGCCAAGGGATAGTCTGGGGGAGAGAAAAACAGATATGGCCATAATAAGTGATCCTCACCTCCCATACTTGAAAACTATGCAGTGTCTTGTTTTGTGGAAACAAGCAAAAACTTGCTTAATAATAAAATCTTCGATTTATGTAAAAATCAATACAAAAATATAGATACTAAGAATTGATGGCATAAAGTTTCCCAAATTGAGGGAATATGTGGATCTTGTTCTTTTCTCTATTGTTTCGAAACAGTTGTAGTCATGCATTGAGAGTGAGTTCATGGATGGGAGAAGGTAAAGGTGGAGAGGTTGGCAGAGTGAAGACTAGAAACTCTGATCTGGTCATGGAAGGAGGTTGACCTTGGGCCTGAGACTGTTGATGGCCTTTGAGTAGGTGGTAACATGATCTCATTTTTAGGAATATAACTCTAACGTTAGGATTGGACACAGTGAGGAGGGGAGAGAGCTCAAATCAGGAAGACCAGTAGAAGGAAGAGAAAGAGCAACTTTAGAAACAGTTAAGAGTTAAATTTTAGTAGCCATTTGGAGAGAGAAGGGACAATATAGAAAGACTTAGAATAGTTCCTGGTTTGGGCAAGTTAGTGGAGATATTTCTGTTCACCAAAATGTGGAACATAGGAACTACAAAATGGGGTGGGGGCACTAAAAATGGAGAGTTCAGCTTTGCACATTTTTTTTCTTTTTCTTTATTATATTTTAAGTTCTGAGGTACATGTGCAGAATGAGCAGTTTTGTTACATAGGTATACACGTGCCATGGTGGTTTGCTTTACCCATCATCCCATCACCTATATTAGGTATTTCTCCTAATGCTATCCCTCCCTTACCGCCCTACCCCCTGACAGGCCCCAGGGTGTGATGTTCCCCTCCCTGTGTCCATGCATTGTCATTGTTCAACTCCCACATATGAATGAGAACATGCAGTGTTTGCTTTTCTGTTCTTGTGATAGTTTGCTGAGAATGATGGTTTCCAGCTTCATCCATGTCCCTGCAGAGGACATGAACTCATCCTTTTTTATGGCTGCATAGTATTCCATGGTGCGTATGTGCCACATTTTCTTTATCCAGTCTGTTTTCTTTATCAATTGATGGTCATTTAGGTTGGTTCCAAGTCTTTGCTATTGCGAATAGTGCCACGATAAACATACCTATACATGTATCTTTATGGTAGAACAATTTATAATCCTTTGGGTATATTCCCAGTAATGGGATTGTTGGATCAAATGGTATTTGTAGTTCTAGGTCCTTGAGGAATCACCACACCGTCTTCCACAATGGTTGAACTAATTTACAGTTCCACCAACAGTGTAAAAGTGTTCCTGTTTCTCTGCATATTCTCAAGCATCTGTTGTTTCCTGACTTTTTATTTCTTTCTTTTCTTTTTTTTTTTTTTTTTTGAGATGGAGTTGTTTGCTCTTTTTGCCCAGGCTGGCATGCAATGGCATGATCCCAGCTCGCTGCAACCTCCGCCTCCCAGGTTCAAGCAATTATCCTGCCTCAGCCTCCTCAGTAGCTGGAATTACAGATGCATGCCACCACGCTAATTTTTGTATTTTTAGTAGAGACAGGGTTTCTCCATGTTGGTCAAGCTGGTCTCAAACTCCCAATCTTGTGATCCGCCTGCTTGGCCTCCCAAAGTGCTGGGATTACAGGCGTGAGCCACCGTGCCCAGCCTTCCTGACTTTTAATGATCGCTATTCTAACTGGCATAATATGGTATCTCATTGTGGTTTTCATTTGCATTTCTCTAACGACCGGTGATGATAAGCATTTTTTTATATGTTGGTTGGCTGCATAAATGTCTTCTTTTGAGAAGTGTCTGTTCATATCCTTTGCCCACTTTTTAATGGGATTGTTTTTTTTTTCTTGTAAATTTGTTTAAGTTCTTTGTAGGTTCTGGATATTAGCCCTTTGTCAGATGGATAGATTGCAAAAATTTTCTCCCATTCTTAGGCTGTCTGTTCACTCTGATGATAGTTTCTTTTGCTGTGCAGAAGCTCTTTAGTTTAATTAGATCTCATTTGTCAATTTTGGCATTTGTTGCCATTGCTTTTGGTGTTTTAGACATGAAATCTTTGTCCATGCCTGTGCTCTGAATGGTATTGCCTAGGTTTTCTTCTAGGATTTTTGTGGTTTTAGGTCTTATGTTTAAGTCTTTAATCCATCTTGAGTTGATTTTTGTATCAGGTGTAAGGAAGGGGTCCAGTTTCAGTTTTCTGCATATGGCTAGCTATTTCCAACACCATTTATTAAATAGGGAATCTTTTCCCCATTGCTTGTTTTTGTCAGGTTTGGCAAAGATCAGATGGTTCTAGATGTGTGGTGTTATTTCTGAGGCCTATGTTCTGTTCCATTGGCCTATATATCCGTTTTGATACCAGTACCATGCTGTTTTGGTTACTGTAGCCTTGTAGTATAGTTTGAAGTCAGGTAGCATGATGCCTCCAGTTTTGTTCTTTTTACTTAGATTGTCTTGGCTATGTGGGCTCTTTTTTGGTTCCATATGAAGTTAAAGTAGTTTTTTCCAATTCTATGAAGAACGTCAATGGTAGCTTGATGGAGATAGCATTGAATTTATAAATTACTTTGGGCAGTCTGGCCATTTTCACAATCTTAATTCTTCCTATCCATGAGCATAGAATGTTTTTCCAGTTGTTTGTGTCCTCTCTTATTTCCTTGAGCAGTGGTTTGTAGTTATCCTTGAAGAGGTCCTTCACATCCCTTGTAAATTGTATTCCTAGATATTTTATTCTCTCTATAGCAATTGCGAATGGGAGTTCACTCATGATTTGGCTCTCTGTTTGTCTGTTATTGGTGTATAGGAATGCTTGTTATTTTTGCGTTGATTTTGTATCCTGAGACTTTGCTGAAGTTACTTATCAGCTTAAGGAGGTTAGGGGCTGAGACGATGGGGTTTTCTAAATGCACAATCATGTCTTCTGCAAAGAGATAATTTGACTTCCTCTCTTCCTGTTTGAATACCCTTTATTTCTTTCTCTTGCCTGATTGCTCTGGCCAGAACTTCCAATACTATGTTAAATAGGAGTGAGTGAGAGAGGACATCCTTGTCTTGTGCCAGTTTTTAAAGGGAGTGCTTCCAACTTTTGCCCATTCACTATGATATTGGCTGTGGGTTTGTCATAAATAGCTCTTATTATTTCGGGTTGTGTTCCACCGATACCTAGCTTATTCAGTTTTTAGCATGGAGGGCTGTTGAATTTTGTCAAAGACCTTTTCTGCATCTATTGAGATAATCATGTGGTTTTTGTCATTGGTTCTGTTTATGTGATGGGTTACGTTTATTGATTTGTGTATGTTGAACCAGCCTTGCATCCCAGGGATGAAACTGACTTCATTGTGGTGGATAAGCTTTTTAATGTGTTGCTGGATTCAGTTTGCCAGTATTTTATTGAGGATTTTCGCATCGAAGTTCATCAGGGATATTGGCCTGAAATTTTCTTTTTTTGTTGTTGTTGTCTCTGCCAGGTTTTGGTATCAGGATGATGTTGGCCTCATAAAATGAGTTAGGGAGGATTCTCTCTTTTTCTGTTGTTTGGAATAGTTTGAGAAGGCATGGTACCAGCTCCTCTTTGTACCTCTGGTAAAATTCAGCTGTGAATCCATCTGGTCCTGGACCTTTTCTCGTTGGTAGGCTATTAATTACTGCCTCAATTTCAGAACTTGTTATCAGTCTGTTCAGGGATTTGACTTCTTCCTGGTTTAGACTTGGGAGGGTGTATGTGTCCAGGAATTTATTCATTTCTTCTAGATTTTCTAGTTTATTTGCATAGAGGTGTTTATAGTATTCTCTGATGGTAATTTGTATTTCTGTGGGATCAGTGGTGATATCCCCTATATCTTTTTTTATTACACATCTATTTGATCTTCTTTCTTTTCTTCGTTATTAGTCTGGCTCGTGGTCTAGCTATTTTGTTGATCTTTTCAGAAAACCAGTTCCTGGATTTATTGATTTTTTTGAAGGGTTTTTCGTGTCTGTATGTCCTTCAGTTCTGCTCTGATCTTAGTTATCTCTTGTCTTCTGCTAGCTTTTGAATTTGTTTGTTGTTGCTTCTCTAGTTCTTTTCATTTTGATTTTAGGGTATCAACTTTCGATCTTTCCTGCTTTCTCTTGTGGGCCTTTAGTGCTATAAATTTTCCACTACACATTGCTTTAAATGTGTCCCAGAGATTCTGGTACGTTGTGTCTTCATTCTCATTGGTTTCAAAGAACATCTTTATTTCTGCCTTCATTTCATTATTTACCCAGTAGTCATTCAGGAGCAGGTTGTTCAGTTTCCCTGTAGTTGTGCTGATTTGATTGAGTTTCTTAATCCTGAGTTCTAGTATGATTGCACTGTGGTCTGAGAGACTGTTTGTTATGATTTCCTTTCTTTTGAATTTGCTGAGGAGAGTTTTACTTCAAATTTTGTGGTCAATTTTAAAATAAGTGTGATGAGGTGAAAAGAAGAATGCATATTCTGTTGATTTGGGGTGGAGAGTTCCGTGGATGTCTCTTAGGTCCACTTTTTCCAGAGCTGAGTTCAAGTCCTGAATATCCTTGTTAATTTTCTGTCTAATTGATCTGTCTAATATTGACAGTGGGGTGTTAAAGTCTCCCACAATTATTATGTGGGAATCTAAGTCTCTTTGTAAGTCTCTAAGAACTTGCTTTATGAATCTGGGTGCTCCTGTGTTGGGGGCATATATATTTAGCATAGTTAGCTCTTCTTGTTGCATTGATCCCTTTACCATTATGTAATGCCCTTCTTTGTCTCTTTTGATCTTTGTTGGTTTAAAGTCTGTTTTATCAGAGACTAGGATTGTAACTCCTGATTTTTTTCGCTTTCCATTTGCTTGGTAAATATTCTCCATCCATTTATTTTGAGCCGTGTGCATCTTTGCACATGAGATGGGTCTCCTGAATACAGCACACTGATGGGTCTTGACTCTATCCAATTTGCCAGTCTGTGTCTTTTAATTGGAGCATTTAGCCCATTTACATGTAAGGTTAATATTGTTATATGTGAATTTGATCCTGTCATTATGATGATAGCTGGTTATTTTGCCCGTTAGTTCATATAATTTCTTCATAGTGTTGATGGTCTTTACAATTTGGTATGTTTTTGCAGTGGCTGGTACCGGTTGTTCCTTTTCATGTTTAGTGCTTCCTTCAGGAGCTCTTGTAAGGCAGGCCTGGTGGTGACAAAATCTCTCAGCATTTGCTTGTCTGTAATGGATTTTATTTCTCCTTCACTATGAAGCTTAGTTTGGCGGGATGTGAAATTCCGGGTTGAAAATTCTTTTCTTTAAGAATGTTGAATATTGGGCCCCACTCTCTTCTGACTTGTAGGGTTTCTGCAGAGATATTTACTGTTAGTCTGAGGGGCTTCCCTTGTGAGTAATCTGACCTTTCTCTCTGGCTGCCCTTAACATTTTTTCCTTCATTTCAACCTTGGTGAGTCTGACGATTATGTCTTGGGGTTGCTGTTCTCAAGCAGTATCTTTGTGGTGTTCTCTGTATTTCCTGAAATTGAATGTTAGCCTGTCTTGCTAGATTGGGGAAGTTCTCCTGGATAATATCCTCAAGAGTGTTTTCCAACTTGGTTCCATTCTCCTCGTCACTTTCAGGTACACCAATCAGACATAGATTTGGTCTTTTCACATAGTCCCATATTTCTTGGAGGCTTTGTTAGTTCCTTTTTATTCTTTTTTTCTCTAATCTTGTCTTCTCACTTTATTTCATTAAGTTGATCTTCAGTCTCTGACATCCTTTTTTCTGCTTGATTGATTCGGCTATTGATACTTGTGTATGCTTCACAAAGTTCTCGTGCTGTGCTTTTCAGCTCTATGAGGTCATTTATGTTCTTCTCTAAACTGATTATTCTAGTTAGCAATTTGTCTAACCTTTTCTCAAGGTTCTTAGCTTCCTTGCATTGGGTTAGAACATGCTCCTTTAGCTTGGAGGAGTTTGTTATTACCGACCTTGTGAAGCCTACTTCTGTCACTTCGTCAACTCATTCTCCAATCAATTTTGTTCCCTTGCTGGCGAGGAATTATGATCCTTTGGAGGAGAAGAGACATTCTGGTTTTGGAATTTTCAGGCTTTTTGCGCTGGTTTCTCCCCATCTTTATGGATTTATCTACCTTTGGTCTTTGATGTTGGTGACCTTCAGATGGGGTCTTTGAGTGGATGTGCTATTCCTTTCTGTTTGTTAGTTTTCCTTCTAACAGTCTGGCCCCTCTGCTGCAGGTCTGCTGTAGTTTTCTGGAGGTCCGCTCCAGACCTTGTTTGCCTGGGTATCACCAGCGGAGACAGCAGACCAGCAAAGATTGCTGCCTGTTCCTTCCTCTGGAAGCTTCATACCAGAGGGGCAACCACGAGATGCCGCTCAGAGCTCTCCTGTATGAGGTGTCTGTCGGCCCCTACTGGGAGGTGTCTCCTAGTCAGGATACACGGGGGTCAGGGACCCACTTGAGGAGGCACTCTGTCCCTTATCAGAGCTTCAACACTGTGCTGGTAGATCTGCTGTTCTCTTCAGAGCTGCCAGGTAGGGACATTTAAGTCTGCTGAAGCTGCGCCCACAGCTGCCCTTTCCCCCAGGTGCTTCGTCCCAGGGAGGTGGGGATTTTATCTACAAGTCTCTGACTGGGGCTGCTGCCTTTTTTTCAGAGATGCCCTGCTCAGGAAGGAGAAATCTGGCAGTCTGACCACAGTGGCCTTGCTGAGCTGCAGTGGACTCCACCCAGTTCGAACTTCTTGGTGGCTTTGTTTATACTATGAGGGGAAAACCGCCTACTCAAGCCTCAGCAATGGCAGGCACCCCACCGCCCCCCCCCGCCCCCCACCAAGCTGGGGCATCTCAGGTCAATCTCAGACTACTGCTGTGCTGGCTGCAAGAATTTCAAGCCAATGGATCTAAGTTTGCTGGGCTCCATGAGGGTGGGACCCACTGAGGCAGACCACTTGGTTCCCTGGTTTCAGCACCCCTTTCCAGAGGAGTGAATGATTCTGTCTCACTTGCGTTCCAGGAGCCACTGGGGTATGGAAAAAAAAAAAAAAAAAAAACTCCTGGAGCTAGTTCGGTGTCTGCCCAAACAGCCATCTTGTTTTGTGCTTGAAACCCGGGGCCCTGGTGGGGTTAGGCGCCAGAGGGGATCCCCTGGTCTGTGGGTTGTGAAGACCATGGGAAAAGCGCAGTATCTGAGCTGGAGTGCAGGGTTCCTCAGGCTCAGTCCCTCACGGCTTCCCTTGGGTAGGGAAAGAAATTCCCCGACCCCTTGCACTTCCCGGGTGAGATGACACCCCACCCTGCTTCGGCTCGCCCTCCATGGGCTGCACCCACTGTCCAACCAGTCCCAATTTGATGAACCATATACCTCAGTTGGAAATGCAGAAATCACCCACCTTCTGTGTTGATCTCGCTGGGAGCTGCAGACCGGAGCTGTTCCTATTCAGCCATCTTGCCAGCAATCCCAGCTTTGCACATTTTAAGTTCAATACTCCTTTAAAATTAAGTGGAGATGTTCACTGGGAGGTTGAATATGCTACTGTGGACTAGAAATAATAATTTCCATAGTCTGAAAGTCATCAACATTTCTGGAGCTGAAGCCATAGGTTTGGAAGAGGCTCCTCAGAGTTTTTGTAGAGTGAGAAGAAGGAATATCAAGGATGAAGGTAAAACCGTTGGCAACAGCAATATTTCAGGGCGAGTTAATATTCCAGTATAGATACATGCATCTACTCCTTTTCTGAGTCTCCCTCCATTTATGGTTCTGTTCTAGTCAAGCCCCAGGACAAACCGTTGCTCTGTCACAGCTGTGCGCATCCCTGGTCTTTGGTCCCCACCATTACAACTGTTTTTCCCCACTTGTCATGTGCCGTTTATCTCTTTTTCTACCCATCGTGTGATTCCTATCTTTATTTTTCATTCATTATTTATTTTCATTCCATTCCTCTCTACCCCTCTTTTCTTTACCCTTCTTTACCTATTTCTCTCTTTATTTCCTTTTTCCTCCATATTTCCCATATTTCCTTTTTTCTTTCTCTTTTTCTTATGCCTCACCTCTTTTTTTTTTTTTTTTTTTTTTTTGAGATAGGGTCTCGTTCTGTTACCAGGCTGAAGTGCAATGGCACGATCTGAGCTCACTGCAACCTCCGCCTCCTGGGTTCAAGCAGTTCTTCTGCCTCAGCCTCCCAAGTAGCTGGGAATATAGGCTCACACCACCAAGCCCAGCTAATTTTTGTATTTTTAGTAGAGACAGGGTTTCACCATGTTAGCCAGGATGGTCTTGATCTCCTGACCTCGTGATCCCCCTGCCTCAGCCTCCCAAAGTGCTAGGATTACAGGCATGAGCCACTGCGCCTGGCCTTTCCTGGATGTTCTTCGTCCATTCCCCACCTCAATGTGTATGTAGATAGCTTATTTTTGGCACCAGTAGTTTGTACTTTTTAAAAACATATGACCCAGTGTAAGTCCTAAGGAACAATAGGCCCTTCCATGCCTGGACATCCAAACTAAACATTTTGAAGAGGTTTATTTTTAATTCCGGGAATATGGTGGATATATTTTGTCATCTGGCAAGTTCTCTGTGAGGAATAGCCTGCAACTACTAATCCAGTTGCCCTTGTGACCCTAGCTAAATGTCAACTAATCCTCCAAGGGTCTATTTCTGCAATATTAATTCATGATTCTACCTGGGTCTCTCTGGTAGTCGTTGAGGTTATGTTATAAATTATGCATTGAAGAGATGCCTTTGGTAACACGTGGCCTTAATGCAACTTTAGACTAAATGCCAACAAGTCATGTCAGATTTACATGATTATTTACTAGATAATAATCTTAAAAGGGTTGTCTTCACAGCATGTGCCACTTTGGGATTTGCTTTTTCTGAAAAATAGAGTATATTCTCTGTCAGATGAATTAGCCAGTATACCATGCTCAGAAATACAAAACTTGCTATTATCTTTAGACTTGAGCAGTCTTGTACAAACTATCATATTCCATAGAAATTCTTAAAACGTCTAATTGTCCAGGACTTTTTACCAAATTTCAAGTCTAAATTTGAAAGGTAGTGTTTTTAAGCAGAAAAGTTAAAGCATAACATTAATCATAGAAAAATTGTTGGGGTGTTATTGATAGGTAATCACCACATTGTTTGGTTAGAAGAACACTGAACTTAGATGTGGAATTCCTAGATCTGTATTTTAACTGACTTTGTGATTCTGAACTTCTCTGGCCCTAGTTTCCTCTTTTGTAAGTTGAGAAAACTCAACTAGATGATCTCTGAAGACCTTCTCAATTCCAAAATGTCAGGTTTCCTGGTAGGTAGTAGCCACTGGTGACACTACTACGCATTTGCTATTCTAGAAGTACCGCATGTGTTTTGTTACTGTGTTTCCCTACTTAAACCTCTGCAGCAGCTCTTCCCCAGGCTCTCTCAGTTCAGTTCAAGCCCAGAGGTGATGGCTGATGAGTGGTTTATCTTCCAGCTACATGTTTTCGACCTTCACACAGGAGGCCCTCAATTAAAAGGGAAGCCGTAGGGAAATGGAAAAAGGAATGAGAGAGAGGGAAGGAAAGGAACTGCCTCGGGTGTGGATTTCAATATATTATTAGTTGTTACTGTCAGTTAGAAGCAAATGCTGTGAAACTTTGCACTCATTCCTGTGTGGACTGGTTAGCCTATGTTTCCTCTACCGCAGCATTCTGAGTCGTCCACCTCAAATATGTGCTGTTGGTCATAAAGACAGACTGGGCCCAAGAGACAGTGTGGGTGAAACAAATTCATTCATTCCTTCTAGAAATAAAATGGGAAGTCTGTCCTACAGAGGATGAGCCAGCCGCCATCGTCTGTACTTGTCACATGCCAGGCCAGCTCGCCTGCTAGCTTGGGAGCAGGAGGACAGCAAATTCAAACACTGGAAAATTGCTTGACATTTTATTGGGAGGCATTGTCAATTATTAGCTAAGATTGTTTTGTCTTCTGAAGAATTGGCCCTCTATAAAAAAATAGTTGTGGAAGGTGGGCTTTTAACAGAAAATGTAAAGTCTGTTCAGTTCATACTAATTAGTACATGGAATTATTTAACATATAGGCAATAATGGCTAAAAACTGACATGACCATCAGCTTTATTTTAGGATGTTTTACAAACCTATCACAAAGCAACAACTAATTTTTTGTTCATGTATATTAATTCATTTGGCCTTTACCTGGACTAATATCATCTGAAACCTTCTTTTCTTTGAAACATTTTATGAAATGTATACACTTATTTTTACTTTATTATGTAAGCAAAGCAATTTTTTATTTTCCGTCCCACAAATTATGTGTTCCTTTAAAGATTTGACATTTTGATGCAGCAAATGTTAAGAAAAGGTGTGAGATAAATGTCTACAAAATAAATGTTTTATACAGAACCACGGGGCAATGTACTCTCAAAATTAATATAAAATAACTTGAATAGGACATATTTTTTTTACCAGGTTTCATCCATGTATAATTAGATATATTTGTATAAATGAAAATACCTGTATTTTTAACATTTTTCATAAGGAATAATGTATCTCAATAACATGTTTGACAGAACTTAGTATGTAAGCACTATCAATTTTACCATGATTAATTATATTTACGATTGTTTCTAAAATAGCTATAGATCTTTCAGGAATTTGAGAACATTTGTATTAATTATAGTAATATTCCTGTCTCAGCCACTGTGGTACATAGAAATCACAGAAGTTGCAGCTATTGAAAATAATTAAAGAGTTAGGCATTCTGGGGCAAAATAGCAAGTGGTAGCTATTATATTACATAAATACCTGTTATAGGTAAATATAACTATTTTAATTCTGAAACACTATACCTCCATCTCCTTTCCATAACACATTTAAACAGATGTACATTTTGCAAATGCAGCATATTATCAAATATTTGGCACCCATTCTATTATATTTAAACAATGCTAGCACTACCAAGAAAAATCACAATAAAAATGGGAAGTTTTTCTGAAGACAACATGAAACAAAAAAGATAAGAGGGAAAATTTGATGAAAGCCCCATTTTCAAAGAGATGCCTGCAGCATGCAGCCGGAGGCAAGTTGACATTAACTATAGTTCCCCCGGCCTATCCATTTACATGTGAGGTAGTTTCTTTCCACTGTAAGTAAGTGTGACTTCTGTGTGGAAAATAGCTTAGGTCTGGATGCATTATTCAAAGTTTTATTTCAAAATCACCTTTCCTGAGACTACACTGAGAAAGTCACACATAGATGTTTCTTTGTGACAATTATTTAAAATATGTGGCTTTAATATGCAGTCCTATAAGTATGAACCAGATGCTGAGATCTTGCCTAGCACATACTTTGGCATGCTTGGAACAGGCCATATGTGCACACAAACATGTATGGATGTTTTATCTCAGTCTATCAATTAGCTGCCGTCCTTCAGGTTTCCAGATAATTGAATAGGGTTGAGGTACAAGGGTAAGTTGAACAAATTGACTTTTGTAAAGGCCTCTTCTGAGCTGGACTTTATATGATTACTGTAACAGTTCCTAAAGTAACCCCTATTTCTTGACTCAACCTAATGGGAACTCTTTTTAAAGAAGATTTTATTTTAAAAAAAGAGTGTGGGGAACATAGCTACCAATTTTTCATCTTATAGGAGGAAAGTGTCAGAGAATGATAAGAGTCATGGCTTTAGAATCTGACGAACCTGATTTTACACCACAACTCTTTACTTTGTGGCACTGTAAATTTAAATGAGTTACTTAACACCTCTGAACTATTTTGCACATGTGAGATGTGACGATGATGATAATGTGTACTGCATAGGGGATGCGGTAAAAATTAGATGGTATATGTACATAGTTGGTCTTTGATAGATAATAGCTTAAGAACCCAGCAGTTGGAGAACTTGTCCCAGGGCACGTAGGTAGTCCGTGGGAGGGCCTAGTCTAAGTCAGTGCATCTGACTTTTAACTGCCCTGCTACCCTGGCTCAGGCAAGTAAAACTCAAACATGCACCTTGCTCTGTAAAGCTCAGGTACTCTTTATAATTAGCTGACAACACCGTGCAGTCATCAGCTTGTTGCAGTTTACCATTGCTTTAAGTCTATAAATATTTGAAATTCTGCCAGCATGTCTTATTCTTTTCTTTGAGCCATCATTGCAGAATAGCTAAATAAATGCTTTTTTCGTATCCTCCTTTGCAGAAGCATTTTTAGAATTCTTTTGAATAGCTGTATTTTGTGTCATTTGTTGATTCCTGAGTTTACTTCTGATAACTCTCAATGGTGAGGATGCTGTATCCTCTTGTCTGGTTTACTGAACAAGAGAATCTTGTTAAGTTTTAGAGGAAGCCATAAAGCAGGGGAGCATTAGCTGCACCTTTCCTCCTCAGAGACAAATGCTGGGGTCTTCCGTGGTGAAAGTGGAGACCCTGGGGACAGCTGCCTTATGCCCACACCTTGGTTCCGTGGCTTACTGGCTGTGTGATCTTAGACAAGCCACCTAGCTCGGTGTCCCTCAGTTTCCCCAGCTATTCCAAGGGCATAATAATAGTTCTTACATCATAAAATGTTATGACAAGAAAACAAGTTGATACCTTTAAAGTGCTGGCCCCAGTAAATATTAACTCTATTGATAATATGCATTATACACCAGTATACAAGCTGTAGCTGCCTCTCTGGTTTCAATGCTCATGGCTTGCGTGCCTCGAAGTCTTTGTGTCCGGACATGGGAGAAGACCAAGGAACGGAGCTGTCTCCCCTTGAGAGGGGGTCCTCTCTCCTTTTCCCATGGAGAGCATCATTTCTTTGTACCCAAAGAAACACACGGGATGGGTCTTTAATTATGAAGCTAGCTAGGAACACAGCTAGCTGGAATGAGACAGCTCATTTTCTCCTTACCTTAAGGCCATGCCTTGGTGAAGGTGCCAGAGCTGATAGCACAAAGTAAAATCATTCTTCAGCCATGCTCAGCCACTAGTATTCCTTATGCCCAGGCTCCTACTCAGTCAAGTGGAGAGCCGGATTATAGGAAAAATTGTTCTCTGCAGATAAGTAAACCAAAGGTCCTGGGGCATCAATACTACCATGCTTGGGGAACGTCCTCTAAACCCCAAATGCTTCTGAGTGGGCATGGCATTGGCATTAAATGCAAATACTTTGGGTATTAAAACCTTCCAGACCCAGACGCAGCAAGGTGCCAAGTGGTCTGCCACCTGGGGTGGGAACAGAAGGACAGCATCACTGTCTTCGGTGTGCATAAAGGCCTTGTCATGTATCTGTGTGGACTCCCTGAGCCTCTCCTCAGTGCTGCTTGTTCACCTTCCACAGTTGCAGGAGGTCGAAGGCCCTGTGGCCAGGCACCAGCCCTGAACTTGCACCACATTCAGCAGGGCTGAATTCTCACCAGCCATCTCAGGGCACAATTTTCCTACTGATTCCTCATTTGAATGCCTGGTAACTCCACTCATTTTTAACCTCTATCTATTAGCATAGCTTATTAAAACTGGTTCTATCTGTGTCTCTTAATTCCTAAACTCAAGCCCTAGACTTCTTAAAAGGGTATTGAGAGAGGGCTGCATAATTACTACTAAAATTGATCATTCTTCACAGTTGATGTCTCAAGATGGAGTGTGTTGACATTCCCAGTCCCACCCAAGTGCTTCATGATCTTTACTGGGTGTGTGTTTTGATTCATGTTGATGTGACTTCACTTTCTAGTTCATAAGAGCGTTAAAAACTGAGCATATTTTTCTTGGGATGATCGTTTAAACTTGTATCTTGGTTATCGAATCCAGGAATTCAAACCTAATAATACCACTTTTCCAACTCTTTCCAGTTTTGTTTTATATTAATAAGTAAAACAATGAAGAGTATGAGGAAAGAAATATATGCATTAAGAAAAAAATAGTCCAATTTCTAACCTGACTTATTTGGGCAATGTATTAGTCCATTTTTGTGTTACTATAAACGAATACCTGAGAGTGGGTAATTTATAAAGAAAAGAGGTTTAACTGGCTTATGGTTCTGCAGGCTTTACAAGCATGGTGCCAGCATCTGTTCAGCTTCTGGTGAGGCCTCAGGAAGCTTCCAATCATGGAGGAAGGCAAAGCACAAGCAGGCGTGTCCCATGGCAAGAGCAGGAGCACGAGAGCGAGCGGGAGGGTGTCTCAGACTTTGAAACAACCAAATTTCATGTGAACTGAGTAGGAACTCACTCACCACCAAAGGGATGGTGTTAAACCATTCAAAAGGGATCCATCCCTACCATTCAGACACCTCCCACCCAGCCCACCTCCACTGTTGGAAATCACATTGCAACATGAGATGTGGGGGACAAAGATCCTGCAAACCATGTCAAGCAAGATTCATGACACCTCTTCTTCTAACATAAATCTAAATTTCTTTTTAACAGGGAAATGGTTTACCTCTGGAATCTTTAATTTAGATTCATTTATAGAAAATTACATAAAATTAATTTTTAAGAAGGATACAGAGGCGCCACTGTGTTGATTGAGAAAGGAATATTTTGGATGGATCTCAGCATTATAAGATGTAGTATTATATTAAGTACTATATTTTCTTGAATAGTAATATAAATTTTGCCTGGTATCCTTACAGAGTGTGCTTTTTAAAGTAAATAAAGCTTCACTGGATCCCCTGGAAGATGTTCTTATCATTGTTATATTCATATGTGCCGTTTGCTTATGGCACTGCTGTGGTGGAACTAAAGTGAAACTGTTTTTATGAGTTTTACTGCAAGTAAAAATGGATTCATTTATTAAATCCCAACATACTATTTCTTTGTAAAAACAAAACAAAATTTGACAAAACTGTAGTCCATGTTATCGTGTCTAAAGATGGCCCAGTGTTCATTCCGGTGTTTATTATGTTTCTGTGATGACTTAGGCAGCACCTGCCTGAGTACCAGAATTCCAATTTGGACACCTGGGATTTAGTGCTTTGCTTACTGTGTCCCTCCCGACAGTGCCGACAGTACGCTCTCCTGCATTCACAGTCCTGAATGATCTGGGTACCATATGTCTTTTCTATTAGATCCTTTTTAATCATCTTCAACATCCTATTCTTACATCTAGTCTAGTGTTTTCCATAGAAGACATGGAGTATACCGTCAGTAAAGAAAAATACTCTTCTTTCATGCAAGCCCTTTAGTGCAGCACTGGACTTTGAACAGCTTTGCTTTTTAAAAAAAAAATTTCAGGGATGTAAGTTTCATAATATTATAAGATGTTTTAATTTTTCTGTAGTGTAGATATTATAATGGACAGACTCCCTACGTGTAGTAGTATGAATTTGTTAAAGTTTGAATAATAATTATTTGAATTAAAAATTTAATATATTAAAATAGTTGAAATGAATAGGAGTACCTTTAAATTCAGATACAGCTTAATTCAAAAGAAAAATGGGCTCATCACTATCATTTATTTAAACGATCATTTATTTTTAAGCCACCTTTGAAATATTTTTTATAAATCGTGTATTCCATTGCATTTTTATAACCAACATCAATTGAGATTAACAAGTCCTTTGTTCAAAAAAACGAATAAACCTCCTTAAGATGAAATTTTTTTAAGGGAAGTCAGGGAGAACTTTATTCTTTTTATGTATTTTCTATTTATTTATTTATTGGAGATAGGGACTTGCTCTGTTAACCAGGCTGGAGCACAGTGACACAAGCTCGCTGCAGCCTCAAACTCCTGGGCTCAAGTGATCCCCCGTCTCAACCTCCCAAGTAGCTAGGACTGCAGACATGCGCCACCACGCCCAGAAAATTTTGGGGTTTTGTTGTTGTTGTTGTTGTAGAGACAGGGTGTTGCCATGCTGCCCAGGCTGATCTTGAACTCAGGGCCTCAAGTGATCCTCCTGCGTAAGCCTCCCAAAGTTCTGGGATTACAGGCACTGAACCACTATGCCTAGCCAGGATGAATTCTTCTTATACTGTGGGCATCTTAAGTTAAAATATCTAGTTTTTCAAGTCTTCTATTCAGTGGTTTTATAACAGAAATATCTAGACTTCCGTCTTCAGTGGCTAGGCTGCAGCCTAGTAATTTATTCAGGACTTAGCATTTCCAGGCAGCTCTTCTCGCTGTTAGCTGTCTCACTGCATCATTGTATGGTATTATTCCTCCAAGGGTGTTTGATAAGCATCTGTGATAAACATTGATTCATTGTTCCCATTGCCAGAAAGAAAGCATTAATTAATAAGAACAAATTCAGGAAAAGGCCGCTTAGTGTAAGTGCCTAGTTATTGGGAGCTATCAAAATGTTCTTTGTTCTTTATCCTTTTACCTGATTTCTATAAAAGCCTGAGTTGTGGGTTTGGAGTCAGTGGTCAGAATTTGAAGAAATTGGCCACTCTCTAAAGATATGTTCAGCTATCAATGACTAATTCTTAGGTTTAACTTTTATTAAAAAGGAAAGGAAGAAAATCTCAGAAATATATTAAGATCTTCAAAATGAAGAGGTGACATAGCATTCACTGAAAATATTAACTTGGAAGCTGTCATGCAGGAGTGGTGTTGGCTCCTTGGGGGACACTTGGGGATGCCTGAGGGTGTCTTTGCTGAGAATTACCTTATTGTAATTGCATCTGTTGGTTGCAGTTTTGTAGTCACAATTGTCAAGATTTTTCTTTAATAATTTGTCAGGCTAAGGTTGACTCTGAGTTCAGATCCTAAAGGTCATAGAAGGGTTAAAATCATAACTGCCTAGGGGGGCCAGTAGAGTTGACCTGTGTATGGATGAGCTCCTGGTGCAGAGAGTGTGGTGAGAAGGCACCCACTGTCCAGCTTCAGGCAAGTATATTACAGTGTCACAAATCTTCCCATCTCCCCTGAGGGAAGGGAGAAATCTTGATTTCTTTACTAAGTGTTCTAACTTTTTGGTTGGCAATGAATCACTTTTTAAAGTATGTGTTGGCCAAATAAAATAGATATCCAGTCACCCGCATGTGATTCTTAATTGTATTTTTAAGATAAACCAAGCAGGAGACATTTAAAAATCTTCTGTCACTTACATGTCTCTGGCTACACATGTTGTCTTATACCAACCAGGAAAGGACAACGGATCATTTCCTGGTCGTGCTACCCCTTTACCCACGTGCTCATTCATACCCTGTGATGCATGCAAATGGCACCACTGGCCTGCATCCTACTTCGTGATAACTGGTTCTTGCTCAGAAATCCAAGAGAACTTAGGCATCAGTTATCTTGTAGGTGATATGGCCAGATGGTTTGGAATAAGTGTGCCTCCCATTTCTAATTAGAGCTCATCCCTGTGTTCTGCACTGGGATTGCTGTTGACTCCTGTTATTTCTTGCTAATCCAAGCTGGAATTCCTCTGGACTCTTGTTGAGCCTCAGATAGCAATATCTGTTAGAATACTTTTTCTCATAAGACTACAGTTAAATTTTGTGGGGTTTTTTTCTTTTTTTTTTTTTTCCTACGGAGTTTCACTCTTGTTGCCCAAGCTGGAGTGCAATGGCGCCATCTCGGCTCACTACAACCTCTGCCTCCTGGGTTCAAGCAATTCTCCTGCCTCAGCCTCCTGAGTATCTAGGATTACAGGCACATGCCACCACGCCCAGCTAATTTTTTACATTTTTAGTACAAACAGGGTTTCACCATGTTAGCCAGGCTGGCCTTGAACTCCTGACCTCAGGTGATCCGCCCACCTTGGCTTCCCAAAGTGCTGGGATTATGGGCATGAGCTACCGCGCCTGGCCTAAATTAAATTTTGTAAATTCTGTTTACATGAATGGTCTTTCTGGACTTTGAAAACAACTCCGCCAGTGTAGGAAAGAGGAATGGGTGGCCCTGGCTGTGCCCACTTCTGCAGATGGTTCCCAGGAGGGAAGCCAGCCCACCCCAGCATGGCTCCTCACCCTGAGCACTGAGTGCTGGGGACCACCCGCTACCTCCTCAACACAGGTGACCAAGGCCGGAGACCCAGAGATCATCTAAGAACAAGGCTGTTGCTAACACGTGGCTGATGATTTCTTTATGTACCCTTTTATGCCGGGTTTGAGGAGTAAGATTTATCTGAGAATAAGTACATAGCATATTTCCCTATGTATCCATTCCTCTCTCCACCCCATACACACATCTTTACGTGTGTTTCAGGAGGTGGGGAGGGAATAAAAATTTAAACAGTCTCCAGGGCCCTGAAGTTTCTAAACTGCTAAGTGTCCAATCCACAGCCTGGCGAGCTGATGTGGTCTTGGCATCAGGCTGCAGTTGTAAAAATGCTCTGCTGCTTCTCCAAACAAACACTGGAGCCCTCAGGGCACATCTAACAGAGCCAGCCGTCAGCCACACACCTGCCCTCAGCCAGCTCTAGCGCCTTCCTGCAACCAGTGTCCACACGCCCCACGACAGCTAGCTCCCAAGGACTGAGCCAATCCACTTTCACTCCTTGGCAGGCAATTGCTCAAGTGCCTGAGCTGAACAGGCTTAGCTTCAGGATCAGTTTAATTTTCTGCTGTCCTAATTGCTGTGCTGGTGCCTGGACTTAAACAACCTATTCATTTGAATCTCCAAACAACTTCCTATTCATTTGAATCTCCAAACAACTTCTAACTCATGTTCCAAAACTTCCTAACTTCTAAAGTTGTGATTTTTTTTTTAACCTGGAACTTTCAGGATGCTAGCCTGATTTTCTAAATTTTGCCTGACTCTAGATTAAGTCTAGCTTGTCGAATGTTCTTCAAGAAACACACTCACCATTCCTCAGCTTGCCAGTGGTGAGGTCCAGTCTCTTTCACCGTATAATTAGCGGGAAGTGTCCCCTGCCCTCCTTAGCCAATACCCAGGCTGTTAGCCATGTCTCTCAAGGGAAGTCTGCCAAGCACAGAGGACAATATTTTACCAAAGGAACACAGCATAAATAAATGTTCTTATCCTGTGTACCTTTTTCACTTTTATGATCAACACTGATATAAAGAACAACAATAGCATTAAAATTAACTGAAGTTATGAGTACCTAAGTAGAATGATAATTCATTATGTGAAGAGGGTGGTTGATTAATGAGCACCATTAACAAGTTCATAGTTTCAGTGGTCAAAATTACAGATCTGATTATGTGCAGTGTAACATGCTCCATTGATTTTCAAGTACTTTTTCCTAACACCAACAATTATTTAAATACCATGTGTTCTATGACTTACACAATTTTGAGTTCTCAAAAACATCTTTAATTACTATCCTGACCACTGTGTTAGCTTTAGCACTTTTTAGTTAAATCGAGGACACTAGCAATCATTTCTCTTTCAGATGTTATACTGCTAATTTTAGTGATAATACGTGAAGAACTTGCAACCATTAAACCAGAGCTGTGTGCAAGTAACAATCTAGTTAAGCCAGGGTAAATGAAATAGCCATTATGAAAGATCCATAAGTTAAGAGAGCAACTAAGAAGAATAGAAGAAAAGAAATCGAGTTTTAGATTCTAAAATGTTGTTTAGTATCATAAGTTGACCTCACTGGATGAGACTGTGTTAGCCAAGAAGTCTCTTGCTTAGTTAATTTTGTGATTTGGCAAATACAGTCTGTAAAACATTTTTCTTTAACAGCATGCAGTCCCTTTTTAAGTGTGCATTCAGTGAAAAAGGTTCTATGCTGGGACCCAAAAATGCAGCCCTACCGCCATTATTTACAAAAATATATTTCTAGGTATATGTCCAAAAGAAATGAAAACAGGGACTCAAACAAATATTTGTATACCTCTGTTCATGCAGTATTATTCATGATAGCTGAAAGTTAGAAGCAACCAAGTGTCCTTTGACAGAAGAGTGGATAAACAAAAATGTGGTCTATCCATACAACGGAGTACTATTCAGTCTTAAAAAGGAAGGAAATCCTGACACATGCTACAACATGGATCAGCCTTGAGGACATCATGCTACATGAAATAAGCCAGTCACAGGAAGACAAATACTGTATCATTCCACTTATATAAGTACCTAGAGTAGTCAAATTCATAGAGACAGAAAGTAGTATGGTAGCTGCCAGGGGCTTGGGGAAGAAGGCAATGAGGAATTGATGTTTAATGGCTAGAGAGTTTCAGTTTGAGATGAAAAATTAGCGAGACAGACAGTGGTGATAGTTGCACAACTATGTGCATGACTCAATGCCACTGAATTATACACTTAAAAATAGTTAAAATGGTAAATTTTAAGTTATATATTTTATTACAATAAATATCTTCTAAGGCCAGGCGCAGTGGCACATGCCTAATCCCAGCACTTTGGGAGGCCAAGGTGGGCGGATCACTAGGTCAAAAGACCGAAACCATCCTGGCCATCCTGGTTGAGTGGAAACCCCGTCTCCACTAAAAATACAAAAATTAGCTGAGTACGGTGGCACACACCTGTAATCCCAGCTACTCGGGAGGCTGAGGCAGGAGAATTGCTTGAACCCAGGAGGCAGAGGTTGCAGTAAGCGGAGATCACGCCACTGCACTCCTGCGTGGTGACAGAGCAAGACTCCATCTCAAAAAAAAAAAAAAAAGAAAGAAAGAAAGAAATGTTCTAATACTGGTAGAGTGATTTAGACAGGTTTTGAATTCTTGGCACCGCTCATCATTCTAATCAATGGTCAGCCTCTGAGCATTGGAGCACTCAGTGGTACTTGTACACTTGGCTTGTCATCAAGTGTTTCCCTTTTAGACTGTTAGGCCAAGGATGGCTAAGAAAGTTACTGTCCAGCCGATAGCAAGAGAATATTTATGTTGTTGGTACATGTCTACCAGAGACCACAGAAATGCACAAAGCTACATTTGAAGCATGTCACCGGCAGTATTCCAGCATTATTACTGACAGTGGTGACAGTGAGAAAACCAAACTGCCTTGAAAAAACACCTCCTGAATTGTTACCACAATACCCCAGAGTTAGGCAGCGTGTACCGCCAAAACACTGGTGATGCCCAGATTCTTGCAGTCTCAAGTGAAGAAAGCAATATGTTCTGCTGCATTATTTTTAGGCACCAGAGAGTGAAATATGGGTAGTGTCAGGCCAGTCGCTTCCATGGCTATCAATTTTTGATCTTCTTTACTAGTAACAGTGAGGGTGGCACAAATTATCCATGGACAGAATAGGAATGTGCCCAGCATTCTGGAAGCTTATAGTGCTTCAAATCAAATCCACACAGCTCCCCACGTGCAGAATTGTGCAGTTCCCCCCTTATGGGCTTGATTTTTTTTAAATGTAAGAAAAGATATTCAGCATTTGCTACCTAACACTTAGGGCTCGGGTCCCTCTCAGTTGAATGAAGCTCTAATTATGCATCTTGACTTATTCTGTAGTTTCTAAGTAGCCTTTCCATTCAGGGTATTCTTGTGGCTGTCTGTGAACTAGAAACTCACAGAGGGCAGGAGCCATGGCTTGATCATGTTTGTCTCTCCCATTCCTAAAGCAGACTAAGCACATGATAAATGTTTATTGATCCACTGCAGAAATGAGTGAATAAACGCAGATCCTATCTATGGGAGTGCCTTGGTGCCTTGCCTACTGTGTGGTTTCTCCTCCCAGCTCTGAGAAGTGGCTTGGCGGACTCCAACCTATGCGCTTTACGTCATTACTGAGGCAAGGAACAAGTCATACTCTTGCTTCCCACTTCTCCCTGCAACCCGCTTTCCCTGGGCTGCAGCCTCTTTTCTGTAATTGAAGTCACCTTGAAGAAGACCATGCCCAGAGCATAGAATTTTGCCTCTCTCCCCATGTGAGGACCATATATGTTTATATTTATTATGTGTGACATCTGTAAGGAACCTATTACAGAGCCCTTCCTTCCTTCAAACAAGTTTATTAACCAGCAGAGATAATAATGACCAAATGAAAAATAAAAGCCAGATTTACCTTGCATAATCTAAATTAATAATAACACATCCATGAACAAATGTCTTGCCACTTGTATTATTTATTACTTATTTGGTGATGATGATGACAGCTAATATATATTAAGTGTTAAGCATCTGCCTCTTACTAAGCCCTGCTGTAAGCTTTTTACGAGTATTATCACTGTTTCGCTTTGTAATGACTCTGTAGCACATATTCTGTTGTCCTGTTTTACACTCAAGGAAACCAAGACTGAGCAAACTAAGTTGCTTAAAGTTGCATGGTCAGTAAGCAACTGAACCAAGGGGTAAAGCCAGGCTGCTGGTCTCCAGAGCTTCCACTCTGAGCCATTATGATACTTTGGTTGAAATAAAATAGACCTAGGCAAAGATAGACACAAGATCTACCTGTTGAGCTGGAAAGAAAGCAGCTGAAAATTCTGTGACTTGAATTATTATGATACTCATATCTCTCCCTTCACCCAGTTAATAAAAGAAGCACCCTGCAAAGCCAAGTGTGCAGGCTCTAAGCTACTCTTGGACACAGGCTCTGCTCACTTAAGGTCAGGAAGCAGAGAGGAGACCTGGGTGCCTCTGGCTCCTTTGGAAGCTCCTTTAGCATATGAAGCATCTAAGTAGGCTTGAAATATGCCACAAATGAATGGTCATCTTCACGCACCAATAGTTTTCAAGCCTCCATGGTATGTGTGCATGTTGTAAAATCCACATTGGTGCAGCAGCCTGTCTTACCCACATGCGGTGACTCTTTCCCTCCTCCTATCTGGTACCACATGGCATTAGGCCAGAGACTCCCACAAACAAAGCCTGTTGTTGCTTTGTGTACACTTCATTGTCACAGGGGACCAGGCTCCACACTTCTCAGCATCACTCTTAGTGGTTTGGCTCACCTTGGTGACTCAGGAGTCACAGTTAACATCATTTCCAACCCACAGCAAAGACTGGGACTTGAAATTTCTTCTGTGTTCTTATTACTTCTTCCATTGTCACTTGTTAGATTCTGAGAGAAGCAAATAAGGCTGCCCGTCTGTGGATGGAGCAGGCTCCAGCGCCCTTTTCATTGTAGTTGTACCTCTGAGGACTAATGAGGAGTCACTTGCTTGTGTTCTTGGAAGCATCTGTGGTCCAAAGGCAGGAATTCTCAACTCTGGACTGAAAAGATGCCATGCAGCAGGAGGAATTGCACTTTAGCAAGTGAAATATTGTGGGCTTGTGAACCCTTCCTTCAGAAACAGACACGGTTAGTATGTGGCTCTGATATGGGAGCAGTTGGTGAAGATGAATGTGATACAGCAGTTCCTGTTCTTTGCCCCTGATGATGCAGTGTGGCACCTGATGCTGAGATAAGTATTATCTTCCAGCGATGTCGCGAAGTGGCATGTTAAGCCTTTATGGTGATTTGTTGCACCTTGCCATTTTGGCTGGCATTAGAGCTCTAAACTCATTTTCTTCCCAGCTTTCTGCCCTTGCTTGTGTATTCCCAGTGGTATTTCTCATTAGCATTATCTTCTGTTAAGCAGGAAATGGTCTCTGCTTCTCAACCCTGGACAATGCTGAGTATGTTTCTAGCGCTCAGTTAAAAATATTTACTGGCATTAGTATGCCTTTTTTCATGTATTTCAATATTATTTTACTTTACGACAGTATTAGTATTAGTCTGAAAAGTAGTTCCTGAAAGTTGTTAAGTATTTTTACATAAATTTGACAAGGACGTATTTTCATTTTTAATCACAGCTAATCTTAGTTTTATACCAAACCATTTGGTTTTCACATTAAACCTTGCAGCTCCAGACCACTTTATAGCCAAACCAAGTAATAGGAAACTGGCAGGGCCTTATAACATCGTTTGTAATTGTTACAAAATATGCTTTGAAATATCATCATAAATATGTAAAATTAAAGTTAGCAAAAATAAGTGTATAGACTACATTTGGAGCCTGTGATACCCCTGATTTTAATTTTTTTCTCTCTCTCACTAGCAAATTTGCTAAATTTGTTAATTTGTAGACTGTTTCTTCTTAATTTGTGAGAAAAATAAGTTAGTTCCATATTCACTTTTCTTAAAATAACTGTTTTCTAAAGTTCTGTTTATAAGTGGAATCAACACTAAATTATTTGTGTTACTAGAGGAGAAAAGAGATCCAACTAAAACAATAGATAATCACAAATTGTTTAGATACTAAAAAAGTGCTGAATTTTGTGGAACAAAGCTGATTTATGGACCATCTACTCCTTTCTTACTATAAATTGTATGGAGCAGGATTTAACCATCTCAAACCTACATAGTGACAAGTATCTTTGCAATGGAATGCCCCTCACTGGGCCTTATCATGGTGTGTTCACACCTTTACTTATAGCACAGACTCCATGCCATGGTAGATAGTTTATGAAGACGAGTTTTTGCTCACCCATAATCCAGATTCACTATAATATTATGCATGTAAGTTCTGCCTAGACTCAATGGAAGAAGTTAAATTAAATATATTGCCTTCCTGTTTGACTTTGGAATTAAATTTCTCTATAAATATCTTATCACGCTCCTAGGAGATAGTTTCCTTAGATAAAGAAATCTTGTGAGTGAAAGGAAGGAAAATGAAGGTGGAAAAGGATAAATGTCATCGATATAGCACAATGAGAAACACCACACCTAGCAAGAAGAGACCCGAGTCCTATTTTCTCCAACCATTGTATATTCATTTTCTTTCTCTTCCGCTCGAAAAGTGAATTTAAAAGGTCCTATAGCAGTATATCACAGACACATGTTAACAAATGGCTGCCCAAAAAGTTACATCTTCAAAAATACCATGTTGATTTGGGCAAAAAAAAAAAAAATGCTTATCAAATTAGTAAGACAAAACCTTTTGCTTTTTGTGGCAGCAGTTGTGGGGGTGAAGGAAAATAAAAATAATAAGTCTAAAAGTAATAGGTCTACTTCCCCTGTTGCCGAGTACACTCTCTGAACACTTCATAAAGTGTACCTCCATGTAGCCTTTTCAGATAGCAGTGATTTAGACATAGAAACAACATTATCAGTAACAAGGAAGAAAAAAACCTTAATTGTCTAATTGATGGCTATTATGAGATTCCGTATAATTCATGGAATTGGTAAGAATTTCACCCAAGGCAAGAATTTAGCATGGTGTATGCGTGTACTTTTATTTAGTCTTCAGGAATCACATGGATTGATTGCTGATGAGACTATTTTTTAACTACCAAGCATATATATTCATATATGCTCAATGGATACAAATTTTCCAAGATGTTATTTTTTTCTTAATGTTGGGTCCATTTTTTCTTCTGTAAGTACTCATTTCTGAAACAACAGTGTAAGTAATTTGGAAACATGATTTAGTATGCAAGTATTCACTTTACACTCCTGTCTTTTGGAATGCATTTGATGCACATATTTGTTCAAACTAAATAAGGCAAAGAATTTAAAGAGCTAGAAAGAGTCTTGGAGTTCATCTCTTGCTAACCTCTCATTTTATAGATGAAAAAACAGAAACCCAGATAGGTTCGATGCTTCTGTTGGGTGAGGGGAAAACCCACAGCTGTGAATCCTAATTTACAGTTTCTGCACACATTTCTTTAATGTGACTTTTTTGATGACTGCTTAACAGAGTGATGTCAGCTATGCTAAAGTCCTGACATGTCAGTGACAATACAAGGACCACACGATGAATTTGAGGATATCTGTATTTTTCTGGTACAGCTAGGTGGGCTCTTTTAAGACAGAAGTCTTAATCTGTGAGAGCCTCCCGAAATCTAGAGAAAGTTCTCAGCCAAGAAAAGGTCCCGGTGTGATTGATGGCTGTGCTGGCCGCACAGTTATAGTCAGTTACAGTCCTTGCTCCTTCAAACTATCAAGCAGTAAATTTGTAAATGAGCTGAGCGTTTGTTGTTATTAAAGCTTCATTTTACCATTCTCTCTGTGCAACAAGCACTTAACATTGTACTTGCTCAAGGGTTAAAAAAAAAAAAAAAAGCATCCCTAAATTATATATAGGTAGTCTTGGGCCTATAGGTAATCTCTTTGGGGCTTTTAAAAGAAATATACAAAGATTTTCCTACCTTTCTGTGTATTCTTACAAATAAATGTTAAGACTCATGGCCTGGGGAAGGAGGAGAAACTCATTAAGGGAGCAAATTGCAGGGAGATTCCTGAAGAATCAGTCTCTGAGCCAGTCCAGGCACTTTAATTTTGTCTGGCCCTGGCATTATTATTGTAACTGAGTAGAAGGCCATGAGATCATAGCCTCTCCATAGCTCCCGATAGCCATCAAAGGTGACTGGCTTCTATTACTTTTGAAGTGACAACCACATTTGAAGATGGTATAGACTGACCACTGATTGTCAAAACTAGTCCAAAATAAAACCATTCATCCATACTTACTTCTGCCACATAACTTGCAGATGCCCTGCAGCAAAAATAAATTAGCTCTAAATTTTCTGTTGAGCACAGTCTTCCGATGGGGCCTCTGTGTGAATGTTCTTCAGTCATTTTGCTGAGGGCTAAGAGATGAGGGTAAGACCCTTGGGCTATAGGAGTAGCTAAAAACTGAAATATTCCCAAGGAAAGATTCTACATTAGATTCATGGATAATTAAGGCAAAACACAAATCTCATTCATTCTGGACCTAAATAACCTTTTCCTGCTAGAGAACTTTTTTTAAAAAGTTGCAGTGTTTACTGTCTGAGGAAGGCTTATAAAGGTTATGCTTCTTGCATCCAGAATGTGCAGAAATTCTACAGCTATAAATGTCTCAGCAGCAAATGGGCTGTGTGGCATGCTACAGCCACAGCCTGCTAGGTAATTTACGTTGCTCAGGGACTGTAGTTTTTCAATAGATTGAACTGTTAGTTTTCAGGAGGATTTAATGAAATATTGAACCAGATGCCACTGGTCTGCCATAGATGTGGGACTATGAGAAATGAGGAAATGTCACTCTGTAAACAGCTTGGACCTCTGTGAGTAGGGGAAAAAATTGTGTCCTTAGTGAAAGAGAATCACAACCAAGAGAAAACATGGCAGTTTGGGGGTAAATGTGTTTGTTTCTATGTCCATGTCCTGTGTTCATTTAAAATGGGAGGCTGGGTCTAGGACGGAGATCCAGAAAAATTGTCTGAATCTGGAGAAAGCTAAATAGAGGCTGAGATTTTTCCGAGTCTTTCTTGTTGTCCAGTGGTAATCCTCTGAATGGCCCTATACAGATGCTCCTGGACTTTTGATAGGATTATGGTCCAGTCAACCCATCATAAGTAAGAAATGCAGTTATTGCACCTACCCTACCCAACTTCATAGGTTAGCCTAGCCTCCCTTAAATGTGCTCAGAACACTTAGGTTAGCCTAAGTGTTGGGGAAAATCATCTAACACAAAACCTATTTTATAATAAAGTGTGGAATATCTCATTTAACTTATTGAATACTGTGCCGAAAGTGAAAAACAGAATGGTTGTATGGATACTCGAAGTACAGTTTCTACTGAATGCGGATAGCTTTAGCACCATTGTAAAGTCGGAAAATCATAAGTCAGGGACCGTCTACAATTGCTTTTGCTGTATTCTCGTTTTCAGCAATATAAAGACATACCCGATACTGAGCAGTTTACAAAAGAAAGAGGTTTAATGGACTCACAGTTCTACGTGGCTGGGGAGGCCTCACAATTATGGCGGAAGGTGAGAAAGGTGGCAAAGATACAGATAAAGCACTGTTCCTGAATAACATTTCAAGTCTTGACCTTTTTTTTTTTTTTTTTTTATAACTTTACAGACTTACCTATTCCCTGCAACTCATTCAGGGTATAGATGATCTTGTTTTATGGTCTTGCTGCAATTCATAGCCTGTTAGTAGCTGTGTCTTCAATGTACTGGGAAATTTATCTTTGTACAGGAAGGCACTGTTTCAAGACCCAGAGCTGTGTTCCTCAATAGTCCAAGGAACCTGTCTCAGAATCATCCGGGTACTTACAACAGTGCATACTTCTTTGTCATACCCCAGGCATATTGAATCAGAATGCAGGATGGAGGAATCTATACAAGTTCCCCCAGTGATAGGGATCCTCACTGATGTTTAACAACCACTGCTCCAGAGGGGTGGGCCAGCTGCCGACATTTCTTGTGTCCTAATTGTGAGGAAGGTTCTTAACCATAGAATGTTAATGTAAACACAAGAAAAAAAAAAAAGAAAAAAAAAACTTCTGCTTAACCTCAGCCCATTTGAAGCAGAAAGAAAATTGCAGGGAAACCCAAATCTGTGGTCCTGATTCTGCTGTTGCTTTAAGATCATCTCACCAGCAAACACCATGGTTTGGTCTCGAAAGGGTCCCAGATGAACTAACTCACCTGGCACTGTAATTAATTGTACCAGAGTATGATGATGCATGAAACAATGTTCACTGTGTGTATGTATGTATATCTACTTACATATACACACAAACACATATGTTTTTCTTGTGCTTATTTAAGTTTTCATCTTTCTTAATAAGGAACTGTACTCAGTTCAGGGATTAGGAGTGGTAGAGAGACATATTGATTCATTCAAAGAATACTTGAGATGACTACTTACTCAAAGCCCTAAGCTAGGTGCCGAGTATTATAGTCTAAGTGGAACCATTAACCATGTACCTAGACAATTTTAGATTGAAAATGATAAAACACCATAGGATGTGTGGGTAAAGGCTTCACAAGCTCAGAGGGAAAACTGGCTTTCAGTTGGAAGAATTTGGCAAGAAGGTGGTGGCAATTATGTTGAAATTTTCAGATATAATGGTAATGATATATATGCTGTTGGAACAAGTATTAGCATATGAATGATTATTATTTTCACAATATTTCTTAACACTTGGTAAAACCAGCAGAGCATCTATTTTGCTGTGTTAGAATCGGGCCAGGGTCAGACAAATAATATGAGTCAATTTATAAAACAAATAAAAGATTAAATATGACTTTGGAAGTAAACTCGTAACTGCCCAGTGGGTTCTTGCTGCCTGCTGCACAGATAAAACCAATTCACTGAGACTGTGGCATTGCAATAAAGAAAGAGCACAATTGACACGAGGTCGGCTATGCCATGTAGGAGACAGAGTTATTATTCAAATCAATCTCTCCAAACATTTAGAGGCTGGGGTGTTTCAAGAATAGCTTGGCAGGCCAGAGAGTCTGCTTCTGGGTAGGGCCACAGGATCTGTTGGTGGGTCTGTGTGGGGCATGGGTTGCCAGCAATGCAAAAACTTCAAAAGACATCTCAAAAGGCCAATCTTAGGATGGATGTGGTGGCTCACCCCTGTAATCCCAGCACTCTGGGAGGCCGAGGTGGGTGGATCACTTGAGGTCAGGAGTTCAAGACCAGCCTGGCCAACATGGCAAAACCCCATCTCTATTAAAAATACAGAAGTTAGCCTGTGTGGTGGTGTCGCCCATAATCCCAGCTACTCTGGAAGCTGAGGCAGGAGAATCTCTTGACCTGGGAAGCAGAGGTTGCAGTGAGCTGAGATCACGCCACTGCACTCCAGTCTGAGCAACAGAGCGAGACTCTGTCTCAAAAAAAAAAAAAAGGCCAATCTTAGATTTTACAATAGTGGTGTTATCCACAGGAGTAAAGGGAAGTTGCAAATCTTGTCACCTCCAGAATAATGGCTGGTAACCATTTTCCTTTACACTTTAGCAGAATTCTGGCTCTTCATCCCCCTAACCTGGTGGTCTTTCATTAGCTTTACAAAGGTGGTTTAGTTTTGGGGAAGGGTTATTATCATTTAAACTATAAAAGAAATGTCTCCCAAAGTTAGCTTGGCCTAAGTCTAGGAATAATTAAGGACAGTTTACAGCTTAAAGGCAATATGGGGGTTGGTTAGCTAAGATCTCTTTCACTGTCATAGTTTCCTCACTGTTATAATTTTTGCAAAGGCAGTTTAAAACCAAAAGATCAGAGCAAAGACATATGGGTTTGAGGTTTTACAATGTAAGAATTGTAATATATTATAGTTGATTTGATGAAAGAATTATCAACCAAGCAGTATAAGCACAATACTGACCAAGTGTGGAGGATTATTGAGCTCAGAAATAGTCATGCAGTAAGAGGCGAGGGAAATCTATAGGGAAAGTGCAATTTGCTGTCTCTTATTAAAATAAAAATATGCCTTGCTACCTGAGTAAGAATGCACATACTTTTTTTAAAAAAAATCTTTGTCATATGACTGCCTATTACTGTTTGAATCATAACCTCCATTGCTGCTTTCATTCAAAAGAAGCCATTAAATTCACAGACTTCCTGCATGTGCCCAGTGTGTGAAAGCTTTAATTAAATCTACAAGTAGAGCCTTAAAAGAACAAGAATCAAATTAATTGCAACATGGTCCACGCATTTGTCTCTCTGACAGTCCCTGTGCTTTGGAGAAAAGGCAATCTGTGCACTCTTATCTGAATTAGTAAACTCAATATCACTTTCCATTAGCATGGCCAGTTGCTGCCATGTGTCTTCTGGCTGACACTGTTTACATGCTAATGCCCTCACAAATAGAGTCTGTTCCAACTGGTTTGCTATAGGATTCTGGAGCACTAAATCCAGGAGGTGGAATATGCTGTCTTCTGCTTTCTGCATCACTGGCTTTTGTGAGTTCTCTAGATTGAGCTTCGTAATTAGACTGCAGACTAATTAAGGAAAATTCACCACATGCAAATAGAGCAAAAGGATTTGCTGCTAATTATGGTTCTTATGCCATAGTCAAGACAAATTAATTTGTAATATTATTATTCAACTTTTTGGTGGCCTGCAATAGTGTAAAATAAGGAAGTGATGTTTGTGCTTAAGGAAGACTTCTACAACTGGAGTGAATAAATATTCACCCCATGAGGAAATTAGAGGTAAAATCTGTATATTTGAGGTTTTAGACAAAAAAGACTCCACAATTCCTATATAAGCTTCAGTGTATAATTACTTTGTTTTTATTTTTGTTTTATATCCAGAAGGTACTGTTTCTTAATATGTCAATGCTATAATATAATCACACCGGCAATCTAGAAATACCTACTTCCCAACTTTCAGCATTTAAATGGGAGTTTAATTCAACAGTGTATGATTTTCTTGTTTTTAAAGGCTTCACCTATGAATCCCTTAGGCCAAATGTTTAAAGCTAATGAACTGTAGCTCGTTATATTCTGCTTATATGAGGGAAATAGCCTGAAGCAGGGTGGCCTGGCTTAGTGTGCTGAGTCCAGTAGGCATCTTGAAGGTAATTTCGTTGGTTGCACATAGTTTAGAATTATAACAAGGATTTCTGCCTTGAAACATTACGTATTTTAGCGTGAGAATTGTCTCACCGGCAGAGAATTAGGTTTTCTTGCTGAAAATGTAAAGCAGATTTATTTATGAACTGTCTGCCCCATGCTGCTGTTTTCTGACTTGCTTCTCATTCCTTAGACGCTGAAGCCTAAAGAACAAGCATGTGCTCTTCTTATGACTAAAAAGTGGTTCAGAAAGCAGCATTTTAAGAGTTAAAGGCTTTGCATTGCTAACTGAGAGAAGCAGTATTCACAAAGTATTAAAAATTAAAGATTTAGTCCATCTAATGTCAAATTGGGAAATTTAAAAATTTATGAGCTTATATTGTTAATAGTTTCCTGAGGGAAAATTCATCCAGTATTTGGAGCGATTAATGAATTGCTTGTTGTATGGCAGTATAATAGAGAGAGAGAGAGAGAGAGAGAGTACAGTTAGACATAATATCGAAGTTATTTTTGGAAACAAGCTAACAAAGAAGGCTGTGTAATCTCTATCTACTGCAATCTCAAAAAATAGGCCGAATAGCCATCTATTGCCAGTGATTTCAGAGGGATGTGCCTGAAGGCAGGGAGTTGGATCTGGTGACTTCTTAAGTCCTTTCCACATCTCTCATTCCCTTAATTATTCATCAAATATAAACACAGACAATGTGATTTTCTTTATTCACAATGTCCCTGTGTGAAAAAATATATGTATACATATGTAGGATTCAGTACTCCTTTTATAGAACATTGCTGTCAACTATTAAGCTTAACCCAAAAGAAAGTTCTCTGTTAATAAGAGAACCAAAGTGCACATCATCCCCAACAGGATGGCAATTTATGATGTATTTTGATCGTCCACATGACTTGCAGGAGAGTCTGGAAGAAAGGTCATGGGAAGATTAACTGCAGGCGCACCCGGTTGGTACTGAAGCAGGATTTTGCTCTGATTAGCAAAGCACTGAAGGCCAGTCAGGGAAAAAGATCAAGGTCAGTGACCTTCCAGAAGGGAAGTCAACCTCGGCAATAATAAAGGCTGCCACTCTGTCAGGACTCCAGTCTCATGCAGAGTTGGTGACTAATATCCTTCACTCTAGCTTGAAAGCCCTGTTGACAGTTTAGTTCTAATTATTTGTGGATCAGATTGAGCAGAAATACATCTGCTTCTTTTCTATCTTGTCTTTTGACCCTCCTTTTTTCTGCCCTTTTAAAAAATGTGCACTGATTTCTCAATTATGTTTTTACTTTTTTCATATTTCTTCTGTCAACCCCATTTTCTCCTGCCTTTCTGAGGGGATGTGTTTTCTTATTACTTGTTCAAATACTGATGCCTTTTGGAAAAAGCTAAATGACTTAAGTATTTTTTAACCTTTATAAAAGTATGAGAAGCATATTCTTAGAATCACAGTGTACACTTTCTCAGCCAACCATTCAACCAATAAAGTAAGTAGTTTCTTTAGTAATTCTTTGCAGTTTCCACACCTCTTTGTTTATTCATTCAACACATTTTTTGAGAACCTACTGTTAAAATAAAAACTTTAGACAAATTAAATTTAGCAGAGTTTAATTGAGCAAAGAATGATTCACAAATCTGGCAGCCCTCAGAACCAGAAGAGGTTCACAGAGTTCCCCTTCACAATGCGAGACAGAAGGCAGGTACAGAAAGGCTGGGCTGGTTACAGCAGTGTTTCCCTTATTTGAAAGTGATCTGATTAGTTGGTTCCTGTGATTGACGGAAGCTCAGCTGCTGTGATTGGCTAAGGCTTGTTATACTTGTTACAAAAGTATACTCCTCTTAGCAGCAGCAAATCAGTAAGTGTTGGGAGCAACCTCAATTCTTGCCTCCTCAGAAGAAAGAATTCAACCCAGGGGCATAAGGCTGAGTGAGAGAATGAGGCAAGTTTTAGAGCAGGAATGAAAGTTTATTGAAAAGCTTTGGAGCAGGGAGGAAAGTAAATAGAGTACATTTGGAAAAGGGCCAAGTAGGCAACTTGAGAGGGTCAAGTGCACGGTTTGACCTTAGATCTGGGGTTGTACATATTGGCATGCTTCCAGGGTCTTGTGTCTCTTCTCCCCTGATTCTTCCCTTGGGATGAGCTGTTTGTATGCACAGTGGCCTACCAGCACTGGGGAGGGGCTGTATTCACAGTGTGTTTACTGGAGTTGTGCACATGCTCACTTAAGACATTTTTCCCTTAGCAGTTGAACAATTCTAGAAGGTCATATACCAGTTAAACTCTGCCACTTTGCCTCTTAGTGTGCATGCTTGAGCCCACTTGCCCCACTCCTGAGATCTTATTGGGAAGCTGCTGATCACCAGTTTCAGATGTTGGGTGCATGGAGTTGCTAGCCGATTCTAGTATGTGCCTAGAATTAGAATATTAATCCAAATTTTTACATTACCCACCCTCTCGTTTCTTCTGAGCTATAGCCAGAGATCATTGGTTTGTTCACAGGAATAAGCAAGGTTAGTCTAAATTGCAGACAAAAACTCAAAAAGAACTGATGAGACTAGAATCTTTTAACAGGTTTGCCGTCATTCTTGAAACACAATTTTTCTCCCTCCAATCTCCATTTTCATTAAAAACAAATCATGATAGGACTGATTTGTTTGCAAAATAAGCTTTAGTCTTGTTATACTTGGCCTGATTATTTGCATAAATCACAGCAAGAATAATTATTTGCCACATAGGCTCCTTTTAAAATTGGCTTTGATGGGCTGGGCACGGTGGCTCATGCCTGTAGTCTCAGCACTTTGGGAGGCCGAGGCAGGTGGATGAACTGAGGTCAGGAGTTTGAGACCAGCCTGGCCAACATGGTGAAACCTCGTCTCTACTAAAAATACAAAAAAAACTAGCTGGGCATGGTGGTATGTGCCTGTAATCCCAGCTACTCGGGAAGCTAAGACAGGAGAATCACTAGAACCTGGGAGGTGGAGGTTGCAGTGAGCCAAGATCGCATCACTGCCCTCCAGCCTGGGCAACAGATCAAGACTCCGTCTCAAAAATAATAATAATAATAAAATAAAAAATAAATTTGGCTTTGATGGAACTTTGTTCCATTAGGATCTCAGATAAAATGTTTTAAAGCCATAAGCCTAGCTGTGGGTTTGTACCATCAAATACCTGTATGAGTTGGGTACATTCCTCACCTCTTAAGGTCCCAAGATAACTTGGTGCTCCTAGGCCTGTGAGAAAGTGATATTCTTTACTTACCACAGGTCAGGAACACTGTACAGGGACTGCATACAGAAGGTATGAGGCCAGCTTTCCCAAGGGACTTTTATTATCTCTATAAGTCAGATTTGATTCCTTAAAGGAAAGCATGCCATTCCATTCAAAGCCTTGGTAAAACAACCAGTTTCTCCAATTGTGTCCTGCTGCGAAAGAAGTCAGATTATTACTGCACTTATGCAAATAATGTAAGTTAACTTTTTCTTGCCACAAGTTAAGAATACACAAAAATAGTTTCCAAATTCTGGAGAAATCAGGTACAGAGAAACAAATATGCTCCAAATTTTGTTTGTAGGAATATACTTTACTCAATTGTTAAAAGCTCTAAATGGAAGGATTATTTCAGTCTTCTATTAGTTCAGTCCATACATTTAACTCCTGTTCTACTTGATATTCATGACACACCATTCTTGGACTTTCTGACTTGTCCTAAATATCCCTCTTTTTTTTTTTTCTTTTCTTTTTTTTTTTTAGATGGCGCCTTGCTCTGTCACCAGACTGGAGTGTAGTGGTGCAATCTCAGCTCACTGCAACCTCCGCCTCCCAGGTTCAAGCAATTCTCCTGCCTCAGTCTCCCAGGTAGCTGGGACTACAGGCATGAGCCACCACACCCAGCTAATTTTTGTAATTTTAGTAGAGAACGGGTTTCACCATGTTGGCCAGGATGGTCTTGATCTCTTGACCTCGTGATCTTCCCGCCTCAGCTTCCTAAAGTGCTGGGATTACAGGCATGAGCCACTGTGCCCGGCCTAAATATCCCTCTTTTTAAACAACCAGTCATTTTACTTTAGGACAACAATTTACCATACAAGATCCTTTCTCATATAAAATCTATTTTCTTTATAACCTTCCTTACCAAAAATACCTCTTTACCTTTATAACCTTTGAATTAGACAACAGTCATTTTCCTTCTATTAGGAAGTGATGGTTTGTACTACATGTTGCTGTGTGAGTCCTGTGTAGGGAAAGCAAATGTGGAGGTTATCTACGTACTGTGACTGCTAATGTGAGCCACCCGTTGGGGTGACCTGAAAAATCAGCTTGGAAGAGCAGAACCACAGTGGCCAAGAGGAATTGTTCTAGGGGTTGATTAGTAAGCAGGAGAGTGAAAGGGAGGGGAAAAAAAACATGTATGGAGGTTGAACACCTGCAGCCAAAGAAGGCAAGGTGTAGAGGTGTCTTACCACTGGGGAATGTATCAGAGTCATGTGGCATCAAAGTATATTACCACTAGAGAATATATCCAAGTCATGCAGCACCAAAGTTTGTTAGAAGTAGCAAATCTGTAAGGATCTGCAGCAACCTCAGTTCTTGCCTCCTCAGAAGAAAGAATTTGACCAAGGAGCATAAGACAGAGGGAGTGACTGTGGCAACTTTTAGAGCACCAGTGAAAGTTTATTAAAAAGCTTTAGAGCAGAAACAAAAGGAAATAGAGTACACTTGGAAAAGGGTCAAGCGGGCAACTTGAGAGAGTCAAGTGCATGTTTTGACCTTTGACTTGGGGTTTTATACATTGGCATGCTTCCAGGTCTTGCATTACTTCTCCCTGATTCTTCCCTTGGGGTGGGCTGTTCGAATGCGCAGTGGCCTGCCGGCACTTGGGAGGGGCTGCATGTACACTGTGTTTATGGGAGTTGTATGCATGCTCACCTGAGCTTTCTTCCCTTACCGGTTCATTATTCCTAGAGGAAGGTCATATACCAGTTAAACTCCACCATTTTGCCTCTTAGTGCACATGCTTGAGCCCACTTGCCCAAATCCTGAGATCTTATTAGGAAGCTGCTGATCACCAGTTTCAGGTTTTTTCTGTCTACTGGGAGACTGCCATTCCCATGTGCCACCTATGACCAATTATTATTTTAGTGAGACATTTAACTACTTCCTGACCATCACCTGATGGTCGACTGATGTTCTTAGTTTGATGGCGGGTGGGGGGGCCCTCTCCTGCCCTACTTGTGTCTGACTAGCTACCTACTGTGACACTCCTGAGTTAGGCTTTCAGTTAATTTACTGCTAAGTTCAGTTGCAGTTGGTTAGGAAAGGACTCAAGTATGGAGGCATACTCAAGCCAAATTTAGTTTAGTTAACTACATGTCCGACACTGTTCTAGACATTGCAGATATAGCCATGAACAAAACAAACAGAAATCTTTGCCCTTCTGGAGATTTGAAAGCTATGTCAGATGTTTTACTCTGAGCGATCATCAAGGAGGAAAAAGTGAGAATTGAGAGTGATTCCATCTTTCTCCAAGTGTACCCCGTCTTTTTTATTTTGGGTAATGTTGGTTAAATTAACACAGTCTGCTAAAACCAGGCCATAGAAAGCGTGGCAATTGCTGGAGGCAACTTCTGAGGAGCCCACTTTGGTGGGCAGAGTGGCTTCTGCTGAGCCTATCACAGAGGGCGGCGACCTCTGCGGATCACGCACATCAGAGCCTCACTGGAAGCCTGTGTTCCTCTGGAAGTAGACGAGCTATCCATCCTGAGACTGAGGGGCGAAAAAGGAAATGAGCCTGAACCAGACTCCACGGACCAAACAAATGACCAAGTGCCAGAAAGCCTTCTGTCTTGGGCAACTGTACTTCTGCCGGAGTTAATAGCATTTTCTGCTGCTTGTGCATCTTAGAAGAGTAAAATCGTTTTGTGAACTATTTCCACCCATGACTTCTCATGACACTCAGTTGAATCAGACAAGCTGAGGGTCTCTGAGGGAAGATGAATCCGCATCAGGCTTTCCCCAGCTTAACAGTTCAGAACCCACTTTTCCTTCATCGGTGCTGGCAGTGTTGCAAAGATAATTCTCAGCTCTTGAGCCCTTTAAAATATTTAGCTTTTTAATACGTGAAAAAAAAAAATACCTTAAAAAAGAAAAAGTGGAACTCAAAGGAAACCCCTTCTTTTAAATATAATGGTTCAATTTTAAGATGAAGATGAGTAGCATTTGTTGGGGGTCTTTAATTACGCTGGTCTGTGGCTTACCTTAGGAGCTAGCTGCCTTTGATGCTTTCAGTTCTTATTCTAATTTAACTATTTTTTTCCTATGCCATTATTGTACCATGAAAGGAAACTCCCTCATAAACCCATCATATTGTTCACTGTAGAGAAGCAGCGTGTGAATATGTTTATAGTTGCTGAATATATTCAAAAATGTCTTTTTTATATGATTATGGTCCTGAATGTTTATTTTTATTTATTTTATTTTATTTTTTACTTTAGCTTCAGAGGGTACGTGTGCAGGTTTGTTACTTGGGTATATTGCATGATGCTGAGGTTTGGGCTTCTAGTAATCCCATCATCCAAGTGGCAAACATAGTATCCAATAGGTAGTTTTCCAGCCCTTGCTCCACACCCTCCCTCCTCAAGACTCTCGTATATCTCATGTATTTTGAAATAATGGAGACATTACGCAAGCTAAACTTGAGTTCATTTTAAATATTTTAAGCTAAAGTGACCTGTCATGAATGTCACACTAGTGATAGTACCCTTTTCTCTTGCACTTATTTGTTGCTAAGCTGACTTCCAAATCGGAATTACCTAAAGGACTTTTCAGATATATAGATGTCTAGCCCACACTTTGAATTGCCCAAATAGAGAATAAACAGGAATCTTTATTTTTAGAAAGCATCATAGTTCCTACTTGGGGACCACTATTGCACTCTACTCAAAAATACATACTGCAGCTGTAAAATCACTATGATTAAATTATAACTTTGATCGCTTTCTTGTCTTTGGAAAACTAATACATGTTTATTATAAAATCTTGACTCATAGCAGAAAAGTGCCAAGAAAAAAGTAAAATAATCTATCATCTTTCCCTGCCCCCAAGTGCTGTGACTGCTCTGATGACCCTCTTTTCGTATAGCACTGTGAGTGTGCACGGGTATGCATCTGTCAGTCTGTCTCCCTGTTGGAGGGAGAACAGTGCTCTATGTGCGTTTCATAGCCCATTGTTTTTCGCGCAGTGTGTCACAAATCTTGCCACACCAAGAGTTGTATTTAACGATGTACTGTTAATAATCCCCCCAGACTCAGCTACAGTTAAGGTTGTAGTCACACAGCACTTATAATTAGATAAGTTTACTTTTGTTTCAAAACTTTCTTTGTTTTCATTGTAAGTCATGGACTTCCTCGTTTCCAAAACCTAAACAAAATAAACCATAGCTTCTAAATGGATTTAGACATTAAAAGCCTTCTCAAGTATGTCACTTTTTTTTCTTGATTAAAAATATTTAACTCTTACAAGTTATTTAAATATGGCTAAATTCTGTTATGGCTAAAATCCTAATTTTTTATTTTATTTCCAAAGATTTGATGCTGTGACTTTCTTATCAGAATCACCATTGTTGCTCATAATATAATCAATCGGGAGAGACAAAAAAGAGGCAGGAAAGCGGTGAACTTGTGATGCGATGACATAAAGGAAGAGAAGCTAATGCTGTGTTGTTTGTCCTGCAATATCTGCTTCATTTTGCTTTCAGCAGAGGTTTCCTGGCTGCTTTTTCCTCCTTTCTTTGCCCTTCTCCTCCTTCGTTCATTCTCCAGGAGCCTCGTACGGAATCTCATTCATCCTCAGCAGGAATATATGTATTGAGTCACATTCCAGGCACCGTGTTAACCAATGGGAGGAATAAAATAGTTAACCAATGGGAGGAATAAAATAAAGTAGGAGGAATAAAATGGAATAATCAATGGGAGGAATGAAATAGTCAAAGTTGCCACCCTCATGAAGCTGTCAGTTTTGGGGAGACTAAAAATAAACAGGTAGACAAAGGGTATTATGTGGTGTTTACATCCTCAACCTCAGAGGTGATTTGTCCCAAGTCTAGGTGGAACCGGCCTGCCACTTGGGCCCCAGGCTGTCTCCAGCTCAGGAAATCTGACATGGGGCACAGGTGGCCAATTCTGGCCCATGAGTAGAAGTCCACTCTGGGTCTGTGAAGGATGACTTAGACTTCTGTGTTCTATCCCTGTCTTTATGCTGATCTCCCAAGATACTGGAATGACCAGGCAACCACTTTGAACTTGAATTTCCCTGTACTGCATCCTCTTCCTCATCCCAAAGTTCCTGCCCAGGTCCACACCCACACTGCCACCCTAACCAGAAGATCTTCTGTCCCACCTGCTCCCTCCGTTTCTTTGCACAGACACAGTATTCAAGCAGGCAAGTTCATGGCCTGCCCTGCTGAAGTGGACAATCTTTGGTCTTGAGCTCCAGCATTTTGCCATTCTGGAGCACGAATAAATCTGTTTCAAGTTTATTTCATCTTCTCTGTTTCACTGATTGGTTTGATGTGTTTTATCCTGCTGCAACTATGTAAAAGGAAAGGGATGTGCTGTTTTTGAAAGTCAGAGGGTAAAGTCCCACTGACTTTAATGATAAGTCCATTAAAAAGATCTGTCCTGAGAGTCTTGGATACCCTGTCCTCTGTGCCTTCAGAGGAGACGAGTGAGATGAGTGAGGTTGCACAGACCCCACTGGACTGTTGGGTGGAGAAGAGAAGGGGAGCCTCGGCCCGAGCCCATATCATAGGCTGAAACATAGATGTAATGCTAAGAACAAGTGACGAAGGTTTAATGACTTATTTTACTTTAATATATACCAAGAAGCTAAGGAAGACAATTTGCCCTAATCTATAACACTGGCCTAAAGCTGAACAAATGCCTATGCTGAACAAATATCATTTTTAGGAAAAAGTTATATGAGGATTTGCCCTATGTATTTAGGATTTATTTTTGATGTTTAACCTTTTTTAGATTTTTTTCAGTTCTTAAATTTTTAAAAGTTGTCACCTACCACATGAGTGTTAGTAAAGAGTGCTGAGTGAGAGCGTCCCTTTGTCCTAGTCCTCTGGTCCTAGGTCCAGGCTAGCCTCACAGATAGCAGTTGCCCAGGTAAGACACCTGAAAGGGTCTTGCCACGGGCCTTGAATTCTAATGCAGACTTTCAAAGGATACCACTTTCTTTCACCAAGTATAATCTAACTATCTTGTTGGTTTTCTTTTTTTAAGAGTAATAAGTTAGTTGCTGTAGTTTTGAGATATATTAACAGCAAATGTACTTTGCCAATGAGTAGACAATGGTATATTTTACATGCAAAGATAGAATTAAACCCACTAATTTCATCTGATTACTAATTGTTAAAAAAAATAAAAAAAAAAGATAGTTTCTATCCTTCTATCCATGCCAAATACTTTCAAAATTTGTACATGACCATCCAGACATCCATCTCTCCTGTAGGGCTCAGCTCTCTGTCCTCTAGGGTAAGGCTGGCTGGGTATTCTTGCACCCTGTGCTGTGCAGGCCACACTTCACCAGGCCCCCCAGGAGCCCCACCAGGAGGCACCGCATGATCTCCATATTCTACACGCGTAAACTGAGACACAGAAGCTGATCACCTTGCTCGGGGTCCTGTGACTAGTAGGAGTGGGGCTGGGGTCGCGAGCCAGGCAGTGTGGTGTTTGGGCCTCTGCCCTGACCAGCCTGCCTCCTGGTAGTTGTCTCCCTATTCAGGTTTGTCACTAGACATTACCGTCTGGCACAGGGCCTGGCAGGTCAGTGGCCTCAGGTGGCTCTGGGTCTGTGGCCACCGTACAGAGCGATTTGAACTGTTCATCTCTATGACCCGTCTTTGTGTGTCTTGTTAATAGATGTTTCCCAGGGAGTATATGAGTTGCATAAAAACATATGTTCCTTTTGTGAAAAGTTTCTCTAGGCAGGCATATGGAATAGAGTGTGAAAATCATGTGACCACTGGAGGCCTAGTGCCTTCACCTGAAGAGGCAAAATTCCTGGGTAACAAGAATCTACAGAGGAAAAACAAAATAAAATACATAGGTACTATGTTAACGTATAAATGAAATGTGTCTCCCAATGTTGCCCCTTACCTCCTCCATACACAGTCCTGTTCCCCAGGGGGAAATCTGGTTTCTAAATCTGGAAAAGGAAGTATATTTACTTCTATTTGTTATTTGTTGGACATTTTGTGAAGAGATAGGAAAGAAATATTATGCAGAATATCTCATTTGTAAAAAGAGAGATACACAGAAGGTTTTTAAGAATAAAAAGTATTGGAGGCTGAGGCAGGCAGATCACGAGGTCAAGAGATCAAGACCATCCTGGCCAACATGGTGAAACCCCGTCTCTAATAAAAATACAAAAACTAGCTGGGCGTGGTGGCGGGCACCTGTAGTCCCAGCTACTAGGGAGCCTGAGGCAGGAGAATCACTAGAACCTGGAAGGCGAAGGTTGCAGTGAGCGGAGATCGTGCCACTGCACTCCAGCCTGGGCAACAGAGCGATACTCCATCTCAAAAAAAAAAAAAAAAAAAAGAATGAAAAGTATTTTGTTTCTTTGTAAGCTGAATCACCCCATCTTGATGGTCTGTGACTTTTTATTTAGCTTAATATGTATGAGGGCTCTTTCCATGTTAACCAGGATATATTGATCTACCTCAACTTTAGCTGTAGCTTCGTATTTTAACATTCCTTTTTTGACAGAAATGTGGGCAACTGCCAGGATTTTCTTCTGCTTTGTTTCTGCTTTCAGAGCAACAGTTGCCCTGCACTCTTGTGCATGGCCCTCAAAGCTGTTCTTTCTTGCCAGCTCTCACCTCATTTTCCACATAGCACTAAGATTTGAACCAAGGCTGAGAGACTCCACCATGTCTGTCCAGCCACTGTGTTGCACTCATGTGTCAGGCACAGCGCAAGGTGACATGGGGGAAACTGAGGCAGAGGCATTCCTGCCCTTCTAGGCCTTACATTTGAGGTTCAAAGACATCTAGATACTAATAAAATAATCACAAATTTAAATGTACAAATGCACTGTGACACAGGTAACAGAGGAGTGACGTGCATGGTTCTGTCTGCAAGCTCATAATAGAGAGATTGACTTAGAGTGGGCAAGGAGGGCCTCCCTTGGGAAGATTTTTTTTTTTTTTTTGAGACAGAGTCTCGCTCTGTTGTGCAGGCTGGAGTGCAGTGGCTTGATCTTGGCGCACTGCAACCTCCACCTCCCAGATACAGCAATTCTCGTCTGTCAGCCTCCCGAGTAGTTGGGATTACAGGCGCATGCCACCACGCTGGGCAAATTTTTGTATTTTTAGCAGAGAAGGGTTTTCACCATGTTGGCCAGGCAGGTCTCGAACTCCTGGCTGCAAGTGACCCACCCTCCTCGGCCTTTCAAAGTCCTAGGATTACAGGTGTGAGCCACCATGCCCAACCAAAGGATTTGTGTGATAGCTACAAGCGAAAAGGAGTTAATGAGATGAACTGGGAGGTGGAGCATTCTGTGCTGTGGAAGCAACATCTGTCTTGGGTCTGTGGTGGGAGGGAATATGGTGCATCTAGGGGCTGGAGAAAGGCCAGCAAGAGAGCAGCCACTGGTAGAGCGGGCAAAGCCTGGTGGGCAAGGCGGTGGCAGACGTGGGCTGGGCCTGAACTGCCTGGTGCCTTTAGGTCAGGTGGAAGAGTTTCCATGCCATCTTAAGTAGCGTAGAAACCTCTATTGTGTTTTAAGTAAGGGCATGATGTGATCAAATTTGTGTTCAAAGTGCTCTCTGGTAACAGTGTGGACAGCACGGAGGCCAGTATGGCTTCAGAGAGATCAGCAGAAAAACGTTAGCAAGAGTAGGTGAGAGCCTAGACTAAGTTGGCAACAGAAGAGATGGAGATTTAAGAGGTGAAGTTAACGGGACTTGGATAGAGCCAGCTGTACAGGAGGAATAGCAGTGACGGCAACCATGGGGTCTGGAACCTTGGCCCACCATAGAGTGTACAGGCTTTGAGTTGGTTTCATGAGATTACCACATGTTTTTTAGGAATTGCTTTAACCTTGAAGAGCAGTTCCACTGGGCACATCAAATAATACATCTTGCTCATTCCATTCGCCTTTTGGAGATTGGTATGCAGATGGCAACTGCAAATGCTTATATTAAACATCGTATTTTTTTCTGTTTCTTTCCAGTCATTCTTAAAAGCATACAAGCTTCTCATTCCATGAGCTAAAAACATATTTCATTCCATAAACAGAAGAAACTATGTCAGAAATTGTAGGCTCCTAAATCTCACAAATGAGGTAAACATACATTAATTGTTTCTCAGATATTTATGGAGAGGCAGAAAGGAAATGTTCAGTAGTATCTCACTTTTAAAAGGTAAAACAAAACAAAAATCCAGAAGCACATAGTTCAGCGTAAAGCTAATCACAGTTGTGCATAAAATTTGAATACCATGTAGTCAGAGGAAAGGCTCCTCCCATACTGTGGACAAAGGATGTACACAGCTGAAACCTTTAGTCCTTCCCTGTGGCAGCAGCCAACATTTTGCTGCATTCTGCAGTACTGAACCAACTCATCATTTTGAAGCAAGCTCCCTGGGAAATATGTAAGTGAATAATGCTGCTCTGTGATGAATCACGGACTGAACACTTCCTGTATGTAACAGGTGGTGCGTTACCATGATGTCCGAGAAAATGTCCAGCTGAAATACTAGCCCCACACCGTGACGAAACGCACATAGAGCTCAGGCTCAGACCTATTGCCTGTGCCCAGCCCTGGAAAGACAGTGACCAAGTAATGCCCTGGTCATTTAAATTTGCTAAGCAGCAAATGACTTATTGGTGAAGACCATCAAGTTGATGGTTTTATTGTAAAATTTTTGTTAGTTTCACTGTAACTAGATTAAAGAGCAAAATATAATTTTCTTAAAATGAGGGGCTGTGCTTCAGAAGAACCTAAAGAGGCTTTTGTGTGTGTGTTGGGGGTGGGGGAGTTATGTTTAATACAGAGATCCAGACTCCACCCCAGACCTAAGACCTACCTGACATCACCAGAGATGATGTAAAAGCATGTTATTTGAAATTTTATGGCATAAATATAAGTCATAAGCCACTGGATTATTAAGATAACAGTGGCCACATTCAACCAGTTTTTCAGAAAATACTTTTCCAAAGATGGCTGAGTATAAATTATTTTTGTATGTTTTTCATTCATAGATCTCAGGGTTGAGGCTGGGCGTGGTGGCTCACACCTGTAATCCTAGCACTTTGGGAGGCCGTGGCAGGAGGATCACCTGAGCCCAGAATTCATAGCCTGGGCAATATGACAAGACCCCATCTCTACAAAAAATAAATTAGCCAGGCATGGTGGTGTGCACCTGTGGTCCCAGCTACTCAGGAGGCTGAGGCAGGATCACTTAAGTCTGAGGCTGAGGCTTCAGTGAGCCATGCTGGCACCACTGTACTCCAATCTGGGTAAGAGCAAGACTCGTCTCAAAAAAAAAAAAAAAAGGTCTCAGGGTTGAAAGGTAAATGAAGAAAACATCCCCTGTTTTTGGAGAGATCAGCTCACGGGGGGTTCTGCTACTTCTGAGTGGTAAGGGGAAGGGCATACTGATGTCCTTCTCTGTCCACTCTGCATCTCCATGGACAGGTGCTTTGTCACCCTGTTCCACCTTATAAAAGCAAAAATGTTCCCACTGAGAATTAAGCCTATTTTGTTTTATCCTCAGCCCAAAGCGAAATAAAGCCATAGAAAGTTTTTGGGATGATTTATCAATGCCTGAATTGGCATCCTTCAGAGCTGATATGTGGGCTCTTTATTCGTTTATTCCCTGGGGGTGGAGTATAGGGGAAGGTGGCTTACCTGAGTGAGGAGCCTGGGGTTGGCACTGCCCACAGGTCTCCCTCCTCAGCTGGCCTGGCATATCCAGGGAAGACTTCCATCTGGAATACCTGAGTGACTGCTGGGTTACCCATCACTGGAGACTTTAAAGAGCCCTCTTTTAAAATCCAACAAGATAGTGTTCGTCAGTTTATTTTATTGACGTATAATTTGTTTGCATTTAAAATTCTTAGAAATACATCAGTCTTTCTCTGCAGTCACTTTTTTACTTTACTTACTTAAAAATTAAAATAATGCTATATGTTAAACATATATTCAATACCAACTCTCTAAGACCGAGTTATCTTTTTTACTTGTAGAGTACTTTTTAAATTGTTTAAATGACTTATAACAACTATATATATTTATGGTGTACAATATAATGTTTTGATATATGTATGCATTGTGAAACTGCTCAATCAAGCTAATTATGCTTATTTTTTGTGGTGAGAACACTTAAAATCTACCCTCAGCAATTTTCAAATGTACAATGTAGTGTTATTAACTAAAGTCACCATGATGTACAGTAAATCTCTTGAAATTATTCTTCTTGTCTAACTGAAATTTTGTGTCCTTTGACCAACATCATTCCAGCCTCCCTCCCCACACAGCCTCTGGTAACCACCTATCTTCTCCCTGCTTCTATGAGCTTGAGTTTTTACACATTCCACATATATGTGAGGTCATGAGGCATTTGTCTTTCTGTGCCTGTCTTCACTTAGCGTGATGTCCTCTAAGTTCACCCATATTGTCACAAATGACAGAATTTCCTTTAATTTATCCCATTTTTGTAAATGATAGCACAGTTATAGCTGCTCACGTCACTTTTTGAGTAGTTGTTCTAGTCTTCCTTCCCTTTCAGAAAGACAGAGATAATACAATCTGTTCAAGAATCAGTGACTAAATTAATTTTATTTAAATATTGTATGTTTTATTTCACCCTGTTTGGAAATAATAAATCTATGTTCTGTTTATCTGTAGTAATTTCATATAAAATACAGTTAATTTAATAGATAAGTTAGATTTCAAATACATAGATAAATTAGATTTCAAATACATAAATGTTAAAAGTAATATACAAGATGATGGTTTTATTGAGTGAAGATAGTTGTAATTCAGAGAATATATGTGGGGAAATACAAAAAACAACATTGTCATGGCCAATTTTTTTCCTGATATTATTACTAGAATGACTTTCCTCTTAATAAAAAAAATTGTGTGTTGGGGAGGAGTGAATGTTGGTGGGATAGGTCATACCTTAGCAGTTACAGACTTGCATAGGAAAGATTAATTAATATCTTATCAGCTGGAAGCCTGCTGCCTGCTAAGGACACAGCTGGGAAATTGGGTGAGCCTCTGGAGAAGTCTGTCTAAAAAGGAGTTACCAGGAAGAAGGGGTTGGAGGAATGGGGATGGGCACAGAGTAGGAAAGGGAACCTTAAGTTGGCAGGGTTGGTGAGAAAAGCTGCAGTCACACAGAGCCTGTTTTATGGGCTTGCCCAGCCAGCCAAGGATACTCACCCTGAGCCACCTATGGCCTCAGCCTTGGTAATGTGCCCTGCAAACTCTTAATATGGGCCATATCATTTGATACTTAGTTTAAGGCAGAGATTGGCGGAACACAGACACGTCTGAGGGGCCTAGGGAGCACATACTTGAGTACTGCACGGCTACAGAGGAGGTGGGAAAGGACTTCTCTGAACAGGAGTGGGGTGATTTCCAGAGACGGTGACACGCAGGAGAAGCATCTCTTCTTCATAGAAAGATGCCAGCTAATAAATGTGGAAGAGGCAAGGGAATAGGAAACCACCATGCTGAAAAGGCCTGAGAAATACAAGGTGCAAATGACTGTACATGGAGCCAAGCCTTCTGTGTAACGAAAAAGGGGGTATGAGTAAGTGTATGTGTATGTCTGTCACCTGTGTCACACAAATGCATGTGCACACACATCCCCCCAACACACACACACCCAAGAAGGATAAACCCAAAGCAATGGAAAATGGCTGCCTATGGGGATGAGTGAGCAGGGGAATGGGGAGGAGGGAATAAAGGTGAGAGCTGCACAGGAGACTCCTCTGACTACATTTTTTAATACAGTTTTGACTTTAGAACCAAATGTTTTTCATATCCCAGAAATAAATAGAATATATGAAACAAGCTCACCCTGAGATTGTATATAGATGGAAGCAGATGAATCTGACTATGTAGCAAATTGACAGTATTACCAACCTACAGGGAAAAAAAGATTTCAAGTAACTTCTGAACACATATCATTTTCTATATATTCTTGTAGGATGTAGTCTAAGGACAAAAAACTGAAATGAAATCTTAAGCTTTATTTAGATTTATTTTATTATTAATAATATTGATATTATTATTCTAAACTTATTTTACATATAGTAGGACTAAGTAAATAAGCCAATATATTAATGTAATTAAGAATCTAAGTTATCACTGTAAGAAAGATGCAGATACTTTGTTTAAAAGTAAGGAAAATCTCTGTAATATTAAATTTGAATTGGAAATAGTACAAAATCATATCAATATTCGCACACATATTCTAGGCTTTATTCATGGGAATGAGCTAGAAGCTATGAAACTTCAGTAGCAGTGAGCATGTATTACAACTAGATCTTGCTTTCTAAATACCACTCCCCAATAAAAGAAACCAGGACTTCCTGGAGAAATTGCTAATGAATTTTAGATCTTGGTCAGGGATAAACCAGTTGAACCTATAGCATTTTATGCCAAAATCAAGGTTGTACTCAAAGACTAATGAGATTATGTCAAAAGAACACAAGAGCCTGCATGAAAGGGCTCCCACAGGCCAAATTTGGGACAATTTGATCACCCAAAGAATATTGACAGGAATTGATTATAACACATTGAATTTTTTAATAAATATATGCATCTATGGTAAACTTAAAAAAATCAAAAATACTGAAAATAAATAGAAAGGATGGGGGATGTTTTTCCTTACAGCATACTGTAATGCCAGGAAATAAATGTAGAAATGATAAGATTAGAGAATGACTATTTTGCAAAGGCCAATATAAGATCTAATAATAAGAATTGTCAGTGTTTGCCAAAATGACCAGGTAAGAGATATTCTGGGAGTCACAATATTCACATGACCTTCAAGTGTCACCTATAGATTACTTAATTTCTTTTTTATGATGGAAAACTGAGCCTTAACAACAAATAGAAGAATCTAGTAGTCAACACCTTGCTCAAATTTAGCAAAGCCAGTAGTGATACAGCTTCACATTATGTCCTTGAGCTTGGATGTAGGAAAGAAAAAGCAGCTACAGAAAGCATGTGGGGGACAGTTGGATATATTGAATGTAGGCTTCCCATTAAGTGATATTGTAAAATCATTTTTCTTAGTTGTGATAACATTATTGTGGTTATATAGGAGATCCATGCTGAAGTCATATTTAGGGATAGAAATAATATCTAAAACTAAGTTGCAAATGGTTAGGGGAAATTCTATGTAAGATATAGATAGAGAGATATTGAGAAACAGCAAGAGAAAGCCAATGTTAACAACTGCTGGAACCAGGCAAAGGGTATTCAGGTGTGTGTTATACTGCTCCTTTGCCTTTACTGTGGAGGGGAGGATGTTCAAAATGAGAAGCTGTGGTGAAGAAAGCTATCAAGGGGCAGTAATACAGCTTCATTTTCTCTTCCAGGTGCTTACAAATTGATTATGTGTAATTTTAATTCTTCTTTCCAATTTTATACTTTCCAGTATAAAAGTCAACAAAATGTCTGTAACTCCCAAAGCCCTTTAAAAAATATGATTAAATGACAGCATAAGGGTTTTCTTCCCCAGTGAGCTATGGTCAGCTGTAATGAACATCAACTGTCCTGTAGCCTGTGGCCAGATGCCCTCCCCACAGGGGCCTCTCGCGCAGACTCAGGGAGCTTTGGTCACCTGGGCCCAACAAGTGTGGAGCAGAGAGCAGAACACAGTAGTGAGTGCACAGCTGGCAGCCTTCTGCTTTGATTAAGATGCAGAAAGTGTTGAGGGACCCAGGGCTTCCTGAGTTAGAGAGACTGTGGGCCACAGGCCAAGGCTTAAAGAGAAAGAGCTGCCCCTGTCTCTACTCCAGGCACAGTGGCTGTAGGGACAGCACCCAGGCCACTCTGCTATGTGTCGCTGAACCTTGGCCTGTCTTCTTAAAGTACTGTGTGTTTTCCAAATTGTTTCAGACACACTGGGTCTTCAATTTCCAGTTCTCATGGATGCTGTATTAAGAAACGCACCAGACCATATTAATCTGACATGGCTGATTTGGGTTGACATTGACTGTTTTATCTTCGTGACACTCTGTAATGTCACACTCCTACAAAGATCCTCCTTGTCAGACAGGGGGCCTTGAGAGGCCATCGTGAAACCAAATTTTCTCTCCAGACATCTGTCCTTTAATCTTTTCCCCCTTATTTTATGTGTCTAAACACCACAGTTCAAAATATGTTTAGAATCTTTAATTTGGTTCTAAAACTTTAATGCCATCTCCTCTTCTTATCATTTCTGTCTTCATCCCCTTCATCTCCCTTGGTAGCTTGACTATTTCAAAAGCTGGTTGTATCCATAATGGTTTTGTAGTAAATGTGGTAGCTTATGGTAGCTGAGAACACTGGTTATTTTAGCCAATTGAGTTTTGAGTTGGTGGGAAAGAAATCATGGCCGAGGTGTTCAAAACCAAGAGCTGATATGTGGAAAACAAGCATTAAAACAGTGTCACTAGAAAGTGACGGCGGTGGAAAGTTGTCCATAGAGTAACTCTGCTTTCAGGGCTCCGTGTGAGGACTGAGGGGGCACCCTGAAATCCACACTGGAAACAGGCAGGCCCCTTTATGAATAGGAGCTCCAGCTCCATCCATGGTAGCTGTGCGTGCTCATTCATTAGGCCTTACTGGTTTGTTGTGAGTGCAGTATCAGCATGATTTATGGCATAGGCAGCCTGGAAATAACATGAGCAGCACATAGCACAGCCGTGGCTGTATTCATCCAACATATCCTGTCTGTTCAAAGGAAATGTAGAAATCTACTTCTTAATGACATTTTGTGCTGCTTTTTAATTTTTCTTGCTTTTGAAATACTGCATTGTTCAGTACTCCTGTTTGGGAGTCACTTAGAGTGACGCAGTGTCAGTCAGCCCAAGACTTGGTGGTTATCTCTGTTTTGTCAGATCTGAGCTGCACTCGCCTCTTTTATTCTTGTAAGGATTGGGCATACAAACGTTTCTTCTCAGGAATCAAAGAAGGCTCTCATGAGAAACTGCCTCCCCAGCACCTGAGGGCCCCACCATCCCAAGGCAGGACTCTACATGCAAACAGCATCCACCCTGAGGACAACATTCTGCACAGAAACCTCTCAAAACTACAGAATTGTCATCCACACTTTGGCCAGGAGTACTGGGAAGTAGCTAGAATGGAGTTGAGTCAATTCTCAGCTCTTAGAAGTTCTTTTTTTTTTTTTTTTTTTTTTTAAATAATGTTCTGGGAAAGCTAGTTACAGAGGCCTTTCACAAGGACTTCATTGGCTACCTGTAACCTCTGGCCTAAGTATGTATTTGCTTCGTGGTTCCATCTCACATGAAATTAGTATAAGGTGAACCCAGTGATGGCTGCCTTTAACAAGGGTTAGCAACTGTTAGGATGGATGTGTGGATTGACTCAGCCAGCACCACCATTTTGAATGGGTTAGTGAACAGTAAAAAAGAAATATAAAATCCTATTACTAGTTATCTACCCAAAGGAAAAGAAAGCGCTATTCACAATAGCAAAGATGTGGAATCAACCTCGTATGCATCAGTGGATGATTGTATAAAGAAAGTATGGTATCTGTACACTATGGGATACTATTTAGCCATTAAAGACTGAAAGAAGTCATGTCTTTGCAGCAGCATGAAGGAACTAGAGGCCATTATTTTAAGTGAAACACCTTAGACACAAAAAGTCAAATACCACCTGTTCTCACTTACAAGTGGGAGCTAAATAATGTGTACATTTGGGCATAGAGGGTGGAATAATAGACATTGGAGACTCCAGTTAGTGGAAGAGTGAGCGTCGGGTGAAGAAGAAATTCCTTAATGGGTACAGTGTACACTGTTCAGGTGATGGTTACACTGAAAGCCCAGACTCCACCGCTATGCAGTATACCCATGTAACAAAAATACACTTGTACCATTAAATGTTATACAAATAAAAAATAAAGACAAAAAAATCAATCCTCACATCATATGAGAAAAAATGAAAAGAACACAGCTGACTCCTTATCTAAACTTAGGTAAAATTATCGTTACTAGTTAGTTGGTATTCCTTTCCACTCAAGCACTCTGACCAGCTGGCTAGAGGTAACAATCTTTCAGAAAGGTCTTAAAGAACTAAAATGACTGAGCACCTGCTTCTATCCAATGAGCCATCCCCTAGAGTGTGAACCGTAATTTGGCTTGGATATAGCTGGCAGTGAGGAAGTTTTGTAGGATTATCTTGCCTCAGCATTTCTTAAGAACTCGGGGAGTGGGGCCTGTCACCTTAATCCCTTTCAGAAGTTCCAAGGTAAGCCTGCCTTAGGCTGCCTTAGATCAGGAAAAGGTCATCACTACAGATGTAACAAGAGCTGTCAGATGCTTGCTTTTATTTTCAGGTGAAGTCCTATACCTCTGTTCCTTAGTGCTATTACTGTTAGAGAGATGGGAACAGGAGAGAGTGGAATGAGCAGTGTTTACCTCCTTGAAGGAAAGTGCTATGCCAATACAAGGAGGTGCTGCGCAGGTCAGCAGTGCGCCAGCATACTGGTTTCGTACAACTCAGAAACTATCCTGTTTGCACATAGCATTTGCTGAAAATATTCAGCTGTCTAGGACTAGTGCCCAGTAGAGAGATTGGCAGAAAAACACTCATTTTAGCTGGCTTTCAAATTATTTTTCAAATTCAACACGAAGTCAGTTAAGGAAGACCATTAGATTATGTCAAAAAGCAGTTTGGAAAACATTTATCATTTGTAGGGAGCCCAGCACTGACGTTTCTAAATTGTGTGTGACGTTGACATGTTCCCATATGTCACGATATGTTCCTTACTTCCCTTGTTATGAGCTTGGGTTAGAAGTCACTGTTCTTTTGAACCTTGATGTCACCTCAGGGCAGTTTGCTAGCACTCAGAAATTCAAAATTGCCTAAAGTGCGTGGTGGGATGTCTATCTGTATCATACCGTGGGCAAACGTCTGACTTGAAGGCATCAAACAGGCAAACGGAAGAACCATGAAGGATGCTAAGTTTTGACTGTGTCTGGGTAGCCAATTGGGAGTGTATTATGTAGAAAGCCAAATAAATGCTTATTTCAAGCACTTCAAGGTAAAGGACAATATTTAACTCTGGTTTGTTTTGAGAGATTAGAGTAGTTTATGCCCATAAGAAATATTCAGAAATAGTTGTTGAGTGTGTGAGTGAACAGCAGGGCATTAAATAACATTATAGTCATGGTCTTTATGAGCGTTAGGCCAATGTTCTATGTAATGAGGTAAATTATTTAAGGTTCTTATAATGTGTTATTTTAGGTAAGGATGTTGCTATTTACTCAGTGTTTTTTCACGGAAGATAGTGTGCTCTACAGATTCCGTGTCACTAAGCTAAGCATCTATGAAGCATTATTGATAATCACTCAGTTGACTATTACATACAAATTTCAATGTGGTCATCAACTCTTAAATTTCTTTATAGTTAAAGGATAGGAAAACTGACAAAAAATGTTACTTTTTATCACTTAGTAGAATTTCATGAGTCACTAGTTTAGAACTTTCATTTCCATTCACAGGACAAGGTTAAAAGAAACAGAATTAAGAAGTTGCTTAGGAGTAGGCTTTTCTGTTTATTGGGAGTCGGTATTGGACATTCATAAATTTATAATCTGCATTATGTTTCAGCGATACGTTAATGCTGAGTTCATAGGATTAATCAGGCCACATGCTGTCCTGTGGCTTCACTAATATACTCCTCAGTCACATCAGCACTTTCTCTTTCACACCACACACAAAAAGCCTTACGGAGCAGTGGGTAAGCAGTCCTAACAGGCAAATGTTCACACATAGTGAAAGAGAAGTTTAGTTTTTCTGTCATGGTTGCTGAACAAGATAATATTCTCTAATTCTTTGATAGGAAAATAGAGCCAAGGCATTTGACTGCCGACACACTCTCATTGGAACTCCATGCAGGACTTCACCAGTCATTAGAAGCTCATTCCAGGAATCCCAGCCTCGAAGGGATCATGGAGAAGGTGGGATGGAGTGACCTGAGTCTGATGGGTAGAAACAGCCACCCTTGCTCTCTCCCACCTTCTTCTGTGTGGACACTCTGCCTCTGGAATTTTTAGTAACTGGGTACCTGTTGGAAGATTAGTTCCTTTTGCTAGGCTATGAACTAGAGGGAGGGTGTGCATTCATTTCACTAAAGTAAAATTTTGCCTTTTCTTTGTTGTTAGACAGGATCTTACTCCCATCATCCTGGCTGGAGTGTTGTGGCACAAACATGGCTCACTGCAGCCTCGACTTCCCAGGCCCAGGTGATCCTCCCACCTCAGCCTCCCAAGTAGCTGGGACCTACAGACGTGTACCACTATACCTGGCTAACTTTTGTGTTTTTTTGTAGAGACAGGGTTTTGCCATGTTGCCCAGGCTGGTCTCAAACTCCTAGGCTAAAGCGATCTGCCTACCTTGGCCTGCCAAAGTGCTGTGATTACAGGCATGAACCATCACACCCGGCCAAAATTTTGCCGCTGATTTTTAGAAATTGAATTATTATTTTAGACTGAAGTTGTATCTTTTTAAAATGAAAGCCATACCTCCGTATTTCTAAGAAATCAGATGGGATCATCATCCCATCAGGTATTCACTGAGCTCCTGCTTGTGCTCCACTGTCTGCTCAGTGCTGGTTCTGTATTGCGGAGAGGATCTAAACAGAAAGTAATCCAAAGGGCTACATCTGTCTTTCTTAATGACGAACCGACGGCTTTCCACCTTACCCTTTTGGCTACAACCAGTGGGATTGACTGCTGTCTTATTGACTCTGTTTATCTAGATATGGTGGACATATTGCCCAGTTAGATGGGCTAAGATACCGATAGCCCCCCAAAATGCCAGATTCCAGAATAAATGAAATCACTCAGTCATTAAGGTGATATATTTAACTGGGCTGGCTGGGCTAATTTGTCCATGTTACCAATTATTATTGAGCAGACAAACTCAGGTAATGATGGCAGCAAAAGCCCATCTGGGGCCTGAGACTAGAGGAGGAGGAGGCTGGCCAGACCCTCCTCAGATGCGCAGAGGACAGCTTCAGGATAAGGAGAGATCAGATCATGCCTGCTCCATCTCGGCGGGCTCATCTTCTCTCGCCCCCATCTGCATGGTCCTCTTGATTTTCTTCATAATAATAACACTGAAATCCTTTGAGTGCTAACATTACTGTAAGTGTCAGCTGTTTATGCTGTTATATGCCTTAAGTTATTTCAGCCTTACCACATGCAGTGAAGGAGACACTAGTATTATCCTTATGTTGCAGCTGAGGAAACTGAAGTGTGGAGTTTAAGTAACTGGCCCAAGGTAACAGATGCAGTGATCAGAGGAGCAGGGACCCACAGCCAGGCACTGTGACGCAGAGCCTGCGCTCCTCACTCATATCCTGCTTCAGGCTTCACAGGTCTTGGGAAGAAAAAGAGAACGTTTACACCCTGAATAACATTGCAAAAGGATAGTGCGCTGTGTCTGCCGGTCAGCAGAGCTCTTTGATGATATTAGTAGGAGACACCTAAGCAAAGTAAAGTTGAGGTCAGTGTAGCTCCATAACAAAAGATAGGGAATGCTCTAGGTCTCCTCAAGAAAAATCTACACCATGGTTTTCTGTTTTCACCTACAGCTTAGTTGCCCAGGAAGATTCATTTATTATTTATTTAAGTAATACATCACAGGGACAAGATTCATTGAAGTGAAGGTATTTCACTTCCAACTGTCCTACAGGGAAACAATGAGCCTAAATAAATCCTACAAATTCTCCCTGGAGAGGGAGCAGTGATTGATTCATTTTTGCATCTGTCAAATGCCTCTATAGTCCAAAGAGTGCGTTTTGTTCCCTCCCTTAACAAGATTCTCTTACCTTTGTTTTGTTCAGGCTTTATTGGCGCTGTGTGTATAAATAAGATTACAATGAATAGAAATTAACACTGTATCCCAGTTTTCTGAGTCAAAGCCCCAATTCCAAACAGAAAAAAAAAATCTTGTTGTTAAATAATATATGGGTATTATTTGTCACATATGATAAATATTGCTACTCATGCCCAAAAAGAGACTTTACAACTGTCCTTGTGCTAGACGAATGACTGGTCTACAGGCTACAGACTATTCACAGAGCTTTGGGGAAGCCCTGAAACTCACCTGATAGCAGTGTCCTTGGGACTGAATATAAACTTCTACAGTTACAAGGCCTTAAGAGGTTACAAAGTAGAGCAAGTTTGGGGACTTCAAAAGCAGTGCCTGGGATGGCAGACATCATTGCCGTGGTGCAGGGGCCTCTCTATGATCCCATCGCTGTGCCCCCACCGAGACCCAGGTGGACAGTTTGGAGGTGGGGAGGGAGCTGGGATGTGACTCAGCAGTCATGTGGGGCAAAACCAGGGTGGGGGCACGACCCTGCTAGATTAGCCTGAAGGTGGGGCAAATGACTGGCACCTTGTCACAAGACATTGTTGTTTTTACGCATTTGACTTGATTTCACCCTTCAGGCTCAGGGCTGGCCCTGTGAGGCCTTTCCACTGCATTCAGTTGTTCTTTCTTGAATGTTAGAGGGAGGAAGTTGGAGTCTCTGTTCTGGGGAACTGAACACACCGCACGCAGCCCATCTGGCCTGTGCCGTGACCCACGCAGCACAAATCACTAGTTCCAGCGGCGACAACACTAACATTTATACATCATGCAAGTTGTAGTCTTTTATTTTAACTTAAACTTTTTATTTTCAAATAATTTCAAACTCACAAAAAGTTATAAAAATAGTACAAAAAATTGCCATATACCTTTTACCCAGATTCCCCAATTATTAAAATTTCACATTTGTGTGTTTCTGTATATGTGTGAGAAAGTAAAAAACACGAAGCCTTTTTACTCCTAAATACCTGGGAGTAATTCCTAAAAGATAAAACATATATTCCTTTACATAACTGCAATACATAAATTATAATGTTCAATAATTTAATAAAGTATATTTGTGTTACTCTAAATGGTAAAATAAGTTTTTTCTCCTATTAATTAATATGATTAATAATACTATGACATGGAGATTAGAAAAATTAAGATTTAAGGCCAGGCACGATGGCTCCCGCCTGTAATCCCAGCACTTTGGGAAGCTGAGGCAGACAGATCACCTGAGATCAGGAGTTCAAGACCAGACTGGCCAACATAGCAAAACCCTGTCTCTACTAAAAATACAAAAATTAGCCAGGCATGGTGGTGCGCACCTGTAGCCCCAGCTACTCGGGAAGCTGAGGCAGGAGAATTGCTTAAACCTGGGAGGCGGAGGTTGCAGTGAGCCAACATCGTGCCACTGCACCCCAGCCTGGGCAACAGAGCAAGACTCCGTCTCCAAAAACAAAAAAGAAAAGATTTAAAAACTAAAATATAATCTTCGGTTTTACATATATATTAATGATTGTTTCTTTTTCAGGTGATAATTTTTTTAAATATGTGAATGGCTCATTAGTACTTGTGTCCTTTTAAAAACACTTATGAATACCACAGCAAAATTAGGTTGTGGTGCTATTACTATATCTATTTATTAGTCTGCTCAGGCTTCCATAACAAAATACGATAGACTGGGTGGCTTAAACAATGCACATGAATTTTTCACGGTTCTGGAGGCCAGAAGTCTAAGATCACGGTGCTGACCAATTCGTTTCCTGCTGAGGGCTCTCTCCCTGGTGTGTGGATGACCACCTTCTTGCTGTGCCCTCTCGTAGAAGAGAGTTCTCTTCCTCTTCTAATAAGGACACCAATCCTATCAGATTAGGACCCACCCTAAAGACCTCATTTAATTCTAATTACCTCCTAGATACCCCATCTCTAACTATAATCACATTGAGGATAGGGATTCGACATATGAATTTTGGAGGGGCACAATTCAGTCCATAGTGCACAGTCCGTCATTTCATTTCAACATCATTGGAGAACACCTTCAAGCACATGATACCTCCTTTGATGTGTTTTGCTGTTTAAAGGCGTGGTGAACCCTTGACAGAAACATTATCATGGATTCTTCTCCACATGTTTACTGACTTCATTGTGCTTTTCAAGTTTTCTTCCTCCTTAAACAACATAAAACATTTTGGAAAAAGTACTGGAATATTAAATGTGTTGTTCAAATTTGATGCTGATGCTTGAATTTCAAGGCAAGGCACATCATGGGCTTGACCTTCATGTCTTCAGACTCACAGAGCTTCCAGTTTCTCAGACTGGATTATTATAAGATCTCATACGAGTTATTTTGAGGGAAGGGAATGGAAAATAAAGATTAACCAGAAATCAAATTCCATTTTCCCAGCCCTCCCTTGGCAATGCCTAGTGGTCACATTTCAAAATATTATACAAACCTATTTTACAGTAAATAGACATGTTTTGAAGTGGTGCTAGAAAGAAGAGGGGCGTCTCTGCCATATTCTAGTTATCATATTTCTGTTCATTCTCTGCTCAGTGTGGGCCCAGAGGACTGAAAAACAGTCAGTAAGCACCTCTACTTTTTGCCTATGGCATGCAGAAATTTCTCCATATGCAAAAAAGTGGGGAGAGGGGAGAAAGATTAAGATGTTTCTGTCTGGTTTCAGTCACATTTTTAGTTCTTTCCCACTTTCATTTGTTCTCTGATTTTTTTTTTTTAATGGTAAGAAATTGGCAGGTTTCTCACGGAACTGCCTGTGTTTACCATACTACTGATAATTCTTGTAAACTGTCTACCATCTCAGTTCCTTACCTCATCGCAGCTTTTTATTTCTTTACAGATCAAGACCATCATCCTTTTAAGCATTTTTCTCCTTGACTCTGTCTCGATTGTCCTGTTCTCTCTCACCTCCTAGGCAATTACCTTATCTTAATAAAATATAATTGGGCCGGTAGACGTTTCTTTCTATTTGAAAAGCCTCCCAGCCTAGCCTGTGGACTGATCTCCCTGCCAGCCAGTGTATAGGTCTCCACAGGCCTCCTCTTCTTCCATGAAGGGACTGCTAAACTCAGCTCAGGCAGCATAGGGCTATGATTGCTTTCCCATTCATCACCCCGAAAAATGAGTTTGCACTTTAATTTATAAATATAAAATATATTTTCTTGGTTACGGCGAATCAAACTGAATTATATTTGTGCAATTACTGAGTTACATGACCGAATGTATATCTACGTAGTTGAGATTATTCTTGGGAAATGCAAGGAGGGACTCCCATCTGATTCAGTTATATGGAGCAGCTCTAGGGTAGCACCATTCTGGGCTTTGAGGGTAACACGATGTAACTGGTATTGTATACATTAACATTAGTAGAGTTCCTTGGCTGTTTAAAATAGCTAGAAATCAGAGAAGTATGATACAAACTACTACGGACTGAATTTCTGGGTATGTGTTGTATTAAAAGAAAACAACAACACAAATTTCGGAAGTTTTTGTAGAACAACTGGCTTTCATTCTTTAAAAAGGTTGGTGTCATTAAAGGAAGAAATGCTGGGGATTGTTTTAGGTTAAAGAAACATGATGACTTAATGTGGTGCTTGATCCTTGATTCTTGAGCAAAATGAAAAGTTTAAAAGACATTGGGAAAATTTGGAAGATGTAGATATGCATATATATTAGATAATATTTTTGTATCAATGTTGTATTTCTTGAGAGTAGTAATACTGCAGTTATATGGAAGAATTCCTTGTTCTTAGGTGATACATGCTAAAGTATTGGGGGAAATTGTCATAATGTCTTCAACTTTCAAACGGTTTGGCAAAATAAGTGTATATATGTATGTATGTCTATAGTGTGTGTGTGAGAAAGTAAACACACACACACATGCATAGTGAAAAATAGAAGTTGCAAAGATTCATTTTTGTCATTCCTTATTTCTTCTAATCGAGTAAAAGTTTTCTAAATTAGCTTTCCTACTAATAAATAAAATATTTTTCTTATGCTCGGTCAGGAAAGCTAAATGGGAGAGGCAAGCCCACCTAAGTCCTTCCCTGTCAAGGAGGGGGTAGAAAATACATCGTAACAGTACACCCAGCGACCTCCAGAGTCACTGGTTCCATATGTGCAGGATTCACCTAAGCCACATGCCAACCACAAGATGGTTTTCTCTGAGACTTCTTGGAAAAATAAACCCAAGAAATTCAAATCACTTGATGTCAAAGGATCTAAACAGAGATTGCAGACTTTAGCTGTGTAGCTCTCTGGTTTGTGAGCAGAATGAGATTGGGGGTGGGGAATTGCACTCATTATTGAACACCTCTTCTGCTTGCAGTTTCAGCAGCAGCAGCCTAGCTTCCCCCTAAATGTGACACTTCTTACTTGTCATCACTTACCATACTTTGGGAGGTATTTTATCCTCTTCTTTATGTGTGTGTGTTCAGTTGTGTGGGGAAGTGAATTGAGTCTTAACATTTTGAAGTAAAATAGGCTTGTTTTCTTTTTAAATCCCTCTAGTCATTTAGTGAAATACTCTGATAAGGTTTTATTAATGAAATATAAATAGAAGGAAGATTCGTTTTGAAAGCACAGTGCCATCTTAGAAAACACCAAAAGAGGAAAGAAAAAAAAAATGAAGACTGTACCTTGATGTCAGAGCTTTGGGGGAGAAACTGATTCCACCTTGAAGGGAGATGACCCAAGCTTGACAGCTGCCTCCACAAGGAGTCCTATTAGCAAAAGAAGGGGAGCCATGTGCTAGGAGGGCCATTTTCTCTGTTCTTCGCATCACTGAGGAGTGTTCAGCAATCACACTTGGACTTGATACAGAAAATGACTGCATTGAGAGCCCTTCTTCATAAGTAAGCCATATATGGTAACTAAAAAAACAAAAACAAAAAAAAAACAAAAACAAAAACCCTAACACTTCCCATCACAAAACCAATTTTTTTGAGGATTACCAGGCTCGTGTTTTCTCTCTAGTATGTCAGGGTTTGTGATACTTCTGGTCAGAGTGTGGAAAGAGTTTGGGCTATCAGCACAGGCCATATTCTGTTTGCTTCATATGCATTTGGAGACATGAAATGATATTTTACTGGTTAAGTTTCCGCTAAGTGCTTAGATTTTCTTTATTGCGTTTCTCTTACACTGTTAAACAAAATATTGTGTGGCTAAATGATTTCAGCCTATCTAATTTGCTTGACAATTAGACAGTCGTTCTAGCCTTAGGAACAAAATATGTTCATCATAAAAAAATTAAGAATGTGATCTAAAGTTCAAAGCTGAAATATTAAAACATTAATAAATAGAAAGCTTTAAGAACTATTCACTCAGTATGCAAAGAAACAGTCATTTCTCGCTGCTCTAAATTCTATTCCTGCACATAAAAGGAAAATATATCAAGTTTAACAATTCAATACAAAAAAAAACCCTGCAATGTGAGTTCTCCAAACAAACATCCCTATTATCCCTACATACAGGTATAGCCTTAGGTTATATTTTTATGATTTCATTTTTGAGGTATATACAAAACATGCATATGGTTTTCATCACTAGAAATAAACTACACTGAGTCCTTTGGGTTTGCTTTCTTTATTTCTTTATTATATGTTTAATTGATCACGTACTTTATAACTTTCAGTATTTTGACATTTTAGAGTACAGCAATGTGCTGTATTGCTGTAATCCACATATAGTTATATTTGGAATGATACGTTATGCTTGAGTTAGAAAAATAATTTGACACATCCACTACCCATAACACATGTTCAGTGGATATCATGCCTGCCAGAAATATTTCCATTTACACACTGCTAGCTCTCATACATAATTACTTACTTGTTCATCTCAGGACATAGTGTCAGATTGTACTATGTAATATAAAATAATCTTATCTAGTTGCATAATGAATTTTATTATCTGAGAGTTGTTTATATTTGATGGCATTTTCCCTCTTAGAGAAAATGAATTTTAATGAGAGAAAAATTGCTAACGTTTTTAAAGCCAGCACTCACATTTTGGCATTACAGCATATTTGGAGTGCCCGGTGATTAGGATCACTGTTCTTTGGTGGCAGCGTGTGAGGTCTGTGAAATGTGGGAAATGGTCTGTAACCTAATGGATCTCATAAGAACTATACATATTGAAAGGTGATTAATTTAAAATAAGGGATGAGTTGAGGATAATGATTGCTTTGGAGTTGAGCGAAAAGAGAGGTTACTATGAACCAAAAGAGAAGATGCATGAAGATGAACAAAATGTGAAGATGCACCAAGAAATGGCTATTGTAGTAGTAGAAGCAGAGAGAAATGCAGAGTGAGATGAGGGGGAGAGAGAAGACTGGAGGCACAAAAAGACTTTATCAAGGCTGAATTTTTATTTTATTTTATTTTATTTTGAGACGGAGTCTTGCACTGTCGCCCAGGCTGGAGTGCAGTCGCGCCATCTCGGCTCACTGCAAGCTCCGCTTCCTGGGTTCACACCATTCTCCTGCCTCAGCCTCCCGAGTAGCTACAGGCGCCCGCCACCACATCCAGCTAATTTTTTGTACTTTTAGTAGAGACGGGGTTTCACCATGTTAGCCAGAATGGTCTCGATCTCCTGACCTCATCATCTGCCCGCCTCAGCCTCCCAAAGTGCTGGGATTACAGTCGTGAACCACCGCGCCTGGCCCTGAATGTTTTAATAAGCAACAAATGACTGATGTTCCTAAAGTAATCCATTCAAATTCACATACTTTAATAGAAAAATAGGCAAAGGACATGAACCATCAGTTTATAAAAGAGGAGATGCAGATGATCAATATATGTATTAAAGGCTGCACAACTTCATTAATAAGCAACAAAATGGAAATTTTCAAAGTAAAATGCTAGGTATCACATCATATTGACAACTTTTGAAATCCCATTAGGGTACAGTGAAAAGGGCATCCTTGTGTGTGGTGACAGAGAGAGACTCTGCTTCAAAAAAAAGGGGTTGGCGGGGTGGAAATTGAGACACAGGGAGAGAATGTGAAGAGACACGGGGAGAAGGCTGCGGGAGGACAGAGGCAGAGATTGGAGGGGTCCTGCCACAACCCAGGGAACATCTGGGCCACCAGAAGCTGAAAGAACAAGGAAGGGTCCTTCCTCTACAGGTTTCAGAGGGGGCATGGCTCTACCAGCATCTGGATTTGGGATTTCTGGGCTCTGGAACTGTGAGATAATAAATTTCTCTGGTTCTGATCCGCCCAATTTAGGGTACTTTTTACAGCAGCCCTAGGAAATTAGCACAGAATCCAAGTGGGACAGCCGAGGTCATGGGTGGATATGAAACTGTAGAGTTCAAAGGAGAGATCTGGACTAGAGAAATAAAATTTGGAGTTTTCACCGGATGATATTTCACCAGAATAGAAATTGGTACAGTTTTGTGGGGAAGCAATTTATAGCTTGCACCACTACTCAAACATGAGTCTCAGGTAAATTAATATACTTAGAATTTCTTCTAAGGGAATTTTCCAATGCAGTGATTTATAGATAGGATTGATGGTCACGGGATTATATATGACAGTGAAATATTTGGGCACTACCTACGTTTCCAATAATGGTGACATAAATAAATGATGGTGCACATTTCATTAAGTGCGGTTAGTCATTAAATCCTGTGTTTTCAGGAAAAGAATTCATGACATAGAGAAATGATGAAATAAGTGGTACAGTAAAATCCAAATGTCATTTAAAATAAAAATGTATAAAAAAGACTGGATAGGAATACTCTGAAGTGTTAGCAATTCTGAATAGTGAAATAATGATTTGTATTTTCTTAGATCTTCTCTATATGTTTTAGATTTTATGCAATGAAAATGAATTATTTTTAGAGAAATTATATTACATGTTCTTGTATTTTAACAATTTATTGAGACAGAAAAAATAAAATAGGTAGAGTGGAGTCCCAAAGAGAGGGACTGATTTTATGAATCAGTAAATGCCAGTGTTATCCCTGGACCAGCAATGAGGTTGCTGAATAAAAAAGTGTATGTTTGTGTGTGTTAGTGTGTTGTAAAGCTAGGAAAAATGTTTGGCAGTTTGAAAGAAATATATCTGCCAACAAATATTCAGAAATTACGTGCCATATTTTTTAAAAAAGAAAACTTTAAGCATTCTTTATAGTAGGAGAAACAGGGACTACCGAGGTCAGAGGAAATGAGCAGAGTCTAGAACCTCAGGGAGCAACAAAGGATGGGCATGGTCAGCAACCATAACCGTAAGCTGAGCTCTTTCAGACTCCTGCAGGCCTTGGCCTGATGCGTGCTCTCCTGTGCAGCCACGCCACTTGTACACAGTTCATTTTAGTGCAGGCGAGTTATCTAAATCCCACAGTAAACACCCTCAGTATGACTAGTGCACAGGTACATGCTGAATATGTGTCTCTTCATTCATTTAACAAATTCCACATGAGCAGCTGTGATAAGCCAGGCAAGGTTCTAAGCTTTGGAGAACAAAATTAACAAAATCTCTCCTCTTGTGGGGCTTGCTTTCTGATGGGAGGAGATAGAATGTAACTAAAATAAGTAGCTTATTTGTACTATGGAGAAAAATAAAGCTGGGAAGGTAGATAAGGAGTGGGGTAAGTGAGACTTGTAAGTAGAGTGGCCAGGCAAGGCCTATTTTTTTTTTTAAACAGGGTCTCACTCTGTCACCTAGGCTTAAGTGCAGTGGCACCATCATAGTTCACTGCAGTCTTGAACTCCTGGGCTCAAGTGATCCTCCCATCTCAGCCTCCTGAGTTGGGACCACAGGTGTGAGCCACCACCCTGAGCTAATTTTTTAAAAAAATTTTGTAGAGACAGAATCTCACTATGTTGCCCAGGCTGGTCTAGAACTCCTGGCCACAGGCAATCCTCCCACCTTGGCCCCCCAAAGTGTTGGGATTACAGGTGTGAATCACTGCATCCTGCCAAGGCCTTACTTTTGAGCACGTGATTCATAAAGAGGAAGGAAGCCATGAAGACATCAGGGGAAAGAAATTCGAGGCAGAGGGAGCAGACAGCAGTGCATGCAGGAGAGCATAAGCATGCGTGCTCTGGGAGGGGACAGCAAGGAGTCCTTGTGGCCGGAGCAGGATAAGCAGAGGAAGGAGTGTTGGCAGTTTAGGTCTGTGCTGGTGGGGAAGCCAGTGAAGTCAGATAGGGCATAGGGGCTGCTGTAAAAGGCTTCAGCTTTTATTCTGAATGCAATGGAGTCCCGTCGGAAGGTTTTGAAAAAAGGCGTGACATTGTCTGCTTTCTACTGTAGAACAGAAGAGTTTTCTGTGCTTGTCTCCAGTTCCTTTTGGAGGACTAAGTGTGGCTGCTGTGTTAAGCATAGACCAAGAGATGGCAAGGGAGGAGGCAAGGACACAAGCGAAGAGACTGCACCGACAGCACAGGCCAGAGGCAGTGATGGCTGGTCCCGAGTGGTAGCAGGAGAGAGATGGGTGGGTTTCAGACGTATTTTCAAGGTAGGACCAACAGGGTTTGCTGATAGATTGAAGTGTCAAGAAAAAAATCAAGGATGTCTCTGAGGTTTTCAGCTTGAGCAACTACAAAGATGGATTTGCCATTTTCTGAGAAGGAAACTACAGGAAAATGAGGTCCGGGTGGGAGATGAGGAGAAATTAAGAAGTCGGGATTTGTTTGGGGACTGAGAAATTTGAAATGTCTCTGACATCTGTGATGGATTTAATTGTGTCCCCCCAAAAAGATGTTGAAGTCCTAACCCCCAGTACCTCCGAAGGTGACCTTATTTGGAAACAGAGTCTTTAGGGAGATAATCAATTTAAAATGAGGCAATTAGGGTAGACCCTAATCCAATATTTTATAAGGACAAGAACAGAAAACCAGACACCGCAGGTTCTCACTCATAAGTGGGAGTCGAACAATGAGAACACATGGACACAGGGAGGCGAACAACACACACCAGGGCCTGTCAGGGTGAGGGGTAAGGGGAGGGAGAGCATTAGGACAAATAACTGATACATGTGGGGCTTAAAACCTAGATGATGGGTTGATAGGTGCAGCAAACCACCATGGCACAGGTATACCTGTGTAACAAACCTGCACTTTCTGCACATGTATCCCGGAACTTGAAGTAAAATTAAAAAAAAAAAAAAAAAAAAAAAAAAAAAAGGTGCTCGGGCAAGGTGGCTCATGCCTCATGCCTATAATCCCAACACTTTGGGAGGCTGAGGTGGCAGATCGCTTGAGGCCAGGAGTTCAAGACCAGCCTGGCCAACATGGCGAAATCCTGTCTCCACTAAAAATGTGAAAATTAGCTGGGCATGGTGGCAAGGGCCTGTAATCCCAGCTTCTCAGGAGGCTGAGGCACGAGAATCTATTGAACCCGGGAGGCGGAGTTTGCCATGAGCAGAGATTGCACCACTGCATTCCAGCCAAGGCGACAGAGAGAGACTCTGCCTCAAAAAAAGGGGTTGGGGGTGGGGTGGAAATTGAGACACAGGGAGAGAATGTGAAGAGACACGGGGAGAAGGCTGCGGGAGGACAGAGGCAGAGATTGGAGGGGTCCTGCCACAACCCAAGGAACATCTGGGCCACCAGAAGCTGAAAGAACAAGGAATTGTCCTTCCCCTACAGGTTTCAGAGAGGGCATGGCTCTACCTGCATCTGGATTTTGGGTTTCTGGGCTCTAGAACTGTGAGATAAATTTCTCTTGTTCTGATCCGCCCAATTTAGGGTACTTTTTACAGCAGCCCTAGGAAATTAGCACAGAATCCAAGTGGGAAAGCCGAGGTCATGGGTGGATATGAAACTGTAGAGTTCAAAGGAGAGATCTGGACTAGAGAAATAAAATTTGGAGTTTTCACCAGATGATATTTAAAACAACGAGACTGTATGACGTTCTGAAGGTGTATAGACAGTGAGCCCTGGGGGAACTGTTGCTTTAAAGGGTTTGGGAGTTGAGGAGGAACTAGCAAAGCAAACTGAAGGCATTGCCAGTGGTGTAGAGGCAAACCAGGAAGGATAGTTCCCAAGTAAATAAAGTGTTCTAAGGAGAAAGGAACATTCATCTTGACCAAATGCTACTGGCAGGAAGGAATGTTCATCTTGACTAAATGCTACTGGCACATTATGTAAGGTGAGGACTAAAAAGTGACCATTGGATTTAGCAACATGGAGGTCACAAGAAATCCACACTCATCGATTCAGATAGGATCAAAATCCTCACTGGAACGAGTTCCAGAGAAACTTGGAGAGGAATTAGAGATGGAGAATAAGTAGCTCTTTAGAAGACTTGGGCTATCGAAAGCATCAGAGCAATGGGATACCAACTGGAGGAATAACTGGAGGAGAGTTGCACAGGCAGGAATAGAGAGAATTGCTAGGGCGGCCTCCTGCACAACAGGAAGGGGTGAAATGTGGGGCATGGGGGAGAGCCCGTCTCAGTGGCACAGTCATCTCAGCATCAGAACAGGGTGGAAGGTGGAGAACCTTGGGGAATTGGGGAAGCTTGTGTAGGTCTCTTCTTCTTTTTTTTTTTTTTTTTTTTTTTTTGTTTGTTTCTAAGACAGAGTCTCGCCCTGTCGCCCAGGCTGGAGTGTGTGGAGTGCAGTGGTGTGATCTCGGCTCACTGCAACCTCCACCTTCCGGTTTCAAGTGATTCTCCTACCTCAGCCTCCCGAGTAGCTGGGATTACAGGCACCCGCCACCACCCCTGGCTATTTTTTTCTATCTTTAGTAGAGACAGGGTTTCACCATGTTAGCCAGGCTGGTCTCAAACTCCTGACCTCGTGATCCGCCTGCCTCGCCCTCCCAAAGTGCTGGGATTACAGGCGTGAGCCACCGTGCCCAGCCAGGTCTCTTCTGATTGACTCATTTTCCTCAATGAAACAGGAAGCAAGGTCATCAGCTGAGAGTGAAGATGTGGAGTGGGAGATCTGAAGACAGAGGGGGAGGCATGAAATTGTTCTGTTGTGGAAACGAAGGGTGAATGGACTGGGAAGGGCAGCACAACTCCCAGGCAGCATGGAGGGCTCGCTGGAGGCTGTGGCCATGCACTCGTCAGCATGGCTATGCCAGCCAGAGGGGAGTGGACTCGGTGCAGGGCTGTGACCAGGTGTCAGGGGTAAGCTGGGGAGTTGAGGGTTTTGTGAGGGAATGATGGGCATGACTGGCTGTAGGGTGAGCTGGGTGAGAAGAGAGACCAGGACAGAAGATGTCAAGACCTTTGTTGAATGAATGGGCAAAGATAAAAAAAAAGAAACTGTCATCTCAAACAGTTCAAGTCAGGACTGCAAAAGAGGACCAGGTGCCTGTGCCTGGTAGGAAGGAGGACCAAGATGGCTTCCAAGAGGAAAAGTCTTAAAGCATGAACGGAAATTTGGACAGACAGATGAGCAGGTGAGGAATGGGCAGGTCCAAGGAGAGAATGTTGTGTGCCAGTGCCACCCCAGAGGCGGCAATACAGGTGTGGCCTGCAGGTAATGCACTTACCAACAGGCCTAGAAACTGCCTTCTTCATTACTGAGGATTAGTAATAGTAATTATTATTTCTTAATTATAAATTTAATGCTCCTTTGTCACTCCCAGTGTGTGTGTATACACACACACACGAGAATTATGTATGTAACAATGACATATTTACATATGTAAGAAATTATAAAATTATCTATGGCTGGACACAGTTGTTCATGCCTGTAATCTCAGTGCTTTGTGGGGGGCCAAGGCAGGAGGATAGCTTGAAGCCAAAAGTCAGAGACCAACCTGGGTGCCATAGCGAGACCCTGTCTCTGCAAAAAAATTTTTTTAATTAGCTGAGTGTGATGGTGCATGCCTGTAGTCCCAGCTACTCAGGAGCCTGAGGCAGAAGGATCACTTGAGCCTAGGATTTCAAGGCTTCAGTGAGCTATGACTGACCTCTGCGCTCTAGCCTGGGTGACAGAGTGAGACCTGGTTTCTAAAAATTTAACTAATGTGTACATTGTATAAATATAAAACAAAAGCATATTGTCTGTCTCCTCCCCCTACCCACCACCCGTCTCCATTCCAATTTCCTTCTTCAGATCTTATGAACATTCTTCCTAGCCACCTTTAGGCCAACTCCTCATCTGCTGGGTTTCATGCAGTATTCCAGAAGACCAGCCTGAAAATAGAGAACTCAAGCTCTTGTATGTTTAGTCTGGGTTCCTGCCAAATAACGTGCAGCACTGTCGAGAATGATGTGACGGACAGAGCTTGATGCACAGCATGATGGGGCACCCTGTCCACTTGCCTGTGAGTCATGAACATTTCATCATAGGGTTTACAGTTTTTTGTTATAGATGTTTAATCACAAAAATAACAGAGGCCACTTACGCTAAGTATATTCTGTGAGGATCATTCTTGCACACGAAAGGTAACAGCATGACCTTGATATGGTAAGGCCTTGGCATTGCAGAGGAGAACAGGCTGCAGAAGGTAATGTGCAATCTCATAAACTGGACTCCTTGTCAGCATTCTTTTGATATTTCACAAATGACAAAAGTCATCAAGAGAAGATTCCAATGGTTCAGATATTTAACGGTCACCCGTGTTTATACTACTTTTGAATGGGTGAAACTTTAGGATGGGGATTAGTTAAATCATGCTATAAATTCAGGCCCAGAAAATAATGGAGAAAGAATTCCCAAAGCTACTAGAATTCTCCCACAATTGAGATGTCAGTTCACACCCACAGAGGGCTTCTGGTGGTGACAGTTGGTGGAATGAGAGCCAGGATCCTACAGCAACAGCCCTTCATGAAGGGCACATGAAAGCTCTGAAGAGTGCAGAAAGTCTCACTGTGGTCACTGGATGAAATTATGACCTCCAGTTTCTCAGAAAACTAAAAGTGGATCCACCATTCGATCCAGCAGTCCCACTACTGGGTATGTAACCAAAGGAAAATAAATCATTATATCAAAAAGACACCTGCATGCATGCGCTTGTCACTGCACTGTTCACAATTGCAAAGATACGGAATCAGCCCAAATGCCCATCATCCGATGAGTGGATAAATAATATTTATAGAAATATTTATATACCATGGACTACTACTCAGTCATAGAAAAGAATGAAATAATGTCTTTTGCTTTAACTTGGATGGAGCTGGAAGCCATTATTCTAAATGAAGTAACTCAGGAATGGAAAACCAAATACCACATGTTCTCACTTATAAGTGGGAGCTAAGCTATGGGTACGCAAAAGCAGACAGAATGGTATAATGGACATTGGAGACTCGGAGGGGGGCAGGTAGGGGAGTGAGACATGAAAAACTGCCTATTGGGGTACAGTGTACACTGTTTTGGTGGCAGGTGCACTAATATCCCAGACTTCATTGCTATCCATGTAACCAAAAACCACTTGTTCCCCTAAAGCTATTATAAAAACTTGTTTTGCAAGAAATTGAAACTTAAATTTTAGAAAACTTTTAAAAAATTATGACTCTGGATTCCTATAAATGTCTGCTTCTGTTTGGTGTTGTATCTATAGCAACATAGTGACAATATTAGGTAGCAATTTCTGAACCACAGCTTTGAAAATTTGAGCAATGGTGTTTCCAATTTCATTTATTAAATTCTTTTAAAAAGTTTAGTTATTACCGATGATGGCAAAGAACATTTAGGTTTCATTAAGTGAGAGTTTTTTATGTTATAGTATTCTATGTTTTCTTTATCTATTAATGGGTTTTTCTTCTTATCTGCAGTGACCCTGTCTCTTTGAAGTTTTAAATCCAGCCTAAGTTTTCAATAGTTGGTTTGTATTTCTAATACGAAATTCAGAACATCCTTGATCATGATTTTATTTATTTATTTTGAGATGGAGCCTCTCTCTGTCACCCAGGCTGGAGTGCAATGGCGCAATCTCGGTCCACTGCAACTTCAGCCTCCCAGGTTCAAGCGATTCTCCTACCTCAGCCTCCTGAGTAGCGGGATTACAGGCACCCGCCACCGTGCCTGGCTAATCTTTGTATTTTTAGTAGAGATGGGGTTTCACCATGTTGGCCAGGCTGGTCTCAAACTCCTGACCTCAAGTGATCTGCCCCCTTGGCCTCCCAAATTACAGGCGTGAGCCACTGCGCCTGGCCATCCTTGATAATGATTTAAATCCACTTTTCCATAGGACTAAGCTTGACTATCTTTGACACCATTTTGACCACATTATTAACTCTAGCAAATAGGATAAAATATAACAGTCATACTTTTAAAAAATACCTTCCCTACATCCAGAACTGGGTTTCTGAAAAATAATAAATAGGAAAATTCATGGTTGAGGGACAACATTGGGAAGCAATAGCAATAGGTGACCTGTGAGAACCCGAAAATAGTTATTTCTTCATTCCACATAATACAATAAAGGTGAAGCACCACATAAACAGTCCGCCAATTGTATAAACATATTTTAAAATAGTAATAACAAATATTATTCAGTAGTTCGTATTTACCATCTCCTGCTTGGCAGAAACTTTTCAAGAATCTGCCATTTCCAAAATTTCATGAAGATACTTATAAAAGCATCTCCCTTATTTCTGGAAATATGCCTATTTTCCCATGTGTCTGTTGTGATAGACAATTGTTCAGAGTCATTCTGGTTTTAAGACTCAGTTATTCTTTCTCTCCTTGCCTTAATTCTTTCCTTAAGTCCTACCTAGTGCTTTTTTTTCTTTCTTTCTTTCTTTTCTTTTTTTTTTTTTTTTTTTTTGAGACAAGATCTGTCGCCCAGGCCGGAGTGCAGTGGTATGATCTCAGCTCACTGCAGCCCATACCCGCCGGGCTCAAGTGATCCTCTCATCTCAGTCTCCTGAGTAGCTGAGACTACAGGCTCATGCCACTAGGCTCAGCTACTTTTTTTCGTTCATTTTTTGTAGAGACCAGGTCTCCCTATTTTTCCCAGGCTGGTCTTGAACTCCTGGACTCAAGGGATCCTCCTGCCTTGACCTCCCAAAGTGCTGCAATTACAGGATCACCACACCAGGCAGCTATTGCTTCTTATCTGGTTCCTTGAGATGCAGAGTAACCGGGCTGCTTTGAATGAAAGAAGGCTTGGAATAACCATCATTTAACCTATTTCACTTAACCCAGCCCCCTGTCTGTCAATAACCAGGTTTCCCTAGCCTAAGCTCTATCTGTGATTCCTTCCTGCTAAAGCACAGGCCTAAGGGCCTCTCACAGGAGAGTGCAGTTCTCTTTCTGTCTTCCTCCTTTCCCTTCATATTAATTGGTTTTGTTGCAAAAACCCGTATTTCTTTAATTTTTTTTATTTTTTCCCTTCTTTTCATGGAAGTCATAAAAACCTGGTCATTCTATTTCTAACCCCGGTTCTCTCTCTCTCTTTTTTCTTTTTCTTTAACGTTTTTCCAACAAGATTGTCTGTTTATGCATATCCTCTGTATCTGGAATTGTCCCAATGACTTCAAATATGTGGGGGTATACATTTTTGTGCACTAAAATTTTGAATAACAAGAATTTTTGTTTGAAAGGGATCATGGCATCCTATTTTAATTAATCTCAATAACAAATAACTTGTTCAATTCTAGAACCACAGTCTGTCATATCTACATATAACAGTAATAGCAGTTCAGATATGTAAAACTTGTTATTGCTCATCCTGTAAGGCGAAGAAAACACATTCTGCTGATGTCTTTGTTTTCAATACTTTTTCTCTCATTCATTGTGATCAGGGTGGTAATACACCTGTTTTAATTTATTTTTGATCATTTTTCCTATTTTGTTTTGTTTTTCTGAAAGACCAAAACTTTCATTTGGTTACCCCTTTCAAAAATTTTGTTTTTTGTTTTTCTTTCAACTGTTGACATACTCTCTCTGAGACATATGGTAACATATTATTTCCATGGGGCATGCCTAGGCATTTTGTGGGAAATTACATGTATTTCACAGAAGTAGATGCTCTTTTTGACCAATATTTTTATTTTAAATGCTATTAACCAATATGCTGTTAATATTCAGCAAGAGTAATCAAGTAACTCGTCCAGTGAAGCTGATGGGATTCTTGAGAGAGTGCAAGGTTTCCCTCTCTGGAGAATCTGTTGAAGGAGGGTTTTTGCATATATGCTGGTTTAAAGGAAATGGAGGTGTTGAACTTTAGAACCATGTTGCTTATGGAAATAGCTTCGCGTAGAGTAACTCTTAGTCCATTTTGAAACCCTCTTCCCTAGAAATTTCTATCTCTTTCATTTAATACTGTGGCAAGGTTAATAATATTTACACATACTTTCTTCTGTGTTGTGAGATGTTAGTTTAAGTTGGAACATGCTGGCTTGTCATTTTCTAAAGTGAATCAGTTTATCTTTGGTTTAGCCTGAAATTGCAGCAGAGAGTACGCATCCTCCTGGGATCTGAATGTAAAATAACTGAAACAGATTGAAGTTGGCAGTGACTAATGAAGTCTTGCGCATAAGTCGGCAAGTCAGTAGGTTTCTGCGTATCAAGAAGGAAGAGCAGAGGAACCCGAGCCCCTGGGGTCTAGGCATTTCTTCCTTCTTCCCCCTGTGCCCAGCTCTGATGGAGGAGGGGAATTTAACCACAGATATTCCACCTACATTCTTTCTAAAGACATCAAATTCCTAGTATACAAATTCGTTACATTACTGGTAATTCCCAGCTAGCTTCCTTGTTTAACGAGCCGTTTTAGCTGCCTAAAGGTATTCTACATAGCAATTTTAATCAGTCATATAAAATTGATGAAGCTGAGATACCAGGGAAAATTAGAATGGTTATATTGTTTCTTTGATAACTCCTTCCGCAGGCTGGCTACACTGTTCCACCTTTAGTGCCCTGGAAATGACTCCATGTCACCAATTTACATAGTAAAGACCACTTTGCTCATAGCTGAGTCTCAGTATGCCCAGTGAGGCTTTGTGTTGTTTTGTTTTGTTTGTGGTCAGCATTCATATATTTCCGTACATCACTACACGTATACACCTTTACTTCAGAAAATGCCAGATTAATTTCTTTGTTTCTTTCTTGAAATGTTTTCTTTTTGCACTTTTTTTTAACCATTAACATGGTATCAGGGATCCATAGTATCGCGTTGTATTTACAAGATTACAGAAATACAATCTGCTTGGCACATTTAGAAATATGTTTTGAAAGAAATTGGTGTGCTGTTACCCTTCGGTTCAGTTCTCCCAGCCCGTTCCCACATAGAGAGCAACAAGATTTGTGTTTTCCAGCTCATTAAACTGACAGCAGAAATTAGATTGTGGTATTAAAAACTAAAAAGTTAAATTACAGCTACACATGTCCTTTATGCAGTGGGGCGTGTGGAAGATGTTTGATTTTAATGTTTGCTATAATGGAGAATTTAAATTACAATGTTTGTCAAATCTCTAATCTTTGTTACAGAGTGGAATATTAATTACGCTTTTAACTATGAGAGGTAAATAAAATGAGCATCCACTGCACGCCCAGGGGTAAATTGCAGATTACCAACAACGTGACATAATGCACTAAATGTCAGTTTTGTCAAACAAATTTAGAAGAACGGTTAAACTATTAGCTTCCTGTTGTTCTAGGGCCTTTCTTGCAGCAAGCAACTATTGGGAGCAGCAGGGACACTGTGCCTTGTGGAAGACTAAGGGAGTTAAATTGAATAAGCAAGATGAATGGGGAGACAGCACCACAGAGGCACTCAATTAGTTTATAACTGTCTATTAACTTCTGTAGGTGGTTTTGAATAAACAGCAGATTATCTGTTGCACTCTTGGGGGACAAGGGGAGCCATGGGAGAGGGTCAGTGTAGCGCTCAAAGGAAAGAGATTTTTTGATTCTCAATTGCCCTCTGTCTTCTCCTTTCCTACTTTTGTGCATGAAGCATGGGTAATGGTTGTCAAAACCTTCTACATGTTTAAAACTTACACGCATACAAAGGAGCAGTGCCCGCCTTGACATTTCTCTTGGCAGTTCTTGCATGGAACACTGGTGTGATGCCCCCAAAGAATAAGTTGAATTTAGGTTCTTTGGCTACTTTTTCAGAACATGTTCTTGGGAAAAGAGTAGTAACTCTTGGTTCTTAGAACTCAGGAAGATAAAACCTCTCCATGAATGATCATAGCCAGGATTTCTTTCCAGAGAGGGCTGAGAGTGTGGAGGGAAACTGATGGAGCTCTCTGCATCATGCAGTACATCCTGGAGACTTGCAGGGCGTGGGAAGTCCCCTTGCTTCCAGTGAAGGCATTGTTTCTAGCTTCAGTGTTTATGCAAGTTCTAATCTCCTGATGCTTACCTTAGAGTACATTTAGGAACCAGTGCTCTGTTAATGGAAAAACTAAATTCTAAAAGATTTTTAAGAGGCTTATTCTGGCCAAGCCCGGTGGCTTACGCCTGTAATCCCAGCACTTTGGGAGGCCGAGACGGGTGGATCATGAGGTCAGGCGATCGAGACCATCCTGGCTAACATGGTGAAACCCCGTCTCTACTTAAAATACAAAAAATTAGCCGGGCGTGGTGGAGGACGCCTGTAGTCCCAGCTACTCGGGAGGCTGAGGCAGGAGAATGGCGTGAACCCAGGAGGCAGAGGTTGCAGTGAGCCGAGATCAGGCCACTGCACTCCAGCCTGGGTGACAGAGCAAGAGTCCATCTCAAAAAAAAAAAAACTTATTCTGAGTCAATATGAGTAACCGTGGCCCAAGGAAAAACAGTCTTAAGAGATCCTGACAAAGTCAAGAGAGTCAGATTACAGTTTTCTACATTTTGGAGAGGAAGGAGTTACAGGCAAAGACATAAATCAATACATGGAAGATATTGATTAGTTTAGCCCATAAAGGTGGGATATCTTGAGGTGGAGGCTTACAAGTCAATAGATGGATTCAGAGATTCTTTAATTTGCAATTGGTTAAAGGAACAAAACTTGGTCTAAAAACTTGGAGTTAGCAGAAAGGAATGTTTTAAGTTAAGATAAGCATGCTATGTCAGAGTCAGCCACAATATGACCTGCTTAACAAAAGCAGTGGCTTGCAGGCATGACTTAACCCTTGCCTTAGGTATTGTTTATAATTTGATATATCATTACCACAAAGAGTATGTTTAGTCAATCTTATGATCTCTATTTTAACATTAATGCTGGTCAATTATTGTGCCTAAACTCCAAAAGGGGGCGCTATAACGAGGTGTGTCTGACCTCCCCATCACATCCAGGAACTCAGGAAAATTTTTAAGATTTTTCTGAGTTCCTCTTGGCTACAAGTCAGTGGGGAGCTTAGGATTTTCTTTTACCGCATGGTACAATCACTAGATCATTATAAAGAATTGCAAATTTTAATGAAATTGCTGAAGAAACATGGTGAGAATTAAAGGGGAAGGAGATAAAAGATTAGAGATGAAGGAAAAAACAAGACCAAGAAGATGTGGAAACTATGAGTGATGACTTCCGAACTTTAAAGTATTTTTAGTGCTTCTGAATTTATGTCCTTCAAACTGTGTACCAACTTGCTTTTTTGAGCATGCAGACATTACATAATGCAAGCCATTTATCAGAGTTCTTTTACATAGCACAGAACAGTCATAAGATACTCTTACTTTTCAACACACATACACACACATATATCCCACAAAGGGATTCATTTTTCTTTTGCTATTTTGAAAAGGCTGAGAAATGTATGCCTCCACCAGCAGGATTGGGGCATTCTTTATGTGAACCTGTCCCACTTAAAACCAGTTGTCAAGGAGAGAATCAAGATAAAACACAGTGTGTGGTGGGTGGATCCACTAAGTGAGGAAAGCTTATTAGGAAAGAGTTAGGAAAGCTGTAGTTCCTCCTGAATAAGACTCCTTTGAGAAAAAGAGCCAAGACTTAATCTAACTCTTGGGTATCTGTTTTGACACCTGTGTCTGTAATTGCTGGTTTGCTTTGTAATAGGGGTGTTTTCTTTGGTCATCCATTGAATTACCTTTAATTCAATTACCATTGAATTACATTGAATCGATGCTCTTAATACCTAAGTTTTCTTTGAGCTAAATGTAAGCATTTATGTGCTGATGGATGTTATTAAACCCTACATCTCCTTTATAATCATTCATGAGATCCATCAGCATGAGGGCAGTTTCTTCATCAACAGACTGTACAAAACCCTTATGAGGTAAGATCTCAGTGAACAAAATGAGAATAATCAGATGAAATAATAGTCAAGTGATTGCCCTTGAAAAATAGAGGCACTTGATACAACTTAGACTTGAAGTCTCTTTTTTTTTCTGTTTTTCCTCCCACTAAACTATTGCAGATTTGACAGGGTGTTTATTTTGCAAATATGATTGGAGGGATTTGTCAAGGAAGACTAGGATAGCAATGGTCATGAAGAAAAGCATTATCCAAATTATAACCCAAAGTTTACTCACCCATTTCCCTGTGTTCCCTGGCACTTTGTGGAGCCTGTATTGTTGTCGCTGTGGGGGTTGGTTTCACATGCCGTCTATCCCAGTACCTGTGAGTTTCTCAGAGGCCAGGGCTGTCATTGTCACCCTGCATCCCAAGTACCTAGCCCAGTGCTGAGCTCACAGGGGATGCTTATGCAATGTTGAATGGATTGTTAAAAGAAAAATGTTAGACAAATTAAATTTAACAGAGTTTAATTGAGCAAGGAAAAATGATTAGTGAATCAGGCAGCCCTCAGAATAAGAGCAGATTCAGAGAGAGCCAATGCTGCCATGAGGTTGGAGAAAATTTATAGATAGAAAAACGAAAGTGACACACAGAAGACAAAAGTGAGGTACAACAGCTCCATTGGTTACAGCCTGGCATTTGCCTTGTTTGAACAGTTGTTTGCCTGTGAGTGGATGAAGTCTGGTGCTGAGTTTGTCTGGGGCTCGGCTATTGTTACAGAAGCACACTCCTAGCTCAGGTTTTCAGTCCGCTGATACTAAATCAAGTTTAGCCTAAACCTTCCTCCTTACATATTTTAATTTTGGCCTACAGATTTCCCTGTGCATAGTGAACTGTAACCTAAACAGACTGTAACCTACCAATGATTGTGATTGTGCCAATCACCAAGTCTTGGCCAAAGGTGGCCAACTGCTCAAACTGGGTTCAAGCAAGGCAAATACCACACTGTACCCAGTTCATTGTTTCTGTACCTCACTTCAGTTTTCTGTATGTACCTCACTTTTCTTTTTCTGTCCATAAATTGTCTCCCACCACGTAGCTGCACTGGAGTCTCTGAGCCTACTTTGGCTTGGGAGGCTGCCCAATTCAAGAATCATTCTTTGCTCAGTTAAACTCCATTACATTTAATTTGGCTAAAGATTTTCTTTTAACACTGACCTGCTAAGATAAGTTGTGGTTTGTCCATAAGAACTCAAGTATGCAAATATGGAGGTTTTTTCAGGCCAGATTTTGGTTGATTTAACAGAATGAATACTGGAAAAGACACCTTTCATGGGTATCCAGATATCCAAGAAGAAATCACAGTGCTGTTTAAAACAAAATTAAGCCATTAGGGAAAGTTTTTGTCTCATTTTTCCCTCCTATCTGTTGAGTCCTTACCAGGTATAGGAACTGTGCTTTACATGTATTCTCATTTCATTTTCATCAACCCCCTACAAAGTAGATGACATGCTTTCTCTGTCAAGCATATGAGGAAACCAAGATTTTACAAAGTTTCCATCTCTTTCATAAGGAAAGCCGGAACTGACAGAGTATGGGGGCTGGGGACGGGATCTCTTCCGATTGCCATTTACTCATTGAAATAAGTTTTCATCTGAGCGGGGACAGAGAATGGTTAATGGAGGTAGAAGGAGGTAAGAGAAAAGGGAAAATCAGTTTTCCTAAAATGTAATGTCTGTCATATTATTCTCCTGCTCAGCAGGACTTTCCTTGTCTAAGAATTATGTACCCACTTCTCAGCTTTGCCTCCAAGGCATTCCACAGAATGACACCAGGGTTTCACTATAGGCAGCTTATGCCTTATTTGGTTTTCTAAGCATTTTTTGAACTGGGCATGGTGGTTTGCACCTTTAATCCCAGCTGATCAGAAGGCTGAGACAGAAGGATTGCAAGCCCAGGAGTTCGAGACCAGCTTGGGCAATATAGTGAGACCCCCCATCTCAAAAATAGATAAATAATAGGCTAGTGTGGTGGCTCACACCTATAATCCCAACTCTTTGGGAGGCTGAGACGGGCAGATCACCCTGAGGTCAGGAGTTCGAGACCAGCCTGGTCAACATTGCGAAACCCCGTCTCTACTAAGAGTACAAAAATTAGCCGGGCGTGGTGGCACATGCCTGTAGTCTCAGCTACTCGAGAGGCTTAGGCAGGATAATTGCTTGAACCTGGGAGGTGGAGATTACAGTGAGCCACGATCGCACCACTGCACTCCAGCCTGGGAGACAGAGCGGGACTCTGTCTCAAAAATAAATAAATAAGTAATAAATAAAAACTGGTTGACTAATTATAAATAAACTGAAATGCATAGCCATGTGGTAGTAATTCTAAGAGTCAAGAGTTAATTCTTGTGTCTTATCAAAATGAAATGTTAAGGAAACATCAAGTCAGTGGCCTAAAGTTGGATAGATTAACAAAAGGCTTTTCTATTTTCTGTTCATCTAAGTCAACCTCAAATATTACAGATATTTTTTAAAGAACTACTTATTTTTAAAGGACTAAGAATTATTTTCAAAGAAGTATGTCTTCAAGCATCATGAGCAGAATGAAAGGCCGAATGCTCTCCTTGTGACAAAGTGAGTGGACAGACCCATCCGCAGTGCAGCATGCCTATCACCAGCCACCAGCGCAGTCCAAAGTTACATGATTGAAAAAGAAATTTGCACCTGATTGAAGATGCTTTGGGCTCAGTTTTGCTGTCCTCTCCCCACAGAAGTCTAAGCTGTTCAGACTGCTCAAGATAACACTTCACACAGTTTAGGAATTGTGGTTTATGTCGAACGCCAATCTATATCAGCTTTCATAACATTTAATATGGTGGGGGGAGTGATAGGTGTTTGAGAAATTAAGCAAAACCATAAATTTTCTCTTGGTATGTATAGTATATACAAGGAGAGCTTTCGAGTACCTTCTTCCTAGTGTTCTCTCTTAACTCTTGATGTGAGTGAAAAGCTTCATCCATTGCATGACACAGACTAGGTCATTGTGTTTGAATTCCTTGGGTTGGGGAGAAGTATGGTAGAGTCTTTCTCCTCACTTCAGAAATCAAAAGAAAGTACAGTACCTGCTTGGTAGGTATTCCTTGAAAGTTGCCAGCACTTTTGGCTAGACAGCTCCCAGATAAGCAGATGGCTTCTTTAATGATGAAACCCCACTTTTCTACAATGCTAATTAGTTAGAGAAAGATAATTTGAAAGTCTGCTGTACATTGCAGGAAATGTCTTTTGTGTCTGTGTCATTTGCTTCTAAGAATCATGCAACTGCCACCTGAGTAGGCTCCAGTTTTCTCTTTTTATTTAAATCTTGTGACTCTTCAATCACAAGAAAAGGGGAAAGACAGTCAATGAGGAAAAGGAGAACCCTCTTTCAGGATGAAACACTCAATTACAAGTGCAGCTATATTTCTGTTTTCAAAAATCAGCCTTATTGTTATGTTTTGAACTATACATTTGGAACAGTCTCTTCAGTGGCTTCATATGGCGTGTGCATCTCAATTCATTTCTCTACAGATTGCCATTGAGACTTGGAAAAACCAGATTGCCCATTTGAAAGCTGGTTCTGACTCAGCTTGTCAAGCCAGCCATCCTGGTCAGAATGTATTGGGGAAAAAAATGAATAAAAGTAACAGAGACCTGGATTTTTATTCTGATCCCACACTTGATTCATTTGTGACCCAGGGCAAGTCACATAACCTTTTATATATGATTCCTTATTTGTTATGTGGCATAATATGGTTCATCCCTACCTTACTTATTTGTTGAATAAACCCTTCATCCTGTAGAATTCCCCCACATTCCAAACTCACTGATGCATTCTTATGCTGTCATTTAACGCGTCCCTCAGTTATCTGGACTTGCTGTGAACTGGGGCTAGCACTAGAGGATTAATTGATTCAACTTTCTTATTTTGGTAAGAATTTTTCATAAGTAGTGTTCTGTACTTCCTCTTGCATTACATTAGGAAGCATATAAGGCTGAACTTGATTAGCGAGTTGCAGTTTTGCCAACCTCATCCATCCATTTTAAAGTTCCACATCAGCCCTTCACTTAATGGTTTTTTAAGCTACTGGTGATGATTGCCTGATACATTATTTTATTAGGGATTTCAAAATGGTGACATCTTAATTCTGTCATTCCTTCTGTATTTATTAAGTGTCATTCTCTACTCACCTGCTAGGTTACTGTGAAATGCAGTTCATATAGGAAACTCAAGATAAATGTCTGAAGTTTATTCTTCTTATTTACCAATTTCAGAATGAGTTGGTGCCTTAGGATTTTGTAAGATGACCAGTAGTGTCATTATCAGTGATTTTAACATATGTGATATGTTTGAATATTTTAGAGTAATTACTGTTTGGATGTTCAGAGTATCTCACCTTTGGCCAATAGGAGTTCATTCAAGTTGTCTCTTGTATTTTTTTTTTTAACATAACCCCAAAACTTTGGAGAGCTTCTGGTACAACAGGATGTTCTTAGCTCATCTTCTGTATTGTCTGCCCCATGGCTGGAATCAGTCATTTCTCTAATAAACCCTGGTTTCTTTTACTGGAAAATGGCATTTAGAGACCACAATCTGACCACAAGGGGAGCTCATTGAAGTGGGTCAGCCGTTGCTTCTAGGCTCACATCAGCCACTTTCACCATCGGTAGCCCTGCTGTCTGCTTACCTGACATGCCAGCAGCTAACTCATCCCCTTTGTCTGTGTTCACTAAGCAGAGAAAGACCATTGGTAAATAGTGAAATATAAGAGAATATCTTTATGACCTCAGGGTAGGGAACGTCCTAAAATCATAATAGACTTAATTGATACATTTGAGTATATCAAAATTATAAATTTCTGTATACCAAAAGATAACCATAAACAAAATTTCAAACAAGCTATAGATTAGGAGAAAACATTTCTAATACTTATATGTCAAAGTATCAGTAGCCTAAATATAATGAATTTGTAGACATCAACAAACAATAACAACCCAATAGAAAAAGGGATATAATATATAAACAGACAACTACAGAGTAGGAATATAGGCTGAATAACATTTGAAAAGATGTGAAACCTCACATATAATCAAGTATATGCAAATCAACAAATTATAAGATGCCATCTTTTCACCCATCAGATTGAGGAACGTTTCTGTAACAGATAGCAAATGTTGGCAAATGTGTGGTTAAAAAAAAAATGCATCACTCCGTTAACATAACACAACTTTGGTGATGCTTTTGAGACTTCATTTTAATTTTTGAAAAAGCAATCCCTTCTGTTCCCCATCATTCCCACCTAGCCCCCAATATCCCCCCCACACACATACATACAAACACAAATAAATAGCATGTAAAGGCCAAATCGTTTGCTTTCTACATTCTTATTAACAAGTAAGAACCTTTCACTACCAGTATACTCAAGTTCTGCAATATAGCTAGTTCATCTTGAGATCTATATCTGTGAAACAAGAAATTCAGAATCAGATCTAAAGATTTTTAAAGTGTGATTTTTATATTTTTCCTAGGAGAAAAAGGCATTTTTTACAATAAAGTGACAGTTGTTTAGGATAAATTAATAAGAAAATGTAGGCCCTTGTTGGGAAGAATTGTTGATAGATGGGTGTTTTAGAAAAGCCAAATGGTTAGTCAAATGACCACAGAAATGCCTGTAGGAAATAAAATATTAAAATTCTGAACACTGTTTGATTATATGCCTTGTATTAGTTTCCTGTTCCTGCTGTAAATAAATTCCTACAAACCTAGTGGCTTAAAGCAAAATAATTATCTTATAGTTGAGTAGGTTAGAAGTCTGACACAGGTTTTGCTTGGCTAAAGTCAAGGTGTCAGCAGGGCTGTGTTCCTTTCTGGGACTCTAAGAGAGAATTCATTTCCTGGCCTTTTTTCCACTTCTGGAGACTACCCGCATTCCTTGGCTTGTGGCCCCTTCCTCATCTCCAAAGGCAGGAAGGGTGGGTTGAGTGCTCCTCACACCCATCATTCTGACCTGCTGTTTTGCCTCTTAAGGTGTCATGTGATAACACTGGCCCACTTGGATAATTTAGGATAATCTTCCTTTTTTAAAGTTAGCTTATTAGCAACCTCAATTCCAACCACAGCTTTAATTTCATTTTGCCAAGTAATGTACCAGATTGGTGCAAAAGTAATTGCGACTTTTGTCGTTACTTTTAATGGCAAAACCACAATTACTTATGCACCAACCTAATAAAATATATTCACAGGTTTCGAGATTAGTAGGTGGATGCCTTCAGGAGACCATTCTGCCCAGTGAATGGGATCTGGGCCCTCCAAAAAGAGACATCCTTTTCTGGGTTATCATTCATGCACCTGAAGCAACCTCTTTTAGTTACTGCTTTCCATGCCAGTTGCCAGGGCTCCTGAACAAACAGGAAGTATTTACTCACACATAAATTAATCAGCATCTATGTTTTTAACTTGGAATAGAAAGGTTTTTTAAAAAAAATTTTCATCCTTTGTGTTTATGAGATGCTTGGATACTTAATTCTGCACATCCAAGGGATCACTTGGATTTTATGAAGTCAGTGCTTAAAGTGGGATCCAGAATATGCAATTTTATCAGGCCCCCATTGTCCTATGTGCAGACATCAGTGGCTTGCCTTGTTTCTATTACATAGAGACATTCCAGAATTTTTTAGCGAGTTTAACAAACATCATCAAGAGGAAAGTGGAGGTAGTGTTCCAATATGACATGCATTAAAAATTCTTCTCTTTCTCACTTATATTTATAGTCTGATAGAGGATCAACAGTATACCAATTTAATCTTGCTGCAGAGTGACATTTTTGAAACCATTAAATTTCCAGATAATGTGCACATGTGGAATTCAGCAGCATAAGCCAGCTGTGAGTGGGGACCCACTATCACTAATGTCACTTGATTCCCATCTTGCTTGACTATGGATTGTACCAGTTTCATATTTCTTGCACTGTCACCGGTTCCAGCCCCTCTGGATTCATATTGCTGTGATGTGAGAAATAAAACTAAACAAAATATTACTAAGGATGACAGATACTACATCTATTATTTTTATGGCTGACTTATTTCAGTGTTTAAAAATCTTCGGTTGGTTTGGGGAATGGCGTTAGGCGCTCACGTGAGCTGTGGGTTACTCCCAAGTGGAGGGTGTTGTTTCAGGAGGGATCTATTTGCAGGTGGATATTGGAGGGCAGAATGCCTCTTATGTGCAGGTCTTGCCACACTGTGTGTTCAGAGGAGCCCAGCTGAAGACACGGTGGAACTGATCTGTATGGGGCACTCCTGCTCCAGGCCCAGGGACTGATAGAAAATGAGAGGGAAAGGAGGAAACAGAGCTCACAAGTTTTTCCTTGGTGGGAACGATATCTAAGGGACTTAGGGAAGGTGCCCCAGCCAGATATATAATGAGAGACAGTGATGATTAAGTGCATTTCAAGATCGACCCAAAGGCTTTTTTCCAGGGCTGTTATATTGTCATATGAATAACATTAAATTCAAGTTATAAATGAAGTTGTTTTAAAATATGTGTATATGTGTGTGTATATGTATTTATATTCCTCTTTATCATTTAGAAAAAATCAGAAATAGGCTGGGTGTGGTGGCTCACACCTGTAATCCCAGCACTTTGGGAGGCGAGGCAGGTGGATCACGAGGTCAGGAGATCGATACCATCCTGGCCAACATGGTGAAACCCAAACTCTACTAAAAAAAAAAAAAAAAAATACAAAAATTAGCCAGGTGTGGTGGCATACGCCTGTAGTCCCAGCTACTTGGGAGGCTGAGGCAGGAGAATCGCTTGAACCTGGGAGGTGGAGGTTGCAGTGAGCCGAGATCACACCACCGCACTCCAGCCTGGCGACACAGCAAGACTCCGTCTCAAAAGAAAAGAAAAAGAAAAAGAAAAATTCAGAAATTAAAATATATATACCTATGAAGTGGTTAGGTGTTTTCAACTTCCAAGGTCTTTTTCTTTCAACAACTTGAAAAGTGGTAGACCATAGGATCAAGCCATGAAATGTGAGAGTCGTCACCAAGCCCTGAGCTGGAACCTTCAGGATCATTAGACATGCATCAGTCAGTGTCCGTCTGTCTGTCTGTCATGCCTCTCTCTTATGCACGATTATGTTTATCATATATTTTTTATGATCAGGAAGTAAGGTATTAAGATTAATCAGACAAGCAGAATAAGAACAAACAAATGTTTGGTGAGCGCCTACCACATGCCAGGCACTTTCTAACAGGAGATGTTAGAACAGAAGAGGCATAAAGCCCTGTCCTCACCCAGCTGGCACGTGATGTTTGCCCAGGAGCATAGTAAAATACCTGTTGGCTAAGAACAAAAACAGTGGCTTCCAAGTACGTAAGGATAATGCTTACTAACCAGAGATTCTTTTGAAATTAAAGAGTAGGAAAATGTTTCCTTTTGATCCATTGAACACTCTACAGTTAGAAAACTTTAGGTACTCGTGCCCTCTCCAGAAAGCAGCAGGCTCTTTTCTTAATTTTTTAGTTCTGAAAATAAAAATTATTTAACATATAAGGATATTGGGTGTATTTTTTATCTCACATGTTGGTTTAGCATATGATTCCTTGAATTTTGTTGCCATAAATAACATCATCATGATTCTTTTGTTTATTGTAATTTAATTATCATCTCAGAGTCATGCAAGACATTTGTGTCATGGTTTTGAGGTGATCATAGATACATGTAATTTCAACTTGTTTTAAAAGAAAGCCAATCTTTTCCAAATATTTGATTTTCAACTTGTAAGTTTGAGAAAGACTAATTTTTATTATATTTGTATAATATGACTATTATTTGAACCTCTTCAACATGAAGTACACATGGTTATATATATATGTGTGTATACACACATGTACCAAGAGATCCTGACAGTTACTTGCTGAAGAGATCCACACACCTCTTTGCTTCTTTTGCTCTGGTGCAAGTTCATTTGCAGACACCTTTCCTCACCAGTGACTCATCGTGTGGTGTTGTTACCACTAGGTCATCTGAAATAAAGTTGTAGCCTAAAGCGATATGTGAATAAAACCCATACCCGTTTCTCACTTGGTGAGGTAGGAAGATACATATCCAAGTCCTTCTGTCTGGTTTCTTTTTAGCCTATCAGCCTTTCTAAGAGTCCTTCAGTCTGTCATTTGATATAACCCCATGGTGTAAAGAGGTGAACTCTACAACAGAGGCCCAACAAAGATAAAAACCCTGACTTGTCTTAAAAAAAACTGTTTTTTTGTGATAAATGTATGTCTGTTAACTAGTGAATGAAGAACAGAGAGTGGCTGGGTAGGTAGTGTGTGCCATAGTTTGTTGTCTCTAGAGTGGGCTTCTTAAGTGATGATACAGTTAGCGATGTTAGAAGAACACTTTCACCTCAGTCAACAGCTATAAAGTCCAAGCTGGGAACTTTATGGACAGTGTCCAGACATAAGCAACCATAAGTGTAGCTAGTGATGCCAATAGATTCCAGATTCCCAGGATCATTTTATCTCAACATGGGAAAATAATGCCAGATGTCTAAAGTTCTCTAGCCATGTGGCCATGGACAGCTTAGCACCACTGTGCCTCAGTTTCCTTCTCTGGAAGATAGGGATAATAATGGCAGTTTCCTCATTGGGCTTTTGTAAGAGTTAAACGAATTAATGAACATAAAGTGCCTGGCATGGCTAATCTGAAGCCCTACATAAATTTTTGTAATTACTATTTTCATGTTGTATTTCTGTCAACTGTTGCAGTGCTGGTTCTTTTGAATTGGAATAATTAAATATCAGACCACTATGTTTCTTTCTTAAAATTTTACCTTTAAATGCAACAGGATCTGCTAATTCTTACAGATCCATCTTTAATGTGACAACCTCTTATTCATTCTGGTTTATTTAAGTGGATCTTGTAATTTGGTATAATATATGCATTGTTTGACTAAACCAATAATAATTTCATCCCTTCTTTAATAAAAAATAAACACTTATTCTTGTTACCAGCTCCTACTGCAGCCCTTAATTAAGTCTAAGCACACACGTAATTGTAGATGCCAGGACCAAAGAGCCATTTACCCTTTCATTCTTAGTTTATATGTGATTTACCTTTCCATGAGTTTTGCTATCCCTGTAGTATTTGAAAAACACCTTTTCTGTGGCCAACAGTGATCTTTGGCTCAGTGCTAATAAGCATTTCCCCAGTGACAATCTGTTGACATAACCTAGCATGGCAGGGTCTATCACAGAGGGTGGGGGTAATCAGGCTCTGGGGAACCATGGCCTGTGACCTTGAATGGCAATAGACCAGGACTGGGAGGAGCATCCATATTGAATCCACTGATACCCATGGCAGACGGGCCCATCCATCCTGCTCCTCTCCCAATTGCCACTCAGTCCAGTTTCAGAGCGGGAAACTGGAGGAGGAGTGATTTCTTCTTCCTTCCAGCCAGGTGGCAATTTGTTCTCCTAGTTGGCAGCAATTTGTCCTGCAGCTCTCCCATAGGACACATTACTGAAGAGTTCATTCTTCACCATGGTTTCTTTATCGGTTGTGATTCATACCCATCATAAACATAATAACTTGCCAAGAGGTTTTTCTTCCATTTCCCTTATTTCCATTTCATACTTTTAAACATTTTTACTGTAGAAAAGAAATACTCAGGAAATAGTAGAGTATAATAACCATTCCTTTAATTTGAATTCAGCGCGCATTTCTCTCCTGTCCTACCTTTATTCTACTTTACAGTTTTTGAGCTATGACAGTTTTTCTCCCTCCAATTATTTTTCTAAACAGTATTGCAATGTTTAATAAACTATTTTTAGAGCAGTTTTTGTTTCACCACATAAGTGAGCAGAAAATACGGAGTTCCCATATAGTTCTAACACCCCCCTGCCAACACACACACACAGTATCCTCATTTATCATAATCCGTGAGGCTCTATTGCCACATCATTATCACCAAAGGCTGTAGTTCACATCAGGGTTCATTCTTCATAATGCACCTACTATGGGTTTGACAACTCTATAATGACAGGCATCCTTCATTATAGTATCATATAAATAAGATCACAGCCTAGAACCTCCTCTGTGCTCTGCCTGTTTATCCCTCCCTTTCCGTTAACCTTTGACAATCACTAATCCTTTTACTGTCTTCATAGTCTTGCCTCTTCCAGAGTGTTATGTAGTTGGAATAATAAAATATTAGGTCAGTGCAAAAGCAATTGCATTTTTTGCCATTATGTAGCCTTTCAGATTGACATCTTTCACTTAGTGACACACGTTTAAGTTTCCTCCATGCCTGTTCATGGCTTCATAGCTTATTCCTTTGTAACACTGAACAATATTCCATTGTCTAAATGTACCACAGTTTAGCCATTCACCTATTGAAGGACAGCTTGGTTTCTTCCAAATTGTCAGTTATGGATAAAGCTATATGAACATCTCTATGGAGGTTTTGTGTGAGCATAAGTTTTCAAATCCTTTGGGTAAATAGCAAGGAGCATAACTGCTGGATCATATGGGAAGAATATGTTAATGTTGTAGGAAACTGACAAACTGTTTTTCTTTTTTTTGAGATGGAGTCTCACTCTGTCACCCAGTGACAGTGCAGTGGTACGATCTTGGCTCACTGCAATGTCCGCCTCCCAGGCTCAAGCCATTCTCCTGCCTCAGCCTCCTAAGTAGCAAGTACCAGAGATGGGGTTTCACCATGTTGGCAAGGCTGGTCTCAAACTCCTGACCTCAAATGATCCACCCACTTTTGTGAAGCTCCCCACGACCCTATATTGGACTGAACAAAAGAGGACGAACGTGGGAATAGAAGACAAAGACAAAAGAGTATATTTGGAAGAAGGGGTCAGGGGGCACCTTGCTTCTAGTGAACAAGGGCCCTGAGCTGTACACAGCCTTCCATATTTATTAGGCAAAAGAGATAGCAAGGAGGGGGGTGGTGGTTGTCAGGTAATTGTCAGTCGGCCATTTGGTTCACAGCAGGCTTGTGAGACTGCATTCCTGGAACAATGGGTACTAGATGTCTCAGGAGATAACTTCAAGGAGTCCCGCACCAGGAAGTGATGGTCCTCAGCAAACCTTTTGGCGACAGGAGCAGTTTGAGTTTGCCCACATCCTGCATTCATGATAAACAGTTTGCTGTTTGATCATATAGCCTCCAGTGGAATGCTGAGCTAGTCACAATCCCTTTGCCGGCACACTACACACCTTGGCCTCCCAGAGTGCTGGGATTACAGGCGTAAGCCACTGTGCCTGGCCCAAACTGTTTTTCAAAGTGGCTATGTCCTTTTGCATTCCTATCAACAATGAATGAGGAGTCTTGTTGCTCTATATTCTTACCAGCAGTTGGTGATGTCAGTGTTTTTTAGATTTTGGCCTTATAACAGATGTGTGGTGGTATCTTGTTGTTCTGATTTGCATTTTCCTTATAACATATGGTGCAGAGCATCTTTTTATATGCTCGTTTGCTATGTGTACATCTTTGGTGAGGCATCAAGGTCTCTGGCCCATTTTTTAATCCCATTGTTTGTGTTCTTATTGTTCAGTTTTAAGAGTTATTTGAACATTATGGATACCAGTTCATTACCAGGTATGTCTTTTACAAATATTTTCTCCAAGTTTATGGCTTCTTTCTTGACAGTGTCTTTCACAGAGCAGGAATTTTTATTGGAAAGATGTCTATCTTATCATTTTTTTTCATGGATTATCCCTTTAATATTTTAACTGAAAAGTCATTGCCATATCCAAGGTCATCTAGATTTTCTCCTATGTTATCTTCTAGGAGTTTCATAGTTTTGCATTTTACATTTAGGTCTATAATCCATTTTGAGTTAATTTTTGTGAAGGGTGTAAGGCCTGTGTCTAGATTCATTTTTCTGCATGTGGATGTCTAGTTGTTCCACCACCATTTGTTGTCCATTGTAGTACCCTTGCTTCTTTGCCAGTTGATCGTATTTATGTAGGTTTCTTTCTGTTCTCTCTCTTCTGTCCTAGTGATCTGTTTGTCTCTTATTTCACCAATACCACACTGTCTTGATTACTGTAGCTTTATAGTAAGTCTGGAAGTCAGGTAGTATCAATCTTCCAACTTTTTTCTAATCAGTATTGTGTTGGCTATTCTGGGTCTTTTGCCTCTCCATATAGAATCAGTTTGTTATTAACCCTAAATAAGTTTCTAGGATTTTGATTAGGATTGCACTGAATCTATAGATCAATTTGGGAAGAATTGACATGTGGACAATATTAAATCTTTCATTTATTTAGTTCTTTGATTTCTTTCATCAGAATTTTACAGTTTTCCTCTATACTTTTTGTACGTATTTGTTAGATTTATGCCTAATTATTTCACTTTTGGAGATGCTAATGTAAATGGTATTACGTCTTTAATGTCAAATTACAGTTGCTCATTGCTGGTATATAGGAAAGTATTGACTTTTGTATATTAACCTGGTATCCTGCAACCTTGCTACATTTGCTTATTAGTACTAGGAGCTAATTTTGTTGGTTCTTTCAGATTTTTTTACACAGACAGTCATGTCATCTGTGAACAAAGAGCGTTTCATTCATTCCTTCTTAACCTGTTGATATTTTCATTTTCTTGTCTTATGGCATTAGCTAACTGAGACTTCCAAGAGGATATTGAAAAGTATTGGTGAGAGAGGACATTCTGGCCTTGATCCTGGTATTTGTGGGAAAGCTTTTATTTTTGCAACATTAAGTATAATATTAGCTATAGCGTTTTAGTAGATCTTTTTTTTATCAAGTTGAGGGGTGTTCCCCTCTATTCCTACTTTGCTGAAAACATTTATCAAGACTGGGTATTGGATTTTGTCAACTCTTTTTCTGCATCTATTAATATGACCATCTGACTTTTCTTCCATAGCCTGTCAATGTGATGGATTGCATTTTTTGAGTTTCAAATGTTGAACCAGCCTCCCATACCTGAAATATATTCTACTTGGCCATGGTGTATAATTATTTTTATAAATTGTTGGATTCAATTTGCTATACTCTGTTGAAGATTTTTGCATCTGTTTTCATGAGAAATTATGGTTTGCAGTTTTCTGTTTCTGTAATGTCTTCAGTTTTGGTATTAGGGAAATGCTGGCCTTTTAGAATGAGCTAGGAAGTATTCTCTATTTATGTTCTGGGAGACATGGTAGAGAATTGGTATGATTGCCTTAAATATTTGGTAGAATTTAACAGTGAAACCATCTGAGCCTGGTACTTCATGTTTTGAAAGGTTATTAATTATTGACTCAATTTTTTAATAGCTATAGGCCTAGTGAGATTGTGTGTTTCTTCTTGTGTGAGTTTTGGCAGATTACACCTTTCAAGGAACTGGTCTATTTCAACCAGGTCATCAAATTTGTAGGTATAGAGTTGTTCGTAATATTCTTTATTATCCTTTTAATGTCCATGGGATCTGTAATAATGTCCCCTCTTTCATTTCTAATATGAGTAATCTGTGTCTTCTTTTTTTTTTTTTTTTTTTTTTTAGCCTGGCTAGAGGTGTATCAATTTTACTAATCTTTTCAACCAGTTTTTAGTTTTGTTAATTTTTTTCTATTGACTTCTTGTTTCTGTTTCATTGATTTCTGCACTAATTTTTTTTTATTTTCTTCTACCTTCTTTAGATTTAATTTTATCTTCTTATTTTAGATTCCGTAGGTGGGAGCTTAGATTATTGGTTTTAGATGTTTCTTTTTGTCTAATATGTGCATCCAGTGCTACAAATTTCACTCTAAGCACCTCTTTTGCTACATACCACAAATTTTGATAAGTTGTATTTTAATTTTCATTTGGTTCAAAATATTTTTTAAATTTCTCTTGAGATTTCTTTTTTGACCTGTGTTTTACTTAACATGCATCTTTTATCTTCCAAGTATTAGGGATTTTTCCAGCCATTTTCATGTTACTGATTTCTAATTTAATTCCATTGTAGTCTAACAGCAGACACCGTATGATTTCTATTCTTTTTAATTTGTTAAGCTGTGTTTAATGGCTCATGATGCGGTCTATCTGGTGAATGTACCCTGTGAACTTGAATATAATGTGTATTCTGCTGCTGGTGGATGAAGGATTCTTAAGATGTCAGTAATATCCAGTTGATTGATGGTGCTCTTGAATTCAGCCATGTCCTTACTGATTTTCTGCCTGCTGAGCTGTCCATTACTGACAGAGGGGTTGAAATCTCCAACTATAGTAGTGGATTCATCTATTTCTCCTTGCAATTCTATCACCTTTTGCCTCATATATTTTGACACTATGGTATAGGTGCATACACGTTAAAAAATTTTATGTCTTCTTGAAGAATTGACCCTTTTATCCTTATGTAATGCTTTTCTTTATCCCTGGTAATTGTTTTTGCTCTAAAGTCTGCTCTGTCTGAATTTAATACAGCTTATTCCAGTTTTCCTTTGATTAGTGTTAGCATGGTACATTTTTCTCCATCTCTTTACTTTTAATCTATGTGTCTTTATATTTAAATAAGTTTCTTGTAGATCATATGTAGTTGAGTTGTGTGTTTTAATCTGATAATCTGCCTTTTAATTGGTTTATTTTTTATTTATTTTTTTGAGATGGGGTCTTGCTATGTTGCCCAGGCTGGAGTGAATTGGTGCAATCTTGGTTCGCTGCAACCTCTGCCTCCTGAGTTCAAGCAATCCTCCCAGCTCAGCCTCCCGAGTATTTGTGACTATGGGTGTGTGCCACTATGTCTGGTTAATTTTTGTATTTTTGGTAGAGACAGGGTTTCACCATGTTGCCCAGGGTGGTCTTGAACCCCTGAGCTCAAGCAGTCCACCTGCCTCTGCTTCCCAAAGTGCTGAGATTATAGGTGTGAGCCACCTAGTGCATAGCCTAACGGGTATATTTAGACTACTGACATTTACATGATTATTGATAACATTGGATATCTTTTTTTATTACTGTTTTCTATTTGTTGCTCTTATTCTTTCTTTGTTCCTGTTCTTTTACTGCCTTTTTTGGTTTTAATGGAGCATTTTATATTATCCCATTTTGTCTTCTTTATTAGTTTAATGTTTTGTTACTTTTTTCAGTGGTTGCCCTAGAGTTCACATATGTTTACAGCTAGTCCAAGTCTACTTTCAAATAACACTGTACCACTTCACAGGTAGTGAAAGTTCTTATAATAGCAAAGTATTCCATTTTCCTCTCCTGTCCCTTATCTTATTGCTGTTACTCATTTCACTTGTCTATAGCTATAATCATCAAATACTTTGTTGCTGTTATTATTTTGAACAAACTTCTTTCTGCTATATCAATTAAGAATTTTAAAAAATGTTTTATTTTACTTTTACTAATTCCTTCTCTCATGTTCTTCCTTTCTCTTTGTAGCTCCAAGTTTCTGATCTATCATTTTTCTTCTCTCTGAAGAACTTTTTAATATTTTGTAGAAGGCAGATCTGCTGGCAACTGATTCCCTCAATTTTTTTTTTTTTTTTTTTTTTTTTTTTTTTCCTGAGACAGAGTTTCGCTCTTGTTGCCCAGGCTGCAGTGCAATGGCACGATCTCAGCTCACTGCAACCTCAACCTCCCGGGTTCAAGCGATTCTCCTGCCTCAGCCTTCTGAGTAGCTGAGATTACAAGCATGCGCCACCATGCCCGGCTAATTGTATTTTTAGTAGAGATGGGGTTTCACCATGTTGGTTAGGCTGGTCTCACACTCCTAACTTCAAGCTATCTGCCCACCTCGGCCTCCCAAAGTGCTGGGATTACAGGTGTGAGCCACCGCACCTGGCCCAGATTCCCTCAATTTGTATTTGAGAAAGTCTTTGTTTTTCCTTCACTTTTGAGGGATAAATTCACAGGACACAGAATTCTAGGTTGGTGGCTTTTTCCTTCAACATAATGAATATTTCACTTCACTTTGTTCTTGTTTGAATGGTTTCTGAGGAGAAGTGCAATGTAATTCTTATCCTCACTCCTCTGTAAGTAACGTGTTTTCCCCCCTTGGATTTTTTTTAAGACTTTATCTTTGTCTGCAATTTGAATATGATATTACTAGGTGTAGATTTTTTGGCATTTATCCTGCTTGGTGTTCTTTGAGCTTCCTGGATCTGTGGTTTCATAAAATTAGAAATCAGTAATAGAAAAATAACTGGAAAAATCCAAAATGTTTGGAAGATAAATGACATGCTTTAAACATTAGTTTTAGGAAATAGTTATTATTGCTTCAAATATTTCTTCTGTTCCTTTCTCCTCCTTCTTGTATTCCCATTACATGTAAGTTACACCTTTTGTAGTTGCCCCATGGTTTTGGGATATTCTGACATTTTGTGTGTTTTTGTTTTTGTTTTTGTCTTTTTTCTCTTTTCAGTTTTGGAGGTTTTTACTGAGATAATCTTCAAGCTCAGAGATTCTTTTCTCAACCATTTCCAGTCTGCTAATGAACTATCACAGGCGTTTTCATTCTGTTACAACGTTTTTTGTCTCTAGCGTTTCTTTTTTGGCTTTCTTAGAATTTCCATCTCTCTGCTTACATTACCTATCTGTTCTTGCATGCTATCTACTTTATCAATTAGACATTAGAGCTCATAGCATACTAATCGTGGTTGTTTTAAATTCCCACTCTGTTAATTCCAACGCCTCTGCCATATCAGAGTCTGGTTTTGTTGTTTGCTCTGTCTCTTCACACTGTTTTGTGTGTTTTTTTTTTTTTTTTTTTTTTTTTTTTTTTTTGCGAAGCTACACATGGTGTATTGAGTAACAGGAACTGTGGTAAATAGGCCTTTAGTAACATGGTGTAAGGTGTGGGGGGAGGGGAGGCACTCTGTAGTCATATGATTAGGTCTTAGTCTATAGTGAACCTGTGCCTCTGGACTGTGGACTTCACAAATACTTCTCATTATTCCTCTCCCCCACCGTTAGTTGGGATAGGATGGCTAACGTGGGATGGAGTTGTATTTCTTCCCCCAGGTCAGTTAGGCTCTGACAAAAGTCTGGCAGGTTAGGTACTGGTAAACATAGCTTCTCTTTTTTTTTTTTAATTTAATTTTATTATTATTATACTTTAAGTTTTAGGGTACATGTGCACAATGTGCAGGTTAGTTACATATGTATACATGTGCCATGCTGGTGTGCTGCACCCATTAACTCGTCATTTAGCATTAGGTATATCTCCTAATGCTATCCCTCCCCCCTCCCCCCACCCCACAAGAGTCCCCAGAGTGTGATGTTCCCCTTCCTGTCTCCATGTGTTCTCATTGTTCATTTCCCACCTATGAGTGAGAATATGCGGTGTTTGGTTTTTTGTTCTTGCGATAGTTTACTGAGAATGATGATTTCCAATTTCATCCATGTCACATAGCTTCTCTTAAGAGCAGGCTTTGTTAAGAACAGAACAAACCTGCTGACTGCTGATGTATTTCAGAGTGGCTACTTACCAGTGCTTCTTGCTGGAGGCCTGAGGGGATTTGTCTCAAATCTTCTCTGTGAAAACCTGGTAGGGTTCCTGGAGGTAAAACTCACAAAACTGTGTGAGCCCCCTTAAAACTAATTCCCCCTGGAGTTTTTACCTCTAAGATGTGTCCACACTGAGCTCCAGCAGTTTGTCAGCTACAGTTTAGGTTTTCCTGGCTAGGTTCTGGCTCTCACAGAGGTTTCTGTTCATGAAGTTCAGCTCCAGTAAGTTGTGATTCTCTGTATTTACCTTTTGGTCTCTCCAATTTGGGGGGCAGTGGTTTGCCCTGTAGCCTCAGTTCTCCAACAAATCTAAGAAAAGTTATTAATTTTCAGTTTTTTCAGCTTTGACTTACTGTTAGGAAAAAGTTATGACTTCCAAACTCCTTTCATGCCAGGCTAGAAACCACCAAGTCCTTTCTTTAAATTTTAATGATCTATTTATAGATATTCGTAAGAACCTTTAATTTAATTACTAAGGGCCTTTGAGATTCATGCAGTGCAAGTTTGGAGATTGGAGATTAAAATATTTTCGGCAAACCATTTGTTGTAAATCAAAATGGAAAATAAATTTACTTGTGTCTTTACATAAGATTGCAAAGAAAATTGTTTCAACTTTAGTTTTCCTACACAAAAGACTTTGTTTCATTAAGTTCACAAAGCTTTTCTGATAGTGTTCCAAGTTTTCACTTGAAAAAAGTAAGGTCTGAAACGGGAGGCTCAAAAGAGGGAGAAAGAAAAAGAGAGAAACAAACTATTACTTATCGACAATCCTAACAGAGTCTCTTTCTTGATGTAACCCTTTCAGCCATCTGTAGTTATGGACAAAAGCATTTGACCTGTACAGGCATACATTGATTTACTGTGCTTCACTTTATGGCTCTTTTGGGTATATTGTATTTTTAATCAATTGAAAGGCTACTGGGGAGGCTGAGGTAGGAGAATGGCGTGAACTCAGGAGGCAGAGCTTATAGTGAGCCGAGATCGCACCACTGCACTCCAGCCTGGGTGACAGAGCAAGACTCTGTCTCAAAAATAAAGAGAGAGAGAGAGAGAGAGAGGGAGGGAGGGAGGGGAGGAGAGAGAGAGAGAGAGAGGAAGGAAGGAAGGAAGGAAGGAAGGAAGGAAGGAAGGAAGGAAGGAAGGAAAGAAGGAAAGAAAGAAAGAAATTGAAAGTTTGTGGCAACCTGCATGGAGAGAGAGAGAGAGGGAGGGAGAGAGAGAGAGAGAGAGAGAGAGAGAGAGAGAGAAAGAAAGAAAGAAAGAAAGAAAGAAAAAGAAAGAGAGAAAGAGAGAAAGAAAGAAGGAAAGAAGAGAAAGAAAGAAATTGAAAGTTTGTGGCAACCCGCGAGGGAGGGAGGGAGAGAGAGAGGGAGAGAGAGAGAGAGAGAGAGAGAGAGAGAGAGAGAGAGAGAGAGAGAGAAAGAAAGAAAGAAAGAAAAGAAAGAAAGAAAGAAATTGAAAGTTTGTGGCAACCCTCATGGAGCAGGTCTGTCAGCACCGTTTTTCCTACAGCATGTGCTCACTTTCTGTCCCTGTGTCAACAGCTTTGTGTAAAGCATTGGCTAGGCACTTTTAAACTTTTTCAAAGCATATTGAACTTGGGGGTGATAGATGATGTATATTTGAAAGCAATTTGGTGGCCAGGCGCAGTGGCTCATGCCTGTAATCCCAGTACTTTGGGAGGCCGAGGCGAGCGGATCACCTGAGGTCAGGAGTTTGAGACGAGCCTGGCCAACATGGCGAAACCCCACCTCTACTAAAAATACAAAAATACAAAAAAATTAGCTGGGTGTGGTGGCTCACACCTGTAGTCTCAACTACTTGTTAGGCTGAGGCACGAGAATCACTTGAACCTGGGTGGCGGAGGTTGCAGTGAGTCAAGATTGTGCCACTGCACTCCAGCCTGGGATGACAAAATGAGACTCTGTCTCAACAAAAAATAAAAAATTAAAATTAAAAATTAAAGAAAATGAAAGCAATTTGGTGATAATTATATTATAACTTCCTTCAGTTCCAATACAATGACATTTCCAAAGTGCTGTTATTGATGAAAAACAAAAGTGCCCACAAACATGCTTTATTTGGGCTGTGTAGTGATTTATTTTTAAATTTGAATTATTTGACAACACGTAAAAATTAAGAGTTGATATAAAGTCGGGTCTAGTTTCTCCTGAAACTTGAAATGACTTGAACCTCCATGGGGCATCAGTGTGCAGGAGCTGAGTTACTGTTCCCCTCCAGCTCTCCACAACCCTTTATTGTCTTACACTGTCTTCCTCCACTTATATTACTTGCCTGGTCCCAGGGAGACATTCATGTTTATGACATCTGCTGAAAGTAAAAAGGTGTCTAATGTGTAGGGTTAATGCATGAAGGCTTGCAGAAGACATTGAGAACTGGGTTTAGAAGGTGGTTCACAGACATACAGTATGTCCTATGGATATGAGCTTAATGTTGTGGTGTCTGCCTGGACCTCTGTTTGATTTGAGCATGCTCTCACAGTCTTTACAGGGCTTCTTTTGTGCTTAAAGATCAGCAATTAAGTGATGAGTGTGACATCACTGAAATTAGTTTATGCACGTGGAGGATTAGAAGGGAGAAAGAATTTTTCCAGTACAAGCATAGCTTTTATTGGCACATATATCCCTCCCAGCCAACCACACAAGAAGCACAGTACCTGTCATTTCCTAACCTTTAGGATTAGAGGAATTCAAGCAAGAAAAGGCAAAGAGGAAAGCCTAGTAAAGTTCACAATGCTTCTCTTTATAGGCAGAACAAAAAAGAATATTGAGGCAATTACTGGCATAAATCAGTCCAAAGCAAATCAAAGAAATTCAAGCAAAAAGAAGGCATTTTGCCTGAATTATGGAGCTAATGATCTCAGTCCTCCACTTCAGTGTTCCTGAGGAGACCTGGCCTGAGAATGTTTTTCCAGTGATCTGGCAGATTCAGAAGTGAAGAGAAAATGTATTATTGTAAGTGCAGCTATGGAGATGGAGTCCAGTGCTGCCTCTGTCCAGAACATGTGTTGAGAACACCCAGGCTCAACTAGCATGGCTAGCTGGGAGGAGAGAGGCTCTAGAAGGGATGATCATGATCCCCACGGGGCAAGAGAGGGGTGGTGTCAGTGCCCAGAGGAGTCATGCTGGCTCATCTTTCAAAATCTTTGTAGCTTTAACACTGTCAGAGATGTTATAAGTAATTTTCATTTTTCTGTTTAAAAATATGTCTCTTTTCTAACAGCTTTTAGCAATAAAAAGGCAACTTATTAATGAAACCCTTCTGCCTTCAAAGTATGAAATTAAAATATTATTGTAACTACAGGCAAGAAAGCATTTGGATTATGTGTCATTTAGAAATGGTAATAAAGATTATCCGTATGGTCTTATGTTGTCAGTGCCTTACATTGCATTAGCAATCACCTAATATGAGTGTGATTTTGATTATGTGGTTCATTTTAAATTCTGTGTCCTAGGTCAATCAGTGTCAAGATGATTTACTAGAAGGAGGTGCGGTTTTCTTTCATAGATGCTGTTAAGTGCTTGGGCACAATTAGAATATTTTAGGGCATAGTATATTTGGTATTATCGTGCTGTGGGTGTTCTTAAACCTTCTCACTGTATACCTTCTCCTTAGGCATCTCTAATTCTCATCTTGTCTGTCTTGGGTACACAAAACAATCTCTGGTAGCAAGATCTATAAAAATTTGTGTTACCTGTTTATTTATGTTAGTTTCCCTTTAAGTCTTCTGGCTTTTGTACAGGTGTCAGTCATTTTAGATGTTGAGTTTTTGATGGTCAGCGAGCAGGATGCAGAGGCCAGGATTAACCTATGTCTCCAAAAGAATTAGAAATCTCTCTGCTTTTTTTTCATTCTCTTCCACTGAAAGAGGGAACAAAGAAGCCTTACTCCTGCTGAACGTTGCAGGGAACCCAGCGACATGACATTTTTTAACCTTCTGCTCTGTAGGGGTTGACAAAACTTGATGGGAACTAATCTGGGTTCATTTGGGATTTGGGACAGGGTCATAGCCTTTTGAGAATTCAGTACCTTCCCCTTGATCCTCCTACAGCCTGAGCTCTCTGAGCTTTGTAGGTTCTGTGTCAGGTTCTGCTCCCTGTATGAACATACTCCAATTATACGTTCTTGACTCCTCACCTAGTTCTGTTCTTTAGTTTTAACAATGTGCCTTTTAGATTCATCTGTTATTTCATTTTTGCTTGGAAAATATTTACTCAAGGGAGTCTTCTCTTTGACACTGTATATGGTGATGTTGACAATAATTTCGTAAAAACTTAGTAACTCTAGGAGTGTAACAATTAGATTATGATTGTGTTGTACTAGAATCATTGGTCATTTTAATCTAGCTTATAATAGGAGAAACAGTGTTTTAGGCTGTGGTGTTTTATCTTTCTGGTTGTTTGGGGTTTTTTATTTTGTTTTGTTTTTTGAGGATAGACAGTACCTGTTTTTCATCTCTGTGTCTGCAGCCTGGCAGAGTGCTTGCCACAAATAAGGCACTATACATCCATCTCTGAATGAATAGGATTAATTCAGTAGATGTTATTCCTGAACATCTGTCAATATACATGCCAAAGCTCTGTATCCCGTTCAAATGCATGCCTACATAATTGAATTCTTTATCCTAAGGAAACTGGCCAAGAAGCGGAAAGAGACCATGAGCAGCACCCGACAGGAGATGACTGTGATGGTGAACTCAATGGACAAGAGCTATGCTGAGCAGGGCACAAACTGCGACGAGGCTTTCTCATTCATGGACACGCACAATCTGAATGGGAGATGTAAGTGCATATGTTTCTTGGCTTCTAACACATCTCCTTGGTTTTGCAAGATTCCAGGTGGTACTAGGGGATTTCAAAAAAAAAAAAAGCTTCCTGAAGAAATTTTTATGCCGTGTTGGTTTCTTCAGTCATTTTCAGTGATCCTTTGTGCCACAGGTTGCTTAGCAGAGATGTTCTAAAGGTGATAGGACCAGATCAGAGAGTCCAGAAAACCACAGTGCAGTTTCTGTAAAGATTTAGAGAGCAGTGACACGAGGCTTTCCTTCTTTTGAGGAAGAAGGCACCTGCTTCTCATCATCCTTCTTGTTGTTTAGATCCCATTTGTAAACTATCCAGGTGTGGAATTACACATGGGAAGCCTGTTATAAAAACAGTTCACTAAATGGCAGTAACAAGTTAATTGTTTATTTGTTTAGATGACAGGTTCTGCCTTTATTATAGGGCTGTCAGTGTCAATTAATAAATTAAACTCTATTTCAGCTTCACAAGTCTTATGCTTCATACCAGGTGTGTAAACCAACCTCAGCTACTGCCTTCCCATACTACTACCTGTGATCCAGGTAGAAGGCATTATTTTAGGAAACTAACAATTAGATTGATTATATCAAGCACAAAAGGAGTAGTTGCTTTGTCCCTGGTAATCTCGGAGACCAGAGGGAGATACCTCACTCTGTGGTTTAGGGCACACTTTGGTGAGTTCAAGGTCGGGGGTTTCTTTACTGTGTGAAATCTGTGCCTCAGGCCTGAGCTGCATAACCAGGATTCTGGTCAGCATGGGGATGGAATTAAAGTGCAGCTATTCCTGTTACAAAAAAATAATCGTAGTATTTTAAAGGCCGGTGGGCCTTGTGGCTGTGAGGAGCACAGAAATGGCATCTGGCGTGGGGCGACTGGGAGCAGTTTGGACGGTGTGGGCTCATGTCCTAATACCCACTGTGGTCAGTGTGGTACTGCAGCTCCCCTCCACTCCTCCTCTTCCAGATCACAGTGTGGTCAATGCACGTGCCTGTCCCTGAGCTTTGCGTTTCTCGTACACGCGGCTGAGCTCCGAATTCAGTCTTACATTTTTCTGCTTGTAGCGGCTGCAGTTGTCCCACTTCATCCTCCTCCATCAGTTTGTACTACACACACACATGGCCCAGTGGAGCATGCACAGGTGCTGCTTTGGCACCAATGGGCAGGGCAGCACTGTTGCTTTCATCCTTGATCTTCTTTCTTTACCCTTTCCTGTCATTTTCAGTGCAGGAAATAGAAGCTATGGGGTCTCAGTGTACCCAAGCTCCTTCCCATTTTTTCATAGAGTTCTCTCTGCTTTTTTTGTGGCAGATATAATGTTTTTCATTTAAAAATATGTATGTATAATTTATTTAACTGCCATAAGAAAGCAACCTATGATGCATTCGTTGTGGGCTGGAATTGGAGAAGCCCTTTTGGCCACACACAGGATTAGAATTTTTGTAGTAGCAGGTATTCCTTGAAGGGGACCACACAGATACATCTTCATTTTGCAGTATAACCCATTAACGTTCCAAATCTTCTATTTCATGGTGAAATTCCTCAAGAATCAATTTACTTAGAATCACTCATCCCAAAAGCAAGAATCTTCTTTAGTAGTTCTAGGTGTTTGAAGTTTGAACAACAAGAATATTCACTTCTGGACAGGAAGTTTAATTTGGCAGTTACTTTTTTGAAAGTGAATGTATCTGTGGAAATCCAAAAATGTTCATGTACAAACGGCAGCTGCAGAGGCCAACGGAGCTTCCACAACTGATCGGCTATTAGACGTTATTTTTTGCCTTCCTTCAATAAAGCCAACAGAAGGAACACAGCAGTAGACTTTCCATTTTCCTCCCACTCTGAGCAATGAGTTCTCATCAGATCTCATCTGATAGGAGCGACCCTAGAGGTAGATATCATAATACTGTCTTGATGTCTTTGAAATAAGACAGCAGTTTCTGGGGAGGAAACCTTCAGGAAAGATGTTCCTTAGACCACAAGGCTGCCAGCACCACACCTATGACAAGTGTGGGTATGCATGAGCTCTTTCAGGGTTGGGAGAAAGTGCTGGAAGTTGTGAAGTGAGCAGTTTTTAGAAATGAGACAAGGGGAAAAACGAAATAGGAGAATTTAAAAATAAGCATGACCACAGTTATGAGAATGGGGATTAATCTCTCCAGCAAAGCAAGTATGAGTTGCACTATCTGCTTTAATATGCTATAAAAAGGGGAGAATAGATACAGGTAGTGGGAATGGGTTTAGTTTTTATGCTAGAAGATGAAAATATTTTTAAAATATTTTGACAGGAAGGTGAAGATAAACACAGTTATTTTATATCTGCTGTGCACATCTTTACCAACCACATAAAAATGTCTGCAGCTAATAAAAAGGCTTTATTCTCACTGACCCTGGCATATTTTATTGGTACTCATTTTTTTCATTCTTATTTTCATCCATTGTGCTCTTTTTCCAGGCTTCTTACCATAAACATGCGTTGTAAGTGTGATACATTTCTATTTTGTAAAAATACCTGTAAATGACAGGCAGCCTGAGTTCTGGTCTTTGTTCTGTCACGTACTGATTCTACACTTTAAAAATATAAACACAGGTAAATGCACTCTCCTAAACGGACTGCTCCTGGAGAGTTAAAATATATTAATATGTCATCAGAATAATTACCCAGTATGCACAGGGATTTGGTCATGCTTCCCATAAATATAATGGTATAATTGTGTCTTAGTGTCCTGATGAGGAACTTAGCATCAAACAGATCATGTAACTACATCAGAGGAGTTACAATTTAGACTTAAGTTTAACCACCTTGAGCAACTTTCAAGTCTTTATACTTTAATGAAATTAAACTGTTTTAAAAACACTAATCAATTAATACATTTGAAGAGGTTTTTTTTTACTTAAAAAAATTATTCTATCAAGGCTCTGTCATCCATGAAGAGCGTTTTAAAATGTCTCTTAAAATTAGGAAATACCCATTTTTAATGAAATCAGATAAATTGGATGGGATTGACTATCCTGCTTGATAAAAGAGAGGAAGAGAAGGTGCAATAATTCAGTCTTGAGTGTTTCAGAGGAATATTTTAAAGAAGAGCATTTTTGTAAGGATTTAAAATACTAAGGAACACGCATGGAGCACCACCTTTGTTTTTCATAAAGCATTGTGGAGTATTCTCTGCATATCCAAATATGAGCAAGGAGAGGATTTAGCAAACTATGGGAACATTGACATTGGGAATCGTCTCCAAAAGCCATGTGTAGACACCTTCTTCTACTTTTACTTGTAAAATTCAGCTTGGCCTGAGAGCAGATTTCTATAAGCAAAGGGCAGAAGTCAAAATAGAAGTCTGATGAATTTCTCTATCCAAAATGGTGGCTGTGGTTGTGGGCTTTCTCTTTATTTGTGGGGTAAGAAAAGTCTTTAAGTGACGAAAGGTTGCTTGTCTTCTAAAGGATAAGTAAGTACTCAGAAACAACTGGGAATGATGATATTTCCCACATAGACATCAGTGAGTCCCGGAGTCACCGTGGGTAGCATGGAGTCACCATGGGTGGTCTCAGAGCATTGTGTGTTCAGAGTGTATTACCTCTCTGCTGCCCCTGACCAGCCTCTCTTTTATTTACAGCTGTGTCTTCACCATCGTCCTTCACAATGAAAACAAATACACTGAGCACATCGGTGCCTAATTCCTATTACCCAGGTAACAGTTTTTTCCATTGTCTCCTCTCTGCTCTCTCCTCAGCAGTCAGAATCACTCCGCCCTCTCTCTGCTATCCCTGGTGCTTGAGGGGCTTACTGTGTTTGAGATGTTGTAACCCAATGCGTTTCTACAGCTTTCTATGCAGAAAATAGGGGTGGGCATTCATCAATCATTTACTGTTCTTTCTCTTTTTACTTTCTCTGCATTGACCTGCTTACGGTGTATGACAGACCCATTTGTGCCAACTGCAATTTTAGGTGAGAACATTTCCCTTTACCACAGTTTATTGCAGGAGTAATTTAGAAAGTCAGTGACCACTCTGTAGGAGATTGGAGTTTTAATTCTGTATAATGCAGTGATTATAAGCACGACATGTGGGAGGTGGGTGGCCTGGGTCATGGGGTTAAAGGAAAAAGAGACTTTTCTCTAAACAGTCGCCATTAATAAGAGGGGTTTGCTGCATGTATCTTGGGGATGATACCAACAGGTTCAAATGAACAATCTCAGCCCCAATATTCTCCCTTTCTGTGTTCAGAATTTAAAGTTAGGTCTGATCCCAGGGGAAAAAAACAAGGTGTCATCACTCAGCTGTGTACTTTCCAAGAGCTGAATTCTGTCTAGTGTGATAGTCATAAAAGTGAAAATAGCTTCTCATTATTTTCACTTATTGCTAAGCACTAAAAACTTCAATTTTAAAAGTAGCGTTTTTCTAATTATGCCAAATGTCATGCAGAAAAATGATCACAATGGACTTCTGGCCCTCTACCCATCCTCGGTGCCACTCAGGGCACCCCACCCCCCCACCAACATTCCAAAGTGTCTGTCACACAGTGGAATTTCAAAGGAGCTGATGATCTGAACAGCAAAATGACAAGATGGCACTTATAATCATATGCTTTATTATGTGTCAGATGTCACTAGAAATGAACTAAGGTGTTAGCCCGGTGGGGCAGAATGCATTTAAAGTATGAAATATTCCCAGCAGGGGGTTACAGAAAAAGTCCCGTTTGTCCAATATAAGAAGGGTGAGGAGAAAAATGGCATTACCTGGCTGTGATAACCAAACAAGCATGAGCTGCTGTTGCATTTGAGACGCATAAATAACCTGAGTGTATCACGGCTGTGTTCTCTTTCTACTACTAACCTTTCCGAAAAGGAGCACAACAAAAACGACTTCAAGGTATATAACAATTCATTGTAGCAAGAGTTCCACCCTCAGTTGTTCGACTTCTCCTTCCTAATTCACTTGACAAGGGTTTATATCTTTCCAACATGATTTTTCCCCCCTCTGCTTCTCTTTTCTCTAAGTTGTTACGATTTTTGTATAGAAGGTAATTTTTATTTTCCTAATGGTGTTCTGTGGGCTTAAGCAAGTTTGTTGCCTAAGGAAAAAATGAATTAAGATAGAACTTTAAGAATGGATATAAAACAGAGTTTTTAAATTTTGCATCATTCTGAGGGCTAACAAAGCCCACTAAACCCTCCCTGCCCACACACTTTTAATACCAATTAAAAGGGGAAGAAAATTGCATTTTATTCTTTTCATAAGTGAGGGGCACAGGCTAATCTTAGGCACCAGAACAATGTAATCTACATACAAATGACATTTGCAGAATCTTTTGATAGGCGAAGATTTGCGATTTCTTCATGTGCTGTGGCATTCATTCTGAGGTTCCTCTAGTAGATTTTCTGACCTTGGGGGAGCCGTGAGTGGGGAGGGCTAAAACGTGCCTTGTCAGAAGGAAGAAAATGTTCAGATTTCACAGCAGGGTTAAGACAAGCTTATTAAACAAATATCATTCTTTAAAGTCGCTGCTTTGTTATTATGAACATTAATGACATCTTTTAAAGTTGATTAGTTTTCTTTACTGAAAGGGAATCACTTGGACAGACAATTCAAGTAGCAAAAATGATGCACATTGTAAAAAATAAGTCACCCAGATAGACCAATAACTGTTATCATGTATGGCTTATATAGGTACCAAATGGTAGTACTTGGGAACTGCATTCCTTACACGTTACTTGGTGCAAATGTGAATCTATGTATTGAGTAACAAGGATTGGTGAGGTTAGCACTTGAAACCACGGAAGAATTTAAGATATATATATCTACTCTGGCAGTTTTGGGGGATAGTAGCAGTTATAATTTACACAAAGACAACAAGAAATGTCTTGCTGTGAGTCAGAGCTCAGCACAATTAAATTCTCTGGCACCTTCAGCTCCACCTCTCTCATGCTAAGATGCCCAGCCCTAATGTATAGAGCTGGAGTATATCTTTACTTCATTTGCTTGCAAAAATGTAGATGATTAAATGGATGGTTGGATAGCTGGATGGATGGATGGATGGATGGATCGATAGATAGACAGACAGAACCTACCCTACCTCAAATATATTGCATCCATTTCAACTTAAGGTTTTTCAGCTAGTTTGTTAAAAATTCAAGATAATTCATAAAGAATATAAGTAGAACTAATTTTCAGTTCTTAGAAAACCATCAAAACTATTAGTGAGAAGCTTTGTTTCTTTATTTCTAATGTGCTCTTCTGCATTATTTTTAATTAAAAAAAATGTTGAGGCCAGGCACTATATAGTGCAAGCATGTAATCCCAGCACTTTGGGAGGCCAAGGCAGGAAGATCGCTTGAGGCCAGGAGTTCAAGACCAGCCTCCGCAACATAAGGAGACCCCCATCTCTTCAAATAATAATAATAATAATAAATTAGCCAGGCATGGTGGAACACACCTGTATTCCCAGCTACTCAAGAGGCTGAGGCAGGAGGATTGCTGGAGCCCAGGAGTTTGGGGCTGCAGTGAGCTATGATAGAGCCACTGCCCTCCAGCCTGGATGATGGAGAAAGACCCTGTCTCCAAAAAAAAAAAAAGTAGAAAAAAAAATTGTTGATGGGTAATTTTTAAACACATAAAGGAAATTAATGACAAGTAATATATTTTATCAATAATAATTCTTTTTTAAGTTAGAGAAGATTAATCACTAATTTTAGTGGAATCAAGAATGTCTAGTAGTATAAGTGACCCAATTTCATAGCAGCACACAAGAAGCCTTCTATTCCCTCTTCCATATGCATGTACTAGATAATAGGGCTCTTCTTTCATGGACTTGGTGGTGTTTAAATGCTTGAAGACGTGTTCCACACTAGTAATGAGGGCAAGATGGCATAATGCAGCACAGGATGATTACATACAACAGTGACAGTTGATGTAGCTCTATGGATTTAAAACTTCCAAGAATACCTAGCCCTGGGATCAGAGCATTGCTAGGTTGCTGGTGTATCCACGTGAAGGACCCAGATCACTTCTGGGAAGTTTAGAAGGTCAGCCCACCATGGAGGGCATGTTAATTATGTTCATCCCATAAGATACAAAACTGAGAGAACGAGAGAGGCACAGAGGGGAAACTAATTAATGTTCCATTTATTTTAGTATAAAGAACAGAACTTCCTGCTGGAGTGGCTCAAAGCTCAAGGGATTCGGTACTTCAGCAGGGTTCCTGTATCCCAGTTTATAAAGCTTGGCAGTTGCCAGCAAGCAAATCTGATGTGAAAATTTCCAGGTTTATTTGTGACTGTTAAAATGGGAACATGTGACTTGCTAAATTTCAAAGCAAATCCAAATGAAACAAAAATCATAAAATCAACTTACCACCCTTTTTTATTTTGTCTTTGTGTCTTTAGCCACGTTGTAGTGATCCAGGTGCCATTTCAGCAACAGCAACATAGCTACACACTTGTGTACCACCTTTCATACCATGCATCCCCAGGTGCTTTGCGATGCAGATAGAAGTGAGGTTCCCAAACCAGGCCCTGCTCATCAAGCACCCTTGGACTAAATTTTCTTCAGAGCTGAACTTCTCCGTAAAAAATAAATAACATATGAATAACTATAGCTGAATTCCCTATTGATATACAATCTGGTAATTTTTAAAACTTGAATATATCTTTTATATGTTTTATATAACATTCTCATTTTAAGTGACTTTAGCATTATATTTTGACAGCACCCATCCTCAATCATAAAACTGCTAAAGGGATTCAGCATTATAATGAGTTAACCTGTAGAATGTGGAATTCTTAATCTAATAGCATTTCCCTGCATAAGACATTTTTAATAGGTACCATTTCTGCAGTTCATTAACCTAATTTTCTAGTAGGCCTCCATTAAAATAGAGCCTCTTTAGGCTTCTTTGACCAAATTTTGACATTAATTTTATAGTACAATTTGGTTGACTTGTTCAAGAAATTTAAATGAGAAAATGTGTTGAATACAAATAAGACTTATTTAGACATTACTTGGTTCATGGGGGATGAAAAGCAATTATGATGCTAATTTTAACCTCCTTTTTGTTATGGAGTACTTAAATTCAATGCCTCCATCCTAACGTGATGGAAGAATTGAGGCTTCGCCCTCTGACCACCTCTGAATAGAAAACTTAACTGGAAAGTTAAAGCATAAAATAAAAACTACCTGTAATTATGCACGCAGTACTATTGCTTATGCCCTGTTTCCTTTTTCTCCTCCTTTTTTCTCCTGATATGTATCTTCTTAAAAGTGCCAATAAATGGTAAGTTCCCCGATTCGCCCCATGGAAGAGTTGTGGAGGGAGTGGGAGTGTGTGTCTTACTGGTAGATTCTGACAAAGCCAGCTGGTGCTGCTCTGTGCTGGCCTGCATGTTTGCCTTTGTAGAACATTCCATGTGTGATGTGTTGGTCCACAACATTTTGTCAAGCTTTCTGATACCAGAGCATGCAAAGTGATTCATCAAAATGTTATCCCCAAACCAGGTTCCCTTTTATTTTTCCATTCTTCTTTGATTTCATGTATTAAGTCCCCATTTCCATTGCTAGCTTTATAAGCCACACCATTTTGTGCACTTTTATTTTGCTCACAGAACATTTGTGCAGAGTTTATTTATGTCATCATACGAACTACTGAACTAATGTTTCAAAGAATACAAGACTGGTTTTGCACCAGGTCTTGATGAAGTTTCAGGTTGAAACTTTCACAAACTTTAGCACTGGAAGGCTAAAGGGCTCTTCTCAATTAGCTTTGTGAAAGCAATATATCGTTTGGACTGCTTTGTAAAAGAAAGATTTCTGCGCATTCTTATCAGTATTGCCAACCCCATTTAAATTTCTAAACATTTAACTTTTCTTTTTTGCTGAGCCATCGTAGGGAATTTTGCACCCCTAGGTGAGGGGATGCCAGGAGCCAGCTTCTTAGCATTCTCAGTGATGCCGACCTAGCTCCCTGGCTCTCCCTCATTTTCTCCCTGGCCTTCTTTTCCTAGATGAAACCCACACAATGGCCAGCGATACCAGCAGCCTGGTGCAGTCCCATACTTACAAGAAGCGAGAGCCGGCCGACGTGCCCTATCAGACTGGGCAGCTCCACCCCGCCATCCGGGTGGCAGACCTCCTTCAGCACATCACACAGATGAAGTGTGCGGAGGGCTACGGCTTCAAGGAGGAATACGAGGTGAGCACAAGCTCTGTGCCAGGGCTTTCCCATTCCTTCTTGGATTCCATGCCAGGTACTGTGCTCCCAACTCAATCAGAAAGCCAGAGAAAACCCCCTGCCCCGAGAGATGCCAGAAAGAGATGAAGTACAGTTGTCCCTCAGTATTCTGGGGGATTGGTTCCAGGACCCCAGTATATGTCCAAGTCCCGGTGTGAGCCCTGTGAAACCTGAGAATCCAAAAATCCAGTCCTCCAGATCCATGGGTTTTGCATCTCAAAGATATTATATATATTCTTTTCAATCCTCATTTGATTGAATCTGCGGGTGCAGAATGCTAGGATATCAAGGCCGACTGTATTTTATCCGTGGATCCACTTTCATCTGATAGTAAAACTTGTTACCAAGAAGTTCACATGCGTTACATGGAAAAAGGAAGAATGCTTTGCCTTTTACCTTATTCTGCACAAATACACAATGAAAACAAATTTACCAGGGTCTCTTCCCCTCCCCATCCTGTTTTTTTTCCCTTTTTTTCTTCTTCCCTCTGGCAGAATTAAGTTTTAGTTCATGTCTCCCTCCCCATTCTTGATCACCTTTCTTGGCTTTTCCTGTAATTATGATATGAAATCCTAATGATTTTGTAGTCATTATCTCAGGAAGAAACTGTCCACTTAAAGCAATTATAGACCAACCAGCAATGTCATGTGGTGGAGATCAGACAGCAGTACAGGGACTGGCTATTGTCATGGCAGTGACAGCTGTTACTGTCCAGCCAGCCCAGAGAGCATGCCACTGTCTTGGGCTCTTGTGTGGGCAGCTGTCAGGGACATTTCTGGGAATAATGATATTCTCCGAATACATAAAATACAGGGCTTACCCCTTTCACACCCTGTGCCATTAGTTAATTCTGTCAGAAGGTCATTCAAGAATTGAAGAGAATTAATTGATTGAAGAAATCTAATTCAAAGAAGCATGCCATCCCTTGAGTGGGTGGTGTGGGGCCCAGGGAGCAGGACAGGAAAGTTGGATTGCTTTTTTATGTTATTAAAATCAGTCCGCAGTCATTGATGAAGTTAAAGTAGCATGCTTACTCAGAGTAAAAATAGGATTATGTAGACATGTGGTTTTTTTAAACCTTAGAATGTGGTTCTGGTCTCATATTCACCTAACTAGCTCAGAGTTGGGAAACATCTTGTCTGGAATTAGAGTGTTTTTGAAATCTGTTTCTACCACCTGGATAGTCTGTGAGTTTCCAACTCTGTTTCTTCTCTTCCTGTGGGCACACTCACAACACTTCATTTTATGCCCCAGACACTGCATTGTCTTGGGTTTAGCTCTTTTTCCAAGCTTGATCATCAGAGATTCATTACAGCAGTCAAAGCAACACATGGTACCACTGTTGGCGGAGCCTGTGCTACACTTCTTTTAGGAATAAGGCTTTGGTCCAAAGCAGACATAGACACACTTTGCTCTGCTAACATGTGCATCCTGGTGTATTGCCAATGACCTCAGTTCAGAAGACTGTGAAGCCAAACAATCCCATCCAGACCGTGCTCCAGGGTTTAATTGAAGTCCAGAAAATATTTTCAGTTGAAGTTCTGCCTTTTAGCAACCCTGAAATTCTTAGATTTATCTTTAGCAATTCAATGTGTAAATTCAGTGAAATTGACTGCCTTTGCATATTTCCTCATGCACTTTTAAAGTCTAGCTTAGGAATTAATAGGATTAAGAGTAAGACTTCCAAAAGCTTAATATCGTATGAAAGACAAAATTAGGTTATTGAAAAAATATAAGCCTAATGAATAGGGATGATGTCTAGGTTCTATCCAATATTCTGAATGCAGATATTACTGAAATGTTTATTAAAGATGTTAAAGAGATTAGTTTTAGGCTCAAATAACAATTCATGAAATAACCTGAGCCCAATTTTCCATGGACTATTTAAAAATACCTACTTCCTATAACATGCTACAGACAATGCATATTTGAAAGATGTAGAAAATATTTCCCATTCAGATCTTTTGAATAAATATGATTTATAAGTATAAACTGAAATATTATATACTAATTTGAACCATATTATGACTGACAACTAATTCAGTTCTCAAAATAAAGTGTTGTATTCATTAAGTACATTGCAGAAAACTTTTTCTCATTTTAGCTATTCCGTGGTCAGAGAGGACTGCCAAAAAGTGAATACTTTTAAACCCTAAAGCCATTGTTCATTTAAAAAAAAAGAAGGAAAGGAAATAATGAACAAAACACATATACTAGAGATGATATCAGGAACAAATAGGAAGGAGATGTTGGGAGAAGTATGAAATGGGCAGTTCTGTTAGGAATAATCCCGTCACTGAGTACCGTGCCCCTTGTGCTGCCCTCCTGGAGGGATGCTGATGTTGTCGTCTAGTGGGGTAGATGACAGGGAAGTGAGGAGTGGTGATGGTGGGCGGGCATGCCTGTGCCATGGCCGCAGGGAGAAGGGGACGCCCCCTAAGAAGCGTGTGTCATGGAATGACATGCTCTGGTCTTGATGGAGGCACAGCCAGGCTTCTGGGAACTGGTGGTGGAGTGAAAGGTCCCAGACTGCAGGTACTCATATGTCCCACTTTCTCTAACCCCAGGGAGGTGTTATTCTCATGAGAATCTGGCAAATCCTTAAACAGTTATTTTTTTGAAGTTTATGTAGTTTTTAGACCTCTAATAAAACAGACCTCTTTCCATCATGCTGTAAAGTCTGCATCCTTTTCATTAACACCCACCCAGAGTCAAGAGTGTTGAGTGCTAACTGGTGTAGTGGGAGTCTCTGTGCTATTCAGTGAGGCCATCCCACCCAACAGATACTGAGAGGCTGTGGTTTGGAACACAGGCTCTGGCACCCGACTGCCTGTATTCAAACTCAGCTCTGCTTCTTAGCTGTGTGACCTTCGGCAAGTTATCTAACCTCTCTGGGCCTCAGTTTCCAAATCTATAAATAGAATAATTATAGTCTCAACCTCAAAAGGTTGTTGTGAGGAGTAAATCATTTTAATGTAGGTGCTAGAATTATATCTGGCATATAGTAAGTGTTCATTTGAAGTGTTAGGTAGTAGAAGAAAAAAAATACTAATGTATAATAAGACCAAGAGCAGAAGTTGACACCATGTTCTTTATAGGGAAACTTCGTTATACTGAGGTTTCAGTAAAACTCTCATCTCTTGCGCATAGCAGTCTGAGGATAGAGTGAGCCACATGTTATGGAAAGGGGTTATACTTTTCCTTCATCTCCAGGGCTGGATAACTTTCTTACCATGTACCATATATCATCAAAAATTCCCGTTAACAAGTAACTTACACATAAATAGGTAGACTTGATTCTATGGATTAAGAGTTTAAGAACTGAGAAAATAAATTTTAAGAAATATATGCTGTCATGTTTTATTGCTATAATAGTATTTCCATATCTAAGTTGGAGAGTCCTAAGGAATACTATAACTCTAGACTGCATAATCCTCCTAAAAAATTATTGGTTGCTGCATTGGTGTCTTTGGCAAAGTAGGATTTGGGGAAGAGTTTAATTTTACCAATCATACACTGTACATGGCGCCAGGGATACAGAGAGGAGAACTGCTTCTCCGCTGTCCCCTGGGGAAGCTGACAGGGCAGGAGAAGGCAGCCAGGTAATGACTGTAGTTTGTCCAGTCAAACCCCACACCCTCTAAGAGAGATGCGCAGGCATACTCTGAAGGCCAGTGGGGTCACCTGAGCCAGCCAAGAGCAAGGATGACTTCTCTCTTGGAAGATGAGTGGGAGCTGACCAAGAGAAGGTGAAAGAGGGTAGCCATCCAGGTAGACCCAAAAGCAGGAGAATGGGGTTCTCTGAGGAAATGGCAGGAGTTCTATATGCCTGAGTCCCAGGACGGGCTGGTCTGTGGGATGAGGGTGGTCAGGGCTCCAATCACCAAAAGCACCTCCTGTGTCACACTGAGAGGTTTGGACATCATTATAGAAGTAGTAAAAGAGAAGAAAGACTCAAATAGCCTGAGTCTCATTCCTGTACTTGGATGGAGAGCTATTTAGTCTGAACAGCTCAATTTTAAAATATTATTTGTATGAGGCACACAGGCAATGCTTAAAAGGTAATACCCCAAAAAAGTAAAGGAGAAAGGGAATGTGTATTTACTTTAAAAGTTCCTGTTGTTCTATCTCTATTCAAAAATGCCGTGGAATGCTTGGCTTCAAGACTTGTTGAAGCAGTGAATTACTTCAGTACTGAAGCATCTTTGGGGATAAAATCTAAAGAATGGCTCTGGTTGTTGCTGTGACTCTGTGTAATCATCCCATCGGCCTTTCTGGTCTTCTTCAATCTGTATATTATCAGGAAAAGCCAGTCATTTATGTTGTAAAATTTTTTTGAAGTAGTGATGTTCTCTCTGCTGAACAGGTTTCAACCAATTCTTCTTTATCGTTTTCAAGACAGCAGTGTCTCAAAATTGGCCTAAACACCAGAAGGATTCATTACTGATCAAGTAGCCGACAGAAGTATGTCCGAACAAGAGCATACCATGTGGTGGGGATGAGATGGAGCAGAGCTCAGTGCAGGTTTTTTATTTGATTTTGTTCTAACAAGGTAGTCATATGGCACCTCTCACCAGGGAGATGCAATAATTTGATTCAAAAGAAACTCAGACATGAATCACAATAAAGAAGTAAACATGCTGAATTGAACAGAAAATGGCATGTTGTCAACAGAGAGTGGTGCAGGGACCTCTCCAGGAGAGGAGAAAGAGCAGAAAGGGCAAGTTTGTTTATGTTGCTGTGAGAGAAGAGCTGCCTGGTTCCTCTGACAAGCAAAGGGCAGTCTGTGCTAAGCCTCTGGGGGGAACCTTTGGGCTTCCCAGAAAAGTAGAAGAGAGAGCGCTTCACTCACGAGGGACAGACAGGTCAGACTCAGCCACCCTGCCCCACGCAGACTTCTGGGCCTTTCTCAGCTAGAGTTGAACAGGGACATTTGCCATGACTGCAGCTCTGCCCTGAACCCTCACACCCAGCCCTAGACAAGGGTGTGTTGCACCCCTTGTAAGTGGCTTGATACCACGTCAGGTCCAACGTTGTGGTGATCCTGTGCGAGTGGAGAGTGAGTTCCTCCCCTTTTGCAGTCCCCAAAGGACCTTGTTGATGGCTCGATTATTTTTTTTATGCCTCAATTTTTGAACTGATTCTAAGTCCCTTTGGGGATCCAAGCAGAAAGACAACCTTAAGTAGGAAAACAGCCAAATTATTCTGAAAGAATATGTTTTGCTATAACTGTAAAATTAAGATAAAGAAAGGATGTCAGTTGAAGGCTACTTCCAGAGAGGATGTCCTGAAAAACACAGATGGTACTATTTTATTAGCTAATAGTGTCACTCTGGGGCACAAAAAAATGATTTCCAATTACTAGAGCTGAAACGTATCAAAGACTGAAGTAACTCTTTGCATCCTATTCTTCAAAAAAAAAAAAGTGTGTGTGTACATGTATGTATCTAAATATATTAAGAAAAGCATTATCTTTATTCCACGTACTTTTTTTGTTTTTGTTTGTTTTGTTTTTGAGACAGTGTCTTGCTCTGTCACCCAGGCTGGAGTGCAGTTGCACAATCTCAGCTCACTGCAACCTCTACCTCTGGATTAAAGCGATACTCAAGCCTCAGCCTCCTGAAAGCTGGAACTACAGGCTTGCACGACCATGCCCGGCTCATTTTTGTATTTTTAGTAGAGATGGATTTTCGCCATGTTACCCAGGCTGGTCTCAAACTCCTGACCTCAAGTAATCTGCCTGCCTCAGCCTCCCAAAATACTAGGATTATAGGCATGAGCTGCTGTGCTCGGCCCCACCTACTTTTCTTATATTATGCCTCTCTCCTGGGCACAAACACTGTTAATTAATTTTATAGTTGAATGTGAAGATTGTTTTTTAGCTCAGTTTAAACTGGGGAATTGAAAACATTATGCCAGAATCTTCAGAATTAGGTACAGCCTATAAAGTTTTCTGAGGAACCTGAATTTTCTTTAAACACGTCTGTCTCCTTGTAGCTCCTTTTAGGTCTTTTTTAAACATATGAGTTGTATATCCCCCCACCTCTTATCCTTCCCCCGTTTTCTAAGTAAAACAGCTGACTTTGTTAAATGCAAGTTCAGTGTTTTATTTGCTGCCTTTGTCTATATTTGACAAAGCTGTGGCAACTTAAGAAAAAATTATTATTAAAATGTCTCACCTGCACTCTAAAATCTTGCTTTTTTTTTTGTGACTTAGTCTCACTCTGTGGCCCACCCAGGCTGGAGTGCAGTGGTGCCATCTCAGTTCACTGCAACCTTCGCCTCCTGGGTTCAAGTGATTTTCCCAACCCAGCCTCCCAAGTAGCTGGAGCTACAGGCACACGCCACCACTCCTGGCTCATGTTGTATTTTTAGTAGAGTTTTTCACCATGTTGGCCAGGCTGGTCTCGAACTCCTGACCTCAGGTATCTGCCCATCTTGGCCTCCCAAAGTGTTGGGATTACAGGTGTGAGCCACCCTCTCTGGCCCCAGATCTCCCTCTTATTTACTTGCCTCCTACCTCAGTGAAGCCAGCTGTTCTTGTCTGTTTAATGTGGCTACAACAGAATACCTGGGGCTCGGTCATTTGTAAAGAAAAAAGGTTCTGCAAGCTGGGAAGGAGAGAAGCATGGCACTGCCTTCTGGTGAGGGCCATGTGCTAAGTCAAAGGGGAAGTGGACACGAGCAGTGAGAGAGGACCAAACAGAAGGAGAATTGCTTTTTTCATTTTTTTTAAGAGACACTCTGTTGCCCAGGCTGGAGTGTAGTGGTGTAATCATAGCTTACTACAGCCTTGACCTCCTCAGCTCAAGAAATCATCCCACTCAGCCTCCTGAGTAGCTGGGACTACAGGCACGCACCACCAAGCCCAGCTAACTTTTTTAATTTTTTGTAGAGACAGAGTCTCACTATGTTGCTGAGGCTCGTCTTGAACTCCTGGACTCAAGTGATCCTCCCACCTCAGCCCCACAAAGTGCTGGAGCTACAGGCATGAACCACCTCCTGGAATTGCTCTGTAACAACCTGCTCTTGTGGTAACTAAGCCAGTTTTGCCAGAGCATGACTCACTCATTAGCATGAGGATGGCACCAACCCATTCATGAGGGATCTACTCCCCTGATCCAAACACCTCCCACTAGGCCCCATCTCCCAACACTGCCACACCAGGGACCAGATTTCAACATGAGTTTTGATGGGGACAGGCAACCCATATTCAAACCATAGCACCAGCATATCCTACAAAAAGCACTCCCAGAAAGCCACCTGCTCTCTGCAGAGATCGCAGTTCTGACTCCCTCCCTTCAGATGCCCTTCCATGGGAAAGGCCTTGAACTGGGGAGGACAGCCCCTGGAATTTTGAGACCAGCCCAGCAGCAGGGCGCGGGAGGAAGGCGCCCCGGGCATCTGGGCTCCCCCTTGTTGGGAGTTGGTTGGCAGAGGGAGAATTGCACACACTTCTAGACGACTTTTCAGAATGGTGCACAGCAGCCCCTTCGCTGGCTTTTGCACAAAGAAGCAGGGGCAGGTGGAATCAAAGGCGCTTTGTGTTACTCAGCTGACAGAACATTGCCTGTGCACAGCTGGTTCATAGATTCTGTGTGCAGTCCAGAGGGAGAGGCGCCCCTTCCCTCACCTCCAGCCCACACACTTTTCAGATGTGCTTTTCAGTTCCTGCTTCATATTTCGAGGGACCAGCTGAGTCAATCAATTGGCACAATCAGTGCAGGTTGTTTTCTGTCCCATAGGATACAAAACAAACAAAACAAAACCAAACCATTGAAGGCTAAGGATGGGGAGCTGGGGGTGGGGAGGCACTGGCAGGCACTGTAAATGCATTAAGAATCACACGGCTGTGTCTCCAATGGCTGAAGCAGCCAAGTGATTTTTGACGCTCTTTTTTCCTTTAATTATTATGGTGCTGGTGAGCCAGGTCCATAAGAAAATGATAAACACTTCTAGAACTCTGAAATTTTGAGATGGCTTCAAGCTATTTGGGCAAGTAAGGTGTATGTGTTTATGGGTACTTTCTTAGTGGGTGAAAGTTTCTGCGTATTTTTAAATAATGCAATAGAGAGTTGGTTTTGACATGAATATTTGGTTTATTTTTTTTTCTGAAGTACCAGTAGAAAAGTGTGTTTTATGTGTTGCCTGCTTCACTCAGTCCGCCTGCTTTCGGGGCCTCTTTCACATCAGCTAATTTTTTATACAGTTTTCGTTTGCCCTTGCCTCTGATGACATCATATACAAGCTCAGACTTCAGAAAATTAGATTAAAAATTGTTATTTCCTACAACTCTCCATGCTCCCGCTGATGATAATTCATGGCAGTTGATGTTTTCCTATTTGTGTGAAGCACTTCTAGGCAACTGTCTGGTTTCCATTTTGAAGCTGGTTATTAGAATTTTCTGTATCTAACCTGAAAGAAGTTAAGCAATTTTCCCACTTGTTAACATGCTTTTAGTGTCAGATGCCATTAGCCACAAGTGCCTTCTTGGAGGACCTGGCCCAGAAAGGATAGTGAACGTGCCCGTGTGCCAGCATCTGCGGACCTTATGTGTGTCTGGTACTGGTCCTCCTGCTTTTGATTAGTTTGATGCTGTCACCGCCCACTAACATGGTCAAACTAGATATTTCACGGTTGCCATTGCCCCTGCCGCTCCCTCATTTCCACACCAGCAGGCTCAAGTCCCAACTGCTCTCTCTCCTCCCCATTTTCAGTGGCTGCCCTCTCTCCCCTCCCCTAGGGCCTGCCCTGATCACTTGTCTGTGCCATCGGAAGAGTCCCCTGACTTGTCTTCCTACCTAGTCTTTCCCCTTCAAATCTGTTCCAGACTCTGCAACCAGTTTTCTTTGTAAGACATGGATGTTATCATGTTTGACTGATGCTGAAAACTATGCCACGGATTCTTTCCAAAAATAAGAACCTCAGCATAGCACATTCAGCCCTCTGTGTCAAGACCTCACTCTGTGTTTCAGACTTTCGTTGTAATGCAGGTGCTTCCCACCGTGCAGGCTGTGCTCTGCTTCTGCTCATGTACTCGCCACCCTGCCATCCTCCAGGCCTCCAGGGCTCATGCTGCAGGTTGTGGCCTCTGCCTGGCCGTGACTTCAGCTCCTCCTTCACTTGCCAAATCCCTTTGGACACAGCTCAGATGTGACTGCCCCCCAAGCTGTCCCTGATCCCAACCAGAAACAACCATTCCCCCTACAGTCTCACAGCTCTGTGTTTGAATAATATAGTAGGCAATATATTAACTGATAATACAGTAGGCAGTATATTAACTGATAATATAGTAGGCAATATATTAATTGATTTATTCAGTACGTATTTGACAAACAATACTGAATATGTGCTGAATTGATTTCTATGTAGTTACACCTTGTAATTCATATTTGATGAATTGATTTCTGCATATTTAAACACATACACCTGTTCCTGGGGAAATGATAGAGATGGATATAGAACTATTAAAAAATACAAGCTCAGAATGTTACAAATCATCATATAGGATCGGGTGGGCTAGGGGTATCCAGTCAGAAAAACTGTATGGACCAACTTGAACCTGATCAATACTGATCACCTAAAAATGGAAAGCATAGATATGTTCCATTTGGTCATTTTACTTATTGAAAGCCAACCTGTTTAAAAATTTGAGGATAGACTTTTTTTTTTCAAGGTGGAGTCTCACTCTGCTGCCCAGGTTGGAATGCAGTGGTACAGTCTGGGTTCACTGCAACCTCCATCTGCCGGGTTCAAGAGATTCTCCCACCTCAGCCTCCCGAGTAGCTGGGACTACAGGCAAGCACCACCACACCCGGCTAATTTTTGTATTTTTAGTAGAGACAGGGTTTCACCATGTTGGCCAGGCTGGTCTCGAACTCCTGACCTCAAGTGATCCACCTGCCTAGGGCTCCCAAAGTGCTAGGATAACAGGTGTGAGCCACCACTCCCAGCTGAGGATGAACATTTTTAATACATGTTTGCTTTACATTTCTTATTTAACCTTGTGGCAGGAATGAAATATATTTGGTCTTTGTGCCTGGTTCCTGACACTGAGCTCTTAAAACCCTTGGGATTTTATGAGTGATAAGAGCATCTTTTACTAAAATCTAACTTGATGCTAATGTTGACTTAGAGTGGAGCCCTTAGCTAGCCTCAGGATGGGGTGGGTCTCCAGAAAAACCTAATGATTAGAGAGTTGGAACTTTTTCAGCCCCACACACCAACCTCCAGCGAAGAGGGGTAGAGGCAGCTAGAGATCACACTCTCTAAAAACTCGAACAAGCTGTGATGAGCTTCTGGGCTGCTGAATATATACATGGAGGTGCTGGGTGGTGGCACATCCACAGAGGGCATGGAAGCTTGGCGTCCTGGCCCCATACCCAGTCCTACGCACCTGTTCGTGTGGTTGCTTGCCTGTATCCTTTATAATAAACCAGTAAATGTGTGTTCCCTGAGTTCTGTGAGCTGCTCTAGTGAATAAATTAAACCTAAGGAGGATGTCATAGGAACCTTGATTGATAGTATAGATGACAGCCTACTACTGGGGACTGGCATCTGAAGCGGGGGGTTGCCATCTTGTGGGACTGAGGCCTCAGCCTATGGGATCTGACTCCAGGTAGAAAGTGTCAGAGTGGAAGCGAATGAGAGGAAACAGAGTTGATGTCCACTGGAGAGTTGTTTGGTGTGGAAAAATCCTGCACGTCTGATGACAGCAGTGTTCTGTGCTGGGCTGAATGTGTGAGAGGAGAAAAAGCACTTTGGCTTTTCCTATCTCTTACCAACCGCTAATAGAAGCAATGTAGAATTATTTACATGAGACTGTAGTGCATTTCATAACATGACTATTCCAACAAAGAAACTCTATATCATCATAGACAGTTTCACAGCTCATAAAGGCATTTCAGAGGCAAGTGAGGCTTTGAGGGGTGGACTTTCCATAAGTCTTGCTTGGCTGCTAGAACTTTCATGATGTTGAGGGTACCTGCCCTTGTACTAACACCTACTATATCGGCACTGTACAAAGAACACACCAGGCCGGGCGTGGTGGCTCACTCCTGTAATCCCAGCACTTTGGGAGGCCGAGGCGGGCAGATCATGAGGTCAGGAGATCGAGACCATCCTGGCCAACACAGCGAAACGCTGTCTCTACTAAAATACAAAAAATTAGCTGGGCGTGGTGGTGCGCACCTGTAGTCCCAGCTACTCGGGAGGCTGAGGCAGGGGAATCACTTGAACCCAGCAGGTGGAGGTTGCAGTGAGCAGAGATCCGAGATTGCACCACTGCACTCCTGCGTGGTGACAGAGCAAGACTCCATCTCAAAAAAAAAAAAAAAAAAAGAGTACACACCTACACACACAGCACACACAGAGATGTTTATTTCTAACCACAATGCTATTACATTACTATCAAACCCATTTTCCAGATGAGAAAATGAGTCAGAATTTAAGTAACTCGCCCCAGGCTGTCCTGTCTAGAGTTGCAGGCAGGCTGGAGCAACACAAAGCCTGTGTTCTTTCTACTGAAGCACATGACTTCTGTATGAAACTCCATGAAGACACAGACCTATGGAAATAACCTTGTGTTTTATTGATGTGACTTGTGATTTCAAGGCAGGAATGTTAGTTTTCCTCTCTGCTGTTGTGTTTGCTTTGAACAGCGATTTGTTCTTTGGCAGAGGACCCATCCAGCCTGGGGCCCCGTTGACAGCGCCAATTCTGCTGTGTTTCAGCAGCTCAGCAGCAGCAGATGCTGTCCATTAATCTCACTCAGGGTCTCAGCTCTGTGACATGAGGTCCCTGCAACATTGCTCCTCCCTGCTCTAGTTTCTCATTGTCTGAGGAATGCAGGAAAATCATTCTGAAGATATCCGCCATCCTGGCTCATCTGACATGACCAGTTCTAGGCTAAAACCAAGCTACAGCTCTTGAGAGCCGTAGATTCCATGTGCTGCTCTCCTGGGTTATTGCGTGGCTGCCAACCAACCTTGCAGCAGGAAGAAGGGAGAAGAGAAGAAGAAGACAAGTTTGTAAGCCTGAGTTGGGCATGAAAGCCCAAGGTTTTCTAAAAAATCTTCTCTGGAAGTTGATGAATCTTTTTTCAATGGAATGATACAAAATAACTGACAATCTTATTAACCTCATGGCAGAGCCAAGAAAACACCTTATGCTTTGATTAAATGATACAAAAAATAACCAGTTGAAAAGTCAATTTTTTTTCAAATAACAGTGCTGTGTTATAGAAAGGACAGTGGATTAGGAATCAGAAGGCAAATGTGGGTCATGGTTCCTCTCTGCGAACTCTCTAACACTGGAACATTGAGGAAATCACGGAACTTCCATGAAGGAACTTCCATCAGTTGTGACAGCAACTACTCACAAAATGTCTCTGATATTAGCAGTAGTACGGTCTCCTTAGAGATGCTGGATTTCCAGTTTCATGGGCGTATTCTCATGGATGGAATGTTTTTCAGTGGGCGACACTAACTGGCTGTTGGAGATCTGTGTGGGGACATGGCCATCACGTATGATCCACAGGCACTTCTCTGGTTCTCTGTGGCTGGTTCTGATTTTATTCCAAGTTTCTGAATGAGGTGGTTTCTATCCCGATGTGCCCTTCCTATCTTTTCTTCCTCTTGTCTCCCCTCATTTCAGCCTCTTCCGAATCTCACTTCTAACCCACACCCCATCTCCAAAACACTGGGAAGTCTGCATTGAGATGATAAGGTTATAGTATTAGCACACTTTTGTATCAAGTTCTCACAGTGTCTGAAATGTGGTTATGATTCCATGATGTCTCTAATCCCTACTCACCCAGTTCTTAAGAATCATGGGCAACCCCGCTTGGGTCCCCTTCCACGCTGTGGAAGCTTTGTTCTTTCGCTCTTCACTGTAAACCTTGCTACCACTCAAAAAAAAAAAAAAAAGAATCGTGAATGATAAGGAAATAATGTGGACTAAATGTTTTGAATTACTTAATGTTTGACATTTTACAGTGTATAAATTCGTATTATTGTCACATGTATCATTCAGAACACAGTAATATTGAATTAGAGCCCATGTTTTTGACCAGTCATGTCACGGAAAAGAAAGGGAATATGCTGACTTTTCCAATTTCTATTGTCTCTTCTGAAATAAAGTACTTTTATGTCCATGATTGAAATATAATCAAATTGGCTGGATGCCACGGCTCATGCCTATAATCTCAGCACTTTGGGAGGCTGAGGTGGGCAGATCACAAGGTGAGGAGTTTGAGACCAGCCTGGCCAATATGGTGAAACCCCACCTCTACTAAAAATAGCAAAATAAGCCAGGTGTGGTGGCAGGTACCTGTAGTCCCAGCTACTTGGGAGGCTGAGGCAGGAGAATTGCTTGAACCCAGGAGGCGGAGGTTGCAGTGAGCCGAGATCATACCACTGCACTCCAGCCTGGGCAACAGAGTGAAACTCTGTCTCAAAAACAAAAAAAAAAGAATTCACCCATATTATTCATTATGCTATAGATTTTAAAAACTTCTTCACTCCCTTTATCTTCTATTATCGCCCTTTAGGGAGACATGGAAAACCTTTTATCTGTTTACTTCAGGGAAACTATATGAGATACTGAATAATTGTAATGTATTCAGTGTTAATTATAAATACGCAGCGTATGTTTTTATATGTATTGTATTTATGTGCTTTAGGTAATTATGCATGTGAGTTCCTTGCCAATTTTATGGCCAAAATATTTTACTTGGCTGATTACTAAGTATATTTTAAGCTTACTTCTTGAAACATGAAGAGAATATACTATAAATCCAATTAACATAATTTATCTGCCTAAAGAGAATGGTTGCTTTTATTTTTTTTCTCCATTTTAATGATGAAAAATAGTTGTAAGAGTATGGAGTATTTAATTTGTTTTTAAAGCTTTCCAGGCCCAATTTTGTTGTTTTCTTTTAAGAGAAAAATATAATTTTAAAAAGAAATTTGGAAATTTTAAAGAAAGCATTAAAAAAATCACCTATAACTCACTATCAATTTTCAATAATTTTCTGCCTAATATTTTAAGGCATTACAATCTTAACACAAAGAGTTTCATATCTTATTTTTACACTTAATATTATATCCCAAATGTTTCCTTTATCTTTTCTATGAACACTGCTATAAATAACTCTTAAGATTTACCTCCATTCCTTTCTAAAGATGTATTTCAAGAGATGAAATTACTAGTTCGAAGTATATAAAATGCTTAAGATTCATTACATACTCCTGTTTTGACAACCTGTTTTCATGAAGGTTGCATAAGCTCACATTCGCATCAGCACTCTGTAAGAATGGTTACTTCAGTTCCTCACTAAAATGGCTATTAAACTTTTAAAAGATCTTTGCCAATTTGATGAGTGAAAAAAGATTATTTCCTTATTGTTCCATTTGAAGCTATACATGTCTTCATATGTTTACTGACCAGGTGAAAATTTTCTTTTGTGAATTGTTCGTATCCTTTGCATCTTTACCCACTAGAGTATTATTATTTGTCTCCTACTAATGTGTCTAAGCTCTTTTATTGCCTACCTTTCCTTTCTTCTGTAGAAACATGTTGTTAATTCTCAGTATTTGTGTTTCCATAATTTTAGAATCACCAAGGCCATGGGAAACATGGACAATTCAGTCAGCGTTAGGAAAAACTCTGTATAGTTTTGTTTGAAATTGCATGGGATGCATTTATAAATCTTGGGAGAATTGTCTTCTTGGCAGTATTGGCTGTTCCTATCCATTAATATGGTTTATGCCTCCATTTGTTTGGATCTTCTTTAATGTTTTTCAATAAAGCTTCAAAATCTTCTTTATAAATCCTATACATCTTTTGGTTTGATAAGATTAAAGTATGCCAACTAATTGGATAACCTAGAAGAACTGGGTAAATTCCTAGAAACGTACAACTTATTCATGAAGAAATAGAAAATTCAAATATAGCAATAGCAAGGAGATTCAATCACTAATCAAAAATCTCCCACAAAGAAAAGTTCATGTCCAGATGGCTTTACTGGTGAATTCTACCAAACATTTAAAGAAGAATTAAGGCTAGTATTTCTCAGATGCTTCCAAAAAAGTTGAAGATGAGAAAACAGTTCCAAACTCATTTTACAAGGCCGATATTACCCTGATCCAAAGCCAGATAAGGACCCTATGAGAAAAAGGATTAACCAATATCCCCAGTGAATGTAGATCCAAAAATTACCCACAAAACACTAGCAAGCCAAATTCAACAGCACATTAAAAGGATCATACACCATAATCAAATGGGATTTATCCCTGGGGTGCAAGGATGGTTCAACATATGCAAATCAATAAATATGATACCCCACATTAAGAGAATGAAGCATATAAATTATATGATCACCTCAATATATGTAGAAAAGGCATTTCTCAAAATTCAAAGTCCTTTCATGATAAAAACTCTCAACAAATTGTGTATAGAAGGAATATACCTCAGCATATATGAAAGGCCGTATATAAAGTTTCCAGCTAACATACTCAACAAAGAAAAGCTGAAAGCTTTTCTTCTAACAAGACAAAGGTGCCCACTCTCACCAGTTCTGTTCAACATAGTACTAGAAATCCAAGCCAGAGCAATTAGGCAAGAACAAGACATTAAAGGCATCCAAATTGGAAAGGAAGAAGCAAAATTGTCTCTGTTTATATGTAACATGATCTTATATATAGAAATACCTCAGAGACTCCACCAGAAACTGTTATAACTAATAAATTAATCAGTAAAACAAAATAAACATACAAAAATCAGTTTTACTTCTATACACAAACTATTTGAAAATGAAGAGGAAAAATCATATTTATAATAGCATCAAAAAGAATAAAAATACTTAGAATAAATTTAACCATGGATGTGAAAGATCTATACACTGGAAACTAGAAAACATTTATAAAAGAAATTGAAGATACAAATAAGTGGAAAGAAATACCCATGTTCATGGATTGGAAGGCTTAATATTGTTAAAATGCCCATATTACCCAAACTGACCAATAAATTCAGTGCAATCTCCATTGAAATTCCAATGGCATTTTTTAACAAATAGGAAAAAAAATTCTAAAATTTGTATGGAACTACAAAGGACCCCAAATAGCCAAAGCAATCTTAAGAAAGAATAAAACTATAGGCATTAGACTCCCTGATTTCAAACTTTATTGCAAGCTACAGTAATCAAATTAGTATGATCCTAGCATAAAAACAGACACAGAGACCAATGGAACAGAATTAGGAGCCCAGAAATAAACTCATGCATATATGATCAACTAATATTTTACAAGAGTGCCAAGAATACACGATGGGGAAAGGATAATCTCTTCAATAAATGGTGTTGGGGAAACTAGATATGCACATGCAAAAGAATGAAATTGGGTTGCTCTCTTATACTCACAAAACTTAACTTGAAATTCTTCAAAGACTTAAACATGAGACCCGAGACAGTAAAACTCTTAGAAGAAAACCTAGGGAAATACCCCCTGACATTGGTCTTGGCAATGTTTTTTTCTTTGTTTGTTTGTTTTCTTAGGACCCACTACAAAGCAGTCAATGACATTTTCGATATGAAACAAAGACATAAGCAACAAAACCAAAAGTAGCAAGTAGGTTTATATCAAAGTACAAAACTTCTGTACAGCAAAGGAAACAATCAACAAAGAGAAAAAGCAACCTACAGAATGAGAGCATATATTTGAAGACCGTATATCTGATAAGAGGGTTAATATTCAAGATATATAAGAAATTCATACAACTCAATAGCAAAAAAAAAAAAATCCTTAAGAATGAGCAAATAACCTGATACATTTTTCCAAGGAAGATATACAAATGGTCAATAGGTATAATAAAAGGTGATTAACATCACTAATCATCAAGGAAATGCAAATCAAAACCACAATGAGATATCACCTCACACCTTTCAGAATGACAAATCAACCTAAGTGTTGGCAAGGATGTGGAGGAAAAGGAACTCTTCTGCATTGTTGGTGAGAATGTAATTTTTTACCACCATTATGGAAAACAGTGTGGAGATTCCACAAAAGGTTAAAAATAGAAGCATCTTAAAGAGACATCTGGACTCCAATGCTCATTACAGCATTATTCACAATAACCAAGACATGGAAACAACCTAAATGTTTATCAATAGATGAATGGATGAAGAAATTATGGTGCATATATGCAATGGAATATTATTCAGCCACAAAAAAAGAAGTCTACCCTGCCATTTGCAGCAACATGAATGAACCTTGAGGACGTTATGCAAAATGAAATACGTCAGAGAAAGATAAACACTGTATGGTTTTACTTACATGTGGAATCTAAAAAAGTCATAGAAACAGAGTAGAACGATGATTGCCAGGGGATGGGGGTTAGAGGAAATGGAGATGTTGGTCAAAAGGTACAAACTTTAGTTATTAGATGAAGAAGTTCCGGGAAACTAATGTACAGCATGGTACAGCATGGTGACTGTAGTTAATTATACTTATTACATACTTGAAATTTGCTGAGACTTAAGTAGATCTTAAATGTTCTCACCACACACACAAAAGTAACTAAATTAGGTTATAAGATGTGTTAACTAACTTGACTGTGGTAATCATTTCACAATATATATGTTACATGAAATATTTTAAAAACATAGGTTGACAAGTACCCTTAATAGCTTGTCAGTTATGATTAGGTTAAGGAAATTCCCTTTAATCCCTGGTTTATTTATATTATTTACCATGGATAGATACTGGATTTGATAGGATCCTTTTTAGCATTTTTTGAGATACAAAATAATTATTTGATTTCTCTTCTTTGGTATGTTAACATAGAAAGTTAATATAACATATATGTGATTTATATAATTAATATTATTATTATATACCAAAAAGCCAACCCTTCATCCTTGGGATAAACCTAACTTGGTCATGATATATATTAAACATTGCTGAGTGCTGTTAACTGATCATTTTTCATTCATGTTCATAGGCGAGTCTAATCTGTTAGTTATCCTTATTATATTTTCATATTGTGATTTTAGAATTAAAATAATATCTGCTTTTTAAAATGAGTGGAATCACATTCTGTATTTTTTTATTCTCTTAAAATTATTTTTCCCTTAAGTGTTTAAAAGTCACCTGTAAAACTGGCTAGATCTGGCAATTTCCCCATGCTAAAATTTTAGATTACTAATTTTTTTCAGTAGTTAATAGGTCTGTTACAGATTTCTCATTTTTCTTGAGTTAATTTTGATAGTTAATATTTTCATATGAATTTCTACATTTTATCTTTTTTATTTAGAGGCATACATTTCTTAATATATTCTTATCTTTTTAATTTGTTTCTACTCATGTTTCTTTATCCCTTTTTCATAATTATATAGTTTATTTATGCCTTCTTTTTTCCTTTAGCATTCCTGCCAGACGTTTGTCAGTTTTATTAATCTTTTCAAAGAAATAACTTTTGTTGGCTGAGCGCAGTGGCTCACGCCTGTAATCCCAGCACTCTGGGAGGCCGAGGCAGGCGGATCACCTGAGGTCAGGAGATTGAGACCATCCTGGTTAACATGGTGAAACCCCATCTCTACTAAAAATACAAAAAATTAGCTGGGCGTGGTGGTGGGCGCCTGTAATCCCAGCTACTCGGGAGAGGAGAATCGCTTGAACCTGGGAGGTGGAGGTTGCAGTGAGCCAAGATTGTGCCACTGCACTCCAAGCCTGGGTGACAGAGCAAGACTCTGCCTCAATAAAAAAAAAAAAAAAGAAAGAAAGAAAGAAAAAAGAAAAAGAAATAGCTTTTGTGTTTGTTGATCTTTAATATTACATTTTTTAAAAATTTCTTTTAATACTGTTCTTTATTAATTTCCTTCTACTTTCTTTGAGTTTATTCTTTTCTTATTTTTAAATGAGGTGCTAAACACATTAACTTGCCCTCTTTTTTTCAAATATAAACATTGATTTGAGAGTATTGATTTTTCCTCTAAGTATTGATTTTCCTCTAAGTAACACTTGCCCTGCATCCAGTAAGTTTGACAGTATTTCTATTATCATTGACTATTAAATATTTTTAGTTTTTAATATGAATTATTTGACCCATGAATTATTTAGAAGCATGTGAGTTTATGAGTGTATATTTTAGTTCTCAGTGCATGGAAGATTTTTATCTTTTTATTAATGATTTCCAAGTTGATTGCATTATATACAATCAGAACATTCATTGCAATTTGTGAACATTAGTTAGAGCCTTATACATAATGTTTTCTTAAATATTTTATGTATTCTTAAAAACAATGTTGAGCACAGTGTTTTATATATTTTTTAGATCAAGCTTTTGTTCACATTTTCTGTATACTTAATTTTTGTCTATTTAATCTATCAGTTACTGAAAGAAGTGTGTTGAAAGAGGTAATATATTTTGGAGCTAAGTTATAAGGAAAATACAAGTTTAGAATTGCTATCTTTTAAAGTGAATTTAACATTTTATCATTAAGCACTGATAGAATTATCTTTAGTAATGTTTTTCTTTACAGTTTATTTTGTCTAATTTCAATATAACTTTGCCAGTTTCCTTCTAATTAGTATTTTTTCTAGAATATATTTTCAACCCCTCTATTTTAGTGGTGTCTCATAAATAACATATAGCTAGATTTTAGTATTTCAATCAAGTCTCACAGCTTTTACCTTTAAATTCTACCATGTTACCACTTAGTACATTTTTAGTTTATTGTGGTTCATGATAGATTTGAATGCATTTCTATCACCTTATTTTGTAAGAGATGTTTCTTCCATTTGTTCTTAGGCTTCTCCCCCACCCTACCTTTTCTTCCCTATATAGGAAGTTCATGTAAAATGGAGTGAATATCTGTAATTTACTTTGATTCTATAGATCTCTCTAGTCTTGATCTTTATGTGAGCCCCTGACTGCTGGCTCATTTTCCCTCTATGAATTGCAGTGGTTCTGAAAGATGGGATTATATGTTCCATACCCTCTGCTCAGTTACCTCTCCTTTGCTACTGCCCTGGGCTCATCATTCATCTTCTCTTTTGTCACTGACCCAAAGCCTAGACTTCAGCCAGGTCCATGCATCTTCCTCCACAGCTCCTGTTCCTTCTTGTTTTCATTGCATTGCTGAACCTTCAGAGCTTTGTCTAAAAGCTCTAATTTTTAAACAAGATCCTCCCAGTAAAAACATATTCTCAGGCATCAGAGGTTGTGGGGATTCAGCAGTATGGTAGGAATCATTGGTATATATGGGTCTTTTATAAGTTACATTTGCAATTCAAGACTGACAGTATTTAGAAACAATACGACTTGTCCTGTAAGTCTGATGAGCAGAAAGGAGGAGAAAATGGAGCTCGCCAAACAATTCAGAACTGATGGAAAAGCAGTTTGCTCAAAAGCCCCATATGGTTTGCCCATTTTCCTCTGCCCTTTGGAAATTCCTCTAAACATTAGTTCTGACTGTCAGCATGCAGTCCAGTAACATTTTTTTTTCAATCCCCCAGCTCCTCTGCAATGGGGAGGCAACTGACCTACTCCAGTGTGCTTGAAACCATTGTCACTGTACTCAAGAGCACCAGGTAGCACTAGTACTTCTCCCAATAGATGGAGCATTAAGCTCACCAGTGTTGCTCACTGTCATGCTGTTTCGTGCTTTGTTGGTGGGGACTAAATCTTGTATAGAGTTTTCAGCGGTTTATGCTTTGTTTAGGGTCTTGATATCCAATTTCCATGTTGGACTTCTTGTTTATAGTTTGGCACAGAGCTCATTAATGTTGACCCCTTAGCCATTTTAAAGAACCTCAGATACGCTGCAGAACGTGGAATTTGATCTATTTTTCACTAAATAAAATTTTTAAATTTATGTGTTTGAGTACTAGCTATGACTACTGCATTGGTCAGATAATTTTAATGCTTTTTTAAAAATCTGCCAATATTTGACATCAGTGTTCCCATAAAATAAATAAATGATTCTTCATAATTGCTTTTCCAATGCTTTTCCCATGTGACTCTTTTCAATAGTTTTCACTCCAAAATTGTGTGAGTAGTGGCTGTCATGATTCTTCTGAACTGGCAATTATGTCAGAACCATTTAATCAGTGCCTGAGCTGTGCTGGCATTGCTCTTGGAAGGCCATTTTTCAGAATGACATCCACCTAAGCATTTGTTAAATTATTAGACCTATAAACCCTTCCCATGAGAACTCTCAGAAATACTGTTAGATATGCAGAGCCTTAGGGACACAGCCCTTTGCACCACCGTAAGTACCAGAACTCTGTTAAGCAAAGTTCAAAACTTTGAGCCAGAGTGGATAAGAGTCACAGCTCTCTGTCCTCAGGAAACATCCCTCCAATGTCCTTGTCAAGAGCTTGCATGCATAGTTAATCAAGGAAGAACTCACTGGGATTTTGAGTGACATCAGACACCATTCCAGCATTGCATGTTGAAGGATTACTAGCAGGGTTTCCCCTTAATTTACGAGACATATATGATTATCCTTCAGCCTGCAGTCACTGTAGGAAACATGTTTCTTCTGCAACCTGCAACTGGTAGATGCCGTAAGAAAATGCATAAAAAATTAGTGCTAGATTTTGAAATCGTTATTAAAAGGATCATAAAAATCAAAGCATCCCTGTCTCAGTTCTGTCCATTTGATTTATAAGGAGGCTAAAAATGGAAATGTAGGTTTCAACGGGACCAGGTGTGGTAGCTCATACCTGTAATCTTAGCACTTTGGGAGGCCAAGGCCGGGGAATCACTTGGGCCCAAGAGTTTGAGGCTAACCTGGGCAACATAGTGAGACCCCGTCTCCAAAAAAAAGAAAAATTAAAAAATTAGCTGGCCATGGTAGTGTGCACCTGTGGTTCCAGCTACTCGGAGGCTGAGGTGGGAGGATCACTGGAGCCCAGTAGGTTGAGGCTTCAGTAAGCTATGATTGCACCACTACCCTCCAGCCTGGGCAATAGAGTAAGATTCTGTAAAAAAAGAAAAGAAAAGACTTCAATGGTTCCAGGAAACTCTGTTGCGTTTAGAGCTTTATAGGTAGGTAAAGAGATTTTTCTGCTGTTTGAGGCATGAATGCGGTCAGAAAGTCTTAAAATCTCAAGCCTTTTCCTGGCAATTTTCTTGTGCTGCCTGACATAGGGCACACGCTGCTATAGGAAACTGCGGTTTGCTTTTCCCTTCTGCTGAACCTCTCAAAACCTCTAACTCCTCGAGAAAAGGGATTCGTGTCTATTTCATAGGACTGTTGTGAGAATGACATTTTGTGTATGCGTCAAGATATCAATAGATATTTTCACTGTGTTCTAGAACTGGGTCCCTTCATTCTTGGATCACTGCCAGTGTCTCTGATCGATTCAGTCATTATACCACCAGACTTTGCTTTCCTGAGTCATGTTGAAACATTATTCACTTCCCTGTGCTTAGAAACTCACAGTACTTAAAGCCCTGAGTGTTTATGACCCCTCATTAGTGAGCTCCATCCTACCTCTCTTGTATCTCCTTGTTCTGTGGTAAAGACCTCTCGCTTGGGTCATGTCCACATTTTCCCTCAATTCCACGCCACTGTCTTTGTTGCGGGCATCACTTGCCTCTGCTTGGAGCCCATTTCTGTTCTCTACCTTTCCAAGTCCTTTAGGTTGGTTCCACTAGGACCAGCTCAACTCCTGCCTCCTCCTTGAAGTCTTCCCACCCAACCCATCCATCCCTCACTGTTTTCTCCTTTCTCTAAACTTTCACAGCATGTTGGAGTCCCTGCAGTTTAATTTAGACTCTATTTACTACCTCTCTATCCTGTTTACTGCCTATTTCATGAGTGTTACAACTGGACTGCATCTTCTCTAAGTAGGAGGCCTTCAGTTCTTTGATGTGGTCTCCACACTGCCCATTTTGGACAAGCTGCTCTTTACAGGATTGTCATATGATAGGTCAACGCAGACCAGTAATGCTTAAGTTTAACAACTGATCATAATTTCTTGGTTTTGAAAATGTTTAGTACCAGGTAGTGGACTTCCTCGTGGTGGTGGGAAGAGAAATCAATATTTTTATCCTAACAGCAGTTGATGTTATTGACCATCAACTGTGGGCTGGGCACTGAGCTAACCATTTCCATGTGTGATCTCATTTAAGCATCAGCACAGCCCTCCTCCCAGCAGACATGAGGAAACTAATTCTTAGAGAGCTCCATCTCATATCTGTGTCACCACGCTCATGAGAGGTACTGCAATCTGAACCACAGGACAGCTGACTCTGGGGCTCATGCCGTTCTACAACAAAAAAATACAATCTCCATCCTCATCTTCCCTATGCTTTGGGTCTGTGAGACCTGTGAGACTTTGGGTCTGTGAGACCTGAAGTGTTGGAGGACAGGTTGGAGCAGGTCTTCTATGTACATCAGATACCAGAATGCAACCTGACAACTTTCTCCTAATTGTGAATGACAGAAAAAAAGGATGATTTGTAGAGATTTGCCAAAACTGTAATTTTTTTTTTTTTTGAGACAGTCTCACTCTGTTGCCCAGGCTGGAGTTCAGTGACGCAGAGTTTCACTGCAACCTCCCCTGCCTGGGTTCAATTGATTCTCCTGCCTCAGCCCCCTGAGTAGCTGGGACTACGGGCACCTACCACCATGCCTGGCTAATTTTTCTATTTTTAGTAGAGATGGGGTTTTACCATGTTGGCAAGGCTGGTCTCGAACTCCTGGCCTCAAGTGAGCCACCCATCTTGGCCTCCCAAAGTGCTCCTAAACTGTAATCTTTTTTATTTTTATTTTTTCCCAATATAGAAACAGTAGAAATGTTGGAAATTGAGGTTATTGATGGTGCAACTATATGATGTTGATGTTAGGATTTTCATCATGTAAAGTGGCTTAGTTTTATTTGTGTTGTTTGTATAACTTTGACTAGTTGAAGTCAGACTTACCTAGTGTTGAAAGTGAGACTTGAGCACAAATTTGCTTGAGTTAGCACTGGAGAGGCACTGCAGGAGGCAGCCAAAGGACAGCAAAGTGTATTTTTCTTTTGCGTGTAAATGTTGTAATACTGTTTTGCAATAAGTGAAATATGTGTGATCACATAAAGGAGCAGTGGAGAAGAGATACTGAAATTCTTTGTCAATGGTTGATATATAGAAATAGACATACTTCCAAAAGTTAATATTACAGTTATATAAACTTCTATAATCTAACTGATTAGAAATCTTACAGAGTAGAAATGAAGCTTGAAAATGAGCAAGATTTTTCTAAAGTTTGTTTTCTGTGCCTGTGTGTTTCCGTGTGTTTCACATTCTCATGGCATGGTCAACTGGAAGGTATTCCATTGGTTATCATAGCTATGCTACTAGGAGAGCTATACTTTAAAAATATTTTCTGTTAACTAACGCAGTGAGGTGCCTTTGAAGACTTGAGATAGCCATGATTTAAATGGAAAAGCCAATATGTTGTGCGTATCTGTAAGTACACATGAGTAGGGAGAGAAGTGGGCTAGAAGAAAAAAATTAACTATGGAAAAACATAAGCATATCCACAAAGTAGGATTTTGGTTTCTCAATCTATAATATTATTTCATTTCCAGATTGTGAACAGGTGGCACACACTGTTTCTTTAGCTCTTTTGTGGCCAACCACACATAGCTATTTCTCCATACCTACTCATATGTCACCTAAGAAACTACCTAAATTGATCTCAAATGGATCTAATGAGAAAGACATGCCTGGCATCTTTGTAAAAATAATATCTATACAGCAGGCAAAGTTGCTTTAAAGTGTTTATTTGGGGAGCAATGCAAAGTATTAAAGCATCTGTTGTCTCTGCAGCTGAACTTTTCTAATATTTTTACAACAGCTAATTTAACCTGAGTGCACAATTCCAAAGAAGGAAGTTGTAGGATAAAAAGGTAGAGCTGAAATGTACATAAATCTTTAGTGTCCTTGTAGATCTGATACACTGCCGTACTTTCCTAAGCTTATGCAAAACAGAAAGTGAAGAGGCATTTTGCAGAAAACTAAATTATACATGAAGTCATTAAACCTCACCCTTCACTTCTGATTGAGGGATTGCTGCAGTCGTCAGTGAAAGCAGAGGCAAAATGAAAAAATAAATAAATGAAAGACCTGATCACATTATACATTTCAGTGGAAATGTAATTGCTTAGAAGTTCGTTTGAAGTTATTGGGTATGTGCAAAATTGCATGTAGCTGCTGAAAATAAGAAACGGGTCATGGCACAGAGCATCCTTGTGAACCCAGAATCTATCTCTCACATGTGTGGGGTACAGAGGGCAAGAGGGAGGGTCGCCTTGGATGCTCTGCTACAAGTCTGCGTATCCCAATCAGCCCCAAACTCTCCTGTTCATTGAAATGTTTACTTGTTGTCTTGACTTGTTTTTCCACCCAGAGATGTATTTATGCACATAACACACACTGTTTACTTCTTTTTCCAAAGGAGTTTTGTAACTGCCTCTTTGAAAGCATGTCTCAAGAGGGGGAGGGATAGCATTAGGAGAAATACCTAATGTAAATGACGGGTTAATGGGTGCAGCACACCAACATGGCACATGTATACATATGTAACAAAGCTGCACGTTGCGCACATGTACCCTAGAACTTAAAGTATAATACAAATATATATATATATAAACAAAACAAAAAAAAACTCTTTAGGAAGGTTGTGAGATCCCCTTTTTTGAAGATCATATATCCTCAAAAATGTTCTCATCCATCAAGGATGGTCTAAATATGAGCATTGTGAAAGAATAATGATGTAATAATGACCTCTATCAAGGTCATCTTCCATGGTGAGGAACGTGAAATGGAAAAGGCATGAAACGGCATCTGTGCAAGACTTCATAGCTCTCAAGCCTGATGTAGCAGGGCTGGAGAAAGAAGGAAAGGCCTTTTCCGACCCTTAATTAAAGGGACTTTTGCTGGCTCTTTGCAGATTGCTGCTGGCGCCCCATATAGTTCTTAATTAATTCCGCCTGTGTCATTACAAAGTAAGCCCTACTGAAGAGTGGGTTAACAGCCGGAGTAAGCTCCCTGGACTGCATTTTCTTTCACTTGACGCTGTGTCTTGAAGGCTCCAGCAGTGGGGTGGAGCTGCCTCTAGGAGCAGGCCTGTTTTAATCAGCATATCACAGGTCCGTAGTCGTGAGACAGAACGTCTCCCTGCTCACATGAAACGTGGCTTGACTAAGAACTCAGTGATAACAACACCTCTAAAAAGAAATAAAACATTGAATGTTCACTATGGAGAGGATGCTCAGAGAAGCAGAGATTGTCTGTGTGTATCCAGCACTGACTCTCAGCCTGCCGAGGGAGAGCCATGCCTGCAGAGTTTGCAGTCTCCTGGCCCTAAGATGACATCCCCAGAAAGCTTTCTGCTTCGTTTACTCCAACCCAGTGCTCACCACACAGCCTCAGCTCAGGGGTCTGGCTTTCTAGATAGTGCCACTGGCTAGGGCACAGCAGGCACAACAGACACTTGGAAAGAAAATCTCCCCATTTTAAATTCATATGTTGGCATTCAGGGTTACACATCAGAATCGCTTCCATTTAATGTGTGTGCAGCCGTGACTGGAAATGATGCATCTCTAAGAGTGGGAAGTGTACGCATCTGCTAGGGCTGCTAGACTGGGTGGCTCACACAACAGAAGGTTACTTTCTCACAGTCTGGAGGCTGGAAATGCAAGATCAAGGTGCCGGCATGGTTGGCGTCCTCTCCTCACATGTTGGCTTGCAGGTGGTCAGTTCTGCACGCATGCCCCAGGGTCTCTGTGTGCCCTACTCACCTTTTCTAAAAAGGACACCAGTCATATTGGATTAGGATCCACCCATATGACCTTAGTTTAACTTAAGTACTTCTTTGAAGGCCCCATCTCCAAATACAGTCACATTCTGAGGTACGGGAGCTTAGGACTTCAACATATTGATATGAATTTGTGGTCGGGGGTGGGGGGGGGGTCACAATTCAGCCTGTGACACTGAGAAATCATATTCTTTGTTCAGGAATGCTGAGAGGTCTCGCAATTTGAGACCCGACCAAGGTTGGGCTGGGCAAGGCATCAGCCTCATTGGTGGGTCCCCTGTGAATCACCACCTGAGCTGCCCAAAATGGTTGCTCCAAGGCACATGTGGCTATTTAAATGTAAATAATTTACATTAAATGTTAAAATTCAGTTCCTTGGTCATCCCAGCCTCGTTGCAAGTGCTCAATAGCCACAGGTAGCCCTAACAGCCATCATATCAGGCAGTGCAGACTAGAATGTTTCTGCCAACGTAGAACTGCCCTTACGTTCTTGTTCTGGAGGGACCACGCACAATGGCTGTGCAGTGATTAAAAGAATCCCGCAACCAGCACCCTGCACCTGCCTGCTTTGTGCCCAGCTCTGTGCCTGTGGAAGTTAAAAATGGGGATGCAGGCCCCCTCTTCAGGCAACACGGTCTAATTGTGCCAGTAAAAATAACATTAAATCTCACATATTAGAGATGTGAAGAAAACTTAAATGGCACATATTAATACCCATGATAGACTTTTGAAGGATAAAAGACCAATCAAAACTAAAGTAGAAAATACATGGAAAAGATAGATTTGAGCTGAGTTATAATGGTTACACCAGCTTTGCAAAGGAAGTGAAGGAAGGGCCCCCTGCTCAATGAACATCATATCCCACAGCAACTGGAACGCAGCGGGCGTAGAAGCCAGATGTCGTCATGCTCTTTATCTGAGACACACAATGACACCATGCTGCATTCTCTCCCTTTCATGTTTTAGTGTCTCTTGCTCCTTCTCAGCCTTTCCTGTGCATTTATCGCTACATCCTTGGGTTCTTGGACATCCTGGCAGATCCACTGGGATCTCCTTCACTGTACTCTCTTCCTCTAGAAGTGTTTTGTTCCTGGTCTCTCCTCCTCCACCTACAGCAGGATGCTTGTTGCGGGGATTATCTTAGGGACTCCAAAATCACTTAAGCATGGCCCTTCTACAGCAACAAAAATCTGTGCCGTGCAGTAGGATGGCCACTGCTGCTTGTGGTTCTGAGCTCTCTCTAAGTGGCTGTGATGACGGAGGAATAGGGCAGGAGTGCTTGACTGCACCATAAACTAAGAACCCACAGCTTCTTTTGCCTCAACTCTTTCCGCAACCCTGACCTTTCTCTAGTGGATGCAGGAAAGTTTCAATAACCCTAAGAAATGAGTGCCACCTCCCTGTTCACTCATTTAGAGGTAGAAGTGGATTGAGGTCCACAGACGCATTTGAAGAAGGCGTCTCCTAACATATCCAGTATTGATAACAACTCTGAGATCACAGATTCAATGTTGATTATTCAATATTAGCTATTATTTAGTTTAGTAATTTAATTATCAGACATTACAGGTATTTGCAATATTTCATATCAAGTTTAAGTTATTTTTTCAGGACCCAAGGCTTGGTGGAGAATTCTTAGCCATTACACCAAAAGCATTCTCCATTAAAGAAGAAAATCAAGAAATTAGACTTCATTAAAATTTAAAACTCTTGCTGTGTAAGAGGATGAAAAGACAAGCTGAAGACTGGGGGAAAATATTTACAAACTACATATCAAAGGATTCATATCTAAAAAATATAAAGAATTCTAAAAATTTAGTTTAAAAAATCCAATTAGAAAATGGGCAAAGACATGAAAGACACTTCACCAAAGAGAATGTACAGATGACAAATAAACACATGAAAAGAAGTCAACACGACCAGATGATAGGAACATGAAAATTATGACCATGATGAGGTACATCATATTAGAGCAGCCAAAATAAAAAGCAGAGACAATACCAAATGTTGGTGAGAATGGAGAGAAACTGTATTTCTTGTAAACTGCTGCTGGAGTGTGAACTGGTACAGCCACTCTGGAAAATCTTTAAGCAGTTCTTAAAAAACTAAAACAGATGCCAGGCGTAGTGGCTTACACCTGTAATTCCAGCACTTTGGAAGGCTGAGGTGGGTGGATCACCTGAGGCCAGGAGTTCGAGACCAGCCTGGCCAACATGGTGAAACCCTGTCTCTACTAAAATACAAAAATTAGCTGGGTGTGGTGGTGGCCGCCTGTAATCCCAGTTACTAGGGAGGCTGAGGCGGGAGAAACGCTTGAACCCTAGAGGTGGAGGTTGCAGTGAGCCAAGATCGCACCATTGCACTCCAGCCTGGGCGACAAGAGCTAAACCCTGTCGCAAAAAACAACAGCAACAATAACAACAACAACAGATTTACTACATGACCCAGCAATAGCACTGCTGGGCATTTATCACAGAGAAGCAAAAATTTATATCCCCACAAAACTCTGTAAATAAATATCCATAACAGCTTTATTTGTGATCACCAAAAACTGGAAACAGTCAAATTGCTCTTCCCTAAGGGAATGACTAGACAAACTCTAGTACATCCATATACCATGGAATATTACTGAGCTGCAAAAAGGAATGAACTAATGATATAGACAACAACTTGGATGGATCTCAAGGGCATTGTGCTCAGGAAAAAGAAGCCAGTACTTGATGATTCCATTTGTAGAATCTTCTTGAAATGTTACCGAAATTAGAGAGATGAACAGTAGACTAGTGGATTCCAGGAATTAGGGGATATTCAGTGCCTATTCAGAGATTCCACAAGGAAGTTTTTTTGTGGTGACAGGATATTTCTTTATTTGATTGGAGATCTACACTTAAGACGAAATGGCATGGAACTATACACACACACTGTACCAGCTTCAGTTTCCTGAGGTACAGTTATGTGAGGTGTAATCATTGGGGAAAACCGAGGAATAAATGGAAGCTCTCCATACCATCCTTGCAACTTCCTGTGAATCTAGAATTATTTCAAAATAAAAAGCTTTTTAAAATCTATTTATTAGTATAATTTAAAATTTATGTCAAATTTATTGGTTACCAACATAATGATTCTTTAATTAACTCACTGGTGATTATCCTGATAATAAGGTTAACCTTCAGTTTGAAAGATGCTGGGGTCTCTTTTCATGAGCATAATTTACAACTGTAATGACAAAATGAGGCAAGGATTTATGTCAATTAACAGGCTTACATCTATGAGACATTTTGGGTAAAAATTTTAGCATGGTACTTGGAACACAGAGAGCTGCATTTGTTATCTTGTGTTATTGTTAGTATTATGTTATTTATTTATGTTTTTTGAGACAGAGTCTTGCTCTGTTGCCCAGGCTGGAGGGCAGTGGTGCAATCGTAACTCACTGTAGCCTCAACCTGAAGAGATCCTCTTGCCTCAGCCTCCTGAGCCTGAGTAGCTGGGACTATGGGCATGTGCCACTATACCTAGCTAATTTTTTTTTTTATTTTTAGTCGAGGTGGGGTCTCGCTATGTTGCCCAGGCTGTTCTTTCTCCTGGCCTCAAGCAAGGCTTCTGCCTTGTCTTCCCAAAGTGCTGGGATTACAGGTGTGAGCTACCACACCTGGCCACCATTGTTCTTATTAATACTACTGAATTGGTTATTTATTGTGATTTTACTAAAAGAATTTTTTTGTCATCAAAATCGTTTGAGCCTGCATTTTTTTCTTATGACATTTCTTGGCAAAAACTCAGATTCCCTTTCAGGAATTTTCTTTGCTGAAACAACAGTCTAGCTATTGTGTGAAAGTCCATTCTGGTAATGTGGGTCCTCCAAGGGCATTAGCTCTCGGCTGTTTGCATTTCAAAATTGACCCTCAAGTTTACTTTCATTTACTTTCAACTCTGTTGCCTTCTTGAAAATGTTTTAAGGCAGTACATCTAATAAGCATGAAGCATCTTACTTTTAGTTTAATCCCAAACCTTGTAGTTCTAAATAAAAAAATTGAACCACGTGCCCCTAAGGTTTTAATCTAATATCTGGTTTCTTGAACTGGGGCCAGCTCTTCATTTTTCAAAGCATCAACAGATTCTAAATACAACTTCTGGCAACCTCCTTTTAGCATCTGACCTTGGTTCACTTAAACTAATTGTTATCCTTTCAGCAGACTGTGATTCTGAAGGGGGAAGAAACACTATACTGTGAAACATTAGAGGAGTTTTTAACATTTGGGGTATAATGCCCTCCATGTAAAATGTCTATTTTCAGTATTACCCTCTCCCTGCCTCTACTAAAAATTAAAAAAAAAATTAGCTAGGTATAGTGGCACATGCCCATAGTCCCAGCTACTCAGGCTCAGGAGGCTGAGGCAAGAGGATCTCTTCAGGTTGAGGCTACAGTGAGTTACGATTGCACCACTGCCCTCCAGCCTGGGCAACAGAGCAAGACTCTGACTCAAAAAACATAAATAAATAACATAATACTAACAATAACACAGGATAACAAGGGCAGCTCTCTGTGTTCCAAACATGATGGTAATTTATTTAAAACTAGATATAAGTATATACTTTTTAAAAAACATATTCAAGAACCAAGCCTCAAAAATACTAAATTTGAATGCACTCAGGATGCATGAATCTTCTGATTTATAATTATCATGTATTTTTCCTCATACAGAGCTCCTCCTATGTTCCAGGTAGATGCTGGGTGCTGAGGATGTGGAAGACTCAGCCCCTTCCCTTGTGGAGTTTATAGTCTGGGGAGGACAGAGATGTTTGTGACTCTAATGATATGTGCATTTCCATCAACATTCTACAAGTTCTACACATTCTACTAATAACATGCCAATTCAGTGGCACTTTATATATGCAAGCCAACATGGTTTTTTCCACTGACATTCACAGGTTTTAATACAGAAAGCAATCCTGTTAAACAATTTAATTATAAAAATTCTACTGTAAACATTAAAAAGCAAATTCAGTAACCTACCTGTGGTCACACAGTTAGGAATCAGTCAGAGCTGGGATTTAAGCCCAAATCTTCTGGTCCTACATCTCATTCTTTTGCCTCAGCACCACTTAAGCCAAGGTGAGACAGTGAATTCAGTTTTCCCCAAGTGTGAGATGCAAACAACTGATGATGTACAAGGTGATTTTTAGGAGGCCCACTCATGGGGAATAAGCTGTGCTGAATTGCAGGTGAGAAAGTGATTGGCTTTCCCGTTAGTTGTCGTTCAATACTTTTGATTCGCCAGGGAACCTTGGTTTGAGGCAAGCGTTCTCTCTCAGCCAAAGAAGGGCCTGGCCTCAGGCTCCGAAGTAGTCAAGCAGCACTGCCTGGCTGGATTGGATGCTATTCCTTCATTTTTGTTGTCTCGACTTTTTCTATTATCTTTACCTGAGGAAAGAGTTCTTGGCTTGGCTGGGCGTGGTGGCTCACGACTGTAATCCCAACACTTTGAGAGGCTGAGGTGGGCAGCTCCCTTGAGCCCAGGGGTTCGAGACCAGCCTGGGCAACATGATGAAAACCCGTGTCTATAAAAAATACAAAAATTAGCTGGGCATGGTTGTGTGTACCTGTAGTCCTAGCTACTCAGGAGGCTGAGGCAGGAGGATCACTTGAGCTCGGGGTCAAGGGCTGCAGTGAGCTGAGATCACACCACTGCACTCCAGCCTGGGCAACAGAGTGAGACTTTGTCTCAAAAATGATGCGAAATTTCATTTGCAAGTACTGTAAATGTATTTGCATATACACGAGTTAAATTTACATCATTCAATAACAGAGGGAAGTGGTGAGGGGATGAGGGAAGTGCTGAAGGTGTACATGAGTGACTAAAATTTGGAAAGACCTCGTGAGTTGCTGCTGAGTCCTCCTGACTGCCTTTGTCACTTGCCTCTAGGGATTCTCATTTGCTCCTTCCCATCTGCTAGTTGCAACTTCCCAATTTCAAATCACATTAGTGAAATGAGTAACGTTTCAAGGGAGTACATTCAGATGACTACGACATTCACCCAAGACCTACTGTAAGATGATGATCTCTCTGTTTTGAGAGGTGAATTGGTTCTTCCAGGATTCCCAAGGGTGGCTGGAACCACCTCTGACTCTACAGATGAGTGATCAGCACCACGTGGAAACTTCCGCCATGCTGGGATTTCTGCTCCATACCAGTGCAGGCTCATTGTTTTCACTTATTTAGAATCTCATATTTACTCTTGTAGACTAAGGCTGACTGCCAAGGCTTCCCTTACAAGAAGTAATCCATGTGATCTAAAGTGAGAGTATTCACATTCTTCAGTAAGATATGACATTTGGCTAAAAGTCAGTCTTTAAATAAAAGGAGAGCCTCTATGACTCTACAGATAACTTTGGGTTATAAAGTTCCATACAAGTGTTTGCTTTTAAGAGTAGGCATTGAACTTTCTGGCAGAGTAAATTGAGATGTAATCATTTTTTGCTAAACTGTTTTAAAAGATATTTCTAACCTTATTTTCTAAATTTCTAAAATAATTATACGTTCTAAATTTTGATCTTTAGTTACCATGACTTAAGTATTGCAGGAAGAGCCTGGGAATTGTGCTGATGGGTTTTATAAATTAATAGGTGTCAAAAAAAGAGTCACAAATATCACATTAAAATTCCTTTTTCTGCTATACTTATTCATTTCCAAGCCTGTCATCTCTTAAAAAAAAAAAAGTATCCTTAGATTTTCAGTCACATTTGATGGAGTTTATGTGCTCTGATTTCCGAGGTGAGGACATTTAAAACTTCACAGCTCTCCAAGAAATACCAGGAAGGGATGTTTGCTTTAAAAAAAAAAGAGAAAAGAGGGACAAGAATAAAACCCCCACCCAACTTCCAAATACTATATAGAGTCAGTGAAGGAAAAATACAGACATGGGAGGAAAAATTGGAAAAAATTTTCTTGGAGACAACAGCAAAAACTGGCAGTCAAGTCAGTAAGGATGTACTGTCATCAAGGTCTCAGGTTTTCATATTAGAATGAGAATAGTAACAGGTGGCCTGATGGAGCACTGGCTGCATGCTGGGTGTGTCACACATGTTGAGTCTCACCGCCCTTCATGTGGCCATGGTGTCAGGAGGGAGACTTGCTCAGTTTTCAAATAGGAAAGTGACAGCTGCCCTGGTATGTTTATAACAGCTTACTCTGGGACAAGTTTATAAACTGGAGGGTGGCAAAGAGACCAGTCAGGAGGCTACTGCAATAATGCAGGCAAGAGATGGGTTGGAGGCTGCTCTCCAAAGGAAGGGAGCAGCTGAATTTCCACAAAAACATCCATCTGCTCTCTAGATGTTTTCAAGATGCCTTTTCCAAGGAGGTATTCTTACTGCTCTCTAAGGATCTGGGCGCATTTGCACAGGCTCACTGTCAAAGTCAGGTGCAGAGGTGGAGGAAATTACAGCTCTTGAGTAGTGTGAACCTCCCAAACTCTGGCAATATCTGCATCAGAGGCAAAATGAAAATTACTGTCTCTCTGAAATTTGGGGTGACAATCCTAGAGACAAGACCTAAGCCTAGCATGACTTATAGAAACACAGATACTTTCAGCTGCCTCTAAAACAGAGCAGTCCTCTTTGGGGGACCTGTGACAGATTGCTCACTGACATCACTATTTTGACACCCCATTAAATTACCATGGCCTCTTTGGGTTTGCAAGGGCACTGCAGTGAGAACAGGGGCAGATCCAAGTTCCAGAATCTTCAAAGATTGATCTCATTGATATACATGGGAATCAAGAGATAGGCAACTCAAAAAAGTCAGCTTTGACCAAGTTTTATGTAATAAATCTAAACACATAGAAACCCTTTGGTCCAGCTTCTCCAGGACACCATCCTCATTCCATAAGAAGCAGCAGAGAGTCTTGCAGGAAGAAGTAATCTGGAAATGCAGGCTTTGACTTCCAAACTGATGAAATATTCTTGTGATGAGCCCTTGAGAGCCCCTGAAGGGGGGTGCCAAAGAAACAAGGACTCCCTGAAATGCAGCTGAGAGCTTCATCATTGGCAACATGACAGAGGCACCCAGCCTCGAGAAGACATTCCAGATAAGGGGGAGCCCCAGGCATGGCTGAGGATGTAGGTCTCTGTTATTAAACTGTTTTTTAGGGAACAAAAGAAAAGAGTAGTGCCGGCCAAGAAAGGGTTGAATATCCCCTAACACCCACCGTCTGCTTCTTACAATTAATGCCCTACTGACACTCACCCCAATTATATCAAAATCATCTCCTTTTTGGAGCCACCTTATTCTGCGTCAGTCTCTATAATCCCACAGAACAGTGGCCTTGTCCAAGGAATGTTCAGCAGCCGTGAACACTCCGCAGTTACTGTTTCCATGACTATTTCCCCTTGTCACTCACTTGAAGGATATGTTTTTTTGCTCTTGCCACTTGATCAATGGTTCTCAACTTATTTCTGCTCCAGTGCTCTTGAGGGCTGTGTCACTTCATTAGCGGGAGCTGACTACCACAGTGCTTCTGAAGGTGGGAAGAAAGGGGACTTTTGAAATGGAGCAAATTTGAAGAGAAAGAAAGGCAACTTGATTGAGGGGCCCTCCAGGGTGTTCATACTCACATCACCAGGAAGCATCGCTGTGCAGGTGGTGATAGGACTGTGCCACTGAACTGGCTCATTCCATAAAACGTGGTAACCAGAAATCCTTGGTGGCTTAAGACCCATGGCCAGGGTGACTTCAGAGTGCCACATGCACAGTGCAATGCATCAGGCACAAAGCCACAGGTTCTGAGCCAGTTTTGAGGCCAAATGGAGGCGCACTAAGTTCAGAGTGGAATGGCCTTGGCTTGGGTCCCAGCTCTTCTGTTTACCAGCTGTGTGATTTCAGGGGAGCCACTCAATGTCTTTCATACTAAATTTCCTTATCTATACAACAGGATTAAAATGCTCACCCCCCAATAGAGCTTCACAAACCTCATAAGCATGTATGGATCAACAGGAAATATATGACATTGCTGTGGAAAAGGCACTTGTAAAATCCCTCATACAGAGTAATATTCAATAGAATAAGAAACATATTCTAAAGCTCAGTCAGACATCATGGGGACTGTTTATAGGCATGAAAACATTGTGTGTGTGTATATATATATATACACATATATACGTATATATATGTATATATACGTATATATGTATATACATATATATACACACATATGTATATATATACATATATGTATATATGTGTGTGTATGTATATATATACATATATATACACATATATATATATACATATATATACACATATATATATATACATATATATATACACATATATATATACACACATATATATATACACATATATATATACACACATATATATATAGGCGGCAAACCTCAATCCCATTATCAAAAGAGAAAGAGCTATTAGGTAAAGGAAGATAATTGTACGATAACAATTGCCGAGATCATGATGGCTGCTCTGAATCCTGCAAAACAGAAAAATTCTGCACAATTTCACGTTGGATTAAGTTGCAATAAAAAGTGGCCAGAGATTAGCAGCTTCTTTAAAAGATCAGTGAATGTTCACATTTAGATTTCGGTTTGTTTAGAAACCTAGTTCGTGTGTCTAGATTCTTGTTTTCACCCAGTCCTCACCTCTCTTAGCCGTGAAGCATCACATGCTCCTTTTGCCTGCCTTTGTTCAGGACACTGGAGAATGACAGTGACCAGTGACCATTGCCATCACTGTGCCTGAACTTCTGGGGCACTCTGCCTTGTGGCCCATCAGGCAAAGTTAGGTGTCTTCAGTTGCTTTAGTGCTATAGCAATAAATAGTTTATATGGGATCTAATAAAATGCGATGCTTCGAAGCACCAGAAGAGAAGTCTGAGCAGAAAACAAAGAAATTTCACAGACTTTGCATGCCCCAGTGAGTTCATCTTCCTTCTTTCAGGGTGATGATTTTAGTCATTTTACATGCACAATTTTATTCATATGAGAAAGGGAGGAAAAATTTTATTTCAGAAGCATCTAAAAAACTTGACTCTGCACTGCCTGAAAACATACTGCACATTATGTACGGCCTTGACCTGCATCCCTTTCTTTCTGGCAGCTTTTCTGTTGAATAGGATTTTTTTCTCCTTTTTTAATATCTAGGAGTTGTGGCATTTTTAACAGACTGCATCGTTTTGGAGTAATGTTCTCTTGAGGTGGGCAACTGAGATGTATAATTATATCCTGTGGAAAATGGTGGCGGTATGAGGGGTGGGGAAGGAGGTTATTAAATCACAAAAACATGTTTCCTATTCAGAAAAAAATGACAGTATGCAGGATGTTCAATTTCCTTCTGCTCTGTGCCCATGGAGAGTACAGCATCTTCAAGTGGGGAAGTCATTGGTATTCACTGGAGCTTGCCTGGTTTCATTTTTATTGTTTTGGAGACTTATTACTCTTTCAGAGTGGTTCCCAGGTCTGCTGCCTCTTCGCAGTATATATGAGCTAAGGTAGTCAGAGGAAACACTTTAATTACATTTTAAGTAGAATAAAAGCATAAGTATATTTATGAAAATTCTAACAGAAGGTGCAGTGAGACCATTAACTTAAATCCCAAAAATACATCTAGTGTTTTTTTCATAATAGGAAGTTCATAGTTGGTGTGTTAAATTATACCTGCATATTTAAAATCTGCCCTAAACACTAAATATTGCCTAAATGTGCATATTATATTCAAAATCCCACCTATAAAACTTGTGCTGGGAGCAGGGGCCATCATTGCCTGCCTCACACACCTGTCCTTAAGTTGCTGCTCTGCAGATGGGATGTCCTCAGGGGCTAAATGATGCTTTTAGCCTTGGTTCCCTCAGCCATCCCTCCTGCTCTCTCTCATTGGGCCTCTTGTTCAAAATTATGCCTGAGCTTTGGTCGAATTTGATTTTAGCAAGCCTGAACATAATTCTGACAAGGGAAGACTCTGAGGTGAGAGTTAGAGGAGGAGTTGGAGGTTGTGCTTAAACTTGAATGTAAGGATTTGTCTCAGGCATAGAAAGATGCAAGGTGAAGATAAGCAAAATTTCCTCCCAGAGACCAGAAGCCAGTCGTTGGCATATGCTTCGAAAATCCTTATTCCAAAGAACAAAGTTCTTTTCTGTCGCACTGGGAGGATTCAAAACCTGATTAGCTTTACTTTCAACAAGTTTGAGAGGAACCCTTCTTTTCTACAATATAAATTATTTGGTGATTACTTCCCAAGAATATTGGTTCAGAGTAGAATTCTTCTTAAAGCATTCAATATTCAGTTTCTGTAATTTTAAAAGAACATGTGTAACTTTTGACCTCTTAAAGATAAAAAAGATAGCTAAAGAACCTTTTATTCTTGCCCAAAGAAAAATGCACGGGTGAACATCTTACAAAATGTGCACTGACTTTGCTTAATTTATTAAAAGATATTTAAAAGTAAAAAAGTATGTGAAAAGGAACATAATAGAATAATTGCATAGTAAAGTTACACATAACCCAATGTTATTTGATTTTCCCCAGGCACATTTTACTGTTGTGTTTATTAGTGATTATGCCCATCTCATGGTCTTCCAAAAAAAAAAAAAAAGGAAGGAGGGTGGACTCACAGGGTCGTTAAGAGAATCCTCAGTCTCTCTAGGGAAGGAAGAATAAAGGAAGTGTATCTGCCACCTCTGCAGCTGCACATCTGTGGCAGTCCCGGCTGCAAACTAGACATGAAGCAGTATTCTAAGGCACTGACGGCAGTGTTCCTATCCCAGTTACTGTACTTGCCCTGAGAATTGTTAGCCAGGAAAGCAACCAGGGGCACACAGTCTGAGAGATCGTACCATATCATGGCTTCTCTGAATATTCAGTGGCTCCAGAGCTACAGATGAAGTTTTATTTTCTAACTAAAAATTTAAACAATTGGTTTTTGTCTCACTTTAGGCATAAGAGGGAGTCTAAAGTAAATATTTTCTCAGATATCTTGAACGTATATGCTAGAAAAAAGCCATAACATTCAAAACTGGATCCATCTTAGGAAAAAAACATTTTTAATCTCCATAACAAAAGGAAATAAAAGCCAAGGCAACCAATCTAGAAAGCCTTTCCCTTTTCTCTCTGGGCTCCCATAGGTTTATTACTTATTTTCTAAGCCAGGGATAAAGACTCGTGGTCTTAATAATCCAAATGTATCCATGGGGAAATTGGCTATATAATTGAAGGAACACTTACGGAAAATGCAAGACACCATCACCCTATCTGTATGGAGTCAGGAGACAGTGACATTTATCTATGGAGGCACTAGTTATCTGACCTTTTCCTCAGAGCATTTCTAATTTTGTTTTGTTTTTTAAAAAACACATTTTGCCATTTATAGTGATTCATGTAATTCCTGGATAAGAAGTTGGGAGGCTCATTGCAAGAAGTTGAACTTTTCCTGCAGTGGCTCCCATGCAATGAACACATATCATGTATGAGAAGAAAAATTCCTGTTTTATAGAAGTAATCAATAGTTAAAATTTAGGTGACATTTTTAATATTCTTTTGTTGTAAACATTCTTTCAGAGACAAGCAGAGATAATCTTGGCATGGAAAACAATTGTTGGCCATGTGTATTTAAGTTGACTTAATAGTGTTTTCTTCTCAAGGTCATTGGGGTAAGAGTGGTAGAGAAAAAGCAGTGGATAAAGAGTCAGAAAACACTGACTTCGGATCTAGGTTGTGTTAGAAGATGTTGAGGTGTCTGTCTTCATCTCATGTCCCTCAGCTGTAAGGGACAGCTCATGTCCTCTCCTCCAGTGAGGATCAGGTGAGAGGATGGACTCATTCATCTGCACATACTTTTGATGCTCTCATAATAAGTGCTCAGAGATGGATAAAACTTGGGCCCCATCTGTAGGAAAACATTCTGGGAACTGTAGTGCTCAAATGCAGTACAATTGGTTATTATTTCATTTGTTGATTTGTGTCTGTTTCTTGGTCACCAATTAAATGAAAATAATACAACTAAAATAACTATTTTTAAATACAAGGGCTATTGGCAGTCCTGTGATAACCACAAATGCTGAAGAAACACAGCTGTGATGTGAGCATCATTCCCCACAAGGGAGCCTCTGTGTGTCCAGAGAGGGCAGGGACCCTCATGTGGCTCGGGTCCCCACGTGAAGGCTCAGGGAATCTAGGGGCATTTTCTGTATGAGTTGAGGCTGTGGATTTACTGGAAGACTTCAAGGTCTCAAAGTCACTTTTCTTCTTCCATCTTCCTACAAAAAACAAAATCTGAGAACTTTTTAGATGGGTGGAAAAGGCAGAGGGAAGTGAAATTGGTAATTAATCATGACAAACTCAAAGTGGAATTAAATTTTTGGAAGTCAAATAGTAGTTATTACTCAACTATAAAATTATTGTCATTCATAGAGTAACAAAGACAGTATTCAGAAAAAGAGTATCTGACTTTAAAATCCCTGAAGCTATTTTTAAATGCATGTTATGTAGCAGAATAGAAGCTACATGTTTGAATAAATCCCCTGATTATATAAAGGTCTTGTTCTAGATGGAATCAACTAGCGATTTTTAATGATAGTATTTGTATTGAGTTAATTTATTAATAACCTGAAAGTGTTTTTATTTGTATTTGCCCTGTATCATACAGGGTTTTACTTTTTATATTAGTCCATTCTCATGCTGCTGTGAAGAAATACCCAAGGCTAGGCACAGTGGCTCACTCCTGTAATCCCAGCAGGTGAATCCCAAGGCAGGTGAATCACTTGAGGTAAGGAGTTCGAGACCAGCCTGGCCAACAGGGTGAAACCCCATCTGTACTAAAAATACAAAAAGTCAGCTGGGCGTGGTGGTGCATGCCTGTAATTCCAGCTACTCGGGAGGCTGAGGTACAAGAATCATTTGAACCCAGGAGGCAGAGGTTGCAGTGAGCTGAGATCGTGCCACTGCACTCTAGCCTGGGTCACAGGGTGAGACTCTGTCTCAAATTAAAAAAGAAAAAAGAAATACCCAAAACCAGGTAGTTTATAAAGGAAAGAGGTTTAATTGATGCACAGCTCCACAGGGCTGGGGAAGCCTCAGGAAACTAACAGTCATGGCAGAAGGGGAAGCAAACACGTCCTTCTTCACCTCGTGACAGCAAGGAAGAGTGCCGAGTGAAGGGTGGGAAAAGCCGCTTATAAAACGATCAAATCTCATGAGAACTCACTATCAGGAGAATGGCATGGAGGTAACCACCCCCATGATTCAATTACCTCCCACCAGGTCCCTCCCACAACACATGGGGATTATGGGAACTACAATTGAAGATGAGATTTGGGTGGGGACACAGCCAAACCATATCACTCTTCAACTAGCGATGCATAGTGTGAGTCTGTTAATACAGCTGTTCATATATAGCACATCTGATCCTACCATGTTTTTGAAATGATAAATATAAGGTAAAAACTATTATGATAATGAAGTGTTACCTATGATCACGACTAAGGGACCTTAAGATGAGCAGATTAAACCTCTTAACTCTTAGGTTTGTAGTGTTATTTTTTTCAGTCTTCTGTGTTGTGTTTTAAAATGGTGTTGCTCAACTGTTTTATTGGGTGGATGTACAGGGGACAAGATCTGAAGCCTGAGGGCAGAACAGACCTGGGGCTAGGGTCTTCTCCAGCCAGTCTCTGATGCAAGCTCGGTTGTATGGTAACAGCAGTGTCCATATCCACCAGGCCACAGAAAAGACATGGACTTGACAAACTATGTAACTAATTACTGGATTCCAAACATAAATGATGAACACATAGCTCCCACTCTCAGGGAGTCCACAGCCTGGTGGCAGAGACAGACACAGAAACAACAGAGGATGCCAGGCACTGTCCACTTAGTGGTCAGAATACTATGCAGCACACAGGCAGGCAGAGTGGGGCACAGACATCTCGTGGCGTCTGCGAGCAGTGTCTCCTACTGCAGCAGTGCTAAGCAACAGTTTACCTCATGGGGGAGAGTTGGACCCACAAAAAGGAATAAATACATTCTACCTAGCGACAGACTAATCTGAAAATATTGTAAATGGTGGAAATGGCCAAGACGGCTGAACACCACAGGTGAGATGGAGACCGGGGAGGAAGGAAGAGCTTCTGTTTGGGAGAGAACTGAGAGAACTTGAAAGCCACCCTGGAGCACATCTGAGGACACGAGTCCCTAATGCCATGTTCTCTGGCCCCAAAGCGTTCCCAAATGGTGCTCTCATTCATCTGCTCACCCTTCATCTCTTCCTCTTTCCCTCTCTCTTCCTTCCCAGTGGGTGCCAGGAAGTATGTGAGTACCGTGGCAAAAACAAGAAATAGCTTTACTGAATCCTGTTCACTTCCATCCTTTTCCCATAACCTCCTCACATAGTTGACCACATAAAGGTAAAATGTAGTGTGAACTAAAGTGGAAATAAAGACACACATTTTATTTTACTTGTCCACTGAGAGTAGGGGACATTTTCATTACAACTTGAACAAAAAAAAATTGAATAACCTGAAGATTAAAGACTCCAGGCATCATAGTGCCAAATCCCTAAATAAATGGACATCTAAACTCCATTAAAAATGAAGAGAAAACTTTGGCAGAGTTTATTACAGGATTTTAGCCTGGAAGTCATAAAGTCTCAGCTTACCTACTCTCATGTTTTAACCAAAGATAACCTTTCTTCAATTAGCAATTAGGGAGAAAAAGACATCACTGTATCTCTTACAAGAATATTGAAAAATGACAATATAATTAAGAAATTGAGTGAAACATTAATTTCTCTGTATTAAATATTCAGCTGAGATGGGGATGAACATGTGACCATTTTTACTCGGTTATACAGAGAAATTGTGGGTTCACTCTTCAGCTTCCATCCCTGTGTTTGTAAGGTACTAACTAAAGGAAAACAAAGTTTAGAAAAAGCTAAATGAAATATTTAAAATATAAATGTAGTGTAATAATCCCTTGTCTCATTTCTGTCGGCATTCTTTCCTTCTTGACCCTTGTTCTACGTTTTTTAAGAACATCCTCCATCGTTAAGATCCCTCTGTTTACTGCGCCAAATTGTAATTCTCAGTCTCACTTTCCTTCTAGAGCTTCTTTGAAGGGCAGTCTGCACCATGGGACTCGGCTAAGAAAGATGAGAACAGAATGAAGAACAGATACGGGAATATCATTGCATGTAAGTGTCAACAGTGTCATTGTGCTGTTGTAGAACTTCCTTTTTGCATCTAGTAAGATTGACCACCAGGCTCATACAGAGGAAATTTACAGTGCAATTACCTCCTTCATCCTTCTAGAACAGCTGGTGTTAACGCTCGTACTAAAGAAAGGAATAACTGTCTACCCCCACTTCATCATTGTACTGTTGTCGTGGGCCCTGTTTTCCTTTTAGATTTAAGGTTTGGGTAACACAGGTAACGTTAAGATGCTGAGAAGGAAAATGCATTTTGGATGGAGTAAACATTATAGTCCTAATGGTTCCCAGCTGCTACGTGAGAATGAATGGAAATAATGATGCACAGCTTGCCTTAATGCAAAGAGCTCAGAGTTCTCAGCAAACATTAACTCATTAATCCTGTGGACACTGGGTTAGGTAGGTCAGTAATAGCCCCATTTTAAGGACAGGAAACTGAAACTCAGAAGTTAAATGATACTCCCCATATCACAACACTCATTAGCAAAAGAACTAGGATTATAGCTTAGACATTCCCAGTGCCTGTGAAACTGAATGTTACCAACCCGTAATGCCTTGGATGGTTTCTAAGTCGAGCCCAGCCTCATTAATGTTGCGTAGCAATGCTGAGACACGCGCTAGATTGATGAAACCCCTTCTCCCAGGGCCCGCACTATCCATCCCCCACACTAAACTGCTCTCCGTCATCCATGACTGCATCAAGGCACTGACAGGCCCGCTGTAGTCGCCTAACATAATTAATACTATTTATAAAGATACATAAATTTTAAAAAGCAACACAACAATGCAGATTAGGCCAAGAGAACATCTCGCTCCTCGTGTCTCATTTCTTACGAGAGAACAAACTTGGGAGGTTTGGTTATTCCAGAGGAGCAATCTATTAGCTTTATTGATTGTGAAAGTGCTGTTAAACTGTCTTTGCCTGAGTTCACATTTCTTAGTGTGACAGTACAGATTGTCTACCAGTGCTGCCCACAGAATTTCCTGTGACTGCAGAAATGTTTCGTGTCTATGCTGTCCCAGACGGTAGCCATGAGCCACATAGGAGTAGCTGCACTGTGTACTTGGAATATGGCCGTACGACTGAGAAACTGAATTTTACTTTATTTCTTGTTTTTGCTGTTCAAGAGTTTGACAACATGAATTTTAAATTGTATTTAATTTTAACTATTTTTAATTTAAACAGCCCATGAGGCTAGTGGCTACTACATAGGGCAGCACAGATTTCAGTGTGTTGTAGAAAAAGAAACTGGGGGGTAGAGTGGAGCTTACATATGACACAAAACGTCCCAGCTGAGCACATGCTGCTTTCCCTCCGGCCATCAAGAAAGCCAGATCGCCAGTGTTGCCAGGTATAAATGCTAGCTTCATGTGTTTTGTAGGTTGGTTTTAGAGCGTGCTGTATTTAGTAGCATTGGAGTGGTCATGTCACAGTCCTTTGTAGGTAGGAGATGCTGTCCTGAGGTCTAGGGTTGATTACTCCTCAGTGGATCCCATCAACACTTGTGGGATGCATTCTTGATACTGGACACTGAGGACGCAAAGGCCATGGAGATGAGATGGTGCCCCTGTCCCCAGGACAAACCCAACCGGGCAGTCAGATCGCTGTGGCAGTAGTCTAGCGCCGTGACACAGGGTTTTGTTGCAGCCTGGTACACAGTGTTCTAGAGGCTCAGAGAAGGAAAACATGGTTTCTTGGTCTATCTAGACTCTTCCAAGTTCCTTCATTTTCTCTGGGAGCCCACTGAAGCTTTGCGCTGTTAGAAGAATTCAGATTTCTCCTGATGGCTATGACATCCTTTCCAGGAGTCCCTTCAGCTCTGCAACAAACTCACAGAGAGTCTTGGAAGTGAAGTGGGGAATCCCCTTCCATACCAAGTGGAAGAGACATTGCTGAGCCTATAACCTCATCATTGTGGCATCACTGATGTGGCCTCGTGCTGAGCATACAGAATGCAATGAATGTCAAGGGGTGTAGCCTTGGGTATGCTGAGAGATCCAGCTAGCCTTTCTCCAATACAACATTGAGTCTGCTTCTTCCCAATGTATAGTTTAGTACCTCCTCATGGAGACACTGAGATATATTTTTGAATCATGAGTGAAAAAAGCTAGCATTTGCTGAGCACTTACATATGCCAGACACTACTCTAAGCACTTTGCACATCGAAACCCGCTCACTAACAACACCACGAAATAGGTAGTATTTTTGTATCTATTTTACAGGTGAGGCAATTGAGGGATAAAGAGGGTTAAAGAGTTTCACGGTTAATAAGGTATGGAGGCAGGATTCCAACCCAGGAGCAGCTTTTATAACCACTGCTGGATGGGTGCTGGGATGACTGGTCCCACTGGCTTGGTTTTCACCAGGTGTGGTGGCTCATACTTGTAATCTTAGCACTTTGAGAGGCTGAGGTGGGAGGATTGCTTGAGGCCAGGAGTTGGAGACCAGCCTTGGCAACAAAGCAAGACTCTGTCTCTACAAAAAAATTTTAAAAATTAGTTGGGCGTGATGGTGCGTGCCTGCAGTCCCAGCTACTCAGGAGGCGGAGGCAGGCAAACATGAGGATGGCCCTGTATTGATTGTTTCCTTTCTATAAAACGTCTGCAGGCTCCCCACCACGTTCCAAGCAGGTTTTCTCCTTTAAACCTCCAGAGATCCTGCCCATTTGTCTCCACTTGGCCCGTGTGGGTATTTGGTGTACAGCTGCTTGTCACAGGAACACTGAATTCTGTTCCTGTACCCGTTGCTCGTCACAGCTGGACAGAGAGTATGTACTTAAAAGGGTCCAATAATCCATCTCTTCATTCAGTAAATATTTATTCATCACTTTCTTTTTGCCAGACTCTGTGGGAGGCACTGCTATAAAAAGATAATGAAGGCTGAGGCGGGTGGATTACATGAGGTCAGGAGCTTGAGACCAACCTGGCAAACATGGTGAAACCCTGCCTCTACTAAAAAGACAAAAATTAGCTGGGCATGGTGGCATGTGCCTGTAATCCCAGCTACTCGGGAGGCTGAGGCAAGAGAATTGCTTGAACCTGGGAGATGGAGGTTGCAGTGAGCCGATCATGCCACTGCACTCCAGCCTGGGCAACAGAGCAAGACTCCAGAGGTCTCAAAAAAACAAAAAAAAAGGAAGATAATAAAACACAAGATACTGCCCTCCTAGTAGTTACAGTCTAGTGCAGGGGGTTGGCAAACTTTTTTCTGTAAAGGGTCCAGTAGTAAATGTGTTAGCCTTTAAAGGCCAATCTCAGTCTCAGTTCAGCTTCTTGGCTCTGCTGTTTTCATGCAAAAGCAGCCACAGACAGTACAGAAACAGATGGGTCTGACTATGTTCCAGGGAAACTTTTTCTGAAAGCCAGACAGTGGGCTACTTTTGGCCCACAAACAGTAGTTTTCTGACTCCTGGTTTAGTGAAGAACAGATTCCACAAGGGGAACTTTTTCTTACCCCCCAGGGCACATTTCTACCACCAGGATAGTTTTCAACTCTCAGGACCCTGAACTTGGGATCAATTTTTTCAGCACCCCAAACAGAGGTATCAGATGTGATTTGTGTGTCTGGCACAATGTTGTCAGAGGCGGGATGGGTTTAAATCTACCTCCTACCACCATGAATTTGCAGTCTGTGGCCAGATCAGGATAAGACATGCATGAAATAATAGATCTCAGGTCCATAAATAAATGGAGAATGTGTTGTGAGGACACCACTGGGGACTTGCAGGAGAAGGGTGAGTGGACGAGTGGCAGACTAATCAGGAAAAGACCTCTCAGGCAAAAGAGAAGGTCGTAGGGTTTGGAGATAGGAGGAACAGTTTGGAGTCCTTGTCCTACCACATACTGGCTCAATGACCTTGGGTGAGTCATGAGCCTTCTCAATGTCAGAATTTCCTGACAAGATCACGTGTTGTGGAAATGAACAGAAATGCCACATTAAAAGAACATTGATCGTTGTTACCTGAAAAAAAATCTCACTTCTTCATTACTTCTGTGTTACTCATCTTGAGTTTAGCAGATTCATTACTTCATTAAAAAAAAAAAAAAATCAGCATGTTGAAGTCTCCGATCCAAGTGATGAGCTGGTAGGTAATTCAGGGACCATCCTGCTCCTTACTAGTGAGCACGTCTATGTGCAGTGGCCCACTTCTGCCCAGGCGGGACTCTGGCTTCTGTTTCTGGGCATTGCGGTGGGCTGTCATTTACCCATGACCTCTGGGGCTACGTTTTCTAGCCCCCACCGCCCTCCATCCCATCCCTTCCAGTGCTCTTTTAGTGTTTCTTTACTGGGTTGTGTTATTTTTGTATCTTTCTAGGGACAGTGTCAAAAAGAGACTTCTCTGTCCAGCCTCCTAATCTTCCTCTCACCTTCCATGGCGTCCTGAAGCCCTTCCCTGGGTATCCGTGTTACCCCTTCCTCTAGTTTGCTGTTGCTTCCTGTACCCACACACACATAATGACCCACGCATACATCATGACTCACACGTACATAGTGGCTGTTTCTTTATGGGCATAGTGAATAGTATTACCATCCCCTGCCTAAAAATTATGTAACTGTAGAAAAGTCAGTTCCACTGCCTGTAAAGTCTGCTTCCTAGAGCCTCGGACTTGGGATAACACCACTAACTAGAATAAGGAATTGGGAATTCAGTCAGCATATCTTAGAGATTCTTGTTAGTGCTTTTCAAAGAACACAGAAGTGGTGTAATGATCACATTCATTGTTTTTGCAGCAGTGTTTGCATATAAAATAGTTTTAATGGTCCTTAAAACTGTTTATTGGCTTTTGCTCTTAAGTAAGTTAACTTTTCCCTTATTTACACTATAAATTTGCTGAGCTAGCCCCTTCCAAATATAAACCAACACCCTACCCACCATTACCGCCCCTCCACACACAAGCATAGCCCTCCTAATACTCTCAACAGTTCCTAATTATAATTAACTCTAAGCTTAAGGCACACACCAAATCTCCCTGCTAACGAGGCAGCCCCCTTGCAGCCGGCTCCTCTTTCTAGGGACTGGCAATTGGAGATAATGAGCCAGAATCTGCAGAAGCTTCCCAGGCTCCCTTCCTCCTCTCTTCTGATCTTTATTCAACAAGTATATATTGATCTGCCATGTGCCAGGCACTGTGCCAAACCACAGTCATTCTTTCAACAGATATTTGCTGAGTGCCTGTTATACACCAGGCACTATTCTAGGTGTCAGCGAGAGAGCAGGGAACAAAGCAGACAGGATGCTATGCTGGTGTCGTGCTGCACCTTCTTGTGGGGAAGACAGGAGCAATTGCTGAGTGCAGGGTGTCAACACCCATGTTAGGAGGTGAGCACCCAGCAAGGAAAATGAAGCAGGGAATGGAGATTGGTCAGGGTGGGTGATGTTTTTAGACTGTGGTCAAGAAAAGCCTCCCAGAGGGGATGAGATGCCAACCAGGACTTGAAACAGGTGAGAAGACGGAGGAGTGTGGCCGCCCAGGTGGCCGGTACAGCAGGGAAGGCTGTGCTGCCGGAGCAGCGGGAGTGGGGTAGGGGCAGAGGTGGGAGATGCAGGGACTCTGGGGTGACCACAGGAGCAAGAGCTGACAGGGCACCTGCCCTCCTGAAGCTGATGGTCCTGGAAGATTTCGTGGGGGAGAAGGGGGTGATGTAAATGATTACAAAATAAAATTCAAGTTAAGGGCACAGAAGGAGTTAACATGGTACCATGAGAACTCACAACGTGGGGACTGAGTGAGGAGGTATGGGAAGGCCTCCCTGAGGATGGGACATGGAAAACAACTGAACAAGAGGGGACGGAGCAGGGAGGATGCTGCAGAATTGGGAGGGGTTCATGTGAACAGACCCTGTCATGCCGGGGAGCCCCTTGGGTCTGAAGAACTAAAGGAAGGCTGGGTGGCTGGAGCTGGAAGGACAGGGGTTGGGCAAGAGAAGGAGGGAGGTGGAAGCCAGACCTACAGAGCCTTCTGGGGCAGGTTGAGGACTTTTGTCTTTATTATAAGAATAACGGAAACTTCATTAAAGGGGTTGGGGGGGTGTTAATAAAATTTCATTGGAAAATTTAGATCTGACTGCAGAGAAAGTAGGTTCGAAAGGGACAGCTGTTGAGGAATTTCCAGTAGCCCGAGTGTGACACGATGATGATGTTGGCTAGAAAGAAAATAAGTAGATGAATTCAGAAGAAGTAATGGACCCAACCGAAAGATGGATGGGAGACAGGGTGAGGAAGACAGAAGAGCCAGAGATGACTCCTGCGTTTCCGACTTACTGGAGGATGAATGGTTAGATGGATGATGGGCAGTTGAACAGGTAGACACATGGAAGGATGGATGGGCCATTCCCTTCCAGTATTATCCAGGATGGATAATACTGGAAGGGAACCAGCTGTGGAGAGGAGCTCAGGTTGGCATGAGATCAACAGCAGCTTATGAGTTTGATTTGGGGACATATTGAGATGCTTTTGAAACATGCAAATGCGATGCCAAGCAGACAGTTCTGTAGACTGCTGTGAAATCTGAAAGAGAGGGATCTGGGCTGGATTATAAATCAGTGACCCATTTCATGGGTCATATGGGTGGTGGTAGAAGCCATTGGCAGGAGGAGGTGATCTGTGGAGGGAGCAAGGAGGGCATAGAGAGCCCAAGACCCAGCTAAAGGGGCTTTAATAATGGGCGGTCCTGAGACAGAACTGCTCAGCGGTGCAGGGAGCACTCTCATGGAGAGAAGGGGTGCTGCTAGTGTCCTGTTGGTAGATCTAGTAGATCTAGTACAGCAGAGACTCTGATGTAGTGCTGAGGACACGAGGTCCCTTCTGAGGTGGGTTACCATGCCCTCCTACTCCATTTCCTAACAACGAGGTGTGACTAATCAGTGACTGGAGCTTTGGACCTACCCCAGATTCTTCTAGCCAGTGAGCCAATCTTGGTTGCTCACATTGAAGGCTTCACTTTTCTAACATTTTGTTTTATAGCAGTGTGCTTCTCTCTGCTAATTGAGTGACTCCAACAGCGTCTTTGAACGAAGGGAACCAGAGTTTATAGTTAGGTAAGAATGGCCTGGCAGAGCGAGCTTTTGGCATTAAATTCAGGTGGGCACGAGCAAGAGAGAAGCAGATGGACACAATATGTTTAGGAAGGCATAGGGTAGAATAAATAAATCCCTGCCAGGATTCTGAAGAATAAAGAGAGAGCTCTGACACAGGGATTAGTCAGTCAGAAAAAGAGTTAGAAAACAAGGCAAGACCCACATGAAACCAACAGGAAGAGGAAAATTCATATGGAGCCACCATCATCGAACTCAAACTTCCTGCTCAGAACCTGCATGGCAGAGCTGGGAACCGGGTGGAAACAAGCAGGGAGACTGCACTGGAGGTGGCATCTCCACCGGGTAAGGCGCCAAGCACTTCCTGAGTTGCAGGCACACTGGGTCTCCTGTAGACCCTACCTTGAAACAAGCACAACAGCAATCCTCAGCCCAAATGCAGCCACGGGAGGAGCAAATCCATTATTTGCAGAAATCAATTGTAATTAAAATTAATTTCCAGCCTTCTCTCAGAGGCTAAATATTACCTTGATAATTGTGATTCCAATTTACCTTATATATGTCACCAGTATGTAGCAGAGAGAAAGAATTGGTTAGAGGTGAAAGATTATCAGTGATACACTCTATTTCTGCCGCTGTGGGAATATCTAATCACACACAAGTTAAAACTGCATGACTATTGTCAATATCCGTCATGTTTAATATGGAAGTGTTAAAATATTTGAAGTTACTTAGAGATATTTTTAAACGTAATGTTACCTGATGGAAAGGGCAGAAATACCATGTTCTACAGACTTAGGGTGGGGCATAGACCTGCCCTAAATCTCGCATCACCCCAGTCCAATGCATGCCTATGTACACGGGGGGAAAACCTCAGCGGATTATAATTCTTCAACGCTAAGCACTGGTTTGTTGTGACAAGGTCTTTATGTGCCTGTTTCTTACCCAAAAATATCTGCTTTTCTCTGTTTCATCTAGTAAAGGCTTTTTTTGAGAGATATGAGACAAATAGCAAGTCGTTTTTATGCAGATGGAGTTTCTCAAAGTGGCAGAGTTTGTTACATTTCTTGATGGGGTAACATTGAGTTGTGATTATGATATAAACATGAGTTTAATTTTGATCATATTCAAGTCATGCATGGCAAATAGATTTCTTTTTCTCCAATTCATACACATTAAAGAAACTTTGTACACTGTGGAAAACTTGGGGAACATATCCCAGAATCTCACCATCCAGATTCAAACCCTGCTAACATTTTTTTTATGTTTCATTCCAGTCTTCTTATTTTTCTATCTCTTGAAGCTGTTGACTTTATTTTTTTTTTTTTTTTGCTCTTTGTTTTTCAATGAGAATAGATGTGTTATTCTCTTTCTAATTACAAAGATAATATAAACCTTGTGGACCATTAAAGTAGTACGTAAAATCATAAAGATGATAATAAAAATCACTCCAGATTTTATCCCCTGCAGAAACCTCATTCTTCCAGTTGTCCCACTGTGCATACCTACACGTACACCAATGCGTTTGATTATTTCATGTAAATAGACTCTTATTAGACATGCTGCCTTGTAGCCTGCTCTTCTTCACTCTGTAATATGTCCCAGAGATCTTTCCAGGTAAATAAATTAAAGGCCTGGTAATCCTTTTGAATGATTTTATCAGATTTTTTGCTTGTTTGCCCACCATTCTTCAGTCTCCTGTTTATATCATTGAATGGTTACCAAGGTGGTGTTAGGAAAAAAACGTCTGTTTTAGAAAAAGCAGTCCTTGGCATGGATTCACTAGTGAGGGAAGCAACTAGAGGCAAAAATGAAATAGTGCAGATGAAAATGATCAGGTCTTGAATTAAGTCATTGGCACTAATAAGACAAGTGATAGCTAACTTTCCCTTACTTCTTATTGTATACCAGCTACTTACTAATGATTACTTATATTAATTCACTTAATCCTCACAAAACTCTATAATATAGGCAGTATTGTTATTCCCATTTTACAGTTGGGGAAACTGAGGCACAGAGCGGTCAAATAACTTCTCCAAGGCCACACAACTAGAAAGCAGCATAACTGAGATTCATACAGGGATTCTGGCTCGGGAGCCCGGGATCCTAACCTCCGTGCTCCACTACACAGAAATAGGGATAGGTTGTTGAGCAGATACCAGGAGATTAAAATGTAGAAGTTATTGAAGAGCATTCAGCATGTCTTCAAACATTTCTCCTGTTTCCTTTTTAAAAGTATCTCCACCTCCTCTTCCCTGAAAGATTGGCTGCTTCCAGTTTTCAGTTCTGCCCTGCTCTGCTGTTCCCCAGTAAGCATACTGGCTCTTTGTGCTTTGAAGATTTTATTGGTAAACTTCAACAAAGATGTTGCTTTTATTCACAGAAAAGGGGTAATTTTTTTTTTTTTTTGGATGGAGTTTCACCCTTGTTGCCCAGGCTAGAGTGCAATGGTGCGATCTCAGCTCACTGCGGCCTCTGCCTCCTGGGTTCAAGTGATTCTCCTGCCTCAGCCTCCCAAGTAGCTGGGATTACAGGCGCGCATCACCACACCTGGCTAATTTTGTATTTTTGGTAGAGACGGAGTTTCTTCATGTTGGTCAGGCTGGTCTCGAACTCCCGACCTGAGGTGATCCGCCCACCTCGGCCTCCCAAAGTGCTGGGATTACAGGCGTGAGCCACTGCGCCTGGCAGCGTAATTTTTTTTAAGGGGAACTAACTGTACTGTGTTCCAGGCACCTGATAATACTATGCATTATCTTATTTGGTCCTCCCAGAACTCCTAGGAAAGTAGCCCCTTGTCACCCCTTTTTACAGATGAAGCTCAGCAGGACTCCAAATTTGTGCAGATGCATGTGAGTTGTAGAGCCAGCATCAAATCATGGTCTTGGACACCAAAGCCCCTGTTAGTTTCATTTCCTGCAAAATGTGAATGTGAAATGGCTTTGGAATAATCAAGGAAAAGCACCCATGCTGGCAGAGAAATACAGATGGTAATTAAAAACTACAGCTCAGGTCTTCTCAAACTTAGCAGGCTGTGTGCCCCAGAAATACCAAGTCCTCATAGTCTTGACCCCGTGGTTTTCATGGTTAGTAATTGACCTGTTGTTAACCACAAAACTGATTGAATTCTACAGATCTTATGCCTAGGCAGTTGAGTTTTCCAAACTTTTTCCTCCCTTCAACCCCAATGGCTAGACCCTGGCCCTGAGAGAGGGCCCCTCCCAGCTGGTAAGCCTTCAAAACAAACCTGCAGAACAGGGCTTATCATTGGACAATTGGCATTTCTTTGGATTCTTTGTCTGAGTGTCTCCCACATTTGCCAGATGCCAGAAATGTCTGTGAGGCATTTCCTCATAAAAATTTGATATGATTTAGCCTCAAGAGTACCCCAAGGAATAACTGAGTTTTCCTGAAAGAATGGTTGATACATATTTGTCTTTGTAATTGGCATCTGATTCAAGGTGAATGATATTTCAAGAACATATGGTGAGGGGCATCCATATACTGATTTATTTGCCCCAACAGTCTATATCTGTTGTTTTCATAGTCATCTGAGAGCTTTGTTTGAGAGAGGACGCGTAAGAATCTGCAGTTTCTGTGCCAAGTCATTCTTAGACGTCCAAGCAGCAGAGCATGGGGGAGCTGGAAGAGCCAATCATTTCACTTCTTTAGCTTTTACATTCACCGACTTAATGTGAGTGATGGTGATACTTACCTATTTCTTGTATTCTGGAAGACATAGGGATTAACTTGAGAAGTGCTGACCTGTTTCAGCCAGGAAGTGCAATCATGTGATGATCAGCCTGCTGCTCTCCATGGCAGAACACATGTCCCGCGTTCTCCACCCCAACTGGACCCTTTCTTGAGACTTACCCCACGCTCACTGCTAACACAGGTATCTCCTGGGCTTGAGGTGGATTCACTTATCAGTGTTCACCTTATTTTATCACTAAAACAAAAATACTTCATAAACTACATAATGTATGACTGTTATCCTCTATTAGAAAGCTATAGAGGCCAGGCGCGGTGGCTCACACCTGTAATCTTAGCACTTTGGGAGGCCAAGGCAGGCAGATCACCTGAGGAAAGGAGTTTCAGACCAGCCTGGCCAACATGGTGAAACCCCGTCTCTACTGAAAATACAGAAATTAGCTGGGCATGGTGGCAGCTGCCTGTAATCCCAGCTACTCAAAAGGCTGAGAGAGGAGAATTGCTTGAACCCAGGAGGCAGAGCTTTCAGGGAGCCAAGATCGCGCCATTGCACTCCAGCCTGGGCAACAAGAGTGAAACTCTGTCTCAAAAAAAAAAAATAAAAATAAAAAAAAGAAAGCTATAGAGTCACCGTCACTCCTGCCTTGATTTCATCAGGGAAAGGGAACTCACCATCTCAGGAAAATGTGCCTAGCAAAAGAATTCACAGGGCTCTAGGCTGCAAGTCCATGAATGCCCTTTCCTAGGATATCAGGGACCAGAGTGGAACATGAGCTATTATTACAAGGGAGGGATGGAAAAATTAGACTTTTTTTATTTTTGGAAAAATACACATAAAATTTACCATCTTAACCATTTTTAAGGTCAGTGCCATTAAGTACTGTTAAAAGAAAAACTTTAGACAAATTAAATTTAGCCAGGTTTATTTGAGCAAAGACCAATTCATGAGTCAGGCAGCCCTCAGAAACAGAAGAGGTTCAGAGAGCCACACCTACAAGTGTGAGTGGCAGGCTTTTGTAGGCCAAACAGAGAAGCAAAGTAGAGAAATCACCTAATTGGCTACAGCTAGGCATCTGCCTTATTTGAGCATGGTGTGATGAGTTTGGAGTTGGCTGCCTGATTGGTTGAAACCCTTCCTGTTTTATGTATTCCCTAGCACATGGTCCAATAGAAAGAAACTATGAAATATAAATGCAAGCCACATGTATAATATTAAATTGTCCTTAAATCTAATAGCCACACTAAGTAACAGAAAAAGAAATAAATTACTTAAGTTTAGTAATATATTTTATTAAATCTAATATGTCCTAAATGTCAACTTTTCAACATGCAGTCAGTATAAAAAATATAAATGAGGTATTTTACATTCTTTTTATCGTGCTAAATATTCCAAATTTGATGTGTATTTTACACTTACAGCACAATTAGGATTAGCCTCATGTGGCTAACAGATACCCTATTAGACAGTACAGATCTAGACAATATAGTTACATTTTGCCTGGCTTTTAACTTTACATAAGTAAAAGTATGTAACATATATCTCTGTTATCCAGTATTGTACCTACTAACTACACATAATTGTTTAAGTTCATTAAAATTAAATTAAAATTTCAGTTCCTTTGTTACTCCAGCCACATTTCATGTGCTCAGTAACTAGTGTGGCCTTTGTACTGGTGAGCACAGATATAGAATGTTTCCATCAGCACAGAAAGTTCTACTGGACAGCGTTGGTATATACTCTTCTGTGTATTGCTTTTTTTGTTGTTCAACTATGTTTGTATGATTTGTTCAAGTTGTATGTAAATGTAGCTTGTTCATTTTCATTACTAAATAGCATTCCACTTTATTAATATAGTACAATTTATGTCTCCCTTCTGTTGATGGACATTTGGATTGTTTATAGTTTTGTCAATTGTAAACAGTATTGCTTCAGTACGTTTCAAGATGCACACAGTATCCATTTCCTCATGGCTGGGTCATAGGTCGTGGATGTCTTCAGCTTTACTAACTAGCAAATTGTTTCCCAAAGTGATTGTACTAATTTTCATTTCCACCAGCAGAATCTGTGAGTTTATATTATTCCACATCCTCACCTGAACTTGGTGTTCAGACTTAAATGTTTTGCCTTTCTAGTGGGTATGTGATGGTATCTCATTGTAAGCTGGGCTTTTTTTCACTTACTGATAAAAATAAATGTTTATTGATTATATATTTATCAATATATATTTATACTATTATTTTCATAGAAGTGTGCACACAGGAGGTGAAGATGAATATAAGACACAGCTCCTCTTAAATAGTTTTTGTTTTTATAGAGACAGGGTCTTGCTCTGTTGCCCAGGCAAGTGCAGTGGTGTAATCATAGTTCACTGCAGCCCCAAACCACTATGCTCAAGGGATCCTCCTGCCTCAGCCTCCCTAGGACTACAGGTGTGCTCCACCATGCTAGGCTAATTCTTTTTTCAATTTTTATTTTTTATAGAGACAAGGTCTCTAAAAATAATAATAAAAATGTCATGTTGCCCAGGCTGGTCTTGAACTCCTGAGCTCAAGCTATCCTCCTGCCTCGGCCTCCCAAGTAGCTTGGTCTGCAGGCATATGCCATCACATCCAGCTAAGGTATTTTTGATCTGTAGGAGAAATAAGTCATGTCTATAGATAACCATATATAAGAGCACCAAAAAGTGAAATCAAAGGACTATTGACATTTAAGGAAGGAGAATTTATACCCAACAACCTACTCCATATCTCTATTCAGATGGTAAACACCTCAGATTAAATATATCCAACACTGCGTGCCTCATTTCCATCACCCACCCCAAGCTGGCTTTTCTCCATGGTTCACATCTTAGTCAATGGCACCATCTTCTGCCCTTTTTCTCAGATCAGAATCCTAGAAGTCAACATGATACCTCTTCTCATCCACAATAAGTGAACTGATCATTGTGGTCAGTCCTACCACCTAAATACCCCTCAGATTCAGCCCTGTCCACTAGCCCTCTCTATGCTAAACTGCCATTGATCCCCTAGGACTCTTGCAGTAGCCTCCCCATTGTCTCCCCACTCCCACAGCCCTTCCAGTTCGTCCTCAACAATAGCGGGCATCTGATGAAATGAAGCACGCCCCTGCCTGTGGCTTCCCACGGTGCTCAGGATGAAGGTCCTAATGACCTGGCCTTCCCTCCTCTCTGTTCTCATTTCCCACCACTCTCCTCCCTGGCTTCTGACAGCACATTCACCACACCAACCTTCTTTGGTTTCCTGAACATACTAGATCCTTCCTACCTCCTGGCCTGAATACACACTATCTCCTGGACTTGAAATTTAGGAGTTCTGCCCTCTCCACTTTCCATCTTCATGGTTTGAGCTTCAATGTCCCTTTATTAGGGAATTGTTTGCTAGCTCTTCAGAGTAGGTCAGGACCCATGCCATTCACTCTCATAGCTCTCTGTCCTTTCCAACTTAGCACTTATCAAAATTGTATTTAAGTCATTATTTAAGCAATGACTGTTTAATGTGTTTTCCATTGCCTTAAGTCCCATGAACTCAAGCACCGTAAATCTAATTTGTTTAACACTACATATCCCCAACACTTAGCATAGTGTTTGGCATATAGCAGATACTCAAAAAGTCACTGAATAAATGAGAAGACCTTACTGAGGAGGGGACATCTGAGTTGAATACTGAAAAATTGGCAGAATTTGGACAGTTAGAGATGGTTAGGAATGATTAGGTAAGAGATTTCTAGAAGATGAAATAGCTCAGTATTCTGACAATATTAGACAAGCCTGTATTAAAACTGAAATTTAGGCTGGGCGTGGTGGCTCACGCCTGTAATCCCAGCACTTTGGGAAGCTGAGGCAGGTGGATCACCTGAGGTCAGTGGTTCCAGAACAGCCTGGTCAACATGGTGAAATCCCATCTCTACTTAAAATATAAAAATTAGCCAGGCGTGGAGGTGTGTGCCTGTAATCCCAGCTACTCAGGAGGCTGAGGCAGGAGAATCACTTGAACCCAGGAGGCAGAGGTTGCAATGAGCCGAGATCGCGCCATTGCACTTTAGCCTGAGCAAAAAGAACAAAACTCCGTCTCAAAAAAAAAAAAAACCTGAAATTTAAAAAGGCACTGTGGACCCATTCAAGGTATCTTGGATGATCCTGGACCACCACCCATTCATTAGCATGGGGAAGAGTTCAATCCTTGTTGCTCACTTGCTGTGTATTAGGCAGGGCCCCACACATGGGACTGCAGCCTGTGCCTCTGTGCTGTGAATGGAGTCTTTTGGAGTTAGGCATGTGACCTTGGGGAAAGGTACTCTTAGGGATGTTCAGATTATATATGACACTGTCTCTGACCACAGGACATTGTAATCTAGTAGAATCAATAAAAGAAAAAAGATACTACCATGTATATAAAGGCAAAACCCATCTCATTCTGTTAGGAAGTCAACTGTACATGTGTCTTACAGGTTTCTCCATCCTGAGGGGAGTAAGGGCAATTGAATCTGGAGAAGTAGCAGCCAAGTTAAATTTTGGGGTGTGGATAAACTGAACTGTAGGAGATGATGGTAAAACTCTACTTCAGAGGCTCTGTTGATAGGAAATAGGAATTCAGTCCTGGTGGAGATTGACGTCCCTAAAGAGAACCCTCCAGAATAGCCTGAGCAGCCCATGGGTGGTAAATCACAGGGAATGAGCAGCACTCATCCTGAGGAGCTCAGAGAATTCAAGCACAAAATAGACAGGAATCTGACGAGGGGGTACAACAGATCTTCGAGACAGGCCTGCTTAGATTGCAAGGTTCTAATTCGGTCGGTTGCCTGCCTTTTGAAAACCTGCCCAGGGAAAGCCTGAGTATCCAGGAAGGTGAACCTGACCTCCCTTCAGAGGAGCTGACGAAAGCCCAGTGTGTGTGGAGTAGCCGTGATTCAGTTCTAGGGTGCATCTTTCATTCTTGAAGTTCAAATGGCATTGCCGGTGCTTGTGGCACCCTTCTGTGCAGTAGTTGCATGTAGGCACTGGCTCTCCTAAGATACACAAAAGCCATAACAATCTACACATGTCCAGTGCACCAGCTCACCTCCCCCAAACCCCCAACAGTGGAAAACATATACAGGGAGCCACTGGTTTTAAGCAGCAAAATGTGTCCTAGGAAATTGGTTCTTAAAGCAGATCACCATGAGGAAACATTCTGACTGCCGGTGAGTCTGTTCCTGGGGTTGCTGTTATCTGCTTGGACATCATCTGTAAAAACAGCAGGAAGAAAAATGTGGCTGTCCATTACATAGCCCATGACAATAATAACTGACATCTATCCATCGCTTCCTATATACCAGGCTTTTTTATGATCTCTTTATGTGTATTATTTTGATGCTCACAGTAATCCCACAAGGTAGGCACTCTTCATCTCCATTTTACAGCGAAGGAAGCACAGAAAGATTAAGTAACTGGCCCAAAACCACACGTGAAGGATTCTAACCCACCAGCAGCGATTCTCACCCACACACTCGACCCCAGAAATTGCTCATCCCATAGTCTCCTGTGAGCAGAGCAGGAAGACATGACCTCCTCTCAGCTTTTCTCCTTCTCTGGCCCAGCTTGTCACCACATTCCAGATAAACTTATTGCACCCCAACTAATGGTAAGGCACTGACATGAAATAATGTGACTACCTGTCATGAAGTGGAAAGCCCCGTCAAGGAAGGAAAGTTAGAAAATTGACACCGATTTCCTTCTGCCTGTGCTGTTGACAACAAACAAAACATTTACTCGACAGGAGGTTAAACTCCAGAAACCAATATGAAATTTTGACTTTCACCCATTAGCATTTCAAGGAATGGGTCCAGGTCAATAGTTGCTCCAGTGACTGAGGATAAAAGGGTCCGTCATCTGCAGCTCCCCTGGCTTTTATCTCAAAAGCTGTGGGCTTCATTTCTCACCCACTAACCCAAAAGAAATGTTGAGTAAAGTTAGCATCAGAAAAAGGCAGTAGCAGTTTAGAAGCAGGGTTTCCCACTGCTCTAGCAACATTGGAAGTGAAGTTTTGCAAAATGTTCTTATCAGGCCCCCCTGTGCTTTCCTTTCAGGGCAGCTGGCTTTTATCTGTTCTGAATACTGAGTTTTAGCATACACTTTAATTGGAAGGAAGGGTCCCTCTGCTAAAAGGAACAGTTATTTAGGTAAATACTTTTTAAAGGACATATATTTTCAAAAAACGACAATGCACTTTTTATTTCTTCAAAAGTTATTTTGGGGGTAAATCTGCTATGTTCCAGGCTCTAATCTAAAGGCCAGGGACACAGCAGTGATCAGTGCAGGAAAATTCTGCCCTTAGGGTGCTATTAGCACATCCTTTCTTTTTTTTTTTTAATTTTTAGTTTTTTATTTCAATAGGTTTTGGGGGAACAAGTGGTGTGTTTGGCTACATGAATGAGTTCTTTAGTGGTGATTTCTGAGATTTTGGCGCACCCGTCACCCAGGCAGTGTACACGGTACCCAGTGTGTAGTCTTTTCTCCCTTACCCCCTTCTCCCCCTTTCCCCTGAGTCCTCAAAGTCCACTGTATCATTCTTATGCCTTTGTGCCCTCTTAGCTTAGCTCCCATTTATGAGTGACAACATACGAAGCACATCCCTTTTTAAAATATGGATTTGGGGCCAGGTGCTGTGGCTGACACCTATAATCCTAGCATTTGGGAGGTTGAGGCAGGAGAACTGCTTGAAGCCAGGAATTTGAAACCAGCGTGGGCAACATAGCCAGACCCCATTTCTGAAAAAAATTAAGGTAACAAATAAAATACAATATACATTTTCAAGGAAATAATTGAGATACATCAATAGTATTTGCAGATAATTTTTTTTACCCTGGAAATACTTAAATATAACTAATTAATACCATAAATATGAGCCCTCTATAGTACTTATGTGTCAATTTGTGTTTTCATTGAATCCTGGACACAGCCCACTTTGAGGCAGGTAGTGTCATCCCCTTCTCCAGATGAGGAGGCTGAGGCTTGGTGCCTTTATTTCCTGGCCTGTGGTCACATGATGGATGGTGACAGCTTTGCTCTTGCTGGCTGATGCCCGCAGATACAGATAGGACTTAGGGAACTCACCAGTGACTAAGGCTAGGATCACATCTGCACATCCCAGAAGCCTGCACCGTGAGTTTGTAATCATCATTTGTCAAGGTGGGTGTCACAGCCTTCAACATCTCAGGGTTTGTATGTGATTTAGTGAAGTTGCTCAAACTTCCAGTCCAAGATCTACTTATGTTTGTGGTTCACAGGATTGTATGTAAAAGTGTCAAACCTTTGTCAATGCTTTAGGCCCGTCAATGATCAAAGAATAAGTTAATGAGATTTACTGTAAAATGTTAAAAATTACAAATCCTTCCCAATTTTAATAGCAAAATGGGAAGTAGAGGGTGTGTACTATTTAATTCTTTATCTTTAAAGCAGAGTGTCTGTGGGTGATCTCTATGTAATATGCTTACATTCTGGGGCTCAGAGCCACCTACCAGATTGCTTTTGTTAATCGTTATTTTCTGTCCCTTTTCCTTTGCAGACGATCATTCCCGAGTGAGGCTGCAGACAATAGAAGGAGACACAAACTCAGACTATATCAATGGCAATTATATCGATGTATGTATTTTATTATTTTTAATTGATATATAATTGTTGTACATATTTGGGTGCTATGTATGATATTTTGATACATGTATACAATGCATAATGATTAAATCAGAGTATAAAACTCAGTAAACCCAACCATTCTGACATGTACCAGATTGTGTGTCTGCTGAACGATTGTTGGACATACATTGGGCTCAATCTAAAAGCAAACACATGAATATTACCCTGCACACCACAGAACTTAACAGTGAAGACACGGTCACTCCTTTTCTCAAGGTAGCCCATTCGTTGGTGAATTTCTCTGTAACATTCTATGCCTTCTTTGCCATCTCATGCTTATGTGGACTAAGAAAATGTTATTTCCATTTTTTTGTCAACAACTCATATTATTCGACACTTAAAAAATTTGTTTGCATATTAATGGGACAAAACTCTCTAATTCCTAATACGGCGATTTGCAATCCCTTGTCATCACTGCACTTTTAAGTTGTCTTCAAAGTAGTCTGCATCTGTTCACCAGGACTTCTAATGCAAGCAAGACATGTCATTAAATATGTAGGCTGTTTAATTATTGAAGACTGCCTCTTTGTTCATTCTGCATCATGTTAACTTAATGTTTTACATTAGAATAAATTCTTTAGGAGACAGCATGTTTTCAGTTGAAAGAATGAATGAAATCAAAAGTAGACTGAAAAATCAAGGGAAAGTTGCTGTTACCTCCAAGGCCCGAGTTTATATTAAACAGATTTCTGCTCCCTTGTGGTTCCGAAGGCATACTCTGTGCTTGGCCTTCACACTATTGCTTAGTCTATCAGTACTTCCATAGACAGGATTGATCCATATATATGGATTGTTTTGCTTCTTGATTGAATATTACTGAGATGCTACTAAAAGTAAATAGCATCACAATCTCTAAGAAAGTTATCTAAAAATAACTATGAGAATGTTATCTTTAGTGCTAATTAGACAGATTTGGCATTTTCAGTTATAGATTTTTGGGTAGGGACTGGGGTATGATTATTTCAAGAATAGTTCATCTCTCATTCATCAAACGAAGACCCCTGCACTATTTTGATAACAACCAAAACCATACCCTCTCCAGGTTCCATTTATTTTTTATTAAAGCAAGCTTTCTTCATAAGGTGCATTGCACTTACTCTTTTAATCAGCACATGTTTAGTGAGAACCTCATGGGAGTACTCAGATGTTCCAGACCAGTTATCTCCTCCTCACAGTCTCCCAACTCAGAAGCTGAGAAGCTGAAATATGAGTGTCTTATCCAGTCCACTTACCTCCAGGCCAACTGTAGCACACCTTCCCTTGAGAGGCTCCAGGGGACACCGTTCACACTCCAGTCCCAGCTCCTGCAGTCTCTACTGGGTCCTTGAGTACAGGGACAGTGTCCTAGGCATCTTACTTCCCCTGCACCTGGCACATGCCTGAATATAGAGAGCCCTTAGTAAGTGTTTCATGAAACACCCACTGAAGGAGTCATTGTGATCAGATTAGGCATCATAGAGGATGTAATTTGAATAAGCTTTAACCGGTGAGTAAGTGGAAATGCAGGAGAGAAGATATTCCAGCTCAAGGAGGTCACATACATGAGCAAGGCTATAAAGTAATGAAAAGACTGGATTACTGAGTTTGAATTGTATTTTAAGAGAGAAGAGCCAATACTGAGGGCCTCTTTATTCTCTTAGTCAATAGATCTTATTGAGTACTTGTGCGTTATTTACCTTTCTAGGTGCTAGCAGAAAAACTGTGAACCGTTCAAACCAAAACCAAAAAAACCTCTGACCCAGTGGAGCTGCTGTTCTAATTAGGAGAAATGGGCAATAAATTAAAAAGTTAATTCTGTATGGTCAATTAGAAAGTTGTATGTACTGCAGAGAAAACTAAAGCCGTAAAGGGGGACTCGGAGCGCCAGACCTGGAGGCCCTGATGGCAATTTTGAATCGAGTGGCTCAGTCCCACTGAGAAGGTAGCAAGTGAGCAAGGAAGACAAGGGGTTGAGCTATATAGATACCTGGAAGAAGAGCATTCTGGGCTGAGAAACGGCCCAAGCAAAGGCCTTGTTGTGGAATTTGTGCCTGGCGATTTTGAAGAAAAGCAAGCAGGCAATCATTGGCATGGTGTATGGGGGCCTGCGGAGTTCCATGATATGGGGAGAGGTCATGGGCCAGGTCAGGTCCACAGTTGTAAGGACTTTGGCTTTTACTGTGAGTGAGATGGGCAGTCGTTAGAGGTATCTGAGTAAAGCCGTGATCTGGCTGCTGGGAGGGAAGTGAACTGCACTTGGCCAGGAGAGGAAGCAGAGAAGCCTGCTATGTGGCTGTGGGAATCATCAGAGAGGTGGCAGTGGAGGTGAGAAATGGCGAGACCCTTGAGCTGCATTGAAGGTAGAGCCAGTAGGATTTGCTGGCAGATTGGCTACGGGGTTCAGGAGGGAGAGAGGGGTCAAGGATGCTGAGGAGAAGATGGTGTGTGGAACAGATTCAGGTAGGGGTTAGGGAGGAAATGAGGAGTTCAGTCTTAGGTGTGTGAAGCTTTAAATATATATTAGACCTCCCAGTGGAGGTGTTGAGCAGGCAGTGGGTATGCATCAAAATTCCCAGGAAAAGGTCTAGGCTGGAAACAAGAATATAGGATTCATCAGTGTACAGACGAGCTTGAAGGCCATGGGGCTGGAGGAGCTCACTCAGAGAATGAGAGCAGATGGAGGAAAATGTCCAACAACCAGGCCTTCCACATCAAGTTGAAAAGGGAGAACCAGCCAATGAAATTGAGAACAAGCGGCCAGGGAGGTAGGTAGGAAGAAAACCAGGAGAGTCACATCATGGAACCAGGGAAGAAAGCATTTTAAGGGGATTGATTATACTCATGCTGCCGATGGCCAAGTAGATAAGGACTGAGAAATGATGGTGATGTTCAGCAATACAGGCCACTGTGGACTCTCTGGGTGACTTCACCATCAGATGAGTCCCTCCTAACTACTGGGCACCTTGTTAGGCCCTCGGACATATAGTATGGATAAGTCAAGCAAGGTTGTTGCCCTTGTGGGACTTAGCAGCCAGTGAGAAATGAGTGATGGTCTAAAGAGTTCTATTTAATATTGGTCATGGCTCTATAATTTGAGACCTACAGCAAGTCAATTGTATAAAAGAATGTGTTTGCTTTTGTTGTTCATTGTTTTCAACTTGTTTTTAAGGGCAAAATGATCTAACATGTGCATTTAAGTTATCTGAGAAATCTGAGTTTTCTCTTCAAGTTTCTTTTTTCTGTTTTCCAACCAGTTTTGGGCATGGTATTTTGGGCAATCTTGGGGGACAGAAATAGAAAATATTAAGATCCATGGTGATATGTTAGCTGGCTGTAATTTTCTCTGAGTGGATATTTTCTTTCCCAGATACTTATCCTACAATTTTTTTGTTTCCTTCTTTTTTTTTTTTTTTTTTTTTTTTTTTTTGAGACAGGGTCTCACTTTGTCACCCAGGCTGAAGTACAGTGGTGCAATCTTGGCTCACTGCAGCCTGGAACCCCTGGGCTTATGCAATCCTCCTGCCTCAGTCCCCAAAGTAGGTGGGACTACAGGTGCATGCCACCACACCTGGCTAATTTTTGTATTTTTTGTAGAGATGGCTTTTTGCCATGTTGTGCAGGCTGGTCTCAAACTCCTAAGCTCAAGCAGTCTGCCTGCCTCAGCCTCCCCAAAGTGCTGGGATCACAGGCATCAACCACCACACCTGGCCCTTTTTCTTTGGCCTCAATTTTTATCTGTCTTGTTTCTTATAGGGTCATGATAAAAGGAAGGAATCTTTCAGAACTTCTGCCTCTTTAAATTCCTGGCCCTTGCTACAGTAGCATGTCATGGTATTAGCAGTGTTTAAGAATGGTTTTGAGGATCACTATTGATATAACTGTCTATACCAGTATAACAGAATGTGTGTTAAACCCTTGGCATATTGCCAATGACATCCCAAACACAAATGAAATTCTGTTGCAAATTCTCAGTTTGTTTGCACTTTGTAAGAGTAATGCTCATGTTATTTCAGAGAATCCATAAGTTGTTAGTGTTTCTTGCTCATCCATCATCTCATAGCCAGTTATGATTAAGTTACCCACACCTTTGGTGCAAGCATCAGAACTGTTGTATTTGATGCGCCTTCACTAATTAAGAGAAACTCAGTGGTGCTGGGTTGGCCATTTAACTTTCAGGTGATGCAGCTATTGGCGTTTGTGTGCACATTCCTTTCAGCAAAGTTAGCATGCGACTTATCTGCTGTTTATCGATTTTATGTTTATCAAATATTCTCTTTTATTTATTTTTAGGGTTATCATCGACCCAATCATTACATTGCTACCCAAGGTAAGTTTATTTCTACTTTGTTGTCTTTCTTTGTTTCTTTTGCCCACTTCCTATCATTTTGTACCCACTTCACCCTCCTTCAGGAAGATATTGCACATTTATTGCGGTTCTAGCCATCGGCAGGTACACTCTTGCCTTCCCATCAGACATTCTGGTCATGTAAATCATTTAGTTAGAACTTCATGTTGAGATCATTAGGAGAAATGTGTCCATCAATTCCTTATTGAATTCAATATGTCTACCTTAGGAGTAAGTTGGACATTTGCAAAAGTAGATGTATAGATAGCCATTCCATCAATATACACCAGCTGCTCTCTACACAGGGAACTGTGCTGGTTGCTGCTGGAGAGCTAGGCTGAATCCAGCAAGCACCCCCTTCTCACAGTGGTTGTGTTTAGTGGGGAAGATGTGCAGTCACCTGTATGTACTTTAGTAGGTACAGTGGCAGGTGACATCTGTGAGAGGAACAGATACAGATAAAACATTAGGGATATTTGGAGCAGGAAGGGGTTGCTTTCCGGTGGGATGACTCAAAAACCGTTTTGTGGCAGAGGTGAGATTGGGAAGAGCCCTTGTGAATGGAGAAACATCATGAGCAAAGATGTGGAAGCAGAAAGTTAGTTCTCCCAGGTGGAAAGCAGCTGGTGGGTCACCTTGGCTAAAGGAAACAGAAGAGCTAGAGGACATGTTGAGGAAGCTCATGGCAGTGGTTTTTGGGTGATTTTCCCAGCGTATGAAGTGGGTCATCTGCAGATGGTGGGGGTCATGAGGGAGCGAGGTTTTAGAGAATGAGGCATCCTAAAGGATGAGTCAGTGAGTCAATATGGGATGAACTGAAGAAGGAGTAAGAAGCAGAGAAGACCCAGCTAAGGCTGAACAGCACATGTTCTCCCCATTTTATTATTTTATCATTGTTTTCAGCAATAGGCTACATCCCAGGAACAGTAGCAGGGAAGTGAAAAGGATGTGATCTGCCAAAGGTTAGGCATGGGGGCAGGGTGTACACAGACAGTCAGTGACAAGGGAATCAACGATGCCAAGATAATTGGGGTTGGAAAGTCCAGGCTTGGACGAAGGGCAATCAGAGGTGTCCACTGGACCGTGAGGAGAGGGAAGGAGTTAACAGATTGAGGCTGGGTCCCATTGATGAGTCATAGCTTAGGAAAAGAGGCAGTTGTAGCCAGAGAGCAGAATTCCAATGCTTGGATCTGCCTGTGCAGTAGAACTTTCTGCAGTGGTGGGAATGCTCTCTATCTGCACTGTCCGATATCATAGCTACAAATCACATGTGGCTCCTGCATACTTGAAATACAGCTACTACAAATGAGGAACTGAATTTTAAATTTTAATATTGATAGAAATAGCTACATTTGGTTATTCCCTGTGGTGGCATTGGACAGCAAAGCTTTGGGGTGGAAAAGCTCCAGCTATGGCTGAAATGGAGCCACTGTGGAAACTGATCCTGCCCCATGCCCACAGCCACCCCAAGAACCTGGGTGACACCACACAGAGTCCACAGTCTCACATCACCACTAGGTTACTCTGCACTCAGGTCTAGATGACCTGCTGGAGCTCCCACTGTCTTTCATCATCTATGACTTGAAGTTGGTAATGGCTCCTTCCAAGGTCACTTTGCTAGCTAGATGCAAAGTTGTCTGTAGAGTTTCCAGTATGAACCTGGCACAAAGCAGGCCCTACTACATAGAGGTTGCTGAGGTCTTCAGGAAGCAAGGCTCAGCTTGAGCTCTTACATATGGGATAGAACAAGGATGCATGTCAGAGTCTGGTCCTAGACATCTCCTAACCCTGCTGCTTCCAAACGGAATTCATCAATGCCGTTAGAGGAACCTGTTGTTAGGGGTTTGAAATTCATTCTGATGGCTTTCAGAATGTTCTGAATTAAGCCTCACAACATCAGATTTAATACATTCTATGATAATTTGAAATTAACAGTTTTTGTAAATTCGTGTGAAAATTTGATTGTAAAATACCCAAAATACTCCCGAGCTTCATTTCTCTCCAATAACTTGATTAGCAAGCTATGTTTTCATAGATAACAAGAACATTAAGTTGCTCTTATTTGTATTTTCAATATTGAGGCCCTCTAGATTAAGGTGACTAAACGAACAGCTAAAGTAGAGACTGAAACTGCCAAGTCTAGACATGGCTCTTTACCAGGCTTCCTTCCCTTTGTCCATTCTCTCTGCCCCTCTCCCCCTGTAAGAGATTATTCTTTAAAGAGAAATGCCAATAGAGAAGTCACTTTCTGCAGAATTCATGTGAGTGATACTTAATAGCTCAGTAACCCTCTCTGGCAGCATTCTAGTGTTAATGAGCAAATGTATTTGTAAGCAGATAAGAAATAGCAAATGTCATCAGTTTGCAGTAGACAATCAGTCTGCCCTTAATGGAGAAGGGCATTGACTAATGCCCTGTTTACCAGGTCGTGGCAGCCTTTCCCTGGTACAAGGTGGGCTGCAGATTGGACTTCTCAAACTGGCAGTACTAACATCACTGCTGGTGGCGGTGCAGGGAGAGGAGGGAAAATGAATGAATATTTTTAATCTAACATGCAGTCAAGAATATACATATCATATTAAGAATAATACATTCATACCATGATGTTCAGATGAGAAAGCTAGAATCTTCTATTATATACCAGAAGATAATGGACTAATAGCCTTAGATCACCAGTAATCAAGATCACTGATGATAATCTTCACTAATTGGCATGGACAGGTAGAATATGTTCGTAGATCACCTTTGTTGAAAAACAAACAAACAAAACATTAATACCTCCAAGAGGCCAACAAAATGGGCAATGAAGACCAACAGGCAGATGCAGTCTTTAAATGTCTTCTTGCTCTATTTGTCCTGTGTTTTGCACTAACATAATTCTTTAAAATATATTCACAGCAGGAACCTATGAAACTATACAAATGGTGCAATTTGCTGACAACCAGTTTTACTTCCAAGAGTTAGTAATGCACAGATGTTCATCAAGTTCCTTCAATACAGAGGACATATTATAAATTTAAGTATTGGGTCTCCTCCTCCCATCCACCCTCAATTTTATTGATTTTTCTAGCTGTAACTGACTTTGACCTTTGATAATAATGGGTGACGTTTCTGCAAATTGAAAGCATCCCATTCAAGCCAGATCTGTTGCTTTTTTAGTATTAATATGTTCTTCCTATCTCCCCTTGGTTTAATTGTCTTCTGTCTGGCCACTAATATATGATGACCCAATATTAACTTCATCATGTCTGACTGACCAGACATTAGTGCAACAGTAACATTCAAGATTTATGATTTAGCAAACCAGGAGCTCAAAGGAGAGGAAGTCATGTCCACTACTGCATGTCTCTGTATGTAGAGGCAGGGCAGAGTGAAGATTTCAAAAGCAGGCTCAAGTGATGGGCAGAAGAGCATGCAAGTGGGTAGGATTGCCCAGAAGTGATCGTATTTCACAATCAAAATGCAACCTTGGAGATTATGTGGCCTGCAAGCTGGATGAAGCCACACACATAAGAACCGACTGGATAGAACACCTGCTGGCCTCATGGTGGCAGCCATGGGGGCCCTGGATAAGTGTTCTTTTGATTTTTGTTTGGTTTTGTTTAGAGACATGATTTCACTCTGTCACCTAGACTGGAGTGCAGTAGTGGGATCATAGCTTACTGAAGCATCGAACTCCTGGGCTCATGTAATTCTCCCACCTCAGCCTCCAAAGCATCTAGGACCACAGTTGCACACCATGCCTGACTAATGTATTTTATTTTATTTTTTGTAGATTTAGGATCTCCCTAAATCTGTGTTGTCCAGGCTGGTCTCAGACTCCTGGGCTCATAGGAGCCTCCCACCGTGGCCTCCCAAAGCGCTGGGATTACAGGCATGAGTCATTGCACTCGGCTTTGTTTAGTTTTAATTTTAAAACTTACCTCAAGAGTCAGATAACTCAGGGAAAGACCATGCAAGGCTGTTACTGAAGAAAGTGCTGTGAGTGTGTTCTAGACATGGCTTGCACAGTCCTGAGCATCCTTCCTCACTTCTAAGTGAGCATTTTCCAGAGTCATTTGTGCACCGGGATCCCCCAAGAAAGAGGCTCAGGCCTGGTGTGGTCTTTCCTGTGTACTGCATGCTCACCCCCCAAAACCATATGGTTAATCCAGATCCAGCCCCTGCTTTCTAAGTTATGATGCTTCTCATGACAACACAATAAAAAGCAAATGTTCGATGATAGTCATGTCTGAAAATACATGTTAATTATTATTGTCTTCAATGTTGTAACCTGAGCTATAGATTGTTGAGATGCACGCGTTACTTTTTTGAGTTTAGGTGCCTCAATGCCCACTTCATCATTTCTTTCTTTCTGAACTGTGCTAATTTGACAGGGTTGACTACCTGATTGGGGTTCCGAACTTAGCCTTCATCTTGCCATATATAGTTTCTTTTTGTCTCCATCAGCATTAGCTCTGTACAGCACCCTGTAGAGTCCAGGACTAGAGAGAGGATCTCCAAACAGAAGCCCCCATGCCCACGTGAGAACAGGGAGACGCTTGTGCCCCCAACCATGTTTTCCATAGGACCGCCCAGCCATGTGCACTCTGGCCCAAATGTCCCTCACCTTTGGAAGACACAGAACTTCCTTCAAAACTAATGAAATATCAAGATCGTTTCCCCAGAAAGAAAATTTCATTTAAGGTGGTTCATGGACTACCCCCACCCCCCAATTTTACTCATGAATTATAGTAATTCTATGGACCTCAGGTTATGAACTTTACTTTGGTCAGAAACATTAAAAGCTATTTGGGGATAAGACAGAAACCATAGACTTAATTAATCTACTTTTTAAAATTATACTTTAAGTTCTGAGGTACATGTGCAGAACATGCAGTTCTACTTTTTAAAAAACCATACTTAGGGGTTAACAAAATGTCACAGATTGTTTATAACTATGTGAAATACATTCCTGAAAGCATCAAAATTTTTACTAACTTTAACAAACTATTACTAAAATGTTTACTAGCCTAACCCTGTAGTAAAATACCCTAGAGTATTGTTATAATCGTTAGTATTTTGAACCATGGTCAGTTTGGGTTTTACGGTTCATCTCAGGCTGGGTTTTCTGCCTATCTGTTATTTTGCATTCGTGCTGAAAAGTTTATGCCTTTGCTCACCTTTCAACAATTTTAGCAATTATAATATATTAGAAAATGCTCTCTCTGAATGACAGAGACTAGAGTAGCAGGTCCCATAGCTGATGTTTATTTTGTAAAAGCAGGATGTAGTAGAAATAACACATGTACCACAGCCAGAAGGCTGGGATCCAAATTCTTGTGCTGTCACAGAAAAGGTATTTGAACTTCCTAAACTTATTTCAGGTAGAGTCCTGGTGTTTGGTAAATAGTAATAATAGTCAAGACCTTACCATGTGCCAGACAGCATTCCCAGCACTCACACATACAGAGCTCATTTCATCTTTACCACAAATATGGGAGATATATGGGATTGTCCCCAATTTATAAATGAGAGGAAAGGAGACAAAGAAACTTGAAATAATATGCTCCAAGTCACAGACCTAAAAGTGCAAAGGCCAGATTCAAGTGTAGCCACTGAACTCCAGCATCAAGGCTCCTCCCCACCTCACTATACTGCCTCCCATAGGTGACCTTGGGGATTACTTTAACTCATGTATGTATCAATGCTTAGAGCAATTCCTGGCATGGAGCAAATGCCATGTATGCGTGACCTGTTACTGTTTTTGAGAAACAGCACAGAATCGCTTAATCATTAGGAACACAGACTCTGGAACTACATTGTCTGAACTCAACCCCCAACCCTGGTTCCTCCATTGGCAACTTGTGTGACCTTGGACAAGTTACTTAACATCTCTGTGCTCATCATAAATGAAGATGAAAATAGTCTACCTTGTAGGGAGCTATTTATTTATTTTTTAACTTTTAGGTTCAGGGGTACATGTGCAGGTTTGTTATACAGGTAAACTGCATGTCATGAGGGTTTGGTGTACAGATTATTTTGTCACCCAGATAATAAGCATAATACCCGATAGGTAGTTTTTTAATCCTCTCCCTCCTCCCACCCTCTACCCTCAGGTAGGTCCCAGTGTCTGTTGCTGCCTCCTTTGTGCCCATGTGTTCTCAGTGTTTAACTCTCACTAACAAGTGAGAACATACAGTGTTTGATTTTTCCGTTCCTGCGATTGGTCAGTTAGGATAATGGCCTCCAGCTTTATCCATGTTGCTGCAAAGGACATAATCTCATTCTTTTTTATGGCTGCATAGTATTCCATGGTATATTTGTACTACATTTTCTTTATCCAGTCTACTGTTCATGGGCATTTTGGTTGATTCCATGTCTTTGCCAGTGTGAATACTGCTGTGATGAACACATGTATGTATGTATCTGAATCACGCATGAATCATATAGAATGATTTATTTTTCTTTGGGTATACAGCCAATAATGGGATTGCTGGGTCAAGTGGTACTTCTGTTGTAAGTTCTTTGAGAAATTTCCCACACTGCTTTCCACAATGGCTGAACTAATTTACATTCTCACCAGCACTCTATAAGCGTTCCATCTTCTCCACAACCTCTCCAGCATCTGTTATTTTTTCTTTTTAATAATAGCCATTCTAATTGGTGTGAGATGGTATCTCATTGTGATTTTAATATGCATTTATCTAACAATTGGTGATGTTGAGCATTTTTTCATATACTTGCTGGCCGCATGGTACCTTTTCAAGTGTATCTGTTCCTGTTTTTTGCCAAATTTTTAATGGGGTTATTTGGCTTTTGCTTGTTAATTTGTTTAAGTTCCTTATAGACTCTGGATATTAGACCTTTGTTGGATGCATAGTTTGAAAATGTTTTCTCCCATTCTGTAGGTTTTTCTGTTTATTCTCTGGATAGTTTTTCTTGTTGTGCAGAAGCTCTTTAATTAGGTCTGATTTGTCAATTTTTGTATTTGTTGCAATTGCTTTTGACATCTGAGGAGGTGTAAGATCTCTACAGCGAGAACTACAAAACACTGCCCAAAGAAATCAGGGATGATACAAACAGTGAAAAAATATTCCATGCTCATGGATAGGAAGAAGCAATATTGTTTAAATGGCCCTACTGCTCAAAGCAATTTACAGATTCAATGCTATTCCTATCAAACTACCAATGACATTCTTCACAGAATTAGAAAAAACTATTTTAAAATTCATACAGTACCATAGAAGAGCCCAAATAGCCAAGGCAATCCTAAGCAAAAAGAACAAAGCTGGAGGCATCACTTTATGTGACTTGAAACTGTACTACATGGCTACAGTAACCAAAACAGCATGGTACTGGTACAAAAGCACACACGTAGACCAACAGAACAGAATAGAGAGCCCAGAAATGGTGCCACACACCTACAACCATCTGACCTTTGCAAAGTTGACAAAAACAAGCAATGGGGAAAGGACTCCCCATTATTAATATTATTGAATAATAAATGGTGCTGGGATAACTGGCTAGCCATATGCAGAAGATTGAAACTGGACCCCTTCCTTATACCATATACAAAAATCAATTCAAGATGAATTAAAGAATTAAATGTGAAACCTCAAACTATAAAAATCCTGGAATATAACCTAAGAAATAGCATTTTGGACATAGGCCCCAGCAAAGGGGCCTTTTCTTTTTAATACCCAGTAAGTTGCCCATTTACAAAATAATGTCCTTTTTTGCTGACCTTGAAAATATACTCAGACAAAGCAGAGTAGGTCTTACTAATTGCATATGTTCACATTTCAAAATGTAAGTAGTCTTATGTAAACCCCTAAATAGCTAGTGACATGAACTTTTCATTTCTCACATGTGAACAAACTTAAACTGTGCATAGTTAAGAAGCCTTGGAACAATTCATAGAGATTGTGATCTGTGGAGAACTGGCTATCCAGATAGGCCCCACCACATGCCATTGACCTTATCACCGCCATCACTGTCTTCCTTTTATGCTCAGAGGATCCAGATGCCCAGTGTCATCTTTGAGGATGCCAGGTCACATTGGCAAAGACCACAGAAACTGATATGGAGAACCAGATGCCAGATAGTCATTTACAATGAAAACTGTAACCACCCATCAGACAGAACTGCCAAGGTCAGGCAGGGGCATTCTGTGTGAAGAGGAAGATGCCTTGGCAGAAGATCACTTCATCATGACCAGGGCATCTGAAGAAGGGGTCGGAGAGTTTATTCATGATTCAATAAGTATGCACCACCTGTCTTGTAGTGAGTTGGCATAAAACATAAGCTCAGTAAGAACACAAGAATGAATGAGTGAATGAGTAAATGAATGGATTGGGACTTACGATGTGCCACGCACCACTTAGACAGTAGAATATCTCAGCCAGGTAGAGAGGATGGCTCATGTTGGCCCGGCAAAGCCAAAATCCTGGGGCAGATTTTGGTGGCATTATCTCCAACATCTCTGACTATTTCTGTTTCAAGTTAAGGGCTGGTCAGCTTCTATTCTTAGAAACACTTTCTTTACATATGTCAGTAAATCAAATCCTGTATTTAGAGACAGTCCATCTTGTTAAACTAACTTTGCTTGGCTCTACCCTGACCCTGTTTGTGTAACCCCTGTCCCCATACATATAATCAGTTTTGTCTGTAGTTATAATTTGTCCATAATTTGAAAAAGAGAAGCCTAAAAAGTTCCCTCCAGACACTTTCAGCTAGGAACAAACTTTTATGTGAAAATAATAAAAATGTGGGGAGTGAAGGTTTATAGTGGAAATATTTACAGAGCCTCAAACACTGCACAACAGTTCAAACTTTGTTGTAGTGCCTTCATTCTTTTTGCTGTCAGTTTGTTTTTCTTCTATCTTTATTCCACATACTTCTGGTATAGGTTTAATAAGGATTTTTCAAAAAGATAAATATGGTTTATATTTTCCCAGCTCAAAATTCCCCTTCAGGCCTCTGAAGCAATAAATAATAGTGCTTTGAATGCTGCACTCACTTTCCTGGGCAAGCCATTCCGGTAGTGGAGGGTTCTCAGAGCGTCAGTGTAACTTCTGCACACTCTGTAAAGCAGCTTTTTTCTCTTGCATTCTGGCCTCCAGATGGAGATGAACACTTGAAATTATTTCTCAGTAGAATTGAAAGAACTTTTTTTTAAATCAAAAGCTCAGCCTTCAGTAAACAACTTTTGTTTTTATTCTTCCAAGAACCAGTGCAGCTTGCACTTCAAGTGCAAATTCTGTGTTAGCTAGCACTGTGCTTCCTGGCAAAGTTGTTCCTGCATTGTCAGTGAGTTGTAGGTTATGTTTTGGATTCATTTGTTATGTCCTATTTGAGACTAATTTAAAAGTATTACCTAGTGAAGTGGAGTATTCTCTGGTTTCCAAATTTAAATAGGGATGCTTTGAGAAAATGTGATTTATATACAGGCGAACAGTGACTCCATAAAAGTCACTGTCGTAAGTATTCCAGCGACCCAGGGCCAAGTTTATACAGACCCTGCCTGCATTTTACCAACCATCTGTGGTTTTACAAGAGAGAATGAACAATTGCAATTAGCAGCTTATCCAGAAACTTCCTTTTAAACAATAATTTCTCTTCACTAGATTAATTTCAAAAGATAGTTGCCAATTAGCCAAATGGTCACTTTCATAGACATTTCTCATCCCTGTGCTCTAAATAAACTTGCTCATTAGCAATGAGAACATTTAAAGGAAGAGTTAAAGTTAAAAGATGAAGTAAAAAATAGAGCATGTCAGGTAACATCCACCTATGTTGTTATAGATGCCATAAGGAAAATGTGGCCCTCTAATAAGAGAACCAAAATTAATACAGAATAATTTGAAAATAAATGATGTCCTGTTGTTAAGCAAGCACTCAGATTTAAGGTGTCTTAAAACAAATGCTTTTTAAACCTTCAAGAGTATTTAGAGGGGTTCCTCATTTGAAGTAGAAAATTTGTAGAATCTTTTAGAGGTGACAGAAACTTTAAGAAGCTCACAGTCCAGTTTCCTTGTTTTGTTATTATAACAGTTGGCACTTAAAGCAGAACTATATTTAAGTGACCTTCATCCACATAAGTTCAAGTGAGTCATATATGCAAAAGTATTTGCAAACTGCATGGACTAACGTTCATATTTTAATAGAGTGTGTGCAAAGTTCAACCTAGGAGAAACGTCATATGTTAAGACAGACCTGTTCCCCCATAGGGCCTTTTATTCAACAGGAAGAAAAACTGTGAGGTTACATCTTTCTCTCAGGTTCAGCCCTTTAAAAGGAGAGAGCTGAAACTAATACCCATGTACTTTCCAAAGTGCTGGCTTCCCCGTGCCTCTGGCAACATGAGTCCTTGCAAAGCAAAGCTACTCCTTTACAGCCTGGTTCATTCAAAATTGAACAAAGGTTTCTGTGCACCTGTCACTTGCCAGGATCAGCACACGATCCGGAATATACCAGTGACTTCAGAATTACCCAGTGTGGAGTATAAATAAATGATACCCAACTCTTACTAATTTGTGATTTTAATGCACCCACAGATTTGGGGACTTCATTTTGATTTTTAATTATTTAGATTTTTTTCAAGAGACATGGTCTCACTCTGTCACCCAGGCAGGAGTGTAGTAGCATGATCATAGCTCGCTGTAGCCTCCAGCTCCTCGGCTCAAGGGATCCTCCTGCCTCAGCCTCCTGAGTAGCTAGAACTACAGGGATAAGCAACCACACCTGGCTAATTTTTTATTTTATTTTTTATAGAGACAGGGTTTTGCTATGTTGCTCAGGCTGGTCTCAAACTCCTGGCCTCAAGCAATCCTCCTACCTCAGCCTCCCAAATTGCTGGGATTACAGGCATGAGGCACTGCACCCAACCTAGGAACTTCTTTAAGCCATTTCTCTTCTCCACCCCTACCCCATTTTACAGAAGAAAAAATAAGACCAAGTGCAGCCCTAGAACCACTTTTCCAGAAATCTGGGCACCAGGTTTCTTTTTCACCCATGGGCACAGTTTAGGACCAGTTTTTCAAGGCAGCAAACAGTTTAGGAAGTTTCTAGCTATAACCAGTGACTTTTTTTCTTGCCTTCTCACTCAAAAGGAAGCTGCTGGAAATTTCCTCATGCAACACCCTTCACTGCCATGGAAAATTTGAGACTGTCTGCACTGAGCTATGTCTAGGGAGCCAATTTATCTGTATTTCATTCATTTATTAGATTTATTCTCTTTTTTCTTAAATAAAAGAGGATTCCACTTGTGTACTGAGAAGAGCTTAATTAAGGAAGATAGAGACTAATGAAAGCTTTTATTTCTCTGGCAGTAGCCCCTGAAGCATATGAATATAGGCTGTTCCCTTCACTTTACTTCCTTGACAGAAGGCAGCCAGATCCTTTGGGTCACCAAACCCCTCCATTCTGAAGGCTGCCGTTCATTTTTTTTTTTTTTTGTCCTTGATTGCCGTCTCTCTGTTCCCCTCTTTACAGCATGCGCAAGTACCCAAGCTCAGTTTCTGAGCGTTCTCTTTGGAGACCGACACTGATGAATGCTCTGTACCTCCGCCAGCAGGATGCTTCTGTGCTGTGGACATCTGTCATGTTCCTTCCTTCCGAGGCCACAGCACTTTCTCCTGCGCCTCTTTTTAGCTCCCCATGCATGCCGCCATTCGGTCTGTCCCAGGGATCAGGGACTGAAGGTCCCTCTGGAAGCAGTGTCTCTATCTCTGCATTGTATAGCATATTGTTGCCACACACTACCTACCCCCATTTTATTCTTTTCTATATTAGAGATCCTCTTTGGTGCCCTAATCCATATCCCATCACTCAAATCTGATGGGTCTGCCTTTCTCGACCTGCTTTCTGTGTCAAGAATAATAGAAACCTTTTTGCATTCCTTTTCACAGTGGTACCACTGCAACCTGAAATAGTTTACGTAACTGCTAGGGAGGTCCGATTCTAGAAGAGGACTGAATATCGCCCAAAAAGAATGAAATGCAAATAATGGTTTCTTTCGGTAGATGGAGTTTCCAGAAATGCTTTGGAACATTTCAATTCTAAGAGCAAGTCATGCTAGGCTACAAACCACCCCATTATTGGTTTTACCCATAGATATCTCTTTGCTTTATGCAACATAGTCACAATCAGATCTCTTCAACTTGTTCTTAAAATTTCTTCCATATACAACCATGTTTTATGTCAGTAACTAGGCCAGGACTGTCCGCTCCCCACTAAAAGAAGATAGGCAGAATGGTTAATGAAAGCCTACACTCTAGAGTTGCACAGCCTAGGCTCAGATAGCAGCTCTGCAAGTAACCTCTCAATAGATATTAGCTACTTATTGTTATTATCATTTTGTATGTTCCAAAAGACATATCTCTCAATAGCAGAGAAGCAGTTCAGGTTTTAACCCTAGTATAATGTATACTCATATAGTTTTCATGAAAGCTGATACATCCTACACCTGTTAATGCTTCCTTCCAGAAGGATGTATCAAAGGGAGCCACTTAAGTGTGCACCAACATCCTGTACTCCCTCCAGAGTACAAAGAGTGCCATCATTGTTCACTGTTAAACTGTAGACAAACATAGGTTGGAAAGACAACAGCTGCATCCTAAGCTGGAAAAGCATATTTTCCTTCTGTTTTTGAAGTCTTGCTGAAATTGAGCAGCCTTGATAGCAGCGCCAGCTCCACGTCTTGGTGTTCTGAAGGCTTCCCTGGTGCACACTTAAAGTCAGATGACATGTGAGTGAAAACAGCTTAATTCCAAAGACCAGACAAGTTCCTTCCTAACAGGCTTCATTGAAAGCAGTTCCTGAGATAAGAATTACACAGGGGTGTTTTAGAGAGGAGCTTTAACATGGTAAGTTCCTTATATTTCTTAGGAAGAAAATGGCTATTGATTAAATTTATCTTTATTATAAAGACATACTAAATAATATCTACTATGTAATTATTTGTCCTTTTTGTTTTTAAACATTTCATAATCATTTTAATTGAATAAATGATTAAAAGAAAAGATTATTAACCAGAAAAGAGAAAATAGATGATGGTTGAAGGGTTGTATAGCATATTATAGACAGAGGTTTCCCAGGCTATTTTAGTGTTTATTTAAAACCTGTCCGTTAATGTTTGGTTTATGCCAATTTTCTCTTAATGAAATTTGACATAACCTTTTGGTGTCCAATCAGGATTTCATATGTTTTAGAAATACACCCAGAAACAAACATTCCATGAAACTAAGTATGTAGAGAAAGCCACAAATAGTCACATGGTTTATATTGTCACACTTTCTTACTTCAGTCTGAAATGAGAATTTTGGGGAATGGAATGAGTGAAATGTAAGCATCAACATGTGGGTTGTGTGCGCTGGAGAAAAGGCTAATCGTGGATACAGCGGAAAGTGTATGCCTGATTTTAGGTATAAGAAGAGTACACACCTGCAAGGCAATTTAGAAGAAATTGGGCAAACAGCAAGTACCCGCCAACCAGAGAGGGCCAGGTGAGGGGAAAAGACTCTTGTCACAGGAAACCCTACTCCAGTTGAGAAGAGATGTGTCATTGTGTGGCATCACTGTAATTTATTAACAAAACACTCTTTAACATTTATTATTTAAGTCATCACTTTCAACACTACTTCTAATAAGGTATATTTTATTATAGCTTTTCTCTTCTTTTACTGTCACCAAATTGAAATTCCAGTGGACCAGTGAACACTTCTAACCCTATTATGTAATTCTAGGCATAAAGAGTTTTTCGTGTGAGAGTTGTCCTTAGAAAATGCGATTTTAACAGGCCAGTTATATTTTTGATTTTAGGTTAAAGTATTGCCGAGTTTTCCCCATCATAGAACAATTCTCAGTGTGTTTGCTTGTAATTCATTAGTTGATTTCCATTGTTTCCTTTAAATGGTAATTTTCTTGGGATATTCTTAGCAATTCGGGATAATGAGCAAATCATGTCCCTTATACCCACCCATCTCAACTTTGCTTTTCCTTTTCTGCAGCTGAAACAAAAAATATTTCATGAAAGTTGCATGATTTTAACATAAGTAGCCTCAGGGGAGAACAAATGCAACTATCAAATAAGTGATGTTAAGGATTATTAATGCTGAAGCCAAGTATATTCTGTGTCACTGTTACCACTTCTGTGACACATGAGGCAGATTCAGTTTGTAAAGCATGGTGGCATATTTTACCGTTTACATCTCACTACTGTAAAAATGAAAAGCTACTCAATGTAAAATTATAGACTTAAGTGTTATGGAAGCATCATATTGAAAAATCACATAAAGCTTTATAATAAAAACTTAGAAAACCACTGAAGGGACAACTAGTTCTCTAAATGTTGAGTAACTGACTTCGTAACCCTTATTATAGATTATCACCAACAGCAACAGGAGCAATCATGGATCAAAAATTTAGGACCACTTTTATTCCTGTAGCAAGAGCTTTAAAATGAATGCCTCTCAGGCTCATCGTCTTCTGTGGTTAAGTCCCACCTTCAGCCATCTTCATTGCTGATGGAGGGAACTGGCTGCCAGTGCCCAAAGGAGGGAGCCCAGGTTTCCTGCAGCTGCTTTGCCTTAACATCCCTCCCCTTTCCCTTCGCACTTCTGCCATTCAGTGTGTACCCCCACCCACCACACACTCCCTCCTTCAGGTCCCAGAACCACGCTAGAAACAAACATTCTGGTGATGCGCTCAAACGGGCCCTGGTCTCGGGCAGTTCAGTTCATTCTGCAGTCAGAATAGTGGTGCTGGGCTGACCTGAATTGGAATTCCAGCTTTGCCACATACTGGCAGTGCTGCTGTAACAAAGGCACTTCATCTCCTAAGCCTGTTTCTTGGGCTGGAGTAGGTGCCTCACACTGCTGTGTTGGGGAATGAATGAGATCGTGCATATAAAGAGCAGCATCCAGCACCTGCCTGGCAGGGAGCCATCTAGTTGTACCTATTTATTTGTCCAACACCCTTGTCCTGGGTTCCCCTTATTCCAGCCTAGAAGCCTTGGTTCTCTTATTGCTGACAGAGCTTTAGGGATGGCAAGAGTCCCCCTTGGTTTTAACACTGTCTTCCTAGTACAGCCCCAGTCCTCCCTGGTCTGAATCAAGAGGTCAGCCTATCCACCAATCCCCTGGTTCCTGAGCCCACCTGAGCCTCATTGCCACACTGGGGAGCCTTGGAGCCCACGCTGGCCCTGCCAGCCACACGTGGCCGGCTTAGGGCCTGCCCCCTGCCCTATAGGCTCTGACCTTCCTGCCCCCAGGCTCTCCCTGTGCTGAGCCATCACCTGCAGCCACATTGCTGCTGTCTGTTGGATTCCCGACCCATCACCACCTGGACATTTCTGCTGCAGATCTCCGCCAGCCATTTGGATGCCCAGGGAGCTGTTCTTGCCATAATAATTGTAAAATTATAAAATATGTTTAAACTTTGCCTCTCATTAATCAATACGGACCATCTTTTTGTTCACTGTTCTTTACTGTTCACATTCAACATATTCCTGTTTCTTAGGAGTTGTTTTGTTCAATGGAAAGAGTAGACCCTTCTGCTCTGGACACTGGCGTCTGTCCAGAACATGCAGGAGAGCTCAGTGGGAGCCTTTGGACTTGGCTTTGGATAGCTGGGCTCAGTTTACCATTTCTCTCAGCCCACCGTACCTTGCTCCTCCTGTTCCCACTTCATCCTCAGCTGCTGATGGCTGGTCACACCTAAGGCTGAGCCCACACCTGATCAAACCTCCTTGCAGTACAGGTGCCCCCCGTAGAGTCCGTTCCAACAACCAAACACTTCTTCCTCTGTTTTCTTTCTCTGATTTTTCCCGAGCTTTGATTCTAAAACCGGAACTTTCCTTAGTCATGTTTTTTAGTATCTGTCATGGTTGTCTTCCACTCCTAAAATCTGAACTTGCAAATCTTATCAGAATTTTACATTTCCTACAAGAGGGCCCCATGGGAGTCTCCTTCCCTCCCAAGTGGCAACAAGTGGCTCCTGCTGGAGGACCTGCTATCCCCACCCTCCCTCCCCTCTCCCCTCCTTCAGAGTCATACCCTGTCCTTTGAGACCTATGGCAGGTACCTGACTTCAACAATGCTAGTCCTGCTACTGCGTCGCCAGTCAGACCTAAGCTCTTCCTGACTTTGACTGCCACAGGCATCCTCATACATCAGTTACCGACCCTGGCCTTCAGACTTTTCTTCTTGTGTATCCCCAAAAGAAGTTTGAAGAAATTATGCACCTGCTCTAAACATTTGAGTTTGATATCGAAAACTTTCATCACATGTTTATGTAAGTGTATTTGTTAATAAGAGATAGACAGTATGAAATACTTTCTAAGACAAAATGAGGATTGGTGTAATTAAGATAAATATTTTATGATATGTGGTGTTTTTTAACTGCCTTACAGATTCAAGCATACCAAACCTGAAAGAAAACTCATGAAACTTTCACTTACGGGTTTCATCCAAGAAAATTTGGCTCTCCTCGAAAGCATTCTGGTTCCATTTAAAAGAGTAAATATGGCCAGGCGTGGCAGCTCACGCCTGTAATCCCAGCACTTTGGGAAGCTGAGGCGGGCAGATCATTTCAGGTCAGGAGCTGGAGACCAGCCTGGCCAACACAGCAAAACCCCATCTCTACTATAAACACAAAAGCTAGCTGGGCGTGGTAGCGCACGCCTGTAGTCCCAGCTACTCTGGAGGTTGAGCCAGGAGAATCACTTGAACCCAGAAGCCAGAGGTTACAGTGACCCATGATCGCGCCACCGCACTCCAGCCTGGGTGACAGAGAGAGACTCTGTCTCATAAAAAATAAATAAATAAATAAATAAATAGTAATAAATATTACCAACCTCTACTGCTTCAAGGGTTCTGAGTTCAGAACATCTTAACATAAGCCAAAATGCTAAGTTTTACTCCTCACAGAATTGTTTCAGACAGGGAAGTGAGTTTCTGGAGCCAGAATTCCAGCCCAAACCTGTAGGTTTTTACACCTGGGCAGTGCCCCATGGTCATATTTGAGATAGGTGGTTTTTCAAGTGTATGAAAGACTATTGTGAGGCTGGACACAGTGGCTCATCCCTGCAATCCCAGCACTTTGAGATGATGAGGCAGGCAGATTGCTTGAATCTAGGAGTTACAAACCAGCCCGGGCAACATAGTGAGACCCTATCTCTACCAAAAGTACAAAAATTAGCTGGGCATAGTGCCTGTGGTCCAAGCTACTCAGGAGGCTGAGGTGGGAGGATCACTTGAATCAAGGAGGTCAAGGCTACAGTGAGCCGTGATCATACCACTGCACTCCAGCCTGGGCGACAGAGCTAGACTCTGTCTCAAAAAAAAGAAAGAAAGAGAGACAGACAGAGACAGACAGAGAGAGAGAAAAGAAGAGAGGAGGAGGGGGAGGGAGAGGAGGAGGAGGAGGAAAAAGAAGGAGAAGAAGGAGGAGGAGGAGGAGAGAAGGAGGAAGAGAGGGGAAGGAAAGGGAAAGGTAGGGTCACACCTGTAATTTCAGCACTTTGGGAGGCTGAGGCGGGCAGATCATGAGGTCAGGAGATCGAGACGTTGGTGAAACCCCATCTCTGCTAAAAATACAAAAATTATACAAAAATTAGCTGGGTGTGGTGGTGCGTGCCTGTAGTCTCAGCTACTCAGAAGGCTGAGCCAGGAGAATTGCTTGAACCCAGGAGATGGAGGTTGCAGTGAGCCAAGATCACGCCACTGCACTCCAGCCTGGCAACAGAGCAATCGTCAAAAAAATGTATATAATAATACATTTTAAAAAGAAAGAAAAGAAAAGAGAAAAGAAGTGGAAAGAAAAGAAAGACTATTGCATATGGAGGCTGGAGACTCCTGCCTAGGGAATAAGTTTTGGCAGAGTCCTTATAGATATTAAGTATCTGGAAATTAATACTTGAAAAACTACTCATATATGCCTTAGATCGTCTTTATGTATCTCCAAGGGTATGCATAGCTCAGTTTGAGGAGGTTTTTTTCAATTTTTTGAGACAGGTATGTTGCACAGACTGGTCTCAAACTCCTGGGCTCAAGCAATCCTCCCATCTCTGCCTCTGAGTAGCTGGAATTACATCAGTTGAGGTTTAAGTGTCCCAGGATGTTTGCCTTACTGTACTTTACATGAGAGTGTGGGCTGTTCTTATCTTATCTCTACCTCAGAAAATTTCAAGCTTCTGGATGGTGGAGACCATGTATGTATTACTCACCTTTACATCTCTACTATACCTCACAGAATGCCTGGCATTTAACACTAGGCTGAGTGCTTAACTGCTGCACGCAGGGGTGGCCACTCATACCCACTGGGGCCAGGACAGTGGTATAAACGAACAAAGCAAGTTAGGCATGAGGCCACGTTAGGAAAATGTGCATGGAAAACACACTGGCAGCACAACTCACTTTAAACATCATGAAGAAACAGGGAGCCTCCACTTGGGTCTTGGAAAAGTGACCTGAGGAAGTGACTTTTGGACTGCTCAGCTGAAACCAGCAAGGAGATGTGCAGGCTTTAAGTGACGCATCAGCAGAGGGGGGTCTTGCGGGAGGACGCTGGGAAGGAGCGTGAGGGAGATAGATGGTCAGGGAGGGGCAGGTGCCCTGACACAGTCCAGGCACAGACTGTGTGGGACCGCATTTGCCTTATTAAAGAATTTAGGGCTTACTCTGAGAGCAGCGGAAAGCTGTGGGAGGATTTATGCAGGAAAATGACATGTGGGGTTTACAGTCTTCATAGATGAGCCCTGGCTGAGGGATAGGGAACGGATTCAGGGGAGGCCCCATGTGGGTTTGGGGTGTTGTATTCATCCACTTGGTAAATAGGTGAGTTGTCATGGTGGCTGGGGTTTGGAGGGGGACAGAAATGGAGTGGAGGAAACAGGGTGTGCTGTGCTCTTGAAGTAGTCCTACCGGGTAAGCACAGACGCTTGGGGGCTGGCTGTGCTTGTGAAGCTGAATTTGATTCTGTATCAGTGGGAGGCCCTTGGATTGGAGTAGTTAAAGGAGGGAAGTGACCTGAGATCATGTACCCTAGAACTTAAAGTATAATTTAAAAATATATATATATATATGGAAAAAAATTAAAAAAAATGAAAACCTAGAAAGATACAAGGTTCTATGTCATTACATTAAAATTGTAATGCTTAAAAAAAAAACACCTTTAAAGAGGTGGTTTCAGTGTGGTTAATATGGGTTCTCTCCTGTTTTCTTCTTGCCGGGATTGTGAGGACTGTGTGGTACACACCTGTCTGGTAGAGCCCTTCTGAGTTGCTTCCGATGTTCAAATGAGGCGGTATGATGTAATGCAGTCAGACTTCTGGTTCAAAACTCAGCCCTATAGCTCACTAGCTGTGTGACCTTAGACAGCTTGTTTGACTTCCCAGTGCCTCAGTCTCCATCAGTAAAATGGGGGTGAGCAATAGGACCTATTTCATAGGATGGTGTTTTCTAAATTTAATGCAATAGTACATGTAAACTACTTCAAACAGGACCTGGGAAACAGTAAGTGTTTAAGGGACATTAGGTATTATTCTGTTTATGATGGAATGCCAATTTGTACTTATATTATCTTTCTTTACTTCAAAAAACTCGAAAATGCCACTGTGAGCTTAAGGGACCTTGACTTCTCAGCAGCTCTAGTTAATGTAGAAAACATAGTGTATAGAAATTCAAATGTGAAAAGCAGGGGTACAAGTCATCAAGGTTTGAAAATGATCATTTTTATAGATGTAGGGGTACAAGTGCAGTTGTGTTACGTGGATATATTGCTTAGTGGTGAAGTGTGGGCTTCTAGGGCACCCATCACCTGAATATTATACATTGTTGAAACGATGATTTTTGATATCTCTCACTTCCCATGAACTAGAGAACTCATCTTATACAATAAAGCCCATCCTTGAATGTCTTTCATTAATGCTTTTCATTGCTTGTTAAAGGTTAATGTTTTTTATTGAAAAAAAAAAACGTTCCGCCCCCTTTTTTTTCCCTTTGGGGCTTGGTGGTGGCAGGAATGGCCCCCTGCACCTTTCCTTCTCAGTAGAGGTCTCTGTGTGCCTGCCAGCTGGAGGAGACGGAATGTATTACTGGCCTGATATTATAGAAATTTCTAGATGTTACCTTTCAGATTTCCCACAGGGGGACAACTGCTGAGATTAACCGTGTTGCCTATTGTGCAAACATCTGTAAACGCACCACCACAGCAATTGCAGTGGCTCCCCCCCAGCCAGAAACTGCGGAAATCAAATGCCCTGTCTTGCAAACACATCTGTTCACACCTTGAGAGAGGGAGGCTTTTCAGAGCTCCTTGCTCTGAAAAATCTTGGGAGTTTGTTTGTTTGTCCACTCTGTGAGCAATCCACAGTGATCTTGGGAGTCAGAGGTCAAAGGCAAAGGCTTACTGACCTCCCATGCTGTTCCCCCTGTCTTTAGGTCCTTCAAGGGCATGGGTGCTAAGAGGAGCCTCCCTGTGTACCAGGCTCACATCTTTGGACTTGTGATGTTGGCTCATGATGGTCGTGGTCACTCAGACCCCACCAGGAGCTGCTGAATCCAAATGGAGTAGCTCTTGGTGACAGTAAAGTCCACCCCTCCCCTGGCCTGGAGGGTATGTTCTGATTTTGCCAGGAGACAGGTAGCTGAGTAATACTTGAGATCTTGGGAAATGATTTGAAATATGTGGAAGAGAAAAGAAAAAACAGGATTGATACATTCTGCATTAAAAACCTTATTTGGGCACCTTCCCTATTTTCTACCCTCAAAAAAAAAACCCCACAAAAAACAGGATTTGAATGAACATTTGGAAAAATGCCTGGAATCATCAGCCACGAATCACCAGTGCCCACCCCTGAGCAATTTTACTGTAGAGCCACCACAGTGACCAGGCCAGGGAGGGAGCCATGCGTGTGGCAGAAGGAACGGCCGCCAAGTGTTGGCTGCACAGCGCCCCGCGCCTGCAGGAGAGCGGAGACAGGAGAAAGCGAGGCCAGCTGCACTGCAGGGAGATGTCTCTGCCTGTACTTTTTTTTTCTTTCTGGGATCTATTTAGAATAATCTTTGTGTTCAATTTCATTTTTAGATTTTAACACCGAATTCTTTTTGTTCTTCTGGATCCACATATCTAATTTTAGCATTGAAAAGAATTTCACCTAGTTTATTTTTGTATCCTAATCTTTTTTTAGCGTAGGTCAATGGATAAGAAAATCACAAAAACTAAGTGTATATTATCAGCCAAGTGAGCTGCTAGTGCTTATAAACACCCTTTATTTTAAAGACAATGCGAATTTCATTATGTAAACATGTAAAAACCCAGGCCATCTTAACTGATGCCCAGCCGCAGAGGTGAGGTGGCATGGTCATGTTCCTAGATGACATGTTATGAATGGAGTTCCTTCTACATCCAAGCAAAACAGGATTCCATGATTCACAGAGCTTGCAGGCAAGGTTAGACTAGTCAGGAGATTCAGAACAAACAAATCTTTGGTGTTTCACAGTTACAACTCCATAGGAGAGCACCTGATGGTTATACTGGAAGACGAAGCCGATGTCCTTGATGCTATAGATCAGGAGAGATCTGAAAACACACCCAGACCCACCTCCACCCCAACCCAGTTCAGTCAGAGTCTCTTGGGTTAGGACCTGAGAATTTAAAAAAATCTCCACAGTAATTTTAATAAGCAGCTAGAGTTGAGAAACATTGCCTCCCGTAGAGAACAGTCACTGGGAAGCTAGGATTGTACTGTGGTTACCTAGGGTGATGGACTGAGCTAAGCTGAAAGCAGAGCCTTGGGTGGGGAAACTGAGAGGAGTGATCTGTATAGTGCTTGGGAGCAGTGGTTTAATTCCGGCTGTGCTGTGAGGACAGTGATAATTATGCTCCTTCTGAAGAAATCCTTGCAGAAGATGTCACCTTTCCATGAATTGAAAAGGAGGAAAGGTGCTGTGTTTTCAAGCTTCTCCAGATAATCTTAGAAATGTAAGTCGAGAAAGGGAATCATACAAACATCATGTCTTAATTTGACTTAGTACCTAGTATGGGTTTAACATAACACTGTCATAATAATATGGTTTACACACATGCATACAGACTTACCATCCATTCATTGATTCACTGGGTTCCTGCTATGTGCCAGGCATTTCCTAGGGCACTAAGAAAACAGCAGCAAACGAAGAAGGCTGAGTTCCCCTCCGGGAGGGGTCTTACACCGAGCAATCCCAGAATGTCGGCTGGCAAGAAGGGGTGAGTGAGGAATATGCTGGAGGCAGAATGGGGCCCCTAGCCTAGAGTGCCTATGAGAAGACCCCTGTTGGGCCCTGACAAGGGAAGTGGCTTTGCTCTTCCTGCAGGCACAAGCTGTCCATGATGCTGGGACCTCTGATTCATCCACTAGAGCCATTGTCATCAGAACTATTTCTGGAAGTTTCTGAGTAGGTGGCACAGCCCTGTGTACCTAGTGAAGCCCCCCCCCCTTTGATTCAGGGGTCACATTGGGCTGTTTGCGCAAAGAAGGACTCACTGCTTCTTTTTCCCCTTGTGAATAAGTAACAAGCTGTTAAGTACACAATGAATGTACCTCTCTGCAAGCCAGAACTGTAGTGATTGATGGAATCCGATGTTTACTTGTCCCCTCTGTAACCTTAGATTAAAGTCACTGAAATCTTCAGCCTCTACATCAGGAGAATGGCACGCACATGCCAAGGGACGTGGCCAAAATGGCTGGTGGAGCTTTGTGGGAGGCAGAGTGCATGGTCCCTTCCCCAAAGGGATTAGATGCAGAGACATCAGGAGAGCAAGTCAGCTTTTATGGGGAGGGTAACAGTGTAGTCAGAAGCGGCAAGGGAGAAATGATAGGAATTTGTGTTGTGGAGAGAAAGGAAGGAGGCCTGGACAGGGAGGAAGGAGAAGAAACATTACACAAGAACCGATTGCTAATTGGTCAAGAGGGATGGGGAGTGACTGAAGGGCCCCTTGGGTGTGTCACTATTATTCAGTGTCCAGGCTGCTGCAAAAGGACAGCTATTAATAAACATCGTTAAATGCATCTTGTTTTCTTTCTATTGCTTTGTTGTTTATAAAATGCCTGAGTATACATTAATTCCAAGAATCCTCAAAATAACTTTGAGAGGTGTTACTGTGATCAGTATATAAAGAAAGAAGACATTGAAACTCATAGAGGCTAAGTAACTTGCCCCTAATCACACAGCCAGTTAAAAGGCAGAAGCAAATCTCAAATTCAAATATTTGAGCTCCAGCTCCAGCAATCTGAAATGTCAAGATACCTAGTACAATTGGGTTCTGGTCCTGGATGTGCCTGAACATTTTTATGATTTCACATATATCATGTGACTCTCCAAGCCTTTGAAGTTGCATTTCTCTCATTTCCTTGCCTTTCTACATGTCTTATAAAGATTTCTACGCTTACATTTATACCCTCAAGTATGCATGGACACAAAGTCGAGTTTGGGTTTTTTTAAAATCTGGATTAAAAGAAATTTTAAATTCCAACTTTCTTTACCTGATTCTCTCTGTAGCACTGGCCTTTTGTAATATATATTTTTCCAGCCATAGGAAAGAGCTTTTTAATGCTCAGATCCCAAGAGCTAAGGAAGTAGATGGCTATTTATGTTCTGCCAGGAATCTTTATGTTCAGTGAGAGGAAGTGCAACTGCTTAAAACTCTTAACTTCTCTCTCTTACTTTAGAAAGTCAAGCAGAAAAAAAAATGGATTAATTTGACAGATAGCACAGAATAAGAAAAATATTAGAAACAAGAAGAGGCCATTTTTCCTATAGAGGCTCATTTCATTCTATATACCACTTCCCTGGGATATCTGCTAATTGTTAGCAGAAAGAGTAATGTTATCTATTTTTTAAAATTTCACTCTTGAGTACTATGGAGATAATAGCTAAATGATGGAGAAATAACTTTCTTTCACGGTAGTAGTTTAAGAAGGGTAAAAAGAGCTCAAAGGCAGATGTTTGATGACATGAGAAAATTCAGCGACAAATGACAAATTTGATATTTCTATAGGTGCAGTTTTAGAAAGAGTATCTTTTTGCATTGACACTAGAGACCTGTGTCCATCTGTACAAGTGAGGGAACTGCATGTGGGTATTAATAGATGTATTTGTAAGCCCCGGAAATTTTCCAGTTGAAACTTACAACAAAAACAAAAAGTTTCTGTTGTGTTTTGCTGCAGGGCCAATGCAGGAAACCATCTATGACTTCTGGAGGATGGTGTGGCACGAAAACACTGCAAGTATCATCATGGTGACCAATCTTGTGGAAGTGGGAAGGGTGAGTGGACCGTCTGCTGCAAATGGCCATTTTGTTCCTTGCTTAGTTGGTAACAGAAAGTAAGGCATGAGGCAAGCTTTTGAACTATTATGTGTACTCCCCAAAACATTAACTACTCCAGCTCCTCCTATTGCTTGCTGCACTTGCTTATAAATTATCAGTAAACATAGCCTGAATTGCTTTCATTTGTTGCGATAGCAACAGACAGGAAAGGCACTCAAGATTTAAAAGCAGTTGTTATCGGGCCATATTGAGAGCACAAAAATACCTCTAAGCATGAATGCTGATTGTTGAGTGTCAAAACTCAATGGGTGCTGCATTAGACATGACTACCTTCCCAAACTCCCAAAATTGGCTCTAAAAACAGTGTGCAGCTCTAGATTCAATCCTTAGATTAGAATTCCAGCATCTTCTCTTGCTTAAATTGGCCTTTCCTGTGTCTCAGTTTCCAAACCTGTGGAATGGAAAGCATCATCTTTCTGAAGGTCTTGTACTACCTTCTCCGTAGTAACTGTTTATGAGCAGTGCTTTTATTTAACCAGGAAACTTTTACATAGTTGTAATCTCAGTAGTAGTATGCTATAGGATTATTTCCAAAGTGAAATTTTAAAATGAGCAAACACACAGCGTGCAGTTGCCTTTTTTACAGTAGGTTGAATTCCATGGTTGTGCTAACTGAAGAGAAGTTGGCATCATGAGATTTGCCCTCAGCAAAGGCAGCCTAGAGGTTATCCTAGAATTGAAACAGTGAGACAGGAGCCATAAAGGGTTTGTCTCTTAAGATTCTCAGGTTTCAGGAGGCACAAACCAGGAAGAAGAAAGACATCACAATTCTCTCATAATGAGAATATTCAGTAAGTAGGATATATATATATATACATACACACAATATAAGTAGGAGATATATATATGTGTGTGTGTGTGTGTGTATATATATATATATATATATATATATCTAGCAAAAATGGCACATTAACCTGAAAATCCCCCTACAGACATCTGGAAATTCTAGATAAAAATATAAATATGTATTTTAATATGTTTATATGTATATCACATGCATATGCAAATATATATATTTTAAATGTTTAGCTTAGCCCTTAATAAAGACAGCTACTACAGACCAGAAATAAAGTGAGGACTAGAGATCCTAGGGAGTGTAGCGCTTGCATGCACCCTTAGGAGGCTGGGCAGGGGGTTCTGTGTGAGTGTTGGGGGAGGGTGGGCAGCACCAGTCTTTGTGATCTTGGATCCCGGGTTTTAAAGCCCACTGAGGGCAGGAAATAATGTGGACACGTACAATGCTAAGAATTTAGATGTTGACTGCCACACAGAACCAAAACCCACAAACAGTAGACCCTCAGAGAAAGGGCAAACTGGGGAAGTGGAGGTAGGGAGAGGGAGGAGGGAGAAGGGAGAGGAGCACCAGCCAGCCCAGGGAATTGGCAAGGAAGTTACACCATTTTCACTTAGGTAGGATCTGTGGGGGTAAAGCACTTCGGCCAACTCCAGGGTCAAAGTAAACACCTAATAAAATCAGAAAATAATTAGAACTGTGAATCATAAAGTATCATGATAGTGTTAAAGTTGTCACATGCAAATAACATGGTACCAGAGAAGGAAATACATGTTTTTAAATGTTGTTATTAGAAAAGAAGAAATACCAACTAAGCATCTAATTCAAGAAGATAGATGAAGAACAGAGCAAAACCAAAGAAAAAAAAAAGGAAATAATAAACATGAATAGAAATTTATTAACTAAACAGCACAGAAGCAATAACAAAGTTCAACAAAATAAAAAGCTGGTTTTGTGAAAAGGTTAATAACATGGACCTCTGGCAACAGATCAGAAATAAATAGAGAAAAACCACATATAGCCAATAGCAGATTTTTTTTGTACTGCAATAGAATAATATGAATAACAATATATTTGATGAATTAGGTAATTTTCTAGAAAAATATGACTTTCCAAAACTGACTCAAAAAGAAACAGAAATTCTGAGTAGATAATAATTATCTTAAACTCGAATTCTGGTTAAAAATTGACGCATGGAAATGTACCAGTGTATTTATAGGTACTAAATATTCAAGGAACAGATAATTCAAATGTTGTAAATGTTAAAAATATATAACATTTTATAAATATATAAAAATACATAAATTATATACATTTTATAAAAATTATTCTAAGAGAACAGAAAAGAAAACTTGTTCCCCCATTTCATTTTAAGAGGTTAGTATAACCTCAATATCAAAACCAGACAAGACTACAGTAAAAGGTAAAATTATAGGTGCCACACATAGATAGGAAGAGATGAATAGACCAGTAGGTCCAAGCAGGCCAGATGTAAGACACCAAAAGCCCAACATATTAAGGAATAGGATAGGAAAATGTATGATAGTAAGATTTACGTAAAATTATCTGTATTACAAAGGGTATAATAAGTGACCAGACAAGGGGGGAGGTACTATGGGGCTATTATGCAAAGTTTAAACACTTCCAGAGCAATATTTTATATACTAAAAGTATAGAAACCATTTCTTTCTTTCAATGATGTCTCTGCCGGGAGCCAGCATGGGAGTGCAGGTGAGCTGGTGAGGAGGCTACTGAGGCAGGGAGGACCACCAGCCCGGCCTAGAAGAGGGTGCTGGGCCTCTCCTTCCACAGACCTTTCTCTGGAAAGAGGAAACTAGCAGTACTGTGTGTCCACCTGGTTGGGCTGCCATAACCAAATGCCACAAGCCAGGAGGCTTACACAACAGACATGTACTATCTTCCTGTTCTGGAGGCTGGAAAGTCCCAATCCGGGTCTGGCAGGATTCTGCTTCTGGTGCAGGCCCTCCTCCTGGCTTTCATGTGGCCACCTTCTTGCGGCAACCTCACGTGTCAGAGAGAGCGCACGCTCTGTGGTGTCTCTTCTTACAAGGACACGAATCCTATTGGGTGAGGGCCCCACCTTAATGACCTCATTTAACCATCATTATCTCCTTGGAGGCCTGTCTCCAAATACAGTCACACTTGGGGTTTAGGGCTTCACCATTTGAGTTTTGGGGGTACACAAATATTCAGTCCATAACAGCCTGCTTAATGGGGTTCTCGTAAAGATTCAGTGAGTTTCCACATGTCAGGAGGTTAGAGAAGTTCCTGCCCATTCCGAGGACTCAATAATACAGCTATTAGTGTAACCGTAGGTTTCCACCAACAAACCTAAGACTGAAGAAAAAGACCCTTTTTGTTCCGCACACCAAATCTACCTACTTTTACTATGAAAACATTAATGACTATTGAAAAAAAAAAGGCCAACTCCACTGGAAAGCAAGTTCCTTGAAGGGAAGAGATGGCCTTGCTCAGCAGCCTCTCCCTCCAGGCCCAGGGCCCTGAGCAAATGCCCAGCAAGGTGAATAAAGAGAGTACCTCGCCATAGTGTCACGGAGCACACCAGAGCCACCTCATGTAGCCTAAACATTTCATCTGCTTTCATGTGCTTGTGTTTCTTCCCCTGAGAGGTATAGTCCCATCTGACTCCTTCATTTACTTCACACATCCTTGCTGACCACCCACATGTGATGGGGAGAAAGAGGTACCTGGAGCCCACTCTCGGGTGCCTTCCTTTCACAATCCCAGCACTCCCAGAAAGTTGTGCACCCGTGCACACGTTCAATATTTGCACTGGAGCTCGCTTACAGGAAGAGTCCTCAGTAAATTATTTTGAAAAGTAGATAATTGCTAAATAACAACTATTACTGGATTTTTAAAAATAAAGGCACATGTATTTTTTGCTTAATTGGAATTCCAAAGGACACCACTGTGTCTGGACTCAGTGGCTTAAAAGGTTAAGCTGATTTTGTATGATACAGCCTTTTACTTTAAGGAAAGATGAGGACAGCATAGTCTTTGGTTGAAAAGTCAAAAGAAAATTGTGCTGTAAAATTACTGCAGCAAAAAATAATAATTACACACTAAAGCCCACTGTGTCTGAGACATGGCACAATTTTCAGGGAGCCAGGTTTCATTCAGAGCGACCTGGGTTTAGAAAAGGAATGAAAATGCTATGCAGTGGTGGTCGCTGTTCCTTCCATCAGGCACCTGGACCCGTCACATCCAGGGTAGTCACTGGTGATTTTTATGACAGCAACTATTCCTTCTGACAAATAACCATGGAAATTTTGTTTCCAATAAGGTGTGGCTGAAGTGGGTGGTGGTAACTAGGTTTCTGGTTTACCCATAAATCTAAGTCCGTAGATTTAAAGTAACTCAACCATTTCAGGTCTGGTAAGGTTATTAAAAAAAAAAATTTCTTCCAAATCCTTACCAGGTTTGTGGGGACACGGGTAAGCTCTGAAGAGGCCCCACCTCATTGCCATCAGCCCCTTGGATGGGCCTGACTTTAGTAATGAAATTATGGCATCTGTCCTTGAAATGTCTGGCATGATTTGGGGGTTTTGACAAGAGGTCATGTTCCCTCATGGGAAAAGCACTCTCCTTGTTCCAGGCTGTTTCCCATTGTTAATCCTGCACATTTGTTTACAGATAGCTCCTCCATTTTTAGCTTAAAAACAACAACAACAAACCACCCAAGAAATCAAAATGACATGGTTTTTAAGGGCAATAGCTACCTACTTAACATGTGTACCGCACATAGTGCGTCCTTCATGCATTAAGCATGAGCTAGGCGGATGCGTGTTTGTTTACACAGACTTGCTGCCGATTCATTAAGGCAGAGCTGGGGACCTGCTTCCCCCCATTTTGCCCTGAAGCGCTCTGCATTAGGCGGCCCTAATTGCTGGTGTTGGAGCCGCCAGGAGACCTTTCCTGTCGCAGCACCTGGTGCAGAAGACATAGATGCTGCACTTCCCTCCAGCGGGGTCCCCGGTACATCTGACAGGACCTGTCATTATCTAAGACTTCCTTGTCACCACCATGCCTCCCCTTTTAGCCCACGTGTTCTGGGAAGAGACCCTTGTCAGTTTTCCTGGCACCTGCCACCGGCTGCACACCTGGCATTGAAATGGCGCTGGAACGTGTTGTGATTATTTTCCCTCTTTAATGAACCCACCTGAGGGACATTTAGTTTCTTAATCCAGTCGCCTGTTTCCCAGGCATTCCCATTTACACCGTTTGTGTGGAGATTCAAAAACTCTGTTGTGGTATTGAGCTGTTCCATCTGCCAGAAGTCTTATAACCAAATCTGCAGGACTCCCAAAGGAGACTTTTTACACCGGTAATTTAAGCTAATTATTTCTAAACATATTTAGTCAGTTTTATGAAGACCTCATTAGAATGTGACTGTTTATTAAAAATCCAAATGAGGTCTCACAGTCACTTAGGAAAATTATTGTTGAGTCACTCTGAATAGTTCTGATAACAGAAGATAAAATGTTTTGGAGCTGAGAGAAGTGGGGACCAGAGCTGTGGACCTCTATCACAGTAGGGGATGGGAAGAAACCACCTACATGGATTCTTGGATATTTTCCACCCAAGGAGCCTGCCCTAAAATTCCTCTCACAGTACTTGTCACTAAAAGAGTCATGAAAGGAAAAGTTTACTATGAACACTAGACGTCAGAACTAACAACTTTCTAATTCACATACAAGGAAGGTATATTAAGATTCCAGGTGCCCCTCTCACAGCCAAGAAAAAAACATCTTCTTTTGTGCAACAGCCACCAGACCCAGGATCAATGAGGAAGCAAGAGAGAGGCAAGGTTGCCCTTTTATAAAAAGTGTGGAAATACTGGTTAATTATAAGAATAAAAATATTAGTAATCGTTTTTACTACAAAATCTCTTGAGTTGTTCCAAGACATCAAACTCATAAGAAAGGGAAGAGGGAAATTGTTTTTATAGACATTGCTGACAGTTTTCCGTCTTGAGCACTCACTGTTACTTTCATAGGTCCTTTTTCATAAACTGATATTTAAGATTGATCTTTTGTGACCTGTGTAATTACAGTCTTAGCCTTTGAATAATTTATGCTCATTCAGCAAACACTCCTCATCTCAATCTACTGTCATCCTTTCGCCTATCATAGGATGAAGCTGACATAAGCCTTACCTCCCTCCTGCATGTTACCCCTGGGCATTTAACTGCTCATTGGCCATCTCTACCTCTGTGTCCCACAACTGGCACAAACCAAGCACCTTAGAAACTAAGCTTGTCCATTCATCTTCAGACTCCTGGTCCCCAGTACCTATTCTTATCATTCAGGCTTGAAAACAAATTTCATTTTGTACTCAGCCCAATCCAATGTCAAGCCATAAAAACACCATGTGAACAGCACACCTGCCTCCTGTTTTCAAGGTGCCTCCAGTGCAGCTTGGGAATTCACAGTCTTTCATATCAGTCCCAGTAGCAGCGTCCCCACTGGTCACCCTGGTGTTCACACTGGTCACCCCAGCATCCACAGTGGTCACCTTGTGCTGTTGTGGTCTCAGAGGCCAAAATGGATGCCCCATTATCAACTAAGACAGAAAGGTGAAGGAAACAGAGTTACCTACAGGTTGAAGGTTCAGGGCCTGTCGGGGCAAATCCTCTAAGTTCCTATGGCCAAACTCCCTACCAATAGGAGCTACAGCTCTGAGTCACAACCCAGACCACTGCAACTCTGACTGGCCAGAGGACCAGCCTTGAAAACACTCTTTCCTGATAAGCAGCTGTAGATCTTGAGCCCATTTCGGCAGCTCATAGAGGCTGCATACAGACTGTCTTTGTGTCCCATAGCTGACCTTTTGATGTAAAGAGCCAAATGCCATTTTCTTTTCATGGTAAAAACCCCACCCCAAAGTGAACATGGGATGTATGGTACATGTATGTTTACCTATTGCACATGTGCTCAGCTCCCCTTATAAATATGTATAGCTTTCCCCCCAAACCTGCTGATATGTATGACTCTGTTGTGTGATACAGACCTGGTGAGGCATAAAAGCCAACCTGTCCTTCTTTCTGAAGAGAGAGCACCTTCAGTCCATGCTGGAGACTCTTCCCAGCTTGCAAACCGATAACCCCCATAAAGCTCTCCTTTCTACTGTCCAGCCATCCTGGTGGTCTTTTAGACAACACCATCTTCTATCCATTCCATGTGTCAGTGCTGCATTAATTTTTATAAACATTGGCTCCTGACACACCACTCATCTGTTCAGAATCCTTCAGTGATTCCTGTCGAATCCAGAACAAAGCCCAAACCTCAAGATCCCTCTATTCTGTGCCTTCACAGTGTGGCTCTAGTCTACGGCAAGCTTATTTCCCAGCATTCTCTTACAAGTGTTTGAAGTGCCAGGCAGACAAAGTATTTGCCATTTGCCACACACGCCCAGCACTGCATTCCTTGTGCTTTTGGTGCTGTCTGGCCCATGCACAGTGGAGCTCTCCAGGAAAACCCCTGCCAGTTTGGAATGCTCTAGGTCTACACAGTCGCCTGCAGAGCCTCTAGTCGCAGGGGTCTACTGAGTATTTTCAGTGTGGTTATTGTGACTGAGAGATTGACTTCTGAGGTTTATTTCATTTGTATTAATTTAAATTGAAATGTCCACATGTGACTAATGGCTTTTGTCTGGGACATTGCAGGGACAGCACCTCCTTGCCTTCCTCCTTATGCCTGCTTAACCAGGGCCCTTCATTTAATACTAATTGAAAATTCCACCCTTTCTAAGAAGGAAACCCGACCTGATTATTCAACTGGCTATTTTATCTCCCTCATCAGCATCCTCTCTGTATGTCACTTGCCATATTCTGTCCTTTAGTATAAGTTTTAGCCCTTCCTCATTTATAGTAAGTCAGTCAGAGAATCAGAAGGCCTTGGCTCTTCCCATGCCCATTGCAACATCTCTGAGCCCCAGATTCGTCATCTGTTAAGCATAGGGAATGATGCACTAATACCCTTCTGTGTCACGGGATTACTGTAAGGATTACAGAATAAATTGAGCATCTGTTGTGCCTGTTTCCACTTCTGCAAACTCACCTTCTCAGCCATTCCTGTGCACAACCACCAGGCTGTGGGTCCTTCCAGGTAGGCCCAGTAGAAGCAATTGGTCAAGAACCTTTCCCTAAATCTGGCCACAGGGACGGCCTCTCTGTTGTCAGAGATGGTGGAGTTTGCACCTTGCCTTGAATTCCTTCAATTCTGTAGGTCATGAATTATCTGTTTCTGCTGGAAATAGCAGCAATTCCTAAACTAGAATTGCTGTAACTTTAACACAAAACTAGAAGTCAAAGAGGAGATTGGCAGTGTGGCCTGTGATGATTCCCATCCAGACACTGCCAGGCTTCACGCCACTACCCCCAGCACATCAGCCAAGAAAGGAGGCACTAACGAATACTGAGCTATCAGCAGCAGGAGAAAGGCCTTCTACAGACTCCTCAACACCAGCTCCTCCAGGAAAGATGGTTCCCTGGCTGCCCTGGTGAACCTGGAGGTTTTCTCTGCCTGAAAACCTCAGTTCCCCTCTGTAAAAAGTTCAACCAAAGAGCTCAATTTGTCATGTTCACAAATTAGCCCAAAGATAGGCTTTTTAATCCCTTCTCAGCACAATTTAACCCAACATTTAGTGCTGTACTTACTGTATCTATGACACTAATAATCCAAAGATAGTTATAATTCACTTGTCCTCAAAGAATATCACCTGTGGTCATTGAGAACCGTATATCAACAATGAACTGTGATACATGTTCAGAATGTGATAGTACCAACAAAGGGACTCATTCTGCCTGTGGCAATCTAGGTCTTCTCGGAGCACGTGGTAAAGAGCTGGACCTTAGTAGGAGGAAGGATTTTATTTTGTCTTTATTTTAGATTTAGGGGGCACATGGGCAGGTTTGTTAAATGGGTATATTTAGTGGTGCTGAGGTTAGGGCTTCTAATGATCCCATCAACCAAACAGTGAACATAGTCCCCAGTAGGTAGTTTTTAAACCCTTTCCCTCCTTCCTCTCTCCTCCCTTTTATATTCCCCAGTGTTTATTCCCATCTTTGTGCCGTGTATACCCAACGTTTAGCTCCCACTTACAAGTGAGAACATAGTATATTTGGTTTTGTTTCTGAGTTAATTCACTTAGGATAATGGCCTCCAGCTGTACCCATGTTGTACCAAAGGACATGATTTCATTCTTTTTCTTTTCTTTTTTTTTTTTTTGGTTTGGTTTTTTTTGTTTGTTTGTTTGTTTGTTTTGTTTTTTGAGATGGAGTCTCACTCTGTCACCCAGGCTGGAGTGCAGTGGCACGATCTTGGCTCACTGCAACCTCCGCCTCCTGGGTTCAAGCAATTCTCTGCCTCAGCCTCCCAAGTAGCTGGGATTACAGGCACCCACCACTACGCCTGGCTAACTTTTTGTATTTTTAATAGAGATGGGGTTTCACCATCTTGGCCAGGCTGGTCTTGAACTCCTGACCTTGTGATCCACCTGCCTTGGCCTCCCAAAGTGCTGGGATTACAGGTGTGAGCCACCCCACCCGGCCCGATTTCGTTTTTTATGGCTATGTAGAAAATGTGTATATACCACATTTTCTTTATCCAGCCTACCATTGATGGACACCTGGGTTGATTCCATGTCTTTGCTGAGGAAGCATTTTAAATGGCAGGAGTGAGACAGTAACCACTTCAGCAGCATAAGGAAGGGAAAGCACAGGAAGGGGAGGAAATGGCAAGATGGAGAAAGAGCTAGTGGCCTGCCTGATGCAGCTGATGAGGGAAGAACTCTGAGGCCGGGAAGCTAACTGCAGGCTTGTTGATGAGGATTTGAAATGTGTTTCTAGGAAGGAAGGAGAGGTAGCAAGTGGGCAGTGTGTGTGTTTGTTTGTTCACTTTAATGGAAGGCATTGAGGTAGTGAATCGTGTTCTAATTGGTATTGAAAAGCAATCTTGGTGACCATTAAGAAAAGGCTGAGAAAGGCTATGGAAGAGTATGGAGACACGTTTAGGAGGTTAGAGCAAGGCTCTAGGTGAAAGATGATGTGGGCTTGAGTTTGGGCAGAGGTGTTGGGAGCTTATGAGGAGTATACAGTTTGGGTGTTATGGTGGGTAGGTGGTGCTGATAAGGAAGGAGGAGAACTTGAGAATGAACCAGGGTTTCTACCACTGTGACTTGGGTTGCTATAAAGGATATTAACCAAGAATGGGTATCTCTTTCCAGCCCACCCCCACACCCCCAAATAAAAGTAGGTGTAAGGAGAGGCAATGTGTTTCATCTTGGACATGCTGAGTTTAAGAAGCTGAATGAGCAATAATGTGGTGCTTTCCAGGAAGCTCAAGAGAGAGATGTGAGCTGAAGACACAGAAACAAACTATGAAATATTAGCGTCCCCCTTTATTCACAAGCATCTACTGTGTGTTAGGCTTTGGCTGCACTGAGGATATCAAGATGAAAAGACATGGCACAAACTATGGGACAAAAAGGCAAACAAAAAAGAGTATAATGCGGCTGGGCGCAGTGGCTCACACCTGTAATCCCAGCACTTTGGGAGGCCGAGGCAGGTGGACTGCCTGAGGTCAGGAGTTTGAGTCCAGCCTGGCCAACATGGTGAAACCCCATCTCTACTAAAACCACAAAAAATTAGCTGGGCGTGGTGGCGGGTGCCTGTAATCCCAGCTACTTGGGAGGCTGAGGCAGGAGAATCGCTTGAACCCAGGAGGCGGAGGTTGCAGTGAGCCTAGATCGCACCATTGCACTCCAGCCTGGGTGACAGAGTGAGATTCCGTCTTAAAAAAAAAAAAAGTATAATGCAAAGTGATAACCACTGCAACAGAACAGAGTTCTTGGGAGAAAGTGGAAAGAGAAAAGAGGAGGACTCACAACAGAACACTGGAGAATATCTGTTTCTGGGGGCAGTCGGGAGGAACAGCTGGGATGGAGTCTGGAAAAGGAAAGCAAGAGGAATAGGGCGAGAACAAAGAGACCCAGATCATGAGAACGAAGAGAAGACAGCATTTCAACAGGAAGGGGATAGCGACCAGGTCACGAGCTACAGAAAGGCCAGGTAAACAGGAATCAGAGAGCAAGGTAGAGAGAAAGAATGTACTGAGTCAGGCATCCTGCTAAATGTTTCACAAGCCCTATTGCTCTTATCACAGCTACCCTGAGTACATTTAAAGATTCCTATTTTTAAACTAAGTAAGGCTTGGTGTGGTTAAATAATTTGGCCAAGGGCATAGAGCTAGAATTGAAACTTTGGTCTGTCCAGTTCCAAAGCCCATGCTCTCTCCCCATTCCACAGTGCCCCCCGTTAGCACTGGAGATGTCTTTGGTACGTACCAAGTTCCCATGGGATGATAGAACCAGGAATCCAGCAGCAGTAGAACAGTGGCTAAGTGTGCAGCAAAGATGCAAATGTAGCTTGTTCTTGGAGCAGCGAGTCACAGGAGAGAGATGAAGCAGCACCTAGAAGGGAACAGGGTCTAGACAGTGATTATAATGGTTGGGAGTGTGTTTTTAGTGATAGAGTAGACATAAGAGTAACTGGGAGTCTGAAAAGAAGATGTAATTGCCTTCTCAAACTAAAGGTACAAGAAAAGGGGAAAAGTGACAGAGGAAAATCACAGACAAGACAGAAGGGGATGCCTTCAGTTCATAAGCATATGCTGCATTCACACCACTCAATGTGCAGTCACAGAAAGCCAGGGATGCTAAGACAAATTAAGTGTGTCCCTGTACACAGGGAGGGGGCATCAAGCAAAGGGATGAAATTCCGTGATAAAGGTTTCACAGCATGCTGTGGAAGTTCATGAAAGAGGCACCTCATCTAGCTGTGGAGTTGAGTGGAGGTTGAAGGGATTTGTCAATAAATGCATCTCAGAACAAGGGGTGCCTGGTGCTGAGTACAGGAGGTGGGAGAGCAAATGAAAATTAATTGGCAAAGGAGGGAGGGAAGGTGTTCCAGGCAGAGGCAACCACAGGACCCTGGAGGGAAGCTGCAGGGATTCAGTATGAACCAGGGGAGATAGGGAATGGGGATTCTAGGGAGAACTGAGGCCTTGTCATGGATATACCACGTCAGGAATTGGGCTTCAGCTCATGAATGACAGAGAGCCCCAAAGGATTTGGGTGTGGAAGTGACAAGGGGAAAGGGCCACACTGGAGATACTGCAGAGACAGAGTGGATCATCCAAAGGCAGAACAATCAGCATCTGACTTAACAAGGAAAAGGTTACTGGCAACCTTTTGCCTCAGTGTTTTCAGACTGATGGCCTATCTGAGTTCTTTGATTACATGCAACAGAAATCAACTCTGGCTAATTTCAGGAAAAGGGAAAAGAATATTATAAGCTCAAAATGTTGATGTGAAGAGTAAGGCTTACAAAAGATAGGAAAGAAGGTAACAGCTCCAGAGGGCTAGTGAGCCAAATGGGTCTCACAGCCAGACAGTCTAGTCAAGGCGCTGATGCTAAGACAGTGAGCTCTCTGGTCTCTTTGTCACTGTGCTCAGGATTCTAATAACAAGGATAGAACCTCCGACTCCCAAAGGTTGGTTCATGTGCTCATCCCTCGCTGTCCAGGGCCTCTAATTGACAAGCCACCCAATAGGGAAGAAGTAATTCCCCAAAAGGAAGTCAAGGATCCATTAGGAAGGATGAATGGATGAAATGGATGTTGACAGACCAAATGATGCATTCAGTACAAACGGCAAGCACTGAAGCCAGCCTGCAGCGTTGAGGCAGGAGTAGCAAATGAGGATGCATAGACTGAGTGTGGACTTGACAGAAGCTTAGCTCTGCAGGGAAAAGAGAGGAGTGCAGCTGTAAACAGAGGAGCATTTCTGATCAAAGGATATTTATAAGGTGAAAGACCCTTGACAGTAGTTATGTGTTAAGGAAAAGAATCAGAAGAGAGGGAGAGACTGGACATCTTGGGAAGTGGACGGAGTCTTTGCCAGGGAGCCAGGAGGGAAGGGACCCTGAGTGCAGGTCCTCCATTCAACCTTACAAGAGATGACATCTTTTCCTCTGAGCCTGCAGAGCAGAGACAGGCGTGGACACACTTAAATAAATTGAACCAAACAGAAACACACTCAGGATGGCACCCTCTCCTGGTAACAGTGGTTTTCCCAGTGTAGTAAGGAACAAGGCCATGGGCTGAGAAGCTGGACGAAAAGGGAAGTAGCTATTTTAGGGATGCATCAAGGACATAGGTAAAGGTGTTCGCCTGGAATGGGAGTGACCTCTTCTCTGGGGAGAAGGTAAGGATGGGCAGATATAAGTGAGACTCCAGTTGGCGGCTACAGGATGCAGGTAGGTGGAATCCCAGGACAGCCAATAGCCCAAATCCTCCAGGTACTAGTGGCAGGGGAATGTGACTCCAAGGAGAATAGGGTGTTGTGAGCGTTTCTAGGTGAACTGAAAACCAACCCATTCTTACCCCACACCTTACTTTTTGCAACCTTGGAATGAAGGGAATTATCCATATGAACTCTAAAATTCCATGTTTATATGAGAGATATTTTCCTGTTTGCTGTTTACATTTTGGTGACGGGATCCATTTGAATAACAAAAGCATCTGCACTCCAGATCCAGTTTAATCCACATGCTTCCAGAGTCCTTGATGCTTCCTGTACACTCTGAATACCACCAACAGCAGAAAACGATTGAGTGTGGATTGTTAAAGGGGAAAGATTCAGGACAAAAACATGAGGACTGTCACTCCCTTGGGAGAGAGCCCTCCGCTCCCATGTCCTCTGCACTGTTTTCACATGAATTGTGTAGAGGATCTGGAATGGAATGTTGCCATGTGATCAGGTACCAGTGAGACAAATTCTGTCAGTGATCCTTCTGTATTTTAATTTATGCAGACCATAAAAGATATTCAGTCTGTTCTCTAATTTATAGACCTTCTTTTGAAAATAATCTAATCTGACTACAGTAAACTAAGATTTTTGAAGAAATATATCCTTTTCAGAAGTTCTCAAAATTACTTAAAGCTATCCCCCCAATTTGTCAACTGCCACAATCAGTCGCACCCGGTGAGCACATTTCCGTGTCTTTACCTAGTGATCAGCAGGGCCGCAGCGGGTTCCTGCCTGCAGTAGGGAGGGGGTCCTTGGAGAGAATGTGGTTTCTTTGGAGGACTCTCACGATCGTTTAATGAAGATATCTATGCATGCCCCGTTGTGTTCTGTATAATTGCAAGTGTGACTGTTACCTCTGGAAGATCTCCTTAGGCAACGAAATGGCTATTTTACTCAAAGTGTTTAATCAATAGAGAATCATCGTTTCACATCCGTCAATTCAATTTGGACAGCAAATCCATTTAATTAAAGGTAAACTGTGGTTTAAAGGAGATGCAAAAACATATACAATTATAAAACAACTTCATTTAACCAGGAAACACTTAATTGACTACAAACTGGGTAATGATTTTGAAAAATATGAGACTAAAAGAAACACATACTCGCAGACTAAAGCAAGGAGAAAACCATATAACTTTTTTCTCCAATCTTATTGAAGGCTTATTCAGTATTTTAAATACTAAGTTCTGCATTTTATAACTTAGAGTAATGAGGTTTCTTATATAAAACTTCATATCATATGCCAACCCCAACCTCTGTAAACTTTATTCTGATAGTATTCCTGCAAATACATACATACACAACATATTTACACATGCACATTTTTGTTTAAGGCTAGCTATTCCCCCCCCCACACACACACACATTTGCCTGCGTGAGTAACCAGACTAGATCTCTTTTACAATTTTCACATTCCCCATATCTGATCAGAGGTTCTTCCCAAATGTATGCACATGACACGCACACACACACACACACACACACACATGCATACACTTGGACATGCACACACACACATCCCTATCTCCATTTCAGAAATGTTCTTTGCTTTGTTGGGAGCAGGAAGCCACTGTTTGTTCTGAGTGCAGACCATGGTCTCTCTTGTTCTGAATTCTGGTGAGTTGTCACCATGAATGAATGAATTTCCTGTGGGGAAGACAGGATCATCTTCCTATCTGTTTCTCACGCCTCCTGTGTCTCTGCTGTTGCCAGTGTTAGAAACCTTAACCCCTTGGAGTCTGTTCATCTCTCTTGCTGGTTCTGCTCCCTGGTATGCGTGCAGCTAGTGACTGTGCAGGCATCAGGTGACCTCTCCGCCTACTTTAGGCAAAAGCCAGAGAATAAAAGAGAGGATCCTTCAAGACATGTACAACCCAATTATAGAGGTATTACATAAGGTTGTACACGAGAAGGAACAAAACACCTTCAGCTGCCATGTTGCCTTCCCTGCCAGACCATAGGCTTCTGTGAGCAGAACCCCGAAAGGCTGGACACAGAGAAAGTATGAGTGACTGTTTCAGGAGAGGTGGAAGAATAATTACAAAGGAACATGTAAGCTGCTGCAAAATAACTGAGTGCATACGAAGGGAATTTCTGTGTACTGCCCTCCTTCTGTTGATTTCTTCTACATTGGAAGAAGAGACTTGAATCTGAAGCCATACAAATATGTATAATATATTCACTAAGGATGTGAGTGAAGGTCACTACACCTGTTTGAAATGACAGAAATGTGTCTACATTTAGCCTACCCAATTAATCCTTTTGTATTAAATACTTGGTAATTCAGCCTAATCCATTATGTCCCTTTAAAAAGACAAAAAAAGCAAAAGTCGTTTTCACTCAAATATCGATGAAATACAAATCAGGCTTCAGAGACAATTCTTTATGTGCTATAAGTCATCTGACACTTTTGTGTCAGCCATCTCTCATGCTGCCACAGTGGCAGGATATTACAGGATCAAAGCAAATTTGCAGGTCTGAATAACAAGTGCTGCTCTGAGCACGCTCTCCTGGCTCCTCCAGGTAACTGCGAGCTGGGTGCAGATCAGCTCTTTCACATTGTCTAGCTGAGCCTATGGAGACACCTGTGCCTGGGCACCTGCCTCCATGGTCACCCCTGCGGAGCCCTGTCGCTAGCCTTCAATGGACACTCTTGCTGCTTTGCCATAATTGGCTGACCCTGGAAAATCCTCACTTACATCTGTGCCTGGACTTCTTGTCTCTTTGCCATTTTACTGGCCTGGGCTTGGGGCCTCTGTTGTGTCACTCTGTCACCTCTAACTTTGTCTGCCACAGTCTTTGGGGTACATACAGGTGGTCACCTGCCTTTGTATCTAAAAAGTGCTTCAGAGGGCAGGGAGCCTGCATGTGTAGCAGATGGACAAGTGCACCTGGGACCGATGCATCACAGCCTGAGCGGTTTTACAGTGTGGTTCCAGCACATTCCTACCTGCTCGGGTGTGCACAGCTGGAGTTTCCCGGCACCATCATTGGACGCAATATGGGACAGTCTCAGAGCTGCAATAGTCTGCCTTCCTTGTTCTGCTCACGAGCCCTTGAAAGTCAGTTTTTCTCCCGTTTTGCGCACAGCAGGTATATCCTATTCTTGAACAATTTGCTGAAAAGCAGTAAATGAGGTCCTTTCTTGAAGGCAGGATTCTTTTCTCCTTTCTCTACTTTCCAAATCTACTCCCTGAGCCCTTCCTCTGCCTTAGAAGGCTTAGGGTTGTCTGGCCACATAAATACATGAGTAACCACTGGGGCCTCTCCCAGGAGGATAGGACCAAAGAAACAGAAAAATCCAGTAACTGGTTTTAGATAGAGCCTTTACACAACTGCGTTCAGACTAACAAAGTGGCAAAGACATCAGTATCTCTACTTTAGTTTCATGAACTAAGGAAATAAATAAGGAGAAATGTAATTCAGTAGGCTACAGACAACCAGAATTCACTGCCTCAGAATTTTTTCACTGAAAGTGCCTGCCACATGTCTAAGACCAGAGAAAGACAGCAACTTATGCATAAGCTACCACTCCCTGTCTGTAGGACCAGGTTTCTAGCAGTGAGAAGGTGGAACGGGTCTGGACACACCTCTGCCGTGAAATCTATGCAAAAAAAACCCTTCATACCCGACAAGAAGATAGTGTGTCAGTTGCTTCCCTATGCCTGAATTACAGGTTTGTAGAGCTCAGGACAAGGAACGTGCATTTGGGTAACATTATTTGAAAATTGTGGGGGTGCTGCTGAGTTCCAAAAGTGGACTGGTCACCTTGGCCAATACTAGCTGAGGAAGCAGAGGTGAGTTAGCCCCCTGGTATTGCACTGGATTACTTGCTAGGACTTTGTATAAAGAAGCACAGTCTGAAACAGACGCACTGCAGGAGACCAGGGATGAACAGTGGGGAACACTGCCTGCAGAAGGGGATGTGAAAAGAAGCTGGGAGTAGATGTTTCAACACCCGACACTGTTTGGATTTACATCTTTTAGCTTTAGAGTGTCTACTGTAAAATAGAAGCAGAACTCTTATCACTTAAAATTGTAAGTAAACAGATGTCTTTATTCTAGAGTAACATAGCACATTTGTTATCTCACCAAAAATAGATTCTTTTCTGATGTTGTAGAGTAGAGAATCTGAAACCAACAGTGTACGTGTAGGAGCTTCAATCCATTCAACTGGTGGCATCATATACTTCACATCCTTAGGACTGCTTATGTGATGTGCAGTCAAGGATTGGGCAGGTCATATATCATGTCACTCCATCCTTCAATGCCTTTTGATCTGTTTAGCAGCTCCTTGTGACAACCTAAGGAAGAGGGTGAGGGTGGTGAGACTCAGATTGACCCGTGTCTTTTGTAAATTCTTCTTCCTTTCTTCCTTCCTTCACCCCTAGAGCCCTTTATTTCCTCAAAGAGATGAACTGGGACAGGTACGCACTTCAGACTGTCTCAGAGGCATTTAGCCCTGATTAATGCCTCTGAAATTAAAGCTTGTTATCTTCCTAATACTGATACAGACCATAAAGCATTGTGTGTTACAATAAATGGAGCACCCGGAGCTCTATACTGAGTGCTGTTCCCTTCTCGATAGCAGAAGTGCTGGGGGATGGTGACCACCACTAACAGTTACTGGACATTTCTTATGGGTAAGTCAATGTGGTGAGTCTTTAGCTCATCAGAGTGATTAAGAAATAGACATGATTGTTATTCTATTCTCCAGATAATAAACAAACTTAAAAGACATTAATAAATTGGTCCAACTTCATACAGCTAGTTAATGTGGGACCCAGGATTTGAACTCTGGAACCCATGCTCCTGACTCCTAAGGCTTCCAAAGAACCACATTCTAGAATCACATAATCAGATAACTGTAGGACTCAGAATACCTTTAACAATCATATGGTCTTGTATCCTCTTTTGCCAGTAAGGAAACTGAGTACTAGAATGGTTCAGTGACTTGCACAAGATCACAGAGCTAGATTGGAACACAGCTAGGATTAGCCCCAAGCCCTCCTGCCTGCCTGCCAGGCTTCTTTCTGTTACAGCACACTGTGTCATCATTAAATGTTCATTTTTAAGATAGGCTACAAAAACTTTATCCGAGGTTCTTAAAAATAAAATGTTATCCTTCTATCTAGAAGAAAAGAATATCGTGTGTGTGTTTCAAGAACTTTCCCAGGTCTTGACTAAGTCAGAGAGGTCACATCTTGGCAACTTGGGAGACACAGGAGACCCAGTGCCTGAGCTCACCAGCTCTAGGAACCCTGATATGTGCCTGTTATCCTGCCACCCCAGTCCTGAAGCTGCTGCCCTCTTCTCAAGCAGTGTGAAGGATCCAAGCAAGCCGCTGGTGATGGGGTTGCCAGACACCTAGTCCTGGGTGATCCCCGGCCCCAACTGCTCCCAGCTCTGCCATATCCGACCTACTCACACATCCCTTGTCGCAATTAGTTCGCACCTTGCACTTAGCAGCCCATCCCAGCAGGGCAGCTGCCTCAGCTGCAGAGAGCCCCATGGTGGTGGCAGTGATTACATACACCTACACAAAGGAACTAGGTACCCTTTAAAAACACTGCTCCTACAGAAAACCCATTCCTGTGTCTTCCTGCTCCTGTTGAATACAAACTTTCCTTCCCAATACAATTCCCTTTATTTCAAAGTGTAGCATCAAAGTGCAGCAAGAAGGGCCTCAGAAGCAGCTGACGGTCACAAAATAGTGACTGCTTCCTGCTGCTGTCGGAGGATCGCGCCCTCCCAGCCCCCACCTGCCAGAGCCTCAAGACCACTCCAGCTGCCCTCTGCCAACTCCCCAAGTCTAGAATATCCCTCTCTTCCATATCCACCCATAGAAACAGCACTCCATATTTCTGTCTCATTTGTAAGGTAGTTTCCCTTATGAAGCTTTGCATACCTTTCTTTGGAATTAGCATACTTCTGACTGCCAACAGCAGTTTTCATTTTTAAAATTTTAATGAACATTTACTTGTGCTGAGCATGTTCTAGGTGCTTTACAAGGAAAAGAATTGAGTTAATATTCATAACAACTCTCTTAGCCCATTTTACAGATGGGAAAATGGAGCCAAAGTCACACAGCTAATAAATGGGACCTGGCTTTGAACCCAGACAGTGCGGCTCCAGGGAATGTGCTCTTGACCAGTCAGCTTGCCCCTTATTCTGCCTTGAGTTGAGTTTGTTGTTTACACATCTGTCTCTTAGTGACTATTAGAACTATGTCTCCTTGCTCTCTGCATCCCCAGCAATGCCCAGTCCGGGCTCTGCTTGTCATGCGCTTTCAGGGCTGTCTGAATGACTGGCAGGACAGCCTGGACACCACAGCCCGGAGCTAAGCACAGGATTTCCCTCATTGCAGCCACAGTGTTGGTCCCTTAGGTCTCCTATCTCTTAATCTCTCCCAGCTTTACGTTATGTGTTTGTAAAATAAGGATAATAGTACTTACCCCACAAAGTTAATGGGAGCGGGCGTATAATCAGATAGCGTTAGGAGTTGGAATCGTTTTCACCAGCATGTGATCTAGTCTTTGGCACATAAGGAAACTGAGGGCCAGAACGGTTCTGTGACTGGCACAAAGTCGTAGATCTATACTGTGACCCTGACACATGTGAAGACTGACAATGACAGAAAATACGGATTTCTTTTCTCAACAGATATATCATGTACCACTCTAAGAAATGTCCTCTCTGATGTACCTGGCGGCATATATATGTATTCTAATAATGTCATTGCTCAAAAGATTTCTGAAGTTCTTATTTCAGAGTAATCTGTAGAGTAGTATGTGACACTCTCTGTTTATTGCCCTTGCTGGTGGCAAATCTCCCTCCCCTGGCAGGAGGACTTACATTTGGGGAATAGCTAAAAGTCAAGCTGAACCTCTTGAATAAGATGGGGAACAAGCAGTGGAAATAACATGTCTCCTGAAAGTCTGGTTGTAGTTTGAGTGATGCTGCTTTCTGATTAAGTTTTCATCAAGATGAGGTAAGAGAGAAAAGTAACAAGACAGATTTCTCGTGTGGTTTGTAGGATAACACTTAAAATTCCACAAGGGGACCAGGCTGCATGTTTCTTTACAGCTGATGAAAACCAGCGTTGTGGGTACAGATGCGGCCTTGTGCTTATAAGTATTGTATGCCCATTAAATAACAACATTAACGAATAGATGCAATTGGAAAACAGACGCTTTGTGAGGGTACTTTAAGGCAGGACCGTAAAGGCATGAAAGAGGGATTTACTTATGATATGAAGTTATTTCCCAAACTGAAACTATCCAGACTTCCAGAAGCTCTTGATGTAGTGCCAGTTTTGAAATAATCTTCAAGGATGTTTCCCAAGGAAGGTCCCCCTTCCAAATAAAGCCAGTATGAAAGGAAGAATCTAGGAAAGCTATGATAAGCCAGGTACTTAATCAGCAACTTTATATATACTTTAAAAAATCTCATCTAATCTTCACACCCTCCCTAAGAAGTTAATAATAGGATCTCATATTATGCATGAGAAAACAGGCTCGGGGTGGAAGTCATGGAAGTCACCTGCCGCATGAGAAGACTGAGGCTCAGGGGGTGTAAGTCACTTGCTGCAACATCACAAGGTAGATGGAAAAAAAATCCATGTGCATCTTACTCCATCACACTGAGACCAGAGCAATCTGTGTTCTCAGGATATTTAAATGAGTAATATTTTATTCCTGTGAGACCTCTAAACCAAAAGGTTTGGGGATACAATAAATCTGTTATCTTGGAAACAAAGCTGGCAGCTGCTCTTGGCTGGGCTCTATGTGGTAGCTGTGCTTCATGGCAGTGTTTTTGCTCTCACTATCCAATATCCATCCACCCTCTTCTCAGCGGGCCCAAACACAACTATTAATAGAAGTATGGATACTCGGTTTGGATATCTCTTTCAAAACAAAGAAGAGTCTCTTAAAAACTCTTGAGAAATCAAAACTTGTAACTGCCTTATTCTTTTTCATCCCTTCTTCCCCTTTAAAGTTGTATTTATTGGATCACATTATGGTGCCCCCAACTTAAGAGCTAACAAGTACATTTCTTAGTCCTTCTTCATCATGGGTTTCTTAGCAAAATGAGTACTCATGCGCATGCACATAAACACACCTTCAGTTCTGCCCAGACTCCTTCCTGTGGATGGGGAGAGTTGCTGACACAGGAGGCAGAGTAGAAACGCAGCAGCTTGTGCTAATGGAAAAAGGAGGATGATGGTTTCAGAGCATGCATTCTGCTCTCCTGCCCACCCCTCCACCCGTCTCCAGTTCTGCCCCCAAAAAGGCAGCTGAAGTCATTTCAAGGCTTCCTACTTTGTTTCTGTTCCAGAGGCCAAGCCTCCTGGTAAGACTGAGGAAAGCGTAAAGCACCTTGAGTTCCATCCTCCCAAAGGGCCCTGTAGCTGGAGTCAGAGCCTGCGTTTCAGCCTCTCCTTCACCACCATCTAATTTATTGCCTTGAGCAAGCCACTTGCACTCCCTAGGCCTGCCTGTTGCTTCTTCCTTCCAGAGCACGAGGAAATACAAGGAATGAAAAGGATCGAGACCAGCCTGGCCCTTGCTAGGTCTCTTCTGGGCAAATCACATGCTCTTCCATCCACTAAGTGAGGCCACAGATGTCAGAATGCAGCCATCCAGTGTGTCCAGTTCAAAGTAGAAACTGCTCGGTGGATGGGAGTTGCAATGATCTTGAAAATGAGTGTTTGGAAATTGACTGTCTCTGAGATTCCTCGCAGCTATATTTGATTTGAATCCCCTTCCCCAAAACCACCTATTGTGTTGGGAGTTAATCAAACCACACTGATAGGCAAATGGACATGCCAATCTCTCTCTCCCTCTCTCCCTCTCTCTCCTCTTGTCAGATAAGGTTTGAGGGAGAGAGGAATCAGCAGGGGTTCCCCCTAGCTGTCCCTCCACCATCATAAGCCATGCACAATTGTCAGTACTCACCTCTGCCCTCCTCCTTCTCCGGGACACCCTGCCTCCTCTCTCCAGGCCTCCATGGGCTCCTTGGCCTCTGAATTCCTGTAGACATCTAGAGTCCAGATCACAAAACAATCACTTAATAGTCGGAATTTTCATTTGTTCAATTTCCATTTTTGGATAAACTGGGCACATGGCTAAATGTTTTCATCACATTGTATCAATTAATCCAGTGGTTCCCAAATGTATCTACACTTCAGAATGGCCTGGGGAGAGGGGGGCTTCAATAAACTACTGATACCTCTGTCCCACCCCAGAAATTATGATTTAATTAGAGTATGGCCTGGGCTGTAGAATTTGTTAAGACCTCCCTCCCCCCAGCTAAGTGATTCTAATGTGCAGGCAAATTTGGGAACTGCTGACTTCTTAGAACTCTCTGCCATAGGACTTATAATCATGTCCTATTTACAGATGAAGCTCCTGCAGTTGAGCAAACTCCAGTGAGCCCCTCAAGCTCACGTCCACACTGCGTGAGAGCCAGCACTCCAGCCTGGCAAGACTGCAGCTGTGCTGTCTCAATCCTTGCTACCCACAGTGTGGTCCAGAGACCACAGCATCACCTGGGAGCTTGTTCAAAGCGCACATTTTCAGGCCCCACAAAGTCAGACCTACCGAATTTATTCAGAATCCCTCCAAGGGAGTCTCATGCCTGCTTCACTTTGATAACGGCTGCTGTAGTCATGTCAAATGCCCTGAAGGTTACAGTCATGTGCTGGCAGCCTCGGGAGCCACAGCTCTGGCCCCTAGCCATCCTCTGACTTTAATTTACCTGAGTATTATCTGGGCTGCTGGTTTAAAATGACCCACCTCAAAGATCTTTTTTCAGGAAGTTAGAAATCCTGGAGTTATAGCGTTTCTGTGCTGTTTCGTGTTTGTGAGTTTTAAAGCCAATAAGGATCACCCCTTTGGAGCAGGGACCACACATCTATTCCTGCCGCCCTCTGGCAGTAATGAGCAGGTGGCAGGGCTCGGGACTGTTAGCCTGATTGATGGCCTGGTGGAACCACCACCAGGGCACTAAGGTAATTAGACGATCTGTTTCTGGACCTTGCTTTCTGGGCTGGAGGCTGCCGCCTTACGTGATTAGGATGCGTGGGAGGCGCCGCCTCTCCTAGAAGCTGTGCAGGTAGCGCTGGGCTGCAGGAGGCAGCCAAGCCAGGCGCACGATCAGAGCAGGGACGCCTCCCGTTCCTTGGTTCCTGGGCTCCAACGGGCACCTCCAAACCAATAGTTCCAGCATCTCTGTATGCAGACCTTAGAGGACAGGAAGCGACTGCGAGCCCCACACTCTCCAGACACGGAAACTCTAAATGCAGAGAGAACGAAGCATATTTTGTCTTCCTTTTCCTTTTTTTTTTTAAGCAAAATAATAACTTGACACAAGTCCAAGTAGTTAAAAAGATACTAAAAGAAACCCAATTTAGAAGGGCTTTTAGTAGGCTGAAAACAGATGTGGCAAACCATTTCGGGATATTCTGGGAGATGAGATGGGGAGGACCGGATTCGAAATGCCTGGGCCGCCTGTTCTGGGCCCGCCCCGCCAGGTGCCTGTGCTCGGGAGGGGCCTTGCCCAGCACGCATTCTAGAAGGAAGCGGCCCCGCGCCTCCTCCCTCGCAATTACCGCCGGGTCGGAGGCATCCGGGCGGTGCGAAGTCAGCACCGTGCCGAGCAGTTGAGAGCAGACGGTGTTTTCTTTTCATTGTTCCCTCGCTTCGCTGGGAGAGCGGCGGCACCTGTTCCGCGGAAGCGCGGCCAAAGTTGGAAGCCCTGGCGGCTGCTGCCTGCAGCCGACGCGCGGGGGCGCCCGGCTTCATCCGGCCGCGGGGGACCAGGAGCCTGAGAGCCTGGAACTGGGTGCGGGGGGACAGCCAGCCCGAGAGGGCCCAGGGTCGGATTTCGGATGGAACCAGAGCTCGCTCCAGGGAGTTGAAGGAGTTGGGAGCGCATCTCCCAATAATCCCAAAGAAACCGAGCTTTCAGTGCATGCAAGGGGCATTTGATTTCCCTCATTTCTGAGCACTGAAGCACTCCACTGTCATATTTTTGAAATTCGAGAACAAGGAGGTTAAAGAGTCTAAATGGAAGACTAGGTGACCATCCAAAATATCATACATCAATTGCATCTTGTAATTAGTAAAATCATTTTTATTACTTAAGGTAAATCTTGATAAGGTGTTTTTATTAGGTAAGATAAACCTGGTATAACATACGTTGCGGGTGTGTGTGTTTTGTTCAGTTGTCATTTTCAGAGAAATAAATGAATTTTTAAAGTGTATATTTATTCATCAATAATTATTTTTAAAGTGTGCCTGTATACCATATATGTAGTTTTATATCTATCCCACTACCTTCTGCTTGCATAACTGAAGTCACAAAAAGGTAAAAACTAATCCCCCAATATACAGAAGAATCTAGTATGTCCCATAAAAGCATCTTTGCTAACTGGCATCGTGAAAGTATGGTGCTGGACACTCTTGAAATGAAATCATTGTTACTGTCAAATTAGACATCTCCACAAATATACATGATCTGCTCAAACTGACTTTACATCTGGGAAAGGAGAAATTGTAGGTCTCTCTTACTCTGGGATATTTTTGATAGAGCAAAGGTATCCATGATGTAAATTTCTGAGATATTATAGATAAGCCCTTTATAAAGTCACAAATAATATTCCCATAATGAGGGGGGAAAAGATTCCAAAGAAGGCTGAGCACTTACTGAGGGCAGGGACCATCATTGTCTCCTGCTTTACAGTATCTGCAACTCCTAGCATATCTGGTTTACGTCTTGCCAACTAAAGGTAATGAGGCTTCCCTGGAAGGGCACTGAATCCATGGCCAGAAAGTTTCACAAGGAGGCAGCTGAAATAACCAGCCACATAGCTCATGGGGGAACATCAGTGCACCTCAGGGGGTTGGCATTCTGGGAGAGGTCCTCTCAGCTCAGATTTCTTTTGTAAACTTTCCCAGTCTGGGACTTTCCTTCCTACACTGATCCTATGACTCTGCATAAAATTCAGTTTTATATGTATACATTGCATATTTAGTGCACACAGGACACAGCGATCAGGTGTTGCAGGGTTTGCAGAAATAAGCAAAACAACACCCTTTATGTGCTGGCCAGGAATAAGTTTACAGTCAAACAGTGCAAGAAGGGCATCATACCAGGGTCAGAACAAGCATGTTTCATCAGGGCAGCAAAAAGAGCTCACATCTATGGAGGAGTCTTTGAAGGAGTGCAGCGTGTGAGATGTACTTTAAAGAATGCAAAAAATCTTCAACTGGGAAGAAATGGATGGGAGGAGAATATTCTGAACAGAAGGAATGGTGCGAGTAGGAGTTTGGATCATGGGGTATGTTTGGGGAACAGGGCAAACACTTGTCCTTGAACATAAAATATATGTGCATAGAAAAGAGAGCTATAAAAGATAAGGCTGGAAATGCTGGTTGGGGCCATATTTAAAAACTCGTTCTTACCTGCCTGGCCAAATAATTTGTATTTAGTTTCAGAAAGTAGTTAGAAATAGGAGATTCTTGAGCAGAACAAGTAAATAGCACTGGGATTACACATTGAGAGAGTTTTTGTGGTATTGGGACACATAGAATGCCCATGCAGGAAGACAGTAGAGCCTGAATTTAGGATTGTGGCAGAGGGATTAAGAAGTTGGAAAATACACTTTGAGAGCTGCTTCAAAGACACTCCTAGCCTTGGCAAATGGTTGGGTTTGCGAGAAGGAATGGGTTGGTTAAGGGAATCATAGCAGTCACATAGGAAGTCAGGAAGAGCGCAGTGACTGTGGGGCAAAGAATTCTCTTTTAGACTTATGGTCTTTGAGGTGCTGGCAGGACCTCCAAGGGAAGATGCTCACAGAAGAAGTTAGAAATCAAATTCAGAAGGTTGGGCACAGCGGCCCATGCCTGTAACCTCAACACTTTTCGAGGCCAAGGCAGGAGGATCGCTTGAGGCCAGGAGTTCAAGACCTGGCAGCATAGCAAGACCCCATTGCTATAAAAAATAAAAGATTAGCTGGGCATGGTGACATGTGCTTGTAGTCCTAGTTACTTGGGAGGCTGAGGAGGGAAGATCGCTTGAGCCCAAGGATTCAAGATTATAGTGGGCTGCGATCACGCCACTGCACTCCAGCCTAGATGGCAGAGCAAGACCCTGTCTCTAAAAAAGAAAACAAAACAAAAACAAATAAAAAACATTAAATTCAGCACATGGAGAAACAGGGCTAGAGTTACAGAATAGAAATTCATCCATGGAGGGGCAGGGACAGGAATAGATGAAAATGCCAGGAATCCTGGGGAGGCAGAAGAGGCCAAGGACAGAGCTTTGAGGTGGTCACGTGTTCCTGCCCAGCCTCTGGTCCTGCTCTCCTCTCGTTGATGTCTAGAAAAACATTCTTACCAAAAAAAAAAAAAAAAATACAATTTGCTAGGAGAATTTCAAAAATATGACAGTGGAGTGCTTCAGTGCTCAGAAATGAGGGAAATCAAATGCCCCTTGCATGCAAAATTCTTCCACCTGAGATTAGTTAGAGGCTTCAGACAATATGGAAAGACAATTTCAGATTTTAGGAAGTTTTGTTTATTGAATTTATTTATACTAAAATGAATCTGTAGTTCTAATTTGGGAAAATGACTTAGCTACTTCCTTCAGAAAAAATATAATTCTAATCTTTAGTGTTCAATCTGATTTTCTGCCCACTCCTCCTAAAAAGTTTTCAATCACTTTCTGAAACTAGAAATAATTCAAAAGAAGAGCTAAAATATTGCAAACTTCCTTCACAGTTTATTTTTGCAGGCCGTTCTCTGAGTAGAGATGCACAGGAAATGAATGGTTACAGTAACTGGGATGTTTGTGGTAAAAATACAATTTTTTAAACTTAGACCATTTTTCCAGGTTTTACGTCTCCCATAACTCAAATATTGTTTTCTTCTGAGAAGAATAAAAACACAGGTGATCTACAAAAAATAGACCTTCCTCTTGAGTATACAATTAACTTTTGTGTGCAAATTTTGTCCTATAAATCATAGTGTGACCCATCATGGGAGGAACTCCAAAAAAACCAAACTGTAAACCCATAATTTCTTTTATGTTTTCTAAAGGTCAAATGCTGCAAATACTGGCCAGATGACACAGAGATATATAAAGACATTAAAGTTACCCTAATAGAAACAGAACTACTGGCAGAATATGTGATAAGAACATTTGCTGTTGAAAAGGTAAGTTTTCATACTGCTTTTAAAAGCTATGGTCAGACACTAGTGGTACCATACTAGCCTCATTAACTTACCTAGGATACTTTACACATGCTCATATCTCAATGCAGGTAGGCTCTATCTGATGGTTTCTCAAGATTGCATCTTGCTCTCTGATTCTATAACAGCTCAGTTCCATCTTTAAAACAAATCATTCTCATTTCATAAGAATCTATATTTTGCAAGTAAACCAAAAGTTAATGTCTATTTGTTTATTTTCTTTCCCTGGTTGATATTGTTCTGCCCGTCTCTCTTTCTTTGTTCACAGAACAAAGTTTGCTAAATTTTGATAAATGTCCTTCCAGTTTGGTAAATTTCCTTCATGGTGTATGTCGATATGCATTTTCCAGTAGGGAGTTAGTATCAGTGTTGAGACACAGGTCCTAACTCCTCCTGGAATCTCTCACTTCCTTGTGGCTTTCGAAACCTCTGGTTTAATGTGGACTGATGGATTTTCCAGGTGGAAGTGACCTACCTGGAAACCTAAGTGACTGATCTCCATCAGACATGGGACACTCTTGCATGAACCAGCGCATTCATTCATGCTCACTCCCATACTGGTTTTCCCCTTTTGTAGTTGCTGGTGTTGGGTCGGTGAATGTTCTGCTTTGGTTCTGCCCTGCCTCATCCCATGTGCATGGATGGGGCTTCTTCTCTGGGATGCACTGTAGGGCATAACAGGGAATTTCCTTATTCCCCCTCTTTCTGCTGACATAGGGAGGGGCCGGAGGTGAAGCAAACTGCAGTCCATCCAGAGAAGTGTCACAGGTAGGCTCTGGGGAAAGTGGAGGTGATGTGGCTGAGGAACACTCTGCCTTCCAAAGATCCACAGACTTTTCTATCCAGAGTTGATTCTCCATAACCGAGCCCTGCACAGCTGCCCTGGACTTAGGGATCTTGGTGTGAATTTGTTAGCTTCTACTCATGTAATAGTAGCAGGTCTTCTTGGAAGACCTGGGTTATAGGCAGATTGCTAGGGAATTGGATTTTGGCCTTCCTCTCCACTCTATATTCTTTTTTTTTTTTTTTTTTTTTTTTTTAAGACGGAGTCTCGCTCTGTCGCCCAGGCCGGACTGCGGACTGCAGTGGCGCAATCTCGGCTCACTGCAAGCTCCGCTTCCCGGGTTCACGCCATTCTCCTGCCTCAGCCTCCCGAGTAGCTGGGACTACAGGCGCCCGCCACCGCGCCCGGCTAATTTTTTGTATTTTTTTTAGTAGAGACGGGGTTTCACCTTGTTAGCCAGGATGGTCTCGATCTCCTGACCTCATGATCCACCCGCCTCGGCCTCCCAAAGTGCTGGGATTACAGGCGTGAGCCACCGCGCCCGGCCTCCACTCTATATTCTCACTGCATCTAAATGCGCTTTTTAGATGAACAAGACCAGTTTTAGGAAATCAAGGAAATTGCAACATCTGCTTATTGGCTAATTTAGTCTGATGTTTTGAACTACCTTTCCTGGTTTGCAGATCCAAATTTGTCATAGAATCACAAAGCTGGAAAGACTTTATTTTAATCTGTTTCTCATACTATTTAGCATTTTTTTTCTTAGCCTGTCTTTTTTAATAAGCAGGCAGAAAGCTTGGAGACTTCAAAGAATGAGGAGTTCTGGTTGACTCAGTTCTTCAAGTTCTGAACCTCACACTTTGATGTCAATTTTTTCCTTCTTAGGCAGAATTGGAAAAAAAAAAAAACACATGGAGGATTTTTGTATGGCTGTTGGCAAGAGCACTCATGAATAACCGCATTAAAACAGCGATAAAAGACCCTCAATATTTTTTTCTTTAAAAAAAAATCCAAAAGCCATCATTTAAACATGGAGTTTTTTTGAACAATAGTCAGCTCTCTAATAAGCTGAAAATGCACCTCTGTAGCTAAAGGAAGGGTTTGTTTGTTTCTTTCCTCTTTTTTTTTAACCTCTTATTGTACTCCCCTGAATTCCCAGCTGCACAGAAATGTGTCTGAAATATCCAGTCATTTTAGTCACTAGACAACCAGTGAAGAGGTGGTGGAGGGAAGAGAAGGAATAAGGAGCTTGTTAATGCATTTGGGGAAATCAAAATGACACATTAGTGATTTTCTAACCGGGCAATTGGAATCTTTAAGGAAAACAAATCATTAGTACTTTTGTAGAGCATTTCTTATAGGTTTTAAACTTTCTCATTAGAAAGGAAAGAAGAGAACAGGTAAGCATGTACTTTGAGATGCCTGCAATTCTGATTCTATTTTGAGAGCATGTTGCATCGAGGGACCTAAAGGTGAAAGTGGATTAGGGCTCTGCTCTGCAAAACAAGCAGATGCAATGCACTTTGGAACTCATGAATTCCTGCTTTGCATCTGATTGTTGTCTTTTATTTCCCACATAGCTGATGATTCCAAGCTAAACAGATTTTAAATAATACACAGTACCCAGAGTGTCAGAAGGAAGACACCCCTGAAGTCTCCATGCATTTAGGCTGTCTGGTGAATCTATCCCTGACTATTCTGGGAGAAACAAAGTTGACAATGGTCACTGAATTCTCGCTACCCAGGAGCTGCCTAGGATTCAGAAAGGGCATGAGAAGATGATCCTCCTGTCTCCAAGACAGAACATGTATTATACAAGACAGAACATGACTATTCATTTCACAAGTATTTCTTAAGCACCCACTTCAGGCCAGGGACTATTGTATGACTTGGATCAAAATTAAGTGACTAACTGGGTGTGGTGGCTCATGCCTGTTAATCTCAGCACTTTGGGAGACTGAGGCTAAAGGATCGCCTGAGCCCGAGAGTTCAAGACTGCAGTGACCCATGATTGCGCCATTGCACTGCAGCCTGGGCAACAGAATGAGACCCTGTCTCGGAAAAAAAAAAAAAAAATTAAGTGACTCTCACATTTTTGTATATAACATTAATGCTTGTTATGATGAAAAACCAGGAAGTAATAGTATCAAATTGGGAGGTATTTGGGCTGTGATAACTGATGACATCTATGATGTTCTTCCCCAAATGTATTACATTCCAAAACAGAAAAAAGGAGACACTGCTATGTCAATGAACAAGAATGAAAACTGGATCAGAAGCCGTTTCCTTTGCCACTCTTGTCAATAGCAAACATATTCAAGGGTGGAGGTTTAATTTTGAGAAATGTTTTCTACTTTCCAGAAACTGATATTTACCTTGCTCAGAAAAAGAGTCTTAGATCAGTTAAGAGCTGTAGTTCAGCACTTGAGGTTGCTGGAACTGAAATCTAACAAAGCTAGAGAGAGAAGCACACCCCATGCTCCCACTCCCCAAAAACCCCACACCCCAAAAACCCACCAGGACATGGAGAAAGATATGCCCCTTTTTTCCCCTTTGGAATAAAGTATTTACCGTCAATAAGCTTTCCCAGTTCATATATGGGAATGCATACCACCAAAATGGGATCACTCCTATGTGGGTCATCATGCAGAAAGCTGGGGGAGCTTTCTAGGGGTTTTGAGGGTGACACAGCCTCAGCTGTATGTTTTCTAAGGGAGACCATGGCACTGGCAAACATTCCCTTGGTTTTAGGGATAAGGAATTTGGGCTCCTAACCACCTAATCATACTACTCTGGGATCACAGAGCCTATTTAGCAGACAACAATATTGATTTGCATTTGTGAATCCCCGACTGCTTAATTCCTTATAGCTTAAACTCTAGTAAAGAATGGCATTTTCACAGAGAAGTAAAGCTTCAGCATTTGTGGGTTATTAAATGAAGACATGTTAACACATGGGTGCCAAGGAAGTCTTATCTCGAAATCTGCAGTTGTTTGCTTTTCTGGTCTTTCAAAGCACATAAAAATTCTGAATTTCTTCTTTGCTCACTAAGTATGTGTGAACAATGATTGATGGTGAAAGTGATGAGGTTAATGAGTGTTTACTTTTAAGATACAATAAAACCAAATGCAGAAATGGTTCAGAAAATGATCATGGAATGAGAGAAGGAAGAAAGTCTAATTTGATCCTAGATGTACATCCAGCGTTGATTCCGGTTTTGTTTTCAAAACAGTCTTTTGCTTTAAAACACAGTCTTAATATATAGGCTTATACTTAGAAAACAAAATTGACAGGTATAAATTACCTTAATTATTCTCAAAACAAAAGTAAATTAAAACCAAGAGCAAACCGTAAAGTCTCTTTCTTTCTGCCTTCACTACAGTTGAGTGGCAGGCAGCTCCCCTTCGATTTACTGACCTAGCCTAGAATTCCAGCAAAAATATCTTTCGATTCCCATAGTATGTATTGGCTTACATGCCTGTTTGCCACAAGCAGACTGTGACAGCCACTCAAAAACATATTTCTGTAGCCCTAGCACCTCCCATAATGCCTGGGGCAGTGTAGTCACTCAGATTGCTAGCAATTGGATGAATGGGTAAAATATTTACCCACATTAAAAAGAGAAACCTAACAAACAGAGCTGTAAATGCAAATGAGCTCTCTGACCTGTCTAGTTGGAAAGGTGTCCTCATTCATTCCTACTGCAAGCATCATCTGAGCATGCTCAGTGAGTGTGCACCACTCCAGTCCCTGCTGTGAGAGGTACCAGGATGCCGGAAAGCCCCAACACGGAGTTGGTATTGAGCACACAGACATCCTTTAATTTCTTCAGGCCCCTCTTCTGTGCCTCTTTCTCTACAGACTCTCACCTCACCAGCCACCTTGTGATCTAAGTGAGACAAACCTTTAACATAGTCTACTTTTTAGAAAGGAATTTCAAACAACCCAACCAATTCATCCATTTGCTGGAATTACACCTAAAAATTAGCATTTTCCCCAAACATCATCCCCCTTTCATACCCAGACATCTTCCTAAGGGTACAATGCCTTCCACATTGTGTGTGAGATCTAAGGATGGCCTCTTTCCCCAGCAGTCCACTGTTTCCTGGCCCTAGACTTGCTACCTGGGGACTGTTTCCACTCCCCCAGCTATCCCTGCTTATTTGTGGTTTGTTTTCCCTTGTTCTCTTCCTTGTTCTGGCTAACCAACTACTGCAGAGAGGTGTGCATGAAATCCGAGAGATCAGACAGTTTCACTTCACTGGCTGGCCGGATCATGGGGTCCCCTACCATGCCACCGGCCTGCTGGGATTCGTGCGGCAAGTCAAGTCCAAGAGCCCGCCCAGTGCAGGCCCACTGGTGGTGCACTGCAGGTAAGCAGAGCTCCAGAGCCTCTTGAAGGAAACGCAGTGGGTGATGGGTGCAGGGCCACCTTTGGGGATGATGAGTATGTTTTAGAACTTCAGAGGGGTGATGATTGCACAACATTTTGGGAGCACTAAATGCCACTGGAGTGTACCTTTTAAGAGGTTTAATTTTATATTATGTAAATTTCACCTCGATAAAAAATTTAAAAAGCAGCAGCAGCAGTGTGGTCCTTCTTCCTCCACTGACAGACCCCCCTTTTCATTCAGTGCTGGTGCAGGGAGGACTGGCTGTTTCATCGTCATTGATATCATGTTGGACATGGCCGAAAGGGAAGGGGTCGTAGACATCTACAACTGCGTCAGGGAGCTGCGGTCACGGAGGGTGAACATGGTGCAAACAGAGGTACTCCCGCTCATCACCTAGCCTGGGGCCTTGGTCCCTGGGCTCCCTCCTGCATCTCCCCATTTCAGGGCCAAGGGCACAAGGAATCCAGGCAATTATCTGTTCAAGTGATCTACCTGGCATTCCCTGTTCCTTCCCTCCCTCCCTCCCTTCCCCCTTTTTGTTTTTCCTCTCATAAACAAACCAAACAAACCCAGGAGTTTTCCAGGTAACAGAATCAAGAGCCCAAATTTGCACACTTTTCTGTATTAAGGGACCCAAAAAAGTCTCTGTTAAGTGCTCAGACTTTCAATACCATTTCCTTTTATTATCTCTTTTAAACTAGCTGGTAACCAGAGCAAGACCGCTCCTGAGAATAGTGGCTGAAGGGTTATCTCTGTGCACTTTGTTCTTCTCCCAGGGTCCTGGGAAGAACAGAAGCCTCCTGACCCTAAAAATTCTGCCCAGTGTCTGGCGTCCTGGGGATTTGCCCATTTTGTGAAGTACTGTATACTAACTAGTAACTCTGTAAGTGGAAATTCAAGGTATATCGGGAATTTCCATTTTTTCAGAAGCAATGTTACATCCTGCTCTTAGGACATTCGTATTTTTACTCATATTTGATTGTTTTAAGTAGGCGTCACACCGACCACCTGGAAAATGATTCATGAAGTGAAGTGAAGAAGAAGTAAGAATCCCTTACATTTAGATGGTGCATTTAAGTTTATGAAAGCCTCTGGGAAACCTAATCCCATTTTTTTAGCTAACATAAAAATAACAGAAACTTTAAATGCTGCTTTCATGGGTTCTTTTCCTTAGAAAGGGGATACTGTGTTTGAAAGATAATAATCGTAATAATTTATCTTTTAATGTACTTTATAGTCAATCAAATGTTGCCACTCGCATTTCTCACTTGGATCTTCCATTTTCAGGTGTTGTTTACTGGTAGTGTGCTGTTTTTGGGAATCAATCTGTTGGACAAGAGGTTGTTGAAAAAAAATAATTAAAGGTCATATTTATGTATAGAAAAAACCGAATTAACTGTAATAAGAGGCTTTTTAAACTTCCCATATAACTAAAGATTAATAATAAATATGATAAGACTCTACCAATGAATTTTAAGAAAAGTCAGTGCCAAATCAGAATTAGAGGCCCCATATTTACACTGTGAACTCATTGAAGATATATATGAGAACAGCTCTCTGTACTTCTAAGAGGTTTCATAATCATATTAACTTTTATGTTCTGAAATAAGAACTTCTAAGTACTTTTATGTTTTGAATTAAGAACTTCCAGACTTCTTGTCTTCACAGTAATGCCAAGTTTTTCTGGACCTTCTTTGCACTATTATTTTGACCAGCAAATCCTACCATAGACAAAATTCTGCTCATTCCTCATGTGAAATACTGAGTTCCAAGTGAGTAGGATCAGAATGACAGAGGTCTTCAGCCACAGTTTTCATGGTGCTGCAGTGCGTGTGGTGGTTTGTATTGGGTCCGATTGGTTTTAATCAATCTGTGTAATATTTGGCATTGCACCCCAGTCTCCTAGCACTTGAGCCCTTGGACCGTGTTTCTCTCTGGAGGAACTGTCTCCACTCTCTTGATGATGTGGGGCTAAAATTGATACCGTCTTTCCTCCTTCTCTGGTTCTCTAAAGTTAGTAACTCGTTCCATCTCCTTCTCCAGGAGCAGTATGTGTTTATCCACGATGCGATCCTGGAAGCCTGTCTTTGTGGGGACACCTCTGTGCCTGCTTCCCAAGTTAGGTCTCTGTATTATGACATGAACAAACTGGATCCACAGACAAACTCAAGCCAGATTAAAGAGGAATTCCGGGTAAGTGATGCCTAAGGGAGGGGCACTGCACGGTGACTTGCTCCTCAAGAAGGATTTCAAGGTCAGCACCTGAGTGAGCCCTTGAATCACAAGGTTCCTTGGCCTCCATAGCACTGTTCGTATTCAGGGCTGGGTAACCCAGAGCTCTACCCAGGAGACGTCTATGGTATCACCACCACACAAAAATGTGTGTAGACATTGCCAGGTGTCCCCCTGGGGGACAGAAATACCTGGTTGAGAACCACTGGTCTAACAACCATTTCCACTCCTTCCCTCTGAAGGCAGACATGGACTAGTCCCCAACACCATGGCTCCTTGTCCACAGCATAACCATGGCACAGTTACACCATGGAAGTGTGTGTTCAGACTTTCCAACCAAGAGCTCTCCATTGTATTCCTCACATATGCATTTTGTCCAGATGTACCCGAGTCAAGGCCAGACTCTTCCCCCACCTCTGACCTCCCAAATCCCCAGGTGCCTCACTCCACTGGGACTTGAGGGCTCTTAATTCTAGGGACCCACAGTGGCCCTTACGCCTCTGCCTCTGGCCCCTGTGTCTGATGGGCACTGTCAGTGGACGAAATCCAAGGAGCAAAAGAAAGAAAACTCGAACTATGGTGGGTTGGGGAGGGAGGGGGAAGGGACCGTCTTGCAGTCAGCCACAGGAAGTTTGCATCTTTCGAAAACTGCACGTGAGAGGAGTCCGCTGCCAAGGCTTCTTGTCCTCATGTTCCTTTCTTTTCTCACGCAGACGCTAAACATGGTGACACCAACGCTGCGAGTAGAGGACTGCAGCATCGCACTGTTGCCCCGGAACCATGAGAAAAACCGGTGCATGGACATCCTGCCCCCAGACCGCTGCCTGCCCTTCCTCATCACCATCGATGGGGAGAGCAGCAACTACATCAATGCTGCCCTCATGGACGTGAGTGCCCCGCTTCCCGCACGGGTCCGAGGCTGGGGTGTTTGGGGAGACTGCAGAACAGGCTTGGGTCTTCCCCATTCTGCTCACCAGCCCTTTTGTTTTTTAAGACACAAACTTTTTTTTCCAACAAAAAATAGATTTCAGATTCCACGTATGTTTTTGTGTCGGGGCTGATATCCTTCGTTTCTCAAAGACCACCAGGCCAGGAGTATCCGTAAATGCAGCATGGCACAGTTGCCCTCTGAGAGCTGAGACTTTTAACCTGCTGGCTGGGGAACAGGGGACACCATGGCAGGAAAATGGGTTAATAGATTTGCAGCATTATTTTAGTTCATTTTCCTGTAATTTAGCCTGCAGTTAACATAGGGGAAAGTTCAACTCATTACTTCCTGCCAGTCTGTTTTCTTATTGCTATTCCGTTGATGCAAAGAGTGAATGGGTATGTTCTGTGCTAACACGGAAATTTTAATTCTGTTGGTGTCATATCATAAAAGGTACCTGAACTTTTTTGAAGCTCTTCAGAGCTGTAAAAAAAAAGTACATGTATTCTTTACGGCAGAAATAAGAACACTGTCACACATACAAATTGCTAGCAAACAAGTTTTAGAAAAAGCAGAACTTTTAATTATGTGTAATTTTAAAAGTAAAGTTAAATTTTCTCCATCAAGATAATTATGTATAGATTCGATATTGCCTCTCTACCAGAAATATTTTAAAAATTGATAAGAGATACTAATTAAGTTTTCTTGGTATCAAAGTAAGACTTTTATCACTATTATTCTGCAGAGAAGTTTATATTTAGTCTATGTTGGTGCTGACAATGGTGACAGAATTCAACAGCTGTTAAACATGTTCAGTGTTTTGTGCCACAAGCTTCCTTCTGCATGAAATAACCTAGCTTCTTCTCTTCCCATTTTCCTGAGTATATTTGGAGCATTCTTGTTTGTGTTTGCAGAGCTATAAACAGCCTTCAGCTTTTATAGTCACCCAGCATCCTTTGCCAAACACAGTGAAAGACTTTTGGAGACTGGTCCTGGATTATCACTGCACATCCGTAGTTATGCTAAATGATGTGGATCCTGCCCAGGTGAGACCCGGACTTCTTACAGTCAGAACTAGTGCCAGGGGGTCAAGTTTGTTTTTACACTGAGTTTGTTTGCACCCGAGAAGTGCAGGCCCTAGTGCCAGATCTCAAGTGCCAGTTGAAGTTGAGAACTGGGGATGCTGAACACAACGGTTAAAAATCAGGCGGAATTAGGGGTTAGAAAGTCAGTTGAAACCAGAAATACAGGCTGAAATCATAGATGGTTGAGGTGACAGGGCAAGACACGGCCAGAAGTTGAGCTGTTCCTAAAAGATGGAAATACTCACTGGAGGTTGACAAGGTCGCAGACCGAGTTGGAGCTCAGCAGGAACCTGAACATCGCAGAGCCAAAGCAGAATGAGCAAACCAGAGGACAGTGGAGAAGGGAAGATAGCGTTTGACCCAGCCCAGATCCCATTCCTGGAGTGACTGTGTGCTTCCTGGCACAGCTCACCGGGAGCCTACAGGTAGAGATCGTCATGCAGGGCAGGTAGAGATTGTCATGCAGGGTGACAGTGTCGGGGTGACAGCAGAGACAGGCAAGCAATTTTAAGGCACAGCAATTAGTTTTCTCAATGCTTTAGTAAAGATATTAAAAAGAAATAATACTGGGACTTGGAGATAAGAGAAGTTTGGAATGATAAATGGGGCTTTTGCATAGTTACTCTTAAACATTAAAGAGAAAGAATTGGACAGTGATGACTCAATGTTAGTAATGGAGTTAGACACATTTTCTTGAAGCAGGTTGTCAGGCAAGCATTAGCACAGTGGTCCTTTAGGAGATGAATTTATTGCTTTGGGATGTGCCTATACCAATCATAGACAACCACCATGACAGTAGGCATTATGGGAAGTTTGACCTTAGCGTGTTTTAAGAAAAAACTTGTTCTGGAAATGAATTAATTTCCTGTCCAGTAGACACAAATTCTTTTTCTTAAAAAAAAAAAAAAAAAAAGTCTGAAGCATTTCGGCATCCCAACTGGACATGATGGCAAGATTTTTCCTTCCTACAATCTGTTTTCTTGCCATCATCCAGCCATAAATGGCATGGACATTCAATTCAGTTCTATAAGGTTTTTAATTATGTCTGAGGCACTGCATTATATTGTCAAAGCTCTTGCCTGAAAGCTGGTTAATGAAATAGTAATGATAATCTTTGTTCTTATCCAGTCCTTTTGGCTTAAGAAGCTTAAATATTTTAAAACTCTTCCCCACTGATGCTCTGAGAAGGTTAGCTTACAGTCATTTATAAAGACAAGCAGACACCACGGCTTGTGAAGCTTCAAAGACCCAACTCAAAATAGAACCAAGGGTCCTGATTTTCTCACTTACAGTGGCACGGCCGAAATTTCACTAATTCTAGAGTCTTAAGTTGCAGACACTTATAGAATAAGGGACTTCTTCCTTATTTAGAATCATGATGGTTTTTTTCTTAATGTGAATCCTGAAATGTGGAGATATTTTTGTTCATATTAGTGAACAAGACATCAGTGATTCTAGTGCATTCTTTTTGAAAAACTGCATTGGAATTCTAAAGCCGCATTCTAAACCCGAACTATCTGGACTCAAACCAAGCCTTGGCTGGCTCATGGGTAGGAGAGACAAAAAGACTCCAGTTCTATTCAGCAGACAGAGCTGATTTTCAGAGTGAGAGAAAAGAGGCTCCTGGGATTCAGTCTTTTAGCGAACACTAAACTGAGCATTTGAATGTAAAGGCTTTGCAATTCTACAAGAATAGCACTCAACTATTTTAAGTATTTATAGGTCCGGTTCACGGACGTGTTATGCACCATTTAAGCCATTTTCTACATGGTTTACTTGGGCAGAGCATAGAATGCAATGTGCCAAGAGGCAAGTGCAACCCACGTCACTCATATTTCTTTGGTGTAAGTGGCAAGCTTTTGGTCAGGAGCTTGAACTGAGAAAGCAAGCAGAAAGCAGAGTAAGCTCAGGCAGTAGAAAAATGGGCAGAACGGTTCAGATGTACATGTTACAGCTTTTATTAACATCTCGGCTTCCCATCATAATGCCTATTAATTTCAACAGTGGGTACACTTTGGGCATCAAAAAGAACATAAACATCACATGCTATTATTTGACAAGGCAGTTTTATAACTTGTCACCAGGAAGTGCTGGTGAGGAAGGAAATATTTCACGGAAGCATTATTTAAAAATAAATAAATGTAATTTTTAAAATACTGTCAGCATAGCTAACATAAAAGGCACCCTTGGTTACCCTACTTTCATTCTTACTTATAAAATCCCAACCTTAACTGTTCTGTGATGGAGAGAGAGATACTGCTGTTTTGATTGGCCCACTGCTAACTGAAAACTATCCTGCAATCTTGGGTATAAATCAACCTTAGCAACCTTTGACAATGAGATTTTAGATCCTTTGGAAAACAGAAGTCATCTAGAAATTCAGCCAGTGGATCCTCCTTTCCTGACACATCATTCTGCATAAAATTAGGTGATTGTCTTCCTCTGCTCTTGGCCCAGGATAGAAACAGGTTGTATAATAAAGTAGTTCTCCCCTTGCCTTTCCATAGGCCACCTGTCCCTCAGCTAAATCAGAAAGATAAAAGTTAGATGCGGCCAGGCGCAGTGGCTCACACCAGTAATCCCAGCACTTTGGGAGGCCGAGGCGGGTGGATCATGAGGTCAAGAGATCGAGACCATCCTGGCCAACATGGTGAAACCCCCTCTCCACTAAAAATACAAAAATTAGCCGGGCGTGGTGGCGCATGCCTGTAGTCCCTACTACTCAGGAGGCCAAGGCAAAAGAATCGCTTGAACCCGGGGGGCGGAGTTTGTGGTGAGCCGAGATCACACCACTGCACTCCAACCTGGCGACAGAACGAGCTTCTGCCTCAAAAAAAAAAAAAAAAAAAAAAAAAAAAAAAAAAGGTAGATGCTACTCAAAAAAAAGTTATAGGAATAAGAAGTCCCAAAGGAAGAGTAATTTCAAACTTTAAATGCCTGTTAAGGTTTCGGGGCTTTGAGAAGGGTTTTTGAAGAAAAAAATCTTAGCAGTTCTTCCTTCCTGACTATTTCCAAGGGTAGGAATTTTGTGGGGTGCTGGCTAATAAGCACCTTCATAAGCCACCATGCCCAGCACCACTCCTACTGCCCTGAGTTGTGCATTTACATTCATGCAAATGTTTTAGTTACTCAGTATCAACAATACCTAGAGTTTGAGGCTGTAGGAAATTGCTTTTTTAATTAGGCCACTTCCAGGCAGAACAGCAAAGCATTTATTCTTATTACAGCAGATTTGCTAGATCTGAGCTGCAAGGGTTTGGACTGGAACATAAAAATGCAACCCAACAATGTTATCAGTTCCAAACCTTGTCACAAAATAGCCTTATTCCCAATAGTGGTTATAAATCCACATGCAATCCCAGCCAGCAGAGCGTGGAGATCTGGGCATTAAGAGTTGTATAGCCATCTTGAGTACCTTACATCCTGGGGTGGCACCTAGTGCCTCTCCCCGGGGCCTGATGAGAGTTCCCTTCACCATGCAAAAGGGGACATGGCGACTGCCATCCACATGACCTCGTTGGAAAGCAGAATTACTCATGGCTTAAAAGGTGCTTTCTGAGAAAATGAAGGAAAAAGTCCCAGGAAAAGGACAGGTGGAGTTGAGGAATCAGCCAGCAAGGAAGTCCAAAAGCCTACATTGCTGGGAGGAAAAGAGAAAGAAAAGAAAACAAAGGGAGTCAGTGAAATCTTCAGAATTCCTGAATGATGTCTCCAAACACAGCATCCCACATCCGTAATCCCAGCAATTTGGGAGGCTGAGGCAGGAGGATCACTGGAGAAGAGGGCTTCAAGACCAGCCTGGGCAACATAGCGAGATCCCTGTGTCTCCAAAAATACAAAAATTAGCCAGGCATGGTAGCACACACCTGTGGCCCCAGCTACTTGAGAGGTTTAGGTGCAAGGGTTGCTTGAGCCCAGGAGCTCAAGGCTGCAGTGAGCCATGATCGCACCACTGCACTCTAGCTGGGGAGACAGAGCAAGACCCTATCTCTTAAAAAAAAAGGATTACTGAGTGTCAATACTAACCTTATCCAAACTGTTAGGAGTAAATTTCCTCTTATAACTAACCTTGTGTTTATATGTTTTGAATTCAGTTGTGTCCACAGTACTGGCCAGAAAACGGAGTACACAGACACGGCCCCATCCAGGTGGAATTTGTCTCTGCTGACCTGGAAGAGGACATCATCAGCAGGATATTCCGCATTTACAATGCCGCCAGAGTAAGAGACGGGCCTGTCATGCCTGTGATTATGGTTTCATTTATTTTCTCACTCACTGAATACTTGGAGCACTCACTCTATGTCAGTCACTGTTCCAGGAGTTTGGAGTATGTCAGTGAACCAAAAAAACATAGATTCCTGACCTTATGGAGCTTACATTCTAATAGGAGCAGTATTTAGAAAGTAATGATACTTATTAAAGCACGGCAAGGCAGATTTTATTCAAGACCATCACGATAGGTGCAGGGACCCCTGTCACAGGACCTTGCAGTGGGTGAGAGAGAGTGGGCTCAACTCCGAGTGTGGCATGGGCAGGCAGGAATTTATAGCCAGCAGGCAGGGTGGGGGTCAGTGGATGGAAAATTACTAAGGGGAGGCATGAAGAGTAAGGGGGGTTCTGGCTAAACTGACTTAACAGGATTCTGGCTGAAGGCAGGCCAGGTGACCAGACATCCGAGGAACCTGATCAGATATCAAACATGGTCAGGTATTAAGGGTGGGTGGTTCTTGCCCACGGTGACTTAACAGAAATTGCTAAAACTGGATTTTACAAGGAAGTTCATGGATAGGCCTAGGAGAATATTCAGGAGCCTGACGAAAGTTTGGTCAAGCAAAGAATTATTGTCAGAAATCAGACAATAAATAACAGATACAATAATAGATGTAGTAAGTTAGGAAGTGACAAATTCTACAGGAAAAGAAGTACTGGGGTTAGAAAGTGCTAGGGCCTTACAGTGGGGAGCAAGCTCTGTTGTAAGCATGTGTGCCCTGTGAGCCAAGACGGAGGAGTCCAGGGAGCACCGAGGCTCTCTGGGGAGGCAGCTTTCCAGGCAGAAGGAAGGGTCAGTGCAGAGGCCCCAAGGCAGGGCCTTGCATGTGAGTGCCAGGACAGCAAGGAGGCGGCATGGCCCAGGCTCAGTGAGCAGAGGCAAGAGTAGCTGATGGGGAGTGAGCAGTTCACCTGGAAGGACAGTGGCTTGGGGGCCCCGGCTGGAAGGGCCTGGCAGTCACTGTCAGCATTTGGACTTTTGCTTTGAAGGAAATAAGGAGCCATTACAGAGTTTTGAGTGCAAAAATCCAATGGTGTAATTTACATTTTAAAAGGAGCACTCTGGCACCTGTGTTGAGAATAGACTGGAGGAGAGAGGCATCAGGAGGCTGTTGGGATAATAATCCCCGTGAGAAATGACAGTGATAGGAGAGGAGATCATGGTGAGACGGGAGAGAGCAGGAGTGGAGGTCATGAGAAGGGGGAGGTTCTGATATTTTCTGAAGGAAGAGCCAGCACAATCCTGGGGAATGGAGTGGGCTCTCACGGTTCCTGTCCTGAGAGCTAGGATGATGGAATGGACACTGACTGAGTTGTTGTCCAGGCTGCCCGTGTAACCGGATTGTTTGTGGGTGGGGGGCATTGTGGAGAGAGGATCAGAAGCTCAATTGTAGACATACTAGGTTTGGGATGACTTTTAGGCCCCTAAGTGGGAATATCAGGTGGGCCTTTGAAAATATAAGGGTGAAATTCAAGAGAGAGGGCTGAACCAGATATATGAGTTTATGACTTATTGGGATATTGGTAATATCTAAAGCCGTGAGCCTGAATGAAATCAAATGAGAGGCAGAGGAAGAGGAAGGGCCCCAGGGATTGAGCCTGGGGGCTTCTGTCAGCAAGAGGTCTGGGAGAAGGGGAGACTGAGGCAGAGAGAGAGGGAGGGACTGCTGTGGGAGAAGGACCAGCCAGTGAGGAAAGCGTGTTGACAAGAAGAGAGTGTCACCCATGTCAGATGCTGCTGAAGGCCACAGAAGATACAGTCCAAGTGATTTAGCCGTGGCCAGATTAAAGCTGTTTTCATGTTTCTATCATAAGCTAAGTAACACTTTTTTGAATTCTGCAATTCTATTTCACTATGACTAAGGATTAATTAACTATTGCTATCTTAGCAAGATTCAACATCAATAAGCAAAACCATATTATGCTCACAGGAAGCAGTGTTCTCTATCTTCACACTGAGCTCAGAGACATTTCCAGGTTATAAATTATTCATTACCTGTAATTTACCTGTAATTGAAGTTATTTTACCACTTAACATGACAATGTGGTCAGTGCTTATGCTGTGTTATTTTTCTCTTGGCTTTTGCAGAATGGGAAGCATTCTGCCTCACTGGCCTGTCATTTGTCTGGCCTGTCATTTAAAACCCCTGGTTGTTTTTAACTGCTCGAGATTAAAAACCATAACTCTTCAGGCCAGCAGAAGCCACGTTGGTAATTTGTAGGCAGGACTCGCCTTTAATAATGGGAAGATCAAGTAAGTGGAATCAGCCCACTGGAATTCAGTAAATAATGCCTGTTTTCTTTCCACTCCCCGATTGTTGCCTTGTTCTTCGTAGCCCCAAGATGGATATCGGATGGTGCAGCAATTCCAGTTCCTGGGCTGGCCGATGTACAGGGACACACCAGTGTCTAAGCGCTCCTTCTTGAAGCTCATTCGCCAGGTGGACAAGTGGCAAGAGGAGTACAATGGCGGGGAAGGCCGCACGGTTGTGCACTGCTTGTAAGTGCTTGACAGAGCTCTTCATTTCAGAACAGCGAGGCCCCACACTCACTCTCACCTCCTAGTTCTCTGACTTTTGTTTCACTAGAAATGGAGAAGAAATAAGTAGGTCTAGGTGAAGGGGTGATCATGACACTCAGTGAGGGATTGGTTGGCTTTTCAGGAAACAGGATATGCACATTCTGCATTTGGATGGTGTGCCGCTGCCGCACAAGCAAGCACTGACCGTTTCATTAGGACCCCTGCCTCCGCCGCCCACTGCCAAGAGGAAAAAAAAAAAAACACTGGCTCTTGAGAGCCAATTGTTAAGTTTTCAGGAATTTTCTGAGCTGGGTCTTCAACTGTTGGTAACTTGAATTCATCCATGGTAGAAGGATTTACATCATGGAAATCAACAAATGCTACAACTCAGGGCTCCTTCCCACCAGCCAAAGGCCAGTTTACCACCACATTACTTGATTATTCAATTGGAAATCATGTCAGGTCTCAAAGGACCTGGAGTGTGTGTGTGTGCGTGTGTGCGTGTGTGTGCGCGCGCGTGCATGCTTTTTGGGAGAATGTGTATATTGGGAGCATTTGGTTACAGCCAGTGTCCCCAGAATGAGGCTTCCAGGCCAGCAGGTTTTGCAGGTGCTAAATATGGGCACCCCTGCTACACATAGCCCGCAGCCTTACCTGCACATTGAGAATTATTTGGGGAGCTTTACATGAAAAAAAAAAAAAGCCCACACCTAGGCCACACCCCAACCAATTAAATCAAAATCTCTGGGAGTGGGGCCCAGACATGGGTGTTTTTTTTAAATGCCTAGGTGATTTCAATGTGTTGAGATAATAAGGTTGAGAGCCACTGAATGGAGAATGCCATGTTTCTCAAAGCACTTTCACCTGCATTTTCTCATTGGCAGTGATATGTAGCTAATCAACCAGCTGCAATCGGCTTAATAGAACAGGCAATTAGAAAGTCACGGCAGATAAGGAAGATGTTTAGAGAATTTGGGGAAATTTAAAGGATAAGCGAATGTCACTTTTCAGTGAAGTATCATTAGAAGTACACAATGAGATCTCTCTTAAATTGAAGGCAAAATAAAGTTTCACTCCGGGTAGATCAAGCCTAGTTAAAGTTGCAGACCTGGCTCAGGGCGTGGGTTACTCTCCAGTCAGTGCCCTTGTCTGATGCAATGCCACCTCCTACCCCGGGCCTGCAAAGTCTCCCTGGAAGCCCAGGACTCTGCCTGCCTCTCAACGATCAAAACACGATAGTGTCTCATCCTGCAGGAAACTGATATTCCTTTGGAAGGAGCCTTAAGAACCTACCCACAGTTGTCTTCAACCAGAAGTTCCAATCTTTTGTCCTCTAAAAAGCAGTTTATTAACCTCACCTTTCTCTAGTTGCTGTCATCCCCCCTTTCTTCTCATGGACCCAGTGCATTAAAAAATCTCTGTTGGCCAGGCGCAGTGGCTCACGCCTGTAATCCCAGCACTTTGGGAGACCAAGGCAGGTGGATCACGAGGTCAGGAGATCAAGACCCTCCTGGCTAACACGTTGAAACCCCGTCTCTACTAAAAACACAAAAAATTAGCCAGGCATGGTGGTGGGCACCTGTAGTCCCAGCTACTCGGGAGACTGAGGCAGGAGAATGGCGTGAACCCGGGAGGCGGAGCTTGCAGTGAGCCGAGATGGCGCCACTGCACTCCAGCCTGGGGGACAGAGCGAGACTCCATCTCAAAGAAAAGAAAAAAAAAATCTCTATCAAGAAAATGACAAAAAGAATTCATTAGCAGTCCACATCCCTATTTTTATTTCTCTTCAATCCAGATCCAACCTCTGATCAGAACAAGAGGCTCACGCTGAGATGATACAATCCCAGCAAAGAATATTAACATTGTAGTTCGTTTGTATTAGATATATCAGATTTTTCTAAAATACTAAAAATAGGTTGCAGTTACCCCTGCCTGCATCTGGAGACCCCCAGCGTCTGGAGCTAGATGTATAATGCATCGCTCCCCCCGGGATTAGCAGCTTTCTAAAAAGGGTCAGTGCTTTAACCCACAGGACTAAGTTACTAGTGACTCGAAGAAGTTGAGGCACCAGGACAGGCCTAACAAGAAGACATAAAGACTTCTTAAATCACTGCACCTTGTCAACAACACACTTCCCAGAGGCAGCTGTGACCACAGAACTAACCAGTGACATTGCTGTTCCATGTAAAACCTAAAGCAATCAGCCGTTCTTCACAGTGGACGGTGGGAGGCATCCGTTGTTTCTTCTCTCCTGCCTGTGCAGCATCTCTTCCCATTTTCCACTGAGAGAACCTTGATTATTCTTTGGAATACTCCCCCCTCCCTAAAGCCCCGCCTCTGTTCATGTGGGGCTGTCTCTTGCTCTCTTAGCATCAAGGTGGGCATGAGACCTAGGCCTGGTGAGAATGTTTATTTTTGTTTACATTTATATATCTAAATCTAAGGCTTTTTTTAGCTATAAGAAACAAAGTTAGTTTACATTGGCATCCCCCAGTACTGGCCAGGAAAGAATCAAACCACTCCAGTCTTCCTCTTGGAGGTAAGAGCATGGCATTCAGCATAGTGTAGCGCCACCTAACGGCTGTGGGTGGAGAGTTCCCGGCTGAGACAAGACCTGCCGGTGCTTTGAAGTGAATGGTTCCTTGAGCCACAGATATTCAAGGTAGGCAAATAGAGAGTGTTTTTCTTTATATGTGTCTCCCAGCTAATAAAGCTAGATTAAATGGATAGAATTAAGATTTCACCACTTTGCAACTCTTGATGAAAATAATAGATTAGACAGTGGTCTTCAACAGCTGCCGAAAGTATTAGGTGCAAAGCTGATAGGAAAAGCGGTGTAATGGTAAGGCAAGGATAGAAAACAGCTAATCTTCTAATTAGCAGAAGAGACAGTCCAGGGACAGATCCGTACCTCAGCGTCATCTGACTTACAACAAAGATGCCATTGCAACGCAGCACTGCAGTGGGTGGGGAAGACTGCCTGGACACGTTGGTCTCCCTCACTCCATGTACAGAATCCCTTCTAGATAGATGGTAGACCAAAAGGGGAAAGTAAAATAACAAAGCTTCTAGAAGAAAACATAGGAGAATATCTTCACGACCGCGGGTAGATTTGTTAAACAGGACACAGAACAATAGCCTTAAAAGAAATATTGACAACGTGGACTTTCATTAAAATTGAGCCCTTCTCTTCATCAAAAGATGGCAATAAGAGGGTGAAGAAGCAAGGCAGTGGGAGGAGACTTTTATAATACATGTGTCTGACAAAGGACTCGGCCACAATGTCGAAGAACTGCTGTACTGCAAGCCAGTAGGAAAATGATAGACAACTCAATTTATTAAATGGGCAAAAAACTTGACAGGTACTTCACTGAAGACAAAAGATGTCCCAGCCCAGCGCAGTGGCTCACGCCTATAATCCCAGCACTTTGGGAGGCTGAGGCGGGTGGATCACGAGATCAGGAGATCGAGACCATCCTGGCTAACACGGTGAAACCCCGTCTCTACTGAAACTACAAAAAATTAGCCGGGCGCAGTGGCAGGTGCCTGTAGTCCCAGCTACTTGGGAGGCTGAGGCAGGAAAATGACGTGAACCCGGGAGGCGGAGCTTGCAGTGAGTCAAGATCGTGCCACTGCACTCTAGCCTGGGCGACAGAGCAAGACTCTGTCTCAAAAAGAAAATAATAATAATAATAATAATAATAATAATAATAAAGATGTCCCGAATAGCCAATGAGCATAGAAAAGTTACTCAATATTATTCATTTTTAGGCAAATCCACATTGAAACCAGGATCACATGCCACTGTGTACTCACCAGAATGGCTGAAATTTTAAAGACAGACAAATAAATGATAATCCCAAGTGTTAGTGAAGCTGTGGAGTAACTGGAACTCTTATACACTGTAGGAAGGAAGTAAATACTGTACAACCATTTGGAAACTGACAGCATTTACCAAAGCTAAACATATACGCAGTCTGAGGCTGAGCTCTTCTGTTCTTAGAGAAATGACTGCAGAAATGAATCATCTACCAAAAGATAAGCTTATCACAGGTTTACTCATAATATTTAAAAACTGGAAACAGCCCAAACATTCATCAGCTGTTGGATAAATTGTACAGTGGGTATTCATTCAGTGGAATTCTTCTTAGCAATATAAAACAATAAACTACCAATATAACACCGTGGGTGATTCTCACACAGACAACACAGAGTGAAATAAGCCAGTCTCAGAAGAAGACATAGTGTATGGTTCATTTACACAAAGCTGAAAAACAGGCAAAAACAATTGATGATGCTAGGCTTAAGAATGGATTCTCTTTGGTGATACTGATGGTATTGTTGAGGAAGGAACGTGAGGGAGCCTCTTGGGGACTGAACGTGGTTTGTATCTTGATCTGAATGGTGGTTACATGGTGTATGCATTGGTAAAAATTGACTGAGCTGTCTACTTACGGTCTTTATTGTAGGTATATTATACTTTAGTTAAAAAACTGATTCAGAATTTCATAATGGGCTGATCAAGCTGATATCCGAACACGATGATCTCTCTTAAAACCATAAAACAAGGGACAACCAGATATTTTTGGCTTGCTTCCTAATGAAAGTATACTTTAAGTATCCTTGTATAAATAAATCAATCTTGAATTCTTACCAAGCCCTGGAACTACCTACCGATTTACAGGAAATACAGAGTTAGAAAGCAGCATATTAAATAATATCACAGAGATGTGATGAATGAGAAAAATCTAGGATGTGGGACTCTCTACAGGACACAGATGAACTTGTTTCCTCAACAAATAAATTCTCAAGAAAAAAGAGAGAGCAAAGAGGAACTCACAGAGTAAAATAAATTTGCAAGACATACCAACCAAATCCAATCTGTGGACTTTGCCTAGATGTGGATTTTTTAAAAAGCATCTGTAAGAAACAATCTGAGAGTGGATTTTTTAAAAAAGCAGCTGTAAGAAACAATCTGGGAAACTGGAACACTGACTAGAAATTTGATAATTTTAAAACAGTAATGTTATTATTTTAGGTATGATAGTTATACTGTGTACTGTGTTTAAAAATAAAAAGGTCCCATGGCCGGGCGCGGTGGCTCACACCTGTAATCCCAGCACTTTGGGAGGCCGGGGCGGGCAGATCACTAGGTCAGGAGATTGAGACTATCCTGGCTAACACGGTGAAACCCCATCTCTACTAAAAAAATACAAAAAAATTAGCCGGGCATGGTGGCAGGTGCCTGTAGTCCCAGCTACTCGGGAGGCTGAGGCAGGAGAATGGCGTGAACCCAGGAGGCAGAGCTTGCAGTGAGCCAAGATCGCGCCACTGCACTCCAGCCTGGGTGACAGAGTGAGACTCCATCTCAAAAAAAAAAAAGGTCCCTTATCTCCTTGAGGAGAGAGTGACTGCAGAGTTGATGCAGGGATAGTGCGGGATGAGCCTGGACCATTATGTGGTTGCAGAGAGTAAAGAAATAAAACAGGCTGGGGACTTGTCAGAAAAGAACAAAAGAGCCAGCCTGACGGAGCTCCCACTGGCCAAAGCTGGAACAATGTGAACAAAATCAATATTAGTACCCTTGGATTTTAGCTGATAGAATAAAATTATTATGTATAAGCTCACACTGAAATAAACAAATCATAAAATAAATAAACAATAATAGGGAAGAAGAGACAGCTCTTTCTTAGTGTAGAATGTTGAAAGAGAGGGAAACAGGAAATCACCATTAGGCAAACACCACAGTGATAATTAATTGTTGCAGACAAGATCCACCAACGGATGCTCAAATCAGTGGGCGAGAAACAAAATATTTGCGTAGTCCCAAAATATCTTCCTCCCAGATATTTATTGACTGCAAAGAGAAAGATGATAACTTTATGGTGAGAAAATCTGGCAGACACCATCTTAACAAGTGAGCAAGTTAACATCACCAGTAATAAGACAGATGGACATCCTGAACCCCTGGGAGGAGGGAACATCCCCTCTCTGGTTTTCTTACCGAAATGCACGGCCTTGTTTCCAGTCATGAGAAGACATCAGACAAACCCAAATGAAGGGATGGTCTACATGTTATAGTTTGTGATGACTTCTCAGATTGCGGCTGGGGACGACAGCTACTTTCTACTTCTGTGTTCTACATTCTTTATATTCTACAAATCACTGATCAGTGCTCTTCAAAAGTGTCAAGGTCAGGAAATACAAGGAAAGACTGAAGGAAACTAAGGAGACAGGACAACTACATGCACGACTGGATCCTGGACCAGAAAAAGGACATTCGTGGAGGAACTAGTAAGATGTGACTACAGTCTGTGGTTTAGTTAATAGTATTGTCCCAGCATCACGTTCTTGGTTTGCATAATGCGCTGTGGGCAAGTAAGGTGTTCATATCAGGGAAGTTGGATATGCATTCTCTATGCTATTTTTACATTTCTGCACATCTAACATGGGTTCATAGTAAAAAGTTTTCTTTAAAAAGAGCCTCTATGTTTTATAGATAAATAATGAAATGCCAATGGATTTGTTGTTGTTGTTGTTGTTGTTGTTTGAGAGGGAGTCTCGCTCTGTTGCCCAGGCTGGAGTGCAGTAGCACAATCTCGGCTCACTGCAAGCTCCACCTCCCGGGTTCACGCCATTCTCCTGCCTCAGCCTCCCGAGTAGCTGGGACTACAAGCACCCGCCACCACGCCCGGCTAATTTTTTTTGTATTTTTTAGTAGCGATGGGGTTTCACCGTGTTTAGCCAGGAAGGTCTCGATCTCCTGACCTCGTGATCCACCCACCTTGGCCTCCCAAAGTGCTGGGATTACAGGTGTGAGTCACTGCGCCCAGCTGCTAATGGATGTTTTTAAAGGCCAGATACGTCTTTGAACGTAACCCGTACTTGTCACAGCAATTTTCCTGGCAGAACCTAAATAAGGTTCATTGAAAATTTTCTACCATGGGCCCTTATCGATGAATTGCTGTATCAGAGAATGTGACCAGGGCTGAGGTGAGCTGGGAAAGGCTCTGCAGTCAGGTGACCTGTGGCCAAACACTGCGGATGGCTTGCTCTGTTTGCTTTAATTAAAAGAATCTGCCCAGGTAAGAGGTCCCCCGGCCTCAGAGCCCTTTGTTGTTACTGTTCCCCAGGGTTTAGACAGCTTGTTTCCACAGGTGTTTGCAAGATGCAGTGTAAAGACAGACCGAGTGCAGTCATCTGATCTTTTTCACGACAGGAACGGGGGAGGCCGCAGTGGGACGTTCTGCGCCATCAGCATCGTATGTGAGATGCTCCGGCACCAGAGAACCGTGGATGTCTTTCACGCTGTGAAGACACTGAGGAACAACAAGCCCAACATGGTCGACCTCCTGGTAGGACACCCCCTCTGAGCTGTTCCATGAGACACCCCATTAGCATTAGAATCCACTCCAGCTCCCAGATTTGCAGGGAAACTGATGCGTAGAGGAAGAGACTCATTTTCAAAATCACAATGTAATCACTTTGCTTGTAGGGCTTTTTTCTTCTTTCTTGTTCTCCCTCTTCCTCTCTTTGTTCTTCACACGGAGACTTTGTCTCCAGCTCATTCGAAATGCGGAAATAGCTGAAACTCACAAGTGAACATCCTTATTAACTTCCCTTCCTGGCAGTGCCTTCCATGTGGCTAAGCACTTAGTCTTCACAGAGAAGAAATAATCATAGTACGTGAAATGCCAGATTTTCAAATTATATATTTTATAAATAGCTTAATCGCCTAATATTTATCAAAGCTGTGAATTTTAGTTTGACATCCAGAATATTGCATTTAATTATGGTGGCCATATCTGAGAAAAGTATTAAAGGAGATGAGAAACAAAGGACAATGTACAATTATTTTCTTAAGAGTATTTTATGAAATCTCTTTTTATGTGGAGCTGTTGAAATGCCAACCACCGTGACTCTAGAATAGTTTAAAGGAGGAAGCTTTTAGATTAGGTTTTTGCACTTCTCTGTGAGTGGAGGAAGGATCTGTAGGAAACAGCAGGACTAATCCAAGGTTGGAAAATGGCTTGGGGGCAGGAGAGGGAGGAAGAGATGGCCGATGGGACAAGCGCCAAAGCCAATGTTCCCAGGTCCACAGCATCACAACACTGGGGTTGATGTTAAAAATTAAAATAAAGGGACTTAAGAGGGAGTTGAGAGTCAAGCTGAATTTGAGGAAGTAGCCATGGTCCTCATGCAGTTTAAGAAGTCATAATAGCAGTGCTCCAGGCTGGCTAATAGTAGTGACCAATGACAACGAGCTCCCAAACGTGTCCCACTCATCACGAACCACTCTCCAGGGCATCCACTTTGCCCAGATACATGTCTCGTGCCTGATGAGCTGCTCCATTTCCAAGAAGCATGGCTGTTGGTCAGAAAATTTGTCACACCCACTTGGTTAGGCACACTCTCACCCATCAGCTGTTAGCATGTTGGCTTCTAGAAGGGGCAGAAAGGACTGTGCTCCCCAGACTCCTGCGCCCCTCCTCCCCACCCTACGGGGAGCCCATGGAAACCCAAATTCTAGTCTCAACTCTACTACTAATTCTAGTTAGGTGACCCCAAACACATTAGTTTTGTCATTTAAGTGTCCTTAAGCATGTCACTTAACTCCCTTAGGTTTTAGTTTTGTAAACTAGGGATACCATGAGCTCACTGAGGTACCCAGTGTGCAGAGAGATGTGAAAGTGTTTTGGAAATTGCAAAGGGGAGAGGTGGTTGTAGAGAGTGTAGGAGTCTGCCAGGCGTGATGCCATCAGTGGCCTGGCAGAAGGGCTCTAAGTGCCCTGGATGTAGTAACGGATTTCCTGTGGGTTGTTGAAAGGCTGGTGTGGGGCTTCACTAGGACCGTCTCCCTCCCTGCAATCCCACCTGAATGGTAAAGAGTTCTACCGCCATGGAATTCCCAGTGTTCCAGGATGGAGGCAATTGAGCAAAGAGTGGCCATGCTGTCGGCAGAGGCCTGAGTTTGGGCTAGCAGAGGATAGAAACAAATGCACAAATGAAATATTCTGCCTGTGGCTTTGTGAGGTGGTTAACCTCACTAATTCAGGGACAGGTATGTAGCCTCGAGACTCTGGTTGGTACTTGGGCACAGCTGACCTTGATCAAAAAAAATGTCACTTCCCTCTCACTGCAGCCTGAATTAAGCACATCATTAGAAACAGACCCTTCCAGGCCTTTCCTCTAATGGCTCCAGCTGCAGCTTTCATCACTCACCAGGTTTTATGGGCAGGAGTGATGGGGCTTTTTCCAAATCAGTGGTGCACGCTGAAGGACAGGGGTGATTTTTCGTGAAATAAATGGAGGCTTAGATGGCCGAACCAGAAGGGAGCTTGCGGTCCCAGCCCACGATTCTATCGTAACTTAGGACTTTTTGTATTATGTGTGATCCTGAGGGAGAAGATGGGATTTCTGGGTGCCCAGACCTCCAAAGTCAGCAGCAGGTGGAGGATAAGGTCAGGGTCTGAGAAATGTAGGAAAGTTTTGCAATGTCTGGAGAAAACTATGTGACATATCTGTCACGGGGCTGTTAGCAGGGTATTAGATAATATCTGGTGACAAAGAAAATCTCACCATCCTCTTTTCAGTGGGTTTGAAGCTTCCAGAACTGAATAGGACCTGTTGTCATTTGGTTTTGCCTGTAAATACGACTTCTGTTTAGTTTGGTGTTGATACCTCTGTATGTTGTCTGAGAGAATTAATTAGCTTAGGCCAGGGTGATAAAGTCTGGTACAGTTTTATTGGGCATCACAGGCCATCTGAGGCCTGAGTGTGTCCTAAGCACAGAATGTTGTGCCAGCAGCTGAAAAGAGCAGTGTACTGAGTCTACTTAGCCGCGTCTTCAGAGGATGACGAGCATGTGCCAGACAGCCCTGGGGGCACTTCCGAGTGTCTGCAGAGGCAGGCTAGGGTGCAATAGAGGGGCCCTCGCCCCAGCCCCACCAGATCACATGTGTGGCTGCATTCCCTCATGGTCCCTTCCGTTCAGAACAGGCAAATGCTACCGCTCTACCCTCCCTGCCAGGGCGGGTGAGCACACAGAGGGACGCTGTGTCTCTCACCATCTCCCTTTGCAGCTCTGATTGTTCTAAATTGCTTCTGAGTGGGAAGATTCGTCGGTTCGTGTTGAAGCATGACACTCTCCAGGGAGATCCAGAAAGCCCTCAAGATGTATTTCTGCAAATTTTTAGCTTTGGGAGCTCTGGAGAAAAGCCAGTGGATTGCCAGGAGGCAAAATAGTTTCTAATACAAGACTAGATTTTTTTGTATCCAGCAGGGGCAGCTGCATTTTTCCTGACCCCTTTTTCAGCCCGCTTCTAAGTTATCCATCTCTTCAACCAGCCTCAAGTCCCCATCAAAGAACTGGGTCCCCAGAGGATGGACAAGGACAGCACAGCCTGAGATTCCCCACGACTCGCCTAGTTATATTCAGAAGGAGTGCTGGCACCTGAGCTCCTTTGAAGAGACTCCGGCTGCAGGAAAGCGGCTGCTTCACGCTGGCAGCTCCCCTCTCACTTTTGCCTTCCTTAATGGCTTTTGAAGTTCCCAGGGCTCTGTTTTAACATAGAAATGGTCTTCAAGGGCAGATCTTGCCTAGAGAAACATAGTGTCCCCTGTGAGGTGGTGGGAACTTTGGAAGACTCCCCTCCACAGCCTAGTGCACTGCCCAGGAAGTGAACAACTGGCCCCATCATTTACCCAAATGCCTTGGGCAGGGCTGACAAAGCTGCCTCTGCAGGTAATTACACACTTTAATATGGAGTGCAGTGGCGTGATCATAGCTCACTGCAGCCTCAAACCCCTGGGCTCAAGCCATCCTCCCACCTCAGCCTCTCAAGTAGCTGGAACTAAAGGGGCATGCAACCATGCCTGGCTGGTTTTTTATTTTTATTTTTATTTTTTTAGAGATGGGAGTCTTGCAGTTTTGCCCAGGCTGGTTTCAAACTCCTGGCCTCAAGCAGTCCTCCTGCCTCAGCCTCTCAAAATGCTGGGATTACAGGCATGAGCCACAGTGCCTGGCCTGGCATCTTATCTTAGTTTCATGCCATTCTGCACATATTTCTCAGCCTCTGTTCTATGTGCAGCATCACTGGGCATTGATGCAAGAGAAGTAGAAGATACAGTCTCTCCCACATGGAGCTTAGAACTCACTGGAGATGCAAAAGTCCTACCTGAACCTCAGTTTTCTCATCTGTAAAGTGGGAGTAAGAATATTAAGCCTGGCCAAACACGGTGGCTCACGCCTGTAATCCCAGCACTTAGGGAGGCCGAGGTGGGCAGATCACCTGAGGTCAGGAGTTTGAGACCAGCCTGGCCAACCAACATGGTGAAACCCCTTCTTTACTAAAAATATAAAAATTAGCCGGGCGTGGTGGCAGGCACCTGTAATCCCAGCTACTTGGGAGGCTGAGGCAGAAGAATCACTTGAACTCAGGAGGCAGAGGTTGCAGTGAGCTGAGATCGCACCACTGCACTCTAGCCTAGGTAACAGAGTGAGACTCCTTCTCAAAAAAAAAAAAAAAAACTATTAATTCAGTCACAAAAGGCCACATATTCTATGACTCCTTGTCTGTGAAATGTTCAAAACAGACAAATCCATGAGACAGAAAGTAGAGTAGTGGCTGCTGAGGGCTGGGGGAGGGAGATGGGGGTGACTGCTGATAGGCACAGGGTTTCTTTCTGAGGTGATGGGAATGTTTTAAACTTAGATTGTATATAAGTCTGTAAATATACTGAAAACCACTGAACTGTGTTAAAGTACAAAATTACAACACATTTAATTTGAAGGTCTAATTGGCTTGTATTAGTGACCCTAGAATCAGGCAACATGTCATTCTGTAAAATAGAACGAGTGCTCCAAGGAGCTGAGCAGAGGAGGCTGCTTTATAGGCAGAAAAAAGCTTGAGAAGGCAGAGACAGGGAACACAACGCAGATCGGTTGTTTCAAACTTCCTTCCATCATACGGTTAAAACAGAAGGGACTTCTTTATCATGGCAGCTCAGGAAAACCGGGTCGCTTCTGACTGGTTGTTGCACTTCTCCTGATGTTTGGAAAGCTGCCCTATTTCAAAGTTCAGTTGGATGGCGACGTAGCACCTAGCACGAGGGACTCCATTCTGGTTTGGTCTAGTCTGTCAGGGCCTCATCCAAACAGTGGCCTCTCATGAACTTTATGTAACAACTGTATCCTTTAAAGAGGCCAATTTTATGGTATGTGAATTATATCTCAACAAAGCTGTTGTTTTTTACAAAGTAACATCAAAAACAACAAAAAAGAATACTGTTCATAGAAGGCTACGGGGCTTTTCTGTTTATGGAACATGTCCCAAGAGTTATCTTGTTATACTCAGTCACCTTCACCAAAGCCAGAAGAGGTGCTGCCGCTGCACCCCCTTTACAGAGAAGTCTAGCGTTTCGTCATTCGTGCAAGCCAAATCCAGATCCGGATCCCTCCTCCCAGCTCCAAGCCTGCTGATGTTCAACCACCCTACAAGGAGCCCCCCAAGCTTTCTCCCAGCCTAGAGGCTGGACACCAGCGGGGCTCTCAGGGTTCATGATGTGTGGAAAAGGTAAGGGAAAAAAATCGACAACTAAAAGCCATTAGACGAAAATTCCAAATAGAATGTAGCCGGATAAGCAGTCCCAACCCACCTGGGAGTCTGAAAGGGAGGGCCCTGTAGGAAGGTGATGGTCATAACCCTTCGCTGGGTTGATTTGTTACTGAGTTGCTGGGAGAAATCCAGGATAAAGGGTGGTAAAGCAGTGCATGCTCTTGCACCGGGAGAAAAAGGGCACAGGTTAGTGTAGGGGACCTGAGAACAGGGCAGAGCTCAATCACTGTGTGTGTGAGCTTCATCTCAGACCAGGTGTAACAGGAACAGCCCCGTCCACCATCACGTGCCTTGTAAGATTCAGAAAAGAGCATCTCCTCAGTGGTTCTCAAGCCTGGTTGCCCACTGAAGTCATCTGGGAGCTTTAGAACAATTCTGATCCCTGGGCCCACCTGGAGACTGATTCGATTGGTCAGGGGCCTGGCTGCAGCAGCCGAGTGTTAAAAGCCCCTGGTGAGTCTCATGTGCAGCCTAGCTTAAGAACCATGTCTGCTCTAGACGCAGTATCAGCCCAGGCTGCACTTGAGAATCCGCCCACCCCCAACTCCCGGGGGAGCTTTCAGAAATACCAGTGCACAGGCCTGCCCCAGCCCACTTCAGCCAGAGGCTCTGAGATGGAGCCCCCGCCAGGTAGGATAGACGTGCCACACGGCTGAGAAAGTTGGTGTAGGAGGATCAGCGGGCCTCTCCCTTCCCTGCAGTGCCATGCGGCGGTGTTCACAGCTCGCCGCCCCCTCCCCCTCCGTCCCACTTACTCCAGAGCCAGGCCCCATCCTGATCTGCGGATCTGCCGCACAGGTTCAGGTTGCCCCCTCTGTAACTTACAGCCGACCCTCCAGACTCAGCCTCACCTCCCCTTTAGTAAGCCAACAATGGACTCACATACAAAATGCAATGTGGTGTGGGGCCTACAGCTCTCCCCCTTGTGCCACCAACTGGTGTGTATAGGCTGTCCCTCAATAGCTCTTGCTGTGAAATTTGCAGCCTATTTAACGGCTGTGCATGTGTGTGTGCATGTGTTGGGGTGGTGAGTGCAGGAGTTGGGTGGGAATCAGAGGTGAGCTAGGGTCCCCAATCCACACTCCAGGCACCTTGAATCCACCCATGGTCAGTCTTCCTGCACTGTTGAGGAAGGTTTGTAATAATTTTTGCTAATACCCCATCCCCTCTCCCCACCCCCAGATTCCACTTGCCCATCCTGCCCCCTACACTCAGCACCAGCCAAGCGCCTGGCTCCCAGGAGTTTCCCAGTAAGCATTTTCTGAGTGACTGAACCATTCTTCTCTGCAGCCAGACCTGAGTCCAACCTGAGCCACCCTTTGCTGCCCTCTCCAACCTAGGGGAGGTTGTGGCTGTGCTCAGCAGGGCCTCAATAAGGAACTGGGCATGGATTTTGCAGGGGGCTTTGGTGAAGAAAGTTCTACCTATAGGTATTAAAGATAGAGATTAAGGGAATGAGCCACTCATCATTCCAGGGACATGCTGCTGTCTCGCTGAGCAGGGATGAGAATTTATTGGTCTCCTTGGCACAGAGTGGCTGGCCACAACCTGGCTGGGAACACTGAACTGAGGGATCCCACCACGGTAATAGGGCCCACGCTGCCCTTCTGGCAGGGCATCACTCAGAAGAATTTTTCCAGCCCGAAGGATCTGTCCGTTCAGGGTCTAGCCAAAATCATAGAGCTTGCCTTAGTTTCAAAAGCAACCAGGTCAGAGGTGGAGGCTATTCTCTTTGAACCTTTGGAGGCCGTTGATGTGGTGTTTGAAGTGCCCACGCTGGCCGCCAGCCTGAGTTCCTTAGACACAGGCAGCCTGCGCAGACGACAAGGCTCGGGCCCCTGACGGAGGCCCCCAGTGCCGCCCGCTGGTGTGCTGGCCTCGTGACGCCCTCACCAAGCTAGCAGTGGCTTTTAACAGCCAACCTCAATTTCCAGTTCCCTTGCACATTTTGCTTTCTCCCACTCATAGGTACAGGAAGTCTGATCGGGAGCGGGGCCAGCGTCAGGGACCTTGGTGAGGAATAGCAGCAGGTTGCCCTGGTTACGGTCTGACCCAAGGATGTGAGGAGGACCGGGCCAGGCTCCCACCTGAGCCCCTACTCAGGGCACCTCCTCATGCCCGAAGCCAGCTAATGTCACCCAAATTGGAGCACTCAGGACCAAGGCCTAAACATTCCTTTTTCCCCTGGAGCACAGGGATGGCTCATGTGGCTTAATTATACTGTTCAAAAGGGAGTGAGCTGAGAGAGGAAACTGCAGCAGATAGACCTATACCTGGTAATCAAATGTAATCAGTTTCCAATGTAGGAAGATTTCAGGCATTTACCCAGGTGCTTGGGGGAGGGGACACAACAATTTGTGGTCTTCCTTCTCTTTCCCCTTATTTTTCTGATTCAGAAACCAGTCATCACAGAATCTATGGGGACTGGGTGCTTGCTCAGGAAGGATAAGGTGGGAGAGGGAGAATTCATTTTGAAAATTATAGTCATGCCTGAGACAGGGCAGCTTCGGTGACTTCCAAGCAGCAGCTCCTTAGCAGCGAAGCCCAAAATCCCTCCTGAGTTTCCGGCCTGTGTTGTGGCCTGAGGGCAGCAGCCACATCTCTCCACTAGGTGCATTTTAACATGTTAAAAGGAAATATGTTAAAAGGATGGCTCTGAGTAGCCACTGAAATTAATTGCACAATTAGGCTTGTATAAAATCTTTTTTATGCAGTAAGGGATGGGACCGTGTAGATTTCCATTACAGAAAGAATTGTCCCTGTGATTCACAAAAGCATGATGGGAGCACTTCACAGCCAAGATGTCGGCCTGGTGATCTGACAACGTGGCCTTTTGGAATTTTGAAATTCCAATTATCTCTTTTAAATATTCTGAAAATAAAAGTATCAAATCCTGAAATAATAAATACTAGAATATGAATCAGAAATCTAATTTTGCCCAGGGCAAGAAATAATTTTTTCCAGTTAAAAAGTTAAAAAAATACTTCTACCTTTATTGGCATTGTGTGTGGAAAAAGTGGTCTATTTAAGGGAAATACAGGCTAGTAAAATATTTGTTATTTGCACTAGGAGATAATTTAAGGAACACCTTCTCAAATGTCATCAGACTTACTTTAAAGGCAAACCAAGTCCAAAAGTTCTAAATTGAGAAAGCTGGAAGGGAAACTTAAATATGATCCAACCCCCTGTTTTATGACCAGAGGGGAATGGATTGGCCAAGATGTCGGGGATGGTTAATAGGACCTCAGGCTCCTGGTCAGTGTGGGGCACTCAGACCCATGAGTCTAGAAAGCAAAGAACAACTGGATTCATGTTTCCTATGTCAGAGTCCACCCAGTTGCAGTTCCACCTGAGTCCTTCACAGACATTAAAGGTAGGATTCACATCATGGAATAAGCATTTTTCTACTAGCGATTTGTTTAATAAAGCTTTATTGGAATATAATTTGCATGCCATAACATTTCCCCTTTTAGATGGAAATAATAGACACTGGGAACTCCAAAAGAGCAGGGAGGAGAGGGAGGGTTGAAAAATTACCTGTTGGGTATAACATTCGATTGTAATCAGTTTCCAGTGTTTTGCATTCCTACCAGCCGTGTAATGCACTATGAACATTCATTTGGGGGATGAATACCCTAGGAGCCCAATCCCCACCATTACATGTGTAATACCCATGTAATAAACAAGCACATGTACCCCAAATAAAAAAAAATCCCCTTTTAAAGTGTGTCATTCACTGGTTTTCAGTGTATTCACAGAGTTATGCAACCATCACCACAAACCAAATGTTTAACATTTCCATCACCCACTTAGCCCCCTCAAAGAAATCCTAGACCTACTAGCAGCCACTCCCCATTACCCACTTCCAGGCTCTGGCAACCACCCTTCAGCTTCCAGTCTTTATAGATTTGCATGTGCTGGGTGTTTTCATAGAAAAGGAGTGTGTGCCCTTTTGAATCTGATTTCTTTCACTCAGCAGATTCATCCATGCTTCAGTTCATCCACGTTGTAACATGGATTAGTACTTCATTCCTTTTCATAGCCAAGTAATATTCCACTTTATGGCTATACTACATTTTATTGATGTACATTTGAGTTGTTTACCCTTTTTGGCTGTTAGGAATAATGCTCTGTGAACATTTGTTTACAGAGTTTTTGTGTATACGTATGTTTTCAGTTTCCTTAGGTGTACACCCAGTAGTAGAATTGCTAGGTCATATGGGAATTCTGTGTTTAACCTTTTGAGGAGCTGCCAGACGGTTTTCCAAAGTGGCTGCACCGTTTGACATTCCCTCCAGCCGTGTATGAGGGTTCGCTTTCTCCACGCCCTCGCTAACACCTGCGATTTTCTTGTTATGTGAGCCTTCTCGTGAATGTTATTCCACTGACATTAATCTCATGGCACCGTCAGTGATTGAAATGATCTTCTTGTTCTCTGTCTTCGCCTCTGGATCATGACCTTCCCGAGGACTGAATGTGTCATAAAATCCCCAGTCTCTAGCAGTACATGTGTATTGAGTTGGATCACATGCTGCTGGACCCATGGCTTGTCATCATGTGTACATGTAGCCGACTTTGACTCTCAACTGTGTCAGTTCTGGGCTAGAGACTGTTACTTTATACAAAGAGAGATAAACTGTGTCCCTTGTCCTCAAATAAATAGGTTGGACTACTAGGGTATTTACAAAACAGAGTGTAGGTGAAGAAAAGGAAATTTCAGTGACAAATTAGGAGGCACTTAAGAAATACTGGACGTTTTCAATTAATTTGGCAAAATGAAAAGTAATAGATACATTTCCTTGGTTGTGGCTGTGATGGGTAGAGACAGTGGTGCTGAACCTCGCTCACACATGTGAAAGCTTGTCTGCTCCAGAAGTAGAAGAGAGCCTTCCAGTTGCTAAGGCTCTGTCCAGGGCCGGGCTCCTGCCAGGTGGCAGGCAGAGGCTTCCTCAAGCCCTGCGTCCCTCTTCTGGGTTCAGAGACCACTCCCAGGCTTGGTTCTATCAGCACACTCCATGCATACAGGTGCAGAATGCTCTCCCCGGCCACCCGAGACCACACCTCAGCCAGGACCTTGTGCAGAGCTTGCTTGGGCCAAGGTACACGATCCAGGAAAGCTGAGCTCAAGAAAAATGAATCCAATGCTGGATGTGGTGACTCGTGCCTATAATCCCAGCTAATTAGGAGGCTGAGGTGGGAGGATTGCCTGAGCCCAAGAGTTCGAGGCTGTGTTGAGCCATGATTGCACCACCGCACTCCAGCTTGGGTGACAAAGGGCCATGTTTCTTAAAAAGAAAAAAAAAAAAAAAAGAAAGGAGGGAGAAATTAATTCCCTGTCTGATGAAGAACTGGTCTATGGGTCCCAGAGGATCTCAAACATTTCCCCTTCTGTACCTTTCCTCGTCCTGTTGCCTCCGCCTGGAATGCCTGTTTTAATTAACGGGTGAGGATGGCCACGTACTTTATCCAAACTAGGGCACTTTGAGAGTGAAAGAGGGTTATGCCAGGACAACAGGCAGAAGCCAGGACCGTCCAGGGCAAACCAAGGCTGCCTCCACTCCACGCATCAGTTCCGTCCTCTGGGGAAGGCGCTGTCCACTTCCCACTGCCATCTTCCCTAAGAAGACCTGCCGTCCCCTGAGCATAGGGACCATTCCACCTCATGTGTTGTCATTGGGTTACCTGTCTCATCCTCCTCACTGGATCACGGACTTCTCAAAATCAGGGACCAGGTCAAGGGGCTTGGTATTCAGGAGGTGCTTATGAAATTCTCATGAGATTGAGGAATTCCCACAGACTGAAAGTCAAAGGTAAAGCTGGATCATGCATGAGGCCTCATCTAGGTACCAAGGGCCTTGTGAGAGATGTCAGGAAGGCATTTCCTGAAGCACTCGTTACTTTCTCTTCTACCCCTGACCCTCCTGCACAAAGCTCAGCATGTTGATATCCTGGAAAATACATGTGTGGACAAACATATTTAGAGTTCCAAGTGTCCAGAACCTTCCGGGAATTCTAGCCAGCACAGGTAGCAAAATACCTTCCACCCAGCATTGTGGGGAGCATCTCCAAACAGTGAATGTATCTGGAGTTCAGAACCGTGACTTTCTGATTCATTTCTAATTCAAATCCTCCCAGATTGATGTCTTCCCATTAAGACCCTACTCTATGGTAATTGCTTTACTAGGAACAGCGTTGAGATATTCTTGAGCTGACACTTTCCCCTCCTGTTTTCCAGGATCAGTACAAGTTCTGCTACGAGGTGGCCCTGGAATACTTGAATTCTGGCTGATGGTGTAAACAGCTCTGCAAACAATCCCTTTCATACCACAAAGCCAAGACGTTCCATGGTATTTGTGCAAAAGAGATGAAGACTTCTCAATATGCTTATTTTGCTTTGCATAATTGGCTCTTTTTAAGAGCCCAAGAAAGTGTTTCTAAAATTGCTTGCACTGCCCAATCCCAGTAATGCTGCTGCCTGACAGAAACACACACACAGCCACAGTTGCCAAATCCCGTACTCCTTGCCACCGGCTTCCTAGAGCAGCGTAGACAGCTGGTAAACTGAAGAGCACAACTATATTCTTATGAAGGAATTTGTACCTTTGGGGTATTATTTTGTGGCCCGTGACCCTCGTTATTGTTACAGCTGAGTGTATGTTTTTGTTCTGTGGAGAATGCTATCTGGCATTATGGTAATATATTATTTTAGGTAATATTTGTACTTTAACATGTTGCATAATATATGCTTATGTAGCTTTCCAGGACTAACAGATAAATGTGTAATGAACAAAGATATGTTGTATGAGTCGTCGTTTCTGTCAGATTTGTATTGTTTCCAAGGGAAAAGCTTGGGGGAGGACTCAGTTCACAAAATGCAAAACTCAACGATCAGATTCACGGACCCAGAGCTTTTCCATGTGTTTATATTGTAAATATTTTTGATTTCATCAAATTATTTATTCATTAAAAGAAATTTTTGTGAAGCACAGTGAGTGACAATCATTTTTCTTAAGGCCTGGAAACGATTTTCTGTATGATGTTACTTTATGTGAATTCTCATCTCAATAAATGATGACCCGTGAGCAGCCGTGGCATGTTCCTGGTGTCCCAGTGCACAGGCGGTGGAGGCCGCACCCGACACGCCAGCACACAGGGGGAGAGAGTGCGGCCGGGGCCTGTTTGCCGGAGCAAGTAGAGTAGAGTTTTTTTGAGAGAGAGTGTTCGTCAGTGAGAGCACTGAGCCCTTCACGGTGGCCTGCCCTGGTGCCGGGGAGGCTCAGCCATGAGCCTGCACCATGGGGCGTGAGCCCTGACCTTGTGGGGCAGCCAGGCCAGGGGCCATGGCAGAGACTTGCTAACTGGAGCATCGTCTTCCTTTCTCTGTTTCCCCTCAGTCTGCGGGGGATAATATCTCTCTTCTCTATGCCTCAGGCCAACCTAAGACTTGCTGAGAGAACAGTTTTTAAAGGGTTAGAGAATCAGAGTGCATTGAAGGACACCGAGCTGAACAAGTTCCCACCAGAGCACCTGCTCTGCGCCACCCTGGGCTCTGGCCGCTGACACAGAAGGCAGGTGCACGGTGGCCTTGCAGCTTGCATTTAGCTTGGGTTTTAGGCTGTGTTAACGATTGCCAAGAGCTGACAGAGGCAAAGCTCTGTCGAACACCTCTTGTGAACCAGATACCATGCAGAGCATCTTCCTGTGTGGTAGCACGTGCTCCCCAAACATGAGCCAGGTACAACTGCGAAACCCACCTGACAGATGAAGAAACTCAAGCTAGAAAAGATTAAATAACCCGTCCAAAGTCACACTGGCTAGCAAGTGCCAGAAGCCTCCAGAGCCCATGGGAGGTGGAAGGGCAGCACCCTCACCATGGCAGAGGAGCAGAGTCTGCTAGTGCCGAGACAGAGACTGGCCCGCCACCCGCTGTGGGAAGTGGAGAGGCTTGAGGGCACTGTTCCTGCCTGCTCTGGGGATCTTGGTGACCAAAGACTTCAAGGGCAGAGGTTGCCCTCCAAGAGGACTGACCTGGACATCTGCGTGTTAGACCTTTACTGCTTCGCTGTACCCTGAGCAATCTATATGCCCCGATTGGTGTAAGTTTCTCTAGACCCCTCCTTAAACTGGGTGGGTGGGACCCTGTCCTCCCCCAGGAAGAGCTGGCTGCAGCGGAGCTTCGAGTCTGTACTCAATGCCTCACATTCAGACTCCTCCTGGAGGATGGCCCCTCGCCATCCCACCCAGTTCTCTTTGCTAAGCTCCTAAGAGACTAGCAGGCTGCTATTTTTGTCTGTCCCTCTTCCAAATGATTTCTCCAGGATATAGGAATAGGGATGAAGACATATGGACCGCTGCACCCTTTGCGGGTGAGCTGGGCCCTGACCAGGGGAGTGTGGTGAAGCCCTTGGCCCTCCGTGATCATGGCGGCGTGGCTCTGGGCTCCAGTCCGTCAGCATGGGTGAAAAGACGGCTCATCTGAGCATGGCGAGGAAGTGACCTCAGATGTGTGAGTCTAATGACACCGCCACTTCCCAGTCATTCCCTGCGTCGTCATACCCCGGTCTCACATGGGAGCCAGTTGTTTTCAATCTCTTGGATTTTTATCTTTCTTTCACTTATTTCACCTTTTAGCGGAAACAGTGATAGAAAAAAAAAGGCACAGGCATTTTGTGGCTTTTTCAGATTTCCCACGAGGCCTCACAGCATGGTTGAGACCTGTTATTTCCAGTACACTGAGAAAGTCTCTGCCCCTCGCAAGCAAGAGAAGCCACCCTCTTGGCTGAGAGTCCTTCTCTGTCTTCTCGCAGTGCTCTGGGTTCCCCTCTGTTGTGGCATCCGGAACCCCCCAGACACTTCAAAGCCTGTGACTGCTCTGGAAGCTGATGGTCCTGCCCCTGGCACGGTCCCCCTCTAAGTCAGCTTCACAGCAGCACCTCATGATGCTTTTGTAACGTGTCAGCACAGCAAGACTGAGGTGTGTTTCCAGAATTCCATTCTCTGTATATTTCCAGATGGGGTGCGCTGCAGGGGTCATTTGGTGTAAGACGTAGAGGCAGAAGGGAAACAGCAGCCACATTGTTTTTACACTCAGAAAGTGGAGCAGCTGTGGGCCCCGCAGGTGAATAACAATGGTGTGAGCTCCTCCACCTCTCTCCTAAGGGCCCTCCTAGCCTCTGCTCACTGGGTCAAAACTCATGCCTGCATTTTTAGGTTTTGTTAAGGTATCCTAGTGCCAGGACTAAAACGTGCATTAGTTACCTTCTGCTGAATAACAAATTGTCCCCAAAGTTGGAAACTTAACAATGAACATTTATTATCTCATACCATTTCTGTGGGTCAGAAGTTCAGAAATGATTTAGTTGGATGATTCTGGCTCAAAGATCGCTCGTGAGGTGGCCATCAAAATGGGTCAGGGCCGCAGTCATCTGAGAGCTTGACTGGAGCTGGAAATAAACTTCTAAGGTAGCTCAGTCACAGGCCTGGCAAAGTGCAACTGGCTGTTGATGGGAGGCCCCAGTTTCCCCCCATGTGGGCCTTTCCACAGCTGCTTAACTGTCCCCACAGCATGGCACTGGCTTCTTCCAGGGATTCAGAATGGAACAAGGCAGAAGCCACAATTTCTTGTATGATCTGGCCTTGGAAATTATATACTGTCATTGCCACAATATCCTATAGTTTCAAAAGTCAGTCCTATTCACTATGTGAGGGGACTGCACAAATACCAGGGCGTGGGGATCATTGGAGCCATCTGGGAGGTTGGCCACCACCTGCTGGCCAGCTGCAGACCTCCCACATCAGCCAGCACCTCAGCATCTGCAGGCTGGTTGGCTGGAGCTTAGCAAATCTCATCCCTGGAACATGTGGCTTGCCAGTCAAGGCTCCTCCCATATACCATCCCCTCTGTCCTACTATGCGTTTTCATCCTAACACCTTCTACTGCGACAGTGCTCCAAGTCGTTTGTAGTATGCCCTAAGGAAACATTATTCCATTGTAAATAAACTTGATTAACACAGGCTTGATTAACGAGGCTGTCTTTCCCCGAACTCCACGGAAATGCTCCCTCTGAAACTTTCTCAAATAGAGGTAAGTCATTCTTTCATGTCTCAAAGATTTAATCAATTTCAACAACCACCCTCATACTCCACTTGAGCTGATGGTCACACCCTGCAGCCTGTCACCTTGAACTGCCTGACCTCTGAAATCTTGAATAAACATGCCACATTCTGACTCCAGCCTCTTCAACTGCTAGCTTTATCTTTGCCTTATTCTTTTATTCTTGTTCTTTGTATTTATGAAAACCTTCAGCCCAATCCTGAGTGCTGCACCCTTTCTTACCTTTTCCACAGAACAACCCAAGCCCCATGATGTATCACTTCAACCAGTTTTGCTAACACCCTCTCAATGCCCTTGACACTTCATACTTCCATCATATCCACTCTACAAATGGTTAATTTTAGAGAAACTCTTCCAGGACTTTTGATCTCAGACAAACTAGGGTAACAAAAACCAATCTACCCTCCTAAGTGTAAGAAATAACTGGGAAATATATATATTTTTAAAAATGGTGTGCAAGATACTGGACATCAGGCAATGAAGGATAACAATCTCCAAGAAACAGGAAACAAATTAGGTGACCCCTAGGATTGCCCTAGCTTATGGCCTGAGAGAACTTCTAGAACATGGGTGCAGGGAGGGGGGATCCAGGTGGAGCCACATGGTTTCTCTTATTTGAGGAGATAAGGCTGAAAGTCAAAAAGGCCAAAGTGGCAAAGATCTGCAGGGCAGAGTATGAGACATAGAGCTACGTAGAGAAAGAGTTCTGAAGATCTCAGAATGTCCCCCTCAAGTCTTTAGCTAAGTACTGATCACAACAACCTTGTAAGGACATTACAAAGAAAAAAAAAAACCTGAAAAGATTAGAAGGAACAATACTCAGAGTTCACACAGGCCAGAATAGTTCCTGTTTCCATTGAATAGAGCACTCATGTTTTTGACTCTGTAGTGGGGCAAAACTATCTCTGGTCTAAGCACAGCTGTGGGCCTGCCTAACAAAGCAATAACTGAGGCATCCAACTGTTTCCAAGTAACTTAATTGCACCTCAGAACAAAACTCAAGAACATTTACAGGAATACAAAAATATCCAGCACCCAAGAAAGTAAAATTCACAATGTCTGGCGTCCAATCCAAACTTACTAGGCACACAAAGAATCAGGAAAACATGACATATGATGAGAAAACCAACCAATGAAACTGACTCAGAAATAATACCAATGAATTAGTAGACAAGCACATTAAAGCAGTTGTTTCATAACTGTACTCCAGATTCTCAAAAAGAGGAAAGATTTAGCATGTATGGCAAAGACATGGAAAATATTTTTTAACAACCCAAATTGAACTTCAAGAGATGAAAACTACAAAGCCTGAGACAAAAAATATATATATATTAAATGTGGTAAACAGCAGATTAGGCGCCAAAGAAGAAAAAATGAGCAAACTTGAAGACATCAGTAAAAACAATCTAAAAACACGGAAAGACAATATTGGCAAAAATAAAACAATGAAGAGAGCATGAATGAACCATTGGAGTCGCAGTAAAGTTAGGGAGAAGGGGCAGAAAAAAATAATTAGTGAAATAATGGCCCAAATTTTCAAAACTGGGTGGAAATTATAAACCCACATATCCAATAAGCTCAGAAAACCCTCAAGAACAAGAAACATGAAGAAAACTATACTAAGGTACATCATAATCAAATTGCTTATAACCAATGACAAGGAGAAAATCTTATAAGCAGCCAGAGAGGACTCACTGTGTGCAGAGAAAGGTAAGAATGACAGCAGACTTCCTTTCAAACACATTGAAAGTCAGAAGATAGTAGAACAGCAATTTAAAGTTCTGAATGAATTTTTTTAATATCAACCAAAAATTCTGTACCCAGAAACAATATTTTCCAAAGTAAAAGTAAAATAAAGAAAATTTCCAACAAAGAAAAGTTGAAAGAATTCATCCCCAAAAGGCCCATGATACAAGAAATAAAGGGAATGATCTCAAATAGAAATCTGCATCTATGCAAAGGAATGAAGAGCACTGGAAAGAGTAATTAAATGGAGAAATATAAAATACTTTTTTCTTCCCACCTCCCAGCACAGCAGGCATTCTCAGGATACACTAAGGCTGAGGAAAAGGGAGGTGGCAAAGGGTCAAGGTCATGGTCCCTCTCATCCAAGTGCCCGGCCAGATGGGAGGGAGTCGTAATGTCTGGTAGCCACCATGCCGGGTCAGACTCCACTGGGATGAGCCCCTGCTCCTCAGCCTCTTTGGTGACTTTAGCCTCCTTGTCCTTATCGTCTTCCCCATTGCCGCCGCTGTGGCAGCTTCGGCAGTAGTGCTGCTGTCCAGTGGGGCGGCCCAGGCCACCAGCTTGGATAGCCTTGGGGCCCAGTGTGGCCTGTGTTGGTGGTGCCCACTGTGTCAGGCAGTGGCAGGGTGCTGTCCATAGTCCTGTCCCGGCTCAGCTGCATGCCCAGGCCCCAGTGCTGGTATAGGAGGCAGCAGCTGTAGCCTAGGCAGCAGCAGGAAGCAACCTCTGCTTGCCCCTCCCCTCTCCAACAGGCTCATCAACTCATATAAGGACAACAGCAATGATTTCATATGCCCCATCTGCTTTGATATGATTGAAGAGGCATACACGACAAAATAAGGCCACAGCTTTTGCTATAAGTAGATTCACTAGAGTTCGGAGGACAATAATATATGTACCAAGTATAACTATGTTGTGGACAATACTAACCATCTGTTTCCTAATTTGTTGGTGAATGAGCTCATTCTCAAACAGAAGCAAAGATTTGAGGAAGAGGTTCAAATTGGACCACTCAGTGAGTAGCACCAATGGCCACAGGTGGTGAATATTTCAAGATTTGTTGGGAACTGACCAAGATAACCTTGATTTGGCCAATATCAACCTCATGTTGGAGTTACTAGTTCAGAAGAAGAAACAACTGGAAGCAGAATCACATGCAGCCCAACTACAGAATCTTATACAATTCCTCAAGGTTGCAAGAAGAAATAGGAGAGAGCAACTGGGACACTTCCAGAAGGAGCTAAGTGTTTTGGAAGAGGATATTAAAAGAGTGGAAGAAATGAGTGGCTTACACTCTCCTGTCAGTGAGGATAGCACAGTGCCTCAACTTGAAGCTCCTCCTGCATCACACAGTAGTATTATGGATTCCACAGAATATAGCCAATATCCAGGTTTCAGTGGCAGTTCTTAGACAAAGAAACAGCCTTGATATAACAGCACATTAACATCAAAATTAAAATGGCCCACTGCTCATTTTGAAGACCTGGAGCACTGTTACTTTTCTACAAGGTTGTCTCGTATCTCAGATGACAGTTGAACTGCAAGCCAATTGGATGAACTTCAGAAATGCTTGTCCAAGGTTACTCAATATAAATCAATATGAACTTTAGCCACATTATCATGCCCTAGTGATCTCTATAATGATTCCAGGATAGTCTCTGGTATTGAATTTGACCAGGATTGTGACTATTTTGCAATTGCTGAGGTTACAATGAAGATTAAAGTCTATGAATATGGCACAGTCATCCAGGATGCAGTGGATATTCATTACCGTGTGAATGAAATGACCTCAATTCCAAAATCAGCTGTATCAGTTGGAGTAGTTACCATAAGAACCTGTTAGCTAGCAGTGATTATGAAGGCATTGTTATCCTATGGGATGGATTCACAGGACAGAGGTCAAAGGTCTAACAGGAGCGTGAGAAGAGGTGTTGAAGTGTTTCATTTGATGGATCCTAAACTCCTGGCTTTGGGTTCTGATGATGTAAAAGTGAAGCTGTGATCTACCGGTCTAGACAACTCAGTGGCAAGCATTGAGGCAAAGGCTGATGTGTGCTGTGTTAAATTCAGCCGCTCTTCCAGATGCCATTTGGCTTTTGGCTGTGCGGATCATTGTGTCCATTACTATGATCTTCGTAGCACTAAACAGCCAATCATGGTATTCAAAGGACGCCAAAAAGCAGTCTCTTATGCAAAGTTTGCGAGTGGTGAGGAAATTGTCTTTGCCTCAACAGACAGCCAGCTAACACTGTGGAATGTAGGGAAACTGTACTGCCTACATTCCTTCAAGGGTCATATCAATGAAAAGAACTTTGTAGGCCTTGCTTCCCGTGGAGAGTATATAGCTTGTGGAAGTGAGAACAACTCTCTCAACCTGTGCTATAAAGCACTTTCTAAGACTTTGCTAACTTTTAAGTTTGATACAGTCAAAAGTGTTCTGGACAAAGAAGGAAAAGAAGATGATACAAATGAATTTGTTGGTGCTGCGTGCTGGAGGGCACAACCAGATGGAGAGTTCAACATGCTGATTGCTGCTAACAGTGAGGGTACAATTAAGGTGCTAGAATTGGTACGAAGGGTTTACTCAACCCTAAATGTACTTGATCCTGCTGATATACCTCTGCAGCTGACAATGATAGAAGAAACAGAAAATGTCATGTGATGTCTCTCCCCAAAGTCATCATGGGTTTTGGATTTGTTTTTGAGTATTTTTCTTTTTCTCTTTTTCCTCCTTTGTGACCTTTGGGACATTGGGAATACCCAGTGAACTCTCCACCATCGGTGCGACTCCATGGACATTGCTACTGTTGGTGGTGTGGTTGTGGTTATCTAATTTTTGTGATAGGGAAACACATTCTTTGAAATAAAAATAAATAACAAAAAAGGTTATTGAGCCACGAATAAATAAATATGTATATATTACTTTTTTCTTATTTAAATATTTTTAAAAGATAATTTTTACATAAAAATTATGTAGGTTACAACATGCAGAAGTACAAGGCATAACAACAATAGCTGGGAGGGGAAAAATTGAAGTATTCTGCTATAAGATTCTTCTAGTATGCATGAAGTATAATATCACTAGAAGGCAGACAGTGATAAGTTTAAGATGTACACATACACCCTAGAGCAACCACTATAATAACACAGCAAAGAGTTACGGTTACTAAGCCAACAAAAAAGATATAATGGAATCTAAAAGAGACTCAATTAATCCAAAAGAAGGCAGAAAAAGAGGGAAAATGGAATAAAGAACAGATGGGATGAATAGAAAGCAAAGAGCAAGATGGTAGATTTAAACTTAACTATATCAATAATCACATTAAAATGTAAATGGGCTAAACACCCCAATTAAAAGTCAGAGACTATCAGATTGAATAAAAAGAAAGATCCAACTATATGCTGCCTACCAGAAACCCACTTTGAACATTAAAAAAAACAACAACAACAAATAAAGAAACCCATCCGGCTGCTTTCTTCAATACTCCAAGCTGTTGAGAGCAGCTAGGAAAAAAAATTACCCAAATGAGTATCTTATTGCTGCTATAAATTCATGGTATCCATCTTTCTTTTTACACTCTTCATGGCCAATAATCTAAGGTTTCTCCACACTAAAGCTACCTATGCTATAGCAATGGCATTCTTCCCCGCTCCACAGGAAAAATAAGCTGTTCACCCTCATACCTGTTACGTTTCCACACCCATCCTCACCCCATTTTTGCCTAATTCAGAGAAACATCATTCATTTCCCTCCTTCAAAAGACAAGTCTTAAGAGCAGGAATGGTCTCTGAGGCCCCCTGGGCACGGAAGGTGCGGGTTGCTTCCTCTCCCCTGGGAGGTCCTTCTCACTGCCTCTGTATTTCACACCCCATTTCCCCAGGTGCTTGATCAGAGAACCTAAGCATTCTCAGACAACCTCCTAAATATCTCATAGATCCATTCTGATCTCTCTAATTCCACTAGCAGGGTGCTTCCAAGCCTCATTTATCTGGTCTCTACCTGACTGGCAAACTCTTCTCCTAGTATTTGATCCTGTTCCTCCAATCCACCCTCCAGTCTGCACCCAGACTGATCCTTAGGAAAGCCAAATATGAGGCTGTCACTCATCCCTGCTTCCCACTCCCTGCCTTCCCAGTGGCTTTGAGACGAAGGTCTGGCTCTTCAGCCAGTCTCATATGGCCAGTCACCTCATTCCACTCCACTCCCTGCTAGGGGCTACAGTCCTCCTTCAGGTCCTCTGCATCTCATCTCTTTCTTATCTCAAAACACTGGCATATGCTCTGCCCTCAGCCTTGAAAGCAACTCCACCCTCTCTCCATCTCCTCCCCATATCCATCCTCCAGCTTTAGTGGCGTGACTTATCCCACAAACACAGGGCATGCAAGTTTCACTGTCAGAACCTTCTTCCAGTCAACTTATATCTGATTCCAGCCCTATCATGCCAGGCTGGAGGAAAATTAGATCTCCGTCTTTCCTGAGGCTTTCACTCTACCCTACCCTCCAAATTTTACAGAATCCTGGGGTCTTATGCCGGGAAGCCCCCAGCGTCCAGTCAGCGTTCATCAGTCTGCCTCTGCCTGTGATTGCCTGGAAACCCCTGTCCAGTCCGTGTGGTCATGGGACCTGCAGGCTCCACTGTTTCCTGGAGCTGCCTGGACCACAGGACACTGGGGAAGGCGGGGCAGCCGGGTGGCCAGAGCCCTGCCTTCTGTGTGCACCACCCAGACAGCCTCTCTGGGGTCCTGCCACCTCCTGGGGTTGCAAGGACAGATGGCTGCATAGTTCGTTTGTTCTCTCTCCACAGTCCTGAGACATTGTTTCTCTCTTGTGCAACATCTCCCAGTCTCTCTCTCTCCCCGTTGGGGACACCTGTAACAACTATTTCCGTGTGCTCTCCTCCCACTAACAAAGGTCCTGGAAGCTAAGACTCAGAAAGCCTCACTTCCTGCTTCCAGGGGGAAAGGGAAATGATAACAGAAAGGAAACACCAACTCAGAAAGGTATCCTGCCTCATTCCAGAGAGCCTTCCCTGGCCCTGCAGGCTACGCTCACTGATCTGTCTCTTAGGACTCTTCTCCTTCCTTTCTAAAGCTCAGTGTCCCCGTATCCACATGTTCAACGTCTGAGTCACCCACCAGACTGGAAGCCCTGTAGGGCCCGGAGCCTCACACAGTGCCTGCCACTTTGTGTTTATTAGTACTGGTAGAATAAGTGGACGAAGGCAGGAATCAGCAGACAGTATACTTGCTAGCCCTTTTGTCTGCGCAGGCAAAACCTATATACTTGGAAAATCTGTTCTGGGTTTTGACAAACTCTGAAACACCCAGAAAAAAAAAAATGCTTGCTCTTTCTTGAGAAACTGCTGTAAAGCCCAGGCTAGAAAGGATAAAGGAATCGATTACTGGTCTTGGTCCTGATAGAAAAAATTGTGGAAAGCCAAAGGAAAGGTACCTGTTTTAAAGGAAGGGAGCTTAAAATGCAGGCAAACAGCAGACAACATGTCATCGTCACTTGTTTTTATTCTAGCTAATGGTGTTTAAGTGGCTGCGGTGATACAGTGTCTCAGCCCTGGATGACACACACTCTGTAAAGGGAAGTCTGAAGTGTGGGAGCAACCACTGCGCATTCTATTGTGTCCCACATCAGAATAACAACTCTTACCTCCTCTCCAGCACTCGTGCTTAGGGGAGCGGTGGTGGTTTCAAAATAGGTCCACAAATTCTCTGCTGAACCTCCCTGCAAGAGGTGGAGCCTAATTCCCATCTTCTTGAATATGGGCTGGACTGAGTGACTCAATTGTAACAAGGAGGACAAAGTGGAATGAAGGTGTACAATTCCAGGATGAGGTCATGAGAAGGCACAGGGGTGAATGCCCCTTTGGAGAAGCCCCACAGATGAGGAACCGAGGCCTCCAACCAACTGCCAGCGAGGACCCAGCAGTCATAGACTGAGTGGGAAATGGATCCTCCAGCCCCAGGCAATCCAATGACCTGAGCCCCACAGCCTACACCTTGACTGCAAGCCCATGAGAGACACTGCACCAGAGCCTCCCACCCAAACCATACTGACTCCCGGCTCTCCAAAACTGTGTAAGGTCACTAATATTTGTTATTTTAAGCTGTGAGATTTGGGGGGTAATTCTGTACCTCTGACTTAGGCTCTAATTCTGGCATCCAGTTCTGGAGGTTCCAGAGAGAGGTACTTCTAGCCTAGAAACTTAAAGGTGTAGGTCAAAGTTCCTTATAGTCCAGGTTCTGGAAACTTCTACCCATGGGGTATTTCCCCAAGTATGGTACAAAAGATGATTGTAGATGGTGTAAAGATGAGTATTTATTTTCATAACACTTCTGAATTTAGTTTACTATGTATTGGAAAGTGCTGGTTTTCCACTTTGGAAAAGTGATGGATTTCTTAGTGTCTAAGGGGAATTTGTGCAGGAAAAGGAATGCACACTAGTAACTGTAATTTAGGCAATGTGCCAACTATTAATCTTTGGAATTTATTAGATAATTAGCATTCTTTGAGATATTAAATAATCAACACCGTCCTAAATATATATACTTACTTACAACTAATAAATAAAAAATTATGGATTTAACAAAACAAATTTTCCCAATCAATAAGAACCTAGATTGCAAACTTAACCCAGCACTTTCAGGCATTTAATTAAAATCTCAATTCTAACATATTAACTTCCTTCGATGTTCTAAGACCCTTCAAATGCAAACTGGTCTCACACATGAAAAATAGATTACTAAATTGATTAATACCCTTACTCCAAAAGCAGTTACGACGATGTGGATACCAAGACTTTAATCAGTGTCCTTTTTTGATCCTCTTCTCCTTGTATATTTTCACTGTTACATTCTTTACATTGTCCTAAGATTTCAGTAACTACGAGTTCAGTAACTCCTATTTTTCACCTTTCTGGAATTTCACAAATTTTACCAGACTCCAAAGTAAGAGAATATTTTCTTGATCCCGCTGGGACTTGGCAGGTCTCGTTTGGGTGACCTGTTGATTTTTGGTCAGGACATGGTTATGTAGACCAAGCAGATTCAAACCTGAGCTTGGCCATCAGGATGTTTCTTTTTATTACAAAGAAGCTGCACTGGTTATACCCTGGGACTTCTATGTTCCTGTCTTCCTTAATGATGGTAACTTTGGAGACTTGGTGTCTTTCCCGGGAATGAAATGGTCTTTAAGTTTTGTATTTGACCTCTCCTTATTGTCCAATAATTATGATTTATTATTCTGGTCTATTAGCATAATTGGAAGTTTATGGGCACATGTCTTATTAGTATCTCTTTATAATTAGTAGAGTTATCCGGAGGTTTCCCCCTTTGAGAAAAGATGGAGTAAGTCTGGAGCTGGCTCATTCTTCTTTTAAGGACATTTGACATCTGCGTTCTGCAGGAACGCATATTTGACTCCTCTTTAATTGGTTAGTGTGTGAGAGCAGCAAGGCTGACCAACAGGTGGGTTACTTCCCATCTGCCATCCACACGTTCCTCGTCATGACACCATTCCTTTTTATGCTGCCATGATTTTAACTGACTCACCAATTTCAGGTCACTCTTTCCTGCTCATGCTGGTCCATCAAGGTATCTGCTAAATAGACATGTGTTTACCAAAGACACAGGACACCCATAGACAGCAGCACTTTTCCACTATTGAAAATAATAAGGATGAGGCATATTCTATTAAACTCACTCTTTCTTTAAATCACTCCATTTTTAATACTTAATATTACCTATCCTGAAATTCTTTTCTTGCCCCCAAATATACCTGCAGGCTGTACAGGAAACATAGCGGCTTCTGCTTCTGGGGAGGCCTCAGGAAGCTTCCAATCATGGCGGAAGGCAAAGAGGGGAGGAGGCATCTCACAGGGCCGGAGCAGGAGGAAGAGAGGTTGGGGGAGGTGCTACACTGTTAAACAACCAGGTCTCATGAGAACTCACGAACTGTCACGAGACAGCACCAAGGGCACAGCGCTAAACCATTCATGAAGGATCCACCCCCATGATCCAATCACCTCCCACCAGGCCCCACCTCCAACATTGGGGATTACAGTTCCCCACGAGGTTTGGTGGGGATACAGAACCAAATCCTATCAACCTTCAACGGAGTCTTACTTTCTTTCAGTTGGAGAATGATGTTAGAGACCAAAATCTGGGTCCCAGGCATGTGTGTGAGCTGTGGTGTTGGAAAAATGCTGTTTCTGATGTTGCTATTGGAACATTTTTTCTAAGAGTTGTCATTTCTTTTAAAATCGTATCTTCACATTGACTTAATCTGAACTGGTGTATGATTATATTAGCAGATCTTTCTAATAGCATGAGTCCACCAACCACCAAGACATTCTCTCTAGGATTGATGTGCTATAGAGATATAGTTTCCTTTTGAAATACATTATTTAACATCAAAAAGTGAAACGGTTAAAAAATACGTTGCAAATATTAGTACAGGCAGTACTGGAATATGACAAGCAACTTGAGTGTGAACTGTGAACGAGCAAAGCTAAGCAACAACCGCAGAGCAAGCTCTGAACTTGCTCACTGGTCTGACCACCTGGGAGGCCCTCTCATGCAACATGTTGGATTGAGTTCCAGGGTTGCCACAGCAAAACATCATAGGCTCGGGCTGGAAACAGCAGAAACGTATTGTCTCAGCTCTGAAGGCTGAAGTCCACAGTTAGGGTACAAGCAGCGCCTTGCTCCCTTGAAACCTGTTGGGGAGACTTTTCCTTGCCTCCTCCGAGCTTCCGGTGTGGCTGGCCATCCTTGGAGTCCTTGGTTTGCAGTTGCGGTGCTTCAGTCACTGCCTCTGTCTTCACATAGCCGTCTCCCCTGCATGTCTGTGTGTTTCCGTGTCTCTTCTCCTTTTACAGGACGCCAGTCATATTGGATTAAGGGCCCATCCTATTTCATCTTAACTAATTACATCTACACTTATTTCCAAATAAGGTCGCATTTACAGGCACTGGGGTGACAACTTCAACATACCTTTTTTAGGAGCATAATTCAATCCATAACAACAGGCCTGTCAGGGAGCAGAGCTCAGCCTTGGCCCGATGCACATTCTAGGTCTGCCCTTCACTCAAGGTCTGCAAGTGCAGAGGCTGCAGGTGTTGAGGTTAGAGACGCTCATCCCGGCTCTGTGTGGGCCCCAGGTTCATGCCACAGGCCTCAAGCCCATCTTCAGCCTCTGGGCTGGACCACAGGGGCCACAGCTTTCTCCTTTTGGTCATCAGGGCAGGATCTCAACCGGAGGGTTGTTGGCTGATCAGAATTCAAACTGAGAGTGGAGAGGTAGTTTGGAAGAAGAAACTTATTTCTACCTTAGAGTTTCCTCAACTATAAAATGAAGGTTTTAGGCTAATTCAGAGGTTTTCCAACTTCACTGTGAGGAGTGACCTCAAGGTCACGTGCAGAAAGAGTGGAGGCTGAGTTCCACGAGAGCGATACTTTCTGTTCTTTCTCCATTTGTGCAACTGTCTGCTCTATACCAAAATCAAGCCTAGGTTCTTTGTGCGTATTTACTCTCCTTAACTTTTCTTTTTCTTTTTGTTTTTTTTTTTTTTTTTGAGACGGAGTCTCACTCTGTCACCCAGGCTGGAGTGCAGTGGTGCGATCTCGGCTCACTGCAACCTCCACCTCCCGGGTTCAAGTGATTCTCCTGCCTCTGCCTCCCGAGTAGCTGGGATTACAGGCGCCTGCCACCACGCCTGGCTATTTTTTGTATTTTTTAGTAGAGATGGGGTTTCAACATGTTGGTCAGGCTGGTCTTGAACTCCTGACCTCAGGTGATCCACCCGCCTCAGCCTCCCAAAGTGCTGGGATTACAGGCGTGAGCCACCATGCCCAGCCTACTCTCCTTAACTTTTAAATAAGCCCATGATATATATGCTCTCCCCACTTTTTAGAGCGAAACAGACTCAGAATAACTTTTCGAGGTCACTTGAATGTTGCCTGAGATTCGTTCAATCGGTGTGTGTTTTGTATTTTGTTTGGCAGCAATGAGCAAAGTGGTCTCAGTTCCCACCCCCGGGGAATGAACAATCTAGTCAAGGAAGAAATTTTAAAACCACAAAAGTGAATAAATTACAGGTCGCAGAGAACACTGTACAGATGGGGCACATGGAGGACATAAGCCAAGTTCAGATGATGGGTCTGATGACGGCCTCTGTGAGGTTGTCAGGGGAAAGCAGCCCAGGCCGGGCGCCTGGAGAAGTGCAGGAATTGGAACCCTCTGCGCCGCTGGTGGGAAGGCGAGTGGTCCCTCCGCGGTGGGAAACAGTGCCGTGTTTCCTCAGAAACGCTAAATGGAGAAGCATCGCATGATCCAGCAATTGCACTTCTGGGTATTTGCCCAGAAAAACTGAAAGTAGGGAGTCGAAGAGATATTGGTTGGTAGAGTTTGGATGTTTGTCCCCACCCAAATCTCATGTTGAGATGTGATCCCCAGGGCTGGAGGTGGGGCCTGGTGGGAGGTGTTTGGGTCATGGGGACAGATCCCTCATGGCTTGGTGCTGGCCTAGAGATAGCAGGTAAGTTCTCATGAGCTCTGGTTGTTTAAAAAGTGTGCGACACCTCCACAGCCCCCACCGTTGCCCCTGCTTTCGCCATGTGACGTGCCTGCTCCCGTTTCGACTTCCACCATAGTCAAAGCTCCCCGAGGCCTCTCCAGAAGCTGAGCAGATGCTGGCACCATGCTTCGTGTACAGCCTGCAGAACTGTGAGCCCATTAAACTTCTTTTCTTTATAAATCACTCAGTCTTGGGTATTCCTTTATAGCAATGCAAGGACAGCCCAACACATTGGCACACCCATGTTGATAGCAGCATTGCTCACAAGAGTCAACAGGTGGAAACAAGCCAAGTTTCCATTGGTGGAAGAAAGGATTTTTAAAATGGGGATATACACATACAGGAATACTATTACTGTTCAACCTTAAAAAGGAAGGAAATTGTGACTTCTGCTACAACATGGATGAACTTGAAGGCATTATGCTGAGTGAAGTGAGCCAGTCACAAAAGATCGAATACTGTCTGATCCCCCTGGCGTGATGTCCTGAGAGCAGTCACGTTCCTACAGGTAGAAAATAGAGTGGCGGCCACCAGGGGCTGGGGGATGGGTGGGCTAAGAGGGTTCGTGTTTGACGGGTACAGAGTTTCACTTTGGGAGGATGAAAAAGTTCTGGAGAAGGATTGGTGACAGTTGCACGACAATATGAATTTACTTAATGCCACTGAAGTGTCCACGTAAATGATATAAATGGTGAATTTTATGTTATGTGTATTTTAGCACAATGATATAAAACAAAATACTTTTCTCCCTCCTGTTCAGGTGAAGGCAGTGCCTCAGAGTAAAGGAGCGATCTCCCAGCCCTGGGCCTGCACAGCTCACAGGCGGCCTTCTGTGCTGGTGACAGCCTCCCTCGTGGGTCCCCTCTCCTCACTGTTCCCAGGCCCGGTTCCAGTCACAGCCTTGCCCCTGCAGGGCCCTCCGGCTCTGGAGAAAACAGTCTGAAAATCCCTGGGCCTTGGATTTCCTCTGCATGTAAGTCCCATGGGTTGAGGGTTTGCCTGGGCAGGCTTTGAAGTGTCTGGATTTTTCTCAGCCCGGAAGAGAAACGCTGATGACTCATGGGACAGGGGCAGGACATTTGCTTGTGGAAATCTAAGCCCTCTCATCAGTTTGGATCATCCCAGCTCACCATGGCCACAGCAGCCCCCGGGTCTGCACTGTCCCTCGGGTGGGAGCTCGTCCTTAAGGAAACATCTGTGTCCGTGTAGGCAGCATGTGTGAGCATCAGCTCCAAACCACCAGGATAACAGGTCCTATTACGAAGCCTTCCCTTCTCTGTGGGGCTGTCTCTTCCACATCGCCCCCCTTTAGGAAGGGGTGGGTAGGCTTCTGCAATGAAAGGGCTGGCACCAGGTCTCTGTCTCTGACCCTGGCGTGAGCTTCCAGTGCTTTCTCTTGTGCCAGTGCTGAGCTGGAGCCCACTGAATTAAAGATCTGAGTTAGGGGAGCTGTGTGACCATGATTGCCCCCGCATGTGCTGCTGGGATCGGGGAGCACCTGACCCTGCTCACCTTTTCCCGTAAGAGAAGCGGGGCCAGCCCCTCAGCCCTCTCTAGTTGTTCGAATCTAAATGTACCATTTAAGTCATGGGTGATCCCTAGAAACCCATTTTCACTGGGTGCTTCTCAAGACTATTTGGGAAAAGAACAGGACAGTGACTCAAAACCAGAGACTGTATTCCCAAGCTCCCCATGCCTCCTGTCAAACAGAAATGAAACCAAACTAGCCACAGCCAACTGGGGGGCTCTTCCCTGCCTCAGTTTCCTTGCCTGTTGAAGGCACACACAAACATGTATGTGGTGTGGAACAAAATGAAATAGGAAGCTGTGGTGAAAATTAAAAGAGCTATGCAGATGTAAAATGCAGCCACTGTGAGTATTCGAGGTAAGGAATTATACCTACAAAAGACGCTCACGGCCGGGCGCAGTGGATCACACCTGTAATCCCAGCACTTTGGGAGGCCGAGGCAGGTGGATCACCAGAGGTCAAGAGTTCAAGACCAGCCTGACCAATATAGTGAAACCCCGTCTCTACTAAAACTACAAAAATTAGCTGGGCGTGGTGGTACGTGCCTGTAATACCAGCTACTCGGGAGGCTAAGACAGGAGAATCACTTGAACCCAGGAGGTGGAGGTTGCAGTGAGCAGAGATCATGCCACTATACTCCAGCCTGGGTGACAGAGTGAAACTCTGTCTAAAAAAAAAAAAAAAAAAGGACTTTCACATGGATAGATGGATAGAGTGAAAAGTGTGGTAAGTGAAATACTAACTATTATAACTAACAACCGTGGGCAGGCAGAGGGGGCTGGTGCTCTTCCCTGCTGTGTCTGGGCTGCAAGGAGGCCGGTGATGACTCAGGCTGGAGGGGCCCTCGACCCTCGGTTATCAAGAGCACCCAGCGGGGTCCTGTAAACAGTGGCAATGCCACAGCCCTGGCCACACGCTGCTTGGCAGCCCATGTAGGTTTGCTGTTGGTTCATTAAAGCAACATTAAGATGCCCTTTATCCCTCTCTGTTAACACAGATAATCGAATGAAAATGTAATTGCCACAGCTAACTCAATTAAAAGCATTTCTGAAAGTTGCCCCTTGCTCCTGGTGTATTGAAGACTAGATTTGGAGCCACTTGCCCCCATGGTGGACTGTGCCATTTACTCCCCCAAAGGACCCCAGGAAACCAACGTAATCAGCCCCATTTTACAAGTGAAGAAACTGATGTTCTGGGAGGGTGAGTGGCCTCCCTGAGGCTGCACGGCTGCACAGGGGCAGCTGCAGGATTTGAACTCAGGCTGACCCCACCTGCCAGCCCCACAGCACCTCCTGGGGTGTTGGGCATCTGGGGCCAACTGCCTGGGTCCCAGCAGCCAGCGCCTGGCTCTTGGGCTGTTTGATCTTGGTCAGTGTATCTAATCTCTGTATCTTAATTCCTGCATCTGATCAACTCAATTAAGTTCTTCCTCGCATACTGCATATTTTGAGAACATGCCTGGGTTCTTCCTTCCTTTCCTTCTCTCCCCTTATTGAAAACGAACTGCTGTCTTGTGACTAGTGTGGCCTTGGCAGTTTTCACCTGGGGCATTTCCACCGAGGCAGCTTCCTCCACTTCCTCCCACGCGAAAGACAGCACATTAGCAGCTAATTCATGGGACAAAAGGAAGAGGCAGTGCAGATCAGTGAGCCTGGGAGCAGATGATGAATGCCAGGGGGTGTCTTCGCTGCAACAAGCACTCAGCCCTGCAGCGTGACTCAGAGAGTGGCCTCGGGCAATCCACCAGCCTGAAACCACAGGACAGGACTGGCAATCTCAGCACAGAGCACTGATCCTGTCATCATTTAAAGACTCAGAAGCGGTCACAAGGGGGAGTGGATCAGAGCCATTCTGGACTTCTCACGGCCAGCTCAGACGCTCGCATATGTGACATGCACAGGGTGCCCACGACTTCCTGGACCTTTGGATGGAGCCCCCGGCCACCTGGAGGGAGCATTGAAACGGATGATGCTAAACTCGCACTCTAAACTCGCACTTGGCGTTGCCTTCTCAGGTCCCAGCACCTGTGCAGAGGCCTCTCAGGGTGTGACAGTCCCCTGCTGAATGGCACCTTCCCCTCCAGCACCTGCAGGGCTTCCCTGCCCACTGCACCTGCCTTGCCCCAGCATGCCTGCCTGACCCTGGAGAAGGATGGAGATGCAGGGTTTTGTGGGGAGTGCCAGGAAGAGGCCTCCTCGGGGGAGGGAAGCTGATAGCAGCCCCGCCCTCACCTGCCCCAGCAGCTGAGCTCATCCCCTGGGGGGCACTCATGCTCCCTAGAAGTGACAGGTGGGCCCACTATCCACAGGCCGGCAGAACGCAGCTCCTTTGGGGTGGGGGAATTCCTGCCCTGGCCTTGGCCACAGAGCCCCAGGATGAGTTTTGTGACAGAGCCATCCCCACACACCCACTGAATGAGAACGGAGGCCCAGCCTGGAGGCGGGGGCTGGAGGGAGTGCAGAGGGCATGAGGAGGCACTCCAGCCATTCCTCCTTCTAAGTGGGACCTCCCTGGGAGGACAGATGACTGCTGCATTAGGAGGGTGTTTCAGGCCCACCTGCCACTTCCAAGGAGCGTAAGTTGGCAATGTTGGAAATCAGCCTACAGCTGCTCCTCGAGGTGACCCCATCAAGGGACCAGGACTACGGGACTAGCAACGCAGGTATTGAAGAAGTGTCACTCTCCAGGGACCTCGCTGCTGGAGCCAGGCCAGTGCTGGAATCCCCGCCAGCAGGGGGCAGCGTGCAGGCTTTCCGGGGCCTGCTCTAGCCTGCCAAGAGAATGTGAGATTCATGGGTACGCATGCGGGCGGCTGCACCCTTCCAGGCCACAGATTGGACCTAACAGCTCCTGTCTGCTTGGCAGTGCCCAAGAGATTTTCCTGGCGCTGGAAACATTGGATTTGGGGTGTGCGTGACCCACCTGGGTCAGAGTGCTTGGCTTTCTGCTCATCTGCTGACTCAATAGGGGGTCTGTGTCCATCTACCCATCTCCCCTTTTCCTTGCACTATCTCAGAATCTCTATCTATTTCATAAAACACCAATTATTTGTCTATTATCCTCATTTAAAATTATATATATTAGTTAGAACGTAATCCTCCTTCTCTCTCTGATCTCATTAGCTGACAAAAGCATTAGCAAATTGTCACATGTCTAAATGACCGTGAAATAGGTATTGGTTTTAATTGTTGGTACTTAAGTGGCTGTTATAACAAAGTGTTTTGCTTCATAAGCCAGGTGAGCCCCTCACTCTCTGAGGAGGAACGCTGGAGACTCGGCTGCTCAGAGCCGGATTTGCAATCTGCTGGCCACCCCTATATAAGACTCCAGTATTTTGATATTGGCCTCTAGAGTCGTTTTGTTTGTTTGTTTGTTTTTTATCTTTAGAGGATATAAAATTTGCCAGTTTAAATGTACCGGTCAGTGGCATTAACTACATTACATTGTCATGTAACCATCACCACCATCCATCTCCAGAACTTTTTCATCCTCCCAAGTTGTACCCAATAAAGAACAACTCCCTTCCCCCAGGCCCTGGCGACCATCACTCTACTTTCTTTCTGTATGACCTGACTACTCTAAGTACTTCATATAAGTGCAGTTGTCAACTCTTTGTCCTTTCATGGCTGGCTTATTTCACTTAGCATGTTACCTTCAAGGTTCCTCTATGTTGTGGCATGTGTCAGAATTCCCTTCCTTTTCAAGGCTGCATAATATTCCCCTGTGTGTATATATTACATTTTGTGTATTCATTCATCCATTTGTAGATGCTTGGGTTGTTTCCATCTTTTGGCAATTGTGAATTGAATTACTGGCCTCAGGTGCCTTTGTTTTGTTTTTTATTCCAATTTTTTTTTTTTTTGAGATGGAGTCTTGCTCTGTCACCTGGAGTTCAGTGGCGTGATCTCTGCTCACTGCAACCTCTGCCTCCCAGGCTCAAGTGATTCTCGTGCCTCAGCCTCCTGAGTAGCTGGGACTACAGGCATGTGCCACCACGCCCGGCTAATTTTTGTATTTTTAGTAGAGACGGGGTTTCGCCACATTGGCCAGGCTGGTCCTAAACTCCTGACCTCAGGTGACCTGCCCACCTTGACCTCCCTAAGTGCTGGGATTACAGGCGTGAGCCACTGCACCTGGCCTTTTCTCATCAGCTTCTAATTTTTACTCTTCAGTGACTGACATTAGACTCCTTTGTGGCCCCTTCGTAAATTCTATTAAACTACCTGAGCAACATGCGAGATGAAATTCCAAGAGCCAGTGAGTGAACTCTTTTCCTATGCAGGAAATAGCTCTTAACCACTGAGGGGGTCACCCACCCATTTGAGAATCTGAGAAAGTTTTAAATCCTCTCCCATCTGCAAACCATACAGTCACTCACACAAATGTGACCTTTTCAGTTTCCATGGACACCACTGAGACCCATTTTTAGACCACAGGTTTATCTCTGCTCTAGATAATTCATTTCTTCCCAGAACGTGGTAAATCAAAAGTTTTCTAATCAGAGCGTGGTTGAAATGCTTGAATAAAACACAAAATCACTTCCAGTTTGGCAATGATACAAAGCGGAATGTCTGTATTTGGAACTTCCCCAGTGCAGAACACGACAGTAAAAAAAAAAAAAAAAAACACTCAGTGCATCCATGCAGTGTCTCCAAAAAGCATGGGAGGCCAGGAGTTGAGTGTGGGACTCTCCTTCTGGCTGCAGAGGGGATTGGTGACTCTAGACATGCAGGGGAGAGCATGCTGGGGAAAGAGGCAGAAATGCCCCCTCCAAATGGGAGTCCCTCCCAGTACCTGCCTTCTGCGCCCTGACCATTCTGATTGCTGGCAGCTCTAGCCCCAGCCCACCAACCCCACCTAAGCACACACCCCCTCCCACCGTCCCAGCACAGCGAATCAGTCAGGGAGCCAGGAGGCCCTAGCTTCCAATTAGACCGCACATGACTGTGTGTCACTGCCCAGGAAGGGGCTTCTATGGGTGGCAGCCGACCTCTGCCTCAGGGCAGCTCCAGTTGCACGGGCCATGGAGGCCGCTGCCATCCAGCTTCAGCTGCAAGAGCCCAGGATCAGCCAGACTTGTCTACTGAGGATGGGGAGTGTTTAGATAAGTTTGCCATATCCGAGCAGGAAATACAGATATAACACAGAGCTGGAGGCTGAGCCTCAGCTGAGATGCCACGTGCGGCAGTGTGCTGGAGGATGTGTGTGCTGATATCCAGGCATCTTTACAGAAGATGATGCGTCTGGGAGACATGGGTCTTCAAGTGTGTGCACCTGGAGGTGGACACAGGTCCCTGTGTGTGTGGAAGGGTGAAGTGGGAAGAGGGAAATAGACCAGGAGCACAATGTCTGGGGCCTGGTTCCCTGCAGAGGGCAGAGCTCCAGAACCAAACCTAAACCCTCCTGTCCTGGGGCCTGTGCAGCACGGGACGCCTGGGACAGCCATTCCACCTGAGTGTCCCACAGAGTGAGGGACAAGGACAATCTCCCTTCCCCCTTGGTCAGGGACTCCCAAGGGGCTGCAGCCACATTGCTCCTTTTGAGGTTTTGCCGCAGCACTTGGGCAGAGATGAAGCCATCGCTCAGGGCAGCCCTGATGGGGGCTCTCCCCCTTCCCAGGAACCCTGGAACCTCATGGCCAACTGACACCTAACCCTTGCGGCACTTTAAAATCACCCGGGGAGCTTTGGAAACAGTCCCCCATTCCAGACCCATCATTATAAGAATCTCCGGAAATGGAGGCTGGGCCCCGGGCATTTTTTAAGTCCCCAGGTGATTTGAATGTGCAGGCTAGACCCACTGATGGCCTCTTCTTTCCCCTTGGGAAGCCCTCACCCATCTTTGGTAAATACATGATTGATTATGTGTAAGGCGGGTAACTGCCAATACTGAGTCCACTGAAAGATGCACATTTTAGGATTCTGATAGGGATGTTCCTTACAATCACTGTCAGGCAGGTGACAGGTATAAAAAGCTGCCATCATCATTAATGAAGCGTGTGTTTACCCCATCAAAGTGTTTCATGTGGTTGTCACTTTAATGGGCATTATTGGACGACACATGGAGAGTTTAATTGCTATTTTAAAATATCCTCAAAAATGTTACAGTGTGATTTGGCCTTGAAATGAAAAAATATTGTGTGTTTGATGAGCATGTACACAGAGCATCAGGGTGTACCTTTGATGTCATTGAAGCAAATATTTCTCACTTCCATTTCATGGGGGTTTTTGCAAAGTCATAACCAAGGGCTTTATAGAACCTGACAAAGAAAGACACCACAAAGAGTGATCCATGAGAAGGAACTGTCCATCATACACCTAGAAATGCAACCCAAAGGCCAAGAGATCACCAAATCTCGGAAACAGCTTTCTAAGAGACACACGGCTCTACTGCACTCTACGGCCCAGTCACCAGGGGAAACACAGGCCCATGCTCTGAGCCCAAAACAAGAGCCATACAGTTGCACAAGAATGCGGAATAGAGAAAAAATTTTAGAAAGACCCCCACCAATGTATTTCACTCATTTATTCAATTTTATGTAAGTACGAGGGTGACATGATACAATCCATGTCTATGAATTTCAAAAAGAGATCTTTCAGTAAATATAAAGAAAAACTTGAAGTGATATAAAGCATTGTTTCAGCTTTATTGGAAATGCTTTTCTTAGTGATTCACAAAATGAGTGCATCTTAGAATCAATGGTTTGTTAGTTTCTGTGAAATATGGTCATTTGCTACTGGGTCTAATTCCTAGCACTCAAGTTTAACCTGCCCATTGCACGGGCCATCCGAGCTCCCATACTCTGGCTCTATTCTCTTCTGAGAATGCCAATAGGCACCCCCTTCCCAGGCTTTTCCATTTCACAGAGAGACTCTGTGGCACTGGCCTCTGCCCTCACACTTTCTCACCCAGCCCCATCCTGACAGGTCTTTCAGCACTTCTCCCCTGAGTCAACCCTCAGTCTTTCTTCTGCCATTTCTCATTTTCACAGTGCCTCTTTCCCTGTAATTCCAGCCTATTTCCACCACACACTGGCAAACAGCGGCCCTAATTTCAATCTGTCACACTTGCTCATCTCTAAAATGGGAGGCAGTAAGACAGAGACCGAAGGCATGCGTTGGGGAGTCACAGATATGGATTCCCTCCAAGCTTTCTCACTCCTAAGCTGGGTAACCTTGGACATGTTACTTCGCTTCGCCTGAGAAGGGAAGAAAAGAATCACCATGTCTGGGGTTGCTGCAGGATTAAATGAGAAAGTGCATGCATTGCAGACCCTCTTAATTATAGCTGCCTCGGTGGCATCCTTCCCAAGTGCAGCTACTATGGAGTTTGGGTGGCATTGACCAGGTCAGGGCTTGATTGGCTTAATCCCAACCATGTGATCTAGGGCATGTGACCTAGGTTGGTCTAGTCAGAGTAAAGCTCAGCTCTTACTCGGATGGTTTGGGGAAGAGAAATTCCTTTTTGCCCTGATGGTATAGTACAGTCATCCCTTGGTATCTGCTGGGGGTTGGTTCCAGGACCCCTGAGGATACCAAAATCAAAGATGCTCAAGTTCCTGATATAAAATGGGGTAGTATTTGCAAGTAACCTACAACAGTCCTCCTGTATTTTTAAAATCATCTGTCAATTACAGCCGGGCGCGGTGGCTCACGCCTATAATCCCAGCACTTTGGGAGGCCGAGGCAGGCAGATCATGAGGTCAGGAGATTGAGACCATCCTGGCGAACACTGTGAAACCCCGTCTTTACTAAAAATACAAAACAATTAGCCGGGTGTGGTGATGGGCGCCTGTAGTCCCAGCTACTCTGGAGGCTGAGGCAGGAGAATGGCATGAACCCGGGAGGTGGAGCTTGCAGTGAGCGGAGATGGCGCCACTGCACTCCAGCCTGGGCAACAGAGCGACACTCTGTCTCAAAAAAAAAAATTATCTCTTGATTACTTAGAATGCCTAATACAATGTAAATGCCATGTAAATAGTTGCTATACTGTATTGAGTTTTCATTTGTATTATTTTTCATTGTTGGATTGTTATTTTTCATTGTTGTTTATTTTTTTCTGGTCCTCAGTTGGTTGAATCCAAGGATGCTGAACCTGTGGATCCAGAGGGTCGACTGTGTCTATGAAGGCGGTAAGTAACCCCAGGAGCTCTTGGCTACCAGGAAGCCAGCCTGAAAAAGAGGCTGGCCTTTGAGGAGGACAGGAGGACAGAGGAGGAAAATGGAGCCAGGGCCCCTGTCAAACCACATCTGATCCCTACAGTGACTCAGGTATGTGAGCCATAAAAATTATTTTATTTAAACACATTTCAAGTGTCTTTTCTATCATTTGCAGCCAAAAGCATTCTAAAGGATCCAATATGAAAAGCATTTAACAAGAACTTAACAGACAGTAGTTATGCTATCAACTCAAGTGTTTAAAATTTATAACGGAGATGAGGGAAATGAGTGACATGTCTGTCACTCCAAATGAACCTGTTCTGTAGCAGCATGTAAACCCCTGTGCCCTGTTCTAGAATTTTGCCAATAAATGATCACCCCAGAACCCCTAACCTCCACTCTACCAACCAGAATACATCCCATTTCCACATTAAAAGTAAGTAACTCAGGGCAAACCCTTTTAGTGACAGAAAGTATTGACTCCGATCCCCATCTCTCCACTCTCCCCTAGATTAATTAAGTGGAAGGAATAGGAAGCCTGCTGCTCCTCCACAGTGCCCTATGGCACCAGGGTGCCTCACAGAAGCCACACCGGCCCTACACGCCTCGCTGTGTGCGCAGAAGCCTGGGCCTGATGCTCCTGAGTGTTACTGAACTAGGCTGGGGTCCATGCACCTGCCGCAGTAGAACCAGATAGCCACACTGAGCTTTTGTAGCGGTAGAAAGGAAGGTGTTTGCTTGCAGGGCACCATGCAAGGAGGCCCAGCAGCCTCTGCTCAGCCCTGGCCTCCCCGATGGCTTGCGGGCAAGGGCTCTCCCAGGCAGGGATGTGCCGCAGGAAAGCGGATGCTTCGGGCACAGTTGTAAATCAACAGGTGGAGGGGACACACTGGTCTTTGCTATTGGTTCAGGGGGCAAAGTTCGTTTCAATTTTAGGATCTGCCAAAACAATGTTAACTGGCTGGGGAGGGAGGCAGTGGGAGCTCCCCAGGAAGAAACTTAGAAGAAAGAACGGCCGTCAGGGTTCAGTCCTCAGCTCCCCCTCATCTGAGGTCTGCCTGCCAATGGATCTGTTTGGTGAGGGCCCTCGGCGGCGGGGTGGGGGTCCAGGTTTCTGGATTTGAACTTCCTTGGCTATTGTTTTAGGCTACTAAGACTTTCTTGCTTTCAAGTTGCTCATTTTCTTCTCAGGGCTAGCTAGGTGCCTGGAATTTATCTTGAAGGCAACTTAGGATTTTCTTTTATTTCCATGCTTGGCTGGGGGGCCACGAGCCCCCAAAAATGCGGTCCTTACTCTGGCTCAAGAGAAGGCAGGTGTCCAGCCAAATCAATCCTCCCAGGGAAGTGCGGTCTCCAGGAAGCAGAGGCTCCGGATGCCCTTCTGAGCCTTCCTTGTCTGGCCTTGGCTCCACACATGGAAGGAAGGCCAGAGCAGCCCCAAGCTTCCTTCTTCACCCTCCGCGGGCGGCCAAGTGCCTCCTGCAAAGAGGTTGAGGCGCACTGCGGACCACAGAGCCCCTGTGCCTCCAGCAGGTCACCGGGCGCGTGGCTGTCCCTTCAGAGCACAAGGGTGGCGTTCCTGAAGTTTTCACAGTGGTGGAAAGGGCTCTTCCCGCCCTGGCCCTGCCACCTTGGAGGGGCTAGAAGGTGGCCCCCAGCTCCGTGGTGAGCTTGCCTGCTGCGATAGACTCATCACAGCAGCACACTCGGTGTGCACCCAGTTGTGACAACATAGGTGGTATGACTTGAAATCCAGTTCCTCAGAGCGGGGGGAGCAAACTGGGGTTGGGGGGCTCTGAGTGGGGAAGGCGCTTTGGCTGGCAGAGCCGAGCAGAGCTAACTGTGAAGGACGGGTTGCCAATATAAATTCTTCCATCAACAAGCAGAAAACGTGCTTATGACTTTATCATTGTACCCAGGGCTCTGCTACAATTCATATCTTCCTCATGGTTAATGGCGTTTTAGCCCACTGATGCCACATAATACATTTCATCAATTCTAGGGGGAGGCTGCTGCCCAGAACATCAAAGCCAATTTGTAAATTATGGAGTGATGGATTTTGTCAGTAAATTCATATCAGAACAAGGCAATAACGTTCCCACACAAATTAATGTATCTTAGCAGATGTTTAACTTTGAATATCCTGTTTTGAATATATATTACCTGATAATGTATATACACAAAGCATTTTTTATTTCCACTCATTAAATCTCAATCAAACAAGTAATCGCCCTAAACTACAGAGGCACAGAAATCCGTTTTCCCTGCCCATCAAATAGTAGCAATTTATTGTGGTGTAAAATAAATGAACTGCTAATACAATTTTTTAAAAACAGCAATAATAAAGCTAAAGGGCCGTGCCCCTGAGGGAGGATTGCCATGGTACGCAGGGGCGCAGAGCCAGTGACCAGGTTTGAATTCTAGCTCTGCCGCTGACTGAGCGACCTCAGCCAGGTAGCTCCCTCCCTGAGCCTCTGTTTCCCCTCTGCTGAAGGAGATGAGCATCATCTACTTCATAGGGTTGTGGAGGGACTTAAATGGATTAATTTGTGTGAAGCGTTTAGAGCCCTGCCTGGCATTATGTACCTGCTCATATTATTATACCCTAAATGACATACGAGAAAGGTGGAAGCAGGACTATGCTTCTCCTTCAGGGGAGAGCCTGGGCGTCAGGAGCAATGCCAACCCCTGCATCCAGCTGGCTCCTCCCTAATGTGACTCCTGGAAAAAGAGAGCCTTGATTTCCCGAGGTGCAGGTGCAGATAAGCATTTTCGTCTCCTCCTGGTACAGCTGAGCCCAGACCCACCTTACAGGTTCTCTCTGAAGTGCCAATTTCTGGCTCACCTGTCCCCTGCCTCGGGAGGTCACCAGGGCAGGGGGCTTGATGGAAGCTCCCAGTGATATGGGAGCGGGGCAGGGAAGTGCTAGGTAGAGAAAGGCGGGGTCCCTGATGAAGGCTCCACCCTCTGGCCTGTGCCCATGGACCTAGGTGTGGACAGGTACTTCTGTTTTCATGCCCAAATGTTGCATTTTCCAAGACCACCCTGACACACCATGCCCCCCAACTTGTGCCTGTAAAACCCCAAGACCCTAGCGGGCACACACATGAGCGGCTGGACGTTGAGAGGAACACACCGACAGAAGAACACACTGGCAGACTCCAGCAAGCCATTGACAGCAGAACCATGCGGATGGCGTGGAATTCGGCCGGGGAATGTCGGAGGAGAGTCTGGCTGCTGAATGGCCTGAATCCAGGGGAAAACCACCTTCCCACTCCATCTCCCTTCTGGCTCCCATCCATCTGCTGAGGGCTACTTCCACCACTCAATAAAACCTTGCACTCACTCTCCAAGCCCATGTGTCATCTGATTTTCTGGTACGCTAAGGCAAGAACCCCAGGATACAGAAAGCCCTCTCTCCTTGTGATAAGGCAGAGGGTCTAACTGAGCTGATTAACACAAGCCACCTGTGAACCGCTAAGCTGAAAAAGTGCACTGTAACACACGCCCACTGGGGCTTCGGGAGCTGTAAACACTCAACCCTAGACGCTGCCATAGGGTCAGAGCCCATGCTCCCCACGACCTGCCTGTCTGCATGCCCCCTCTAGGGGTTCGAGCTGCGGGACATGGAAGAAGTGAGCCACGCCTTCATCACATGCCCAAACTCCTCCTGTTTCACCAGGCAGGACAGAAGATGCAAACCCGGTGTGCAGATGTCCTCAGTCAGCAGGCGGCAAGCGGCACGACGCTGCACACCTGTCCTCCCTTTTCCAGGGCCCTTGCTCACAGCTGTCTGGGTTTCCCGTCTCTTTATTCTTCCCTTCCTCATCTCCTGTCTTTTCTCATTCCATCCACTCATCTGATACATCGTAGATGCTTTTCTGTCCTTGTTGCCATTTCTGACATTGATTTCTTTTCTTTTGCTCACTTGGTTACTTTTCTCTCACTTGATTACTTTTCTCTCACTTGATTTGTCTTTTTGACTTCTGATGACCTTCCCTGGGAAGCTCACTTCAAGAGCCTGGTCTCCCCCTCCAACCTCCCTTAGAGGTGGACCGTTTTAGACAAGAGGGGTGGGCGAGAGGCCCTTCCAGGCCCACCTTTGCCTGCCTGCCACGTGCCAGGCACCGTGTTGAGTGCTTGCCTGCAGAGCACCTGGAATCCCACACGCCACCCCACATAACAATAACAGTCACAGACACCTTTTGAGTGTGTGCTTGCTGTGTGCTACGTGTCTGATTCTTCGCTTGCCTTCACTATTGAGTCCTCACGAACCATATACCTAGGTACTATTGTTATTCTATCCTTATAGATGAGGAAACCGAGACACAGAAAGGCTAGGTAGCATGCCAGCATGTCATCGACAGCAGGTGACGGCAGAATTCAGACTCAGGCAGTGCACTCTCAGCCCCCTACACTAAATGGTAAGGTTATTCCTCTTGATTTTTCCTTGATTGGGAACTGAAGTTCAGGGAGAATGAGTGACTTACCTGAGGTCACAGAGCTTAGCTTACCCAAGGCCGAGCTAAGGGCAACATCTTTGCATTCAACTGATGTTCTCCTTACATGCGAGTCTGTGTCCAAATTTCCCCTTTTATGTGGACACTAGTCATACTGGATTAGGGGCCACCCAATGGCTTCATTTTAGCTTAGTAGAGACCCTATCTCCAAATAAGGTGACATTTTTGGGGAGACACAATTCAACCCTTACCACAAGGGCAGTGCCTGGATGCAGCAGCCTCAGGAGTGATGATGCAGCCACAGCCTCCCATTAACAGTCCCAGGTCTACATTGTTTCAGTACAAACAGGTTCCAAGGCCACCATGTGGTGAGTGATGACAGTGTTACTGCTTTTGTCTCATGGAGATATGAGCTTAGCCAGCAATGGCGCACTTGACAATAAAGAACATGGAGAGATGCTGCCTGGACACCTCGGAGAACTTTCTTGTGTGCTGATGACAATAAATACATAGGTAAGTAGGCCTTCTCTCATCATCCCAGATCTTCATTAGCCAACCACTAGACCTCACACGGACCCACGAATTTTTAAATACATTTTAATCATACTAGTCATACAGACACGACTCCCAGCAAAATATTTTCTCATGGCCCCTCACACCCAAAGGGTGACCCAGGGACCCACTCTGTGCCTGGGAAGCACCGCTGCTGGCCTGAGCCCCCTCTTCATTCTGGCTGCCACCTCCCTGTGTCTTCTTTCTTGATGAGGGTGTGGCTCTCATTAATCATCAATGAGATGGTGACACGGGGTTTCTCTCCACCTTAGCAGTGTGTCCTGATATCCCACTTTCTATTCCTCCCTCCGGAATTCCCTCCACCCTCTCCCAGCAGGGAATCTTAGCCTCTGCGGAATTTTCTGTTTCCCTCAACTTGGGGTGCTCAGACCCCCCAATCTACCACTCTTGCCCTCTGCTAATTCCAGAACCCTTTGACATATTAGCCAGGTGCTGGCTCAGCATCTTGCTTCCTGCAGCCCTGAGTACATTGCACAGAGAAATGGTGCACCTCCCAACCAGCTTCTCCAAGAGCTTTCCCTTCTGCCTGCAGATGGGGATGGACTAGCAGTGCTGGAGGGACCACTCAGCACCAGTGCCCTTGCACTTGCTTCCTCGTGGAATCCTCACGCTGGCCTGGGTTTGGCAGATGAGAAAAGACCGGCCTGGGTTTGGCAGATGAGAAAAGTTAGGCTCAGAGCAGGGAGTGAGCTGCTCAAGGTGGTGCAGCCGTTCACACAGGAGCTAGCACACTGAGCCTGGTGCAATGTCTCAACACGGCTGCTTAATAAAGCTTTAGAGAGGGCATAGATGAACCCAGGTTTTGTGGGACCTGAAGCTTACACAATGTGGAGGACCCACTTGAACTTATGGAGACATAAAAGACAGGGCTTTGGAAGGGGCCTGTGCAAGTGAGGGACCCTGAGGCTTCAACTTCATTAGCTTCGCAGTAAATCTGCCTCTGAGTCAATAAGTAAGTGAGTAGATGAATAAAGTCGAAGTACAAAGGTGTATAATTTTAGAGCTTATAGGACCTAAAAAATGATCAAGTCCTATGTCCTTTTTTAATAGTTGCAGAAACCAGGACTGGAGAGAGTAGCTTTCTCATGAACACACAGCTAAAAGTCTTACCAAGGTTGAGTGGCTGTCCTAGGATATCATGACTGCAGCCTGGTGGTGCTGAACCCAAGGCCATGTCTTTACTCTGCCACTAACTCCATCCCTACCTTAGGAACAGTTGCTGCTCATCTGCCATATATAACTCACCTCTCCACATCAGGGCTGCCCAATGTCAAGGGCCAGGCACAATGAGGTCTTTGTCAAAGGACTCCCTGGAATTACGGGGCACTTACACTGGGTAGCCATACACAGTGTGAACCTGTTAATGGTCTTGACCTCCTCTTTTGGTGCTGATTTCTGGAGGGAAGAGAAAGGAAAAGTGCTTCTTCCTCTCCCAGAACCTCACATTTCCTTTTTTTTTTTTTTAATTTATCAAGATTTTTTGAAGTTAATTTTTAGTTCAGTAGCTTCTGGGGTACAAGTGGATTTTGTTACATGGATGAGTTAGACAGTGGTGAATTCTGAGATTTTAGTGCACCTGTCCCCTGAGTAGTGCACATTGTGCCTAATGTATAGTTTTGAATCCCTAGCCCCCCTTCCAGCCTCCCCCTTGTGAGTCTCTGAAGTCCATTATATCACTCTGTATGCCTTTGCACACTCATAGCTTAGCTTGCACTTGCAAGTGAGAACCTACGGTTTTTGGTTTTTCATTCCTGTGATACTTCACTACAGGTGGAGAATAATGGCCTCCAGCTCCATCCAAGTTGTTGCAAAAGACATTATTTTCGAACCTCAAATTTCTTGACTCATGGGAATTCAATTAACTCAGTTATGCCAGTTATCAATTCATTTCCTGTCAGTTCCAAACTCAATTTTCATTGCCTGCTCTGCAAAAATGGAGTGGGGCCCTGTAAATACGTCCTTTGCAGCAGGCGGGCTGCTGCTCCTTCTCAGTAGAGGGCACTGAATAAGAAAGGCGTTTTTCTCTCTCTGGCCCTGGTGTGCATCTCACCAGGTGCCCACAGCAGGCAGTTTCTCCAGCACTGGCATCTGCCGTGTCCAGGGGCCAGCAGGAGCAGCTGCTCTCCCCAGCATGCCCCAGGGCAGCTTTGCAGCAAAAAATTCAGCTCCACCCTATGGACAGCTTCCCCCATTTCTCAGAGGGCAGATTTCCATCAGGTTCTGGGACAGCACCACAGTCACTTCTCTGCCCAGCAGTGAGTCACTACCATGCCCTCTCAACAGGTCTGGACCTCAGCCCTAAGGGGTAGAGAGCCTCTTCCCTGGATGTTTTATCTCAGCTCCCGGAGTAATAGCTACTTCTTACGCCTGTGATTCCTGCATTCTTTAGCGTTCTCCTGACTTTTTACTAGGCAATCTCCCATTATGCAATCATTTGAGTTAGTTAATACCTTTTATATTAAACTTTCAAATTACTGTGTGGTTTCTGTCTCCTAGTTGGACCCTAACTGATAGCCAGTCACTTAGTTCTGAAGTCATGGGCCCTTTGTGCCTGGCATTCCCAACTTAGCTTTGTCAGCTCCGGAGATCTACAGACCTAGCTAAATTGCTCTGAAAAGACCCTACCTGTGTGTGGTTCTTCCCCAGAATGGTGTGTGGCAGTGACTCTTTGGAGGCAATCAGGGATTAAAGCCTACATACCAGCCACCCAGCAAGCATCACATATGTGACGTGTGTTTATATGATCCAATTAGAAAAATGGACACACTGAAAACACATTTACAGATGGGCTCTATACCGCTAGAATCAAGGATTAAATTCAGCATTAAAACTGTCAAGAGTGCTTGTTCTTTCTGAAACATTTTTTTTTTTTTTTTTGAGATGGAGTCTTGCTCTGTCGCCCAGGCTGGAGTGCAGTGGCGTGATCTCGGCTCACTGCAAGCTCCACCTCCTGGGTTCACACCATTCTCCTGCCTCAGCCTCCCAAGTAGCTGGGACTACAGGTGCCCACCACCAGGCCTGGCTAATTTTTTTGTATTTTTAGTAGAGACAGGGTTTCACCCTGCTAGCCAGGATGGTCTTGATCTCCTGACCTCGTGATCTGCCCATCTTGGCCTCCCAAAGTGCTGGGATTACAGGCATGAGCCACCACGCCTGGCCTCTGAAATATATTTTTGACACCAACAGTTGGCCATTCGTAGCCGGAAAGAATGGGTCATAAATCTGATAGCTGGAAGAGACCTCAGAGATCCAGAGATCGATCCACAATCAGTCCCACCAAGTTTGTGGTCAGGAATCTGCCCTAGGCCACAAAGATATTTACCTATTTGCTCAAAAAGAAGGAACAAAGAAAGATCTTATAAATGCGTGAGACCACAAAGAGTGGAGGATGGGGCTATAATACAGGGCCTACCCTCTGGTCACACCAGAAACAGATCTGGTGACTGATGAGGATGTAAAGGGTGACATTTTGGCCAAACGTAGAAACCACAGAGTTTTAAAGGTCAAAAAAATCTTAGAATTTTTATTTTACCCCCTCCCCATTTTACAGATACATCAGTCTGTTTTCATGCTGCTGATAAAGACATACCCGAGACTGGGCAATTTACAAAAGAAAGAGGTTTAATGGGCTCACAGTTCCACGTGGCTGGGGAGGCCTCACAATCATGGCAGAAGATGAAAGTCATGTCTCACATGGCAGCAGACAAGAGAAGAGAACTTGTGCAGGGAAACTGTCCTTTATAAAACCATCAGATCCTGTGAGACTTATTCACTATCAGAAGAATAGCATGGGAAAGACCTGCCCCTGTGATTCAATTATCTCCAACCAGGTCTCTCCCACAACACGTGGGAAGTATGGGAGCTACAATTCAAGATGAGATTTGGGTGGGGACACAGCCAAACAATATCAACAGATGAGGGAACTGAGGCCTAGGACTACAAAGTTGCTTGAGTGAACTCCACCTTTGGTCCTGCAGAGCTCACACAAAGTGGGGGCCAAGGCATTGCTCAGAGCAGCTGAAGACACCTTAAGCAACATCCTTGACATTTGTTGACTTATGACCTTTGGACAGTCATAAAACATATGCACACTACTCCCCCACATCTTTGATGGCATATTCCCCTTGACCCAACTTTAAAATAAATAAAAATCAATATAGTTTTTTTTTTGAGATGGAGTCTTGCTCTGTCGCCCAGGCTGAAGTGCAGTGGCACGACCTCTGCTCTGCTCACTGCAAGCTCCACTTCCCAGGTTCATGCCATTCTCCTGCCTCAGCCTCCCAAATAGCTGGGACTACAGGTGCCCACCACCACGCCCGGCTACTTTTTTGTATTTTTGATAGAGACGGGGTTTCACCGTGTTAGCCAGGATGGTGTTGATCTCCTGACCTCGTGACCCACCCACCTCGGCCTCCCAAAGTGCTGGGATTACAAGCGTGAGCCACCACACCCAGCCAAAAATCAATATAATTTTTTAAAAATTAAAAATTACAGTTCAGCAGCCACCTCAACAGACAAAGAGCCCCAGATACAGATACAGGGAGGCCTTGTTGGCTCCATTTCTTTGAGCCTCCTCAGATCCTCTCCCTGAATGTTTTCCCTCAAGGCCCTGCACCCAGGGACACTCCAGAATTTTCCTAACTGACTAGTGGAGTGTTACTGAGATTATTGTCATGGGAAGAAGGGCTGATGAAGGTGAATTTAGAGTGATTTTGTAGACGGAAGAGCTGCAGCTTGGGGATCTCACACCAAGCTGGATCTTCCTGTGTCATTGTGGTGGCCATCATCATCATGGTGAGTATTTGAGGAGCACTTGGCCCAAGGCAGTGCTGTTGTAACTGCTCTGTAGAGAGGAGAGAGCCCCAGGGCTACTTACTGGATCTCCCCAACCCTAGCCCACGCTCTCCCAATTACCTGGCCTATGCATTTTTTTTCTATTGCTTCTGTAGTAAATTATCACAAATTTAATGGCTTAAATCAACCCCCATTTTTAATTCACAGTTCTTATGTAGTATGCTTTGGATGTTTGTCCCCTTCAAATCTCATGTTGAAATGTAACCTCCCGTGTTGGAGGTTGGCCCTGATGGGAGGTACTTTGACCACGGAGGCAGATCCCTCGTGAATGGCCTGGCACCATCCCCTTGGTGACGAGTGAGTTCTCGCTCTGAGTTCACAGGAAATATGCTCGTTTAAAAGCTGGTGGCACCTCCCTACCCTCTCTCTTGCTCTTGCTGTGGCTCCTGTTGCTTTCTGCCATGATTGTAAGCTTCCTGAAGAATCACCAGAAGCAGATGCCAGCACCATGCTTTCTGTATAGCCTGCAGAACTATGAACCAATTAAACCTCTTTTCCTTATAAATTACCCCGTCTCAAGTATTTCTTTAGAGTGACGCAAGATTGGGCTAACACGTTGCGGGTCAGAAGTCTGAGCACAGTGTGGCTCAACTGGTTTTCTGTTCAGATTCTCACAAGGCCAAAATCAAGGTGGTGGCAGGGCTGTGTCCTTTTCTGGAAGTCTCTATAATCCGTGTCCAGGGTTATAGGCTGTGGTGGGATTCAGTTCTGTGTGGGTGTAGGACTGTTTTCTTGTGGGTGCTCAACCAGGTCTGGTCCTTAGATTCTAGAGCCACTCATGCTGTCTGGCTTCTCACCCCTTTCAAAGCTGGCAGCAGCAAATCAAAAGCTGTGAGTCTTTTTGATCCCCTACCTTCCTCATCTCTCCTGCTTTTCTCTTTCACTGAATCTCTCTGATTCTAGCCACAGAAATTTCTCTGCTTTTAAGGGCCAAGTGGTCAGTTTGGGCTTGTCTGGAAAATCCAGAAATTGCATCTACAAAACCCCATTAAAGCAGTACCTAGATTAGTGTTTGTTTGGATAACCAGTGATGGGAATCTAGGGGGACATCTTTAGAATCCTGCCAACCTTACCTGGCTGTGAACTACCTGGGAGTGAGGATCCCCTCTCCCCCAAGAAGAGAGGACGGGCCACTTGAGGTCTCAGCCCACCGCAAGGTCATTGTGGGGTAGAGATCAGAACTGGTGGCAGCCCCTTAGGCAGCTCAGTCACCATCCCCACCCCAGCCCCTTAGTTGTCAGCAGTCAGTCACTATCCCCAAAAACCTCCCTCCAGGACAAGGGGCAGACATCCCCTCTGTGTCTTCATCTGCAAGGTGAGGGTACTAATTGTGGTTCACAGTCTGAGACCCCTGGTCCTTCTGAAGTTCTCCAATGGTCAGTATTTAAAAATTGTATAATAAAATCATGTGTTTAGAAGCAGTAAGCCAAAACTGCTCAATTTACCCCAAGTCTGTGTGGCAGCTCTGATAATCAAATGAGGATCAGAGGCTCCAACTTGCCCTTCAATAGCTTTTGTATAGTTCCTGAATCATTTCTGAAAAACAAAAAGCAAGCAAACAGATAACAACGTGAAGTAAATTTCAGACTGCTGAAAAATGGCAAGAATAGAACAAAGAATTCTCATATACACTTAACCCAGATTCCTCAAAAGTTAACATTGTATTACATTTACCAATTCCCCTCTCTCTCAATCTCTCTCCATCCCTCCCTCAATTTTCAAGCTGCTGGTAACAAGCTGCTATATTGTAACCAGTCCTCTGGAGGATCCTGAGGGGCATGATGAGGAATGGAGTAATACACACAAAAAACTGAAGCCTGCTGACAGCCACATGAGTCAGTTTGGAAGAAAATCCTTCAGCCCCACAGCCCTGCTAACAGTGTGCTTTTATACTTTTTACCTTTGCAGATCTAATAAATATGTGAGAAATAATATATTTCTTCTTTTTTTTTTTTTTTTGAGATGGAGTCTCGCTGTCACCCAGGCTGGAGTGCAGTGGTGCAACCTTGGCTCACTGCAACCTCGGCCTCCTGGGTTCAAGCAATCCTCCTGCCTCAGCCTTCAAAGTAGTTGGGACTACAGGCACACGCCACCACGCTAGGCTAATTTTTTTGTAGTTTTAGTAGAGACGGGGTTTCACCGTGTTAGCCAGGATGGTCTCGATCTCCTGACTTTGTGATTCATCCGCCTTAGCATCCCAAAGTGCTGGGATTACAGGCATGAGCCACGGCACCCAGCCCGAGAAATAATATATTTTAATTAGTTTTAATTTGTCCTCTTATTAACAGTGATGTTGAGTCTTTTTTCATATATTTAAGGAACATTTTAACATATTTTTGTTAATTATTTGTTCATGTATTTGCCCATTTTTCTCTCAGATATATATATTAGGAATATTAGACTTTTCTTATATATGCTGCAAATTTTTTTCCCAGATCTTCATTTTCTTTTGATATGCAAAAGTTATTTTCATTTTTATGTCGTTGAACTTATCAATCTTTTCTTTCATTTCATTTAGATTTTGAGACATAGAAAGCTTTTCCCTACATCCAGGTAATAAGTTACAGAGAAATTCATCAATGTTTTCTTCTAGCTCTTGTGTGGTTTCAGTTTTTACATTTGGACTCCTGACCTTATTTATCTTTGTGTGTGGTATGAGGTATGGATCTAATTTTTATCTTTTTCCAAGTGGTTAACCAGTTGTCTCAGTATCATTTACTAAAAATTCCATCTCTGCCACAAGTGATTTAAGATGCCACCTTTATCATATACTAAATTTTCATATGTAGTTTGGTCTATTTCTGGTGTGTGTGTTCTGTTCAATAGGTCTTTCTGCCTACTCGTGCAACAATATGAGAGTTTCAATTGTTGAGGCTTTATAGTATGTTTCAATGTCTGATAGGGCTAGCCTCCCTCATATATATGTTTTGGCTATCCCTGCATATTTATTTGCTTGTTTTAGAGACAGTGTTTTGCTGTGTTGCCCAGGGTGGAGAGCAGCGGCGCAATCATAGTTCACTGCAGCCATGAACTCCTGGGCTGAAGTGATCCTCTGACCTCAGCCTCCCGAGTTGCAGTGACTACAGGTGTGCAGCACCACACCTGGCTAATTTTTATTTTTATTTTTTATTTTTTACAGAGATGGTGTATTAGTCCATTTTCATGCTGTTAATAAACACATACCAGAAACTGGGAAGAAAAAGAGGTTTAATTGAACTTAGGGTTCCACACGGCTTGGGAGGCCTCAGAATCATGGCGGGAGGTGAAAGGCACTTCTTACATGGCAGCAGCAAGAGAAAATGAAGAAGATGCAAAAAAATACCCTGATAAACCCATCAGATCTCATGAGACTTAGTCACTACCACAAGAACAGTATGGGAAAAACAGCCTCCATGATTCAAATTATCTCCCACCGGGTCCCTCCCACAACACGTGGGAATTATGGGAGTACAATTCAAGATGAGATTTGGGTGGGGACACAGAGCCAACCGTATCAGCTGGAATCTTGCTATGTTTCCCAGGCTGGACTAGAACTCTTGGCCTCAAGTAATCCTCCTACCTTGGCTTCTCCAAGGTCTGGGATTAAAGGCATGAGCCACCACATCCAGTCATGTTTATTTAGCATATAAGCTTTAATATCAACTTGTCAGGGTTTTAAAAGTTTCTTGGGATTGTGTTAAATGTATAAATTAAAATAGAGAGGACTAACATCTTTATATTGCTGAGTTGCCCTATCCAAGAGCAAGCTTAATATTTGCTCAAACCTAAGTTTGTACCTTCAAGACCTTGTTTATCTTTGTGTGTGGTATGAGGTGTGGATCTAATTTTTATCTTTTTTCAAGTGGTTAACCAGTTGTCTCAGTATCATTTACTAAAAATTCCATCTCTAAAATTCCATCTCTAAAATGGGCGGAAAAAAAAAAAAAAAGCATTGGGAATACCTGGTCTTTGAAACTTTGGTAGAATTATCCTATAAGACCATACGGGTCTGATGCCTTTTTTGTGTAAGAGTTCCTTGATAACTTTCTGTCTCTAATAGGATCAATTTTGGTAAACTCTATTTTTTAAGGAAATTATCCCTTTCAACTCAGCCTGTAAGTGATCTAATGCTTATTAAACTTCTTTCATGTCAAGTTATTTCCTTGTTGCCGTTTCTTAGTTTATTTATTTATGCTTTCTACCCCCTCTTTTTTTCTAAGTTAGCTAGTAGTTTATCTGTTTGGTTACTTTTTGAATGGAGGTATTGATTTATTGATTGTGAGTTATTGTATTAGTTTTCTAGGGCTCCTGTAGCAAAGTACCCCAAAATGGATGGTTTAGGCAGCCGACGTTTATTCTCTCACAGTTCTGGAGGCCAGAAGTCAGCGTTTGGTCTCAGCTCCGTCATACTACTTTATGTTAAAATTACCACATTGTGTTGAAAGTGCTGTGTTTCTTCTTCTTTGTGATGAGTTTATTTTGCTCTTTTAGTTTTTAAAACAATTTCTTTTGGGATTTAGGAAGGTTTCAAGTGTTGTTCTACCGACACTTTTCAAAAGAAGACATACATGCAGCCAGCCCAATCATATGAAAAAATCTCAACATCACTGATGGTTAGAGAAATGCAAATCAAAACTACAAGGAGAAACCATCTAAGGCCAGTCAAAATGGCTATTACTAAAAGTCAAAAAGTAACAGATTCTGGCAATGTTGCAGAGAAAAAGGAATGCTTATACACCGTTTGTGGGAGTTTAAATTAGTTCAACCATTGTGGAAGACAGTGTGGTGATTCCTCAGAGACCTAAAGACAGAACTACCATTCGACCAAGCAATCCCATTACTGGGTCTATACCCAAATGAATATAAATTATTCTATTATAAAGACACATGCACATGTATGTTCATTGCAGCACTATTCACAATCGCAAAGACATGGAATCAATCCAAATGCCCATCAGTAATAGACTAGATAAAGAAAATGTGGTATATTTACACCATGGAATACTATGCAGCCATAAAAAGAATGAGATCATATCCTTTGCAGGGACATGGATTGAGCTGGAGGCCATCATCCTTAGCAAACTGACACAGAAACAGAAAACCAAATACTGCACGTTTTCACTTATAAGAGGGAGCTAAATGATGAGAACACATGGACACATAGAAGGGAACAACAGACACTGGGCCCTACCTGAGGGCGGAGGGTGGGAGGAGGGAGAGGATCCGGAAAAATAACTAATGGTTACTAGGCTTAATACCTGGGTGATGAAATCATCTGTACAACAAACCCTCATGACTCAAGTTTACCTATTCAACAACCTTGCACATGTACCCCTGAATTTAAAATACTTGTTAAAAAAAAAAGTTGTGCTCTAGTAGTTATATTTGTACTCACAACGTTTTAAATGCCACTAGTCCCTTGTTAGTTTATTTTTATCTTTTACCACGTGGCTTTTAATTGTTTTCAATAAATTATTTAATACTATACTGAAATGTGTCTGTTGTACTCTTGAACACTCATCCACGAGATTGACCACAATTGCTGTGGCTTGCTGGTTTTTAATGGTATCCACCAACTGCTGGTGTCACAGTCAATGATATTGTTCTGCTTTTTCCTTTTCTGCTCCCTTCTCCTCCCACTTTTAGTTGCATTATTTCCCTACCGGAAAAATAAGCACTTTTTCTTTTCTCACACAGCCAACACAACACAGAACAGCTCTGGTCACTAAAATGGGGTGAGAAGTGCATTCCCCACACACTAAGCAATTCTCCAGAGACACTGGCTGGGTGTCCTATGATTCAACTCCATTCTGACACCACCTACCTGGATTTAGAGTCAGATCGCACAGGTTAAGGGCTCAGACCCACAAGACTGCACCCATTTCAGACACTAATTCCAAGTAGTAGGTTGTCACCTATATGTCTTACTGATTGGCTATAAATTGGGGTTCCCATGACCCACTCTTTGGGTTTGGTTAATTTGCTAGGAAGGCTCACAGAACTCAGAGAAACACATTTACAAGCTTATGAGATTAATAGAGGATGTGACAAAGGACAGAGATGAAATTCAGGTAAAGAGGCGCAATAGGGTGAGGTCTGGAAGGGTCGTGAGTGCAGGAGCTCCTGTCATCAGGGAGTTGGGGTGCACCACCCTCCCAGCACACAGATGTGTTCAACCCTGAAGCTCTCTAAACCCCATAGTTCAGGTGTTTTATGGAGGCTTCACCCATCATGTAGGTGTGATCAACAATTAACTCGATAACCAGCTCCTCTCCTTTTCCCGGAGGTTGAAAGATGGAGGTGAACGTTCCAAGCTTCTCATTACGGTGTGGCCTTTCTGATGACGATCCCCAATCCAGGAGTCCACCAAGAGTCACCTCATTGGAACAAAAGACGCTCCTACTGCCCAGGAAATTCCAAATGATTCAGCAGCTCTGTGTCAGGATCCAAGATCGAAGCCAAATATTAGAACAAAAGATTATCTCAGCATCTGTCTACAAGGGTTTTAGTAGGAGTTTGGTCTCAGGAACTGGGGGCAAAGATCAACAGATACATATTTCTTATTATTCACAGAATATATGACACATGGCATATAACATACAACATATAAAATACTATTCCTCCACCCTTGTTCTGAATTATTTTTATTCATGGATCTACAAATGACTATTAAGTGCTTATTATAAATACTTCTGTTGAAGTTTTCCCATTCAGATGTTGGTTGAATGAAGTTCATCCTGTAGTTGATTCCTCAAGAGAGGCTCACAGAGAATTCTCTATATTTTTGTTTGTTTAAAACTCTTTTTCTATAACCTTCATACTTTAAGCATAGCTTCACTTGATATAAAATATTTTGTACATATTTTCCATGACTCTGTTGGAAAATACTGCTTAGTTGTTGACATACGTGTACGTTGTTTTTGGGAAATCTGATACCAGTCTTATTCTCTTGTCCTTGAAGGTTATTTTATTTTATTTTATTTTGAGATGGAGTTTTCACTCTTGTTGCCCAGGCTGGAGTGAAGTGGTACGATCTTGACTCACTGCAACCTCTGCCTCCCAGGTTCAAGGGATTCTCCTGCCTCAGCCTCCTGAGTAGCTGGGATTACAGGCATCTGCCACCATGCCCGGCTGGTTTTATGTATTTTTAGTAGAGACAGGGTATCATCATGTTGGCCAGGCTGGTCTTGAACTCCTGACCTCAGGTGATCCACCCGCCTCAGCCTCCCAAAGTGCTGGGATTACAGGTTGAGCCACCGCACCCTGCCAGGATTTTTTTCTTTATCTTTAAATTCTAATAGTTTCACTGGGATACGTCTCAGAGTTGATGATTTTTGGTTTATCCAGGTACTCAGTGGCCCCCTTCAGTATTGAGATTTCAGTTTCCTCATAATTCCAAAAGGTTTTCTTGCAATGTAGTAGTTTGATATATAAACTTTGTTCCAGCATTTTGTTTTTCTTCTTCATGGTCTTCAATTACATATATTGTCTGCTTCTTCCATTTCAGTTGCTTTCTCTCTGAACTTTTTTCTTCTTTCTTTAGCTTATTTGTATTTTTTAGCTACTCTCCTGCCTTCCTTCAATGCTTCTTCTTAAATTTTCATTTCTGTCTATTATCCCTTGTGCAACTGGGAATGTATTTTTTATTCCTGAGATCATTTTGTCTTTTTCATTTTCTTTCCTGAGATCAATCAACTCTCTTTATTTCTTTCTATTTTTGTCTTTCTGGTTTAAGCTTTTTAATTTCTGATTGAAGATGATATTTTCTATCCTGAAATGTTTGTTTGATGAGATCTCACTGAATTTTGAGTGTAACGTGACTGTTGTCTTCTGCTTTGTGATCATTTGGGGGAGGAAGAGTTTGATGCACTGAGAGGTTCTCGTTGTTAAACTAGGTTTATATATATTTAGTTTGCTCTGCCTATTCATTTTATGGGATGGGTTACAAGACTACTAGTTAAGGGCCCCTCTCTGTCAGCGTAGGAAAGTGTGGTTTCTTTAATGGGTGGCTTGTTTTGGAGGGGCATGGGCGAAGGGTTATGCGAATGTTTTTTGCTTCTCTCTTGCCCTTCAGAGTCCTAAAGCTTCCCACTTATGCCCTGTCTTCCAAAGAATCTTCCTTCCTTTTAGCTTCTGCCCTAGAAGTGATGCCCTTGGAGACAGGTCACTTTGTATTTTTGGCGTAGGAGCCTCTCCTGTGGGCAGTAATCTTGGGTCAGTCTCAGACCCACCACTAGGCGGACTCTCCTCTCCTCCATTCCCTTTTTCCCATACCGCCCTTGCTTTCCATTGTCTTGAGACCCGGACATGGGAAATGGCTTGCTGAGATTTGGTGTTCATTGCTCCACTCTCCAGCAGCTTAAAGTTTGTGAATTCTCCATCTCCTACATGTGCTGAGGGTTGGGCTTCACATCACCTCGTCTGACCTTCCTGTTGTTGTCTACTGATTTTTGGAGGATATGTTGGGAGATTCAGATTAATCCAGATGCTATTACTTCAACTTCCTAGAATTCTTTATATGTTTTTGATTAACATAAAAAGAAAAAAATTACTTGGTGTTTTAAAATTCAAAAACCTTTCAGCAAAATTAAATAGATTATAATTAATTTCCAGTTTTTGGAGGTCCCGGAAGGTGACTTTAGTTCTAACATGCAATTGGATGAACAAAATATTTCAACATGTGATGTCCTCGGAGAGAAAAGCAATAAAATGTGTCCTTGGTGGTGTTAATATCAGGAACCTCAGAGTGAACTTTTATGCCTGAATTCTTATCAGTGTGGTCACAGCCACAGTGACACTAACGGGGGACATCCCAGGCCCTAAGCCAGGAGGAGTAAACATGGCCCCTTCAGAAGCCCTCCCTCTCCAGCAAGCAGCCCTCCACTCACGGCTCATTACAGCCCTCCTTGGGTGTTTGGCTGAGGGATGTTCCCCCAATATAGGCACGAAATTTACCAACATCCTGGCATTTGTCTCAATCAAAGAAAAGAAAAAGATTGAGTCTATGGCCAAGTACGGGAAAACACTATGTGACTTCTTTGCCTCTTTTCTTTCTTGCCCTCAATAACCATCCTCAATAACTGGTAAATAAGACAAATGGACCCAAGTGCATACACAGAGACACACTCACACACACATGCACGCCAAGCTGGAGCCATGCCCGCAGCCTAGCAAGGCCTCCCTTTCCTTCCCTCCAAGCACACGCGCCATCAGGGGTATCTGAGAGGCCTTGGTCAAAAAGGAGTGACAGGAACAGACAGCCCCACCTCCACCCCACATGCTATGCTCCCAGCTTGGGGCTCCTGCCCAGGAGTCAGGGCCACAGAGGCCCTGCCCCATGTGCGGTCAGCACCACTCAGGGTTCTCAGAATCAGCTTACCCTCCAGGGGCCTGCATTGCTCATTAGTAGCCATCCCTAACATTCGTGCTCATAGAGTCCCCATGAGCTGATGGGTGGACTAGAACATGGAATATTATGCTCAGTAAATGTTTGGTTTCGGGAGCTACAGTGGTGATCGTGAGGTGCAGAGGTTGAGTATGGGTCACCGTGGGGCCAGCCTGTCTTCCTTTGTTCCCTGCCTGCAGAGCCGGCCCCATCCTGGCTTGGGTGTGGGTTCAATTGTTCAGTGGTGTCACCGAGGTCTTTCCCACTTCCTACAAGCAGCCGCCAGGGGTAGGGTGCTGAAGCAGGGAGAAAGAAAACTACAATACGAAGATTTTCCCTCTCACCTCTGCAGTTTTTCTGTGGCTCCAAGGATTTTCTTTTGTGCAAAAACAAAAAGGAAAAAAGAGTCTTTCATCTGCCAAGATTTTTACTTACCACATATGAAAGGGTAGCGTCTTCTATGGATTTTTAAATGCCTTGAAATGGGTATCAAAGAGTCCGAGGCCCATTAATCTAAATTGCTTTAACACTTGGAGAAGAAAAAAAGGCATTTTCTAAAATCTGCAAATGAGACTAACCTACAAAATTATGCATTAAATGCTGGGGGAAAAAACTTTAGGTTTTCACTTGAAACAAGCATCTTTAAAAGGAAAGAAATATTTCTCCAATATTTAAAAATCATGTTTGAAACAGATACGAAAAAGACAGATATGTACTTAGACTTGATGGAAAGACACAGGGGAAAAAATTCTAGTTCAGCTAAGACTAGCCACCAACAAGTTTCATTCAGTGAAATTTCCCAAGGAGGATCAGCTCCTAGACAGGCTGTTTTTACCACCTTCTACATGAATCTCAATTTCTAAGTCATTTTTCTCCCTTGGAAAAAAGATACACAGTTTTCAAAGTTTAGAGCTGAATTCTCAACTGTTACAATTGGTAGGAAAGAGGTCATCTTACTTTTCAGTCTCTCCTATTTAAATTTATTATCCAGTACTTCAATAGTAAAAATAGAACGTAAGGCCTATAATATTTAATAGTCTTGATTTTTCAGCGCCAGCCAGGATGGGAAAGCCATAATAATATAATAACACCTTAAATTTACATCCTGAATATCTCTAAGGAGCTAATAGACTTTTATCAGGCAATTTTAAAATCTGATTAATCCTGTCATCATGCCTGACAGGTCGGTACCTAGATGGGGTCTTTGCACGGGCCGTCTCTGCTCAGCAGTGTGAGGCCGAGTTCCAGAGACCGCATCTCCAGCACCCACAGCTTCCCTCAGGCTCCTTCCCCGTCCCTTCTGAGCTGCTCTGATTCTGCTGGAGGAACAAGCTCTCTTCTAGAGGTCTAGAGGTCATGTTTGACTTTTTCCTAATTTTCCATATTATAGAAGAAATACAAGCTAATGCAGAAAAACTAGAATATTCAGGCAAACAAGCTATTGGGGGAAATGACCCAAAACACCACAACCGAGAGACCACTATTATCATTTTGGCACACATCCATCCAACAAAGCTGCTTCCCTGCACTCAGACATAAAGATAGGATTCTACTACATTTGTTTATATAAAACATAAATATAAAATATATGTACATACATACGTATATCACACACACACACAAACATCCCTTTAACAACATATACACGTCAACATTTGTTAGTGGCTTCAGAGACTTTTGTTTTTTGCAAATACGAAACCTCTTTAGCTAAACAATTATTTCCAAGTATTTATCAATATCAACAGTGTTACCAATGAAAGATATATATTATTTATGATCTTCTAAAGTTATTTTCTTTTAAAATTTTTAATTAAATTTTACTCTTAATTGGCTTGAATTTTTCCCTAAAAATTTTTTAAATTACAAATAATTTTCTTTAAAATGTTTTAAATTTAAAAGAATTTTCTTTAAAAATTTTTTAAATGTAAAAAATTTTTTCTTTAAAAAATTTTTAAAATAGAAAAAAATTTTTCTTTGAAAATTTTTCTTTTTCTGTTTTATCTCCTTCTTCCACATTTGATCTCCCCCTATACTTCCAATATAACCAAAATTATTGGCTTGATTTCTATCTTTCCACGTACTTCTCTGTGTGTAGAGAAACACATATACATGTAAGAAGTAAAGTCTGCATTTCAAGAAAGTTAGTAAGTGAATTAGACAGGTGTGTTTAGCCAAAAACAACAGAAAGCCTAATGAACTGCTGGTTAAAGAGGAATTTATTTTTATCATTAACAAGAAGATTGGAAACAGGAAGCTTGGGCGTGGGTTCAACTGCTCAGGGGTGTCACCGAGGCCTTCAGCTGGCTCCATCTCTGGGCTCTGCTATCCTTGGGTTCTTTTCATTTCATGTTTGTTGCCTCGTGTTCACAAGGTGGCTGCCCCAGACACATGCAAGTTTGGAGCATGAGAGGAAGAAGCTGCCTCTTAGGAGGAAACCAAGCATTCCCATCATAGACTTTCCTTTCATCCCATTGGCCAGAGCTGGGTCACATGGCCCTTCCTCACTGCAAAAGTACCTGGAAAGGCAAGAATTCGTATTGGCTGCCTTCAGTGAGCAAAGTGGCTTCCCACAGGGAAAAGGAGCAGAAATGGCTGTGGTGTTTGGTAACCACACTTTCTGTAAGAATAATACACTAATGTCCAGAATAAAAGAGCAGTTATTCCTTCTGTAGGGACCAAAAAGATTCCCTTCCCTGCTCCAGGGTCCAGAGAGACTGTGGGACTGACTGGCTTCCTCAGACCCTCTTCAGGTCTCTGAATAGTCCAAAGTCATTTTCGCACAAGAACTCTGGGACTTGGAATTAAATTTGGCCAAGGTGGAAACGCATCTTACCTCTGATTGGTCATTTCCTTCTGGGATTTCTTGTCTCCCAGTTCCTTTGGTCTTTCTGCAGTTGAGACTTCTATATCACACAGGTGAAATGTGACCAAATGTCAAATGAAAAATTGGGGCCTTTCACTCCTGGGAGCACCTTGCAGAATCCCTGCCACCACTTGTCATAGGCAGGCATGCAGTTGACTCCACCATGCAGAGCTGCACTCTTACAGCTTGGCCACACTTTCCTTTTTTCATGCACCATGGGTTTCTGCAGATCACATCTCTCTGGACATACCCTCATGTGAGTGAATTTGGGTCACCTTCTCAGGACATGGGTAGTGGTCGTCCTGACTTCCTGGCCAGGCCTCTGCTTTTCATAAAAGACCCCAACACCTCTACACAGAACTTAAACACTCTTCAAAGATGGTGGTTCCAATGACTCTGTGATTGACAAATCTTTCACCTTTCCTTGTGTTACTACGCTCTCCTGTAATTCTGTGTTATACTTAATGCCACTGTTTGGTGAGGGAGAATTTTATGATGAATTGAAATCGTTATAATTGTCAAGCATAAAACTGACAATATCTGAAACACAAATAAGACACCCATCTCTGGACTGTGTTGAAAATTTTGAAAACCAACAATAACAACAACTTTGCTACAAGGAAAACTCTTTTTGATAAAAATAGTTATCAGTTACAATATTGTTTTATTTGCATGAAATTCTGGTTTATGCAGGAATCCACACCTACAGAACTCGTGCCCAGGTATGATTCAGCCACTAAGAGGGCTCACGTTCACTTTGATTACTTAGTTTATATCTTTTTTATTTGATTGAAAGTTGCTTCCCATAAAGAAAGAAATTTGCATGCAGCGACCAAAGGATCAACCCAGTTACCTGATCCTTCCCATTAAGAGTTTACTTGTTTTACGTTGTGTTGTTAGACTCTGTCCATTAGTGGGAATGGTTCTGGGCATCCTCTCTGGACTTGGGCTTATATTTCAGGCTCATGGCTGCTTGAGTGAGCTGTTTATGTTCAGTGTTAAGGAAGTCTGTGAAGAGATGTTTTTCCCCCATAACCTTCTGATACAATCATCGACACAGAAACCCAATGCCATTTTTAGGAGAAAGTTGGAGTAAAGTAAACACTCAAAGTGGTTTCAGGAAGGTGAGTGCTCTGTCTCCCCCAGGAAGCTTCTCCCTCTTCTCTCACACGGGAGTCCAGCAGACCCACCGCCTACCTTGGGACATGTGTACAAAAGACAGATGAGGTTGCTACTGAGAGGATGCTACTTTTGGTGTTGATTATAAACAGCATGGCAATTCATTTAGAAGCTAAAATTATAGAACAAAGCATCATCCTAACTATTGTCTACAAATATTTTTTACCTACCAGTGGCAGTAGGATAGACTTTACTACTCTTAGATCCTGTGGTCTCAGATGCATGCCTCTCAGATGGAGGTGTCTTGGTGGCAGAGTTGAGAACACTAGCCATCATTTCTGATCATTGTTAATAATCTTTAACACTAGCAAGAAGCTCTGCTATTGAGTTCCTCTCCTAGGAGACTGTCATTTACACCTGATGGCCCTTGACGTCTCCATTTTTCCAGTTGTTACTCCAAGACAAGTAGATTCTCTTCACTGGTTGTTCTTCTCCCTAAGCCAGCAATCCTGCCCTCTTCTCTTTGTCCTTCTTCTCAGGCTCAAAGCAGACACCTGCACAGTCATGATATGGCAGCTGCTTCCTCCCTGAGCAAGAAGTGGGCTGGTGACAGCTCTGAGGCCACAAGCAACAGCTGAGAGGAAGGAGGGGATGGGAACAAACAGAGACAATGACAGAAAACCTGGCTTTAGAATGGAGCAAGTGACCAGAGAGCAAACATGTGCCGCAGGAGGTTTCAGTGAGTGTCTGGTTCAGTAACTTCCTCGTTCCAAAAGAAGGTGCTTAGCTCAGTGCCCACTTCAAGGTAAAAGTTGTTGAAATGCAAAAGTTGGAGAAAGGGATTCCTGTAGAGTGGCATTGCTGGCACTCAGAACTAATGAGAGGCTTCACAAAGAACCCGCAGAGAGAGCTTCTCCTTGGGGATGCCTTGTAGCATTGGGCTGGTAGACGCTGCATGAAGCCACGTGGCCAACAGGTAGGTGGGGGCTGAAATCCAGCCAGTTCCCTTCACCAAGCCTTGCACACCCCAGACATCTTTTTCTAATCTGTACCTGCGCTGGAGTGCATACACATGCAATTTTGGGGATTATCAGGGGCCCTGCTGACACTCACCTGAGATTGCAGAGTCCTGGGGAAAGAGATGGGCTACAGTGACTGGGCCAATGAGCAGCTGGGTGGGCTGGGAAGGAGTTGCCTGTGACCAGGGCCAGGTAGATACAGGCCTGCCCAAGGGCATGCTCTGGGGTTGAGGGGACCCCTCAGAAAAAGACTGGACATAGCCACTGGATGCCCAGAGGCGGACAGAATTTTTCTTTCTTTCTTTTTTTATTATACTTTAAGTTCTGTGTTACATGTGCAGAACATGCAGTTTTGTTACATAGGTATACACATGCCCTGGTGGCTTGCTGCACCCATCAACCCATCACCTACATTAGGGTATTTCTCCTAATGTTACCCCTAGCCTCCTACCCAATAGGCCCTGGTGTGTGATGTTCCCCTCCCTCTGTCCATGTGTTCTCATTGTTCAGCTCCCGCTTATAAGTGAAAACGTGCAGTATTTGGTTTTCTGTTTCTGTGTTAGTTTGCTAAGGATGATGGCCTCCAGCTCAATCCATGTCCCTGCAAAGGACATGAACTCATCGTTTTTTATGGCTGCATAGTATTCTATGGTATATATGTGCCACATTTTCTTGATCCAGTCTATCATTGATGGCATTGATGGACATTTGGGTTGGTTCCAAGTCTTTGCTATGCGAATAGTGCCACAATAAACATACGTGTGCATGTGGTTTTATCGTAGTAGAATGATTTATAATCCTTTGGGTATATGCCCAGTAATGGGATTGCTGGGTCAAATGGTACTTCCAGTTCTAGATCCTTGAGGAATTGCCACACTGTCTTCCACAATGGTTGAACTAATTCACACTCCCACCAACAGTGTAAAAGCGTTCCTATTTCTCCACATCTGGCAGAGGGAGTTTTTCAAGAGGAGACATGGAAAACAGTCAAGTTTCTTAGGATATATGGCTCTTACAAGTTCTGTTCCTACCGTAATTGGCTATAGACATGAACAAATGCCCATCACTACATAAAGAAACATGAAAGCAACAACGACATATTATTTTTCATCATATTGGCAAATATTCCAAAACCAGTAGTATTCAAAGCTGGTGAGGGCAAGGAGAGATGGGCACCCTGATGTACAAGTGAGGTTTTCAATTACTTAAAACTTTCTGAAAAGCAACTTGGCAATAGATAATGTAAGTCTTACAAATAATAAAACCATTTTGCACAGTAATTACTGTAATTACAGTTGTAGGACTCTATCCAAAGGAAATAAGAAATGAATATAAAGATCTTCCTTGCATGTATAGAAAGAAAATTTTTAACATCCCAAATGTCTAACATTAGTATGAGAAAATTTATTAATTTCTGCTATTTCTGTTGAGCATTTGTAGGAATTAAAATTATGTTTTAAAGCCTAAAAAGTATCAAGTGAAAAAAAAAGTGGAATTCTAACAGCATGTAGAAAAAAGACTAGAAGAAAAGATAGCAAAGTGTCAATGATGGATCTTTCTGGATCAGGGATTATGGGGAACTTTTCTTCTTTATGCTTTAATTTCCCACAATAGACATATATCACTCTTCTCTTTAAATCAAGAAGAAAAAATGTCAGTGATAAAGGCCTGGTAACTGGTAGCTGAATGAAAGGCCTGGTGACTGGTGGCTGAATGAAAGGCCTGGTAGCTGGTAGCTGAATGAAAGGCCTGGTAGCTGGTAGCTGAATGAAAGGCCTGGTAACTGGTGAAAGGCCTGGTGACTGGTAGCTGAAAGAAAGGCCTGGTAGTTGGTAGCTGAATGAAAGGCCTGGTGACTGGTAGCTGAATGCTGGTGCTGGTGGGGGCTGTAGCCCAGCACGCAGGTGACCATCCTGGGCCTGGTCTTGCCTGGCAGAGATGCTCAGCTCTGAGCTGTGTGGGTGCTGGTGGAACACCTTCTCAGCAGACACAGGGGTCTAGGCTGCAGGCAGCCACCCCCAGGTTTAAGGCGTGTCCCCCCCACCAAATGCTCAGGGCTGTTGCCACTCTTCGGAATAGTTCTTTAGGGCAGTGCTTTTCAGACTTGAATGTGCAGACCTATCACTGGAGGACTTGTTAAAATGCAGACTCTGATTCAGAAAGTCTTGGGTAGAGCCTGAGGTTCTGCTTCCCTGTCACCTTCTAGGGTACAGAGATGACCCAACTGAGGATCACGCTCTGAGTGCTCATGAGTGGCACAGCTCTAGAGCAGTTTCTCAAACTTTAATCATACACGAGGATCCCCTGGATCATTTGTTAGACACAGCTTTCTGGACCCTGCATGCAGAGATCCTGACCCCATAGGTCTGGGCGGGGCTTGATCACCTACATCCTGCTCAGCTCCCTGGTGATGCTGATGCTGCCTGTCTGTGGACCACACTTTGGGTAGTGCCCCGTTGCACTCACATCTCTAGCACCTTGTTCCTCAAAGAGCGGTCCCAGACCCAGCAGTATCAGCATCACCTGGCAGCCTGCCGAAAATGTCAATGCTCAGACTCCACTCAGACCTGTAGAATCGGAGTCTGCAGCTTAACGAGATCCCTGGGTGATTTCAGGTACGTTCGAGTTTGGGACACTCTGGTCAACAACAGACTCTTCAAGAGCTGATTGACTTCATTTTCCGGATGATCAGTGGGTGTCCTCCCTCTCCCAACCCTCGATCACTGGGTGAATCAGCACTCCTCCTGAGCCAGCTGAGCTGCTTCCTCGGTCTCCCTATCACGGTCACCATCAGGGTCATGCGGCTGATTACCTGCTGACAGGGGACGACTTCTGCTCTCAGTTTATTTCCTTGAGTGGTGCTGACTGTCGTTCAGGAGAAAAGCAGCTCAGCGGCCATGGAGCAAACATGGAATTCTTACATCAATTCCTTAAACCAGAACTCCTTGCCTGGATAAGTGGAGGTGACCAGGGGAAACTATTTTCCAGGTAAGAAATGTGGGCTTGCTTAAGGTTCCTTGATGTGGGACTTCGGGAATAGGAGCAGGGGAAGGAAGTCTATGTTCTAGATCACCTCAAAACAATGCTGTGCTCAGAAAAATTGACTGTCCTTTCACTGGAATGAATTTGCTTAAAAATACCCTGTCCTTATTTCTTTTTAATACACCACAACTTTAGGAGAACATTTTTCTTTTCCCAAGATGGTAGAGTATTGGAAAAGAAAGAAAAAGTGCTCTGTTTATGGAAGACGTATTTATTTGCTAAGGTACTTTCCTTAGCCCTGGGCAGAATGAAATGTACATTCTAGATTTTCTCTTTGCTTGAATTTAAATGCAGTGTATGTTGTCATATTTCCTGCTCATTGAAGGTGCAGGTTTTTTTTTAAATCTGACAGGAGGATGGGGAGGGACGCTATTCACTAGTGGCTATTTGAAATATAGTGATTCCCTAGAAAGGAAGAAAAAAAACCCACCCCAATGTTACTTTTGAGCAGTGAATATTTTTTACTTTGCTAAGAAATTACTGCAAGGGCCAGGCGCAGTGGCTCATGCCTGTAATCCTAGCACCTTAGGAGGCCAAGGCGAGCAGATCACGAGGTCAGTAGTTCGAGTCCAGCCTGGACAACACGGTGAAACTCCATCTCTACTAAAAATATAAAAAATTAGCTGGGCGTGGTGGCGGGCGCCTGTAATCCCAGGTACTCGGGAGACTGAGGCAGGAGAATGGCTTGAACCCAGGAGGCAGAGGTTGCAGTGAGCCGAGACCACGCCACTGCACTCCAGCCCAGGTGACAGTGTGAGACTCTATCTCAAAAAATAAAAAAGAAATTACTGCAATTTGACACACAAAATATAAGGCATAGATAAGCATGATCCTGAAAAATTATCTTTTGTTGGCTTGATAGTAACAAAAAAAAATCATGTCAATGCTATAGGCATTTTCTCATGCTTCGTGAGAATTCTGCCTGCGCAGCAGAAAACCATCCAACACTCTCCCTACATTATTATAACAGGAAAAATGGGGCTGACTTCTGAAAATGATGGGGGTGACCACTCTGCCCATTGGGCAAGGCAAATCATGATTGTCACTTATTGCAAGAAAATCATTTCAAATCATTTTAAATGTAAGATGCATTACACATTCTGACATACTTAAAATAATGCCTCTTTATAAAAGGTTTAGTTTTACCAAAAGAGTGGTCTTTTTCTGTTTTTGTTTTTGAGAAGAATCCATTTGTCTTTAAGTCATATTTAACAAGTTTGAATAACCAAATTTTTTCTTAAAATTGTCATTTACCAATAGAAGTATTAGATACAAATGTTGGAATATAACTTCAGCTTTTGAAAATGTTTCCACGCAAATGAACTCTTTCAGGGTCACTGTGTAATCTGTCATTCTCCAAAGGGGACACCATCACAGTCATTGAGCTAATACTCTCCAACCTCAGAGCAGAAGTGAATGATGAAGAGAAGTCTCTGGGCATGGTTAATATACTTCTTGGATATGAAGGTGAAATATACAATATTCCATTTTAGCTTTTGAGAACTTTTGTGGAGTATGAGTATGTGTGTGTAAGGAGAAGAGAGGAGGTAAATTTTGCTTAGTTTTGCCAGGCTCATGAAAATAAGTTACCCAAAGTACCTGTTGGAACTTGGCTTAATTGGAAAGTGAGTCACAAATAGGCATTTCCCAGGGACACAGGCCCAGAAGGCTGACTGCTCAGTCCTAGGTGAGCTCCGTGAATGGTGCTCTAAACTCCTCATGGCGCTGAGGCATGAGAACGAGGACATCTCATACACTTGTCTTTCCTTTATTACATCACTAACCGTGTTCCTCCTGGAGATTACCATATCTGAGAAAACCTGAAACCTTTTTGATCGCATGATAGATGTAATCAGTGAATGTTCCTACATGGAGAAGCTGGCTTTGGAAATCTACTGGCTCACTGTGGTAAAGACTGATTCAGGGGCTGCACTGACCCTGCAGCTCAGTGGTGGGATTGTTGGTGGGGTTTTGCTTAGTTTGTTTTTTTGAAATAGAAAGGAATAAAAATATTCCATTAGTCATTTGTAACTTGGGAAGGGTATATAAAATAAAAAAAAAAGATTAAATGAATTTCATATTTATATGATGACCAGTTAAGAGTGACAGAGAAGTCTTGAGGCCATGGGAGGTAGAAATAAAGAGAGAAGGGTGAGGAGGAAGCATGAGCCTAGCCACAGGGGGGCCTCAGATGTAGACTGAGAAGGATGGAGACAGACATATACATATGAGACTGTCAGAATTTATTGTTTAGAAAAGCAAACAAAAACTGGTTCAATCTAAGCCTAATGCTCAAAAGCACAGCAGTGTGAGAATCTTCTCTCTCCATCTTTGGAAGGGAGCAGTGATTGGAACTGGGTGTGTGGGGAGCTGCAGCATCCCTGATGTGTGGGGAGCTGCAGTATCCCTGGTAAAGCCCTTCCTGAGGCCCTGTCTTGTTGCAACACTTGTAAAATGCTGCCCTCTCTAGGAGCCCTCCACCGTCTGGAATCAAGTGAGGGGCTATGTCAGCTGCAGGGTGGTTGGTTCCAGAATGTGTAAGGCACTGAATTTTGAACAAATGAGCAAAAGACCGTTTTTAATGGCTGTTAATAAAAAGTTACCATGCTTAGATGTTAACACAGGACTACTGTCAAAAGACAACTTACAAAAAATTTAAACATCTTACTTGACTTTTATGTGTGATTCTAGAATTGGGAAACACCTTGTTCTATAAGATAGAAAGTGTTCCAAAGAGCTGAGCAGAGGAGCTTGGTTTTCTAGACAGGGCTGAGGAAAGCAGAAACAGGGAACAGACAGCAGATTGGCTATTTCAAACTTACTTTTCTTGTGAAGGTTCAAGCAGAGGGGACTTCCTTATGCCACTAGAACTGGCCTGTTTGGGGATTTGACTATCACCTCTCTCTGTAACTTCTTGGCATGCTGAAGATCTTAGTTTCCACTTGGTGGTGTTGAATTGGCAGGAGTGACTCCATTTTGTCTGGTCCGCTGGGCCTGGTGCGGGAGCTTAGTCCAAACCAATGACCTTCCATAAATTGTATCTAACATGACTAACTACGACGTAAGGAAAATTGTCTAGGTAGAGGAAGATCTTTTCTTCTTTTAGGTGGCCTCTGTGTTGTTTTAAGAATGGATCCAGAGGCCCCAGGCTCTGTACACAAATTAAGAAGCCACACATTTCCAACCTCTCCTAGAACTCAAATGAAGACATTTCAGCATGGATTCCCTGAAAAGAAGGACTAGACACCTCATCTTGGTAGTTCATTTCTGCACACAGTATTTCTAGATCCTGGAAAAGCATTTCCAGCATCAGGGTTTGGGGATGGGATCTGAGGGTCACCTGGAAGACAGGAGTCCCCTGTGTTCCCAAGGGTGATGTCCCTCTAGTCCTGCCTGTCGGCCAGCCCAAGTGGCCAACCCACTCCCCCATGTTTAACATGGAACCTGCCTTTCTCTTTTCACAATGCCCCCTCCCCTACTGAGGTCCAGAATGTTCTCATTGAGCGATCTGTTCCTTTACTATAGGACTTGAGCCGTCAGTGACTGGTGACAAAAAACTCTGAGGATGGGCTTTGTGAGGGAGCCGGAGGCCAGGCGGGAGGCCCCCACATGGCAAGTCTACTCTTCCCATTTCACCTGCTTCCCCTCTCTCGGGCGACTTTGCACTTTGGCCCTGCCCTCACCACAGAAGGGACAGCTGGTCTGTGTTTCCACTAGGACCACAAGCAATCAGAATAGCTTGCCTCCTGGGTCAGTCCGCTGGTCTCTCTTCCTGCCACTGAGACTCTAAGACCCGCCCACTGTAGTATAAAAAGGACACAGAGCTGCAGAGTTGGAAATGGCTAATCAACTGGGTGCGGTGGCTCACACCTGTAATCCCAGCACCTTGGGAGACTGAGACCGGAGGATGGCTTGAGTCCAGGAGTTTGAGACCAGCCTGGGTCTCAAATAGTGAGACCCTATCGCTACAAAAATATTAAAAATTAGCCGAGCATGGTAGCTCACATCTGTAGTCCCAGCTACTCAGGAGCTTGAGGTGGGAGGATCACTGGAACCCAGGAAGTCTAGGCTGCAGTGAGCCATGATTGTACCACTGATTCCAGCCTGGGCGACAGAGCAAGACTGTCTCAAAAATAAATAAATAAATAAATAAATAGAAATGGCTGATCAGAAGCAGTGGCTCTATATGCTTGAGTGAGCCAGATGGGACAGGGAGTGGGTGAGACGAGGCAGTGAGCAGCCCAGGAGCCCCGAGGGTGACCCAGGAAGAAGGAAGAGCAGGGAAGGTGGCCCTAGAGAGCTTTTGCAGTTCCTGCCAGAGACACAGCTGCAAGGCTGGATTTCGAGAAGCACATTTACTTCTATGATTGCCTCCCACCAGCTGGTTGGTGATGCCACTCCCCTCTCAGTGTCTTTACCCAATAATCTGTAAAATGGGGATAATGATCCAGCCACATAGCCAACTTACCAAGCCACCAGGGGCCACACAGTTCTTTAAAATCACGTGGGCAATGTTCAAAGTACCAGCCAGGATGTTTCTCTAGTGGTGAGAGCTTTGAAAGAGCAAGAAAGCTTTGGGAATGAAATGTGATGTTTCCTATTTGACAGAGGGATGTTTTAGGTGACAGTGCAAAAGACAGGAGGGTTGGCAGGGAGAGCAAGGGGCTTGGCTGGGGAAGACCAGGCGGAGCTGGACACCTGCCGAGCTGAGTCTGCCTCTCTGCATTTATTTTCTGATTAGCATTCTAATGGTAGCCCAGAGGGTCAGATTAATCAAAGTGGGAAGCATTTCTCTTTCAATTGCAATTACAACCATTATTTATGTTATTGAAATTAATCAATCACTATTGACTGCCTTTACTATTTTTTATATCATTTTGAGGAATGGGACAAACAAATGTCCCACCCCTTCTCTGGTAGGCAGCCCCAAACCGAGAGGCACAAAAATTCTCCTCACCATGAAGTAGAGAAAGTAAGGAGGGTGGTGTGGTCAACGTGAAATTTTTAACATGCAATTTCTGTGTAAAGCAACATGCTGTTTGCATTCTTAGAATTTCTTGGCAAAAAGCTGGCACTCCTTAATAGACCTGTGTCTCATACGCAAGTCACCCACATCAGTACCACATTTTGGGGTGTCTTAAAGGACACTTTTTGGTATGGCATAGCCATTCTGCTTATCAGGGGATGTTAGAACTGGCGGCTAGACCACTGTTTTCAATCCGACCACATGGTTGTCTGTACATAAACTGAAAAAAGCATTCACGCTGTTCTCTTGCTAGTTTTAATGTACAGCAGTTTTCCTTAGCACAACAGAAAATGGATGAGTTTAATATATGGTTAAAATCATATCCACATTTTGAGTAAGACAACGATTAAGTCTATGACAGGGAGTTCTGAATACCTTCCAACGTATAAGACTTCCTAAACGTATACCTACTTCTAGCATCTCCTTTCATCTTCATTACTCTGAGAGCTGAGCCAGGCAGTTGTTAGGAAGCCGCATGACATAGTAAGAAGAGCAAGGGTTAGCATCAAAAAGATCTGCCTTTGAAGGTTAGGTTCGCCGTTGTCCAGGCTGCAGGGAAGAGTGGCATTTGAGTCTACTTTGTAATTGGAGTTAAGGAGATAGAGAAGTAGGGTGACCGACTTGTCCCAATGCCTAGGGGCCTTCCTGGTTTTAGCACTGGAATTTCCCCATCCAGGCAATACCCTCAGGCCAGGGGAAGCCAGGGTTATTGGTTACCCTATGAGGGATAGTGGGTGGTGGTGGATGGATTCTAGAAAAGGCAATGAACAAACGTTCAGGCCATGATCATCCCCGGCCTTTCATGGAGGAGAGAGCTTGGGTGGAAGCCACAGGTTGACAGGAGTTGCTAGAGAGGTGGGGGACAGATCATGAAGGCCTCTGAAAGGAGGGCCAGGCCTGCACCAAAAATCTGTCAAGAGGGTGGATCTCATATTGGGTTTTTACCACACATACACACACCAAAAAACAAAACAAAGAACAAAAAACCAAGGGGCATGAGGCAGCTTTTGGAGGTGATGGCTCTGTTGATATGGTTTAGATGTTTGTGCCTCCAAATCTCATGTTGAAATGCGACCCCGAGCCTGGAGCGGCAGCTCACGCCTGTAATCCCAGCACTTTGGGAGGCCAAGGCCAGGCGGATCACCTGAGGTCAGGAGTTCGAGACCAGCCTGGCCAACGTGGCAGAACCCTGTCTCTACTAAAAATAACAAAAGTTAGTCAGGCGTGGTGGCACGCACCTGTAATCCCAGCTACTTGGGAGGCTGAGGCAAGAGAACTGCTTAAACCCAGGAGGCAGAGGTTGCAGTGAGCCAGGACTGCACCATTATAATCCAGCCTGGTTGACAGATCAAGACTCCATCTCAAAAGAAATGCAACCCCGAATGTTGGAGGTGGGCCTGGTGAGGAGTGTTTGAGTCATGGGCACGGACCCCTCATGAGTGGCTTGGTGCTGTCCTTGCAATAGTGAGTGAGTTCTCACTCTATGAGTTCACATGCAATTGGGTTGTTTAAAAGAGTGTGGCACCTCCCCCTCATTCTCTCTCACCCAAACTCTCGCCATGTGACACACCTGCTCCCCCTTTGCCTTCTGTCATGATTGGAAGCTTCCTGAGGCCTCACTAGAAGCAGATGCTGGCACTGTGCCTCTTGTACAGACTGCAGAACCATGAGCCAATTAAACCTCTTTTCTTTATACATTACTCAGTCTTGGGTATTTCTTCATAACAATGCAAGATCAGCCTAATATATCTGTTTATTACCTTGATTGTGGTGATGGGTTCATGGGTCCATATTCATTAAATTGTGTAATTAAATATGTGCAGGGGTTTTTTTATGTCTAAATGAAAGAAAGGAAGAGAGGGAAGAAAGAAAGGAAAGAAAGAAAGAAAGAAAGAGAAAGAAAAGAAAGAATGAAAAGAAAGAAGAAAGAAAAGAAAAAAGAAAGAAAAAGAGAGACAAGAAAGAAAGAAAGAAAGAAGAAAGAGAGAAAGAAAGGAGGGAGGGAGGAGAAAGGAAGGAAAGATTGATGTTCCTTCTCTTTGGGGACACCCTGCTCACAAGTGAGGCCCCACGGAGGACAGAACAAAGCCTGAGCATGGCCAGACCAGCCCCACACTCCCTGGGCATGGGCCAGTAGAGCCCAGTTGCTGTTTAAACTGACTTGACGGGCCTTTTGTTTGTTGCCTCCAAAGTATCCTAACAGAAAGAAATAATCTTTTTCGCCACTGAACGTGTGGGAGCTTCATTTAAGGTGCTGCCCTCCACCCACCTTAACCACGGCCTCAGCCTGGGATCCCTGTGTGTCCTCCATGCACGCCACATCCACACTGCCTGCTGCTCCCCTTTCCTGATCCCATCTCCCACCTTCTGTGGAAGTGCAGGCCTGGCCCTTCTAGAAGAAGCAGTGCAAGGGAAGGATGGGGTCACTCAGTGATCCCCTGGCTTTGGAGACTGAGGGAGAGAGATGAGCAGACCACAGGCCTCCATGGTTTCCAGCTCCTCCCTGACCACTGAGATGTGCTTGCAGCCTCCTGCAGCGAGTCAGGTCTGGACCCTAGGCCGCTTCCTTCAGGCCTCCTGGGGCTGTCTCTGCAGGAAACCCAGACAGAGGGAAAGCAGAAGGAAGCAGACCCTGGATTGGGACAGGTGAGGCAGTGATACCCCTTCCAACTACCTCAACCCCCCACTCAGGTCAGGTGTCATCCAGGCATATTTTATAAAAGCTCAAAGGCAAACTCTTTCTCACGTGTTGCATGGGGCCCTTCAAGGTTTCAAAGCGTTCACTTGTATCTGCAAGGTTGGAGGCTCTAATCAGGAGGAAGACGGCCTCATTGGAGCATAGTGGTTGTCTCATCTTGATGTACCGACTTTTCCCATAGCTCAGAAGAGTTCCTTCCACTCCCCGTAGTTGTCTCCAGAACTCTCTCACCAGCCCCAGGCCCCAGATCTTGCAGCTGATTAAAGTCTAGTTCCAGAGGCTATTGTGCCCAGCTCTGTGCAGCTGGGCTAAGTGTGTGGGGTGTTGGGGTGTTGACTTTTTCTGCCTCCAATAGGAGAGGTGACTAGACCACTCCAGAAAACCACCATCCCATGACCAGAAAGCTTTGCAGATAAACGCCAAGACTCAGGTTAGGGCTCACTTCACCTAGGAGCCTCTCCCTCAGCCCCAGACCAGATGAGGACGGACTAACCTGTGCACGCCACGGTCATATTTCTCCATATGTTTAAATCACGTGTTTAAGTGCCTGTTTACCCCTCTCCTGCCAAGTCATAATCCAGGAGGTTTCAAAGACCAATTGCAAACCGAGCACAGTGGCTGCAATTTAGTACATTCTCAACGTGTTGAGTTGAACTGAGGAATTCGTAGAAATCAATTACCGTGTTCACGAACGTTAAGCCCGACTGTCATCTACCCGTTTGGTTCCCCAGCTTTCTTCCAATTAAGAAAACGAATGATCCACTGAAATTTGAATGAATGGTAAGATCAATAATAGTCTTGTGAAGCAATTTATCCCTTATCCATCCATATACGCCCAGACACCATGGGCATTTCAACATCTTAGTCTCAGGCCCAGTTTGTTAACTTTACAGATAAAAAGATTTCTCAGCTCTCAAATCCTATTTGACTTTTAAAGCCCCTACTAGGACTCGAAGCAGAGCAAAATACATTTTCTGCTTATTCCTGGAGCGTGTTATGTTTTGCTGTTCAGCCAAGAGAAGTGCTTCCTTGGGATTGTTGATGATCTAAGGCTGACACCTGGAAGCATTTCTCAGCTTCCCCTTCAGAACAAAGGAGTGAGAACCAAAACCTCTGAGCTGGATAAACCCACTTCCCATCTCTGCATTTGCCCTGCTTTAAAACGCCACAGTTCACAGAACAGCATTGTCTAAAGTCTCTGAAATCTAGTGCATCTCCCATCACGATTGCAAGCAATTCTGCCCTGATTGCTGTAACCTAGATGACCATGCGTTTTCCTGTACAGGGAGAAACTAATGAGATGGAGAGCTTCCTCGGATGGGAACCTGCTGGCCCACTGCCTAATGCACCATGCCAGGGACCTCTGGGAGCCCACCTCACAGATTGCCTATGTGCCTGGTTGCAGCAGAACGTGCTGATGTGTCTATTGATTGCAATAGGATGCAAGTGGACTGTAAAATAGAACAGCAGGTGAAAGGAGAGCCTACCAAGGAGTGACTAAACGTTCCTCCCAGCATGCTAGATATTAGCCTTATCACCGGACTGGCCTCTTCTCGATCACAGGGCATTTATCTACCCAGAGCATCATTAGGAACACACAGCTATGGAACTGGGAGGGGAAAACCCCAGTCTGGTATGCAGCAGCTTTCTGTTCACAAAGTTTCAGGCCTGGAAATCTGTGTCAGGGAGCAGAGCCTTATGCTTTATTATTTGTAATGGTGAGTCCAGCAGCAGCTGGTCAGCATTGCTGCTAGTGTTCTAAGGTGAGTGAGCAGGTTGGTGGGGAGTGCTGGGGACAGGCTCTTCACTGAACTTGTTCATTTAAGTTAAAAGGGGAGACGATAAAATAGACAGGAAATAAGACACTGATGATTTGTTTCTCTGTGAGATCCAAATGCTGACCCAAGGAAAAGTAGAGGAACAAGGGCTTAGACAGAACACCATGAGGTCTCCAGAAAGGACTCGAAGCTTTCAGAAGTGAACACCCAGCTGGCCCTTCTATGCACCCTGTCGGCTTCCCTGACAGAGGCAGGCAGGATGCCAGCTTTGACAGAGGGTCGTCCCTGTGATAGATGACTCAATCACAGCCGCTTTCCTTCCCGCCTGATTCGGCATGCTTTCTCATCCAGTCTCTCAGCTGGAATCATCATGGGCTGGCCGCATTAAATAGAACAAACAGGAAAAAAGAAACGTTCTGCTTTGCCCTGAATCACTAACTCTTTCCTAAGGAAGAGCCACCAACACCACTTTCTGCATTCTGTTTGCTAATGTCCCAGGAGACTCATGTGAATCGCAAGCCTGACACATGTCTTTCCCACATTTCTCTCTACTGGGTTATGAGGCAAATGAAATGCTGGAGAGAGTAAGCGTTACAGAATCTGTGGCCGGGTTCTATCTGCAAGAACTGTCACTTTGACCTGGCAATAGAGTCCACTTGGTATGTGGGCTTAACTGACTTTCCCCAGATCACAGTGTCTCCTGGAGAGACAAGCCTGTGTCTCCGCTCTCAGCTCTGCATCTTTGGTCACTGCTCTGGATCCTGTCACCAGAGCAAAGGGGGCTCAGCTTTGTCATTTGAGCAGGAGGAAGAATGTGATCCTCTGTGTAAGAAAGATACGAAACAGACCAACCCCGCAAGATGTAACCACCTGGGCTCCGCCACAAAAACAGAGGCACATTAGGGCTTGAGGGTTTGTGATTCCGTCAGCCCATCCCTTTCCCAGGCTCTCTTCTGAACCAGCAGCAAAGCTCCTCCAAGATCTCTATGGAGACCAGCTGCAGCCACTTGTGTTTTTAGCATTTTCCCACCTCGACACCAAGCTCATTCAATCCAGCAGTTGGCAGAGGATCTAGAGAGTTCTGCTCTCCCCTAATTTTTCAGTCCTCATTGTATCAGCCTTCTTCCAAGTTGCAGAATACTACTTCCTGCTTTTGCGATGAGGAATGCTTTGGCTCTGATCTGGGGACTGCCTATGGCTATGCTGGGTAGTTCCCAGGGAAGAACATCTGAGCTCCTGAGTCAGCCTAGGCAGGGGACTTGCAAATCCTTGGTAAAGTCACCTCTACCCAAGCTCTGTCATGGCCAGAATTGTCTCTGCATTCTGTGATCCATCACAAATTACAGCAAAGAGAGGTTTTTCTGTGCATGATGCTTCTTAACTGGAAAATTAACACCATCACAAAACAGTCTGGGGCTCTGTCAACACTGGCAGTACGCATGTTGAAATGAGTATCTGTACTTCGACTGGTCCATAAATATTTTTTGAGCTTGTACTTTGCGCAAGGTACTGAGCTGAGTGCTTAGAGGATTGATTCTGAGTCCTGTCAAAGAACGTGTGTCCAGCCACAGCGATGAGCCTCAGACACTGGGAAATGACACTGACAGGGCTCAATAGAACAGAACACATAGGTTGCAGGATGGAGGTGGGAAAGGTGCCGAGTGAGGAAGGAAGGCCTTTTAGTGTGCCTCCTCTGTTCCCCTGCCCGGCAGCCACCTGCACCCTTGTTCCTGGCTGCGGGATGCTGTCCACGAGGCAGATTCCTTTCACAGGAGACAAAATCCTCTTGGCCTAATTTATCAGATGAACCTGCAGAAACAGGATAAATATTTATCTTATGAATTAGTGAATCTCTAAGCCTTCATTTGTACACCCAGCTGGGAGGATGCCCTCATGCCTCAGCCCACGCCATCCTGGAACTGGCTCCATCAGCTAGGGAGAGCTAATGGTTAAATATGCATGACTTTTAGGCTGAGGCAGGCAGATCACTAGAATTCAGGAGTTGAAGATCAGCCTGACCAGCATGGTAAAACCCTGTCTCTACGAAAAAACACAAAAATTAGCTAGGTGTAGTGGTGCACGCCTGTAATCCTAGCTACTCGGGAGGCTGAGGCAGGAGAATCACTTGAACCTGGGAGGCAGAGGTTGCAGTGAGCCAAGATCACGCCACTGCACTCCAGCCTGAGCAAAAGTGAGGCTCTGTCTCAAAAAAAAAAAAAAAAAAAAAAGCATGATTTTTGTGAGCCAGTGTTAAGCAGTTGGTGTCTTGACACTGGCCAGGAAGAGAGTATCACGCCATGGAAACTCACAAACATTGCCCATTGGGGTCACCTTGTTTTGTTTTATTTTTTGTGCACCCGTTTACCAGCACAACAGTGCTTTAACCACTTAGATTCTGAAAGTCTGTTTCCACCTGTCAATCTAGATAAGGATACCAGTTTCACAGCTCGGTGGGGAGGGTCCCATGGATATACAGCCGTGGACATGTGGGAAGGTCTCACTAAATGGGAAGCCTGTTAGTCTGTGTATAGAGGGAACTGCCGTTTCCCACAGTCTAAAGAGGATTGACTCGTACCACAAGGATTTTCAAAAGCCTCATTCTCCCCTGAAGGGAAAATACTGCTATCCTGGTGGGCCCATGCCATTTTCTAAGACTTGCCAAGCTTGAGAAGTCTTGCCCTGTTCAAAGAAACCACATGGATAATTCCCGTGACCGGCGCTGGCGGGCCTGGCTGTTCCCACCAGCAGAACCAAAGGGTCCAATGAGTCACTGCTGCTTTGAAGGCTCAGGAAGCTCAGCCACTGCTGATAGCCTGACCTATCCACAGGGAAAACCTATAATGTGTCCTTTGACAAAAATGTGGGCTGCTCTCTGCTCAGCTGACATCCTCCTCAGATGCTATGTGTATGTGCCACTCCCTCCCATTGGCGTCAATGCAGCTGTCCCTGGCACATGAACCACAACAGTTCTTTCTGGTGCTGCTATTGACAAAAAAAGTGAGCAATTTTAAGATTCTTACAGAGGGCCAAGTGCAGTGGCACATGCCTATAGTCCCAGCTACTTGGGAGGCTGAGGTGGGAGGATGGCTGGAACCCAGGAGCCCTGGGCTATAGTGCACTATGCTGATTGGGTGTCCACACTAAATGTGGCATCAATATGGTGACATACTAGAAGCAAAGACCACCAGGTCACCTACGGAGGAGTGAACCAGCCCAGGTCAGATGCAGGGCAGGTCAAAACTCCTGTGCTGATCAGTAGTGAGATTGTGCCTGTGAATAGCCACTGCACTCCAACCTGGGCAACATAGCAAGACCCCATCACTAAAAAAAGAAAGATTCTTAGAAGGGACTGTTCTGATATATCAGGAAATCTTCTATTCTGTTTTTCACATTAAAATTTCATGTATTTTTTTTCTGATTACTAAAGCCACACAGCTCTCCATAGAAAATTGGGAAATTGGGCCAGGCACGGTGGCTCACACCTGTAATCCTAACAATTTAGGAGGCCTCAGCAGGCAGATCACTTGAGGTCAGGAGTTCAAGACCAGCCTTGCCAACATGGTGAAACCCCATCTATACTAAAAATACAAAATTATCCAAGCGTGATGGTGCGTGCCTGTAATCCCAGCTACTCGAGAGGCTGAGACAGGAGAATCACTTGAACCAGGGAGGCAGAGGTAGTAGTGAGCTGAGATTGCACCATTTCACTCTAGGCTGGGCAAAAAGATGGAAACTCCATTTCAAAAAAAAAACGAAGAAGAAGAAGAAAGAAAGAAAGAAAGAAAAGAAAATTGGGAAATTGGCCTTCATTTTAGAATAGATGATATTTGTACTGGGAGTTTGCCCAAATGGAGCTATTTCAGTGGTGGAATAAGTAGGAAAGATAAGAGGCTGGTGCCAGTTAGCTGCTACCATCCAGGGGGGCAAGAATGAGCTGGTAAATTTGGGGTACTTTTTTTGAGGATGGGGTTACATACTGATTTTTTTCTACAGCCTTTGCTGACAAAAATCATGTCAGGCCATTTAAACCTCCTTTCTTCATCAGGGAATTCTTCAGCTGGGCTCAGCCTTCCTCAAACAGGCGCCCAGCCTCCAGGAAGCAATGAAAGCCTGATAATCCTGTGTACTCAGGAATACATTTTCCTTCAGAGTCATCAGAAACCTAGATTCATTAAACTAATCAGAGGCTGGAGGCTGTGATATGATACCTTCAAATGTGCAGGTTGGTCGGCTAAGGGCGCCAGGCTGCGAATATTTGCATCCTCAACGTCAAGATCATCATCTTGGAAAACCAGGTTGCATCTTTTGAGGGAAAGAGCTGTAGCAGCAGGGAAAAAGCAAAGATCCCAGGACAAAATGCTGCCTACTGGGTTTATCCAGAACATCCCATGAGTTTGAATTTTATTCTTTCCTAGCTAACCCCTGTGGGGCGGAACTGAAGAATGTTGAAAGAATGAAGGAGTAAATAGATGAATAGTGAAATGGCTGTTAGTCCATTCTCACATTGCTGTAAAGAAATACCAAAGTCCGGGTAATTTATAAGAAAAGAGGTTGAATTGGCTCACATTCTGCAGGCTGTACAGGAAGCATGGAGGCATCTGCTTCTGGGGAGGCCTCAGAGAGCTTTGACTCATGGTGGGAGGCAAAGTGGGAGCAGGTGTCTTACATGGCAGGAGCCAGGACCTAGAGAGAGAGGGGGGAGGTGCTACACACTTGCAAATGACCAGATCTTGTGAGAACTCACTCACTATGATGAGCACAGTACCAAGAGGATAGCACTAAACCATTCATGAGAAACCTGCCCACAAGATCCAATCACCTCCCCCCAGGCCCCACCTCCAACACCGGACATTATAACCGAACAGGAGATTTGGGTGGGGACGCAGATCCAACCACATCAATGCCTCTCTGCGTTGAACCTCAGACCTAGATAGCAAGTTCGTGGGCGAATGTTGCTAGTGACAGCACAGCCCTGTGATGTCCCAGTCTCCCCTCATGTGGCCCACCTAATGGGCCACATCCCAGGTCAGGGCGGCTGCCTGTAGCCAACCACCCCAGCTGGTGTGTGATGTAGATCCAGCCCCCAGAACAAAACAGAGCTTCTCCTAAACTCCCCTTTCCCTTTCATTTCCTTGCATCTTTGTGCCATTTACTTGAGTCACTCTGCTCCAAATACTCCCACTTCCTTCTGTCCTTATTGATGAGCATGGCCCCGATGACCTGAGAAGGAAGCCAAAGTCATCATCAATGTTCCCCTGACAAAACCATAAAGGCTGAGGGGTAAGAAACAGCGTGCTACCCTTATTTTCTATTGTGATTGAAAAGATGAATCCACAGACTCGGTCACATTTAAGTAAACTTCAGGGGTGGTCACTGGCAGTGGTGAGTCAGGTAGCTTCCTAAATCCCACCTCTTTAGGTGAGATAAGACGAGCCATTCTCGTGGTATGCTGGGGATGGCCCGATCTGTGGTCCAGCCTCATGGAGACGGTAACAGAACTTGAGGTATTTTGACAGAATTATCCTATTAAGCCAAGGGAAGTGAGTATGTTACATCTGCAGTAGTATCGGCACTACATGCCTAAATCTGACAGTCAAGGTCTGTTGAAAGATGGTCTAGTGAATTTAAGACAGAAAATCTGTTTGTACTTTTTGTTGTTGTTGGGCTGGGATGTTTTTAGTTTGAAAAATAATTCACAAAGTGATCATTATATAAAATAAAATAATTTCTGTGTACCTTTATCTCTGATCTATTTTATAACAGAGCCTATGTAATGACTTCTTACAATTTGCTTCAATATTTGACTCAGTTTTCATTTATTTTCATCATTGTTCATCATATTTTAGCGTTCTCCTGGCATCTGTGATAGCCAGTGGGAAAACGATTGAAAATGTATTTTAAAAATTCAACAAGATGCATGGTTTGAGGCTTATAGGGCTGACTCATGATAATATCATCACAATGCTTTATCCTTTATAACACCTTTCAAAAAGAGATTGAGAAAACCTTTAAAACCGTAATTTAATTCTTGTGGTATCTCTATGAAAGAGGTATTATAATCCCTGACTTATAAATGAGGAATCTAGCTTTAGGTATTAAATAATAAGCCACATCCTATTACAGACTCATGGTCAACTTTCTGATACCAAAAAGCTCAGAGTGCAAACTGTGCCATTGACACACACATCACACACACACACACACACACACACACACGCACACACACTACAGCATTGGGAAGAAGAAATGGAAGTTTCTGCTTTTCTTGATTAAACAAAGGTATGTTATTCACCTATGTTCCCAAAGTTCACCTTGTCCTCCTCTTTCCCTTGCCCCTTCCCCTCTCTCCTCTTCCCCCATTCCCTCCACCTGTAGAGCAAAGCCATTCCCCCCTTCCCCTCCACGGCTTCATAAACAGATCTTACCCCTGGACTCTAGATTATACACTGTCAATAATGAGATACGTGGAGTGCCAGCCACTAGTTAATCACTTGACAGGAACCAACTCATTTTAAATCACCAACCCATGGATATAGAAATGAAGACCAAGATCTCAAGCCAAGGTTATGCGCTACTCCCACCTGGCCCCCACACCTCTTGAGTGGAACCCAAACATTTGTGAGACCAAACAGATGTTGAGCACCAGCCTGATACAAAGCTCTGTGCTGGGCACTGGGAACATGGAATCCCCAAGGTGAAAGATCTCAAGGAGCCACAACCCTGTATGTGGGGAGGGAAGTTTAGTTTACGTGAAATGTCAACAGTCTACCACAAAATGATGTAAGAGATGTGCTAGATCCATGCACCTTGGTGTTATTGGAACACATAAGGAGCACCTAGTCCAGGCAGAATGGGGTGCAGAGAAGCTTCATAGAGGAACTGATGGATGGTGCACTGAATCTTCAGGCTGCAGAGAGAAGCCTAGGCTGGCATAGTGAACTGCAGGAGCACAGCAGGCTCGAAGAGCTCGGCCTGCGGCTGAACCACAAGTGCTCCTCTTTCCAGGGCATGAAGGCGCATATGGGGGTGGCTGGAGATGAGGCCAACAGCTAGTCAGACAGCAGGTTATGAAGAGCCTCAGATCCCATCTTATGCTGACGTGGGTGACGGGCACCCGTGAAGCTTTTTGTCTCTCACTGGGGTCTGTTGGTTGGGGAGCAGGTGGGAGCTGGCAAGGCCACTTATGGAGTCTGGTTGAAGAGGCTCTGGGACTCCAGGGAGAATTGTCCAGAGCAACTGGATGTGTGATCCTGGGGCTGGAGCATGTTCTCTGGGAGGAGGGCATCCTCAACGTGGTATCAGTCTATGGAGAGGCTAAGCTCATGTAAGGAAAGGACAAACTGGGAGGAGGACAGGACAGATGCCACTGAAAGGACAACTGTGCTTAAGGGGAGACACCTGGACTTAAGAAAAGGAGACTTCCAGAGGGTCTGAGAAGGAGTGGTCACGCAGTTTTAAAAAGAAAATAAATTCAAGAATGACCAATGGATTTGGTCAACAGTGTCAAGTACTGTAGATGGAGGAGAGCAGAATGTAGTAGCTACAGGGAGCACTGGCCTTGGGGAGAACGCAGTCAGCTGCAGGGGAGGAGCTGCAGGCAGGAGTGGGGGTGGGGGGAGAGGGAAGGGAGGGAGGAGGTGGGGAGGGTGAGTATAGATAGCAGGGCACTGGCCAGGCCTCGAGGGCAGGAGAGGGACGGCCGACAACAGGAGTTGTCTTTGGGTTTTTTTTTCCCTAAGAAGGAAAAGATGTGCGTGTGTGTGTGTGCATGTGTGTGTGTGTGCATGTGTGTCTGTTTAGAGAAAGAGCCTGGGGAAAGGGAGAGGATGAAGATGCATTTGGGGGAGGGGGTGATTTGTCCCTAGGGTCGTGAGAGGGGTTGGGATCTCAGGCACAGATGGAAAACTTAGGCTTAGAGAGGGTACCAGGAAATGCAACTTCTTGGGAGTCTGGAGAAGATAACTAATCACACCCCTATGTTTCTTCCCTCCACCTTTAGAACCTAAGAAAGAAGGAGCCAGAAATCTAGCAGCCTGATTTCTGATCAGAAGCTGCTGAGAGAGCTGGCTTCTCCTCTGGACCCAGGGCCTTTCCTCTCACTCTTCTCTCCACCCCAGCCCACGCACCCTCCTGGCTCCAGCACTCAATTTCCCACCAGGACACAGGACACACCGCAGATCACAGCATCTTGTGCTAGAGGAAACCACTTACTACGTGTGGCCAAGGAGGGCTATTCGCCTTCCTGGGGATGCCAAAGAGAGAGTGAGAAGAAGGCTGGGCCCCGTTGCCTTCCTTCTCCCACACTTACCCACTGGTGGAAGTGAGGGAGGAGATGGAGAGAGGGATAGAAAGGCTCTTCCTAGGTTCTGGACTTGAAGGGTAAGTTTTCCATTTAATAGACCTAGGCAGGAATGAAGAATGGAGAGACTATTTCCCCGATGCTTTCACAAACATGGGAGGTAGACAAACCAGAAATTGAGGGGTTCCTGGCTATTTGTGCAGTTGGTAGTGGGAACATCCTCTGGGAGTAAGTGACAAGCACCAAAACAATAATAACAAGACTGCTCAAGGACTCACCTTTCAGTGAGACAGGAGGAGTAAGTTCCAGGTCTATTGTACAACATGACGACCGCAGTTAACAACATGTATCATAAACTTGAAAATCGCCGACAGTAGATTGTTAAATGTTCTCACTACACACAAAAAAAGATGTATGTGAGATGATGCTGATGTTAATTAGCTTTCTTTAGCCATTCCACAATATGTGCATATTTCAAAATGACATGTCATACACCATACACATATGCAATGTTTTATCAACTAAAAAAATAATAACAAATAACAAAACAGTAACAAGACCATTGATGAACTCCTCACATACAGGATTCTGTCTCATCCTTGCAACATCCTCCACCTGGCGGTTGTCCTTGCCTTTGACAGGTGGGACAACTGAGGCTCAGAGGTGCTGTGACCTGGTTGGGGTGTGTCTGGCCCCAGGCCCGTGGCCGATGAGCCTGTAGGGAGGTGGTGAGGGAGTCATCACAGGGTGGTTGAGCAGCGTTAAGTGCTCAACAGAAGCTGGAAACTCCACACTTATAACAGTCCCAATCTGTCCGCTGTGTGTGTTCAGCAGCCCAGGTTCAGCAGTGGAAGCAGCAGGAAGGTGGATTGACCTAGGATTGTGATTTTGCTAAGCAAGGCAGGGACACTGAGGGTATTGATCAGAGAGAGATTGAAGAATCAGAGGTAGGGGGAAGAAACAGAGGGGGAGGAGATCCTCAGAGCAGCAGGCCTCCATCCTGGCTGTGCATCAGAGCTCCCGGGGAGCTCTGAAAAACTCTAGGCGTGCCCAACTCCAGCGATTCCGATTTAATTAGACTAGGGTGGAGTTGGGACCTTGCTGGCTTCTAAAGCCCTCCAGGTGATTGGAGTAAGCAGTCCGGGCTGAGCTTCAGCTCAAAGCAGCACTTCTTAAGGGTGGTCCCGCAGTAGCTGCAGCAGCAGCACTGCATATTTCTTGGAAATGCAAATTCATGAGTCCCACCCCAGACCTGCTGAATTAGACCTTTTGGGGGCGGGGCCCTCTGGGAGATTCTGATGTACCCTAGAGTTGGAGAACCACCGGGTGACAAGATCTGAGACGGAGCAGTGGCATTTGGGATGCTCAGAGCTGGAGTCGCCTGAGTGTGAGGAAGGACCAGGATGGGGTGGGTGGCTGACATGGAGTGCAGATCCAGGCCAATGGGGATCAGGGCCTTGGGAGATGGGGAGCTGGAGAGCTGGCTTGTCATTGTTTCAGGTGATGTGGGACTTGTGATAGGCAGAGTGTGTGGTGAGGAGCTCAGGGACACAAGTCTTCCATAGATGTTTGGGAGGGGGAGTTGGCAAGGGACAGTGACCATCGAAGGCAAATGCTGTGCGCAGAGGTTTTTGAATAGGGTCAACATAACTCCTCAGCTACAGGTCTGGAGAGCAGGAGAATGCGGACCCTGCTGTCCTGGGATTGCAGGTTAAAGGAGGTCCTCGCAGAGTGCAGTTCCAGGCATAGCCAGCAGGTGGAGGGGCGGAGGGAGTGCTCTAGGAGGAGGCGGAGGATGCAGAGGATGCCGAGATGGTGCACAAAGCAAAGCTTCCAGGGGCAGGTGGAAGGTCTTCAAAGAGGAGAGCACAGAATGGGAAGGGCGGGAGGGAGCATGATCAGGTGCCAGGGCCACACCCCTGCTGCACTCTTGCTGTGAGGTCTTGGGAGAGTTACCTAGCCTCTCTGAGCCCCAGTTTCTTCATCCGCAAGCGGGAGTGATGATAATAGGATCTCGGCTGTGGGTGTGAGGCATGGTGGGTCTCGCTGGTCTCCCAGGTCAAGTCGCGTCTGGGGCGGTGCAGCTTGGGTCTGGCTGCTGCTGGACTCTGGAGCCCTTGCCGGTGCCAATCTCAGTTGCTCCTCGTCTGTTTTCCAGGCCTCCCTTCATCCTGGCTTGCTGTCTATGGCGCAGAATCCTCACCATTTTACTTCTTTCCTGTATGATGCTGGGCAAAGCAGACAATCACTGTGACACTCAGTATTTTCATCTGTAACGGGTTAATCTCACCTCGCAGGATGGTGGTGTGATGAAATGAAATGGCATAAATGCAGACACCTGGCACATTACAGAGCCCGACTCCTGGCTTCCTTTCTCTCTCCTTTGCACCACATGCAGGGCTGGTAGGGGTCCAGCGCTTCATTTAGAAGTTACCTTGCCCTGTCTCTGATGACCCCAGCCGCTATTACAAATCCTCATCCTCTGTGTCTTTCAGAGGCTCTAAGGTGCTATAGGACAGTTTTTGAAATAATTCCTCCAGGTGCTAAGTGTGTGTGTGTGGAGGGGAGGGCAACAGGTGTGTCTCTTACTCCAGCGCCTTCTCTCCTGTGAGCTCATTAATCCAGTGGTTTTCCACCCTGTCTGCACACTATAATCAAATGGGGGAGTTTTCAGCATGTCACTGTCCATCTTCAGCCCAGGCCATAAGTCTATTCATCAGATTACTAATCTTGCTTTTTTATTACTGCTATTTGCGAGTCTGATGTGCTCCCAGCTTCCTGCAGAGGAACGCGGTACCCGGCAGAGTGGTGGGGAAGGTAGGTCGGGGCCTTGCAGAACTTCTCATGTCTCACTACTTGAAGAGGTGACCCCCCCACTCCCACCCCGGTCCCAAAGCTCCCTCGGGGCATGCTTCATGCTCTGCTAACTCTGTCGCCCCCTCGCCCACCCCCAGGACCAAGTGCACGTGTGTGAGACCTCACTGCTGCGACGCTGGAGGAAGGTATCTTTGCCAAATGTGTACACAAAGAGGACTGCTTATATTACCGAAGCACTGCACTAAGTTTGTTCCGGAAAACGCTGTTTTCCATGAGTGAAAACGGAGAGCTACCTGAGCCCCCATCAATTACCTTTGCCCTTGAGATCTTGAATTAAGTGCTTTTCAATTGAATCAGGCATAAGGAACAGTGTGCTTCTTGCCTGTTAATAGCAGACACCAACCCATTTTGAAAATTGCATTGGGAAATGTCTTCTTGGGGATTTGACAAAAATTGTTCCATGATTTTAAGCACAGCTTATTTTCCTCCTGTTTACACAAAGTTTGTAAGGAAAAAAAATGGTGATGTTCGGAACAACTGTGTAAATATGTTTACGGATGTACTTTTCTATAGTGTTAGTATCCAACACTAAAAGTCACCTAGCAACAAATTAAGGAACCATGAAAGAATCAGAGAAGCAGCACGCCTGCCTCCAGATCATAACCAGGAGGCCTGGTGAATCTTGGCCGCCAGTTGCAGATACCCTCATAGAAAACGTCCCTGGAACTTCACAAGCTTTGCTGTGGCTACAGAGCCATCTCGTGGTTCTGCACAGTATCAGCTACAAGGAAGAGGACTGCACCAGGCCTTCCTCAGTCTATCAGCACCTAAAATGCGGCTTGGGACAAGTCCTTGTTTGTAATCAATAAAATCCATTCCTTCCCACCGCACCGTGTCAGCGTTTGCGCTGCTCTCCTGAGTCGCGGGAGTGAATAAGACAGAAAGAACAGGTAAAGAGGAGGGCAGGCTTGAGAACTGACAAGAACTTGAGCTCTGGGAAATCTCTGTAGCTTAAGGAATAATATGTTCATCTATCCGTGGTCCTACGCAACCAATTTACTGGCTAGGCCAGGAGAAAGAGCTGTCTAGCCTTTTCCATGTGACAAGGAAACGGTAACAATAGATATGAGACCTTTCAGAATTTTCAACAATTCTCAAGGCTTGAAGCCTGGCTACCTTTGGGAAAAGACATTTCTGTAGGATGTGTCAGATCTCGTCCTTCCGTGTTTTAATGTTTCTGTCAAACAGTGTAGGTCAATGTCAGTGTTCTAGGATGCAATATTTATAGGGCTCCCTTTTGCCTGGCCTTATCTTGCTTTCAGGGAGAAATGCACAGCCCTGTCTGCAAACATGCTCTGTGGCCTTTTGATTTGATGTGTTCCAGTTTGAGTGACAGCTGGGTTTGTTAATTATGACTGCTATGTATCCTGGAGAAAATCTAGTAATCTTTATCAAATAATTTAAAATGAATAGTATAGTAACGTCTTGAAACACTTGGAATAAGCTTGAGACTTCTAGCAGAGAATCTGAAGAATAACTTGAGATCAACAATAACTCTACAGTTATCCACAGATAGATATTATGATGACTGGATTTTTTGGATTAATTTTTAAAAATTCAATATTGATATAGGTGCTTGGAAACAAAAGTAGCTAAATATGTTAGAAGGTACTGGAACCTCGGGATATGTTTCATGAGGTTGTATGTTAGTAACCAGATTGCAGGGGCATAAATCTATTGATGCTATAGGAGTTTTTCTTACAAATATTAATTAAACTTTCCATTAAAAAGCAAAACGTGTACATTATATAAATTTGAAACCATGTAAATTTCAAGAGACGATAAATGACTCATAGTCTTATTACTGTTAATATTTCATACATTGCTTTCAATTTTCTTTTTTCTTTTTATGCAGTGTTTAAAATACAGCTGGTGATAATAGACACATTGTTTCATTTTTCCTCTAACATTGTGTCTCTATGTTAGCTAATTTTTTATAAATATCATTTTAATAACAGCACAACAGTTCTAATATAGACAAAAAGTTATGCACAGACATACATTTACCTTGTTATTAAAAACACTCCCCAAAGCCTGGGCAACATAGTAAAACCTCATCGCTACAAAAAAAAATCTTTTTTTAATTGGTTGGGCATGGTGGTGTGCACCTGTAATCCTATCTACTCAGGAGGCTGAGGCAGGCTGATCCCTCGAGCCGAGGAGTTCGAGGCTCCAGTGAGCTATGATCGCAGCACAGCACTCCAGCCTGGGCAACAGAGCAAGACTTCTTCTCCTAACAACAACAAAAAACCTCCCAAAAGAGAAGCAAATATGTAAGCTAGGATTGCTTCTTAGTCCTTGCTATTATACATAACAGCAGTGCAAGTCTTTGTGCAAAAATTTATCTAGTTTTTTTTTTTTTTTTTTTTTTTTGAGACAGAGTCTCACTTTGTCACTCAGGCTGGAGGGTAGTGGCGTGATCTCGGCTCACTGCAACCTCCGCCTCCCGGGTTCAAGCAATTCTCCTGCCTCAGACTCCCGAGTAGCTGGGATTTCAGGCGTGTGCCACCATGCCTGGCTCATGTTTGTATTTTTAGTAGAGATGGGGTTTCACCATGTTGGCCAGGCTGGTCTCGAACTCCTGACCTCAGGTGATCCACCCACCTCGACCTCCCAAAGTGCTGGGATTACAGATGTGAACCACTGCACCTAGCCTAGATTTAGAATTATTACTTTAGGATGCAGTCCCAGAAGTAAAATGATTGCATCGAAGGGTATCCATGTATTCACAGGCCTCTATCACCATCCTGCTTTCCACAGGAGGTACCCACAAGCACTTCCACAAAAAATATCTGAGAATACTTACCTTACCTATATCTGTCGCATGAAATGCATGATGTTAAGAAAGGATTCAGAATTAACCCCTCCCGCCATGGACCAGATCATCATCACCCTGTCTTCAGTGAATGAACCCTCTGCCAGGGTATGGTGGTGGAGCAGGTGTCCTGAGCTTGAACATGACACCTTTCATGATAAGTACTTATGGCCCCCAAAACAAATAAGCATGTGGACATTGTTTCTGGCTTTCTGTTTGTACTCTGTCCCTCTTCTTAGGTCAACCAGGCACCGCCCAAGCTTCCCAAGCTGTGCTTAGCTCCCCTTTTCTGTCATCCAGGCCCTGCCAGGGGTTAACACAGCAGTCCTTGCTGTGTTGCTCTCGTGCCTGCTGGAATGACTTTTTTCTCTCTTTCTTTCCTCCAGGTGTCCAACGTCCTCCTATTCTTCTGCTCGTGGTTTGCAAGACACTGTGTAACCTCAGATTATAAGGTTCCCACATATATTCCCCTTTTACCCACTGCAGAGCCTAATACTTTTCTTTTCTTTTTTCTTTTTTCTTTTCTTTTCTTTTTTTTTTTTTTTTTTTTTTTTGAGACAGGGTCTCATTCTCACCTAGGCTGAAGTGCAGTGGCACAATCATGGCTCACTCGAGGTCACTATCCTGGACATCCCAGGCTCAGGTGATCCTTCCACCTCAGCCTCCCAAGTAGTTGGGACTATAGGCATGCACTACCACACCCAGCTATTAGTAATTTTTGTATTTTTTGTAGAGATGGGGTTTCACCATGTTGGCGAGGCTGGTCTCAAACTCCTGGCCTCAAGTGATCTGCCCGTCTTGGCCTCCCAAAGTACTGGGATTACAGGCGTGAGCCATGGCACCCGGCCCTGATTCATTTCTTTGGTTTAAAGTGTAAATGGTGTTTCTTGTCACCTTTTAAAATGTGAGTGCTCTTGGGAAAGGAAATTCATTAAACTGCTTCAGACCATAATTATCTTAATATGAGGTAATCTGTCAGGCCCGTCCCTTCTCCCCCTTTTTTCTCCTCTCCCCCATTGCCTCCTTTTTCTTTCTTCCTTTCCTCCCTTTCATGCAGTTTTATGTATATAAGTGTTTTTAAAAGTCAAATAGTTTTATAAGGCTTATAACAAAAAAGAGGCATCTCTCTCTCCACCCTTCCTCACTCTCAGTTCTGATTTCCTAGAAAGCAACCACTCTTTTAAGTTTTCCTTATGGTTTTTGACTCCATATTTCTAAATAAATGGGAATACTGTGATTTTTTGACTTTTAAAAAAATTTTTAGATAGTGCCTGTTGGTTTCTGTTATAGAAGATGAATATATAGCTCTTTTTTTTACCCCAACCCACATAAACACACACCAACATCAAGGTTTACGTTATTATAATTAAATATTATTCACAGCTGAGCCACATAGGTACAGTAATTAAATGTCCCTTCTATAAATTTTCATTTTTGTTTTCTTTGATTATTAATTTATCCTCAATTCCCTACCACTTGTAGTATCTCCTTACAATCTATTCAAATGCCTCAGAGCATCTGATCAATTTCATCTTCTTTCTTAAGACCTCCTTCTTGGTGTCCAGCCCATTATAACCTCGGCTGCTTTCCTGATGTCCCTATACCTCTTTTCCTGGGTAAATCCCATGTCTTCCTCTTCTTGACTCACTTGCTTATTTTGGAGGAGGACATCTTCCAGTAGCTTCCTTAGAAGAGTACATGGAGAATGAAATTTGAGAACTTGTAGGTCTAAAATCTTTTTACCCTACTCTTATTCATGATTTGGTAACTTGGCTAGCTGTCTTAGTCCAGTCACACTGTTATAACAAAATACCATAGACTGGGTACCTTATAAACAATAGAAATTTACAACATTAGTTCTCGTCCACCTAGGGTATGGGGAGACATGTCCGAAATCAGGAAGGCCCTTGACAGCCAAGCAGCAGCCTGAACACTCAACTTCATGGAGGATAAAGGCTACCAGGAAGGAAGAGAAGGGGGGAGAAGGAAAGGGAGAGATTGTCAGAGAAAAATTGTTACTTCAACGTGGGCATTAGGTGAGCCAGGGCCTCCGTAAAACTAATGCACTAAATCAAGGATGGTCCAGCTACCAGGACAGGCCCCCGGTATGAAGTGCAGCAAGACACAATCCAAGTCCTGTCTAAAGTCGCAGGATGACAGATTAACAGAGCCGAAAGGGACCACAGTGATCATCTCTCCAACTCTTTCATTCGAGGCTCAGGGCTTCAGGGCTATGTCTTGGTTCACAGAACACAGTGCTGGCTGCAACCGGTGCCACCATAGAAGGACAGCACCCACTGCCCATGTGCGTTGCTCTCCGGCTCCACAGAACTTGATGCACAGCTTTGTGCACTGGGCACTGGCTGACTCCCTCAGCGGTAACTGTTTCTCATCAGCTCCTCACAGTCTGCCTTCCAGCCACCCGGGGGGCCCCTGGGCTCTGCAAATTCACCATCAGCTCTGCCGCTTTGAGCTTCTGACATGCTGTTTTCTTAGGTCCTCTTGGGTTTCGAGTTACATTTTAGGATGGTCACTTTTTTTTGCTTTTTGGACTGGAACAAGAAAAGACTAAAAGGAGGCTGCTGTAGTGGTCCAAGCCCTCCATCACAGTGGCATGGACCAGGTAGAGATGGTGGCCGTAGCAAGAAATGGGCAAATTTGAGGCTTATTTTTGAAGGAGAACTGATAGGACTTGCTGATGGACTAATGATGGAAGTGGGGGAGTCAGGTGTAACTCCTCAGTTCCAGCTTAAGGAAGTGGAAAGTCATGGTGCCACTCACTGTCAGAGGCAAAGCTGGGTCATGAAGAGGTGGTTTGGGGGGGAAATAAAGAGATTTTTAAGACATGCAAAATTAATTGCAGTGTTTCAGACAGATACAACAGGAGGTTGTCTGAAAATGCCAAATGAACATAACCCTGAACCCTGGGGGTCTCAGAATACTCTTCTGGGAAATCAAAAGGCTGAATAATATCATCCTGATGTACCCCTCCCACACACCAACAACCTTCATTCCAACACTTGGTCTAGGCTGGTCTCTCTCCAGAAGTTGGATATGTCGACTCGTATCTCAGAGGAGAGATCTAGGCTGAAATGCATGGACTTGAGACAGCAGCATGAAGATGAAACTTAAATTCAGGGTAACTTATGCAGTCATATGGGAAGAAAGTATGGGAAGAAAAGAGAAGATGACTCTGGGCTGCCTGAGCCTTCAGGAGTCCCAGCTTTCAGAGGTCAGGTAGGTGAGAAAGACTCTAATAGCTCCTGTTCTTTTAGCACTTCTGGAGGAAGGTGGGCAAAGCAGTAGAAAACCTGTTCAAACTTAAATGACTCAAGTTTTCCCTTGACTTCTGGAGTATGCCTGGTAGGGACGAAGACTACAACTATTACCTAAAACCCAGCCTCTGGCAACCAGGAAATGACTCCCTCTGTGAGGACCATGACCCAGTTAAATCGAAAGCTACTCCAAACCCCAAGAACAGGTTTTCTAAAGAAAGACCCTGTCTATTAAAACCCCTGGAAACTGAAGATGTGATTTCACAGTTTGACAGTTGATTCTGTGGTGGACTGTGTTTGTGACACATAGGGAAACAGTTAATGATAGAAAACATCATCACTTCTGAAGGAGGGCATTAGAGAAGGTTACTTGTGGCTCAATAATTCTTCAGGGGGCCAGATGTGGTGGCTCACGCCTATAATTCCAGCATATTGGGAGGCCGAGATGAAAGGATCACTCGAGGCCAGGAGTTTGAGACCAGCCTGGGCAACGTAGTGAGAACCCTGTCTTTACAAAAAAAAAAAAAAAAAAATTAAAAATAGCTGGGCATGGTGGCATGCACCTGTAGTTCCAGCTGCTCAGGAGGGTGAGGCAGGAAGATCACTTGAGCCCAGGAGCTGGAGTCTGCAATGAGCCATGATCACACCACTGCACTCCAACAGCAGAGAAAGACCCTGTCTCTAAATAAATAAATAGTAATAATAATAAAAATACTAGTAATTCTTCAGGGAGTACCAAATTCAAGATCAGGGCAAAGTTTTCCCACATTCAGAGAAAAGTGGACAGTGAGAACGAAAGCATGAAACTCAAATGGTGAGTCCAGGCCCAAATGGAGTCATTCATACAGTAAGCAAGTTGCTGTCATTTTTTAATGTAAAATTGGGCAGCTTCCCCTGCCTCTTTCTTCTTCTCATCAAGATAAGTAAGTTTTCTGCCCCATTGGATATCAGGCTAATTTCCAGCTTCTTTGTATATTAGAAGTAAATTTAGAAACGACAATAGGATTAAAAAGAAGACATGGTGCTTACTCACACACTTTCATCTTAAACAATTTAATTTTTAAAACTGCTACCTAAACGAAAATGAACAAGATCATTTTAATTTTCAAATTACATATTTCTAAAAAACACAACCCAGTAGCTTCCAGCAGAGGAAAGTCCTCTTACTGTGAGTCTCAACTAATCATTTGTGACTCTGAAAAATGAAGCTTTAAAATTGAGATTTTTTTAAAGTGCAGCTGTAATTATTTATTCAAAAACAACCTCAGCTATATTATGTCCAGCAGAATAATATATAGTCTCCCACTCGAGAATGAGGATTATCAGGTCTTCCAACAATCTATCAGAAGCCAGTAGAAATGAGTGTATTTTCATGCAAATAACTGAGATATTCTTTTTAAAGAATTAATATCCAACTTCTGTTGCATAAAATTGTCTAGCATTATTTTAGTTTCTTGCAAACTAGAAAACTACAAGTTATACAAAAATGACTAATAGGATGGAAAATACTTTTGATAGCTTTATTGATTAGGGGAAAGGATATACTTCTTGCTCTTTATAAAATAAAATGGAAATGGTACAGAAAAGTACAAAAGGAAATAAAGATCATCTGCAATCATATCACCTAGAGATGGCTACGGTAAACATTTTGTGTATGTTCACAATCTTTTTCTCTGTGGCTGCTTGTGCCCTCCACAGCACATACACAGCCCACCCCCTACACACAACATTGAGATCCCATTGTTAGTACTTGCCTGGTGATCTTTTCCCCTTAATCATGAACAAGCTCTTTTGTGGTTTCATAGTCTGCTCACAAGTATTAACATCTACATAGTATTCCATGGCATAGCCACACCAGCATTTACTTAACATTCCCAGATTACTGAGCATTGAGTGTGGTTTTTTTTCCAGTTACAATAATGGTGCAGTGAATAATCTGTACATAAGAAGCCTCGTTTACATCTCCGATAACTTCCTTAAGATAAATTTCTATAAGTAGAATGGGTGTGTCTAAGTACGTTTCACACATTCAAGTTTTTTTTTAATTAATAGACTATTTTCTAGAACAGTTTTAGTTTCACCCCCAGTGTGGTGCATTCGTTACAATTGATGACCTATATGGATACAACATCGTCACCCCAAGTTCATACTTTACATTGGGGTTCGCTCTTGGTATTGTACTTTCTATGGATTTGGACAAATGTATAAAGAAATACATTTTCCAGTATAGAATTACATAGAGTAGTTACACTGTCCCCAAAATCCTTGGTTACCCACATTTTAAAGGCAAGTTAAATATTACCTAAGAGTGGACCAATTCATACTCTACCAGTGTGTATGAAAGTTTCTGTACCCAGAAATATTGTAACACTAAGAATTTGATATGATTTGGATCTGTGTCCCCGCCCAAATCTTATGTTGAAATGTAATCCCCAGTGCTGGAGATGGGGCCTGGTGGGAGGTGACTGGATCATCGGGGCGCTTTCTTGTGAAGGGTTTGACACCACTCCCCTTAGTGCTGTAGTGAGTTCTCTTGAGATCTGGTTGTTTAAAAGTTTGTGATACCTCCCCATCCTCTCTCTTGCTCCTGCTCTGGCCATGTAAGATGTGCCTGCTTCCCCTTTGCCATCTGCCATGATTTAAGTTTCCTGAGGCCTCCCCAGAAGCAGAAGTCATGGTTTTCTGTGCAGCCTGCAGAACCATGAGCCAATTAAACCTCTTTTCTTTATAAATTACCCAGTCTCGGGTATTTCTTTATAGCAGTGCAAGAAAGGACTAATACAGAGTTATAAGAAAAAAATCTTTACCCATTTGATAGCCGAATGATGATATCTCGTTTTGATCTTTTAGTGAGTTTTAATGAGTCATGTAGCTGTTGGTTATTTGAATTCTATAAAATGTTCATACCCTCTGCCTGTTTTAAAGTTGAGTGTTCATTCTTTCTTATTGGTTTATTAGAGATACTTATATTATTCATTTTCATGTATATTGCAATGATATTTTCCTTGTTCAGAGACTGTCTTTTATGTTCTGTATTTAATGGTTGTAGTTTATTGATTTTTTTAACATATAGATGTTTTATTTCTTACATAGTTAAATCTATGGAAAATTAGTTGGTCCTGATTATTTGAAACTAGAATTTATAAATAGTGATTTTAAAAAGAAAATACAAATCACCAATACAAATAAAAAGGTCATACCATCACAACTAGGAAATCCAACATAAAACAATAATATACCATTTTAAATCTATTATATTAGCAAAGATTAAAAGCCTTGATAATCTGACTTGTTGATGAAAGCATATGAAAATAAACACTTTTATACTCTGCTGGTGGATGTGTGAATTCAGCAACTTCTTTGGAGGGCCATTTGTCAATACCCATTTCTATTTAGAATACAGAGACCCTTTGACCCAGCAATTCCTCTTCTAGTCGTTTAGCCTATTTTGTCATTTATTCTGGTAGAAGTGTGTAAAGATATATGTACAGGAGGTTTATGATAGCATTACTTGTAATAGAAGAAAGGTAAAAACCAACCTGTATTATTTATTTATTCAACAGACATTGATGTAGTGCTTACTATGTACTAAGCATCACTCTAAGCATTTTACAAATATAAACTGATTAAATCTTCCTAGAAGTCCTGTACAGTTAAGATACACAAGTTTCAGAAACTGTGATTCCAGCTAGCTTAAGAAAACAGAGAAGTTAGTCTCTCATATAACGCTAAGTCCAGAGGTGAGAAGCCCAGATGTGGTGTGAGAAACAACTCAAAGCTGCCCCCCAGGAGCTAGGTCTTTCCTGGCTCAGCTCTGCCATTTCTTGGATCAGCACCTCTTCTCGCAGTTGCAAGATGGCGGCACGTTTCCTGGTGCCTTTCTAGAGAGGAGACAAAGAAGATAGAAGGCAGAGCATAGCTCCTCTCCCCTAGCTATGCATGTGCTCTAAGCCCTAACCTTCAGTCTAATTGATCAGTTTAGGTTAGGTATATATTCCCAGACCAACAACTATCACCTGGGTTAAGCCAGGTTCTGCAGGGCTTGGGTTAATCAGTCTTCTCTTCTGGAGCTGCGGGAAGGGATAAATAATTGAACAAACTTAGAATGGAAAGAGGGAACAGATGATGTTAGGAAGGCAACAAATAGTGCCCATCACACAACCTCAATATCCATAAGGAGTTGATTAAATATATTCATGGTGTATCCATTAAATGGAAGCTTGTATACCATCGAATAGAACAAGATAATCTATATATGGTGACATGGAAAAATCTCAGCTGTATTGTCTTAGTCCATTTGTGCTGCTATAAAGAAATACCTGGGGCTGGGTAACTTATAAAGAAAAGAGGTTTATTTGGTTCACGATTCTGCAGGCTGTACTGGAAGCATGGCACCAGCATCTGCTTCTGGTGAGGACCTCAGGAAGCTTCCAATCATGGTGAGAGGGAGTGGAACAGGCATCACATGGTGAGAGAGGGAGGAAAGAAGAGAGAGAGGGGAGGGGTCCCACATTCCTTTAAACACCCAGGTCCTGCATAAACTAACAGAGTGAGAACTAACTCATTACCGTGGTGATGGCACCAAGCCATTCATGAGGGATCCACCCCTATGACCCAGACACCTCCCACTAGGCCCCACCTCCAACACTGGGGATCAGATTTCAACATGAAATTTGGAGGGGACAAATATCCAAACTATATCATATATTAATTTTTTTTTTTGAGCACAGTCTCTCTCTCTGTCACCCAGGTTGAAGTGCAGTGGCACGATCTCAGCTCACTGCAACCTCCGCCTCCTGGGTTCAAGAGATTCTCCTGCCTCAACCTCCCAAGTATCTGTGACCACAGGTGTGTGACACCACACCTGGCTATTTTTTGTATTTTTAGTGAAGATAGGGGTCTCATCATGTTGCCCAGGCTGGTCTCAAACTCCTGATCTCAAGTGATCTGCCCACTTCAGCTTCCCAAAGTGCTGGGATTACAGGCGTGAGCCACCATGCTCGGCCAATTTTTTTTTTTTAAGTAAAAGAATATTGGGTATCATACGCTGTTAATTGGTAGAAATAGAGAAATAAATCAATTATGTTTGGATACACATAGGAAATTACTGAAATTACTTCTAAGGAGTGAAATTAAAATGGAAAAGAAGTAGGGAAATTATGATGAGTAAATTTTGGTTTAAGAAAGCATTTTGGATTTCAAACAAAGTTTTCTTGGAATGTGTGGTAGGCAGAATAATGATCTCCTAAGATATCCATGTCCTAATCCCCAGAACCTGTGAATATGTTACTTTATGTGGCAAAAGAAACATGATTGAAGTAAGGATCTTGAGATGGGGAGTTATGTAATCTTAGGGGTCCTTATGAGAGGAAGGCAGGAGGGTTAGAGTGCAAGAAGATGTGACTAGAGAAGCAGTGGTCAGAGTCAGAGGGAGAGGGGATGATGAGGATATATTGCTGGCTTTGAAGAGGAGGATGGGGCCACAAGTGAAAGGGTGCTGGAGGTCGCTAAAGACTGGAAAAGGTGAGGAAATGGATTCTTCCCTGGAGCCGCCACAAAGGACACACACCTGAAAACATCTTGATTTTAGCCCAATAAGACCCATTTTTGACTTCTGACTTCAAAGCTGTAAGTTAATACATTTGTGTTGTTCTAAGCCACTAGATTTGCGGTAATTCGTTACAGCAGTAATAGGCAATGGATGCAGAAAAGACATTTTCATTCTTACTCTGTTGAATTAATTTTAAGTTGAAAATATAGGGCTGGAGAAAGTGAATTACTTGCCTCTGAAGTCCTGCTATCAAATATACATAAAACACTTTTAAAGGCAGGTGTGGTGGCCCATGCCTGTAATCCCAGCACTTTGGGAGGCCAAGGCGGGTGAATCATGAGTTCAAGAGATCGAGAACATCCTGGCCAACATGGTGAAACCCTGTCTCTGTTTAAAAATACAAAAATTAGCTGGGCATGGTGGTGTGCACATGTAGTCCCAGCTACTTGGGAGGCTGAGGCAGGGGAATCGCTTGAACCCGGGAGGCAGAGGTTGCAGTGAGCCGAGATGGTTCCACTGCACTCCAGCCTGGCAACAGAGGGAGACTCCGTCTTAAACACACACACACACACACACACACACACACACACACACACACACACTTTTAATAGTCGCATAGAGCAAATTAACTAAGTGCAGCTTTGTATTATAGATGCATAATAATGGTTGTTGGAAAATAGGAGCTCTGGACTTGGCTTCTCATTCTGCCTTTGCATTTACTATCTCTGTGACCTTGGGTTGGTTATTTGTCCTCTCATTTATTAAGATGGAAACCATCATGCTTTCTTTTATGGGGCCACTGTGAGAACTCAATGAATTAATGTATTGTTTTAAAATGTACCCGAGATTTGGGTTTTATTCAAGTATGGTGAGGCCAACAAATCAGGAGACAGCTGCCATTGAAAAGATAGTTTATTATTCACAGTTCCCAAGAGGAAGGGCCATACCCACGCAGGGCCACAGGAGGGAACTGCCTGGGTAAGTCATGAACTCAGGGGAGAGGTCCAGGCTGGAGAGCAAGCTGTCACCTAAGAACATTCACACTTGGAAAGGAAAAGGAGGAAGAGGCATTGTTGTAACCTGGATTCTCTAGGTGCAGAGCCTATGATATATCGAGAGTGTATTCTCAGGAGAAAATGGTAAAGGAGTCCAGGGAGGGGAGGGAAAGAAGCCACATGAGAACATGGGTTTTGGATAAAGTCTAGCTTCAGCTTTATCCTGCTCTGGAGTGTGAATTCTAGCACAGAGTCTTGAGGCAGGTGAATGAGATATCTATATCCCTACACCTTTTGGTCCTGGACCATGGGCTGCTAGAGCAGAAGTCAGGGCAGTAGAAGAGAGGTGTCTTTGAGGCCAGGCACAGTGGCTCATGCCTGTAACCCCAGCACTTTGGAAGGCAGAGGTGAAGGGATTGCTTGAGCCCAGGAATTCGAGACCAACCTGGGCAATATAGTGAGACTTTGTCTTTACAAAAAAACATTTTAAAAATTAGCTGAGCATGGTGGCACATGCCTGTAGTCCCAGCTACTAGGGAAGCTGAGGCAGGAGGACTACTTTAGCCCAGGAGTTTGAGACTGCAGTGAGCTATGACGGTCCCACTGCACTCCAGCCTGGGCAACAAGAGAGGTGGTTTTGAAAGTTTGGGGGCAAGCCTCTAGAGAAGGTCACAGGTGCAAACCATTAATCACAGAAGCCAGAGCAGCCGGGAGATGGGCGCACCAAGCAAGCTGGTCAAAAGGCCCCCAGGGCATTGGCAGAGCATGATAGCACCTGCTATAAGCCACCCCTTACCCCACTCAGATCCTCCTGCTTCTCACCTGAGGAGTCCCCATCCTGCCAGCAGTAGCATGCTGGCTGCTCCCAGACTCTGGGAAAACTCACCAGATGCGAGTTAAGGGGCAAGCTACAGCCCAACTGGAGCAATTGGTCCCAAGGCTGCTACTGATGCTCATCATTGCCGGATCCCACCACCCATTCCAGATGCCCTTTGCCTGGTGCTCTCACTGCTGTCAGAGAGCCAGATCTTGAACAGCCTTTCCTGCCGTCAGCCCTGGTCTGCAGGAAAACAACCGTGCTGAGCCTCACAGCAGTGCCAACTTCCTCCTCAGCAGCACCTTCTCAGTTTTCTTGTCTTTTTTTTTTTGAACAGGGTCTTGCTCTGCCACCGAGGCTGGAGTGCAGTGGTGCCATCATAGCTCACTGCAGCCTCAAACTCCTGGGCTTGAGCAATCTTCCCACCTCAGCCTCCTGAGTAGTTAGGACTACAGGTGCACACCACCATACCTGGTTAATTTTTTAAAATATTTTTTAGGGGCAGGGTCTCGCTATGTTGCCCAGGCTGGTCTCAAGCTCCTGGGCTCAAGTGATCCTCCTGCCTCAGCCTCCTAAAGTGCTGGGATTACAGGCATGAGCCACCACACCTGGCTTGTCTGAGTTTTCTTTCTATTGCTGCATAAGAAATGAGCACACACTAGAACTTGAAACAATGCACATTTTTTATCTCACAGTTTCTGACAGTTTGCGCAGGTCAGAAGTCTGGGTGCAGTGTGGTTAGATTCTCTGTTCAGGGTCTCACCAGGATAGAATCAAGGTGTCAGCAGGATGAGTTCTCACCTAGCACAGGGGGTCCTCTTCCAAGCTCCCTGGATGTTGCCAGAATTTGGGACCTTAGGGTTTTAGGACTGAGGTCCCAGTCTCCTGCTAGCTATCAGCTGCTGCTGGGAGTTTGGTACTGGGAAGTGGGTTGCTACTGTAACAAATACCTAAAAATGTGGATGTGGCTTTGGAACTGGGTCATAGGTAGAGGCTGGAAGAGCTCTGAAGTACCTGCCAGAAGCACATCCTAGATTTTCTTGAAAAGGCTATTAGTAGAAAGATGGCTGTAACAGGTGCTTCTGGTGAAGACTCTAGCAGAAATAAGGAGTGAATTATTGCCCACTAGAGGAAGGGTGATCTTATGTAGTTGCAGAGAACTTGGGGCTGTGGCACCCCAGTGGCCTTGGCACGCCAGGGGCCATAGCACCCCAGACTGCTCCACCTGCCACCAGTGCTGGGTCCTCACTATTGGTAAGCTGGTGGGTGACCCAATGCAAGAGCCCTATGTCTAGAGTCTACTTTTAGAACTACTCCTGATATTGAACACTTTAATTATGGTTCCTTAGAAGCAGAGCCCACGACAGGGATTTTAAAAACAAGAACACTCATTACTGGCAAGAATGAAACTTGTACTCTGTTCTCTGTTAATGGTTTAGGTTGCTTTGGAAACAACTTTACAATGTATATGAGTTTGTATCCTGAAGTTTAATTGAATAATTCCATTTCTGGAACTGTATCTTATGGTAATCATAAGAAGTAAACACAAAAATATTCAATTCAGTGGTTATTTATTGTGAAAAAATGGAAGACAACCAAATTGTTCTGTAACTGAATGTTCAGTGATAAATTATTGAATTATTTACACCTTGTTTCATTGCCAAGACTGCTTCAACAGATTCTAGTTACTTAATAGTATATTAAGTGATAATGGCAGTAATAAACATGCTTGTGTTATAATTGCAGGGGAGTGAACCAATCCATAGACTTGGGGGGAAGACAGAAATATTCATTTCCTATGTTCTTAAATGAAATGAAATCCAAATGCAGCCTTCGTCTCCCTGGACTAGCAGGAAATTTCATCCCAGGCATAATCTATTCCTCCCTCACCTTTTTCCAGTTCAGTAAATTATGTCCCCACCATATAGCCCTTAAATCTAAACTCAGGCCACATTCCTGGATTGCTGTCTCTTCCTCTGCCTCCCACCTCACACCCAGGATCAGCAGGTGCATGCCCCCTGAGCCCACTGCCAGTCTGTTCATCCTCCGAGTCCCAACCTACCCATCCCCTTTACCGCCCTGGACTGGTCCCTAACTGGCCTTCCTGAAGCCCATCTTGCTCCATCCACTCCTCCAAAGCCTCCGAAGAGCATCCAGATGATCTTTTAGAAGAATCCGGCAGGACACATCGTATTCCTGCCCACAACCCTCCTGCAGTCACCCGTCACCCGAGGCACGTCTCACCTCCCATCCCAGCTGGTGAAGCCCTCCTAGATCTGGTGCCGTGACTCTCACCCTCCCCTCTCCCTGCCCTCTCTGCAGGAGCCCCCATTTTGTTCTGTAAGCATTCCAAGCTCAGCCATGCCTGAGCCCTCTACCAACTGCCCCCTGCCTGGGATGGCTTCCCTCAGGGTCATTTCATGGCCAGCTCTTCAGCCTGAGAGTCATTTCTGTGGAGGTCACACCTATCGCTTCACCTGATCTTGATTCTTGGCAGGACACTCAGCACATGCTAGGTTTCTTTTTCATGCACTCATTCCCCATCCCTCCCCGCTGCTCCACTAGATTATAAGCTCAAGGAGAAGGGGGGACCTCATCCACCTTGTTTATCACTGAATTCCCGGTACCTTCAGTGGTCCTGACACACATCCCTAGGAAATGTCTCTTGGATAAATTTTTCCTTCCAATATGCTCAGGGTCCCAGCCAGCTCTGTCCCTTCTGGCCCGAGTGCTTTCCAGTCTCTCTGTGATGCCTGAGGCTGAGGGGGCCTAGAGGAGGCAGAAAGGCCCCTGGCTGGTCTCCAGCCTCCCTGTGTGCCCTGGGCGGACCAACTCATTCCGCACGGTGACATCCTCTCCCGAGGGGTTGCCCCTGAGCAGGATGGGATTCCCTCCTCACCCCCACCCCATACTCCCTGCGTCCTTCAGGCTGGGCAGGGCTCCAGCTCTCCTGCCAAGGCCCAAGGCCTGGGCTCTTCCTTGGTATTCGAAGCATTCAGCAGAAGCTATGCAAAAGTGTTTGGGGTTAGGGATTGTTCGTTTATTTAAATATCCGTACTGTTTAAGCAGCTCTCAGTTTTCCTGTGGGAAAATCTTTGAAGTTGAGAGTTGGAATACACAAAGAATAGGGGAAACGCAAATTATCCTGCCACACAGTGTAGAGTGAAAACCACCGAACGCAAAATTGTAGGAAGTGACTGATTATAATGCTTTTTTGAATGCATAGACAAAACACTCAGAGAAAGTAAAATAAAGTATTATCCATGGTTGTTTTGAAAGAGCTGTCACTATGGGTAATAGTGACTCTTCAACTTTCACATCTTTTCTCTATTTTATGTAATGAGAGTATGTTACTTTTATAAATCTTTAAAAGTTTTAAAATTGTACTTAAAATTTTTTAAACCAAGAATTTCTCATCTGATTATTATTTGAAAATATTCAAATGTGCATGTAGATTTTGTTACAAGAATGTTTATTAAATAATTTTTCCATGATAGTGAAAAAAGTAAAAGCAAACTAAACATCCAAAAATGGAGAGACCCACCATGGTGAAATATGGGCAGGTGTTAGAAAGCCTGGTTGTAGAAGAATATGCCACATTACAGAAAAATGTTCGCTATGCAGATAGGTTCAAAAAAGACTATAAAACAGAATATGACCTCATTTTTGTGACTATATGTAAATACTTGAGAAAAACTGCTTCAGAATATAAAGCCAAAGTTAGCCTTCCTTATTGTTCAGAGGTGGCATTACAGGTAATATTCATTTTCTTATTTGTACTTATCTTTTTCCCCCACTTTTTTTTTTTTCCCAAGATGGAGTTTCACTCTTGTCTCCCAGGCTACAGTGCAGTGGCGCAATCTCGGCTCACTGCAACCTCCGCCTCCTGGGTTCAAGGGATTCTCCTGTCTCAGCCTCCTGCTGAGGTGACACCTGCCACCGCGCCCAGCTAATTTTTGTGTATATTTAGTAGAGATGGGGTAACACCCTGTTGGTCAGGCTGGTCTTGAACTCCTGACCTCAGGTGATCTGCCCATCTCAGCTTCCCAAAGTGCTAGGATTGCAAGCGTGAGCCACCGTGCCTGGCCTTTCCCCGACTTTTTTAAAACAATGAACATTAGGTATTACTCTTCCAGTATGGAAAAGACAGCGATACAGGTTTTGCACATGCAGTTTTTTTTTTTTTTTTTTTTTAGACTTTTAAGTTCTAGGGTATATGTGCACAACGTGCAGGTTTGTTACATAGGTATACATGTGCCATGTTGGTTTGCTGTACCCATCAACTTGTCATCTACATTAGGTATTTTTCCTAATGCGATCACTCCCCCAGCCCCCCACTCCCCCGACCCATGACCCAGTGTGTGATGTTCCCCGCCCTGTGTCCATGTGTTCTCATTGTTCAATTCCCACCTGTGAGTGAGAACATGCGGTGTTTGCTTTTCTGTCCTTGAGACAGTTTGCTGAGAATGATGGTTTCCAGCTTCATCCATGTCCCTGCAAAGGATATGAACTCATCCTTTTTTATGGCTGCATAGTATTTCATGGTGTATATGTGCCACATTTTCTTAATCCAGTTTATCACTGACGGACATTTGGGTTGGTTCCAAGTCTTTGCTATTGTGAATAGTGCCACAATGAACATACGTGTGCATGTGTCTTTATAGTAGCATGATTTACAATCCTTTGGGTATATACCCAGTAGTAGGATGGCTGGGTCAAATGGCATTTCTAGTTCTAGATGCTTGAGGAATTGCCACACTGTCTTCCACAATGATTGAACTAATTTACACTCCCACCAACATTGTAAAAGCATTCCTGTTTCTCCACATCTTCTCCAGCATCTGTCGTTTCCTGACTTTTTAATGATTGCCATTCTAACTGGCTTGAGATCGTATCTCATTGCGGTTTTGATTTGCATTTCTCTGATGACCAGCGATGATGAGCATTTTTTCATATGTCTGTTGGCTGCATAAATGTCTTCCTTTGAGAAGTGTCTGTTCATATCCTTTGCCCACTTTTTGATGGGGTTATTTTTTTCTTGTAAATTTGTTTGAGTTCTTTGTAGAATCTGGATATTAGCCCTTTGTCAGATGGGTAGATTGCAAAAATTTTCTCCCATTCTGTAGGTTGCCTGTTCACTCTGATGATAGGTTTTTTTTTTTTGCTGTGCAGAAGCTCTTTAGTTTAATTAGATCCCATTTGTCTTGTTTTATACAATTGGCCCTTGAACAACACAGGAGTCAGGGGTGCCAACCCTGTCCCCCACAGTCAATCTGAATATAACTTGACTTCCCAAAAACTTGGCTCCTGAGAGCCTGTGTTGACCAGAAGCCTTGCTGATAACATAAACATTCGATCCATACATGTTTTGTATGTTGTAGGTATCATATACTGTATTCTTATAGTAAAGTAAGCTGGAGATATTATTAAGAAAATCATAAGGAAGAGAAAAATATATTTACTATTCATTAAGTGGAAGTGGATCATCATAAAGGTCTCGGTCTCAGCTTCATCCTCTTCTTCACATTGGGTGGGCTGAGGAGGAGGAGGAAGAGGTGGAGGAAGAGGAGGGGCTAGTTCTGCTGTCTCAGGAGTGGTAGAAATAGGAAAGGTGGAGGAGGTGGTTAGGGAGGCAGGAGAGGCAGGCACACTCGGTGTAACTTTTACTGGAAAAAGCCACGTATAAGTGGATCCACACAGTTCAAATCCATGTTGTTCAAGGGTCAGCTGTACATGTATATACATTTTTAAAGACCTTCACAATAGCCTGTTGCTGTGTAGGAAAGCCACGTCCTGGCAGAAGCACCCAGGAGCTCCTGCAGAAGACAGGAACACAGGGGAGAGAGGAAGGTTCATGAGACTGGACAAGCCCAGGACTCGGGGGCCCACTCAGCTTCCTGGTACCTAGTGACAAGAAATTGTGACAGTTGGTGACAGTTACCTCTCTCTTCTGGTTCCTCTGTTTGGGTGCTTTTTGAGAGCATATGATGTTTAACAAGTATTTATTAAGCAGTTACTATGTGCCAAGCACTACATCTGAGCTTTGGACAGATGAGGGGCTGAAGAAGTGGCCCCACCCACAGAGTATGGCAAGCGAGCTTGCTGGGATCCGCTGACCCTCATGCAGGGTGAGTAGTATGTGGCAGGTGTAAGAGCTAGTGCAGAAGCAGGAAGCTAGATGGGCGGTTCTCAAAACAGGGATAAGAACTGACTTAGGCACTCTGGACTTCCATCTTACATGAACATTTTGACAAAGTAAAATGCATAGTCTTGTTTATCCCTGTCTGTAAGTCACTCAGAGCACAGGTTTTGCATGCAGAGGCCTGGGTTTCGTTGCACACCTGTTAGCTCTGAGACTCTGACACATTGCTTGACCTCTGTGTGTTCTGTTTCTGCTTCCATAAAAGGGATCAATGCTACCTACATCAGAGCTGTTTTGACATGTACATTGAATGAGGTGGATTGTGTGAGGTGCTGGCGGCTTTATTATTTATAGAGCATCACAAAATGATGACAGTGGCATGACCATCTAGGGCTGTCACCAGGGACCTGCTCTGAGAACAGGTGGTGACTGTACAGGGTCCAGCCAGCCGCAGCTGTGGTTCTCAGCCCAGCTACCTTGGCCTGCTGGGAGACAGGAAGGTGCATTTGGCCTCAGGTCTCGGATATCACTTTGAACTTGGCCTCCTGGAGGGAGGGCAGGTAGCTAATGACCCTCTGCATGGCAGCAGGGCCACTGAACTGGCCAGGGAAACACAGCAGGAAACCCCACCCTCTCCCTGGCTTGGTGAGCCCTGCTGGCCTGTTTACACACTGACATCAGTGTGTGCCACTTTCCCTTCTGGGCATTCTTGGTTCTTCTGTGAATTATAGCCTTCGGAGTTGCTGAGCCCGAGAGATGAGGGCCTGTGGTTGCCTCTCAGCTTCTTCCAGACTCACCAGGGGACATGCCCTGGCTCAGATGTGGCTGGACTCCCTGACTACTGCTAAAGGTTTGCACTCTCCGGCCCTTCTCCTGTCTTTTTGTGTCCCACACTACCATCTCCCTGTTCACAGCCCTAATTGCCTAATGGGGTGTGTGAGTGTTCATGTTATTCACACATCATTGCCTAGGATTTTCTGCCAAATGATGCCCTGTTGATACAACCTTTGTCACCTTGTTTCCCACTGTCGATGATTCTCTTGAGCTGTCTTTGACCAGGTTTTCAACGTGTGGTGTCATGGGAAGAACACAAGCCATGAAAAGGCCAAACTTGGACTTGAACCCAGGCTTTGCTGTGTGACCTAAGCTGACAAGCACGTGAGTTAATCTCTGCACCTCACGTTCCCGCCTACAAAACAGTGGAACAGTACCTGCCACAGAGGCTGGCAGAGAGGATTACGTGAGTCAATAGGGACACACATAGGACACAGCTAGGGTGGTGCCTGGCATACAGTGGGTGCTTAATAAATGCTCTGTGCTATCCAGTGAGTTTCACAAGACCCTTTAGAAGTTGCTATCTAAGATTTCACCTTAGATCAATCCTTCCATCAAGAAAACTAAGAAAAGTTTGTCTTTTCCTAGTAAGAGCTACGTTACTGAAGGAGAAATGAATGGTGGGGCCAGGCGGTTCCCCAGGGAAGCCCGGGGCTAAGTCCGTGCCCCTTCCTGTCTCCCTGTCGAGGGGGTCTGGTGCCTCGTCGACGTCCAAACTGATCGCTTTGGCGATGCAGATAGACAGGATCTGGCAGAGCATTCAGGCAAGCTTCACACTTGCTGAGCCGAATCATTCCCTTTGGTTACACCCCAGGCAATGCCAAGTAAACAACTTCAGCAACCCAGACAGAGCAATTAAAATGATCCTATGCAGCTGCCTGCCAAGTGAAGTGATTCCTGCTAAACTCTCGATTAGCATTCACTAAAGTGTGTTCTGTCGGACACAGGATCAGAGGGAGGTAAATAAGAGCCATGGGCAGAAAAGGATGCCTGTTAAGGGCACTCAGGGGATTCGAGGCCAGGTCAGGCTGAGCCGGTTTCTTTCCTGCACGCCTTCTCAGGCCTCAGTGTTCTATGCCTTGTCAATCTCTCCACGGGCTATACCTACAGTGTTTCTCAAACACCCCTGACTGTTCGGCTCCCTTATTCAGGAACTCCTATTAACACATTGCAGAACTAGGATTCCTTTGAGAAATGTTTCTAGAAATATTGCTGGGTTTTTTATAACTTTATTGAAAGATATTTTACATATCATATAATTCACTCATTTCAAGTGTAGAATTCAATGATTTTTAGAAAATTTACCGAGTTGTACAATCATTACTCTAAATCAGTTTTAGGACATTTTCATTGCCCGCCTGAAATCCCTGTGCCCATCTACTGTTAACCCCTGCCCCCACCCCCTACCCTAGGCAGCCACTAATCTTATCTGTCTCTATAGATATGCCTTGAGAAACATTGCTTTTTTGAGGGGATGGTAAGATATACATAAAATCAAACTTGCCATTTTAGCCTTTTTTTTTTTTTTTTTTGAGACGGAGTCTCACTTTGTCACCCAGGCTGGAGTGCAGTGGCGTGATCTCGGCTCACTGCAACCTCAACCTCCCAGGTTCACGCCATTCTCCCACCTCAGCTTCCTGAGTAGCTGGGACTACAGGTGCCCGCCACCACACCTGGCTAATTTTGTTTTTATATTTTTAGTAGAAATGGGGTTTCACTGTGTTAGCCAGGATGGTCTTGATCACCTGACCTCGTGATCCACCCACCTCAGCCTCCCAAAGTGCTGGGATTACAGGCATGAGCCACCGTGCCCGGCCCATTTTAGCCATTTTTAAGTGTGCAATTCAGTGGCATTAAATACATTCACATTGTTGTGCAATCTTCACCATTGTTCATCTCCAGAACTTTTTCATCACCCCAAACAGAAACCCCGTATCCATTAAACAGTAATTCCCCCTCTCCTGTGCTCCTGGTAGCCACTTGGCCACTTTCTGTCTCTTTGAATTTGACTGTTCTAGGTACTCATGCAAGTGCAATCACACGATTTGTCCTTTTATGACTGGATTATTTCATTTAGCATAGTGTCCTCAAGCTTCATCTTTATTGCAGCATGCATCAGAGTTAGGCCAGGCGCAGTGGCTCACGCCTATAATCCCAGTACTTTGGGAGGCCGAGGTGGGCAGATTGCTTAAGCCCAGGAGTTCAAGACCAGGCTGGGCAACATGGTGAGAACCTCATCTCTACAAAAAATACAATTAGCCGGACATGATGGCATGCACCTGTAGTCCCTGCTACTCAGAAGGCTGAGGTGGGAGAATCACCTAAGCCTGGGGAGGTTGAGGCTGCAATGAGCCATGATCACACCACCGCACTCCAGCCTGGGAAACAGTGAGTCTCAAAAACACAAAAAAAGAATTTTAATCCTTTTTAAGGATGAGTAATATTCCATTGTATGTATATACAGGTTGATCATCCCTTATCTGAAATGCTTGGGACAAAAAGTGTTTTGGATTTTGGATTTGTTTCGGATTTTGGAATATTTGCATTACACTTACAAGTTGAACATCAAATATTTTGCCCATTTTCTAGTAAGACTATTTTGTTGTTGTTGAGTTGTAGGAGTTTCTTTATATATTCTAGATCTTAATTTGTTAAGTTGTAGGAGTTCTTTGTATATTCTAGATCTTAATTCCTTATCAGATAGATGATTTGCAAATATTTTCTCCCATTCTGTGGGTTATCGTTTCACTTTCTTGATAGTGTTCTTTGATGCACAAAAGTTTTTAATTTTGTTGAAGCCCAATTTATCTCTCTTTTCTTTTGTTGTCTGTGCTTTTGGTGGCAGAAACACTGCTTATTGCTTTTTAAAGATCAAACCAAAAAAGAGCCTACCTGTGAAAATCAAATAGTAAAATAAAGTTGCCAGGTATTCTTATTATCCCCCTAGAAATAGTTTTTTAAAACAAAAACTCTCAAATATTCAGTTGTTTCAGTCATGTGACTTGGCATATAATTAAACAACAGTTGCTGCTGTTACTGAATATTTATTGCTCACTGACAATGTGTCAGACACAGCCAGAGACTGAAATACGAGTAGATGCCAGTTCTGGACTTGTCTGCCTTAAGTGAGATGAGAGGCATATTTATTAGTAAAAACTCAGTTGCAGGTGACAGAAAACCAGTTTAAAATAACTTGGATCAAAAGGGGAATTCACTGACTTTTTTACCAAAATGTTGAGGAGGAATGTGGAAGTTTTTACTAGATCTAGAGGCTATATGTCAATTGCTTCTCTTTTCCTCTCTCCTTTTTTCCTTCCTCCTCCCCAGCTGTTTTCTAAATGTCTATGTCCTCCCAAAACTCACATGTTGAAATCTTAGTCCCCAGGTGATAGTGTTAGGAAGTGGGGCTTTTGGGAGGTGATGAGGTCATGAGGGTGAAGTCCTCATAAATGTGATTGGTGCCCTTATAAAAGAGGCCCCAGAACGGTCCCTTGTCCCTTTCACCCAGCGAAGTTATAGAGAAAGGACAGCAAACTACAAACCAGGACATGCACCCTCACCAGACACCACATCTGTTGGCACCTGGATCTTGGACTCCCCAGCCTCCAGAGCTGTGAGAAATAAGTTTCTGCTGTTTATATGGTATTTTTGTTACAGCAGCTTTAACAGACTAATGCCCTCCTTGTCTGTGTCTTTTATTCTCTCTCAGTGTCTTGGCTCTGCTTTTAGGTCTCCTCTTACCCACTGGCCTCTTTCCCTGCTACTGTATATAACTTCCTGTATGCATCTAGGGGAGGTCATGAGCAGCTGTAGCATATGTGATGTTAGTGAACCATCCCTGTAATTGAAATCCGAAATCCCAGCAAATGCACTGAAAGGGCCATAGGAATGGACCACCCTGATTGGCCAGCCTGGTCTAACTGGCTTTGGCCTGCAATGACGGGTTTTATTTACATAACTGAAGATTCCAGGGATAAATCCTGATTTCAGGCATAGCTTGATCTAGGACTCAGTTCCTGCAGGATCCATGTCTGAGCTCCACATCCTCCTTCTCAGGTTTTTCAGAGAACCTCCAGTGCAGTTCCCAGTGCTCCCTGTGGTGACAGTGATTCTGTGCCTCCTGTCCTCACACCACTGAGCCCGGGAATGAGAGTATGTAGGTGTCAGGATTCCCAGAGCAGGCCTGAGGCTATGAACAGACAAGCTGAGATGTGGGCCCACCCCTGCGTGAGTGACCGTGGCTCAGGGCCCCTCCCTGTTGTAGGGGAGAGGATATGCTAACTGGCCTCTGGACCTTAAGGGGGGGTCAGTCCCACCCAAACCCCAACTGAGAAAGGAGAAGGGGTGGTTTAAAATACCAACATAAAGCAAAACACACAGAAATTTGAGATACTGATGTCAGGAAGGAAGAGGAAAGGGTTCCAGCAACGAGCAGGTGCCCATTATAGGAGAATAATTTGATTATCAAGGACAACAGGCAACAGTAGAAGGTTAAAATGAATGATCAGGTTCGTGCTGGGTGACAAAAATTGCTGCCTGGGGTCAATTACGAGGAGGGCAGCTAGTTTCCAGGCCTTAGAGATGTTGCTTTGTACTCTTGTGTGCCTGCAAGCTGGTGTGTTCCCCTCAAGGACAGCAAACTTTTCACGAGCACCTGCTGTGCCCTGATCTTGCTGGGTGCTGTCACCCTGCCATCTGGAGCACCTGCCACGGTTGGCAGATAAACCCACCAGTGCTGCAGTCAGGGGCACTGGCATCCCTCAAACCCTCCAGGACAGCACGTGAAACACTTAGGACCACAGATTTGAGTTAGGAAACTGTGATCCTGGAGATAATGAAGGCCTCATTGACGTGAGCTAGATGCAGGTTGAGAGAATGATGGACGAGCCCAGAGAAGTCCTCCCGGAGGGACAGTGCCTGTCAGGCCAGAGATTTCTGACAGTCGGAGGACAGGGCAGAGTGTGCTCAGCCTGGGAGAGGAGGGGACAGAGACCTGCTCAGGGGTGCACTGAGCTGTGGCCTGCACTGGGCCAGGTGCTGGGAGGGGGTGGGAGAGGGGCCTGCAGGACATGGGCTGAGGGACAAGAGGCTAGTGGGTGATGGAGACCACTATGGGGGTTGAACACAGGAATGACGTGCGATTCAGGGAAGTCTCTGGGAAGGGGAAGAGACTGAAGACATAGAGACCATTTTGTGCAAATGGGAGAGATGCTGAGGCCTGACTTAGGGTGTGGGTTGGGAAGGGGAGAAGGGATGACTCTGAGGGAGACAGTGGGTCCCAGTGGCTGTTTGGAATTCAGCAGGTGAGGGAAGAGTTGTATTTAAAAAATAACAGGCTGGGCACGGTGGCTCATGCCTGTAATCCCAGCACTTTGGGAGGCCAAGGTGGGTGGATCACCTGAGGTCGGGAGTTCGAGACCAGCCTGACCAACATGGAGCAACCCTGTCTCTACTAAAAATACAAAATTAGCTGGGCATGGTGGCGCATGCCTGTAATCCCAGCTATTCGGGAGGCTGAGGCAGGAAAATCACTTGAACCTGGGAGGCGGAGGTTGCAGTGAGCTGAGATCGCACCATTGCACTCCAGCCTGGGCAACAAGAGCAAAACTCCGTCTCAAAAATGAAATAAAATAAGAAAATAAAATAAGAAACATGTATAGTCATGCATCACTTAACGACTGGGATACAGCCTGAGAAATGCATTGTTAGGTGATTCCAGCACTGTGCTAACATCATAGAGTGATTTGCACAAACCGAGCTGGTAGAGCCTACTGCACACCCAGGCTGTGTGGTATGGCCCATTGCTCCTAGGCTGCACAGCTGCACAGCATATGACCATGCTGAATACTGCAGGCAACTATAACACAGTGGTAACTATACATGTATCTAAACATAGAAAAGGTACAGTGAAAATTAGAATCTTATAGGACCACTATCACAGGGTCAGTCTTGATAGAAATGTCATTATGGAAGCAGGACTGTTCTTGTAAAGGGCGTGGAATTTGGCCTGGAGTCACAATTCTTCCTGTGTTCCTACTGATGGATGTTTGTGTTCCTACTGATGGACTTGGACATTTTGTTCCTGTTGTTTTCTCTGCTGGAAAGGTGATTGCAGATCCAGTTCCGTTTGAAACTGTGGCCAATTTGGTCTACTTGGTCCAAGTTGCCCAGGGTCCCACAACCCACAGAAGCCCTTCCTTCTTCCAGAACTTGGTCCCCATCTTCACAGCAGAGTTACCCATAGTGCTCAAGAAAGGAGAAAAATTGTCTTCAATTGGCATTGAAGAGAGTCGAGGGAAGAGGCTCCTAAGACGCAAAGTCCTGGGAAAGAAGACCCGCCCCTAAGCTTCTCCTCCCCATGGTCGACCACGGCCGGTTCCTGGAGTGCCAGGATGGTTTGCTCTACTCCATCTACAGCATGTGAAGTGGAACCTGCTTGCAGGGAGGAAATGCATGTCAGGGCGGTGGTGGGGAATTGCCTGAGGAGTCTTGGTGCCCTGATTCCAGAGAACTTTGCTGGTCCTCTGGTTTTGTAACCCTATTTCTCGGTGATGGCACTTTGGCCAGGTGAGTAAGGGGAAGTGGTTTGGAGCTGTCTCACCATCAATGTGTAACTCAACTCAGGTTCAGCTGCTCACCACTCAAAAGCCAAACTGGAGAGACAAGACTTGGTGGAAGGAAAAGCAGGTGTATCCGAGAGCCGGCAACCTGGGGAGATGGTGGACTAGTGTCACAAAGACCATCACAAGTCGGTACAAATTTCAGGCTCTTTTTATGTTAAGGGCAGGGGGAAGAGGAGGGTGTTGGGATCAACACATAACCTATGACTATAGACAGCTGGGTGCCAGCAAGGGTCCAAGGAAGTTGGGAATTTCTTTGTCCCTGGTCAGGTCACAATGCTCCTTCCTCCTATAAATCTTTAACAAAATATGGTCGGTTGCTCAAATACTCCTTTTTAATCCCAGAGTTCATTTCAAAAACTGTATGACTCCCATTGTAGTGTTTCATCCCAGTGCTCTAAAATTATTCTAGCCCACATGCAGGAATGGGTATCTAAACATAGATAAGGACCACTCAAACAAAAATGGAGTTAGTCATGTTCATTCTTTTGCTGTTTCACTGTTACAAATGTGAGAAAGGATGTCGCCCCCAGCAGGCATGTAAAGGAACTCCTAATACACCATCCGGCTGGGGGTCCAGCCTGGACAACGTGCCGGGCACGGAGGTTTGTAGATGAATGGGCTGAGGTTGTCCAGAAGTAGCTGTGGAGATTCCATTTCCAGAAATTGTTCATCTCTTACTTCACTGACTTCACATCTTGATTTATGAAGAATGATTAGATGCCAAAAGCATATTCCTAACACATTCTTCCTGAAAAATATGATTTATTCTATTATTTTAAAAATTCAGTCCATCTCATCATTTATTATTATATTTTTGTCATTATATATACTTAAACACATTCCTTTAGTAGACTTAAAATGCTTTAATTTTATTCCCTTAATAAATATTCATTTCAAGGTGACAACCCGAAGGGCTGCAGGCAGAAAAAAAAAAGCTTATCCTTCGAGCAAATTTATTATTGGTGCATTTTCTTATATGCTGTCATAAAGGCCAGGCTCTTACCACACATTAATTTTATGACTGTGTAGTTCACGTGAATGCCAAACTCCGATTCATTTTTCTATCTACTCATGGACTGAATCATTTTATTTTCCTTTGCAGAAAAGAAATGTTATACTATATGAGGTGTAAATTTATAGCAGATGTAGTATTTAGCTTGCCAGAAGATCTCTTTCAGGAGGCAATGTTTATTTAAAAAAAAAAACTAATTCAGCTTCATGACAGGGCAAGAGTATTCATATTTTCATTATTAGAGTTTCCAGTAGAAACCTTGCTTTGATTTGCCCTGTTATGTCTTTGCTAATTGGCTGTATTCAGACTATAATACTGAGCATCCCCAAATCCTCACTCCATCACGTCTCAATAGCTTATGTCCATTTGTCCTTCTCATGCTCCTCCATCTTCTGAATAATGATGACAACAATGATGAGAGCAGTAGAGGTAATTAGTCAATGGCACTGTCGTTCCCAGCAGGCTGCAGGGTGAGGAGTGAATCACCCACCTCCGTCCAGGTGCTTTGCATGCGTTGTTGACTGCAGAAGCATGTCTCTGAGCAGGGACATGCAAATCCAAAATTGGGTTTCAGGCCAGGCGTGGTGGCTCACGTATGTAATTCCAGCATTTTAGGAGGCCAAGGCAGATGGATCACTTGAGGTCAGGAGTTTAAGACCACCCTGGGCAACATGGTGAAACCCTGTCTTTACTAAAAATACAAAAACTTAGCCGGCGTGGTGGCATGAGCCTGTAATCCCAGCTACTCAGGAGACTGAGGCAGGAGAATCACTTGAACCCAGGAGACGGAGGTTGCAGTGAGCTGAGATTGCACCATTGCACTCCAGTCTGGGCGACAAGAGCGAGACTCCATCTCAAAAAAAAAAAAATTGGGTTTCATTTCTTCCTCCTAATCAAATCTCGATGAACAGTTTCTTCTTTTGTTTGTGCTCCTGCTTCAGACACTTAGGTCATATGGGCTGCAACAATTGGTACTAAGAAGAATGAATAATATTCATGAAAATATGATGCTGGATTAATGACATTAACGACAAAGCATACTCTTGCATTGAATCAGCCTTTTAAGTCTTCTGTTAAATTAAGGGCATGATATGCAAGAGTGCCACCTAAAACCTTAAAATCCACAAAACTCACTTGCAGGAGAGACTCTGTTCTCCCAGGATGTTAGCTGAGCCTCCTCTGGTCAAAGGTAGCCTCCTGGCCCTGCCCACACACCTTGGGCTGTGGTTGTTGTACAATCCCTGGTGGGAGGCGGCAGGTGCAAAGCTGTGCCCCAGCCCACCCCAGCGCCCTCCCTCCAAACACTCAAGCCTCCAATTCATGTTGAGTTTCCTACATGGGAGGGCAAAGCACACATGTGGATGAACAGGGTGGGCCAGTCAGTGTCTGGAAGTAAAAATGGGAAGGAAAGGCTACAAGAAGGGATGGGAAGAGTCAGACCTGAACCTTTCCATAAGCTGATCTCTGGGACAGCTTTTGTGTGAGAGAGCTGCTATTCCTCACATTAAAGATGAGTTTCAGCTGGGTGCGATGGCTCACGCCTATAATCCCAACAGTTTGGGAGGCTGAGGTGGGCAGATCACGAGGTCAAGAGATCGAGACCATCCTGGCCAACATGGGGGAACCCCGTCTCTACTAAAAATACAAAAATTAGCTGGGCATGGTGGCATGCACCTTTGATCTCAGCTACTTGGGAGGCTGAGGCAGGAGAATTGCTTGAACCTGGGAGGTGGAGGTTGCAATGAACTGAGATTGCACCACTGCACTCCAGCCTGGGAGACAGAGTGAGACTCTGTCTCAAAAAAAAAAAAAAAATGAGACTAAAAGAGCAAAAAGAGCAAGGTCCACTGTGGGTGGCCTTTAGGAAGGCTAGGCATGTGTAGACTTCAGGCAGAGTCTGTCTGGTGAGGGAGGGAGCTATGTGGCTCTCAGTCCCCAGTCAAGGCTGGATCAGGAATATAATTTTTAGAACAACCCACTGGCTGGGACATTGGCCCAGGAAGCAGGGCAGGCGTAGCCGGAAAGGTGGCAGAAGGCTGGGTACCCAAGGTTCACCAGACTGGAGCCACACCAGGGGCTTACCCTGCTTAGCCACATCCACTGTGAAGACTGCTGTCTCCTCCAGCCCAAGTCCTCACTCTGGACCAACAGATGGATCTAGATTTCTTTCCAGGTATCTTGGCCTTACCTCTTTGGGATGCAAACAGCCTTGCTAGGGTATTCTGGCTCTGGAGTCCTTCATCATCTGGAACTGGAGTGGGGGCATCTGTCCTAGCCCCCAGAGACTGTCATTAATAGACAATAAGCCTCTGCTTACTTTAGATTTCAGAAACATTGTGCATTAACTGCTCAAAATGTTCCTAAATCACATAAGATCACAAGAAACCTTTAATTTGAGGGCAGCCCTGGAACTGCACTCATGCTAGTAAACACTTGGGCATTGAGGGATTTTGGATTTGTAGTGTACGTTTCTACACTTTCTGAGGAAGATATTTTCAGTTGAACAAAAATAATACCTTAGTTTTGTGAGCCCAAAACGATTTGCATCGCACTCTCACATCCATGATCTCACTGGATCTTTACAACTAATAGTGAGATAAGCAAAGTGATTATTATTCTCATTTTACAAATAAGAACAAAGCCTAGATTAGTTAGAAAACATGCGTGCGGTGTCATGGCTAGGAAGTGGCAGATCTAATCACCAGATCTCATGGGCCCCACTTCCTGCCCTGGAGACTTTGGTCTCCACAGACTGGTCTTCATTCCTTAGTTTACCCCTTCAACCTGGCATTGCATGTTGTTGTTTCAGTGGCTCAGTCACCTCCCAGGAATCCTGGATCCAATCTGCAACAGCCCATATCTGTTTCATGGCTTCCCATAGTTTTCTTGTTTACTTGTCGTTTTGTTTTGTTTTGAGACAGGGTCTCACTCTGTCTGTCACCCAGGCTGGAGTGCAGTGGCATGATCATAGTTCACAGCAGCCTCGAAGTCCTGGCCTAAAGCAATCCTCCCACCTCAGCCTCTCAAATAGCTGGGACTACAGGCGTGTGCCACCACATCCGGCTAATTTTATTTTTATTTTTTGTAACATGGCAGTGACAGGGTCTTGCTATGTTGCCCAGGCTGGTCTCCAACTAGTGGGCTCAAGTGATCCTCCAGTCTCCGCCTCCCAAAGTGGTAGGATTACAGGTGTGACCCACTGCACCTGGCCCCATATTTTGCTTAAATGAAATGTATGTCTAAGTTGATACTCTGAGTTTTATTAAGGAAATTCTCTCTTCTCAACTTCTTACTTTCTCCAGGAGTTTCAATGACCATGTCCAGATACTCCTAAAACCATTGGCAATGAGCATTCTTGATCTGGGTACAACAATTCCACAGGTCATTTGTAGTGCATGTTTATATATAGGTATCCCTTAAAAAGAATGGGGCCTCAATTTCAGTTTTCAGGAATCAATCAAATATAGTCAGACTCGCAATATTTTACTTTAGGGTAAGTCCTCCTCCCCAGTGAAAGTGAGGTCTCAGTTGCAGCAGCTGACCTTGATCCCGTTATATCCTTATATGCACAGGAAGACTTAAGGGTCCATGTCAGTCTGTAGCCTTCAGACGTAAGCCCAGCTCAGAGAGAATTATTGCTTCCACTGGCCATAAAAATGACATATACACTTAAGCTTCCTCATAATCATTTTAAATTTTTAATTTTTGATTGGTAACCTTGAAAGGAAAGATGAAGAGATGATGGGCCAGCTGCCAGCTCATTGTGCTGTATAAATGTTGGTTCTCTCATCACTTGTTTATGGCTATTTTCCATTTAGAATGTTGAGGCTTAAATGACCACGTTGAGATGTTCTGAAAACCATTGCCTGAGTAGCAGTGCATTGTCACTTTCATCTTCATAGGGAATTTAAGCAAGAGAGGGCTCTGCCACCACACTTGCACTCTGATGAGCTTTCTCATGCCCCCACATGGCGGTGTGGAGAGAGCACTTAAACAAGTGTAAAAACCTTAGTTGTCTTCCCACATCTGTTCCTTCCTATCTCAGCCTCAAGCAAATCACTTAACCCCTCTCTACGGGACCCTCCATGTGTCCAAGCCCTCATTTGCCCCTTCTCCATTCTGCCCTGTGCTCTGCCCCAGAGGCTGAAGCTGACCTGTGAGGCTGGCATCAACTCACCTCCCTTGCTGTCTGGCTACAGATTCAGTTCAGATGAGAAAGGGGGCTTCCCACAGGTCAGAGGTTGGAGGAGAGTGAGGACAGAGTACATAATCCTGACCAAATTGCTGCAGTTAGCTCTGTCCCTCTGTGAAAAGCTCCCATTGGTCACCTGGTGTATTAGTCAGTTCTCATGCCGCTAATAAAGATATACCTGAGACTGGGTAATTTATAAAGGAAAGAGGTTTAATGGACTCATAGTTCCATATGGCTGGGGAGGCCTCATAATCATGACTGAAGGCAAAGAAGGAGCAAAGTCATGGCTTCCATGGCAGCAGGCAAGAGAGATCATGTGCAGCGGAACTGCCATTTATAAAACCATCAGCTCTCATGAGACTTATTCACCATCATGAGAACAGCATGTGAAAGACCCACTCCATGATTCAATTACCTCCCACTGGGTCCCTCCTAGGACAAGTGAGAATGATGGGAGCTACAATTCAAGATGAGATTTGGCGGGGGGACACAGGCAAACCATATCACCTGGGTTCTGCTGTCTTCCTTTGCACCTTCAGACCTCCTACTAATCATCTCCCTCCTCACTTCCCCAGGTGCAATCCAGGTTGCCATCCCCTCCTACCTAGACATACATGTCACTGATATTACAGGCCTAGGAAGTCTGCCCATTAAAACAGTGACAATGAGACAAATATACAGTATGGAAAAAAGCAAATTCCCGCTGAGAATCAAAATAATGAGTGTGGTCCTTACAGAGACTAAAACAGGCACAAGCAAGCCCTTTCTGTTCAAGTGCAGGCAGCTCTTAACCATCCTTGGGATGAACAGAGTGATAAAGTTCCTTGCCACAGAGATTTCCTAAGGAAAGAAGAGGCAGCATTTCCTCATCACATATGCCTATCAGGGCAGGGTCCTCGGGAGAGGTCTGTATTTTAACTCAGTTTCTGACATTACTGTGGCTATGCCAAGTGGACAGCTCTACTTCCAGTCCTCCAGAGACTACACTTCCCACGTGAAGCCATTTGCATCATTCACAGCCAGTGAGTGTTTCCTTGCTCTGAAGAAGGGTGTGGTTTCTGCCAAAATTCAAGGTGAGCTACACAGTGTTGAAGTCCTAACGTGCCAGAACATTATCGCCAAAACCATAGTCCAGCTTCTCCTGTTTGCAGAAGGAGACTTCCGGGAACTGGTTGATGATGCTGGGCCAGGGCTCCTGCAGGAGCTGTGTGAAGTCAGAAGACTCCCGTGCCATGTCAGAGTGACCAGTCTGGATCCCTCCATGGCCAGAGACCCCCTTTATGGGACTGAGGATCTGTGGGTTGAAAATGTCATCATTGAACAATGCCTTGTAGCCACAGATGAGACTTTGCCAGAAGACATATACACAGATTTCTCAGAAGACGTATACTTGAGCTTGTCAGAAGACTCATTTGAAATCCCAGTTGAGAAGATGAGCTCAATGGTGTTGGTAGTTGAAGAGCACTCATGGATGAGAGATGCCAGGAAGGAGCCCAGCTTGGCTGTCCATGACAGAAGAGATAAATGAGGCAGAGTCCCTGACCTCTAGTAATTATATGATTGTTCCCCAACCACCACCATGCCCTCCAAAGCCCAGAAGTTTGTCTTACAACAAAAATTGTGATCATTAGGCATGCCTTCTCTCCAAGGAATAGCACCAGCACGTCCAGGACCTGTGCATTTTGGGTTACTGGAGAACTGAAGCAGCCTTCTAATTGGCATTCCTTTCTCCAGCTCTGCCCCTTTCCAGTCCATCCTGCACACTAACCAGAGAGCTGTCTTAAAATCTATATGGGGCCAGGCATGGTGGCTCACACCTGTAATCACAGAACTTTGGGAGGCTGAGGCAGGTGGATCATCTGAGGTCGGGAGTTCGAGACCAGCCTGGCCAACATGGTGAAACTCCGTCCCTACTAAAAATACAAAACTAGCTGGGCATAGTGGTGCACGCCTGTCATCCCAGCTACTCGGGAGGCTGAGGCAGGAGAATCGCTTAAACCCAGGAGATGGAGGTTATAGTGAGCTGAGATCTCATCACTGCACTCCAGCCTGGGTGACAAGAGTGAAACTCCGTCTAAAAAAGAAAATCTAAACTGAAAGAAATCTTTATTTATTTATTCCTCAGAACTCTTCCCTTTGCCTTGGGATAAACTCCAGATGCCTTAATGTCCTTTCTAGGGCTCTTCCTGGGTTGGTCTCCTGCCTGTGAATTCATCTCTCATCCCCCAGCTTGCTTCTCTGACTCTCTATATGCTGCAGCCAGACCGCACTACTGCCAGAGCCTCCCAGCCTGCCGTTGAACCCCAGGACACGCTAGTGCCTGGAATGCTTTCTGTCTGCCTTCCCAGGGATGATTTCTGCTCATTCTGCAGATCTCATCATAGATGTTACTTCCTTCAGAATGGCTTCTCTGAACTCCAAGTCTAGCTCAGTCTCTATTCTACGTGCTACAGAATCACCCTGGCACACTGGGTAGGAAAAGAGGTTCTGCATGATTGGAATCTCCATACTGGCAGCATAACCTCTCTGGAGCCTTGGTCTCTTCCTTATAAAATGTAGGTAATAGAAATTCCTACCTAACTGTTGTAAGGGTGACTGAGATGACCCACGGAGCACTTAGAACATGGCCTGCATCTCCATAGGGTCTCAACAGATGCTCAGTAAGTGTTACCTTGGCCAGGCATGGTGGCTCATACCTGCAGTTCCAACATTTTGGGAGGCCAAGGCGGGAGGATCGCTTGAGGCCAGGAGTTGGAGGCTGTGGTAAGCTATAGTCATGCCACTGCACTCTGGCCTGGGCAACAGAGTGAGATCCTGACTCAAAAAAATAATAAAGATAAGCATACCTCAGGTGCTTCTGAGCCACCTTCTTTGGCCTGTGTTGGCAAGATAAAAGCTGGATTAGTTACCCAAGTTCCTTCTGTTGGGTTCATGGCGATGCCTTTGCTCGTGCTGTCCTCCTGTGTGAGGTGCTCCTTTCCCCCAGCCCCTCACCCATATCCTGCCACTCCTCAGGGGCCTGCCCACACACTGCCACCTCTCCCACGATGACACTGGCCCTCACTGACCCTCCCATTGTGGCTCCTCGAGTACTTGTCTATTAATGACAGTGGTCACCTCTGCTCACTGATTGCCTACTGTGTGCCCCGCAATACAATGCATGGCTGGCACTGGATGTGTATTTCATTTCCTCACCCCCACCTCATAAGGATTGAGCTCAGATTCATTCTCTCCTCTTCAGATGAGGAAACAAGGCTTGGGCAAGTTCTCCTCTTCATCACAAGGACGAGCTGAGATGCGAATCCCCCTGACTCCCCTGGCACAGCCTGCCATCCTTCCTGGCTATCACACTGCACTACAATTGTGGCTTACCCTCCCCCAACCCCAGTAGAATGAAAGCACAAAGCTATGAGACAAGGACGGTCTTGTTCACTGAAGTGTCCTCAGGAAATGGGACATAAAGCCAAGAGCTTTGGAAGCTGGCTTAATGTGACAATCCAGGGTGGGGTAGCCAGGAGGTGGAGCAGGCGAACTCAGGAGGGCCAGGCTCCAGGAGCTGCTGATAGAATTGCCCTGCTCTAGATGTCCCTGGTTTGTAACTTTGGGGGATGGAGAAACAGAAAATCAAATTTACCAGTCTAGGAAGAGGTCTAAGAACAGAACCAGACTCTGAGAGGGCTTTGAGTGCAAATAGCTTATTTAGAAGGTGACCCCAGAAGAGTAGGCAAAGTAAACCAGGGAAGGGAAGGAGCCAATCACTCCAGATTACCGCTGCGGGCAAGCAGGGCTCCAGCTCACTGGGACCTCTGGGAGATGATTTAGACTGGGGTCAGCAAACTATAGCTGAACCCAGCTCATTGGGTTTCTATAGCCTATGAGCTAAGAATGGTCTTTATGTTTTTATTTTTCGTTTTATTTTATTTTATTTTATTTTATGACAGAGTCTCACTGTGTCGCCCAGGCTGGAGTGCAGTGGCATGATCTTGGCTCACTGCAATCTCCACCTCCTGGGTTCAAGCGATTCTCCTGCCTCATCCTCCCAAGTAGCTGGGATTACAGGCACCAGCCACCACGCCCGGCTAATTTTTGTATATTTAGTAGTTTCACCATGTTGACCAGGCTGGGGTCTTTATGTTTTGAAATGGTTGACACATAATCAAAGAAAAATATTTAGTGACATGAAAGTTACTGAAATTCAGGTTTCAGTAGCCATGAATTCAGTTGTCCTGTAACAAAGCCACACGCCTGTGTTTCTGTTCTCTACGTGATGGCTGCGTATGTCCTACCACGGGAGAGTTGAGTAGTTGTGACAGAGACCATATGGGCACCAAGGACCAAAACATTTACCAGCTGGTTCTTCACAGGAAAAGTTTGCCGACCTGGTTTAGACCATGCATCATCCTTGTCTCACCCGAAGGCCAAGGGGTGCCTCTTTGTCATTGCTTGAGGGCTGTTCCGGAGGGCTCTGACCTCCCAGCAGTTCTAGCCTGCCCCTCTGCCCAGCAAGCTCCTGTGCTGCGGGAAGCCGTCTGGCAATCATGGTGCTCAGAGTAGAGTAAGAGGCCTTTTGCATATTTGAAAACTAGTGAGAACCAAGCTAATCCAGGCAAGGCACTGACAGGGGAACCTTCTCCAAATGGGGCCGGAATCCCCAAAGCCCGTTGTTACTGGGCATCAGCCATAGTGCATGGGGGAGCTATACCTCCTGTCAAGAAACAGGAAGGAGCGAACATCCAAAGATGACTCACCTGTAAAGAAGTCGTCATATTACCAAATATCTAATTTCCCTAAAAAGGAAAGAGGAGAACCAGTTCCTTGCTAACATGAGTGTGTGCTTTTATCACCATTTGCCGAGAAGCAAGGTGAAGGCCGATCACAATGGCTCACACCTGTGACTCCCACATTTTGGGAAGCTGAGGCGGGCAGATCACTTGAGCCCAGGAGTTTAAGACAAGCCTGGGCAACATAGTGAGACCTCGTCACTACAAAAAAATGAAAGAATAAAAAAATTAGCCTGGCGTGGTGCTGCATGTCTATAGTCTGAGCTTCACAGAAGGCTGAGGTGGGAGGATCACTTGAGCCCAGGAGTTCAAGGCAGTGGTGAGCAGCGGTGGTGCCACTGAACCCCAGCATGGGCAACAGAGCAAGACCCTCTCTCAAACAAACAGCAACAACAAAACAAGGAAAGATTGCAGATCTGAGGAGGGAGCAGACCCCAAGAAGCAAGCTCAGTACAAGCAGGAGTGTAAGGGAGTTGGGCTTGGGCTTGGGCTCGGGTGAGCCAGGACCCGGGAGCCAGGGCAGGGAGGGTGTCCTACTCTCAACTTCTGTGGTCTGAAACTTTAGAGGAAAAGGCAACAGGAGAAAATACAGTCTACCAGTCTGGGAAGAGGTCTAGTAACTGGATACCCAAATTTATGCCCAAAGATAAGAAGAGGAGTTAGTGTTAGCAGATATTGTTGGTCCTTAAATGTAAACGGAAACCTCTTCATTCATGGAAGGAAAGTGGAGAGGGGTCAGGCCGATTGTTTGGTAAGCAATGAAGCTGGGTCCAAACCTGGATCTCCTGTTTCTTGTCCCTTGCAAGTCACCCTGTGTACATCTCCTATATGTCATCTTGATTGCCACAACACGCCGTAGGGGACAGGGATGTTATTTTGGGGGTTGGGGAATCAGGTAGAATTCTTTTGCTCCAGTTTATGTGCAAAAAACAAAAAAATCTAACAGAACAAAAAAATGGACAAAGGAGAGAAAATGGAAAAGCAAATAAGATGAAATAGAAATGGCTAATAAATGTATTCAATAATGCTCACTTTGATTAGGAATAGCTTTGTCCCTAGATTACTAGTAATTAGGGAGACCCTAGATCATAACCTGCTTCACTGTTTTCAGCAAGAAATTTTCCAACATTCTAAAGAGGGGAAAAATATAGCTACTCCTCTTTTTCTGGATGTGGGTGAAAATGTGGAGAAGGCTGTTTGAGAGAGGCTATGATCCGAATTGCCATTTTTTTTTTTAAGAGATAGGATCTTGCTCTGTGCCCAGGCTGGAGGGCAGTGGTGCAATCATAGCTCAGTATAAATTCAAACTCCTGGGCTCATGTGATCCTCCTGCCTCAGCCTCCTGAGTAAATGGGACTCCATGTGTACACTACCACGACTGGCTAATTTTTTTTTTTTTTTTTTTTTTTTTGTAGAGATGGAATCTCTCTATGTTGCCGAGGTTGGTCACAAACTCCTGGCCTCAAGTGATCCTTCCACTTTGGCCTCCCAAAGTGCCAGGATTATAGGCATGAGCCACCACGCTGGCATGAATTGCTCTTTCTTAAAATGGATTTTTTTTTCTTTTAAGGGGTTTTCTGAACTGTTTTTTCACTTAGAGAAAGGGGAGAGGTTGAAGAGGTGGTGAGATGTCCATAGGGATTGGGGGAGGTAGTCCTGGAACCAGATGCCTGATGCCTTGATAATGTTGCAGCCAATATTTTACCCAATAGTGTGTACCTTAAAAGTCTGACAAGTGGTAGATACGCAGCCAAAGAGATGTGCCACCTTTATCATCACAAGAGAGGGTCCGAGAACTCATTCTCTTTTCTGTGCAGGCACAGGCTGGCCCCTTGGTGCTTTAAAGACAAAGTTCCTTGAGAAAGGGCAAACTCCCCAGGGACAAAGTGGATAGAGCAGCTTTTCTCTGAAGAAGATCCAAGGCAGGCCCTGAGTACCCATGGCCACTCTGGAAGTGGCATAAAATATCTAATCTCTCCAAAAGCTCCACTTCCCCTCTGATTCAGGGATAGTGAGTATGGGTCTTCAGGGAGCTCGCTTAGGAGGTCCACTGTCTTCTATCTAACTTTATTTCAAGTAGGCTCTGACACTGGAACCTCTTTGTTATACCTCAGTAACCTATGGGTAAAACCTATGGGTACAGCAAAATTTGGCCACCTGGATGTCTCTGTGTTTGTGAGTGCCTTGCAGCCCAAATAGACTCTAATAGGTAACAGGGAAGGCCTTCTGCTCTCAGCCACATGCCTTGGCTTTCCAAGGAGCCAGAGTGTGCACACAGTTGCCAGAAAGCTGTCACTCATTTGACTGATGGCAAGGGCCTTGTGTAGACAACCTGGAAGAAACAGATGCCGTTGAGATTTGTGAGATGGTGCCACGAGTTACCAGCTGGCTTTCTACATCCTTATTACTTAGACTAGGGCATATAATACTCTTCAGTCAATCATAGTTGAATTTGTTAGCATCCTAGATCAAAAAGCTTAGAACCAACATTTCCTTTTTTTAAATTAATGCTTTTAGATGATAAAAATAAAACATATCTAAAATTTCTATTATGACAAAATATATTCTTAAACAAAATTGAAATATAAATGACAAATTGGGAGAAATATTTGTAATAGTTATGACAGGCAAATATTCATGCTGAGAATATTGTAAAGAACTCATCAACTGGTAAAAAGACAAAACAATTTAGTAGGAAAATGAACAAGGAAAAGAAAAGTAAAATCAGAGAAGATGAAATAGAAATGGCCAATAAGGCCAGGCACGGTGGCTCATGCCTGTAATCCCAGCATTTTGGGAGGCCGAGATGGGTGGATCACTTGAGGTCAGGAGTTTGAGACCAGCTTGACCAACATGATGAAACCCTGTCTCTACTAAAAATACAAAGTTAGCCAGGCGTGGTGGTGCATGCCTGTAATCCCAGCTACTCAGGAGGCTGAGATAGGAGAATCTCTTGAATCTGTTAGGCAGAGGTTGCAGTGAGCCAAGATCGTGCCATTGTACTCCAGCCTGGGCAACAAGAACAAAACTCCATCTCAAAAAAAAAAAAAAGCCAATAAATATATTAAATAATGCTCACCTTCACTAGGGATCATGAAAATGAAAACACTAAAAACTGAGATGTCATTTTGCTAATTGAAATGCCAAAAATTTTAAATTTGTTTATATTAGTGGTTGGTGAGTAAATGGGAAAGGATAGTATCAATATTGATGATGGGAGTGTAAACCTACATGACAGCATTGGAGGATAGTTTGGCAATACCACAATTAAAGGGAGCCCTCATGGCCAGTCATCCTTCTCTGTGTCTTCACACTGGAGAAACACTTACGGTGGCAGAGGCTACCAGTCATTCCCACATCAGTTCCCCATTGCCTTGTCATAACAATCTCACTACCCAGCTAAAGGCTACACTTCCCAGCCTCCCCTGAAGCTAAGTGTGACCATGTGACCAAGTTTCAGCCAATGAGATGTGAGAAGAGACTTTGCAACTTTTAGGATGTTCCCTTAAAGGGAAGGAGCACACCCTCCCCTTCTCCTTTTCTCCTTGTCCAGTGGCAATGCCCTTAGAAGAGGAGGAGAGAGAGACACACAGGAAGCAAAAGCCATGTGAAGACAGAAGCAGAGATTGGAGAGATGCATCCACAAGCCAAGGAAAGCCAACAGCTACCAGAAGCTGGAATAAGTAAGGCTGTCCCCTAGAACTGTCAGAGAGAGTGTAGCCCTGCCAGCACCTTGATTTTGGACTTCTAGCATCTAGCGCTCATGAGAATAAATTTTGGTTGTTTTAAGCCACCAAGTTTCTTTTCTGGTTATAGCAGCCCAAGACGACTAATACACCATGGTATACTCATTTCATAGAATACCGTGCAGTAATTGAAAAGAGTGAGGTCCACCAATATGTGCTGTCATGAAAAGATCTTGAAGACACTGGTGAATGAAAAAAGCATGTGGCTGAATTATATTATATATCCATTACAATATCACTTACACAGAGGGAAGCCATAACCAAGACTATACTTTCTACAGGAACAAATAAATACATGTACATGCAGAAACACGTCTGATGTGTATCAAGCAAAGAACAGTGCTGACCTGTGGGGTAGGAGAAGGAGCTGAAGAGAGGATCAGGATTATGGAAGATGGTCAGAGGACTTAGTTCTATTGATAATGTTTCCATTTTTAAAAAGATAAATATTTACATATGAATTGTGCAATAAAGTTACTTCAATCTAAGATGGGAGTGGTAAGACCGGCAGTAGGGAAGGAGCCTGATTGGACCACTGGGCACAGGGTCTTGGGCATATTATCTTTCAGAGTCACCAATTGATCTGCCCCACTTACCTCCTGTGGTGGGCTGAATAATAGTCCCTCCTCCAAATATGTCCCTGTCCTAATCCCTGGAACCTATGAGTGTTATATTGCAAAAGGGGCTTTACAGATGTGATTAAGTTAAGTTTCTTGAGATTTTGGGGTTATCCTGGAGTAGCTGGGTGTGCCTGATATAATTACAGATATAATTACTTTTATAAGAGAAGGCAGGGTCAGAGGAGAAGATGTGACTATGGAAGCAGAGATTGGAGTGATGCACTTTAAAGATGGAAGAAAAGGACCAGGTAAAGAATACAGGTGGCCACTAGCAGCTGGAAAAGTCATGGAAACAGATTCAGACTCCGTCTAAAAAATAAAAAACTTCTTAGAAGTTGAGGCACTCTCTTTCTGGAAAAGAAAAATCTCTAAATTTCAAGATTTTCCCTAATGAATCTTGAGATATTGACTATGATGAAAGTGAAGACTTTTTCTGTCTTTCCAAATTTGAATTCTAAGTGTGCTCAGCAATTTCAGCTCCGCTCTGGAAACCACAGCAAGCTGAAGGTGAAATGAAAATCGTCCAGTTCTAGCACATCATAATGCCAGCCGAGAAAATTATAAAGCCTAGCCACGATGACTGGCTATCTTAAAACTTAGACATAAATGCCTGAGAAACTCTCTTCCCAAATGGCAGGAACTCCCACTATTCCCATTACCACCCTTATCACTGGGAAATCAGACTGGAAGAGAAGGCTCACTTGGAGAAATGTGGACATCTCCTCCCAGTCCAACACCAGTGTGCGGCGCAAACAGAGGAGCTGTAGCAGGCCAGGGCCATCCACATGAGGACTCCTGTCTGGACAGCTCCAAGAAATAGGACAGAAGATGTCTCCTGCAGGAGCATGAGGAATATTCTGTCTTTACGAAGCAGTATTTTGATCCTAAAAACAAAGTTTTCCACAGAAGATACAGGATAACAATCCAGAACAAATCTTCTCATCTATTGTTCTAGTAACTTCTTGTGCATAGAACTTCTTGAGTTCTATGGATTTCTTCATCTAATGCCCTGCTAGTAGCTACAAACAGAGACATAATAACCTAACCACTCTGTTCATCTTTGTTTTCCCTTAGAATGTGTGAGAAGAGGATGTAGAGAACTTGGATGTGATGAATCATTTTCAGAATATGCTTTGAAGCATTGAAACAGACAATTTTAAAAGACAAAACACAGGATAATTGCATGCCTGCGCCAAGAGGGAATCCTGAAGAAAGTCAGCGCTTCCAGAGGAATTACTTGCTACCAGGGTGTCCCTTCCTTGACCCCCCTTCTCTCTGTGAGACATTGCACATTCCAAACAAGGAGGGCTCTCTCACGTCCATCTTTTCACGGATGTAGCCTTCTTGGCTGGATGGAGGAAGATCGTCTTGAATGTGGAGCATGTTCTGGGTTGCCTCCTGCTGCTCTGAGCCCACCCTTAACACGTGGAAGCCATAAGGAGGCATCACTGGAGGCAGACCGGACACCTGTTTGCTGATGATCCTCAGCCCCCACCATTAGGTGCTGCTTCCATGTGGAGACCAAGACCTTTCCATCATCCATGGGACCCACCTACTCACTGTGGCACGGACCCAGTTGGGAAAGCCTACAGCAATCCTTGTGTTGTGGAAGGACTCAACTCTGAGATGACAGAAGAGAGGGTCCTAGGTTGTCTGCTCCTTGAAGAAAAACTGATGAGGAGAACAAATTGTCCCTCTGGGACTGGCTCCTCTTGTCACTCAGCCTTGACCAAGTCCTTCGCTCTTTCCTACAGCATTAGATTCCATCACAGGTGAAAGTGCTTCCAGTTCCAGCCCCCTACTCATCTCTCTGGTTCCCCTCCCCACATTTTCCGTCCTGTTCCCTCTAATCTCTGGGCGGGATGAACAGCATTTCTAAACTGTTGTCTAGAAAGAGGAAGCACTGAGTCAGATCACTCCAGAAAAAGACAAATAGCCAAATGGGCATACTTGTCTACACCAGCTCCGTCACAGCCACTTCTGAAAAACAAGGGAGCAGGCATACAAGCACACCTTCAGGGGGATCAGAGATGTGGAGGGAGCATCAGACTTCCCAAAGCGTTTCCCTGTTGTAACAAACCAAGACATTTATGTACATTCTTTTAACGTGCATATGTTTACTGCCTGTGTGTGCACTGCCATCCTATCTGTGGCACATATGTAGTATGTACGACCTATCTAGACATGAAAGCAATCTAGGTCAGCTGCCACCACGTGTTCTAGGTCCTTGTGGAAAGCCACTGGCTTCACCCTGTGCTGTCTGCATGCCCTCTTAAGGGAGAGGCTCAGAGGTAAGTAGAAGAAAAACTTGTGACTGAAATAAGTTTAGAAGAGCAGATTTCATGGCCACTCCAGCAGCTGGATAGCCCAAGCATCAGGAGGTCTTACTGTTTCTTTTTCTTTTATTTTTTCTCATCCCTCTGGGATGCGGCCAAAACACATCTGAGAGAGAGAGCTCGTCCCTTGCTATCCTGTGCCCCTAAGTGACCAGCAGAGGTAAAGCCATGTCAGGTTTTTAGCTTCTGTACATAACAAAAAGCTTTTATTTTCAAATCTTAAGGCAGCATTTTCTCCAGATGGGACCTCTGTTGGAGCTGTGCCACTGAGGAGAGGAGTCATATCCTTAGGGTTCCTGGTTCTTGCCTAGTATCTGACTATCCCCTCCTTCTAGAGGACCTGGGGTGGCTGGGTTTGGGTATTTGGCCATTGGAAGTGACAGGATGAAGACTCAAGGAAAAACAGCCATTTTTTTGAGGAAACATTCTCCTAGAGGAGAGCGCATTGCATTCCTCACCAGGAGAGATTTCTCTAGGATGTCCTCCTTATTGTCCTTTCTTTCAGTGTGCCTCAGTCATTTAAGTCACAAAGCAAGCTCAGTTGTGCTTCTGCAAAAACTAAAAAAGGACGGGTATGTTCCCACGAGAATTTTTTAAATGTTAAAGGTTGAAGTTTTGTGGCACACTTTTAAAATTTATTCATCTTTTAATTTTGATTTTTCTTTTTCCTTTTTTTAAATTTTTTTGTTTTTTACTTTTTTGAGACAAGGTCTCACTCTGTCACCCAGACTGGAGTGCAGTGGCATGATCTCAGCTTACCACAGCCTCTGCCTCCCAGGCTCAAGTGATTCTCCTCCCTCAGCCTCCCAAGTAGCTGGGATTACAGGCGTGTGCCACTACCACTCAGCTAATTTTTGTATTTTTAGTACAGACAAGGTTTCGCTATGTTGGCCAGGCTGGTCTTGAACTTCTGACCTCAATGATCCACCTGCCTCGGCCTCCCAAAGTGCTGGGATTACAGGCATGAGCCGAGGCACCCAAATTGTCATTTTTCAAAATAGCAATACAACGAACTTGCCCCAAGCCCACCCACTGCTAACACCATACCCTGCCTGTGCTGGCTCTCTGTGTACACACCTCCTTCTTGCTGAACCATTAGAAAGGAGGACACAGGTGCCCGACAGGCCCCCTAGACCCTTCAACTACAATGCTTCTGCCACCACTAAGGAAACAAACATGTATTCAATAAAAGAATCTAACACAATTTCCCCAATTGTCCCACTGGTGTTTTTTATAGTTCATTTTCCTTTCAACTCAGAATAAAATCAAGGCTCACACTTTAGCATTTGGGTGCTATGCCTTGTTATTCTTCCTTAATATAGAACAATCCTATCCCCTCACTCTACCTGGTAATGAGTCCTTTGAAGGGTCCCTGCAAAACATCCCACATTCTATATTCGTCCCTTTCCTTGTGACTATATTTAGGTGCAACATTTCTGGCAAGAACACTGTTTGGTGAATTTCTGAACCTCTCACTACTTCACAGCAGGAACACATAGTATTGTTGGTGTTTGAAGCCACAGTATCAAATCCAGTAACACAGGCTTCTTCCACAGCTTCTCTCATTCCACTTCTTCCACAGTGAAAACCCTGCTTCCCAAAACAGGGATATATTGATTCCTGTGTGCTAACCCACAGTTCACACCCAAGAGTTTTAGTATTAAGGTGCCAACACCATTTTTAAAAAACACATCCAATACTAAGTTTAAAATGTCTTTGCCTCTTAATTTTATTTTTGTCTTTAGAATATATTCCCCTGAGGATACACTGCCAGAGTATTGTTTTTAAGTTACTTTAATCAGTTATGTTATATTTGTACAGGACATTATGGATAATGGGAAAGAACTATAAATAATTCACATATGTCCTTCTGTGAAAATAAATATAAAAATGTAAAGCGATTTCATTTTCTAGTAAAATAAATTAGAGGTGTAAGAAAAAAGGAAATGCAAACAGAATCAAGGGATTTTTAACAGATTCGTGGAAGAGAAGTGGTAACTGGTTTAGCAGAGAAGAGGAAGCCACAGCCTAAAGTATGTGCCTGAATCACACATAGAAAAGGAACCAGCCCATCCTACCTGTCCCCGAACAGCCGGAGGCTGGGGCAGCAGACACCACAGAAGCCAGGCTGAGGCTGGAGAAGAAAGCAGGGCTCAGATGAAAGACTTCACATGGCGCAGCTGGCCCCACAGCCCCCTTCTCTCCCTGTGTGCAGAATGCCCCAACAGGCTCTCAAGGACCCTCCCTGGAGACCTGTGCTGCCCCCTAGGGAGAGCTCTCTGTACGGGACATTCTTCCCCTGGCCCCTCAGATCTGCTGTCCACCCTTCTCTACCGTGCCCATCCCCAGGAGGTGAACCACACACACTGTGTCCCTTGGGCTCTCTCCCTGTGGCTTTAGGGTGGGTTTTGCTGGGCCGGGGGCACACAGGGGGCTGGCGTATTTATTCTCCTTTTTCTTCATGCCAGGCTATAGTTAAGCCAGGGCTGCATTCCCCTGCCTATGACAATGGTTTCTATTGAGAAGCCCCTCTCCCACAGCTAGGAGCATTTACTAGAGTCCAGAAACTTCTATCGCTCCAGATCTCAGGTGGTCATGGCTCCTGGCTGTTGCAGTCACCACCGAGCACTTTCACATCCATCACTGGTCCCCTTGGCCCCTTACAGTCCCATTGTTCAACTCTCTCCCTGGCCCCGTCTGGAGCATCCATGTATTTCCCGACCGGATGGCGGCTGACACAACCTCCACACACCAATAACTTCTGGTCCCCTGACAAGCTGTCCACCACCCACTCGACAGAGAGGCCCACTGGGCGACTTCCCATCTGCTTCTAAGTGACTCACTCTTATTTCTGAATGGGAAACCATGGTACAATAAGTACAAGGAAAGCTCACCACATGCAGGCAAAAATACACAGAAAAAAAGGAACTAGAGGAAACAGAAGTCATGCCGGCAAAAACTTTAAAATATAAATAAAATGTAAATAATACCCTCAGAGACGTTCAAGATGATATTGAGCCCCTAAATCAATAAATGAATGAATTAAAAACAAGAACACAATCTTGCTATTTAAAAATATAACACGTAGTCAGATGTATTGCGGTCATTCCCCTTTACCTGCGGTTTTGTGTCATTGCCCCCAGCATAGCCTCGCCTATGCTGATTGATACAATATTCAACAGTTAAACATGCAACATTAAAAAATTCATTAAAAGGTTTGAGAGGTAAAAATTTTTTAAAATCTCCTGGAAAGTAGAATAGACAAGATTTTTAAATATAGAGATTCAATACACACACACAAAAGCCAATGTAAGTGTTCTAAATGAGAGAATATAGAAAATTATTCGGAAGAAAGTATCCAAGAAATACAAAAATATGAGCCTTAATTAAAAGATATAAGTCTCCAGAATTACTGTATCCATTATCAACCCAGTACCATAAAGAAAAAAAACCAATACCGAGGCAGTTTTAAAGAAATTTCTCATCACCAGAAAGGAATAATTCTATTAGCTTCCAAAGAGGAAACAAACAAACAAAAAACACAAAACACAGGTTACCTGAAAAAGGAACACAAGTGAGAATGGCCTCAGGATTCTTAATAGTAACACTCGAATTTAGAAGATAATGGAATAAAGTCTTCAAATTCCAAGAGAAAATATTTGTAGCTAAGAATTATATAACCAGCCAAATTAGCAATAACATATGAGCAGAATAGGATATCTTCAAACATGCAAAGACCTATAATATTACTTCTTAAGCTGTCTTTCTAAGAAAACTCCTAGAGAATGTTCTCCCATAATATGAGGGTATAAATCAAGAAAGATGAAAACATGGAGTCCAGGAGACAATAGATTCAACCCAAAAGAGCAATGAAGATAAGACCTGTAATACTATCTGTATATGCCTGACGAGCAACCAGGCCACAATGAACTCAGAATGTGAAGGGCCTCCAGGGTGCAATTATGATTGCTGCTGACTGTGTGCTGAATGATACAGCAGAGAAGCCTCACAAGGCATTTCCATCAGCAAGAGGACAGCATAAGAGAGACCTAGATCAGCCCCAGAGAAGGGAGCACAAACTTAAAACTTTGCATTATTTGGCAACCATGAAAATGCTAAGTTGGGGGCAAGTATCTATAGATGGCTGAATGTCTATAGTCCATTCATTCAGCAGATGTTAAAAAGAATGAGGCAGGGTGGCCAAGATGGCTGACTGGAAGCAGCTGGTGTGCGTGGATCTCACAGAGAGGAACAGAAGGGGCAAGCAAATACAACACCTTCAACTGAAACATCCAGGTCCTCGCATTGAGATTAATCGAGGAAACAACCTGACCCACAGATAATGAGGAAAAGCAAGACAGGACAATGGCCCACCTCGGAGCAACACGGAGCCAGAAGATCCTCCCCAACCCAGGGACACAGTGAGTGAATGAACCACCCTGGGAAACCACACTTCTCCCACAGATCTTTGCAACCCTTGGGTCAGGAGATCACCTTGTGAACCCACTCCACCAGGGCCTTCAGTCTTAAGTCTGACAGACAGAGCTATGCAAAGTCTTGGCAGAGCAGCCACTTAGGCATGCATGGAGACCCTGGAGACTTACATACTTGGGCTTTCTGGCAAAAGTAGCTACAGTTCTGGGAAAGTGGGAGGTTAGACTCCTCTACATACCCCTAGGAAGGAGGCTGAATCTAGGGGGCTGAACAGCAACAGCCTGCAGGCCCCACTTCCACAGCACCACACAAGATAAGACCCACTGGTTTGGAATTCCACCCAGCTACTAATAGCAGCATTACACCTCCCTAAGAAGGAACTCCTAGGTGGAGGAGCAGGCTGACATCTTTGCTATTTAGGCACCTTAGCCATTCCAGCCTTCAGGCTTTGGAGAGTTTGAGCTGATCTGGGGCAGAAAGGATGCCCCACCATGGCACAGCTGCTCTACCTCAACATAGCCAGACTGCTGCTTTAAGCAGGTGCCTGATCCTGTTCCTCCTCACTAGCAGGACTCCCGAATGGGGCCTCCAGCCAGCCCCAACTAAGCTCTCCAGCTGACAGAGATCTGAATTCCCCCTGGGATGGTGCTTCCAGAGGGAGGGGTGGGCCATCATCTTTGTTGTTTGGGTGACTTAGCTGTTCTAGCCTTCAGGCTTTGGAAAGTCTGAGCCCACCCAGGGCAGGAGGGATCCCCCAGCATAGCACAGCTGTTCTACCACAACGTGCCCAGACTGCTGCTTTATGCAGGCACCTGATCCCATTCCTCCTCATTGGGCGGGACCTCAAAACCAGGGTCTCCAGTCACTTCCTATGATGCCTTTGGGCTGGCAACAGGTCCATACCTCCCTGCAACAAAGCTCCCAGAGGAAGGGACAGGCTGTCATCTTTGCTGTTTCACAGCCATCACTGGTGACACCTCCAGGTTCTGGAAAACCCAAGGTGACTAAGGACTAGAGTGGGCCCCAAGCATACTGCAGCAGCCCTATGGAAAAGTGGCCAGATTGTTACGTGGGTGCCTCTTCCCATATCTCCTCACATGGCAGGTCCTCCAGGCCTGGACCTCCAGCCACACCCCCTGCCAGAGCTATTGAGCCAATACCAACTCAGCAACTCCCTGGAAAGAGCCTCCAGGGGTAACTGAAAGCTTCTTGGCCACTGACTCTGCTGCGGAACTGCCCTTCCCACCCTTGGACTAATGGAGAGAAGACCCTACATGCCTTATCCACACCTCCAACAAACCACAGTCTTCCCAAGGAGAGGGGGCCAGCCCATCTCCCACAGGTACCACACACCCCCCATGACTCGTCACCAGACAGGAAACCCCTGGCTTGGGCCCACAGCATAGATCCTCCATCTGGGACTGACTGCACTGAGTGATTGCTCACCTGCATCTCTCTAGGGTGGAACTCCCAGGAGTCAAGCAAAAGATCCTTGGCCATAATCACTACTAAGATATCTTCCTCTGCTGCCTCTAAGCTGGAGAAGGAGCATAAACACTGAGATTGCCCCAGAGCTGCAGTGGGCAGCCCAGGAGTGCCAAGTCGTGATCTACAGTGAACACTCAAGGGGAAGAGAAACCCACACTTTCAGAGCACTGAGAAGGAACACGGCTGCAACTGTGAGGAAACATAGGGTAGCCACATAACTGAGCAAGAGTCTACCAAATGACTAATAAGCCTAAGTGCCACCTGCTGGATCACACCCCAAAGCCTCAACACAGAAAAATACCTCACTAACATACCACCCTCTGAACCAGTGACAAGAAGTCAGCTTCAAATAAAGGCCCTACACAAAGCTTTCGCCTGGTGAAAACATCCAGAAAAAAAGTCTATTGACTGTACTCAATCTACACTGCAGTTAAAGGAACACCCATATGGAGAGATGAGAAAGAACCAACACAAGAACTCTGGTAACTCACACGGCCAGAGTGTCATATATTCTCCAAACAACTGCACCAATTCTCCAAGCATTCTTAATCAGGCCAAACTAGCAGGAATTACAGAAACAGAATTCAGAATATGGATATGAACAAAGATCACTGAGATTCAAGAGGATTACAAAACCTAACCCAAGGTAAATAAGAATCACAATAAAGTGATACAGGAGCTGAAGGAAGAAATAGCCAATATAAAAAAGAACCTAATGGGTCTGACAGAGCTGAATAACACAAGAACTTCACAATGCAATCACTAGTATTAACAGCAGAATAAACCAAACTGAGGAAAGAATCTCAGCACTTGAATATGGGTTCTCTGAAATAAGACAGACAAACATTTTTTAAAAAGAATAAAAAGAAACGAACAAAACCTACAAGAAGTATGGGAATATGTAAGGAGGCCAAATCTACCAATCACTGGCCTCCCTGAAAGGGAGGGGGTGAAAGCAAACAACTTAGAAAATATATTTCATGATATCATCCATGAAAACTTCTCCAACCTTGCTAGAGAGGTCAACAGTCAAATTTAGGAAATACAGAGAACTCCTGCAAGATTCTACAAAAGAAGATCATCCCCAAGACACATAATTGTCAGATTTTCCAAGGTCAAAATGAAAGAATGTTAAAGGCAGCTAGAGAGAAAGGGTAGGTCACCTACAAAGGGATCCTCATCTGACTAACGGCAGACTTCTCACCTAAAACCCTACAATTAATAGAAGAGACTGGGGACCTATATGAAACATTCTTAAAGTAAAGTTTTCAACCAAGAATTTCATATCCAGCCAAACTAAGCTTCCTAAGTGAAGGAGAAGTAAAATCATTTTCAGATAAGCAAGCATTGAGGGACTTCATTACCACCAGATCTGCCTTACAAAAAATCTTGAAAAGGGTACTAAATATAGAAAGGAAAAACCACTATAAGCTAATATAAAAACACACTTAAAGACAAAGACCAGTGTCACTGTAAAGCAATCACGCAAACATAATAATCAGCCAACATAATAACCAGCTAACAGCACAATGACAGGATCAAATTCACACATATCAATACTAACCTTGAATGTAAATGGGCTAAATGCCTCACTTAAAAGGCACAGAATGGCCAGTTGGATAAAAAAACAAGACCCAATGGTATGCTGTCTTCAAGAGACCTATCTCACATGTAATGAAACTCATAGGGTCAAAATAAAGAAATGGCGAAAAATCTACCAAGCAAATGGAAAACAGGAAAAAGGCAGGGATTGCAATCCTAATTTCAGACAAAACAGATTTCAAACCAACAAAGATCAAAAAAGACAAGGAAGAGCATTACATAATGGTTAAGGATTCAATTCAACAAGAAAACCGAACTCTCCTAAATATATATGCACCCAACACAAGAGCATCCAGATTCATAAAGCAAGTCCTTAGAGCCCTACAAAGAGGCATAGACTCCCACACAATAATAGCGGGAGACTTCAACACTCCACTGACAGTATTAGACAGATCCTCGAAGCAGAAAATTAACAAAGATATTCAGGACTTAAACTCAGCATTGGACCAAATGGATCTGATAGACCTTTACAGAAATCTCCAACCTCCCCCGCACACCAAAAAAAGTATATACATTCTTCTCATTGCCACATGGCACATACTCTGAAATCAACCACATAATTGGACATAAAACAATTTGCAACAAATGTAAAAGAATCAAAATCATACCAAACAGACTCTCAGACCACAGTACAATAAAAATGGAATTCAACACAAAGAAAATAGCTCAACACCATACAATTACATAGAAATTAAACAACATGCTCCTGAATGACTTTTTGGTAAATAATGAAATTAAGGCAGCAATCAAGAAGTTCTTTAAAAATAATGAGAACAAATGTACAACATACCAGAATCTCTAGGATCATTAAGGCAGTATTAAGAGGGAAATTCATAGCACTAAATGCCCATCAAAAAGTTAGAAAGATCTCAAATTAACAACCTGACTTCACAACTGAAAGAATTAGAAAAGCAAGAACAAATAAACCCCAAAGCTAGCAGAAGACGAGAAATAACAAAAATCAGAGCTGAACTGAAGGAGATTGAGACACAAAAAACCATTCAAAAGATCAATGAATCCAGGAGTTGTTTAATAAAATAGGCCTTTAGCTAGACTAATTAAGAAGAAAAGAGAGAAGATCCAAATAAACACAATTAGAAATGACAATGGCAATGTTACTACTGACCCCACACAAATAAAATCAACTATCAGAAACTACTATGTACACCTCTACACACACAAACTAGAAAACCTAGAACAGATGGATAAATTTCTGGACACATATACCCTCTCAAGACTGAGCAAGGAAGAAATTGATTCCCTGAACAGACCAATAAGGAGCTCCAAAATTGAATCAGTAATAAATAGCCTGCCAACCAAAAAAAGCCCAGGACCTGATGCATTCACAGCTGAATTGTACCAGATGTACAAAGAAGAGCTGGTATCATCCCTACAGAAACTATTCCAAGAAATTGAGATACAACATGCCAGAATCTCTAGGACAGTTAAGTCAGTATTAAGAGGGAAATTCATAGCACTAAATGCCAGCATGAGGCCAGCATCATTTTGATACCAAAACCTGGCAGAGACACAATAAAAAAAAAAGAAAACTTCAGGCCAATATCGCTGATGAACATCAATGCAAAAATCCTCAAAAAAATATTTGCAAACCAAATCCAGCAGCACATCCAAAAGCTAATCCACCATGATCAAGTAGGCTTCATCCCTAGGATGCAAGGTTGGTTCAACATACTAAAATCAATAAATGTGATTCATCACGTAAACAGAACTAAAGACAAAACCACATGGTTATCTTAATAGATGCAGAAAACGCTTTTCTTAAATAAAATTCAACATCCTTTCATGTTGAAAACTCTCAATGAACTAGGTATGGAAGGAAAATACCTCAAAATAATAAGAGTCATATATGACAAACTCACAGCCAACATTATACTGAACAGGCAAAAGCTGGAAGCATTCCCCTTGAAAACCAGCACAAGACAAGGATGCCCTTTCTCACCACTTCTATTCAACATAGTATTGGAAGTTTTAGCTAGAGCAATCAGGCAAGAAAAATAAATAAATAAAGGGCATCCAAATCGGAAGAGGGGAAGTCAAACTATCTCTGTTTGCAGATGACATGATCCTATATCTAGAAAACCCTATAGTCTTGGCCCAAAACCTCCTTCAGCTGATAAGTTTAGCAAAGTTGCAGGATACAAAATCAATGTACAAAAATCACTAGCATCCCTATACACCAACAATAGCAAAATTGAGAGCCAAATCAGAAAGGCAATCCCATTCACAACTGCCACAAAAAAATAAATACCTCAGAATACAGCTAACCAAGGAGGTGAAAGATCTCTACCATGAGAATTACAAAACACTGCTCAAAGAAACCCAAGAAGACACAAACAAATGGAAAAACATCCCCTTCTCATGGATAGGAAAAATCAATATCATTAATATGGCTATACTTCCCAAAGCAATTTACAGATTCAATGCTATTCCTATCAAACTACAAAAAACATTCTTCACAGAACTAGAAAAAACAATTTTTAATTTATATGGAACCAAAAAAGAGCCCCAATAGCCAAGGCAATCCTAAGCAAAAAGAACAAAGCTGGAGGAAGTCACATTACCCAACTTCAAACTGTATTATTATACAAGCTACAGTAACCAAAACAGTATCGCACTGGTACAAAAACAGGCACATAGACCAATTGAACAGAATAGAGATCCCAGAAGCAAGGCTGCACATCTACGACCATCTGATCTTTGACAAAGCTGACAAAAATAAGCAATGGGGAAAAGGCTCCCTATTCAGTAAATGGTGCTGTGATAACTGGCTAGCCATACACAGAAGATTGAAACTGGACCACCATAAACAAAAATCAACTCCAGATGGGTTAAAGACTTAAATGTAAAACCCAAAACTATGAAAACCCTGGAAGATAACTTAGGCAATACCATCCTGGACATAGGAACAGGCAAAGATTTCATGACAAAGACACCAAAAGAAATTGCAACAAAAGCAAAAATTAAAAAATGGGATCTAATTAAACTTAAGAGCTTCTGCACAGCAAAGAAAACTATCAACAGAGTAAAAAGACAACCCTACAGAATGGGGGAAAACATTTGCAAACTATGCATCTGACAAAGGTCTAATATCCAGCATCTATAAGGAACTTAAATATACAAGAGAAAAACAAACAACTCCATTAAAAAGTGGACAAAGGACATGAAAAGACACTTCTCAAAAGAAGACATACATGCCGCCAACAAGCATATGAAGAAAAGTTCAATATCACTGGTCATCAGAGAAATGCAAATGAAAACCACAATGAGATACCATCTCACACCAGTCAGAATGCCTATTATTAAAAAGTCAAAAAATAACAGATGTGGTGAGGTTGCAGAGAAAACTGAACGCTTATACACAGTTGGTGGGAGTGTAAATTAGTTCAGCCATTGTGGAAAGCAGCATAGCAATTCCTCAAAGAGCTGAAAACAGAACTATCATTCAACCCAGCAATCCCATTACTGGGTACATACCCAGAGCAATATAAAGCATTCTGCCATAAAGACACATGCACGCGAATGTTCATTGCAGCACTATTAACAATAGCAAAGACATGGAATCAACCTAAATGCCCATCAATGAGAGACTGATAAAGAAAATGTGGTACATATGCACCATGGAGTATTATGCAGCCATAAAAAGGAATGAGATCAGCCGGGCACAGTGGTTCACACCTGTAATCCCAGCACGTTGGGAGGCTGAGGCAGGCAGATCACAAGGTCAGGAGATTGAGACCATCCTGGCTAACACAGTAAAACCCCACCTCTACTAAAAACACAAAAAATTAGCCAGGCATGGTGGTGAGCGCCTGTAGTCCCAGCTACTCAGGAGGCTGAGGCAGGAGGCGGAGCTTGCAGTGAGCCGAGATCGCGCCACTGCACTCCAGCCTGCGGGACAGAGTGATATTCCGTCTCAAAAAAAAAAAGAATGAGATCATGTCTTTTGCAGGAATGTGGATGGAGCTGGAGGCTATCATCCTTAGCAAACTAACAAAGGAATAGAAAACCAAAGACTGCATGTTCTCACTTAGAAGTGACAGCTAAATGATAAGAACTTAAAAACACAAAGAAAGACACAAAAGACACTGGGTCTACTTGATGGGGGAGGGTGAGAGAAAGGAGAGGAGCAGAAAACATAACTATTGGGTACTGAGCTTAATACTTGCAGGATGTAATAAAATGTATCACAAACCCCTGTGACACATGTTTATATATGTAACAAACCTTCACATGTACCCCCAAACCTAAAATGAAATTTTTTTAAAATGAGGCAGATATGTGTGCACTGATAAAGAATAATCTATACAATTTTTTTTGTTGGTTTTTGTTTGTTTGCTTGTTTGTTTGTTTTTTGAGACAGGGTCTCACTCTGTAGCCCAGGCTGAAGTCTGGAGTGCAGTGATGCAATCATGCGATCCTCCCCTTCAGTCTCCTAAATAGCCAGGACCACAGGTGTGTGTCTCCACACCAGGCTAACTTTTTATTTTTTGTAAAGATAGGATCCCACTATGTTGCCCAGGCTGGTCTCAAGCTCCTGGGCTGAAGCAATTCTCCTGTCTCAGTTTCCCAAAGTGTTGTGATTATAGGTGTGAGCCACCATGCCCAGCTATATATAATGTTATTATTAAATAAGACAATCAGGACACAGAATAGTGTGTGCAATGTGCTACTATTTGTGTGAAAAATAAAATGTATTTATATTTATGGACACACACAAATATTTGTATTTGCAGAAAATGTGATATTTGAGGTTGGCCTGTCAGATAAAATTTAGGATACCCAGTTACATTTTAATTTTAAGTTAACAATGAATAATTTTTATTATATTCCATTCAATATTTGGGATGAAAAAGTATTCATTTTCATCTGAAATTCAAACTTAACTGGGAAACCTGTGTTGATATTTGCTAAATTTGGCAATCCTACTTTGAGGTGATGAAGGTTAGTATTAAGATATGTAATCAAATATGCAGTTTAGTATTCTATTCTCAAAAATCTAACATGATGGCATGCACACACACAGAAAAGGCAACCAATAACCCCGTCTCCCCTGCCAAGCACATTTGCACATTGGATTCCATTTGCACAGTGCCCCTGGAGGTGTGGGGTGCAGTGTCCTGGTCCGAGAACAGCAGGCTGAATTGCCGGGAGGCGGTCCTGCTGGTGAAGGCGACTCATCACCCAAGGAAGTTCCTGGCACTTGTTATAGAGCATCCTGTATCTGTCCTTCAGGCACCAGTGGAGCTGAGGGTGATTCCCGGCCGTACGTGCAGTTGAGATGCTTCAAGAATTTTCTTCCGGTCTAACCTCAAGAACAGCCACACAAAGTAGCTGCAATCATTCAGTTTCCTCCGGGACCGCATTCTCCCCACCCCGACCCCAAGTCCCCTCTGCTCTTATGGCCATGTGGAATTTGTGCTTATATTTTGTTGGCAATTGGATTCAAACACATTACAGTATTTTGAATTGAGGGATTCAAAAATTATTATTATATTCCCTTTGCAGCTACCTATAGTTATTTATGCAGTAAATTCTGTTTAAACTCACTTGAGTGGGCCCCTGCTAACTACTGAAGGGCTGTTAGTAGCAAATTTGTCCAAGGACAAATAAATCATTGAAGCCAGTTCTCCTTCCCCTCCTACAGGGTGAAAGAAATACTTCCCCTGGGGTAGGAAGAGGGGTGAAAGCTCCCTCCTACCCTTTCTCAAAAGCTCTGCTCAAACCCAGCGGACTCCGTTCCCTGCCAGCAGCTGTGACTGCTGAAAGCCTGGCGTTCAGTATCATTTCCAAGCTCGCCCAGGGGCTGCCAGGAGCATGGCAGGGTGCTGACTGCTGCAGAGGCAGGTGGCTTCAGCCAAAGGGATTCGAAAGACTGTCCCACCCCACCCCAGCCCTCTCGCTAAGACTAAGTTCAGAGAGGTCGCGTGACGTGTCCAAGGTTGCGAGGCTGGTTAGCAGCCAAGCAGGGCCTGCCGTCCTGCCGTGTCGGACAGGGACCTTGGGCAGCTTCTCATACCCTTCCGCTGCCTTCTTCTTTCTCTTCTTGGTCCAACAACACCTCCGCAGCACCCCCACCTCCAGCCCCCTACCTGGGCTGCCTTTCCCCTTCCAGGCTTTAATAAAATGTCACACCACCAGGCGGAGGCTCCCACTTCTGGAGAAGGCTTGAGGAGCCAGGTGCTGCCCCAGAAGGCAGGGCAGTGGCCCCCACGGAGTGTGTCTTGACTAGTTGGAAAGAGAAGTTAGGAGAGAAGTAAGCAGACGGTGCCCACTCACCCTCCTCTACCCCTGCCCCCAGCAGCCTGCTCCACACGCAGCCTCTCCTTGCAAATCTCCAGATGGGTCCACCACGCTGGGCACGGGCCCAGGCCTGCCTGCGAGCTCACAGGGTGCATTGACCCACGTGGCAAGGCATCACGTCACTTCGCGCTTTTCCCCGCCTCGCTCCCTCTATCTCCTCATTCTCACTGCTCACGGCTCAAACCTCCCAAATAAAACGCTGGGACTCGAATTCTCGCTGTGGCTCTGCTTTTCAGAGGACCCTGGCCCGAACATCACTGATAGCCAGACTCAACACTGAGGCTGCTGGTGCCTCCCAGCACATCCTTAACACATCGCTGGCACCCGGGTTCTCATCGCAGGGACTGCTTCTAGGAAATCCAACCTAAAACACCATTTGGTTTTAAAACACTTTTCATAGGCGGCACGGTGACTCACGCCTGTAATCCCAGACCTTTGGAAGGCCAAGGCAGGAGGATCACTTGAGCCCAGGAGTTTGAGACCAGCCTGGGAACATAGCAAGACCTCATCTCAGTAACAAAAAAGAAATATTTTTTTTTTCTTAAACGACTGAGCACTTATAGCCCTCCCAATGCTCTTTCCCTGCCTGATTATCCCCATAGTATTTAGCACCATGTAAGTTATTTTATTTTCTTTCCCTTGCCTTCCTAATAGAGTGTAAGTTCCATGACGGCCTGGACTTCTGCCAGTTTTGTTCACTGCTGTTCCCTCAGCACATAGAACAGTGCCTGCCACAGGTAAGCACACTAAGTGTTTGTTGAATGAATGAAGGTACCAAGGATTGGGCTACAAGCCAAAAATAAAACAATGAACAGGAAAGACATGGCCCCAAGCCCCAGAAAGCTTCGTCTAAAGGGAAGATGCATCATTAAACGTCATCCCGTGTCTCCTACTCTTCAGATGATCCCAGTTGCCTTGCTTTATGGTATTCTACGTTGGAGTTCCATTTCATCATCTAATTTGGGGTCTTTGCATTCTCAAGGGATTAATTCCAATATGTTCTGCTTGTGGCACCTGTTTGCACCAAGGATGGGTTTTTCTGGCCTTGCAGCTCTTTAAACATCAGCAGCCTCTCCAGCCCATGTTTTCTCCTGCCTTTTATGTTGTTTCATCAGAAATTAGTGTCCTTTTTCTGCAGGAATCATGGAGCACATGTTTCTAATCCTACTTCTGGTCAGAATACATAGTTGTGTTCCATTTGGGATCTGTGGCAGAGACTGTCAGATGTCTACCCATCAGCCATCCCACCCTTTCTCCTTAATAACAAAACTCTGATATTATTTGCAGCCCAGTGGTCTATAGAGCAAGCCTGTACCAGCTCCCAAGAGCCAATTAGTAGATTTGCAGGAATTGGGTAAACTAATCATTAAACCATTGGTAGCTTGAAATTAACCATGGTGGTAGTATTTATACTGCAGAAATTAGCAAATGCTACAATCAGGAGTTTCTTTCTCTCTCCCTGCCATCTCCCACTTTGGGGTGGGGGGAGGATAAAACTGGCTTACCAGCACATCACTAGGGGGTGAATACGTACCCAGCTAAAAGACTACATTTCCCAGCCTCCCTTGCAGGAAGATATGGCGAACTGGATGAAGCTGGTCCCTAATGACTTAAAGGCCCTGGTTACCTAACTCCAGGGCAAAAATCAACTTCTGCTTTTTTAAAAGCCATTTTTTAGTTGAGAGTTTTTTTTATTACCTGTAGTGATGCCTGATCCTAACTGATCCAGGGTCCAGCTGAAAGTTTGTTTCTCATCAAGGAGATACATATTTCCTATGCAATACCATTAATGTCCCGGGCCACAGTGGCTCGCAGGCATTACTGCTTAATTATATTGTGCCCTTCATCAGGTAGGCTGCAGTTGCCACCTACCTTACCTTCAGACTTACTCTCTATGAAGTGGCCACTGATGTTTTCTTCTTCAATTTTGACATATGACAAATGACTAAAGTCCATCACAAGTCCTGAATCCTTCTAGAAATTGCTTTATGGTATTCTACCTTGGAGTTCAGCCACTTTCACACACCACAGCAACTGGCTAGTGCCTTCTGCCACTGGATGGTGTCCTCACGCCAGGAGCTAAGCTCAGACCATGAGTCTGCAAGAGGAGAAGGGCATTTCAGGGGGATCAGCTCAGGCACACAGAGTCCAGCTCCAACTAAAAAACACCATGGATGGGCCGGGCACTGTGGCTCACGCCTGTAATCCCAGCACTTTTGGAGGCCGAGGTGTGCGGATCACTTGAGGTTAGGAGTCCGAGCCTGGCCAACATGGTGAAACCCATCTCTACTAAAAATACAAAAAATCACCTGGATGTGGTGGTGAGTGACTGTAATCCTAGCTACTCGGGAGGCTGAAGCAGGAAAATCACTTGAACCCGGGAGGCGGAGGTTGTAGTGAGCCGAGATCATGCCACTGCACTCCAGCCTGGATGACAGAGTGAGACTCTGTCTCAAAAGAAAAACAAACAAACAAACAAACAAACCACAACAAAAAAACCCGTGGATGGACAAACTATTAAGTGGGTGAAAATAGTGATGAAAGTGACCCCCTTTTTCTGCATAATTTAATAGGATGTACAATTTTAGGACTAGATTGTGCCTTCTGATTTTTAATCAATGGGTCAATGTGGAAAAAATTTAATCTGTTTACAAGATGATTGAGTGATCAATTGATTTTTACTGAATTAACTTAATTAACCAGCTGTTAGGCCTTATATATGTAATCTCTAAATTTACAAAATAAGCCTTATAAAACAAAATTAGCCAATTTCACTACTGAATAATCACTGAAATCACCCTGAAAGACAGACATGTGTACTTATGAAGCGTGACAATGTGTCATTCAAGGAAAGTGGTTTTTGAAAATTCGTATTTAATGCCTTTTTAAAATTACAACTCTATTAGGGATAGAAATAAAATAAGTACATGCCTCTTTTGTTCCTATTGATTAGACTAATTTAATCTGATCAATTTTAAACCGGGGGGGGGGGGTGCTATTTTAGTAAAATGAAAGTGAAGATGACCTGTCTGTGTAAGTCCAAGAAGAATTGCAATGTTGCATTTCAAATGTAGTGTATCAAAAAATTACGCATTTGAAACCAGACTGAAGGCTTATTATCATAAAGATAATTAAGCATGCTTCGGTGGCTTTTGCAGGCAACTGAAATGTCTTTTGGGTACTGCCTATTTACATTCATTCCTAAACGGTATCCACCGCCATTCATATCTTGCTGTGGGAACACCCAGCTGTCTAACTTGTAGTTTCTTAATTGAGGTCAATTCTCTTACTTTGCTCAGGACAGGTAAATCTACCTCCAAGAAATTGCAATGGTCAAAGGCAGTGTGAACTCATAAAAATCACCATTCCCTGACACTTTTTAATGTGATAATACAATTGTCTGCCCAAAACTGAGATGCTTTTTTAAATAGAAGAGAACAAATATGTGTTTAGAATGAACATCTCTTTTCTATTCCTATTTTTACCTCTTTAGAAGAATTTTGCATATAAATAATTTTGTTTTTTAGTTTATTTCTAGAAATAACCATATCTACTTGTAAATCATTATTTGGGCCCTGTTGGGTTTTTTAAGCAACTAATATTATACTGTTATAAATATATTGTAATATATAAACTAATTATATCGTTATAAATTATTAGTTATTAATGTCAACTAAAGTTTTTCCATGTATTGATTCCTTTCAAAGTTATATTTAGGATTACGAAGTTCTATAGACATTGAGTTTTATATAAAGGTAACAGAAAAAAATGTAGAAATATCATAAAAATAATGTAACAGCCCTTTGGGATTATAACTGATTTATGCTCATATTATCAAAATTGGAAGTTTGGTAGAGAGGATTTAAAGCCAGGAGAACTGGTTTCTGGCTCCAGGACTCATTGTAATGAGCTGCAAGTCATTGGCAAAATGTCTTCAGGTCTCCTTATGTTCCTCAAACCAAACCAAATCTCACCTAATCTTTGTGGATAATGACTGTGCCATGAGCCACACTGCTCAGTTGTGGGGATCAAAACAGAATTTCTGAAAGTTTTTTTTTTTAAGCCTTGATTTAAGAAGTGACTGATGGAAGAGGCCCCAAGTTTTTGTTTGTTGATTTGTTTCCTTGTGTGTTTTTAAGCAGGAACTTAAAGAGGATGAAAAGCTGTAGATACAAGTGGTTCTGAGAAGGCAAAGCTCTGCATTACCCTTTGTCTTTTATTTTGAAAAACAGATGAAAAAGAAGGTTAGGAAAAATTCACAGCAAGTTACCAAAAAATATAAATTGGCCAGGTGCAGCAGCTTATAGCCGTAATCCCAACACTTTGAGAGGCTGAGGTGGGAGGATCACTTGAGCCCAGGAGTTTGAGACCAGGTTGGGCAACATAATGGGATCCCATATCTACAAAAAATAAAAAATTAGCCAGGCATGGTGGTGTGCGCATGCAGTCCCAGCTACTTGAGGGGCTGAGGTGGGAAGATCGCTGCAGCCAGGGAGGTCAAGGCTGTAGTAACCCATGAATGCGCTACTGCACTCCAACCTGGGGAACGGAGTAAGACCCTGCATCAAAAAAAAAAAAAAAAAAAAAGAGAGAGAGAGAGAATAAATGACTATGCAGATTGCCTTAAACTTAGGAACATATCAGATGTCCCACTACAAAAAAGAAGGTATTTTTCAAGTGATATAAATAAGGAACTAATGCAGAAATTCAATTTTCCATGTCATACTAAATGTGAAGTGTTTTAGAAAGTGTGAGATAATACATAAGTGCAAGCTGTTATCGCATTTTTTTAAAAGCTAGAAAATAAGAATTGTCAAGTGACAGTGACATATGTTAATGCAGAAAGTCATCTACTTTTCAGATGATCTTGATAATCTCTACTGGTGAAGTGCAGCATACAGATATCAGTAAATGTCGCTGCTATTTGAGGAGCATCGTTACTCTCCAAGCCCCTCACAACAGGTGAACAACTGGTCTCCAACACTGCCCTCTCCAGGTTGGGCAGGATGGACATGAGGGCAAGTGCAATTTGTCTAAGGATGTCCAGAACAAGCTTTGTGAGTGCACACGTCCCAAACCGTAGCACAAACCTGACAGCAAGTTAGAATAGGCTCTGTTACAGAGGATGTGAGGGACGTTCCCTAAGTGTGGCACATGAAGAAAACCCACACATATGAGAACCTACTTTATGCAAGGAGCAGGCCTATCTATAATAGTTGATGGATATGGGGCAAGAATACAAATGTAGATTCATATACTATATATCTAGATATTTGAAAGTTATGGCCACGCACAGCGGCTCACACCTGTAATCTCAACACTTTGAGAGGCCAAGGCAGGTGATTGCTTCAGCCCAGGAGTTCAAGACCAGCTTGGGCAACATGGTGAACCCTGTCTCTACAAAAATTAGCCTGGCGTGGTGGTGCATGCCTGTAGTCCCAGCTACTCAGGAAGCTGAGGTGGGAGGATTGATTGAGCCTGGAAGGTCAAGGCTGCAATGAGGCAAGATCACACCACTGCACTCCAAGCTGGGCCACAGGGTGACACCCTGTCGGAAGGAAGGAAGGAAGGGAGGGAGAGAGGGAGGGAGGAAGGAAGGAAGGAAGGAAAGAAGGAAGGAAGGAATGAAGGAAGGAAGGAAGGAAGGAAGGAAAGAAAAGGAAGCAAGGAAAGAAGGAAGGAGAAAAGAAAGAAAAGAAAAGAAAAGTTACAAAGCAAGCTAATGGCTGGAAAATAAAATACAACCTATCCCCCTTCCTAATAATCTGGAAGGCCAGTCTCACATGTAGAATGTTCAGCCTCCTTGGAATTCTGCACCAGAACATGGCGATTGGCCATCTACTTTCTCTTTCCATCCTCAGCTTCACTGTGCACCCAAAAGGGCCCAGTGGGTGCCTGGTCTTGATGCTCCAACTTGCACATCGAGCCTCTCCTCACTGTTTCCAATAGCTGTTGCTTGGCTGCCCCGCCCAGCTAAAGAGTGCATGAACCAGGGATGCCATTCACCCTGATCTGGAGGAGAGGCTGGTGCAGGCCTTAGATGTGGGCTCAAGGAATGTTTGGGTGGAGAGTTCCAGGGACCCCAGTGTTCACAGCATGGCTTGGAAGAGGGACACATGGGTTCCAGTGGGCACTTCCCCTTGACCCCATGACTCCACTCCCTGTAAGGGTCATGGCTGGAGGAGGGCTGAAGTAGGGGACTCTCAAGCACCAGATGGAAAGGAAGCCCCATTGCCTGGGTCCAAGGGCGATGCTGGCAGGGACCGCCAAGATAAAGTTGTAATAAGGTGAGTCAGTTCATCACAATACTTTTGACCCACAGGTGGTTTCTGTTTCTTCCAGGTAATACAAGACATTTTAATTATCTGCTCAGAACTGTATCCTTAATATTCCAGAGTGATCCATAATAAAACAGTAAGCAAAGGAATTTGTCTTCTAGACCATGGGTAGCCAAGTGGCAAGAAGACTTCCATTTAGTGAAGGTAGGCACTACATTTAATATGCACTGGGCTCATCCTCTTGTCTTCCTTCCCTTTCAGAACAATAACGTTCCAACAGCATCAGGTAGACCCAAGCAAAGTAGGGGTCTGCCTGGATGGCGAGGGGTGGAAAGGAGCCCTGCAGAGAGTGAGGAGGTCCCCACAGGGGGCTGGCCTGGCACGGGGATCAGACCAACCTGTGTAGGGTGAGCAGGCCCTCCCTGGTGGGGTAAGGAGGGTGTTTGCAGAGAGAGGTGGGCAGGGCAGTTGTAGTGATGGAAGACTTGGTATAGCTTGGAGACTGACCAAATAAGCCAATATGCTGAGGATAATGGGAGGCAGATTTCTCACTGTGGGACAAGCGGGAAGGGAGAAAACCAGCGTGAACGCTGTTGTTTGATTGGAACTGGAGATATCAAGGTTTTCAGTACAGAGAGATAGACATAGAAATAGATACAGGTGTGTGTGCGTGTGTGTGTGTGTGTGTGTGTGGTTCTGTGCACTGACAGGCCTGGGAATATCAAGCAGCAGATAGCAATGAGCACATGCAGTGCAAACAGCTTAGTTTCTAAACAGCATTTTCCACTAAGATGAACCAGGGCACCTTGAGAAGTGGCTGATTCTGGGACGGGGGCAAGGAATGCTCAAAATGAGCCTGGAGTCTCTCCTCGTGCCAGTAAGTGAGGCAGTGCTCCAGGAACAAGAGGACCTAGCAAAGGGACACAGAACCAGCTTAAAGGGGCCCCCCACCAGACCTGGGACATTTTTGAGCTTACAAATAGATAATGATAGCAATAGATACAACCCATTGAGTGACATTACAACCCACAGGACCATGTTGATATAAATAAGAAAGGAAATAGGTAACTTGAAAGTTTCATGAGGAACAGGATATTTATAAAGGATCAGAGAATCTCTCCCCAAAATATTTGTCACTTACTAAGGGAAAGAAGGGGTAGCTTTAGGGAGGGGAAGCTGGGAGACACCACCTTAATCAGGAGTGCTGTTTGCATCATTACCACTAATGAGGCAAATGGAAACGTGCCACATGCAAGGACTCAGTGAGAACACAACACTCGTGATATTCCTGCAAAGGGGCATCATCTGAGTTTTACCACGAGAAACATCAGACCCACCCAAATCCGGGGACTTTCTACCAAATAACTAGCCTGTTATCTCCAAAAGTCAGGGTCACTGTAATCCCAGCACTTTGGGAGGCCGAGGCGCGCAGATCACCTGAGTTCAGGAGTTTGAGACCAGCCTGGCCAACATGGTGAAACCCCGTCTCTACTAAAAATACAAAAAGTAGCTGGCCGTGGTGGCAAGTGCATGTAATCCCAGCTACTCAGGAGGCTGAGGCAGGAGAATCATTTGAACCTGATAGGTGGAGGTTGCAGTGAGCCGAGATCGTGTCACTGCACTCCAGCCTGGGCGACAGAGTGAGACTCCATCTCAAAAAAAAAAAAAAAAAAAAAAAAAGTCAGGGTAATGAAAGTCAAGGAAACACTAAAATTATTCAGGACTGAAGAAGACCGAAGAGATGGACAACTAAGGCAAATTGCAGGCAGGGGTCTGTAAAACAACGCAGCCATGACAGCCACATCATGCTCAACAATGGCACCAAGACGGACATGCTAGGGCTAGGCACCTGGAAGTCCCCTCCAGGCCAGGTGGCCGAGGCTGTGAAGGTAGCAATCAACACTGTATACCGCCACATCGACTGCAGCCACGTGCACCAGAACAAGGACCAGGAGCAGCTCAAGGAGCAGGTGGTGAGGCGTGAGTGGCTCTTCATCATCAGCAAGCCATGGGGCATATGCCACAGGAAGTGCCTGGTGAGAGGATCCTGCCGAAAGGTGCTCAGTGGCCTGGAGCTGGACTACCTGGACCTCCACCTTATTCACTGGCCAACAGGCTGTCATCCTGGGAAGGAATTTTCCTTTTTAGATGAATCAGGCAACTCATTCAGGGGCTGGTGAAAGCTGCTGGCATCTCCAACTTCACCATCTCCAGGCCGAGAGGACCTTAAACAAATCTGGCTTAAAGTGAAAGCTGGCTGGGTATGGTGGCTCACGCCTGTAATCCCAGCACTATGGGAGGCCGAGGCAGGCGGATCAGGAGGTCAAGAGATCAAGACCATCCTGGCTAACATGGTGAAACCCTGTCTCTACTGTAAATACAAAAAAATTAGCCGGGTGTGGCGGCGTGTGCCTGTAGTCCCAGCTACTTGGGAGACTGAGGCAGGAAAATCGCTTGAACCCAGGAGATGGAGGTTGCAGTGAGCCAAGATCGTGCCACTGCACTCCAGCCTGGGCAACAGAGTGAGACTCCGTCTCAATGGGAAAAAAAAAAGTGTAAGCCAGCAGTGGTTCATCAGATTGAGCGCCACTGGTAGGTCCCTAACTCAAGAGAACTTAATCCAGTACTACCAGTCCAAGGCAGCATAGTGACCGCCTACAGCCCCCTTGGCTCTCCCGACAGGCCCAGGGCCAAGCCTGAGGACCCTTCCCTCCTGGAAGACCCCAGGATCAAAGTGATTGCAGCCAAGCACAATGAAACTGTAGCCAGGTTCTGATGTGGCTCCTCACACAGAGGAACTTGGTGGTGACCCCCACATCTGTGACACTGGATCGCATTGCTGAGAACTTCAAGGTCTTTGACTTTGAACTGAGCAGCCAGGATATGACCTCCTTACTCAGCTGCAACAGGAACTGAAGGGTCTGTGCCTTGGTAAGCTGAACCGCCCCCAAGGATCACCCATTCCATGAAGAGTTTCGAAGCTGTGGATGTCTGCTCTTCCGCAAGTAACCTACACCTGGTTTTCCCGCCTCATTGTTTTCTTGCAAATGTAGTATGGCCTGTATCCCTTGGCAGTGGGGCAGCAATCTGCAGACTGACCAGCAAGGGTCTGTCAAGCTTGACGTCAGGTCTGAAGAGCAGCATCAGTAGAGTGGAATTCTTTTCCCACTTTCTTTGCCATTTTTGTTCAGCTGAAGGAAGTGCAACCTGAATACCCTTTTCTGACCAAAGAGAAGCAAAATCTACAGAGTCAAAATAGTGCCTCTAACAGTTGAGTTTCGGCTGATGGAACTGTAATCCTTACGGCAAGACTTCTCTTTGCCTCAAATAATAAGTGCTTTTGTGAAAAGAGACAGAGGGGGGCAACAGAAGGCAATATAAGACTTTGGATTGAATCATTTTGCTGCATAGAACACTCAGGATAATTGGCAAAATGTAAAGGGGGTTTGAGGATGAGATGGAGGTGATGTGTCTTTTAATTTCCTGGTTGGAATGGTGTAGTGTGGTTACGTAGGAGATAGCCTTGTAGCAAATACATCCGAAAAATTGGGGCGAGTTGGGATATGACATGGACAAATTACTTGCAAATGGCTTAGGAAAAAATCGTTGTGTAGTGTACTCACAACTCTAAGTTTAAAAGTTCCTTTAAGCTTGAAAATTTCACATTTTTAACAAAATAAAAGAAATGCGTTAGCCACAGAAACATGGCACACTTAGAATAATAGGATAAATAAGCAGGTCATAGTGATCTATGACAGTCAAAAGGTAATCTTTCCTGATGCATTGGCTGGCATCATTAAGAGAATGTTTCCCTTTGGGAAATGGTATTAGGACAGTTAATATTTTACCTAGTTTATTTCTTTTTTTTTTTTTTAAATATATAGACAGAGTCTCACTCTGTGGCCCAGGCTGGAGTGCAGTGGTGTGAACACAGCTCACTGCAACTTCGAACTCCTGGGCTCAAGGAATCCTCCTGCCTCAACCCCCTAGTAGCTGGGACTATAGGTGTGCACCACCATACCTGGCTAATTTTTCAAATTTTTTTGTGGAGATAGGGGTCTCCCTATATTGGCAAGACTGGTCTCAAACTCCTAGACTCAAGGGATCCTCCTACCTTGGCCTCCCAAAGTGCTGGGATTATAGGTGTGAGCCACCATGCCGAGCCTAACATAGTTTCAAATAGGAATTATAATAGCAGGGGGTATTGCTATTTTTCTTATGATTTGGAATAACACAAGGCAGAAGTAAAATAATAAGTAAAACAACATGGACAGAGAAAAATAATAATCAGTTGTTTTTCATAGGAATAAAACCATCTAGAAAGGCACGTGAAGTATGTGGAATGGAGGCCAAATGTGCAATATTGATGGAGGGGGAATCTAATGCATCGGGAAAGGGAAAGCCATCAGCATGGATGAGCAGAAATGAAAACAGCTATTTCAGTGCACTCAGGAAAGACTATGTAGGTCAGCCAGAGTTAGGAGTGGTGGGGAGTGGAGGCGGTGAGTGGAGCCCGGCAGAACCGGGCTGTGGTTTGCATTCTTGGGACCACAGAAGTGAGGTAAGCCAGGAGCAGACACAACTGGAGTCCGACCAACAAAACACAGTGAGTCAGAGTCTAATCCAAACCTGTTCCATCCCTGGTTGCCAGGCAAAGGGACCCTCTCATTAAGTTCATGGACTATAATGAGGTGAACCGCCAGAAATTAAAGGAAACGGTAATTACCGACAGGGCCATGCAAGGTCTGGGAGGAGTTAGGTGGTCATCTGCCCCTCAGACGAAGGAGGAACGGGGAAGGCTTTGACTTACTGAACCCGTGTACTCAAGAGAGCTGCTATGTTCTGCTGTCTGCCCCTGGTAGACCCTGATGAGCCTCAGGGTTGCAAATGCCTATGGTCCCACCTGTTCTAATCCCAGCCTCCCTGTCTGGAAGGAAGATAGTCTGGGATAAGGCTGAAAAGCACATTCCTGGAGCCCAGGTATAGGTGTCCTGGGCTCCTGGGGGCCAGGTGAAGGTGTCTTGGTTCTGCACCATGTAGGCAGCAATTGCATATGTGGTTCCCCTCCGTTTTATCACCTGGAGGACAGGGCTCAGAAGAGGGTAGAGCTGTCTCCAGGACAAGCCCCTAAACAGTGGAAGCAGCTGCATGTTATTTCCCTTCTTGAGGCACATCATTTTCCTTGCAGTTGTATGTATAGCCCCAATACACACATCCTGTATTTGTAGCTCTAATTGGACACTCCAGAAATTCTCTGACCTCTGCGTTCTTCTGTTCCCATGTTTTCAGTAAGTCCTTTCAATTACTTTGACAGTAGGTACAACTGCCTTTCTCAAGCAGGAAAATCTTCTCACTGTTTTTCCCAAATTAGAAAACTATTTATACCTCATTTATGGTGTGGCAGGAGATCCTGCAAATCAAAACAATTTTCTACTAAACATTATTTACATTATTTACCATTTTCTGTGAAATTCTAACATGCCGGGATAACCACAATTTAAATTTATTCAGAGGTCACAGTTTAACACTAAGCAAACTGGAAACCTCTGAAAAGATCCCTTAAATATTCCTGTCTTCTGTCAACATTTTCAACCTGGAATATCAACCATTTATGCTTGATTTTGTGTAACTGGGGATTCAAAGCACTTTAACAATCGTGATCTGCTTTTCTACCTTCACTGGCGCCAGCGTGGCTTGGTTAGGATTCTCTACACATCTGCATTTGGTATTCATTAGATGCAAAGAGCATTCATGCATAGCCTCCTAATAGATAGGGAGAGGATGGTTTTGAAAGTGTTTTAAAAATACTCCGAGGGGGAGGGAGAGAGGGGCGAAAAGGTTGAAAAAGTACCTATCAGGTACTGTGTTCACACTTGGGTGATGGGCTCATTAGAAGTCCAAACCTCAGCATAATGAAATATACCCAAGTAACAAGGCTGCACATGTTCCCCCAAATCTGAAAAAATAAAAATAAAATAAAATTCCTTTATTATGAAAAATTTTTTGTTATACATACACACACCTGTTAGAACTAATAGACAAATTTAGCCAAGTTGTAGCATACAAAATCAACAAGCAAAATCAGTTTTGCCTGTATACATTAACAATAAACAACCAAAAAGAAAATTAAGAAAACAATTCCATTTACAAAAGCATTAAAAAGAGTAAAATATGTAGCAATAAACTTAGCCAAGCAAGCAAAAGTCTTATACACTGAAAAATACAAAATGTTGCTGAAAAAAAATTAAAGAAGACAGTAATAAATGGAAAGACATCCTGTGTTCATGGCCGGGTAGACAATATTCTTCACATACCAGTATAACTCAAATGGTCTACAGGTTCAATGCACTCTCTACCAAAATCCCAATGACATTTTTGCAGAAAAAGAATAATCCATCCTAAATTTCAGATAGAATCTCAAGGAACCCTAAAGAGTCAAAACAATCTTGAAAAAGAAGTACAAAGTTGCACATCTCACATTTCTTGATTTCAAAACTTACCACAAATTTACAGTAATCAAAACAGCCTGCTACTGACATAAAGATAGACATATACAGGCCAGGCACAGTGACTCAAACCTGTAATTTCTATAATTGGTTTTTTTTTTTTTTTTGAGACGGAGTTTCGTTTTTGTTGCCCAGGCTGGAGTGCAGTGGCACGATCTTGGCTCACTGCAACCTCTGCCTCCCAGGTTCAAGTGATTCTCCTACCTCAGCCTCCTTAGTAGCTGGGATTACAGGCGCCCACCACCACACCCAGCTAAGTTTGTTTTGTTGTTGTTGTTGTTGTTTTGTATTTTTAATGGAGATGGAGTTTCACCATATTGCCCAGGCTGGTCTCGAACTCCTGACCTTAAGTGATCCACCTACCTCAGCCTCCCAAAGTGCTGGGATTACAGGCATGAGCCACCATGCCTGGCTGGAAGTCACAAATATTGTGACCTCTGGCCCCATGACTCTTGAGCAGGAAGGAATTATAGACACTATGCCTGCATCTTAGCAGAGTTCAGACCCCTCCCACAGTCCTATTCTTGTGGCCTTTCATTAATCTTACAAAGGTGGTTTTCAATCCCTGAGCAAGAAGGGGGTTAGTTTTAGTGAGGGACTATTGTCATCCTCACTTTCAAGTAAGGGTGGCTCACACCTGTAATCCCAACACTTTGGGAGGCTGAGGTAGGCAGATTGCTTGAGGTCAGGAGTTGGAGACCAGCCTGGCCAACATGGTGAAACTCCTTCTCTACTAAAAATCTGAAAATTAGCCTACTTGGGAGGCTGAGGCAGTAGAATCACTTGAACCCAGGAGAAGGAGGTTGCAGTGAGCCAAGATTGCGCCACTGCACTCCAGCCTGGGTGATAGAGCGAGACTGTCTCAAAAAAATAAGAATAATATAAAAATAAATTTCTCCCAAAGTTAGCTTGGCCTATGCCCAGGAATGACCAAGGACAGCTTGGAGGCTAGAAGCAAGATGGAGTCAACTATGTCAGATTTCTCTTACTGTCATAATTTCACAAAGGCAAAATTATGCTATGATCCACCAATTTCACTTCTGAGTGTATATCCAAAAGAAGTTAAAGCAGGGTCTCAAAGAGATATTTGAACCCCATGTTTATAGCAGCATTATTCACAGTAGCCAAAAAAAAAAAGAAGCCCCAAGTGTCCATCAGTGGATAAATGGATAAGCAAAATGTGGCATATACATACAGTGGAATATTATTCAGCCTAAAAAAGGAAGGGTAAACTAAAAATAAAATCCTAGCTGGACGTGGTGCCTCATGCCTGTAATCCCAGCATTTTGGGAGGCAAAGACGGGAGCATTGCTTGAACTCAGGAGTTTGAGACCAGCCTGGGCAACATGGCAAAACCCCATCTCTACAAAAAATACAAAAAATTAGCTGGCCACAGTAGCGCACGCCTGTGGTCCCAGCTACTCAGAATGCTGAGACAGAAGGCTGAGTCCAGGAGGCGGAGGTTGCAGTGAGCCAAGATAGTGCCACTGCATTCTAGCCTGGGTAATAGAGCAAGATTGTCTCAAAAAAAAAAAAAATCCTAAGTCCCCACAACTGACTGAAAGGACCCCCTCTTGGCCAAGGGGACCCCAGAAAATTCTTAAAAACTTAATTCCCAGCCGTGACAGGAAGGGAGGTCAGACATGCCTCATAATACCCCCTTCCTGTCACAGTTTAGGCACAACTGACCAGCATTAACATTAAAATAGAGATCATAAGACTGACAGAATAGACTCTCTGTGGAAATAAGATACCGAATTATAAATAAGACAGAGCAAGACTCAGTCTCAAATAAATAAATAAATAAATAAATAAGACCCAAGACTATGCAAGGATAAGGTTAAATGACACCCTACAAACCATAAAGTCTCCTTAAATTGTTTTTTTAAATTAACCCAGTATAACGTGGCTTATTTTCCAACCTGACTCTGGTATAGCATCACATGAGAGATAGCAGACCCCCTTATCTTAAGCATTCCTTTTTACTGACTTCGCGTCTTTAGATGAAGCTTAACTCTTGCAATCAATTGCCAACTAAAGAATCCTGAAAACCCACCTATGACTTGTAAGTCCCTGCTTTGAGATGCCCTGCCTTTTCTAGCTAAACCAATATATACCTTTCATTTATTGATTTATAATTTTACTTACAATTATGTATAAAACCTAACTGTAACCCAACCACTTCGTGATCACTTACTCAGGGCTTCTTGAGTTTTTGTTTTCTCCTGGCCACAGTCACTCACGTTGTTAGCAGTAGCAAATCTGACAGGTGTGCAGCAAACTCAATTCTTCCCTAGGAGAAAAGAATTCAGTCAAGGGGCATAAAGCAGAGTGAAAGACCGAGGCAAGTTTTAGAGCAGGAGTGAAAGTTTATTAAAAAGTTTTAGAGGCTGGGAGCGGTGGCTCCCAGAGCTTTGGGAGGCCAAGGTGGGTGGATCATGAGGTCAAGAGATCAAGACCATCCTGGTCAACATGGTGAAACCCCGTCTCTACTAAAAAAAAAAAAAAAAAAATACAAAAATTAGCTGGGTGTGGTGGCGCGTACCTGTAGTCCCAGCTACTCCGGAGGCTGAGGCAGGAGAATCACTTGAACCCTGGAGACAGAGGTTGCAGTGAGCTGAGATCGCGCCACTGCACTCCAGCCTGGCAACAGAGCGAGACTGTGTCACACACAAAAAAAAAAGTTTTAGAGCAGGAACAAAAGGAAGTAAACTACCCTTGGAAGAGGGCCAAGCGGGCAGCTTGAGAGATCCACGTACACTGTTTGGCCTTTCACTTGGGGTTTCATACATTGGCATGGTTCCATGGTTTAGGTCTCTCCCCACTTGATTTTTCATTGGGGTAGGCCATTCACATGCACAGTGGCCTGCCAGCACTTGGGAGGGGCTGCATGCACAGTGTGTTTACTGAAGTTGTGCACATGCTCATTTGAGGCAATTTTCCCTTACCATTCAAGTGTTCCTAAAGGAAGGTCGTATACCAGTTAAACTCTGCTATTTTGCCTCCTAGTGCACATTCATGAGCCTACTTGCCCATTTCCCAAGATCTCATCAGGAAGCTGCTGATCACCAGCTTCAGGTGTTTCCATCTATTGGAAGACTGCCTTTCCCTGGCAGCAGCTGCAACCAATTATTATTTTAGAGAGACAGTTTAACAACTGCCTGACCATCACCTGATGGTCACCTGACATTCCTGGGCAGGAGTGCAGGGGCCTTTCCTGCCCTGTTCATGTCTGCCTAGCTACCTACTCCGACAATATGGGCTCAGAAACAAACCTCTTTAAAATGTTTTACAGAGTTTGTTTTTTCCGATAACAGAAGAAAAATCTGACACATGTTACAACATGAATGAACCTGGAGGGCATAATATCAAGTGAAAGAAGCCAGACACAAAAGGGCAAATACTGAATGATGACATTTCTATGCGGGAGGTGGAATAGCCACATCCATAGAGACAGAAAGTACAGTGGTGGGTGCCAGGGGCTGGTGGCGGGAGAGATGGGGAGCTATTGTTTAACAGGTCAGAGTTTGAGTTTGGGATGGAGAAAAAGTTCTGGAGATGAAAAGTGGTGATAGTTACACAACAATGTGAATATACTTAAGACCACTAAACTTTACCCTTAAAATGATGAAAACGGTAAATGTTATGTTGTGTGTATTTTACCACATTAAAAATAAAATAAAATGTATACTTTCTAAGCTACAGTTCCTTAGTGTAACTTTGCCTGAGGTTGTGTTAATAATAAAACCAATAAACAATAATGTGGCTGAGCGCGGTGGCTCATGCCTGTAATCTCAGCACTTTGGGAGGCCGAGGTGGGTGGATCACCTGAGGTCAGGAGTTTGAGACCAGCCTGGCCAACATGGTGAAACCCTGTTTCTACTAAAAATACAAAAAAATTAGCCAGGCATGGTGGTACATGCCTGTAGTTCCTGTTACTCAGGAGGCTGAGGCAAGAGAATTGCTTGGAACCTGGGAAGCAGAGGTTGCAGTGAGCCAAGATCATGCCATTGCACTCCAGCCTGGCAAGAGTGAAACTCCATCTCAAAAATAAATAAATAAATAAATAAATAATGTAACACAAAACACCCCTCTTGCAGCCCTTAGATTGAGGAAACCAAGGCAGACCAACATTTGAAGCTACAGGGAAGTGAATTTTGATTGAGTGGAATCATTAATACACCAAAAACAAAGTCTAAATCAAGCACTCCAAGATTGACAGGACAAAGGATAAGATATGTCAAAACAAGGCAAATGAATGCGAGTTACTTAAGAGATCATAGAATTTAAGAAATAAAATGGCAGGCAGGTAGGAGCAGGTGATAAACCAGGCTGGGGTGCTGTGAGGTTTCCGTAGCACTTGGCCTGGGTCTCCAGAGTGACAGAGACCACCCACATGGACCCTTCTTTGTAATCCTTGATCTGAGATGCAGAGCTGCTTCCTCCATCAGGCCAGGACACCCACTGACTGATAATAAATGTACTAGCATGGTCACCATTCTTGAAACTTGCTGTGTGTTAGAAGCATGCTGGGCCCACATGCGTCACTTACTGAGTCCTCTACATAGTTCGGGGCATCACCACATGCCTGGCACAGAGCTGGGCCTCAAAAAAATATCCGCTAAATTGCTTAACAATGCAGGGAGGAAAATGATATAATAGTTGTCACCAAGGTATGGACGAGAACTCTGCAACTCAGAAAGGTTAACCTACATGTCAAGATCACCCAGCAGTGGAGCCACTGTTCCAGCTTCCAGACTCAGCTCTGTCTTTCCAAGGCTCCCCCAAAATCTTCTGTTCTGATGCAACAGCCAGAGAATCCTTTTGGGATGAAAATCAGATCAAGTCACTCCCTATCCTCGAAGGCTTCCAGCGCACTTACTGTAAACCAAGTGAAGGTGCTGTCCATGGCCTAGGAACCCCTGCCTATGATGGGCAGGTGTCTCCCACTGACCACTGTACCATCAGGGCCCAACTCTATCCTCCACCAGCACCATCGCCTCTCAGGGCCTTTGCACTTGCTGTGCTCTCTGCCTGAGGTGCCATCACCAATTCTGGATTCTGTTCAAACAGCATCCCCTCAGAGAGGCCTTTCCTGAACACATCATCTAGAAGCATCAAACACTCTGCAACCCCTCATCCTGCTTTATGCACACAAAATTATGTTATGTAATAAGATGTGAATTGGGGATTTCCCCCTTTAGAATGGAAGCTCCATGAGTTCAGATTCTTTTCACATTTTGGTCACTGCATCCCCAGAACCTAGTGTTCAGTAAATATTTGATAAATAATGAAGGAGTTACTGACAAGCTATTTAATCTTGAGGACACTAAGTTGACTTTACCCCAGGTCAACTTCCTCTTGCTACAAAGCTTGTGCAAACTGTCCCTTGAGCACAGAAAATCATGCCATAGCATACTTACTGAGTGTGGCATCTCCTCTGCACACTTATCTGCCATATATCACAACACACCTTGCCTCATTCCATAGGCCTCTCACCTTGCACACACGGCACAGCGCCTCTTCCTTGACTTCTCCTATGCCCATGTCTTTGGCCTTCCTTTCTTAGCCCCCTTCACTCCCTAATAACCCAGATTCCGAGGCTTAATACCCTTGGATAGGTGTTACCCAAATCACCCCACACCAGCTGACTAATGGGGTCATTTCAAGGGAAGAGGCTCTCACAGTTCAGAACTTCAGCAGATGCCTTCAGGGTAAAGGATGGGAGATAGGCAAAGGGGAGCTCAAAGGAATATTGGTCTTTCTCCTTCACCTCACGTCTCTTGACTCAGGATTACTCTGAAAATAAAATTCATTCCTCACTCACAATGGCTTTTGGCTAAATACAATAGAGGGCACGTCACTAATCCCAACTCTCTATGCAGAATGGCCAGCCAGGAGAATCTCTGCCACAAGAAGCCACCGGGCAGAGCAGGACCAGCTGGGCATGGTGTCAGGGACCCCTGCATCAGAGGCAGGTTGCAGTCGATATGCTCCAGGGACACTCGCATTGCCACAGTGCTCCGGTGATGGCCCACTGTTTAGTGGACAGCAGCTGCTCTTTTATAGGCTACTGATGGTTGAGCACTAACTCAGCCCCAGGCACACGGCACCATCACATAACAAACCTATGAAATACTGGAGATTCTTGTTCCTGCCTGTATCTATTAGCTTTTGCTGCATAACAAACCCTCTCAAAACACAGTAGCTTAAAACAGCTGTTTATTTGTTTGCACTTTGAGCTAAGCTTGCTGGGACAGCTGGTCTCTGCTCTGTGGGATTTCAGCAGTGCTCACACATGCATGCCGTCAGCCGCCAGTCAGTGGCCTCACTCATGTGTCCACCAGTGGCTGACTATCAGCAGGGCCCGTGGAGAAAACCAGGTCATGTCCCTCTGATCTAGCAGCCTAGGCAGGCTCCTCCAAAGGGTGTTGGTTCAAGCATTTCCTAGAGCAGCAAGAGAGGCAAGTTCCAATATGTATGCACTTTGCAAGCCTCTGCGTGCTGCACATTTGCTAGTGTCCCTTTGGCCAAACTAAGTCACAAGGCCAAGCCCAGCTTCAAGGGGTGAAAAAACAGACGTCCTTTCTTGACTGGGGAGCTGCAATATTATGTTGTGGAGCGTTGCAACATGAATGGGAAGAATTTGTGGCAATGTTTGCAATCCACCATATTGCTTGTTTCAGCATAATGCCACATCCAAAAGAAACATAAGTCCAATCCCCAAAAGAGAGATACTAAATTGCAAAACACACAGCAGCAACATTTCCTAGAAATCTATTTTATCCATCCAAATCCCTGAAGTCCCCAATTTCAAGGCAACTGTCACAGCCTTGTTCATATCTTACCTACAAAACTCCCAGTCCACAATGACTCTCTTCAATTCCCCATATCTCCTCCAACCTCCAACCTTCCTCCTGCTTCCAGATGTTTTTTCTATCTTTTCCCTTCTTCCCCATTGAAACTCCCCTTCACTCATGAACGTAATCAGCACCATAAATGACCAGCAACAAAGAAATGCAAACACAGAATCCTTAAGCAGGATCAGAGCCTGTAGTACCAGCCACTTGGGAGGCTGAGGTGGGAGGATTGCTAGAGGCCAAGAATTGGAGGCTGCAGTGAGCTATGATTACGCCATTGCACCCCAGCCTGGGCGACAGAGCAAGACCTCATATCTAAGAAAGAAAAAAGAAAGGCCGATTGTCCATATCAGTTTATCACATACAAATGAGTCCTCGTGTGGTCACCCTTTTTTGTGATGATGAAACTTCACTCTGAGGCTGAAGGAGGATGAAAGCACTGCTTTGAGCTCTGTGTTGGGTGGCCTATGAGCCTCTGCTGTTTCTCAGCTTCTATATATTGTTTCTGGAGGCTATTTATTTATTTGAGACAGGGTCTTGCTTTGTCACCCAGGCTGGAGTGCAGTGGCACGATCTCAGCTCACTGCAACCTCTGCCTCCCAGGTTCAAGCGATCCTCCCACCTCAGCCCCACAAATAGCTGGGACTACAGGCACGCACCACCACACCCGGCTAATTTTTTTTTTTTTTTTTGTATTTCACCATGTTGCCCAGGCTTGTCTCAAACTCCTGGACTCAAGCAATCTGCCAGCCTCGGCCTCCCAAAGTGCTAGGATTATAGGCATGAACCACAGTGCCCCGCCTCTGGAGGCTATTTAAATATTTCCTCTGCCCCTGTGTGCTGGAATTACCAAGTGTAAGTTCATTACTGTGGGGTTAAGTGTCCCAGCTTTTGATATCCTATCTTTCTAAATACTATGGGGACATAAAAAGATAGAAGATAGTTACAACTACTAATTACAAAGTCCATGGTATGTACCAGTCTCTGTATTTGGTGTACGACAGTTGACATCTCAATTAGTCTATTCCTCCCAACAGTCCTATTAGGGAGACATTATGATCTGCATTTTCTGGAGAAGGAAACTGATGTTCAGAGAGATTGAAGTCTCTCAGAGAGTGGGGTCCCCTGGCTGATTCTCCTGAATCTGGCTGAGGTCTGGCTTCTTTTGAGAGAATATGTTCTTGCTTCTTGACTGATGCTGGGAAGGACTTGTATAGAGCCTGTAGTACCTGCTGGAAAAGTGGGCTGGTGTTGCCAAGGGGGCTCCAGCCTTCACAGCAGAGCAGGAAGTAGAGAGTTCTGGTGCCAGGCAGCTGCTTACTTCGGCCCAGAGCTGTGTTCCTCAACGTTGGTTGCTGACATCCTTGGTGGTCTATCAGTGACTCCACAGGCTGCTGAGCAATTTCAAAAAACAAAATACATGAAAGAAGTTGTTTGTATACATTCAAATTTTCAACGTAAAATTAGACTTCACTTGGCTACAAGAATTGTTGGTCAGCCCATCTCAGCTATAAGTCTATAGCTTGTCCTTGCTAAGAGAGTTTCACATTATTTTGGTGGTTTCTGTTCATTAAATTGGAGTTTTTGTTTCTTTCCACTGTGCATCTCATATTTACAAATCACAAATGTGGAGCAGTGATTCGGAAGTGGCTCATCAGGTGTAAACTAGTATTGAAAATGATGCTAATACATTTCAAAACAATGTGAAAACAAATTTGAGCACTACTTCAGTAAATTTGTAGGTGTTAGAACAAGCGAATCTCCAACTGGGATGGTGTTGCTTAAAATGCCAACATTGAAAAATGCAAATGGATGGGAGTCTGTCACTCTCATAAACTTTGCCAAATGAAAGTCCAAAACCACTGAAGCTGTTATATCATTTTAAGGCCCTATGAAATTCCTTTGGTAAACTCCATGAATTCCCCCTAGAAAAATCTCAAAATAATGATTTCTTTTCTTTTTTTTTTTTCTGAGACAGAGTCTCGCTCTGTTGCCCAGGCTGGAGTACAGTGGCGCACTCTCGGTTCACTGCAACCTCCGCCTCCCAGGTTCAAGCGACTCTCCTGCCTCAGCCTCCCGAGTAGTAGCTGGAATTACAGGCACCCACCACCATGCCCGGTTAATTTTTGTATTTTTGGTAGAGACAGGGTTTCACAATGTTGGCCAGGCTGGTCTCAAACTCTTGACGTTGTGATCCACCCACCTTGGCCTCCCAAAGTGCTGGGATTACAGGCGTAAGTCACTGTGCCCAGTCAATAATGATTTCTAGAAAAAAAAAATCAGTTGTTTACACAGAAAAAAAGACAAAAACAACGTTTTGAAACTGCATTTAAAGTGACATTCCCTATAGCAAAAGTAGGTGCAAGTCACAGGATTCTTCAGAAGCTTGGGAAAAGTAGTGTTAAAGTTAATGAAAAATGTTATGCTCAGAAAGAGAAATAAAAACTACTTGTAGAATCCCTTTATCAAAGGATGCAGTAGAGGGTGACATGGTGTCAATGGCAGATAATGTGGAAAAGAAATTACTGTCACATGTCCCCACTAGAAGACACCGTGCTTGACAATCAGACAAAACCACTGATGAGAAGAGGGTGAATCAGAGCTTGTGTATACAAACATGACACCTCTAAGAAGGGGAGTTGTTTGATGCCATTTTATTCGTTTATCACTGGAAACTCATCCAGAAAGAGCAAAGATCTTTGTTTAGGTAACTGTTGTAATGTGAGTCATAACATAGGCTGGAAAATCTGCATCAAAAATCTCAGCTGATGGGATATTATCATTCAGAGTCCTCCTGAGCCAACGAGTCTGGGCGCTGGGAACATCTGGAGTCAACATTCTGGCCCATCACAACTCCTTAGGGACCTCCATTCCTCAGGGAATGCACTCAGATCTCAGGCACCAAAACCAACATTGTCTGCTCTTCCTTCCTTTTCTGTCTGGACTTTGTTGGCTGTTGAAAAAAGGAATGAGATTTTCCAAAAGTTTCTTCACAAACTGCTAATGCCAGTACAGGCCAGTTCCATGATTTTACCAGTTCAATCCAGTGATATAGCTCAGCAACACAGACAGGATCTCAAATATTCTGAACCACTCTAGGGCTGGATAGTATGATTTCTAATGTGGAGGGCAAAATTAGTATAAATGGCTTGGGCAAAGAGTTTTGATATGCTGATGTTTAATGTTGTTTTTCAACTGTAAGTTTAAAAAACAACAGGTTTATGACTTGAATGGATTTTAAAAAACTCATCCAGATACCGTACATGAAGAAACACTTCCCAGAAAGCCTACTGAATACAAGTAAATGAATGGCAGAAGGGTCACACCAAGTGTGCAGAGTCTAAGGATTTCAGGGCTGATTGCAGAAAGACCAGGAGAGGCAGGTTACCAAAAATGGAAGTATAATTTAACCAAACTCAATTAGTATAATTTTTAACAAAAAAAAATTGTAGAAAGAGAAGATGAAGAGAGGGGAAGTGAAGCAGAGATGCTATTTGAGCACTAAATCCTGACTTCCATGACAGACGGTGAATACACTGTCACAGCCCATACACCCAGAAATTCTAAATAAAAAGCAATCCCTCTCCCTCTCCCTTCCTCTGCATCCGTCCCGCTCTCTTTCTCTTTTCCCTCCCTTCCTCCGTTTCTCCTTCTCTTTGAGTATTTGTCATTAGGTATTTGTTATACACACACACACACACACACACACACATATATATATATACATATATATATACATATATATATTTTTTTAAGATGGAGTGCTGCTCTGTCACCCAGGCTGGAGTGCAGTGGCGCAATCTCAGCTTACCGCAAGCTCCACCTCCTGGGTTCAAGTGATTCTCCTGCCTCAGCCTCCCGGGTAGCTGGGATTACAGTCGCCCACCACCACACCTGGCTAATTTTTGTATTTTAGTAGAGATGGGGTTTCACCATGTTGGCCAGGCTGGTCTTGAACTCCTGATCTCAAGTGATTCCCCAGCCTCAGCCTCCCAAAGAGCTGGGATTACAGGTGGGAGCCACTGCTCCTGGCTGGTATTTGTTACATTAATCAAGAATATAAAAATATATACTATAATATATATTTTAATATATGTTAATATATTATAATATATATTAATATATTTTAATATATATTTTAATATTGCTACCAAAAAATGTGTTACATTGATTAAAAATAATAAAATAAAGTGACTTAAAGCAGAATGGAAGCAAAGGGGGTGTGGGGGAAGGAGAGTTGCAGCCACCCAAGGGCAGAACTGGAGGAACAGACGAAGCTGCCAGAGACCTCCGGAGTGGAGGGAGATTTTGAGGACCTCTGAGCGCAAATCTCTCTCCCTTTTCCAGTGGTTCTGCTAGTTCGTTTTTCTACTTGTTTACTACTTGACATGGCCTGAAAATGTGCTGCCTAGAGACAGGGCTTCTGTCCCCTCTCATCTCTTCTAATCTGTTCAGCACACTGGCATGGCAGCCCCGTGACATTCAGGCACTGTGCCCAGGGCTGGAGAATGCCTGGGCTGCCATGGGATTTGCAGGATCTCTGCCTTTATTATATATCATTCCTCCTTAGTCCGTGGCACTGCACCAGCAAGTGGCCTGTGTCAGCCACGTGCCCTTAAATGTGTGTATTTCAGGAGCACAGTTGTCCTCGCACACAGCCACCCATGTATTGATGAAGCTCATGCTGTCTTCCCAGCACCACTCTACGAGGGCCTTGAGTTGACATTCAAAATCCTGTGAGCCTTCCTCATAGAAAGCATTAGACTGCCTCAAAACCCTGCACAAAGAGCAGGACAGCGATAGATCTCAATCAACCGATACAAACCACCTGATATTTTGCAGTAGAGTCACCCTTTTAGTTTCGTACCAGTGCTGAAAATATGAGAGACCTCATTCATGTATCCTGACCTATAACTAAGTTTTAAAAAATAAGCTAAAACCTTCAGGTCACATTGTCAGTAAGTTGCAAAATTGTCACTGGCACTGTGCAGATCAGTGCCACAGCGATGCCAGGAAAGGGCTGGGGACAGGAAGGCTGCAGCCGAGGGTGGAGGAGTATAGTTAATGCCTTAATGATGGCTTGGGCGGGAGGTCATAATTGGTTTGTAGTAATTGTTTTTACTTTCCCATAGCATGGCTTCCTTTGACCTAATTTCTCCTGGGCCCGAGCCCAGTGCCCTCTGCTAATTAAGCTGGCCGTATATGGGCCTTTGGACATCACTGTTCCAATGTATGCTTCAGTAGGCTGCTTCATGTTTTGATCTTCAAACTGCATACTCAATACAGGTAACAATCGATTTTTCTTTATTTCAGAATTAACATACATGTTGCCAAAAGGTTTTTTTTATTGTATTTTGAAAAGTTGTTTTGGATTGCCAAAAACACCTTCAGTACAAAAATTGTTGGAAGCTAGAGGCTTTTGTTCACAATTTATAAGATATTTTATTTCTAATACAGAAAAAAACCTTAAAAAAATTTAGATCTGCAGCTGGAGGCAGTGGCTCAGGCCTGTAATTCCAGCACTTCGGGAGGCTGAGGCAGGAGGATCACTTGAGGCCAGGAATTCAAGACCAGTCTGGGCTACATAGCAAGACCTCACCTCTTTTTTAAAAAATAAAAATTAAATCAAATTTTTTAAAAAGAGAAAAATTTAGATCTGCTTATGGCTTGAAGTTTTAGGGCAAGGGAAAGAAACTAGTTTTCCAAGCAAAGGGATTAGCATGTGCAAAGGCTCAGAGGCAAGGGTGGGAGGAAGAAAGACAAGCCCAGACTCTGAAGGGCCTGTAAACCGACATTTGCCTGTGAAGCCACAGTAGAAATTAGATAAGTCAATATACAAGCAGAGCAGGCCACGTTTCAAGCTCTGGGCAAGGCTGGGTGCAGGACTGATAAGCAGATGCAGTAACCCGGGGAAGCACTGGCAGCCCTGCACACTCACTTACCCTCCTCCATCAGGTGCTGGCACTCTTCCCTGCAGGATCAGAAGCCTGATGATCTGAATGCCAAATGTAGGTGCCCTCTCAAGGACAGGCTCAGTTAACCATGCTGCTTATTCACAAATGTGGGAATGGTCATGGGGACCTAATACCTGGAGCTGTTCTGAGCAGGCCAGCCTCTCCCCATGGGCACACTGGCAAGGGAAGTTCAGTGAGCTGCAATCCCAGCAGGAGATGAATGTAGGCAGCCTGTGGCCGAGACGCCCTCCCTGCCAGACAGCACTCAGGGCGGCACCTCAAAACCCTTCTCTCCTCACTAATTTTCTGAATTTCCTTCTGATTCTCATGGTCATGCTCTAGGGCTTCCCTGTGACACAATGGCCATGCCACCTGCAACCAGCCACTAAGCACCTGATGTGTGTTTAGTTTGCAATGAGATGTGTGTGAGTGTGAAATACACACTGATTTCAAAGACTTCATAGGAAAAATCAAATGTGAAGTAGCCCATAGTTTTGATACTGTTGTCATATGGAAATAATGCTATTGTGAATATACTGGGTTAAGGAAAATATCATTAAAATACATCTCACCTATTTCTTTTCACTTTTCTAAGTGGCTCCCAGAAAATTGGAAATCGCACCTGTGTCTTGCCTCTGGTTTCTGCCAGACAGAGTTGCTGTGGACACATGATTAAGTACAGTGGCACGAAAGTCAGGTGTCACTGGCCTGAGCACCCTTCTGCCTCTCTGAGATGCATGTATCTGTCCTGACCATTGTTGTGTTGTTTTCACATGAAACAGTCAGAGGGTGCCCAAAGTCAGGCTCCCCCAGAAGTAGATCCCAAGGAAGCTTCATGTGCAAGTGATGCACCAGGGACAGGTTTGTAGGGAGATGGGTCAGAGAGTAGGAAAGCACGACGGGGGAGGAAGGCCAGCCAAGGAGAGATCAGGCCCAGCCACAGAGCGGCAGCCTCCCCACCCGAGCCAGGCAAGGTGTATTTTCACATGCAGTCCCATCTGGTGGTCAGGCGCCAAGGGTCATACCGAGGGTGTGTGCAGATTTGCAGGATCTTGAGATGGGGAGATTTTCCTGGATAACTTGAGTGGGCCCAGTGTCATTACAGGGACCCTCACAGTTAGAAAAGGCAAGACAGTCAAAGTTAGAGACAGGAGATGTGATGCAAAAACAGAGGTTAGAGTGATGCGATTTCAAGATGAAGGGAGGGGCCACGAGCCAAGGAATGCAGGAGGCCCCTAGAAGCTGGGAAAATGCAAGGAGTAAATTCTCCCCTAGGGCATCCAGAAGGAACACAGTCCTGATGCCACCTTGATTTTATCCTTGTGAAACCCATTTTGGACTTGTGATCACCAGAGCTGTAAGATAATAAATCTGTGTTGTTTTAAGCCACTAAGTTAATGGTAGCTTGTTACAGCAGCAGTGGGAACACATGTAATGGTCAAATACATAGCAATAACTTATTGTTGCCATATTCTACATGATAAATAACAGTATCAACGTGTCCAGACTTGATGGCCACTCTACAGTTTAAAAGCTCCTGCAGCCTTCTGGTGCACAAATTAGAGTGGCCAGCTATGAAAATTATTTTAAAGCTTATGATGACTTAGGTGTAAAGTCTAGGTGGTCTTGATCCAGAACAAAAATGAAGTCGGTCTGCTCTTCCATTTCCAAATTACAGAGCATAATTCATCCTTTGAAGCTACTGAACAGCAGGGACACTACACTGACGCCCTGAGACTTTTTTCTAAGTCATGCCCCACTGCAGCCACTGAGGCCTCCTCTGCCTAGGAGGGCCAGCTGTGGGCCTAGCTAGCCAGACGCTAGAGAAGGTTGACTATATTCCTTTAGCTCCCACATCAAGGCCACAGGGACAAGATGTAGACCTTCTCTCATGACAGGGAAGCTGGCAACCTCAAAGACTTGGTGGTTAGAAGAGGCAGGATATGGCGCGGGGGAATAAGAGAGCACCCTGTCCCTACTGGACTCATGGCACCATGGCAAGGAGAGGGAAAGGGAGATGGAAGAGAAGAAAGGCAAGCATTTGCGCTCTCCTGTTAGATCCTCCTCACCTTCTCCTCTTTGAGACCAAACCTTGTGAGGGGAGAGTTTAGAACGTGCAGGTGATACATAGCATAGCTCAAGGTCAGAGGGTATCTGCCTACTTTCTATCTATAAACTGCTCACTTCTTATCTTCAAATCTGGAGGAAATGACTGTTATTAGGCAGAGGGAAACCCAAGTTCTCCTGAGAATCTCCCTTGTGAGAAGGAAGCTATCCAGAAAAACCCCTATGACTAGACCCAGAAGGTAAGAGCAGAATGCACAGTTGTTCAGACTGTGCACTGCACAAGAACACCACATATAAGGAGACAGTCGTTCACATGAGAGACTGTTTATCATTGTAGATTTTGAATATTATATCTTTATCCACTTAAAAATGGGCAATTTGGGCCAGGTGCGGTATCTCACATGTGTAATCCCAGCAGTTTGGGAGGCCAAGGCGGGTGGATCACTTGAGGCCAGGAGTTTGAGACCAGCCTGGCCAACGTGGTGAAAACCCATCTCTACTAAAAATACAAAAATTAGCTGGGCGTGGTGGCACACATGTGTAATCCCAGCCACTCAGGAGACTGAGGCATGAGAATCGCTGGAACCTGGGAGGCGGAGGTTGCAGTGAGCCAAGATCGCACCACTGCACTCCAGCCTGGGTGACAGAGCAAGACTCTGTCTCAAAAAAAAATGTGGGAGGCAGTTCATACAATTATGATGACAATTTTCTAGGAGATGGCAGTAACATATCTTGTTTTAACAAAATAAGTATACTTTGATCATTTTTGATGGATAGAAGAAAAAGACTTTCTCCAATAGTGTAGCATACAATGATTCTTCATTGACTTGTGAAGACGGAATCAGTCAATAATCAGAGCCTGTTAATCAAATTCATTAAAATAAATATGTATTTTTAAGCAAGGAGCCGTTTTTGGTCTGAAGTACTGGTCAGTGAGCATCTTAAACATTTTTTAAACCCCTTACTGATATCAGTGCACTGACTAAATTTAATATTTCATAATTCAATTCTGTAATTTGCTGTTATAAAAATCATTAGTAAAAAACTAAGTACTGTTAAAATTGAGACGTTTGTTAAGTTCGTGTTATTTCTTAAAGTTAAAAACCTAATATAAAAAACTAAACTATTATATAGTTGCCCCCAAGATGGCCAAAAAAAAAAAATTAATCATCAGGGTCAGAAAACAGAAAACAAAGCCACAAAGGATTACAACTACTTTGATCGTTAAGTAAATCTTCAAAGAAAGCAAGTAAAATGTAAAAATAAAATGAAGCAACTCCAGAGAAGACTATAACAGGGCTGTATCATCGATGAGAAGCACGTGATCAAACGCTTTGATTCCATGTCAACCGTAACTGATTGATTTCCAGAAAAACTAGAAGAAGATATTTTTTAAAGAGAATGCATTAAACCAAATATGTTTTCTGCCCAGCCAAGTACACGGCCATGTGATTGAACATTAAAAGCCAGATTCTCTTGAAAACCCTTATTAGAAACATTCTGAAAGTAGTACAGGTAGAAAGATTCAGAAACTTACTATACACAAGTTATTCCCAAGTAGAGAAAAGATATAAATAGATCCTCCTTATTTTATTCTATCTCATAGACTCTATATTGTCTGTGTTGCAAACTCTCTAGGATAAAAAAATAATTAACTGAAGTGTGAGAATGGACATAAAGATTGTCAGTAATTGTCACATGCACTTGGTAAACATGAAGTAAGTGAAATGTACATCTTCAATAATGTTAAGTATTTAAAAATAGGCCAGGTGCGGTGGCTCATGCCTGTAATCCCAGCACTTTGGGGGGCCGAGGCAGGTGAACCACCTGAGGTCAGGAGTTCAAGACCAGCCTGGCCAACATGGTGAAACCCTGTCTCTACTAAAAATACAAAAATTAGCCAGGCGTGGTGGTGGGCGCCTGTAATCCCAGCTGCTTGGGAGGCTGAGGCAGGAGAATCACTTGAACCCATGAGGCAGAGGTTGCAGTGAGCCGAGATCACACCACTGCACTCCAGCCTGAGTGACAAGAGCAAAACTCTGTCTCAAAAATAACAATAATAAAAGTAAAAATTGGGGGTAACAGTCTAAGCCATAGGGCAGAAACTAAGTGAAAATTCAAACAAAAAATGGTCACACTGAATGCACAATATACACGATACAGTTTTTTTCTGTAGACGATGTCTAGTGCTCAGAGGATTATGAGCTTTTATGAATATGATAGTGGTAATTTTCTCCATTTGGCAGAAACAATAGCAAAATTTAATAACATTAAAACAGAACATTTACACAGAATATAAGGATCAATATGAAATATTACACATTATTTAGGGAATAAAACACAAAACCACATAAAAGTGCAGTAGAAGTGGTGAATGAACTAACTTTGATAAGGTAAGAAATGTAAAATGCTACACATCTGTTTTAGATAAAATCCCATAAGTAGCCACGTAGAGCAGGTAATTATTGCTTTACTTCTGGATTTCCAAGATGCAAATACTCTGTATGTGAGCATATTGTGTGATTTTGCCCAGGAGATGACATGACTAATGAGAATTTGTGCCATTTTTCAAAGACTAATACCAAAACTAGATTAGTAAATACTTGAAAGGCCATGAATATGTCTAGAAAATAGAATAGACTGCAAGAGCAGAACCACAAAAAAATTCTAAGGCATCCTATATTTCTTGTTTCGAACATTTTTAAGCATGTCGGTGAACATTGCAGCAAAAACTTTTTTGTGACACTGAAATTTTCGTTAATATCCGAGAGCTACACAACTACTTTGGTGCTTCAGTGAATATTGGGGTGTAGTAAGAACACACTTGGGCCGGGTGGTGGTGGTTCACGCCTGTAATCGTTATTTTATTCTATCTCAAAGACTCAAGACTTGGACTATCCCCTTGGCTCAAGTGATCCTTCTCCCTCAGCCAAGGAAGACCAGCCTGGGTAATCTAGTGTGACCTCATCTCTACAATGAAACTTTTTTTTTTCAATGACAGAGTCTTTCTCTGTCACCCACGCTGGAGTGCAGTGGTGTGATCTCAGCTCACTGTAACCTTTGCCTCCTGGGTTCAAGCGATTCTCCTGCCTCAACCTCCCAAGTAGCTGGGATTACAGGCATGTGCCACCACACCCGGCTAATTTGTGTATTTTTAGTAGAGATGGGGTTTCACCATATTGGCCAGGCTGGTCTCAAACTCCTGGCCCCCAGTGATCCGTCCGGTTTGGCCTCCCAAAGTGCTGGGATTACAGGCATGAACCACCGCACCCAGCCTCTACAAAAAAACTTTAAAAATTAGCCAGTTGTGGTATGCATGCCTGTAGTGTCAGCTACTCGGAAGGCTGAAGCGGGAAGATCGCTTGAGGCCAGGAGTTCGAGGCTGCAGTGAGCTATGATTGCACCACCGCACTCCAGCCTGGGTGACAGAGAGAGATTCTATCTATAAGAGGAAAAAAAAAAATTAAAAAAAGAACACAAGATGGGACACGGTGGTTCACACCTGTAATCCCAGAACTTTGGGAGGCTGAGGCAGGTGGATGGCTTGATCTCAGGAGTTCAACACCAGCCTGGGCAAAATAGGGAGACTTTGTCTCTACAGAAAATTAAAAAATTATCCAGGCGTGGTTGTGTGCACTTGTAGTCCCAGGTACTTGGGAGGGTGAGGGAGGGGAATTACTTGAGCCTGAGAGGTTGAGGCTGCAGTGAGCTGTGATCATGCCGCTGCACTCCAGCCTGGGTGACAGAGCAAGACCCTGTCTCAAAAAGAAAAGAAAAAAGAAGAGAAGATACTTGCTAAGCATAAATTTGAAAATGTTAAATCTCAGTAGGAAGGCAAGGTTGATGACCTCAGGCCTCAGATTAATCCACATACAAATTTTGGAAAATATAAATAAAGATGCATATTCTAGAATGCAAGCAAAAGTTATGCTTTTTAAAAATACCTACTTTCAGTTGTATTTGCTTGGTACTTATTTGGAATGATGGTTTAAGTAAAATTAATGTTATAGGCAAAGTGATGCAGTAACAAAAATTTAATGTACTAATGACCATGAAAGCATCAAAGGAATTGACAAGTTCTTTGAAGAAAAAATGCGGTAATATTTATTTTGAAAAATATGTTATTTAGGTGAAACAAATTGCAGAGTTTTCTGACACTGAAACCAACTTTTCAAAAGTAGAAAATACTGGAAAAAGGAGGAAGAACACTCATTTTGATTACAGGTTGCACAATTTATGACCCAACTTTAGATTTCAAAATTAATTATTTTTGCCATATTAAATACAATAATATCCTTAAAAGAAAGTTGTATAATATCAAAAAGCTAAATTATAGTCTTATAATTTTAAATCATACACAATTTGAAGATTATAATAAGCATTAATTTCTGCAACTAAAGTTAAATTTACAGTTGAAATTGGTGGATAAACATGGCAAGGAATGTTAAATTAATAGAATATCAACATGAAGAACTAATTAACGTGGGTGATTTTCTTCTCTTTTTTTTTTTTTGTTTTTTTTTTTTTTGAGATGGAATCTCATTCTGTTGCCCAGACTAAAGGGCAGTGGTATGATCTTGGCTCACTGCAACCTCCACCTCCTGGGTTCAAGCAATTCTCCTGCCTCAGCCTCCCGAATTGTTGGGATTTCAGACATGTGCCACCACACCCAGCTAATTTTTTGTATTTTTAGTAAAGATGGGGTTTCACTATGTTAGCCATGCTGGTCTCGAACTCCTGACCTCAAGTGATCCACCAGCCTCGGCCTCCCAAAATGCTGGGATTACAGGCATGAGCCACCTTGCCTGGCTGTGATTTTCCAATACTATGAACCCTGTTGAAGAATTGCAATGTATTTGCAGCAATAACTTACCAGGCATATTTCTGAGCATTTTTGTTTTGTTTTGTTTTTAAATTTTGAATAAAGTTGGACTTTACTTAAAAATAATGTATCATCATTGATTCATTCATTGTAACAAATGTGCCATATACTACTGTAAGATGTTAATGACAGAAAAGTTGGGTACGAAGGATACTGGAAGCTGTACCAGCTTCATGACTTTTCTGTAAATCTAAAACTATTCTCACATAGAACGTTTATTGAGAAGAAAAAAATAGAGAAATAGGCATGAATCCATGTTATTCTAGCACAAAATTTCCACTATTTAAACTTTTTGGTCTATTTTCTTTTCTTTTAATTGTTTTAAATGCCTCTACACACTCAAAACCATATACGTACATAATTGGGAAATTATTCTATATACAACGTTGTCTCATCATTTTGTATGTGATACTATTTTGTAAATATTTTCTTATTTTATCAATAACTCTATTAGAATATGCATATTTTATTTTAATTTAGGTAGATCTACAGGCTGGGACATGGAAATGGTATTAAGTAAAAAAGGCAAATTGAACTTTCACATCATACATTTCAGCAGTTTATGACTTATTTCTTTTTTTGAGATGGAGTCTCACTCTGTCACTCAGGCTGGAGTGCAGTGATGTCATCTCTACTTACTGCAACCTCCACCTCCCAGGTTCAAGCAATTCTCCTGCCTCAGCCTCCCTAGTAGCAGGGACTACAGGTGCGCGCCACCACGCCCAGCTGACTTTTTGTATTTTTAGTAGAGACGGGGTTTCACCATGTTGGTTAGGCTGCTCTCAAACTCCTGACCTCAAGTGATCCACCCACCTCGGCCTCCCAAAGTGCTGGGATTACAGGCGTGAGCCATCGCGCCCAGCCAGCAATGTATGATTTTTTTAAACTCAACAATGTGCAGGCATTGCTTTCACATCCATTCCCTGCCCGTGACGGTCCATCCCTGCCCGTGATGGACACTGTGGCCAGCTGTCCGGACTCCCCTTCAGAGATGAAGGCATTTCTCCCTCAGCTGCTGGGCATGGTCCCCTACAGGGATTGCTGCAGCTGAAGACAGCCACCTTGACCAAAGTCTCACTTCCTTCCTGGGATAATCTGTTCCCTCTTGGACCACTCTAGAGGGCCTCACACTAGTTTAAGAAGCTCCATAGAGCTGGTGTGGCCTCCAATAAGCATCGCGTCCAGTAAGCATAGCAGCTTACCTTCACCCCCTGCACAGTCCTACTTTCTTGCCTTCCTGCCACAGGTGCTGATCTCAAAAGCATTCTCTAATAAAACCCCAGGCATGCTCATCTCCATTTCCCAGTCTGTTTCCTAAGAAACTCACTGTGACACTGCCTTTCCCCTAATCTGCCAGCTCAGAGAAATGACTTTGGCTACTGCATTTCCCAGGCTCCCTGACCCAGGAATCTGGCCAGAATAAGCCAATGGGAAATGACGACAGAAGGCAGGAGGGCGGGAAGAAGAGAGGAATCCAAATCCAGCTTCCCTGTCCTCCCTGCCCCACGTGGGACCCATGTGATGGCCGCATCTCCCCAGGTTCCAGCCTCCACAGGGAACCCCTGGCTCCCAAGCTCTGATTTCACTCTCTTTTTCTTTTGCCCTTCCCGCCCTCTGAGCATTTTTGTAATTCACAAAATATATTTAACCCTGCCATTTTCAGTCACCTGTGGAGAACACAGCTTCTCAAAATTAAAATTTTTAAAACATTGCTCAAGGTCTACAATGTCACTACAAAATCTAGTGAGCATTTCTAGAAATCGGTATCTTGGAGCGATTACGCATTGGAAACGCTACGCAGATTTTCAATGCAGAGATTTTTCAACCAACTCTGACTTGATGAACCTAATTATTGTTACTGACCATTTACATTTTATGTTATCTTACGTTCATTTATTTGATGTGGATAACTTTTTTCACTTTTATTTTTCATAAAAATTGTATACTTAAGGTGGACACCATGGTGTTTGATATACATATACAGTGAGTGAATTACTACAGCTGGGGAAGCTGCCCAAAGACTGTGTGCATTAGTCCTGTCATTGAGTTGCAGCACAAATTATGCAGATTTAGGCGTCCATTGGGAGTTTACCTAGATTTTTTTTTTTTTTTTTTTGAGATGGAGTCTCGCTCTGTCACCCAGGCTGGAGTGCAGCAGTGTGATCTTGGCTCACTGCAACCTTCACCTCCCAAGTTCAAGTGATTCTCTGCCTCAGTCTCTCAAGCAGCTGAGATTACAGGCACCTGTCACCATGCCCAGCTAATTTTTGTATTTTTGGTAAAGATGGGGTTTCACCAAATTGGCCAGGCTGGTCTCTAACTCCTGGCCTCAAATAATCCACCCGCCTCGGCCTCCCAAAGTGCTGGGATTACAGTCATGAGCCACCGCACCCAGCCTTTACCTAAATTTTATTAACCAGTGAGAGCCAAGGTAGGAGCCGGCCAGCAAGAAGTGATGGTCGACGCTTTCTGGAAGCATCTCTTAGGCCAAAAGAATAGTCCAGATTCTTTCCCCGTGGATTTCAGCACCAGAGGCCCCCAAAGACCCAAGGTATCCCTCTGCAAAGAAGCCACGGTGAGCTCCTCCACTAACACAGATGCTCTCGCAGGAGGAGAAATTGGGTGTGGGGAGAGCCTCTGAGACTGAATATGTTACAGAGAACGAATAAACATTTCCTAAGTTGACTGGATGGAACTGAATGAAATTTTGACTCCCTCCCCTAGTACGCAAATGATGAGCTACAAACAAAACAGATGTTTATGATGGACACCTGAATGGTGGTGTGAACAGGTCTGCACCCCCTCTACACTTCCATGGACAAGGGACGCCCCACTTTCTCTGAATCAGCCTAGAAGGAGGGTCCTCCTAAGACTGACCACTGTCCACCCTGAGAGCCACCATCAGTCAACCTGGCTGATTCATATGTCTTGATTTTCTCCCAAATATACTGAGGGATCATGAAGATTTTCGCCACATGGGGCTGAAAGAAGAAAATGGCAATGACAGAAAACTTGACTAAAAATCGATAAAACCATTTATTCTTGCGCAGCTCTTTGCATTCTGTTGACCATGACAAACTGAGTCAGCGGTCCATATTATAATTTTTTTTATTATACTTTAAGTTTTAGGGTACATGTGCAGTGCACAATGTGCAGGTTTGTTACATATGTATACATGTGCCATGTTGGTGTGCTGCACCCATTAACTCGCCATTTAACATTAGGTATCTCTCCTAATGCTATCCCTCCCCACTCCCCCCACCTCACAACAGGCCCCGGTGTGTGATGTTCCCCTTCCTGTGTCCATGTGTTCTCATTGCTCAATTCCCACCTATGAGTGAGAACACGCAGTGTTTGGTTTCTTGTCCTTGCGATAGTTTGCTGAGATGAGGGTTTCCAGCTTCATCCATGTCCCTACAAAGGACATGAACTCATTGTTTTTTATGGCTGCATAGTATTCCATGGTGTATATGTGCCACATTTTCTTAATCCAGTCTATCATTGTTGGACATTTGGGTTGGTTCCAAGTCTTTGCTATTGTGAATATTGCTGCAACAAATATACGTGTGCATGTGTCTTTATAGCAGCATGATTTATAATCCTTTGGGTATATACCCAATAATGGGATGGCTGGGTCAAATGGTATTTCTAGTTCTAGATCCCTGAGGAATTGCCACACTGACTTCCACAATGGTTGAACTAGTTTACAGTCCCACCAACAGTGTAAAAGTGTTCCTATTTCTCCACATCCTCTCCAGCACCTGTTGTTTCCTGACTTTTTAATGATTGCCATTCTAACTGGTGTGAGATGGTATCTCATTGTGGTTTTGATTTGCATTTCTCTGATGGCCAGTGATGATGAGCATTTTTTCATGTTTCTCTGGCTGCATAAATGTCTTCTTTTGAGAAGTGTCTGTTCATATCCTTCGCCCACTTGTTGATGGGGATGTTTGTTTTTTTCTTGTAAATTTGTTTGAGTTCATTGTAGATTCTGGATATTAGCCCTTTGTCAGATGAGTAGATTGCAAAAATTTTCTCCCATTCTGTAGGTTGCCTGTTCACTCTGATGGTAGTTTCTTTTGCTGTGCAGAAGCTCTTTAGTTTAATTAGATCCCATTTGTCAATTTTGGCTTTTGTTGCCATTGCTTTTGGTGTTTTAGACATGAAGTCCTTGCCCATGCCTATGTCCTGAATGGTATTGCCTAGGTTTTTTTCTAGGGTTTTTATGGTTTTAGGTTAAACATTTAAGTCTTCAATCCATCTTGAATTAATTTTTGTATAAGGTGTAAGGAAGGGATCCAGTTTCAGCTTTCTACATATGGCTAGCCAGTTTTCCCAGCACCATTTATTAAATAGGGAATCCTTCCCCCATTTCTTGTTTTTGTCAGGTTTGTCAAAGATCAGATAGTTGTAGATATGTGGCATTATTTCTGAGGGCTCTGTTCTGTTCCTTTGGTCTATATCTCTGTTTTGGTACCAGTACCATGCTGTTTTGGTTACTGTAGCCTTGCAGTGTAGTTTGAAGTCAGGTAGCATGATGCCTCCAGCTTTGTTTTTTGGCTTAGGATTGACTTGGCAACGTGGGCTCTTTTTTGGTTCCATATGAACTTTAAAGTAGTTTTTTCCAATTCTGTGAAGAAAGTCATTGGTAGCTTGATGGGGATGGCATTGAATCTATAAATTACCTTGGGCAATATGGCCATTTTCACTATATTGATTCTTCCTATCCATGAGCATGGAATGTTCTTCCATTTGTTTGTATCCTCTTTTTTTTCACTGAGCAGTGGTTTGTAGTTCTCCTTGAAGAGGTCCTTCACATCCCTTGTAAGTTGTATTCCTAGGTATTTTATTCTCTTTGAAGCAATTGTGAATGGGAGTTCACTCATGATTTGGCTCTCTGTTTGTCTGTTATTGGTGTATAAGAATGCTTGTGATTTTTGCACATTGATTTTGTATCCTGAGACTTTGCTGAAGTTGCTTATCAGCTTAAGGAGATTTTTGGGCTGAGACAATGGGGTTTTCTGGATATACAATCATGTCATCTGCAAACAGGGACAATTTGACTTCCTCTTTTCCTAATCGAATACACTTTATTTCCTTCTCCTGCCTGATTGCCCTGGCCAGAACTTCCAACACTATGTTGAATAGGAGTGGTGAGAGAGGGCATCCCTGTCTTGTGCCAGTTTTCAAAGGGAATGCTTCCAGTTTTTGCCCATTCAGTATGATATTGGCTGTGGGTTTGTCATAGACAGAGCTTATTATTTTGAGATATGTCCCATCAATACCTAATTTATTGAGAGTTTTTAGCATGAAGTGTTGTTGAATTTTGTCAAAGGCCTTTTCTGCATCTATTGAGATAATCATGTGGTTTTTGTCTTTGGTTCTGTTTATATGCTGGATTACGTTTATTGATTTGCATATGTTGAACCAGCCTTGCATCCCAGGGATGAAGCCCACTTGATCATGGTGGATAAGCTTTTTGATGTGCTGCTGGATTCGGTTTGCCAGTATTTTATTGAGGATTTTTGCATCGATGTTCATCAGGGATATTGGTCTAAAATTCTCTTTTTTTGTTGTGTCTCTGCCACGCTTTGGTATCAGGATGATGCTGGCCTCATAAAATGAGTTAGGGAGGATTCCCTCTTTTTCTATTGATTGGAATAGTTTCAGAAGGAATGGTACCAGCTCCTCCTTGTACCTCTGGTAGAATTCGGCTGTGAATCCTTCTGGTCCTGGACTTTTTTTGGTTGGTAAGCTATTAATTATTGCCTCAATTTCAGAGCCTGTTATTGGTCTATTCAGAGATTTAACTTCTTCCTGGTTTAGTCTTGGGAGTTTGTATGTGTCGAGGAATTTATCCATTTCTCCTAGATTTTCTAGTTTATTTGCATAGAGGTGTTTATAGTATTCTCTGATGGTAGTTTGTACTTCTGTGGGATCAGTGGTGATATCCCCTTTATCATTTTTTATTGTGTCTGTTTGATTCTTCTCTCTTTTCTTCTTTATTAGTCTTGCTAGCGGTCTATCAATTTTGTTGATCTTTTCAAAAAACCAGCTCCTGGATTCATTGATTTTTTTGAAGGGTTTTTTGTCTCTATTTCCTCCAGTTCTGCTCTGATCTTAGTTATTTCTTGCCTTCTGCTAGCTTTTGAATGTGTTTGCTCTTATTTCTCTAGTTCTTTTAATTGTGATGTTAGGGTGTCAATTTTAGATCTTTCCTGCTTTCTCTTGTGGGCATTTAGCAGTATAAATTTCCCTCTACCCACACCTTGAATGTGTCCCAGAGATTCTGGTATGTTGTGTCTTTGTTCTCATTGGTTTCAAAGAACAGCTTTATTTCTGCCTTCATTTCGTTACATACTCAGTAGTCATTCAGGAGCAGGTTGTTCAGTTTCCGTGTAGTTGAGCGGTTTTGAGTGAGTTTCTTAATCCTGAGTTCTAGTTTGATTGCACTGTGGTCTGAGAGACAGTTTGTTATAACCTCTGTTCTTTTACATTTGCTGAGGAGTGCTTTACTTCCAACTGTGTGGTCAATTTTGGAATAGGTGTGATGTGGTGCTGAAAAGAATGTATATTCTGTTGATTTGGGGTGGAGAGTTCTGTAGATGTCTATTAGGTCTGCTTGGTGCAGAGCCGAGTTCAATTCCTGGATATCCTTGTTAACTTTCTGTCTCGTTGATCTGTCTAATGTTGACAGTGGGGTGTTAAAGTCTCCCATTATTATTGTGTGGGAGTCTAAGTCTCTTTGTAGGTCTCTAAGGACTTGCTTTATGAATCTGGGTGCTCCTGTATTGGGTGCATATATATTTAGGATAGTTAGCTCTTCTTGTTGAATTGATCCCTTTACCATTATGTAATGGCCTTCTTTGTCTCTTTTGATCTTTGTTGGTTTAAAATCTGTTTTATCAGAGACTAGGATTGCAACCCCTGCCTTTTTCGATTTCCATTTGCTTGGTAGATCTTCCTCCATCCCTCCATCCCCTTATTTTGAGCCTATGTGTGTCTCTGCACGTGAGATGGGTTTCCTGAATAGAGCACACTGATGGGTCTTGACTCTTTATCCAATTTACCAGTCTGTGTCTTTTAATTGGAGCATTTAGCCCATTTACATTTAAGGTTAATATTGTTATGTGTGAATTTGATCCTGTCATTATGATGTTAGCTGGTTATTTTGCTCGTTAGTTGATGCAGTTTCTTCCTAGCCTCGATGGTCTTTACAATTTGGCATGTTTTTGCAGTGGCTGGTACCGGTTGTTCCTTTCCATGTTTAGTGCTTCCTTCAGGAGCTCTTTTAGGGCAGGCCTGGTGGTGACAAAATCTCTCAGCATTTGCTTGTCTGTAAAGCATTTTATTTCTCCTTCACTTATGAAGCTTAGTTTGGCTGGATATGAAATTCTGGTTTGAAAATTCTTTTCTTTAAGAATGTTGAATATTGGCCCCCACTCTCTTCTGGCTTGTAGAGTTTCTGCCAAGAGATCAGCTGGTAGTCTGATGGGCTTCCCCTTGTGGGTAACCTGACCTTTCTCTCTGGCTGCCCTTAACATTTTTTCCTTAATTTCAATTTTGGTGAATCTGACAATTATGTGTCTTAGAGTTGCTCTTCTCAAGGAGTATCTTTGTGGCATTCTCTGTATTTCCTGAATCTGAATGTTGGCCTGCGTTGCTAGATTGGGGAAGTTCTCCTGGATAATATCCTGCAGTGTTTTCCAACTTGATTCCATTCTCCCCGTCACTTTCAGGTACACAAATCAGATGTAGATTTGGTCTTTTCACGTAGTCCCATATTTCTTGGAGGCTTTGTTCGTTTCTTTTTATTCCTTTTCCTCTAAACTCCTCTTCTTGCTTCATTTCATTCATTTGATCTTCCATCACTGATACCCTTTCTTCCAGTTGATTGAATCAGCTACTGAGGCTTGTGCATTCGTCACATAGTTCTCGTGCCATGGTTTTCAGCTCCATCAGGTCCTTTAAGGACTTCTTTGCATTGGTTATTCTAGTTAGCCATTCGTCTAATCTCTTTTCAAGGTTTTTAACTTCTTTGCCATGGGTTCGGACTTCCTCCTTTAGCTCAGAGTAGTTTGATCATCTGAAGCCTTCTTCTCTCAATTTGTTAAAGTCATTCTCCTTCCAGCTTTGTTCTGTTGCTGGTGAGGAGTTGCATTCCTTTGGAGAGGAGAGGTGCTCTGATTTTTAGAATTTTCAGTTTTTCTGCTCTGTTTTTTCCCCATCTTTGTGGTTTTATCCACTTTTGGTCTTTGATGATGGTGACGTACAGATGGGGTTTTGGTGTGGATGTCCTTTCTGCTTGTTAGTTTTCCCTCTAACAGTCATGACCCTCAGCTGCAGGTCTGTTGGAGTTTGCTGGAGGTCCACTCCAGACCCTGTTTGCCTGGGTATCAGCAGCAGAGGCTGCAGAACAGTGGATATTGGTGAACAGCAAATATTGCTGCCGATCGTTCCTCTGGAAGTTTTGTCCCAGAGGAGTACCTGGCTGTGTGAGATGTCAGTCTGCCCCTACTGGGGGGTGCCTCCCAATTAGGCTACTCAGGGGTCAGGGACCCACTTGAGGAGGCAGTCTGTCCGTTCTCAGATCTCCAGCTGCATGCTGGGAGAACCACTACTCTCTTCAAAGCTGTCAGACAGGGACATTTACGTCTGCAGAGGTTTCTGCTGCCTTTTGTTTGGCTATGCCCTGCCCCCAGAGGTGGAGTCTACAGAGGCAGGCAGGCCACCTTGAGCTGTGGTGGGCTCCACCCAGTTCGAGCTTCCCGGCCGCTTTGTTTACCTACTCAAGCCTTGGCAATGGCAGGCACCCCTCCCCCAGCCTCACTGCCACCTTGCAGTTTGATCTCAGACTGCTGTGCTAGCAATAAGTGAGGCTCCGTGGGCGTAGGACCCTCCGAGCCAGGCGCGGGATACAATCTCCTGGTGTGCCGTTTTATAAGACCATTGGAAAAGCTCAGTATTAGGGTGGGAGTGACCCAATTTTCCAGGTGCTGTCTGTCACCCCTTTCCTTGGCTAGAAAAGGGAATTCCCTGACCCCTTGTGCTTCCCGGTTGAGGTGATGCCTTGCTGTGCTTCGGCTCATGCTCAGTGCACTGCACCCACTGTCCTGCACCCACTTTCTGACACTCCCCAGTGAGATGAACCAAGTACCTCAGTTGGAAATGCAGAAATCATTCATCTTCTGCGTTGCTCACACTAGGAGCTGTAGACTGGAGCTGTTCCTATTCGGCCATCTTAGCTCCACCCCTCTATGATTTTTATTAATCTCATTTTAGAAACATTTATCTAAATAACATTTATTCAGAGACAGGAAATTAAACTGTGCACATTTGTAGACATACTCTTCCTCCTGAAATCTCACTAAGAGGATAATAATGGGCTTGGGTTTATTTTTAAAGAAAATAATCCCACAAGGATGGAAAAGGAGACAACATCATTTAGATACTAGAAGCAGATGGAAGAGTTATACACGACCCAGTAAACCCAAGGAAATTTACTTAAGCCAGCCATAGAGAAAGCTGAGAAGCAACATGATAGACAGCACAAAAGCCACCAAAGGACCCAGGAATTGCAGTCCAGATACTGCTAGAAGCAAGAGATAAATAGGAGAACTGGTTGCTGTACGTTTCATTAAAAAAAAAAAAATCCCAACCCTCCTCTGATTTTATGCAGTAGAAACTCCCCCTCTTCCATCTCAACATAAGACAGGGGTTTACTCTCTAAGCCAGTAAAACAGAGGGTCTCTCTAACAGAATTGAGTGTCCAGAAGTAGAGATGTGTGTATTTGAATTTATGACAGAGGCAGCATTGCAGTACAAGCCCACTTTTCCCCATCTGATCACTGTAAAGTTGTATTTCATTGGAGGTTGAGCACCTTTTCGTCAGATAACTGACATTTGGGATTCCTCTTTTGTAAAATGCTTGTTCAAGTATTTTGCCCATTTTTTTAAAAACTGGGTGGTCTTTTTCTTATTAATGTATGATCATTCTTTATATATTCTAGATGGACAGAAATTCTTTATTTTAAATGTAGTCAACTTATTGCACTTTTCTGTATGACTAGAGCTCTTTGTGTCTTGTACAACAAATCAGGAAGATTTTTTTTCAAAGAAATTTGTAAATCTTTTATAGTTTTGTCTTTTCATGTAAGCTTTAATCCACCTGGAATTTATTCTGATGGATGGCGTGAGATGGGGGCCTAATTTCATTTTGTGGCCATATGGATGCCCAATTCTCCTAGAGCTGTTCTTTAAAAATATAGCCTTTGTGGCTATATTTTATATACTCTCGTATTTTACTAGGGCATCTAGAGTTCTTGCCAGTTCTTGCCTCACTGTTGTATGGTACACCTCTGCCACAAACCAAACATCCACATCTATGTTTCTGGGAACTTTTTCCTGTCCTGTTTGTTAATCTATTCCTGTATCAGTACTGCACTGTTGTAATTAGTTTTAGTAATTAGTTTGTAATAATAACTTTAATATTTGTGCAGATCAGGTGCGGGACCCTAACCCATGCCCAGTTGCTTGTGTTGCAAGCTTCCTAAGCTAATGCGGGCAAGCAGAACTCTTAGGTAAATAATGGTAGCCACCAAAATGTTTGAGGTGAGTCAAGATTGCCTACAGTTAGTGCTAAACTATCATGAAAACAAGTCTTGCTGGGTGCTGTGGCTCACGCCTGTAATCCCAACACCTTGGGAGGCCTGAGGCAGGCAGATCATGTAAGGTCAGGAGTTCGAGACCAGCCTGGCCAACATGGTGAAACCCTGTCTCTATTAAAAATACAAAAAGTATCTGGGCATGGTGGCACATACCTGCAATCCCAGCTACTAGGGAGGCTGAGGCAAGAGAATTGCTTGAACCCAGGAGGTAGAGGTTACCATGAGCCGAGATCGCACCATTGCACTCCAGCCTGGGCAACAAGAGTAAAACTCTGTCTCAAAAAAAAAAAGAAAGAAAGAAAGAAAAGAAAGAAAGGAAGGAAAAAAAGAAAATATGTCTCAAAAGGGATTCTTTCACATGCATAAATATTGAATAAATAAATATTTATTAATAGGCAGGTACAAAGCAGAAAATAAAATCTCTTTTGTAAGCTCTATGAAATCCCAAGTTGACAACCACCCTATAGAAAAGTGTTCCCTTGAGGCAGATGCAACAATTTTTCAGAGGCAGGAATCTGTTTTCCTGACAGTAGATATTAAGCAGCCAAATTTTCTGCTAACACACAGGCAGTTATGGCACAGGACTGTTTACAGATCAAGCCCTGGATCTCATCTCTAAGCATGCAGACCTTACCAGCTCTTATAACCTCTTTGTGCAAGTGTAAGGTATCGCTACAATACTTTAGCCCATCTATGTATCTTGCATTTAATTTCATTAATTACATGGAGTTCGAATCCACCAGTCACATCCCTGTCTGGCCAAGCCATTTGCCACTGCCCAGAAATCTATGGACACTTGTACCTCCGACCACTTTCCACATAGGGGAACAACTGAGAATACCACTTGCAGCTCTGCCCACTGGAAGAGTTTCTTTCAGTACTGTTTTGTTGTTGTTGTTGTTGTTGTTTTTGTTTTGTTTTGTCTTTGAGACAGAGTCTCTTTCTGTTGCCCAGACTGGAGTGCAGTGGTGCTATCTCGGCTCACTGCAAGCTCCGCCTCCCGGATTCATGCCATTCTCCTGCCTCAGTCTCCCGAATATCTGGGACTACAGGCGCCTGCCACCACACCCAGCTAATTTTTTTTTGTATTTTTAGTAGAGACGGGGTTTCACCATGTTCGCCAGGATGGTCTCGATCTCCTGACCTCATGATCCACTCGTCTTGGCCTCCCAAAGTGCTGGGATTACAGGCGTGAGCCACCGCACCCTGCCCTTCTTTTAGTACTGTTTTTAAGGCTACTTCAAACAGTGGCAGCAATCCATTGATGGCTAGCACCAAAATATCATGATAAACCATCTGTAAACCAGGCCTGAATTTTGTCTACCTCTCCCAGCTCATGAGGAACCTCTCCTCCCTCCACCAATGAAGCCCAAGGGTTGAGTTGAGGCAGGGACATCATTGACACAGAGATTGTTTCCTTGGGATTCAGGGCCGCCTGTCTATGTAATACTCAGCTCCTCTGGGCCTGCTCACGGCTAACCTCGAACGCAGCATTACCTTCCCATGGCACAGCTGCATATCTCCAGCTCACGGAGGTCAGTTCTATCACAGAGGTACTTGGTGTCTCTGGAAAGGAAGTCAGTCCCTACTAGGGCCAGGAACACACCAGGAGTTGTTCTTCAAAGGGCAAATAGTTCTCTGCTGCAGGATGGCATTACTTCAGAACACTAAGGACTTGCCATACAGCCTCCTCACCACCACAGATACCTCCAGCAGCATCACTTCTGCTTGGTCATATCACCTGAATGGAAGGGTAGCCTGGACCCACTGCAGAGCCCTCTCTTGATCTGAACCCCACTTAAAACTGGTGGCCCTAGGCTGGGCACAGTGGCTCATGCCTATAACCCCAACACTTTGCGAGGCCGAGGTGGGAGAATCACTTGAACCCAGGAGTTCAAGATCAGACTGCACAACATAGTGGGATCCCATCTCTACAAAAAGTTTTAAAAATTAACCAGGTGTGCTGGCATGCACCTGTGGTCCCAGCTACTTGGGAGGCTGAGGTGAGAGGATTGTTTGTGCCTGGGAGGTCCAGGCTGCAGTAAGCCGTGATGGAGACACTGTACTCCAGCCTGGGTGACAGAGCCAGACCCTGTCTCAAAACAAAAACAGAAACAGCTGGTGGCCTTCCAAGCCACTCTACAAATGGATGAGAGTGGCATTTCCAAGTGTCTCCACAACCCAAAGAGCCTCATGAAGTGCCTCATCTTTTTTTTTAACTAGTAGGGGATGTGAGGTGCAACCATTTCCCCTTTCCCAAGGTGGCTTTGTCTTCTTTGCCCAGACCACTTGATCCCTAAAATCTTTACCAAAGTAACAGATTCTTGTATCTTCATGGTGTTTATCTCTCACCCTCAGCCACTCTCATATTTTACTAGGGCCTCTAGAGTTCTTGCCAATTTATACTCAGCAAGTCCACTAAGCATGATATCATCAATAAAGTAAACTGGCATGGCGGTTGTGGAATGTCTAGGTAATCAATGTTTCAATAGATTTTATGATGACAAAGAATAGGAGAGTTGACAAAGTCCTGGAGTACTTTCCTGTAAAAGCAAGCTGCTTTTGATACTTTTATTGATGACAATTGAAAAAAATGCATTTGCCAGATCAATAGTTGCATGCCACATGCCAAAACAGGAGCCCACGTGCTCCCATAAAGACATCACATCCAGCACAGCTGGTGCCACTGGCTACCAATTGTTTATGTTTGTATAATCCACTGGCCTCTGGCATGGTCCATCGGGGGTGTGCAGGGACCACCCAGAGAATTTACGAGGATATGATGGGGTTCACACCCCCTACATCCTTCATCTTTGATGGTGCTGATCACTGCAGTGTCTCCCAGGATGTGGTATTACTTCTGATTTACTTCCCTGACAAAGCAATGAAAAAAGGAAGCTCTTGTCACCCACTGGCCAAGGGTGCCCCACAGGAGTTAACTCCTTTGTGTGTAGGTTACACATGCACAGGTGCTAAGCAGGTGCCATGGATGGCATCCAGGAAGCCCTGGGGAGGGGAGTGAGAGGTGCTTGGCATGGGCCTGTGGGGACTCAAGGCATCACCAGGCTGCACCTTCACAAAGCCATCAGAGCCCGCACTATCTGGTGGCTGCAACTGTAGTTGGACAATGTGTGAGTGAGGCTGAGAGGATCTGAATAAGCGCCGGAGGCATCTTGTACACTGAATCCTTAGCAGGCCAGTAGGCAGAGACAGAAGGAGACACATAGGATCTTCTGTGGGATTGACAGGTCTCCAAAGGCTGGAACCCTTTAAGCAGCTGGCTCAGGACTCAAAGCAGTAGAAGCACTCAACAAACATTTTTTGGATGCAAAAACTAAGAAATTAATTAAATAATAAGTCAACAATTATTGAAAGATCCAGGTCACATTAAAAGATGTGGCAAACATGGATTTCACCGTACCTTCCAAGCCTGAAATGAAAAGTGTCCCTGGGAAGCCAGGTGAGCCTGAGTATACCTGGGCACAGACTGGGGGCCATGATAGACAGCGAGAATGTCCCCCAACACAGACCAGGAAGCAGCACAGCACTGTGGCTGAGGGGTTCTGGGTCTAAGAGGGTTCGACAGGCCCCATGTTACTCAGAGGGAAACCCATTTGCTCTGATCAAATATCTTACAGAGGTAGACAGAGCTAAGAGATGAGGTCATCAGGAGACAGGGTCTAAGGTTAGCCCACTTCCTCATAAAGGCTGGGTGACTCCCTGGCTCTCTGCGCCTCATGCCCAGGTACAAGGAAGAACTTGGTATGGGCGGCGGAGGACTTTGGCTTCTGACTGCCAATTCTTTCTCCCCGGTGGGGAAAACAGAGAGCTTCAGTCGCCAGGCAAGTGCTAAGATGTCTCCTGCGCTAGTAAAGTTGGAGAGGAAGGTTTAAGTAGAGAACAAAATAGAGAGGGAGGGAGGGAGAAGAGGAGAGAGGGGAAGAGGGGAAGGGGAGAGGGAGGGAGGACAGAAGGAGGAGCAGCAGCAGGAGGAGCAGGAAGTGGAGACAATTTTTAAAGTTGTCTTTTATTTTGGGGATGGAAAGCAGTAGTTCCATCATTAACAAGCCTTTATTCCAAATAAAAGGACTAGCCCCAGTGTGGAGCAGTCCCGTCCCGCTCTGCAGATGAAATTAAGGCAGCAAGTCAAAAAGCAAGCATGCATTGTCTGGGTAATGCAGTGGCTTAGGCACCGACATTCTCTGCAAATCCCTACTTGGAGAGCCCGACCTGGTCTCGGGGCTGCCTGCGGAAAGCACTGGAGAGCAGTCATTTCACACCATTCACACCGGCCAGCATAGGTTAAATCTTCCCAAGTTTGAATGCCTCTTTCCAGGGAAGAACAAGAAAAATCCAAAACGTTTTAAATAGTATGACCATCAATGAGGAAGAACATTTGAGATAAATAATAAAACTGTCATCTTGATCGAGGTACAAATCTTCTTCCAAAGTTTTAAAATCCTTTGTGTGCTTCCTCACTTGCTTATGGATTTGGGGTGGACACAAAGGCATGCCTTATTTGTCTTATTTGTAGCTCCATTTTTTCTTAACAGTTCTTCCATGTCTCCTCATTTTGAACAATCAAGTGGTGAAATAAGCAATTTGAATGCCCTCCTTTTTAAACGCTAAAGTGCTATATAAATGAAAAGTATTATCATTTCCAGTTTTAACTCGAAAGCAGAGTGATGTAAGGCCTCCAATGCCTAATTTCTTTAAATGGATGGACTGAGAAAAAAATACAGTTGCATTGTTTAATTTTCCAAAGAAAAAACAGTTTTCAAAGATGAAGTAATATTATTTTATTTAAAATTAATGTATTAATAAATACAAAAATATGTATTGTGTAGTAATAATTATTGCTGGGTGGGGCTGTGGGTGGCTTTCTGGGAGGCATTATATAGTACATAATAGAATATAAAAATGGAAGTTTTGAGCCGTGTACAGTGGCTCGTGCCTGTAACCCCAGCACTTTGGGGGCCCATGGCAGGAGGATCATTTGAGCCTAGGAGCTCGAGATGAGCCTGGGCAACATAGTGAGATACCATCTCTACAAAAAATTAAACACCTAGCCGGGTATGGTGGTGCATGCTTGTGGTCCCAGCTACTCAGGAGGCTGAAGCAGGAGGATCACTTGAGTCTGGGAGTTTGAGGCTGCAGTCACAATTGCGGCAATGCACTCCAGCCTGAGCAACAGAATGAGACCCTGCTTCTACAAAAATAAAAATAAAAATAAACTTTTTTAAAATGGAAGGTTTGGCTGAGACCCTAAGATGAGAAAGATCGTGTGCCAACCTGAGGTTCCAAGTAAGGAGTCTAGCTTTTAGGGTCTTTGGTGAGAAGCTTTAACCCTCACCTATATCAAAGGCCAGAATGTGTGGAGATGGGAGGGATTTGTGCAGAGACTTTTTAGGGAAAGCTGTTGATCCGTTCTAAGTCCCAGCTCCCAAGGAGGAAAAATGGGGAGGTTTGTCCTCAAGCTGCTAAGAGGGGCACTGAAGGTGCCACATGGAGAGCTGCTGTGTGTCCCATGTGGTAGGGGGCCCAGGAGGCTGGTGTGTGACTCCCACTTGAGAAATCTAAAGGGTGAGCCATGTGGCAGCTCTGCCGATAGCTGAGGGGAGGACGCCTGCACCCCCAGGATGCTGGGGCAGAGGTGATGGGGTCATGCCTGTGAGAAAGCCATTGTGGGTTACTTTAGGTTTTGTCCAAGAGGGCCAGCTGGAGGGGCACAGAGCTGCAGGTGTTGCTGGATTCCCATGGCCATGGGGAAACCACCGTGAGCCACAGGAGAAGCATCCCCCCGAGTTAGGGAACTTCCAGCGGGAAGTGCCCACCTTCGTGGGTGGCTGGAGGAGGGGCTCTGAGGAACCCACACAAACCTCCACGGGAGAAGGCATTGGCCCTGAACGTCTGTCAGGAACAGAGAGCAAAAAGGAAACTGGTGACAGCGACAGTTCCATCCTGTCAGCCCTCTCTTGTCTCCCAGTTACTCCCTATGAAACCAGCAACCCACAGGCATCGGAAACCATGGTGAGCAAACTGGAGGATGTGTGGGAGGCGGAGAACGTTGGATGGGGAGAGAGAGAAGGACCCATTGTCTAGCCCCCTGGCTCACAGCAGCCTCCCCACCTGCAGCTGCCCTCGATGATGGAAGAGAGACGCCTCCTCTTACCCCAGCCTTGAGTTTAGAATATTGCAGGGGACTGGAAATGCCCATTTCTGTGTGGAGACACTTCGTATCACACATCAGTGACCTGAAATGTTAAAGGACTGCCTGAGTTCTTATCCAGGGACAGGGAAGAACTAGCCCTGCTGAATACATTTAAAAGAATAGTGACAGATAAAATACAATGACTTCAGGATGGCAGCCCATAAATCATGTCTGCCCAATGCACATGTTACGAGTGTTCAGAAAACAGAAATGAAACTTTGAAAACCTGATGTCTCCCGAAATTACCTCTATTTGTTTTTAAATATATGTTATTTTTTTCAAATGATAAAAGCAGATTCATAGTAGACCATTTAGAAAACACGTTAAAATATTAAAAGGAAAACTTCAAAAATGTTCACACAATCCTACCACCATTTCTTTCTTAAAGTGTAAAATCCTTCCTCCCTGGGGTAAAAAGATATTCAGATATTCCAAGTGTTCTCTTTAAATGTACGATTATGGGTTACGCCCTCTTTTCTGCCTATATGTGGAAGCAGACAGTTCTAATTTTGTCTCTCTGGCTCACGCCCACACCCTCTCGACCACCCCTCTCCACTCTTCTGGATTCACTCCCCACATCTACTCCATCCCACCCATTAAACTGGTTAAATCAGAGCTGCCATGTTCTTTTTTTTTTGAGACGGAGTTTATCTGGGGTGCAATGGTGCAATCTTGGCTTACTGCAACCTCCAGCTCCTGGGTTCAAGCTATTCTCCTGCCTCAGCCTCCTTAGTAGCTGGGACTACAGGTGCCCGCACTCACACCCAGCTAATTTTTGTTTTTGTAGTAGAGGCAGGGTTTCACCATGTTGGCTGGGCTGGTCTTGAGCTCCTGACCTCAGGTGATCCACCTGCCTTGGCCTCCCAAAGTGCTGGGATTACAGGCATGAGACACCATGCCCAGCCTAATTTTTCCTTTTTTAAAAAAGCATATTTACTTGCTTGACTAACTTTTTTTTTTCTTTGAGACTGAGTCTCGCTCTGTCTCCCAGGCTGGAGGGCAGTGGCACAATCTCGACTCACTGCAACCTCCACCTCCCAGGTTCAAGCGATTAACCCTGCCTCAGCCTCCAAGTAGCTTGTATTACAAGCACCCACCACCACGCCAACTAGTTTTTGTATTTTTAGTAGAGACGGGGTTTCACCATGTTAGCCAGACTGGTCTCTAACTCCTGACATCAAGTGATCCACCCGCCTCGGCCTCTCAAAGTGCTGGGATTACAGGCGTGAGCCACCACACGTGGCCTAAACTTTTCCAAAGACATCAGACTAACCTTGTTTCTGTGTGGGATCTGTGTCCACTCTTAGGGGACAAAGACAGAAAAAAGTACAGTGGATATTTCCTTTTCAGTCTATTCCCATGTGTGTGCATTTTGTATGGGTTTTAAATAAATAACAATATTAAAGAGGGAAGAAAAATCACAAAACAACAGCTGAGGATTGTGTGTGAGACACTCATTCCTCCTCTTTCCCACTGTGGTTAAAGTTATCACCAACTTCTTGGCTGTCTAATGGTCTCCTCACCTTTTAGAATAAGCTGCTGGAGCCATTTCTTCCCTCCATTACATTCTGCTATCTATTAACCAATGAAAAAGAAGAAGATACAAGAAGTTTGGTCCTGCGCAAACAGGCGATATTGTGTTAGCTTTGTCTGAGATATACTTTCTTCTTTAAGGTTTGGCTGAAAATAGCTGTAGTATATCACCCCTCAAGATGCCTACCTAGTCCCAACCTCCAGATTTGACTCACTCATTACCAGTATCTCCTGCAGATCCAGGAGGCCAGGTCTCCATGTTTCTACCTTGGGACGCTCCTCTACCAACTGCTACAGGTTTTGTTATATCAGGAAGTCCATTTGACCCAACTGAGTTGGTGTGATGCTCTCTTCTGGGAAACTCCTACAGTAAGTTTGAGGCACTGGAGCTGACAGAGGTCACTTAGACTCAAGGCTGGAAAGACCATTTTTGTCATATGTGTTCCATGTCAGAGAAAGCTAGTTTTTAGAGAGATAGACAAATGAGCCAAGAAAGGCAGAAAAGAAGGGTCCTGGCTGCACAGAGGCGGACTTGTCATCTTGTGACCTCTGTGTACTAGTTTGCTAGGACTGCCATAACAAAGTACCACTGATACGGCAGCTTAAGCAACAGACATTTATTTTCTTATAGTGCTGAAAGCTGGAAGTCTGAGATGAAGGTGTCAACAGGGTTTCTTTCTACTGAGGCCTATCTCCTTGGCTTGCAGGTGGCTACCTTCTCCCCGGGTGCTTACATGGTCTTCCCTCTGTGCATGTCTCTCTCCTAACCTGCCAGTCACACTGGATTAGGGCCCACCTATATGACCTCATTCTACCTTAATCAGCTCTTTAAAGGCCCAACCTCCATATACAGTCACATTCTGAGGTTCTGCAGTTAGGACTTCAACATATGAATCTAAGGGGGCATAGCTCAGCCCATAACACTCTTCTTCTGACTCTCCAGGTCCTGATTGTTACCCCTCCTGGGGCCTGGTTACACTTCCCATCCTTGGGATATAAGATCAGTTCTATCTTTGACTTGTGATAACTTAAGCAGATTTCTACTCCAGCCAGTCAAACAATTCCTCACAAAGATAATTACCCTTTTAGCAAAAGCTGCTCTGTGATTTTTCCAGAATATGAGGATCAGAAATGTTAATACTGTCTTTATATATATGAATGTTAAACAGCAACAGTTTCCAGCTATCTCTTGACGTTTTCATTTTGAACTGATCTCAAATTTCTCAAAGCTTCCTCTTCTTCGGTTGAAATCCATATTCAGGCTCCCATGTCACATGCCAAATCCAAAATGCTATCACTAGCATTCCTGCTCTCTTGGAGGCTATCCTCACAGGTGTTTGGGGACCACCCTCTGGTTCACATTTTCTAAATTGTATGATGTTAGATGTACTTTCCTGGAAAGATACCTGACTTTTCAAGGAAAAATAGAGGATAACATTTGGATAGAAAAAAATGGACACGTCTAGCAGGCAGAAAATAAATAAGGGCTTGGTTAACTCAACACCATCATCAATGAACTGGATACTATGGACATGTACAGACTACCTCATCCAGCATTAGGAGAATATATATTCTCCTTAAGCTCACACAGAACAGTCAGCAAGACAGACCACACCTGAGCCATAAAACACACCTTAATCAATTTCAAAGAATAGATATGATACAATGTCTGTTCTCAGACCACAGTGGAATTAAACTAGAAATCAGTAACAAAGATAGCTGGGAGATCTTAAAATACTTGGAGGTTAAACAGCACACTTCTAAATAATAGATGGGTCAAAGAAGAAATTTCAAGAGAAATTTTAAAATAGTTTGAATCAAATGAAGATGAAAGCACGTCCTATCAAAATCTGTGGGATGCAGCAAAAGCAGCATTTAGAGGGAAATTTATAGCATTGAATACATAGATTAGAAAAGAGGAAAGATCTAAAATCAATTCTCTAAGCTTCCACCTTAGGAACCTAAGAAAAGGAGAGCAAACAAAATCCAAAGTAAATAGAAGAAAATAAATGATAAAAATTAGAGCAGAAATCGATGATATTGAAACAGAAAATCAATGGCGAAAATCAATGAAACCAAAAGCTGGTTCTTTGAAAAGATCAATAAAAATAATAAGCAGGCTAACTAAGAAAATAAGAGACAATACAAATTACTATTATAAGAAATATAAGAGGGGAAATCACTATGAATCCCCTAGATATTAAAAGGATAACCAAGGAATACTATGAACAACTCTGTGTCCACATATTTGATAACCTAAATGAAATAGAGCAATTCCTTGAAAGTCACAATCTGCCAAAACTCACACAAGAGGAATCTGAACAGGACTATATTTATTTTAAAAATTGAATCAATAAGTAATAACCTTCCAAAACAGAAAGCACCAGGCCTAGATGGCTGGTGAATTCTAAACACTGAAGAAAGAAATTATACCAATTCTCTACAATCTTTTTCAGAAGAGAGAACCAAAGAAAATACTTCCTACCTCATTCCCTGAGTCCAGCATTACACTAATATCAAAACCAGATAAAGACATAACAAGAATGGAAAACTACAGGCCAATATGTCTCATGAACACAGATATAAAAATGCTCAACGGCCGGGTGCGGTGGCTCATGCCTGTAATCCGAGCACTTTGGGGGGCCGAGGTGGGCAGAAAACTTGAAGTCAGGAGTGCGAGACCGGCCTAACCAACATGGTGAAACCCCATCTCTACTAAAAATACAACAATTAGCCGGGCGTGGTGGCGCATGCTTGTAATCTCAGCTACTCAGGAGGCTGAGGCAGGAGAATCACTTGAACCCAAGATAGCACCACTGAACTCCAGCCTGGGTAACAGAGTGAGACTTTGTCTCAAAAAAAAAAATGCTCAACAAAATATTAGCAATTCAAGTCCAACGATGTCTAAAAATAATTATATACCACAACAAAGTGGAATTTACTCCATGCATGCATGGCAACATTAAAAAATCAAATAAATGTAATGCATCACATCAACAAGCTAAAGAAGAAAAATCACATGATCATATCAAAAGATGCAGAGAAAGCATTGACAAAATCCAACACCCATTCTTGATAAAAACTGTCAGTAAACCAGATATGACATGGTGCCTATAGTTCATAACAATGTATTATATTCTTGAAAAGTACCAAGAGATTTTAAGTGTTCTCACCACAAAAAAAATAAGTATATGAGGTAATGTTAATCAGTTAGATTCAGGCATTTCACAATTATACATATTTTACAACATGTTGTACATGATTGTACATGATAAATATATGTAGTTTTTATTGGTCAATTTAAATACATGAATGCATACATAATAAATATATAAATAAATAACTCAATCTCAGTAAATTAGGAATAGAAGGGAACCTTCTTCAACCTGATAAAGCATATCTGCAAAAACCTTACAGCTAACATCATGGTGAGAAGCTCAAAGTTTTCCCACTGAGATCAGGAACAAGGCAAGGATGTCCCCCTCTCACCACTGCTTTTCAACTTTGTACTAGAGGTCCCAGCTAACACAATAAGACAAGAAAGGGAAACAAAAGCCATGTTTGATTGGGAAGGAAGAAATAAAACTGCTCATGTTCACAGATGACATAATCATCTCTACAAAATATCTGAAAGAACCAACAAAAAATAAAAACTACTGATACTAATCAGCAATGATAGCAACATTGCAGGATATAAGTTTAATGAATTGCTTTCCTATATACCAGCAAAGAACAAGTAGAATTTGAAATTAAAAACACAGTACCATTTACATTAGCATTCCCTCCAAAAAATGAAATACTTAGATATAAGTCTAACAAAATATGGATAAGATCTATATGAGGAAAACCGTAAAACTCTGATGAATGAAATCAAATATGAAATTTTAAAATGGACACATATTTCATGCTCCTGGGTAGGAAGCCTCGATATTTTCAAGACATCAGTTCTTCCCAACTTGATCTATCAGTTCAATGCACTCCCAATCAAAATCACAGCAAGTTATTTTGTGGATATTGACAAACTGATTATAAAGTATATAGAGACAGGCAAATGATCCAGAATAGCCACACAGTATTAAAGGAGAACAAGGTTGGAGGACTGAAGCTACCCAATTTCAAGACTTATTATAATGCTGCAGTAATCAAGGAGTGTGGTATCAGCAAATGAATAGGCAAATAGATAAATAAACAAAACAAAGAGCCCAGAAGTAGACCCACATAAATATAGTCAACTGATCTTTAATAAAGCAGCAAGGCAATACCATAGGAAAAGATAGTCTTTTAAACAAATGCTGCTAAAACAACTGGACATCCACATGCAAAAAAATAAATATAGACACAGGCCTTACACACTTCACAAAAATTAATTCATAATGAATCACAGACCTAAAGGTAAAATGCAAAACTATAAAAACCTTAGAAGACAGTATAGGAGAAAAGTATGGATGGCCTTAGATTTGGCTTTTTAGATTCAACACCAAAGGCACAATCCATGAAGATTAAAGAACGAATTGATAACTGGACTTCATTTAAATTAAAAATTCCTGCTCTGTGACATCTTATAGAATTCAAATAACCAATAACTATATGGCTCACTAAAACTCACTTAAAAATCAAAGTGCAATGTCATCCTTCAGCTATCAGATTGGCAAGAATTTTTTCTTTTTTTGAGATGGAGTCTCGGTCTGTTGAGTGCAGTGGTGCGATCTTGGCTCACTGCAACCTCTGCCTCCCAGGTTCAAGTGATTCTCCTGCCTCAGCCTCCCAAGGAGCTGCGATTATAGGCGCCTGCCACCATGCCTGGCTAATTTTTGTATTTTTTGTAGAGACTGGGTTTTACTATGTTGTCTTGGCTGGTCTTGAACTCCTAAACTCAGGTGATCCGCCCACCTCGGCCTCCCAAAGTGCTGGGATTACAGGCGTGAGCCACTGCACCCAGCCAGATTTTTTCTTATAATTGTTAGTGTTATGAGAATTGAGGAATACAGAAAATTTCGTATACAATGGTAGAATATGAATTGGTTCACTCTTAGGTAATATTTAACATGCCTTTAAAAGGTATGTAACCAAGGATTTTTAGGGCAGTGAAACTACTCTGCAGTATCCATGATACTATACTGATAGATACATGTCATTATACGTTTGTCCAAACCCATAGAAAGTACAACAGCAAGAGCAAATCCCAATGTGATAATGATGTGTTAAGGCAGGTTCATCAGTTTCAAGAAATGTTGCACTCTGATGGAGGATGCTGCTAATGGGGGAGGTTGCCCATGTGTGAGGGTGTGTGCCTTCTGCTCGGTTTTGCTGTGAACCTAAGACTGCTCTAAAATATAAAGCCTGTGGCAGGCCAGTCCTCCCTGACAATCACACAGACGGGCCTGCATGACAGTCAATGCAGACAGGCCTGCATAGCACTTCAGTTACCCAGACAGATTTCCACAGAATCGCCTTAACATTGAGCAAATAGTTAAACTGAGAAATCAGTGCCCAGACATCAAAGCTAGAAATGAGACATATGGTCAGTAGGCACCTTGCACGGGCTTCTCTCTAACCTGGAGCAAGTCAAAATAATAGAGACAGTCTTACATTCCCAGTGCCAGGACCGGTCTTGGGTCGTCAGAATCCAAGTCAAGGTAACAGAGGCAGCTGTTTGAATAGATAGATGTATCACGTCAACAAGCTAAAGAAGAAAAATCACATGATCATATCAAAAGATGCAGTAAAGGAGATAAGATAGAAATAATCACTCTGGTATCGCAGTAGACAGGCCTGGAAGGTACTGAGACACTTTTAAGTGGACTTGGCAAGTATTGTTTTGCCTGTGACCTTCCAGTTGAAACAAAATTAGTTACTAATAGACTTAGGCAAATACTATACTTCATGAAGGCACTTAACCCCAACCAATATAACAACTAAGAAAATTGTAATGCTTTGAGTTGGTCTGGTGGAATTATCTCCGGCCTTCTCCCTGTATCCAGTTACAGCAAAACATTCTCTTCTTTTGTAGTTTGTCTGCTTCTCGTTATTGGGCCTCGAGAAAACGCAGCCAGACTTGGCTTGGTTCCGGGAATAAGTTTTTAAAAACTAAGTGTAGGGGCAGGGCATGGTGGCTCACGCCTGTAATCCCAATACTTTGGGAGGCCAAGGCAGGCGGATCAACTGAAGTCAGGAGTTCGAGATCAGCCTGGCCAACATGGTGAAACCCTGTCTCTACTAAAAATACAAAAATTAGCCAGGTGTGGTGGCATATGCCTGTAATCTCAGCTACTTGGGAGGCCAAGGCAGGAGAATCGCTTGAACCCAGGAGGTGGAGGTTGCAGTGAGCCAAGACTGCACCATTGCACTCCACCCTGGGCAACAAGAGTGAAACTCTGTCTCAAAAAAAAAAATTTAAAAAAAAAGTGTAGGGAGATGGTCGGCTACTGACAAAGATTGTGGGTGCAGGGAGAAGGAGACAACACTATGACCAACACAAGTCTTCTGCTGTCTGTGGCACTCCCTTAGCCCGACTGCATCACTGTGGGTCTCCTTCCCAGAACCTACTGTGTCCCTCGGCAGAAGCTTCCTGCTTTTGAGGGCACTGCTATGGCCTAGTGGCAGGTAGGGGTTCAGCCAGGTTGGTTTCTGGGATTCCAAGGTGCTGACTCTGGTTTCATTAGAGCTGGATGCTAAAAGCAGAACATTGAATAGGTCTTTGTAACGATCACCAAACACATTACAGGGACAGAGAGAAAAGAACTTCCGTTCTGAAAAACACAACCAACTGACCAAGCCTATACCTGGAGCACCAGGAAAACACAGGCACCAGAAAAGAGCGGCAGGGAGAGATTTAAAGAAAGAACTTCATAAAGGGATAATTATCAAGACAAACATCAGAATTCTTTGGCCCTCTGTTGGTTTCCTACAACTGCTAACCGCAAAGTACCGCAGAGAAGATGCTGAGAAGTCTGTAATCAGGGGGCCAGCAGGGCCATGCCGGCTCTGAAATCTGCAGGGAAGAATCCTTCCTTTCCTCCCCCAGCTTCTGGTGTTTTGCTGGCAACCTTTGGCATTTCCTTGGCTTTCGGCTGCAGCACTTCAGTCTCTCCTCTGCCTCTGTCATCATCACGTGATGTTCTCTCCCCTGTCTCTAGGTCTCCTCCTTCTTACAAGGATGCCACTCACACTGGATTAGGGGCCCACCCTGCTGTAGTATGACCTCGTCCTAATTTAATTATATCTGCGGCAATCCTACCTTCAAATGAGGTTGCATTCTGAAGAGCCAGGGGTTAGGACTTTAACATATCTTTTTGAAAGACACAATTCAACCCTATTAGGGGTTGAACCCTTCTCACATTTATATTGAATTCTGCTGTCTCTTCTTTGGAATGACACGTAGGGGAGGTAGCAGTGGAGGACATCCTCTTCATGACTTAGGGCTTCTCGAGGTCTTGGGTCACCCTGGGACTTCACAGACATGACAACATAATGGCTGTTGGGGGGCTTTGAGTAACCTTGACATACTCAAGGTTACTCAAGGGACCAAGGGACACACCTTGCCCCCTTCCTTCCTTGCAAACTTACTGACCACCACCCACCACCCTCTTTCCTCTGAGAAAAGGGGCAGCTGTCTATTTGCTCAGAGCCCTCCCATCTCTTCCAGGGTTTTGCTCTCTCAGTTCTTCCCTCAGTAGGTTTCAAACTCTTTTTCTCGTCCACATTTTTTTTTTGAGACAGGATCTCACTCAGTCACCTAGGCTGGAGTGCAGTGGTGTGGTCTCAGCTCACTACAACCTCGACCACCCAGGCTCAGGTGGGTTTCCCACCTCAGCCTCCTAAGTAGCTGGGACTACACGGGCATGCCACCATGCCCAGCTAATTTTTCTATTTTTAGTAGAGATGGGGTTTTCCCATTTTGCCCAGGCTGATCTCAAACTCCTGGGCCCAAATGATCCTCCCACCTCGGCCTCCCAAACATAAATTCTTCTTCTTTATTTTTTTCTTTCTTTTTTTTTTTTTTTTTGAGATGGCGTTTTGCTCTTGTTCCCAGGCTGGAGTGCAATGGTGCAATCTCAGCTACCGCAACCTTCACCTCCCGGGTTCAAGCGATTCTCCTGCCTCAGCCTCCCGAGTAGCTGGGATTACAGGTATGCACTACCACGCCTGGCTAATTTTATATTTTGGGTTTCACCATGTTGGTCAGGCTGGTCTCAAACTCCCGACCTCAGGTGATCTGCCCATCTTGGCCTCCCAAAGTGCTGGGATTACAGGCGTGAGCCACAGTGCCCGGACTCTTTTCTTTTTTACCTGCCCATCAAGTTTCCAACAAACGTGAATTCTTATATAGATTCCCCAAATACAAAACACATTTTTCTTAAGTATAAATACGTTTTATACGCTCATATTTGAAATATTTATTCACCTTAATTGTCATGAGGAGAAAAAGGTTACTTTGATTTGGAATAATATACAACTGAGTTTGGCTCTATGCAGATTTATCACAAGCCATGAAGCATAAGTGTCAGAGCCCTTCATTTGCAGAAGCCCCTCCAAGGCCTGGGAAAGGTCCTAGCACTGTGTCCCTGTGGTCAAGTGTTTTTGTAACATTTGGGCCAAGTGTGGTGGCTCACGCCTGTAATCCCAGTACTTTCGGAGGCCAAGGCAGGTGGATCACTTGAGAACGGGAGTTCGAGACCAGCTTGGCCAACGTGGTGAAACCCCGTCTCTACTAAAAATACAAAAAAATTAGCGGGCAGGCACCTCTAATCCCAGCTACTCAGGAGGCTGAGGCAGGATAATTGCTTGAACCCGGGAGGCTGAGGTTGCAGTGAGCCGAGATTGCACCACTGCACTCCAGCCTGGGTGACAGAGCAAGACTCTGTCAAAAAAAAGAAAGAGCAAGAAAGAAAAAGAAAGAGAGAGAGAGAGAAAAGAAAAGAGAGAGAGAGAAAAGAAAAGAGAGAGAGAGAAAGAAAGAAAGAGAAAGAAAGAAAGAAAAGAAAGAAAGAAAGAAAGAAAGAAAGAAAGAAAGAAAGAAAGAAAGAAAGAAAGAAAGAAAAAGAAAGAAAGAAAGAGAAAGAAAAGGAAGGAAGGAAGGAAGGAAGGAATTGCAGGAAAGTACCTTGACTGTGATTTGTTCAGGCCACTGTCTCGTCTCGTGCCTTCTCTGTCCATCACACTTCCCCTTGTGTCAGGCGGTATTTGAGTGGCCAGACCTAGGCGGAAATTAAACTGCGGGTACTTTTGGTTCAGGCTTAACGGGATCTATTTATGTGGTTCACAGTCACTTCTATGGATAGCCAAATTACTGCTAACAATTCCAGGTAAGAATGAGCTTTCTGTTCACGGTAACAACTAATCCAAGGCTGTGACACAAAGGGTCATGGTCAGAAGCTGCACTGCGATTGGAACATGTCCTACAGGTGTGCAGGCAATGGGGAAGCAGCATATGGACCTGGAAACTCATCTGTAAAAAATTCTTCCAATCACCAGACAGGAAAATAAAAGTTCAAGTGGAGAACCAGTCTTCATCAATGTCTAAGCAAAGTGGGGTTCTTCCTTGTAAGGGATGCTTTTCATGATAAAACACAGGCAATGGCACATTTTGTTTTCTTTTGGGATGAAAATGATGTGAAAAAAATCCAACATAATTCCCATATTTCTAGACAAAAGCCTAAGGCAGAGGTAATAAACAGGGAGTATGTCTGAATAGGAAGTCACATAATTTACACATTTCAACACTCAATCACACACACAAAACCCAGTCAATTCTAAAACAAAGGCTGCATTTCAGTTATCTCTATAAAAGATTATATTACAAAATCATTGTCATATGATTAAATGTATACAGCCAATAAATGCAGTAAAAAAATTGTAGAAATGGGCTGGGCACAATGGCTCACACCTGTGATCCTAGCACTTTGTGAGGCCAAGGCAGGCAGACCACCTGAGGTCAGGAGTTTGAGACCAGCCTGGCCAACATGATGAAACCCCATCTCTACTAAAAATACAAAAATTAGCCAGGTATGGTGGCAGGCACCTGTAATCACAGCACTTTGGGAGGTTGAGGCGGGTGGATCACCTGAGGTCAGGAGTTCGGATCAGTCTGGCCAACATGGCAAAACCCCATCTCTGCTAAAAATACAAAAATAAATGAGGATGGTGGCTGATGCCTATAATCCCAGCTACTCAGGAGGCTGAGGCAAGAGAATTGCTTGAACCCAAGAGGCGGAGGTTGCAATTAGTTGAGATCACACCGTTGCACTCCAGCCTAGGCAACAAGAGCGAAACTCCATCTCAAAAAAAAAAAATAAATTATAGAAATGATCCAGGCAATTAATACAACTACCAAGTTTAAAAATTATGTTTACGGTGGCTCACACCTGTAATCCCAACACTTTGGGAGGCTGAGGTGGGCAGATCATGAGGTCAGGAGATCGAGACCATCCTGGCTAACATGGTGAAACCTCGTCTCTACTAAAAATACAAAAATTAGTCAGGCGTGGTGGCAGGTGCCTGTAGTCCCAGCTACTTGGGAGGCTGAGGCAGGAGAATGGCGTGAACCTGGGAGGCAGAGCTTGCAGTGAGCCGAGATCGCGCCATTGCACTCCAGCCTGGGCAACAGAGTGAGACTCCGTCTCAAAAAAATATATATATATGTATATATATATATATGTTTAGAGCTTTTATCAGCTCTTCTAAATGTACAAATTGTTATTTATTTTATCATTTGAAATAAATATTTGCTGTATACCTAATTTTTGTTGGGAGACAATCCTCCATGGATCTCTCATGTTTCTGCATATCTTGTGAGCAGGGCACTGACCGCTTTTGTTCCAGAGTATCTTTTTAGGAATGTTTGCATAGTAAACAACTTTGGAAGATAGAGACTGTGTCTCCGTCCAGGATGGAGGGAGGAGTTGCCTGCTGAGCAGTATAATAATGTCTCCCTCTTGGGCAGTTTGGGCAAGTTAGCTGCAGTCCCTTTAAAAACTGGGGTTTCCTAAGCTTGAGGTTCCTCTGCTGTGATACAAACCTACTGTGTGTGCAACATTCACCTGGGTGCAGCCCTGTGTCACTGCATGGGACTTGGGGACAAAAGGAACTGAGGCAAATATGAAGCTCGTGTGGTTTGCTGTACCGTAATAAGGTAACGAGCTAAAGTAATAGACTGCATCCTGGTAAAAACAGATTGAGAGCTGCTTGCTTCCCTATGTCTCTATCTCTGACCCAGGGGTCTCATGTCTTCCACCAGCATCTATGAAACTTTGAGAGGCTATTTAGCTTGTGAGTACAGCAAAATCTCAGATCCTTCACAGTTCTTGGCAGTTTTGCATTTGTATTTTGAAACTCCTTTCCTTGAAGAGGAACCCCCAAATTGTAAAGGCTTCAAGCCCCATAAACCTTGATCCACTCTAAGTTTATAGATGATGATTTTGATATCAGTTGCCATATTCACTAGATTTACTTTGACTTCCAATATTGGGAGATATATTGAACTCAACATTCTCTAGCTGTTCCTATCTGTTGCCTTTCCCCATAACTAGTATGTAGTACAGTTCTCAACTACAGTACCTTCAAACACTTGATCAGACATAAGGCACGGCACAAGTGATTTGTTACTGATCACTAAAGTAACAACATTTGTCAATTATCTTCTTTTTAATAGATTGGGGTGATTCAAGCTTACTTCTATAATGTCATTATACTTGTAAGGATGCATTCATGTATTTGTTAGAACACTTTTAGCTCCAAATAATGAAAAAGCCTAACTCAAATGCTTATCTAGGAAGAGAATTTATTATCTTGCATGGTAAGAATGTCCCTAGATGGGAGTCTTCATGGTTGATTAATTCAGTGACTTCACAACTACAACAAAATTTGAGGGCTTTTTATCTTTTTACTCTGCTGTCTACAATCTATCAACTAGCTCTCCTCAAGACTGCAAATGGCAACAGCAACTGTAATGGTTATACCCTTCCACACAAAGATTCTGAGGCAAAAAAAAAAAAAAAAAAAAAAAGGTGGGGAGTGGTGACTCTTTCTCCCTTCGGTCATTTTTCTTTGTTTTTGTTTTTTGGTTTTTTTGAAACAGGGTCTCACTCTATTGTCCAGGCTGGAGTGCACTGGTACAATCACAGCTCACTGCAGCCTCATCCACCTGGGCTCAAGTGATCCTTCCACCTCAGTCTCCCAAGTAGCTGGGACCACAGATGCATGCCACCATGCCTGGCTAATTTTTTAATTATTTGTAGAGACAAGGTCTCACTATGTTGCCCAGGCTGGTCTCAAACTCTTGGGCTCAAGGAATCCTCCTGCCTCGGCCTCCCAAAGTGCTGGGATTAGAGACGCGAGTCCCTGTGCCCAGCATGGTAGTTTTAAAATTATTATTATTATTACTTTGAGATGGGGTCTTACCTGTTATCCAGGCTGTAGTGCAGTAGTGTAAACATGGCTCACTGTGGCCTCAAGCTCCCAGGCTCGGGTGATTCTCCTGCTTCAGTCTCCAGAGCTGGGAGTACAGGTGTATGTAGCTGGGAGTACAGGTGTAGGATCACACTCAGCCAATTTTTTTTTTTTATTTTTTGTAGAGACCGAGTCTCACTATGTTGCCCAGGTTGGTCTCAAGCGCTTGTGCTCAAGTGAGCCTCCTGTCTTGGCCTTACAAAATGGTCATTTTTAAAGAGCTAACAACATTTTATTAGAAGTCTCTAGTCTCCTAAAAATTCCCTTCATGTCTCACTGACCAGAGTGTGGTCATATGCCATTTCCTAAGCCACACTCTGGAGAATAGAATCAGAATGATTGACTTAGAGAATCAACATTCAACTTCCAGTTCTGATGCTTGAGCAAGCTCTGGCCGAAACACTTTATTTCACAGAGCAGTGTGGGTATCTGAACAAAAGTCATGGTTCCGTTAGCATTGAAAAGAATGAGGAAGTGGTTGTTGCATGGATAACCAACAGTGATTGCCGTAGTTGCTCACTGGCATTCTGATGTGCTTTCTTGAGGAAGAGCAAAGGGAGTAAGGTATAATCAGAGCAATAGGAATGGCACATAATGTGGTATGTCTCTATGGGAATGTGTGATGAAAATGGCTAAAATGCATCTCGGCTGGAACCAGATTAAGACCTGCTTGCTTCTCTGTATCTCTGGTCTTCACTTTGCGTGTGTTACTCAGTCTAGTGCAATCTCACTCCCACCCTCATTGCAATGAATGCTTTAAATATGGACAGTCCTCTTTGCATGGTAGAAATTTCAGTTACCACAGCTTAGTTAAATAACACCAGTTCCCCAGCATTTCAGATTTCAGTTACCACGGTATATTAACTATGAGTAATTGCAGGAAGTACAAAATTCACAGCTAGCTCTTTAGTTCACAGATCACTACATAAATAAACAACACTTACATCATAATCAGTGATCCATGATGTCTGTTGTGGACACTTTGAAGAATAGAATGAACTCCCATCAAAATTTTTGGTTTGGATGTCAAGACTGATGACACCACACACACACACCAAGAAGGTGTATGTGTTCTTTACATTGGTTTGTTATTTCTGGGAAGAATAGGGCGGCCCTCCCAAGCTGGTTTGAAAATGGCTTGAACAGAGGAAGGGAAACTGGCTGGGGGTATTGATTGTGCTCTGGGGAGTGGACTAGGATGAGGGCTCTACACATAAGCAGGGACTTGCATGGTTTGAATCTGTCACCAAAGGAGGGAGCACACAGGCTTTCTTATCAGCTTGCCCAGATGTGGGGCAGAAGCTGAAGAGGGCGAGGTGAGACTTCAGCAGTCAGACATCAAAAAATGGAGTTAGGCCGGGCACGGTGGCTCATGTCTGTAATCCCAGCACTTTGGGAGGCCAAAGCAGGCAGATCACAAGGTCAAGAGCTCAAGACCAGCCTGGCTAACATAGTGAAACCCTGTCTCTACTAAAAATACAAAAAATTATCTGAGTGTGGTGGTGGTCACCTGTAATTCTGGCTACTCGGGAGGCTGAGGCAGGAGAATCGCTTGAACCCAGGAGGTGGAGGTTGTAGTGAGTGGAGATCACGCCACCACACTCCAGCCTGGGAGACCGTGGGAGACTCCATCTCAAAAAAAAAATGGAGTTAGATTCTTTACTACAACACCACTTGTATCAAAATCTCTTGGTAACTGATTTCTGTGTAAGTCAGTCAGTTCATACACAGACAGCAAAGCATGAAGCAGTGATGCCTCCTTGTCTTTCAGTGGTAAGCCCATGTGACATTTCACAAAAATAGGCAATCAAAAGAAGAAACTGGCCAACAAAGATCAAAGTGCAGCAGCAAAGAAACAAAATGTGCCATATGGCAGCCATGGATGGAGATGCTGGTGGGGGGCTGTGCCCTGGGGTCTGTGCACTACTAGCCCATGGTGGACAGGATTGTACTCCATTCCTAAGAAGGACAGAAACTGGAGAACCCAGGCTAGCCCATCCTAGAAGACTTTTTTGGAGTTTTGCTGAAGGGAGGAGAAAGTTCTTTAAAGGAAGCTCCAGGGCAGAAGGAGAGGAAAGAGAGAATGAGGCAGAAAAAACAGTTGAAGAACTAATGGCTGAACATTTCCCAACTTTGGTGAAAGACATATTTTCATATTCAAGAAGCACAGTAAAACTCAAAGCAGAATTGGAAATAAAAAAACAAAAATGGTATCCCTTGGCACATCATAGTCAAACTGCTAAAAAGCAAAGAGAAAGAGAAAATTTTGAAAGCAGCCAGAGAAAAAGAACACACTGCATACACAGAACAACATTTTCAGTGTCACTGTTTTCTCATGAAAAACAATATAGGCCAGAAGACAGTATAACATCTTTAAAACGCTGAAAGAAAAAGTCAACTCAGAAATGCTTTTCCTGGCTGGGCACGATGGCTCACGCCTGTAATCCCAGCACTTTCGAAGGCTGAGGTGGGCAGATTGCTTGAGCTCAGGAGTTTGAGTCCACCCTGAGCAACACAGTGAGACCCCATCTCTACAAAAAATACAAAAATTAACCAGGCGTGGTGGTGTGTGCCTGTAATCCCAGCTACTTGGGAGACTGAGGTGGCAAGATCACTTGAGCCTGGGAGGTGGAGATTGCAGTGAGCCAAGATCACGCACTGCACTCCAGCCTGGGTGACAGAGCAAGACCCTGTTCTGAAAATAAATAAATAAATAAATAAATAAACAAACAAACAAATAAATAGAAATGCTTTTCCAGTGAAAGCATTCTTCCAGAATGAAAATGAAGTAAAGCTATTTTCAGATAAAAGAAAACAGATTTCGTTATCAGCAGACCTACACTATAAGAAGTGCTAAAAAAAAGTTCTTCAGAGAAAAGGGAAATGAAACCAGATGGAAGAACAGAGCTACGGGCTGGAATAAAGAGAATGGTAAATTTGTAGGTAAATACAAAATGTATTTTTCTTTTTAATGTCTTTAAAATACATCAAACTGTTTAAGGCAAAAACGGTTGTATTGTGGGGTTGGTAACATATGTAGATGTAACATATACGAAAGCTACAGCATGAAGGATGAGAGGGTAGACTCATACAGTTACAAGCGTCCTGCATGTTACCCGCAGTGCTGCGATATAAACTCGGAAAGACTCAAGAGTTCAGGATGCAGACTGTAATCCCTAGAGCAGCAGGTCTCCATGTGTGGTCTAGGATGACCCACAGTCCCTAAGATCCTTTCAGGGAGTCTGTGAGTTCAAAATTATTTTCATAACAATAAAAAAAGAAACAAAAAGTGATAATGCTGGAAGTGAAACCTGAATCTACTGTTAAGTGGAGTAATAAAGGAAATAGCTGACTGTGGGAAATGTGATTTTGCTGCCACTCGGGAGGCTGTAGATGTGCGATCAGGAATTCTGTAACGGCCAGCTCGTCGCTGTCACAAGGAGGAAAGTGGCTGTGATCAAAAGGACAAAGGTGGCCCTGAGGAAGTGACACGGGCAAAAAACCTAACATTAAAGAAACTCTCAGAGCTATTTCATGACACTGAAAGCTCAAAGGATGAAAAGTTAGAGGCCGGGCACAGTGGTTCCTGCCTGTAATCTCAGCACTTTGGGAGGCCGAGGTGGACAGATGACTTGAGGTCAGGAGCTTGAGACCAGCCTGGCCAACATGGTGAAACCCCGTCTCTGCTAAAAATACAAAAATTACCTGGGCGTGGTGGCACATCCCTGTAATCCCAGCTACTCAGGAGGCTGAGGTGGGAGAATCGCTTGAACCCGAGAGGCAGAGGTTGCAGGGAGCCGAGATCGTGCCACTGCACTTCAGCCTGGGCGACAGAGGGAAACTCCATCCCAAAAAAAGAAAAAAAGAAAGAAAAATTAGAAGCTGATCCAAACAGAATGGAGTATGACAATTCAGCAAGGCATAAAAAAGATCTTAACTCCTTATAGTAAGTTATATGGGCTGGACGCAATGGCTCATGCCTGTAATCCCAACACTTTGAGAGGCGGAGGCAGGTGGATGGCTTGAGCTCAGGAGTTCGAGACCAGACTGGGCAACGTGATAAAACCCTGTCTCTACTAAAAACACAAAAATCAGCTAGGTGTGGTGGTGCATTCCTGTAGTCCCAGCTACTTGGGGGACTGAGGTGGAAGGATTGCTTGAGCCTGGGAGGTCAAGGCTTCAGAGAGCTGAGATCACACCACTGCACTCCAGCCTGGGAAACAGAGTGAAACCCTGTCTCAAAAAAAAATAAAGAAAGAAAGAATTAAGTTATATGGCAAGAAGAAGACAAGCACTGTTCAAACAATTATTTATAGTTTTTTTTATTATAACAGAGACGAAGTCTCACTTTTTTGCCTAGGTTGGTCTCGAACTCCTGAGCTCAAGTGCTCCTCCCACCTCAGCCTCCCAAAGTGCTAGGATTATAGGTATGAGCCACCATGCATGGCCCAAACTATTCCTGATAAGTATTTTAAAAAAAAAAACACTTAATTCTCAATGTTTCCGGCATTTTAAATTATAGTGTCCTAAATAAATACTAACTTTACAATTTTTTCTTCATGTCTTTATACACGTATAGCAATAGTTGAAGTGTTCTCAATGTTTTGACAAAAATTTTAAAGGCCATGAAATAATAATAATAATTTTCCCATTGGTTATTAAGATCACTTTCTACTATTCAGGCTTAAGCAACGATCTTTATGGTGTCTGACTACCTTGCAAATCTGTGACTGCCTGTACTTATTTTATGTGACCATTCTGTGACACGGGGCTCTTTTGATCATTCCTGCCTTTGTGAAACACAATTGTGCCCTGTTTTTCCATGACCTCACTATCTCCAGTATCCCCTCCCTCCCATCCCAGGTTTCTTTCCAGCTTCTCTTCTCTTGCTTATCTTTTGGATGCTGGTGATCCTGGAGCTCTGTTCTTGACCTTTTGTTTCTTACTCTACATACTCTTCTGGTTCTGGCCTTTGTTATACTTGAAACTTCTCCCCCGTATTAGCCCGTTTTCATGCTGCTGATAAAGACATAATTGAGACTGGGTAATTTATAAAGAAAAAGAGGTTTAGTGGACTGACAGTTCGACGTGGCTGGGGAGGCCTCACAATCATGGCGGAAGGCAAAAGGCACGTCTTACATGGCACCGGGCAAAAGGGAAAAATGAAAGCCAAGTGAAAGGGGAAACCCATTATAAAACCATCAGGTCTTCTAAGACTTATTCACTACCATGAGAACAGTGTGGGGGAAACCACCCACATGATTCAATTATCTCCCACTGGGTCCCTCCCGCAACACGTGGGAATTATGGGAGCTACAATACAAGATGAGAATTGGGTGGGGATACAGCCAAACCACATCATCCACCTCAGGTGGTGATGATGTTGTTAAAGTGAAGACAGTGAAAAAGGGAGACTTCACCAAATGATAGGAGGGAGGTTTTTTTTTTTAGGAAAAAGCAGGATATGGGGTGTCTAGGTTTAAGACAGAGCCCAAAGAGCCAATGAAGTTTATGGATAAACTATGAAATGTTCTATAGGGATATCTACGAAAATGGATATCTATGGATATAGATAGCTATAAAAATTTCATTAATTCATTCACTTCACCAATATTTACTAACTTGTACCATGTGTCAGGCACAGTTCCAGGTGCTGGAGCACTGTGGACTGATACCGTGTGCGGTACAATTCAATACTTTGCAAGAGAAAGAGACCACATTCACATAACTGTTATTACAGTATATATCTTCATAGTAATTGTATAGTTGGCTCTTGAACAATGTGATTGGTAGGAGTGCCGACAACATGCAGTCAAAAATTTGTGTATAATTTTGACTCCCCCAAATGTTAACTACTAATAGCCTACTGTTGACCAGAAGCCTTACTGATAACATAAACAGTCGATTAAGACATATTTTGTATGCTATATACATTACTGTAGTCTAGTAAGAATATTATATTGTAAGTTACAAAATATGTAAGTTAGAGAAAAGAACACGTTATTAAGAAAATCATAAGGAAGAGAAAATACATTTACTATTCACTAAGTGGAAGTTGATCATCATAAAGGTCTTCATCCTCGTCATCTTCACATTGAGTAGCTGAGGAGGAGGAGGAGGAAGAGGAGGGGTTGGTCTTACTGTCTCAGGGGTGGCAGAGGCGGATGAAAATCTGCATATAAACAAACCCATACAGTTCAAACCCATGTTGTTCTAGGGTCAACTGAATTTTATTATTAGTTATTGTTAATCTCTTACTGTGCCAAATTTTTAAATTAAACTTTGTCATAGGTATGTATGTATAGAAAAAAACATAGTATATAGAGGGCTCTATACTCTCTGAGGTTTCAGGCATCCACTGTGGGTCTTGGGACATATTCCCAGGGGATTAGGGGCACTATAATAATTGATTTAAAATAGTGAATATGCACTTACCTGTCCTCCAGAAACACTGCCCAACCTCTGTCATTTAGTTCATTAATTATTCTAGTGGCAGAAACTACAGATCTACCTTATGGGGAAGATATTTTATTTTGGGCAAGAAGGTCTTCAGCCCCACAAGCCATGCCACATGCATCTGCCTATTAAGACAGGCGGTGCTATTAATCAGAATGGACCAAATTAAAAATCTTGAGATTACCTTTGCAGATGCGTCTTGCTTTGTAAAATCACAGTATTCCTGAAAAGCCATGCATAAATCAGTTTCTTTAATCCCTTACATTTATATAGTGCCTTATGGTTGCAGCAGACTGCAGAGATTGTTAGTTGCTTTTTTCCTAACAATGCTAGAGGAAAGGAGGGGCCACTACTCTCATTCTCATAGAACAGAAGAGAAACCCACAGCTAAGAAATGTTCTGCGGCGGAGCACAGTGGCTCATGCCTGTAATCACAGCACTTTGGAAGGCTGAGGTGGGAGGATCACTTGAGGCCAGTTCAGGGTCTCACACTGTTGACTAGCCTGGTTAACAAACCAAAACCCCAACTGTACAAAAAATTTTTAAATTAGCCAGGCGTGGTGGCACGTGCCTGTGGTCTCAGCGGCTCAGGAGGCTAAGCAAGGAAAATCACTTGGGCCCAGGAGTTCCAGGCTGCCGTGAGCTGTGATCGCACCACTGCACTCCAGCCTGCGCAACAGAGCAAGGCTGTCTCAAAATCAAAACAAAACAAAATGAAAGAAAAAGAAAGAAAGAAGGAAAGAAAGAAAGTAAATTCCGTGATGGTAAGTGATGGATCTGTGTTTCAAATAATATAGAGGGATCATATTTTACATATTCTCAGAATTCATATTATAAAGATCCCTACAGTGACTGCACAGTTAAGAATGCTCTCATAGATGTAAACTTCCAATCTACACTGTGGGCAACGCTAGATTTTTACAAATCAGGTTTGCTGTGTAACATATGCGTGTACTGTGCATTACTAAACCTAGTTCTAAATACAGCACAGCTGAAATTTTGTGGGTAACGTGATCATTCGGCAAATGTTGCCAGCCCCTATCATATTCAGAACCCTGTGTTCTGAGATGCTCAAGTTCAAGCTGAGGAATTTGCTAAACAAATCTCTGGCAAGGAATCAGCAGTGATTTTCTGTATCCTTAAATCCTTCCAAACAGAAATGGCAAAACATACGACCCGAGTCCATAATTCCTAAAGTTTCAATCTTCTCGCACTGTTTGAGTTTTAACTCGCTTATTCCCCCAAAGGAGTATGCCATTTACTTAATTTAAAAATTAAACAGCATAAAAACTTCTGAACTCTGAGTGAGACAGCGATCAGAGTTAAAAATAACTGATTTCGCGCGTTTCCGTGCAAAATGGGAGACAGACGTGACGGAGAGAGACCGAGCAGTGCCACGGCCCGGTAGAGGGTGCGGGGGCTTGCACCCGCTGGTGTTTGTGAGAGAGCGCTGGTGTAGACGCGAACGCAGCGCAGGCGGCCCGGCGGCGCGGCCTCAGGTCGGGGCCTTTCCAGCGTTCCAGCTACACCGAGCGCGCGGGGGCGAAAACATGTGCATGGTGTTTGGGGACTGTGCGCATGGGAGTGTTTTCACTGTCAACCAGGGTTCTTTTTCTTATTTTGAACCCATTTTCATGATGCACCGGAATGCTGAAGTTCAAAATTGCCTACGGAGAATTTTAAGACTAAAACCACACTAAGTTTCTTGTGTTAACTATAAATGCGGGTCAGAGTGAAAGCCGAGTAGGGAGGAGTGAAAAGGGGGAAAAGGGAAGAGATAAGAGGAAGAAAAGATGAAAGAGCCGGCGGAAGAGGGAGGGAAGCGGGGGCGGGCAGGCGAGCAGAGGCAGGGAAAGAGCGGCGCGGGTTGCGGGAAAGCTCCGCGCGCAGTACCCAACCGAGGCCCGGGCGCGCGGTCCTCCCGCCGGCAGGGGGCGCCCACCCGCCCGCCTCCGGCCCCTCGCGGCCAGCCGCCCCGCCCGCGCCTGCGCTTCCTGCCCCTCCTCGTCCGGGATGCTGCTGCCGCTACTGCGGAGTAGCTGCTTCCCTTCCTCCTCTCCCGGCGGCGGCGGCGGCAGCGGCGGAGGAGGAGGAGGAGGGGACCCGGGCGCAGAGAGCCGGCCGGCGGCGCAGTTGCAGCGCGGAGCCCACGGGCCGCCGGGGCCGCTCCAGCGGGCGGAAGCCGAGCCCGGGGCCGACCCCCCGCGCGCGGCGGAGGCCGAGGGGGCGCCGGGGCCCGGGGCGCGCAGCCGGGGGGCGGGCGGCGGCGGGCGGCGGGCCGAGCGGGAGCCGCATGCGTGTATGGATCCGGGCGCCGCGCTGCAGAGGCGGGCCGGGGGCGGCGGCGGTCTGGGCGCGGGCTCCCCGGCGCTGTCGGGCGGCCAGGGCCGCCGGAGGAAGCAGCCCCCCAGGCCGGCCGACTTCAAGTTGCAGGTCATCATTATCGGCTCCCGCGGCGTGGGCAAGACCAGCCTGATGGAGCGCTTCACCGACGACACCTTCTGCGAGGCCTGCAAGTCCACCGTGGGTAAGGGCGCCACGGCGACCCTGGGCCGGGCCTCCTGGCGCCCGGGCAGGTGCCCTTCGCCCCGTGGGCTTCGAGTCTCATCGAGCCTGGGAGTCTTTCGGGGATGGGCCTCTCGGTGAAACTAGGGGCGGGGGTCTCCTTGGAGCGCCCTGCATCCCAATCCCAAAGCCTGGCAGAGGTTTTCGTGCCGCCTCCGGGCAGACCTGCCCTTGGCCCCCGGCCCTGCCTCAGAGGTCCTGGCAGCCCCCGGGGCCTGTGGGGGCGGCTCTCCACGGAAACTTCGGCCCTTAGCATACTCGCCCAAGAAAAAGCTGGGTTCGAGTGGAGCGCAGGCAGGCAGGGGAGTGAACGCCTAAGGCCGCTCTCGCCCGGCCCGCCAAGGCCAGCGCGCGCCGTCTGCTGCGGGTGTGATCCCTGCGCAACCAGGGCAGTTTTCTTATTTTGAACCCATTTTCAAGAAATGAAGTTTAAAGTCACCTATGGAGAATGTTAAAACTAAAACTACAGTAAGTTTCTCGTGCTAGCCGTACGTACGGGGCAGAGGAGCTTCAGCTGTATTTATCCATGACCTCAAACAACCCGGTGACTGGCGGGCATGGGGTTGATTCCTCCAGTACCGCTGTTTTCGGTGAGGGACAGGAGTGAAGTAAGTACAGGAACGCTCCAGGGTCAAGGAGGAAAACAGCCGTGGATCTGAAATGGAAACTGCAGGGGAAATTTTTTTAATTAAGTCATGCTTAGAGGACTTGACATTGAGATTTCTCAGTTGGATGTGGGTAGCAGTTGTTTCTATGGAAAACCCCTTAAAAGATGTCCAAACTAGGAGAACCCCGTTCTTTAAAATAAAGGGCAGTCACTTCCGTGATAGGAAGTGAGAGATTTCCCCAGGGGCGGTCCAAGAAACTGAGTAGTCAGGAGATTTGATAGAATTAAAAGCATAATTTCATGTAATTCTATTTATTAATAGTGTTATAACCAGTGGTAGTTCCAAGGCTGTCAGTACGATTTTGAGATGACTTGATTTGAAATTGTCATGTAACAAAACAGTACTACATTTAAAGTGTCTTATTGGAAAGTGAAACCTCCAATTTTTGTACTGTCTTTCTTGGTTTGTTTTCAAGAACTTACTTCCCTTAATGCTTTTTTGGAATAGATCATTTTGGAAATATTTGTGATGTCTGTACCATATGTTTTTAAAATGTTGTCGTTGGAGACATTATATTAAAATGAGTAGCATAACTATACCTGTTTCAAATATCCAGTCTTGGATCATGCAGAGTACAGGGAGTTGTTAAACCATCAAATGAGGGTTAGGCTGTTATTTTAGTACCTGACATAAATAAAGTAGGGTTAAATTCCGTTTAGAATTGTCAATATTTTATGGCTCCGTACTTCAGTATATAAAAATGAGAGATAATAGAGTTGCACTGTGTGATGAAGAGAAATCAGGTACCCATAGGTGGGTAACTGAGGGCTTGAGTGGATGGAGGGTGAGATGGATGAGCAAAGGTGTGCTTTAGAATGCAGAAGAGGAGAGAGGAAGAAGGATTTTCTAAGCCTGGCAGCAGTGGAGCAGCCCCCCACCTCTGGGGAGGGTTCCTTAGGGGACTTGGGAATGGATGCTGCGAGACCTTGACCGCCATGCTAAGGAGAATGGACCCGATCCTATGGGCACCTGGAACCAAAAGACTCCTTAGTAAGGCATTGGCACGAAAACAGTTTGGCAGAGTTGCATAGGATGTTTGGGAATAAGGAAGAGCTGCGGAGGATGCTTGGGAATAAGGAAGAAACCAGGAGGCAAGGAGACCAAGCAGTTTGTTTCTGTGTCCCTTAACAAACATGCACTTACCCGAGCACATACTCCCTACTCTGAGTGTGGTTGAATTTCTGTCTTGCTCATTTTTGTTTGCTTCACATGTAGCCTATAATACTTAGAGTACTGGAGTACTTTAGTACTCAGTGCGTGCTTCTAACTGTGGGATGTTCAGAGAATGATCATGGCCCCTGGCCTGCTGCAGAGCGGGAAGACACTGTGAGAACGCCAGCCAGCTCCACTTCAGTTTCTGCTTCAGAGTTGCTTTTCCCCTCCACTCATCAGATCGTTTGTTGAGCACCTACTGTGTGTTGGGTGTTATGCTACCCAGTGGGGATTCAGTGGTAAACAGGACATCGACTCTGTCCAGAAGTGGATCGGAGCTTCTGGGAGCTGCGTGACCGCTTGTCAGGGCAGTGACAGATGTGTATGGGTATTTGGGAGCACAGTGAAAGCGCCTCCAGTCGAGGCTAGTGATGAGGCCTGGTCAGAGAAGGCTTCCTCGTCATTGGAATGTTTGAAGATAAGTTTGTTCCTCTAGTTCCTTTAGAAAAATGCAAATTAAATATGGTACTGGGTGTGGTGTAGAATTGTGGTTGCCTTACCTGAACGCTTACCATTTGAGCAGTTAGCTCCCGGGGTTCTTCCCAGGCTGGTTTTTCTAGTTTCATCTTCATGTAGTGCAGTGAATTCCATATAGAGCAAGAGTCTCTTCCACAGTAGGAGTTTCTCCCTACCCTGTCAGGGCTGCTCGCGACAGCCGTCTGGGAAAGACCGTGAGCCTCACAGCATGGCCCAGGGAAGAGTCCCTGAGTGTGCCTGGACCAAGATGGGTCACTAGAGTGGTAGTATTGTCTAATTCCTAGGCTAGGAGAGTGTTTCCATTAAGAGCCTTTTTATTTTTATTTATTTATTTATTTTTGAGACAGAGTCTTGCTCTGTCACCCAGGCTGGAGTGCAGTGGTACGATCATGGCTCACTGCAGCCTCGACCTGCCAGGCTCACACAATCTTCCTGCCGCAGCCTCCTGAGTAGCTGGGACTGCAGGTGCACACCACCAAGCCCTTTTTTGATTTTTAGTAGAGACAAAGTCTTGCTATGTTGTCCAGGCTGGTCTCAAACTCCTAGTCTCAAGCACTTGGCCTCCCAAAGTGCTCAGATTACAGGCGTAAGCCACTGCTCCTGACCAGTAAGTGCCCTTTTAAAGTAAATGGGATTCACTTGAACTTTCTATAAAAGATCCGTAGTGGAAGTCCTTAGGGATTTGAGATGATGAACTATTATGTAAAATTATAAATGAGCAAAATGTTGTTTTTTGTATTGTTAATCAAATCAGAAACTGGTTTAAAAGATTTACAAAATTCACAAGGGTATGAAAAACAGAGGTTGTATTTACTGATTGGTCTGTTTAATGGAAATTGTCTAATGGAATTGTCTCATATTTTCAAATGGGATTTTGTTTTCATGGAATTTAATTAGTCTGATTATAATTTACAAGTTCTTTTAAAAAGTACAGGAGCAGCTTTTTAAAGTTTGAGAAACAGAAAAAAGTAATTGACTAAAGAAATTTACAACTAACATGCCTGGTCCACTATTTTCCTCATAGCAGTGCCTGTATCACAAGCATACTTATCCACCATGAATCTGTGTGTGCTTTTGCAAGTTGACATTATTGCTTCCTGAGTGAAGCTGTAGAAACCATTTCTATCTAGCAATGCCGAATTCTTGATCTTGGTTCCTTCTGTTTGACTCTCATTAGTTTTAGCATAAACAGGTAAATGTGCTTTTTTAAAAGTATATTTCAAAAAACAACTCCATAAAATTACATATCTGTCAATCTTTGTTTTATTTCTATGTTACTGTTGGAAGCTAGCTGTTAATTTTGTTTAGGTTGAAATGGTTTTACCTTTTAAAAACCTACCCCCGCCCTTGCTCCAACAGCATTGCATGCTGGAAAAAACACTAGAGTAAGAATAAGAAATGTGGGTTCTTGCTCCAGGCTCTGCCACTAACTAGTTTGTGACTTTGGATAAGTAATGTAGTTGTCTGTGCCTATAAATAGAAGTAGTAGTAGTAGTAGTAGTAGTAGTAGTAGTAGTAGTGGTCACTGCTATATGGTGAGCACTTACTACACCAGCAGAAGGCCTCATCACAGCCCTGAAAGTTATCCCCGTTTTACAGATGAGGACGAGAAGTCTCAGAGAGGTAGAAATTTACCTGCTGTGGCACAGCTGCTCAGCAAGTGGTCAGGGCCAAGGGCTGCAAGTGAATTCTTTTTAACTATCTTTCTGTCTGTTCCTTAGCTTACTTTCAGGTTTAGATTGACTTTGCTTTGTTGAAAATACTAATGGCTCACACACATAAAGGTCAGACATGATGGAGCCCTTTCCTCATTTTAGAATTTGGTCCTTGTTACAGCCCTGTGAAGATAGTGACATAATTATCCTATGGTATTAGTGAAACTGATTTTCTTTAAGTGTGCCCCTGTCATTACTTGTCACTTGCCTTTTGAATTAAAATAATGCTACAAGAACTGCTTTTTAATCTATATATTCCATCATTCAAATTCAAGTGTCTTAAGCCTTTTACATACCAAAATAGGTATATTTGAATACAGGAGAAGTCAAAGAAAGGCAATCTGGACCAGAATTCTGATTTTTCTGGGTAGTAAAGTTTCCTTCAGAATGCTGGTGGCCAGCATAGGATTGCCAGTTCTTTATTTTGCCAAGTAAGAACATTAAAAAAAAAAAAAGAAAAAAAAAAGACTTAAAAAAATTAGGAAAGATAAGATACCACAGTTTAAAAGTTTTTTATTTTATTTTTTATTTTTATTTTTGAGACGAAGTCTCACCCTGTCACCCAGGCTGGAGTGCAGTGGTGCGATCTCTGCTCACTGCAAACCTCCGCCTCCCAGGTTCAAGCAGTTCTCCTGCCTCAGCCTCCCAAGTAACTGGGATTACAGGCACTCACCACCACGCCTGGCTAATTTTTGTATTTTTAGTAGTGACAGGGTTTCACCATGTTGGCCAGGCTGGTCTCGAAATCCTGACCTTGTGATCCACCCTCCTCAGCCTCCCAAAGAGCTAGGATTACAGGTGTGAGCCATCACCCCCAGCCAAAAGTTCTTTAAATTTATCTTCATTTTTCTCATTGTGCGGCAGTGCTCTAAACTTCACAGCCTGGCCCCCTTAAAGGATGGCAGCCCTTCGGTGAAGCCCTTTAACTCCGCTGCAGGCCGCAGTCCTGTGTGCTCTCTGCCTGACTCCCCTCTAGCCTGTGTTGACATGGGGGTGCACTCAGGATGCCCACTGGTGGGGCCTCGGCCTGAGACTGCTTACGCTGGGGAAGTAGGGTAGTGCGAGTGACTCCGTTTCTTTGGACCTGCGGTTGAGCTGGCAGCAGAATGGAGGGGTCCGAGAAACGGGTGAGTGTGAATCCCTTGCAGAAATGCTCTCTGGGGGTCTGCCCTTGAATGTTAGGCGGCATGACAAGTCAAATGCAGTCCACCAGGGTCTTCACCTGGAAATTGACTACTTGTACTTTATTCTGGAAACTTAGGGCAGAGATTTTTGTTAGAAAACCCAGAATGAGCATCTCATACTGGACTTAAATGCTTAACTGTGTATTTTATTTTGCTATACTGTATTTGTACACAGTCTTCTAAGCCATGACCGATCTGCCCGTGTTTCACTTAAGAGAGAATTAAGGAAAATCATCCAGAATTCCCACTCCAAAAGCCCAAGCTCTGCAGCCCTGCAGTGTGGTTTTGCTCCATCTGGAGAGAACCTCACACAGACTCCCCTGCCAAAATGATGTAACATGATGACTCAGGGATGTGAGCGTGAGAGGAACCAACATTTAGTTCTTATACCCACATATGCTGTGTGTTGTGTGATTAGGTTTATTTAATGAACTTAATGCAAGCTGAGAGGCTTGACAAAACGTCCCCTTTTGTGGACTGAAGTAGCTATCTTTCAGAGAAAGCATGCAGATTTAGTTGGTGTTAGGTTGTTTATGTTGAATAAAAATCTATTTAAAGACCTGGCTGAAGTGCATTCAGCCTTTCACTGTCTGCACTTACAATAAAAAAGAAAGATTTTATTATGCATGACAGAGATCCAGATTCTTAGAGATTGCCTCTTTCCCTCTGGTCTGTGGAATCTGCCAGAAGCCATCTGTTAATGGATCTTGGAACTGGCTGTAGAAGGCAGAGTAGGTTCCTTTGAGAACTGATAGGTCCAAATTATTCTCTATCCTTGGGTGCCAGATACGTTGTTCCAAATAAGCATTAGTTTGAATTTGTAAAGAAAACAGCTTTGTACAGTAGTCATTCTACAAATAGTTTTAAGCAGCATTTTGTATTTATATAAGACACCATCCTGCTCGACCTTCCCCTGGGCACAAAGCTCACACCTGGTTTACCCTTTTCAGAGAGGAGGTGAGTCACGGAGGTAGCCATAATAAGTGTTAGAAAAGAGTGCCTCCTGCTTCAGCTGAGGAAGACATTTATCATCCTCCTTTTGTCCTTTAATTCACGTCTTTGACATTTGGAAAGTATTTGGAAAGCCAAAACTACAGACCAAAAATTGTGCCCTTAATTGAGTGTGATTGTTAAAAAAAAAAAAAAAAAAAAACTTGTGAAACTGGGAAGCACAGCACAGGCTGAACAGAGCACTGGATTCCATAGAAAATGTTTTCCCTCCAACTCTGACAAACTCCACCCTTTGGTTTCTGGTGCCTAGTTAACAAAACAACCTGCAATTCCAACTCCACGTCAGCACTTGGGCGAAGGAATAGGCCCCTATAAATGAGGAGCTTTGTGTTTTTCGCTGGCTTCCTCTCACCTCTTCAAGCCATGTGTGTGGTAGGACCTCAACACACTTGTCGATTGGCTAAAGAATCACACACCTGCAGTCAAATTTTCACTTTTAATTTTTTACTTAAAAAGAAAAAAGAGCAGCCTGGGCTACATGGCGAAACCCCATCTCCACAAAAAAAAAAAAAAATGAAAAATTAGCCTGGTGTGGTGGTGCACACCTGTGGTCCCAGCTACTTGGGAGGCTGAGGCAGGAGGATCACTTGAGCCAGGGAGATCTAGGCTGCAGTGAGCAGTGATGATGCCACTGTACTCCAGCCTGGGTGACAGAGTGAGACCTTGTCTCAAAAAAGAAAAAACACTCCACCTTCTCCTTGGCCACCACTGTCTTCCCAAGCCATGGCACTTGTGGAAAGAGATTTTGGAGGCAGGCATACAGTCCTGCATGTAAGTTTCAGCTCCAGGACAGGCTGCCAGCTGTCCTTAGGCAAGCAGCTTACCTCAGTGTCTTCACTTATAGGAAGAAAAACAAAGTGGGATTTACACTTTCTTCACATCTCACAGTATAGGCATAAATGAAGTTAAAATATCTTACATGTCTGGCATAGAAAAGACAATTTTTAATTCTCTTTTCCTAATTTATCCTGTAGATCCGAAAACTCTGAAACACTCCATAAAAAAATCCTTACCCTTTAATGATACACACTGATATATACAGATGATATAAATTTCAAAATGTAATCACATGTCCTGGGTAAAACATAATCTGTTTGACAGTCCCTGTGTTTTCATGGATCCATTCTGAGTAGTAGTGAAGTTCAATTTTTTTGCATATGAAGAAAATGTTAATAATCCACTGTTTGATCATGGTTTTTTTTTTTTTAATCTCTTCCCTTTAAATATTCTCCTCCTCTTTTGACCAGGAACTCAAATAACATGGTAGCATTTCAGATGGGGGTTTGTCTGAAGGCAAGGAGTAGAGAAGGCCTCCTGGTGCAGGGATGGAGTCTGTCCCAGCCAACCAGCCATCCACCCTGTCTTACTGTTAATTTTATATACTTGCCTAGCAATGCAAAGTTCTTTTTCAGCCTTAAATATATGTTCTTAGCTCCCTTCCAGCCTCTGCCTTTTGTTCATCAGGTGGGGCTGCACAGTGCACAGGGAGGAGCACAGCCGGGAGCCAGGCAACCCAGGTTCAAATCTGTGCCCTCATGCTCACCAGCTTGGTTACCTTAGGCAGTCTACCAGCTTCCCTGACTTCTGTTTTTTCATCTATAAAATATAGACAGTAATATATACCTCATAATATTGTTAATGAATATACACTGCAATAAGTTAATGTAGATAAGGCCCTTAGAATATTATCTGAAATATAGCAAACACCACAAAAGTTCTTAATCTTTTCATTTGTGAAGAGAACATACACCTTTCTGTGGAATTCTCATACGTGTGTACACTTCCATGAGAGGAACTGTCCACTCACTCTGCTGGGCTCCAGCCACGCCTCTCCTTGGAGGCCCAGGACCTCCAACTGTCCCTCTGTCCTCCCCTCCCTGATGCAGTCCGTGGTGTCATTGTTTGTTCCAGTCAAGTGCAAGGCTGTCTCCTTGTGCTTCTGTGTACAGGGTGGGCTTTATTTGCTGGGTGGGAGCGTGCCAACCCTGGAGTGCAAGCGAGGACAGGTCTTCTTGTACCTGGATGCAATTTGACATCCTCAGGCCTGGATAAGCATTTTTTTAATGACGCATAGTAACATTAGGATTTTAATAGTACCTGCTTCTGAGTTGATCAAAATATTTTATAGTTATAGTACTTAGTTTCTATTTAAATCCTTACCACACAGGTTAGATAGGAAAAGCCAGATAATATTAAATAGTAGGATGTCACAAGACAGGTCTACTAGCAGTGAGTTTGCATCCCCTTTTCCTCTTTTTTTTTTTTCTTTGAGACAGAGCCTTGCTCTGTCCCCCAGGCTGGAGTACAGTGGCGCGATATTGGCTCACTGCAAGCTCCGCCTCCCGGGTTCACGCCGTTCTCCTGCCTCAGCCTCCCGAGCAGCTGGGACCACAGGCACCCACCACCACCACACCTGGCTAATTTTTTGTGTTTTTGGTAGAGACGAGGTTTCACCGTGTTAGCCAGAATGGTCTTGATCTCCTGATCTCGTGATCCACCCGCCTTGGCCTCCCAAAGTGCTGGGATTACAGGTGTGAGCCACCGTGCTCAGCCACATTCTCTTTTCCTTATATGGGACGAGAATTCATTTTGAACTCTTCCCCGGTAGGTGGTAGAGTTTGGGCAGAAGACTGGCCTTATGCCCACATGACTTGATTTTAATGCTAGATTTGCCTCTCTCTGTAACCTTAACATGTTCCTTAATTTATTTTCTCACAACTCACTGAAAATGCTTACAATCCAATCCCTTAGTAGAATATTATATCCAATTTAACATTATGTAAGATACATCCTTGGAAGAACAGCCACTATATAAAACTTAAGGTCATTATTATAAATTGGCAGTGACAACTACTGTTTGTATTGAGACTTACTTCCAAGTCTATGGAAATTCTTCAACTTCTTGAAAGTATTAAGTAAAATCTATGGTCTGGTCCAAACTCCAGATCTTTGGTGGAACGAGGAGAAGTGACCTGGGCATGGAAGAAGAGGGCACAGTCCGCTTGGCCGTAGTCCTAGATGTGGACCACAGTGGTGGTTAGGCTTTTTACTGGAAAGGAGTGTAAAGAAAGAAGTTTCCGTGTGTTTTTGCCATTTTCACTTTTGTAACTTCTTATGGCCCAGCAAAAAGAAACAGTAGTGTGCAAATGTTTCGCTTTAAGGGGAACATAGAAATCTTACAAGCACTAAGTCCAGGGATTCCTCCCGCTGTTGCTAGACATGTGAAAGACAGCCAGCAAGAAGGCAGAGCGCAGAGTCAGGCCTTGTCTTAACAGCTTGGCTGTGGGAGCTATGAGCCACTTCAGAACATCTCACGCTTTTCTCTCTTTTCACCCATCTGACTTTTATTATAATAACCTTTCATTGTGGGCAGTGGTGTAAATTTGAGTCTTGGTTCTGCTGCTTCTCTGTCATGTGGTATGACTGTAGGCAAATTACCCTGTCCTCTCTCTGCTCATCATGTTGTCTTCCTTTATAAAATGGGGGTAATAGTTTCCCCGTCACTGGGCTGCTGTGAGGCTTGGATATGTTGGGTATTAGACATGGAGTATTTGACAGATGTCCACTGTCATTAGTACTAAAGGAAATTAAGGTCAAGAATAAGACACCGGCACAGTTGCTCATGCCTATAAACCCAGCACTTGGAGAGGCTGAGGTAGGAGGATCGCTTGAGTTTGAGACCAGCCTGGGCAACATAGTGAGATGCTATCTCTACAAAAACCAAAATCAGTTAGTGACAGTGGTGTGCTTCTGTAGACTCAGGTACTCGGGAGGCTGAGGTGGGAGGATCACCCAGGAGTTGGAGGCTGCAGTGAGCTATATAGGATCCTGCCACTGCACTCCAGCCTGGGTGACAAAGCCTTCTTTTTTTTTTCTTCTTCTTTTTTTTTTTTTTTTTTTTTGCTTCAAAAAAAAAAAAAGACTGACTTAAACAGAGCAGTCTAAGACCTTTGATAATACTGTATCTCTGTAGCCTGCGTGCTTTTAGAAAGCATTGTTAAAATACTTTTAGAAAGACTTCCACAAAACTGGTAAGCCTAAAGAAAAGCAAGCTCCTCTCACCAGACTAATTCACCTGGTAGACCAGTTCTGTATCTAAGGGACTGAATGGAGAAACTGTTACCGTAATCCTCTGAGATTAGTGTGTGTAGGGAGAGGCTGTGAGCAAGGATGTCTGCCCCATCCTGTGAGGAACTGTAGGAGAAATGAGAGGTTGTGTTGCTGCACACACTCATATTTCCCCTGTGTCCTGGGCACCCCTGCGTTCACTGCTTCCATTCCACACCTGCTACTCAGATGCCTTTTTTTTTTTAACTAATCAGTCCTGAATTTCCCTATTTTTTCCCAAAAATAATTTGCATTTCTTCTTACATATACAGCATTTGATGGAGAAGAGGGAGCAGTTTCCAGCCATCAAATTTATTGAGTTGCTGTTGTGTGCCAGGCAGTGTCCTAGACTTTAGGGGGCTGAAGATGACTACATCCTCGGAGGGCAGGCACGTAGCCTGTCGGGGAGGCCAGCAAAGAAGGAACGATGTGATATGGGCTAGAAGAGAGTTCAGGGCCAAGAACTGGAACATAGATAAAGACAAGGGTAAAGGTGGGTGCAGTCAGAAGAGGTCAGATGGGAAATCTAGGGCTTCAGAGGGTTCTGGGCAGACAAGGAGTTTCTCTAAGAAGAGAGAACAGCAAAGACAGATGCTTTGCCAAGTGCATGGTGTGTTAATTTAGGTCAGTATGACTGAGGTTTTCAAAGGCAGGGACTGTCCCCATCAACAGTGGTGGGGGCTCGTTGCTTCCTCCCTTAGTCAAGATAACCTGTAGGAAACCGGTTTTCAACAGGGTTGTAGACAGTAGTGAAGTCGCCACCCTCTTTGTCCCTTGGTTGTTTGTAAACATTTCCTCTTCTGTAACAGGAACTCTGTTGACTTTTCCTAAATCATCTGCCAGATATTTGAGGTTATTCATGACTTTTTTCCTTTTATTGAGGATCATTATCACTTCTATGACATCCCAGTATTAAAAATAGACAACATTAAGGGATATTTTTGACTTTTAATATAAGAAAGTTTTTAGAAATGTTTAGTCATGTACTTTGATAGAGGTATATGTTTCTAAGCCAAAAATTGGATTAAGTTTCCAGTCATTGCAGGCTACTTAATGTCTGTTAGATGTGGTATAGGTATAGGATATTTTGTTTAAGAGCGAGGACTGTTTTAAGGAACTGGTTTTACTCATGGAACCGTAGATCTGGCCACTGGGTATTTTTCTGTTGTGTTGTTAATTGTCATTCATCTACTCACTATAAGATAGTCTTCATTTTGGCTAAACAGATTCTTTTTTTCTTTTGTTTTTTTCCTTTCCAGCTTTTATTTTAGGGTCAGGGGGTACATGTGCAGGTTTGTTACATGGGTGAATTGCGTGTCATGGGGGTTTGGTGTACAGATGGTTTTGTCACCCAGGCAGTGAGCATAGGACCTGATAGGTAGTTTTTCAGTCCTCTCCTTCCTCCTACCCATCACCCTCAGGTAGGCCCCAGTGTCTGTTCCCTTCTTTTTGTCTGAGTACTCAATGCTAAAACAGGTTCTTAGCCCTATTTACTGTCGGGTAATCTTTGCTTTGTTTTCCTATTAGAACTAATAATGTGTTTATAATTACATAGTGATAATGTTACCACTTATTTCCTGATTTTGAATATTAATGTCCTAGCCTTTTATTTTTATTCATTAAATGTTGTGATTACAAAATAGTCCTAGTGTAGGACTGCTGGAGTTCGGTAAGTTGTTCAAGTTGGTTGGGAAAGGCAGTCTGACATATTCAGACTCCATTGTTAGCAGAGAAAACTGTAGTCAAAACAAAGATTATCTGCTCTAGCTGTTTCAGGGACTCTTAGTCAATTTGAAGCAGAGCTCAAAAGAAATATCATCTGCCAGTTATTTTCAATAAAGTCGCAGCCACTGCCACAAGGTTTACAAAAGTTACAGCTCCTTTAATTACATTTTAAAAACTAACTTACTTGAAGAAATTGGAAACAAAAGTAAAATAGAATATTGGGGAACCTGCCCCGTTAGTCACGTAGGTTCTTTTCTATTTTCCCTAAGCGTCGGCCGGTTTGAGAAATAAAGGGACAGAGTACAAAAGAGAGAAATTTTAAAGCTGGGCATCCAGGGGAGACGTCACATGTCGGTAGGTTCCGTGATGCCCCACAAGCCACAAAACCAGCAAGTTTTTATTAGGGATTTTCAAAAGGGGAGGGAGTGTGTGAACAGGTGTGGGTCACAGACATCAAATACTTCACAAGGTAATAGACTATCACAAGGCAAGTGGAGGCAGGGCAAGATCACAGGACCAGGGCGAAATTAAAATTGCTAATGAAGTTTCAGGCACCATTGTCATTGATAACATCTTATCAGGAGACAGGGTTTTGAGAGCAACCGGTCTGACCCAAATTTATTAGGTGGGAATTTCCTCTTCCTAATAAGCCTGGGAGCACTACGGGAGACTGGGGTCTATTCCACCCCTACAGCCTTGACCATAGAAGACGGCCACGCCCAGGGCCCCCCGCCACCCCGTAGACCTACCCCCAGGCGAGTATTCTCTTTCCCAGGGATGTTCCTTGCTGAGAAAAAGAATTCAGCGATATTTCTCCCATTTGCTTTTGAAAGAGGAGAAATATGGCTCTGTTCCGCCCGGCTCACCAGCTGTCAGAGTTTAAGGTGATCTCTCTTGTTCCCTGAACATTGCTGTTATCCTGTTCTTTTTCAAGGTGCCCAGATTTCATGTTGTTTAAACACACATGCTCTACAATTTGTGCAGTTAACACAATTATCACATGGTCCTGAGGCAACATACATCCTCCTCGGCTTACAAGATGACAGGATTAAGAGATTAAAGTAAAGACAGGCATAGGAAATCACAAGGGTATTGATTGGGGAAGTGATAAGTGTCGATGGAATCTTCACAATTTATGTTTAGAGATTGCAGTAAAGACAGGCATAAGAAATTATAAAAGTATTAATTTGGGGAACTAATAAATGTCCATGAAATCTTCACAATCCACGTTCTTCTGCCATGGCTTCAGCTGGTCCCTCCGTTTGGGGTCCCTGACTTCCCGCAACAATAGAATAGTAGTCATCACAGATTATGCATTTGATTAGTAAATTCCATCACAGAGTAGCATGGCAGCAGTGAAATCCTAACTCTACATTAATATGAAGACAGTGTTTTGTCATTAAACTGTGCTGCTTTAAACCAGATAGCAAATATCTGCGCTATTTTGTGCGTCTTGTGTAGTGTCACTTGAAATTGCAGTTTCCTTGCAGCTGAGTGTTAAGCCACTGTCTTCAAGTTCTCCATCATGCAGAACCTGCTTCCTGGGTCAAGGCAGTGTCTGAGCTTCCTTTGACTTTGGAAAGCAAATCATTTCCAGAACTGAAAGTGAAATTGAATTAAGTAGCTTTCCTTCAGGGACATCTGAAATTATGTGTTATGTGAGAGGTTAAGAATTGACATGGAGTAGTGCTCTCTAGCTTTGTTTTCTTGTGACATTTTATATTCATGCAACTTCTCTCCTAGGGCAGGAGGGCTGCCTCCCTGGCCACACCCTGCCCCAGGGCTGTAAACATGCCTTTTGTGTGGCATTGGTGTCCACAGTGTTACTAATTATAAAAATCGGTCACATGTCTTCCACTTCCCCTCAAGAGCCTCATCTGACTGCAGCACCTCATTGGTGCCCAGAGACGGGCAGTCAGGGGCATGGCCAGGGCCTTGCCCTCTGCAGCCACCATACCACTCACAAACATGGGCACCTGCTGGCCCGGGGAGCTGGGATCGTCTACACCCTGGGTCCCAAGGAAGCTGTCAGGAAGTCGTTCCTGTAGGGAAGGTGCCTCTAATTCTAAATTCAGCCAGCATCCCTTTTGTTTCCCTTAGTTATGAAAATTGTGTAATAAAATATTGTTGTGAAATATTTACATTTTGTATAACTGGAAGGCATATAAGGTAGCATACACAAATGAAAACTTGGTTTTAAAAATATATCTGAAGCTTTACAGGCTAAATTGAAAAGGAAATATACATGATGGTTTGCTTAGTAATATTAAAATGAATAAAAATTAAAGTTGGGTATGTTAATTTGTGTAAGAGTAAATTTTAAAATCTTCTCACTGTTGATCATATAATGTTATGTTTATATTTACCTAAAATTTTCATGAGTACTGAAATTTTTAGTACAATAATTTCTAAATTCAGACTAAGGCTATTTGACTAAAGTTGATTAAGTTTGATTAAGTTTCCAGTGTTCCATATAAGAATTTTCCCTGAGAAAACATCCTTTTAAAGCCACTTATTTGTTGATGTAGTTATTAAATGTAATTTTAAACTGGTTTCTATGCTGAACTGTGGTAGTTATAAGTTGTGTTATGAACAGCAAATACTAGACCGATCACTCAGGATAAGACATAACATGGGCTGACCTTCCCAGTGTGGACTGAAGCGTGAGAGATGGGAGGTTATAGACACTGGTGCAGATACTGCTTTTCCTTGGAATTAAGTGATGTCAGGTTTCGTGGGGTTTTCTTTTTTTCTGATAATGATAACAAAATACACAAATAGGATTATTTTGTATGACAAATTGCATCTTTGTTGTTTTTGCTTCACATTTATTTGTTTTATTTACAGGTGTTGACTTCAAAATCAAAACTGTAGAGCTAAGAGGAAAGAAAATTAGATTACAGATCTGGTAAGTGGGAGAGTGTGCACCCAGTAATGTGCTGTGTGTGTTTAACAGTCCATGTACTTGTCTAATAAAATGAACTGTTTGAGCTGATTTGCCTCTCCTACTTTCTCCTCTTTTGCTCATTTTAAAATTAAATGGACAGTGTTTCCATCAAGAGAGAGAATTTAGATAAGGCTGTTATGTTATATGCCACTTGCACATGGGGAGCAGTTGTGGACAGAAGAATGTTACTTTAATGGTAGCTAGTTTGGAACCTTTTTGCCTCTATTTTCAAATTATTTACGTGATATCAAAACTGTCTCCACTAAAATGATTGCTCAAATGTTTGTCTTCATGTCTTTATTTTGTATGATAGTATTCAAAGAAAGCCCAATATGTTCATAACCAGATTTGCACAATCTGAAGGCAGGTCCCCTGCAGACAGTTCCAGAGCTTCTTGGTGGCACAATGTGACTATTACTGCGGGTGGGCATACTCCTTCCGGCTGTACTGCTGATTCCACGGGATGTGAGCCCCCACTAATGCCTACTAGAAATGAATCCAGGCCCCTTTCTCAAATCACAATTGGAATGAGAGACTCAACCAGCTGTGTTATAACTGCACTCAGCACTAAGAGCTTTCTGTTAGCTATTAACCTGTTAACAGCCCGCAGGTGCTAGCGACCTGTCTGTGGAAGAAGGGATAAGATCTGGTCTGGTGGTCTGGCGGTGGCTTAAAAGTAGCCCCATTGAGGTGCTCTGAGAATGCCGTTTTGTTTTGAATGCTACAGCTGCGGTGTACTCAGCTTACTAACTCCTCTTGGCAGGTCACCCTCAGCTCTGATTGTTTGTCCACCATGTGTGTGTTTGCTTTCATCTGCGTTAATTGCTGCTTCATCTGTGGCATCATCGGTCACCTAATGCTTGAATGTTAGTGCCATGTCTTCATTCTTCATCCGTGTCCCTGTCTGGGCCGCAGCTGCAGCCAAGCCGCAGTGCCTGCCTTCTGGAGGTGTCTGAGGTAATATCTTCATTTGGTCACCCTTCACTGTATAACACACTTCTAAGATTTTTTGATTTGGGTTTTTGTTCGTTTTCTTTTCTGTTGTGCATTTGGTCTGCATATTTTCATTTTTGGCTTGATTATGAAACATTAGGTCTTGTCTAAATACTTGAATAAACAACAAATAGATATTTCTTCCTGTGCTAGTCCCGCAGACTTTTTGTGCATTGCTGCCCAGCTTTTAAACGCTGGAAATGGCAACAAAGTGTTTGGCACACAAGCTGCTGTTTCTAATTATAAGCTCTATAAGGTAAAGACCATCTTCACAAGGATTTGGGATATGCCTCTCTCTGTTCCTAGTACCTGTGTGAGGTACTTTCTGATGAGAATATTGCCCCACAAAAGTGATGTAAACATTATTAGAATGTGTGACGCCTGCCTTGGTGACAGCCATGCCTGATGACTGTGGCACATGTCTTAATTAATGCATTAATACTTCCATCTTCATCTTTGGCGGCAGTATTCTTTATAAAGTATGTCCAAATGATTTATAAAGTATGTCCAAATGTCCTGGTGCCTCCCTGGAGCTCTGCCCACTAAGTCTATGCTGGTGACATTGTACACTCCTGGAATCTGACTACAATGTCCTTGACTCTGAGATAAGAGGGCCCTACCTGATGGAATCCCCCTCGGGGAGAAAGTGAGATACTGTGGCTCCACGAAGAGCAGCGGGCACTCAGAAACCATTTTTCTCTTGTATATGAAAGCATTCTCCAAATGACCCCTCTCCCTCTCCTGATTCTCCCTTGACTCTTTACTACTTTTTCATTCTCTAAATCTGTGCAGCTGTACAGCATGGGCAAAGAGCGTAACTAAGGGAGGAAGAATGAAATGGATTGGACTTACGGAATGGTTGATTGCAAGTTTTCTACATGGAATATTCCAGTGACTCTTTTCCTGCAGGAAGGTTTTGAACAGTGACTCATATATCTACTACAGGCCAGCCATTTTGTTGATCACATAATACTCAAAATAAGATTTTTATCTTCTGAAATATTTTATTTAAAAGATGAAAACCTTTTCCTTCATTATTGCTATGCAGCAGGTAAAAAGGAAGTGTTAGAATCATGATTGTAATTTGTATTACTGTTTTAAAGTAATGCGTGGCTTCTTTAGGAGTGAGGCACAGCCCTTGTGCTGCTGCTGGTGTAACCTGCTTTGTTGTGGGCGTGTTGTCGTCGTTTCACTCTCATCCATTGAGGGCATAGAAGGCGCCTGTGTAGCTGGAAACGGTCCCTCAAGGAGGCGCAGTGGATTGTGCTATGCTAATAATAGATAGCTCTGCTCCGATTTTCTAGACTGGCATGAAAGCATTGCCATTCGGTTTTCATAGGAGGATCTTGTTGGAAGAAGTGCATTATTTACTATAGATTCCTAAAAGCTAAAAGTACCAAAAGCTGCAGGTGTCTGTTACATTTTTACGTCACGTTTTATGTCATTGCCACATATTTCAGTTTGTTGATTACCTGTGGTCAGAAAAAGGACCATTTTTCTCTTCTCTGTACTTTAAAGTATTTCTACATGAATGTTAGAACTTTATGTAAGTAGCTAAAATAAAACATGTTGACTAGGATGTAGTTTGATGAATTTATATCCAAATGGTGTCCTAGAAATTATTTACAGTGAACTTGGAGTTGTGTTGAAATGGACTTGAAGCCGTGAAATTTGCCTCTTACCTTTAGGCAAACACAGAATTGAAATGCTTCATATAAGGGCCCTTTGTTCTGCCTGTCGGACCAGTCCACTGTTGGGGGACTTTGTTTTAACCAGCGTTCTTAGGTCAGCATCATTCCTTTTGTTCTCTGCTTGGAAGAGGGGGAATATTTCATACCCTATATTGGCGTGTGCCCTGAAAATTAGTAATTAAATAATTTAAGTGGCTATATTAAATACAGCAAATAAGAGGCTTTGAATTCTCCAAGCGTTGTTGTATCACCAAACTGGGAAAACAGAATTGCAGGAATTTTTCAATTGCACAAAAACCAGATAGAAAAATCAGAATAAGGTGGCATGCTAACTGTAGTAAACGATGATTGAGCTGACGTTCATAACTTGCAAACCTCTAGAAATCCGCACCTTATCATTACAGTGAAAACTCAAGTTTATGGGGAAAAAGAGGGAAATATTAGGATTCTGCCTTTTCATAGAAAGGTGAAAGCATGATCAGTGCATTGATGTAATCTAATTTTCTGAAAAGGAGAGATTTGTGTGGGATTTTTATGGTGCTGGCACACGGTAGATATTTAAGAAATACTTGCTGAATGGAATCAACATTTCATTTATTATTCTTTGGCCGTACCTGATAGTAGATAATTTAGTATGTAAGGGAAATAAATCAAGCAAAGGCACTTTTGAGAGGAATAGAAAATAAAAGCTTTCTCAACCCAAATATTTTGGGAGTGTGGAATCGTCTCTCAAAGAAACATGCTTTTCTACCCCCAGCCTTCAGAGCCAGGCCCAAACAGTGGCATTTAAGGAATGGGCTTAAATGGGGAGTGCTGAACTAGTTCATGTTTCCTCATTGGGATTTTTGTCAACTAAATCAGTTTGCTCATTTGCGTTAGGACGATTGCCTCAGGTTTTGAATTTTGAGGTTTCTATCCTCTTTCTTTACATTGGACTTAAAGTCAGTAGAGGCAGCTGACTTCTTAATGGTGAGCTTCTTAATGTTTCTAAGATTCCTGAGTATGCTATTCATGCAAAAACATTTTAAGCTACATCAAAATTGCCTTTTACTATCCCTGTTCTTTGATTGTTTTTATTAAAACTCCTATTATCTGTAATTTCTCTGGTTTTGTGCCTCCAGTTTCTGGATTCTTAAGTCATTGAATGTGAATGGAAGTGCATGTGAGTTGACTTATACTGAAAACCAGATTAAAATTACCTAGAATAAAAGTTTATTAAAGTATGTAATTCCTAAAATGCTTATTGAAGACCTTAAATCTGATTGTTATTTAAATTTGTGGTTCAGCGATATTGTGTTAACCACTGATTTCAGAGTAGAAAAAATGCTTATTATTTTTAACTTTTTAAAGAAATGGGGAATGTTTTGTAACAGTACTCAAATAGCACAGAATATTTTTCAACATTAAAAACATTTGATTGAATCCTAATTTAGACAAGCCATAACTTGGGAGGATGGTAAACCATCCTCTGAAAGATTTAACTCTTTATTGGTTTGGAAGTAGTAAAGTATACCCCTAAATGCCTAGGATTAGAGAAATAATTTTATTCATTGACTCTTTATGGAAACCAAATGGTATCTAACTCTGTTCCTTCTCAGCCACCTTGAAGGTGACTATTAGTGTGGTCTTTAAGTTGCTTTTAGAAATCCTGAAGAATTCAGTCTTCGTCTATCATATTCTTCAGATTTCCTTTTTTGTTTTTGCAGTTCTGAGGCCAAAAGATGAAGTTTCTTTGCCTTGCCTGATGTGGCATCAACTTTCTAATTTTTAAACATGTTACCAGCGCATGTCTACTGATCGTGTACTGCAGGACCTGGGTAGACAGAAACATACCCACCTCTGCCCTCCTCACCTTCCAGTCAGGGCAGCAGGGGATCCTCATATCCTCTGAGGCAAAGCAAATGGCTTCACTTTATGTGGAAATGAATTTGCCAGTGAGCTTTCGTGCTTGTTTGACAATAAGGCATCACTGATGTGAACTAATTTGGTGGCAGGTCTCCTCTGAAGGAAACCAGAAATTGTAACAGCATGGCCAAGGGGTGTTTCTAGGGACCCAGTCCCACAGGTGCCTAAGGGAAGTGTTCTCCTCCCCTTTCAGGAACTCCCTGCTGTGTGGTGAGAGGCTCTGGTGGCCTTGCATGGAAGAGCCTGTTGCCCCCCAGCTTACTCCACTGTGGCGCACTTGGTTGGGGTTCTTTGGGTAAAGCTAAATCATAGATGGTCTTTAAAGAAATCGCTTTGCAAGTGTTAGTCCTTCCTGATTGGAAGCCTTCTCCATTGAGCCTTATTGGAATTAGAAATTTGCAGTGGTTCTCAGTTTCTAGGCTTATCATAATATAAGATATAAACCAAAAAGTATCTGAGACAGGTCTCAATCAATTTAGAGAGTTTATTTTGCCAGGGCTAAGGACACACCTATGACACAGCATCAGGTGGTCCTGACAACCTGTGCCCAAAGTGGTCAAGAGTACACTTTGCTTTTGTACATTTTAAGGAGACATAATACATCAATCAATACATGTAAGATTTACACTGGTTTGATCTGGACAGGTGAGACAGCTCAAAGGGGCTGGGGCTTCCAGGTCATAGGTAGATTTAAACATATTCTGATTAGCAGTTGGTTGAAAGAGTTATTATCTATAGAAAGCAATGTCTGGGTTACTATAAGGGGTTGTGGAGACCTAGGTTTTATCATGTAGATGAGCCTCTAAGTAGCTGGCTTCAGAGAGAAGAGACTAAACGTTTCTTACCAGACTTAAAGTGTGTGTTCATGTTCATGCTGGAGGGTAGAGTGAGGAATGTCTGACCCCCACTGCTCATCATGGCCAGCACCAGCCTTTCAGGTTAAATTTTAGAGTGCCCTGGCCGAAGGGGAGGTCCATTCAGATGGTTGTGGGAGGACTTCAAATTTTATATTTGGTTTAAAAAGGAGAAACAGGGCTCAGCTGGCATCTGTACTGATTGATGTGCTTACATTCTTCATGTGGATGTGGCCAGTGTCAGCCTGGAGAAAAAAGAACGCTTTTAGATTTCAAAGGAGCAGTTGGGTAATAATGAACTTTACCATATTTGCAAACCTATCTGGTATCTCTCCTCCCTTTTCCTTTGACCACCTATTCTGTCTAGGGTTAAGAAAATAACAAAGCCAATTCTGGTTTGTTTTTGTTTTTGTTTTTGTTTTTTGAGATGGAGTCTTGCTCTCTGTCCCCTAGGCTGCAGTGCAGTGGCGCGATTGCAGTTAACTGCAACCTCTGCCTCGCAGGCTCAAGCAATTCTCCTGCCTCAGCCTTCTGAGTAGCTGAGATTACAGGCATCTGCCATCATGCCTAGCTAAGTTTTATATTTTTAGTAGAGACGGGGGTTTCACCATGTTGGCCAGGCTGGTCTTGAACTCGTGGCCTCAGGTGACTTGCCCACCTCAGCTTCACAAATTGCTGGGATTACAGGCATGAGCCACTGCGCCCGGCCTAACAAGGCTAATTCTACAGCATTTTTCATAAGTGTGGGACTATTGGTCATCTTTTCAACAAAACCAGATATTAACAATCAATGTCAGTTAAAGGAGAGTTGTAGACTTAAATAGTGTCAATTGTCCTACATTTTCATGTTGTTGATAACAGCCTACCATAGAGGTGTTACAGCTTCCACCATTTTACACAGGAGGAAACAGAGCTCAGCTCAGAGAGGTTGAGTTTTCCAAGAAGCCAAGTCATGGGGCCAAGAATAGTGCCCGGGTGCCATGAGACTCTGCCCACTACTGCCCTGCTGGCTGCAGAGCGGCTCAGATACGGCTGTCATCCAAGCCAGGGAGCCTTTGAGCCAGTGCTGCTGAGAAAATTGGGAAAAAGCCCACTGCCCGGTTCCCAGCACATCTTCACTGTTCCTCGGGCTCCCTCCATGTCTGTTTCCCTCTGAGTGTAGTAGATTGGGGACTCAGAACCTTCTAGAACAGAAGTTATGGTTTTGTAAGGGGAAGAAATATGGTCAAGTGCACATCTATAATTTAGAGTATTAAATTTCCTTGTACCCTTATGATTTATTCTAGAAGGTCAGCACATTGATTACAAAGCTAATGTTGGCTAACATTAATCCTTCAGGTATGAGGTAAGAAATAAAAAATTACTTTCATGCTTCATTTCTGCACAAAATTTCACTCTGGAAAGATATTTCATTTGAAAAAAAAATTAAAAGTTTTACTCTGTAAAGGATTTTCAGATCTTTTCTGCTATGAAAATTCTTGTTTTCTAATTTTCAAAATCTTGGTTTGAAAGTAATTGGAGGCTGGGCTGGTAGCTTACACCTGTAATTCCAGCACTTTGGGAGGCCAAGGCAGGTGGATCACATGAGGTCAGGAGTTTGAGACCAGCCTGGCCGACATGGTGAAACCCTGTCTCTACTAAAAATATATTAGCCAGGCATGGTGGCGCATGCCTGTAATCCCAGGTTGTCGGGAGGCTGAGGCAGGAGAATCGCTTGAACTCGGGAGGCAGAGGTTGCAGTGAACCAAGATCATGTCACTGATTGCATTCCAGCCTGGGTGACAGAGCTAGACTCTGTCTCCAAAAAAAAAAAAAAAAAAAAGTAATTGGGACTTATTGATGTTTTTGTTTGAGTGTAACTTGTTCAGAAAAGCTACTGTGGCTGACAGTAGTGGCTGTGCACGGATGTCAGTGCAGACTTGAGGAGCTTCCAGTGGCCGGACCCAGACAGAGGCATTCTCAAGAGCTGGCTCTGCTTGTCTCCACAGACTCAGTGCTGCTGGCCTGACTGTGCCTGCTAGGGTTGTAACTGTGGATCTTCTTTTCTTCCTGAAGTGGTCATCGTAAGCTGCCACATGTGCCCCACGCCTGCCCCCAGCACTCTAGGTGGTGGTTAGTGAGCTCTGAGAAATGAATTCTTTGTGGCTTGGAGGGCATTCATTTTCACAATCCTAGGATGCCCACCATTTATTGTGTGTGTGAGCGGGGAGTGGGTCATGCATGTGTATCAAGTGTGTGTTTCTTGTGTGGCATTGTTGCTCTTGGGTATGACAAATGGTTTTGTAAATCACCTACAATGTGAATTCTTAGGGATTGATTGTTTGGAAACTCTGTATTTTAAAAACTTTTCCCCCATTTTATTTTAGGAAAACATCATATATTTTGATGTTATATTAGCATTCCTGTTGCTGATTTTCTGTCTTGAGGGAAAAAGTTATTCAGGAGAGTATGTTGATCTTGGTTCATAATCCATCTCCATTAATCTAATTTAGTTGTTAAATATAAAGGTATTTTCTATGTCATAGTTTTAGTCAACCTAAATTTTTCCTACTTTCTTTAAGTGTGGTCATCAGGTCAAAGGGAAATAGGGGTTACTCTCGTTCTTTTTTCGCAGAAAAACTGCAGCATATAATCTATGTTTGCATTGGAATGTGATGGTGCTCACTTTGGGCATTATTTGGGAACTGACTTTGGCTGCTTTTTCTTAGGGACACAGCAGGTCAGGAGAGATTCAACAGCATTACCTCAGCTTATTACAGAAGTGCCAAGGGGATCATATTAGTATATGATATCACTAAGAAGGAGACATTTGATGATTTGCCGAAATGGATGAAGATGATTGATAAGGTAAATGTTGCATTTTTCTGTCCAATGTGAACTCTCTGCTTGTGAGTCTTAATCATTATTAAAAGAAGGAGGGGAAACACATGTATTGAGCATGTTTTCATATAGACTAAACATCATTTAGCCCATATATAGCCTTCGGGATAGGGATGTAGTCCTGTATTGTGGATGAGGCAAAGAAGAATTAAATTTATCCAGAATCAGGATTTTTCGTCTGGTATCCTGGACTGTCTCAACTACAGAGGCCAAACATGCTCATTCCACTACATCCAGCTGCTTTCATGGAATAGATATAAGACATTTCATTTCTGCGGAAAGGTCACCTGGACACTCATCTCATGCACGTCCACTGAGTGACAACCTTGAGGAGATGGCCTTCTCCACGGTGCCTGCGGATGTCCCACGCGCCTCCGTCACCCACTGGACATCTGTCCTCGCAATTATAGATGCCCTTTAGCTCCTCATTTTGAGCAAGAGGAGCTCGAGTTCTCCTTTGGCTCGTGATGGAATCATACAGATAGGCTGTGTCCCTGTGGTTAATGTGAACCGTGGGTTCTCCGCTAAGAAACATGTTCCCAAATACACATTTAGAAGGCAGAGCAGTTGGGAGTGGGATGTGATGATATACCATTGACCACATTTTGAGTTTTCTTCCCCTCGTGCAGTAGTTTCATGTTTAGTTCCTTTGCATAACAAGCATATGCAATATAAATTGGATTTTATCTACACATTGCATTTAAACCTGTCTGCTAGATAACATTGGAGAATGTTTGCCAGCTTTACCAAGCATGTCATTGATGATGTATGCCTCTTTAAAATGTGTTAGGATTGGTGGCCAGGCATGGTGACTCACACCTGTAATCCCAGCACTTTGGAAGGCCAAAGCAAGAGGATCACTTGAACCCAGGAGGTCGAGACCAGCCTGGGCAACATAGTGGGACTCCATCTCTCTCTCTCTCTTTTTTTTTTTTTTTTTTTTCATTAAAAAAAAAAGTTGTTAGGATCAGGGTTGCAAGGTTGGATCAGACCTGAGGCGGGGCCCCTGCCCCAGCCTGCTCTGCACTGGGCATCAGTCATACCAGGCCCTCCATTGGCACATCAGTGGATACTGATGTTCCCTGATACGGAAGTCACAGAGTGCAATCCTGTGGAAATTAGAAGTGGACAGTCCTCATAGTCTAAAACTTTTAGAACTAATAGGATGAATACAAAACCAAAAGAAATGGCCTAAATCCTACCCCATTTGGTACTTGAGTTTGTGAGTCTGTGCCCACCCAGGTCTTGAGGTCTGATGCTGTCTTCCTTTTGTCATCAACTGCTGCTTTTCACCTTACTTGAGTGAGAGCATCATTTCCTGAGTGCGGGGCCCATTGCCCCAGCCCTGCGGTGGGTGCTGTCACTGTTACCCACACCTCCCTGATAAGGGGCCGGCACTCCTCACCTGGCTGCGTAACTGGCCCACGGCCACACCATTCAGGTTCCTTTTGTTGCAGTCTGTTTCAAGTAACTTTTTAGAACGACAAGTTAGTTGCTCAAGAGATTTTAACCTCATTTTTAAAGACAGAAATCTCATTGTACCTATATGTATTTTTAAACTTAGAAATGTAGCTTAACTTTTTTCCTGGTTATAAAATTAATGATACCTTCATTATAGAAATTTGGAAAATGAAGAAAAGCACAAAAGTAAAGAAGAAATCTGTACCTCTGGCATCCTGAAAAACCAAATTGGCTTCACTGTATTTAGCTTTACGTCTTGCTTATTTTGTGAATATTCTGTCATGGAGTCCTTCCTGTGTCATTCTCTGTTCTTCTGAAGCGTGTGTTTTTTTAAATGCCTGTGTTTTTAAAATAACTTGATTCTTGAGCCATTTTGTTTGACTTGTAGGTTTTTCAGTTGATAACCATTTTGAGTGTAGAGCTTTGCCTGTATGTTGAATCATTTCCTTAGGAAGAGGTCTTGGGAATTGTTGGGTCAACAGCCAAGAGCATTGTGGTTCTTAATGCCTGTGCCCTAGTTCTTTCTAAGACACAGTGAGCCCTGCCTTGCACTGCTGCCCAGTCCTGCCTGGGAACTGGTAGAACCTCAAAGACAGTGGAAGTGAATGGACAAATGTAAATTAGCGAAAAATACTGTATCGGTTTATATTTCTGCTGTCAGTATATGGCGATGCCCATCTTTGAAATGTGGCTTCTTTTAAAATTCCACAGTATGCTTCAGAAGATGCAGAGCTTCTCTTAGTTGGAAATAAGTTGGACTGTGAAACGGACAGAGAAATCACCAGGCAGCAGGGGGAAAAGGTGAGAGGGCGTGGGAGGCACGGTTGCCACACACTGTGCTTAGCGCTTGAGGTACTGTTTCTTTTAATAAATTACTTATTTTAAAAATTACAAAGAAATTATCAATACAGTGATAACTCAGTCACATCCTCCTAATTTGTTTGCACTTTTTTGACTTCGTGCTCCTTTAAATTCATTCTGAAATGGAGGGAGAAAAAAACACATCAGTGTATACAACATTATTATCTAACCTGACATTTTATACAGAGAAACATATTTTAAGCCATAAAGTTGCTTTTATAATTTACTTTAACGTACTTTAAACTTCCTTGGTTTTTGCTAAGGATTGAATCATGGAGAAACGATGCTATTCACATTTAAATGTCAGATATGTTACACTTTTAGAAACTTAGGCAACTGATTTGACTGGAAGGTCCCGGCATCACCTTCAGGATTTTTATTGTCTTTTGTTTTGCTAGTTGCTTATAATGTAAGAATTTGCTACACTTGTGAACTTTATCTTTGAGCGTCAGTGGGACTTTCTACCCCTTAATCCCAGCCCTTCCCTTGAAGCTGAGCCCAGAGACCTCATGCTCGCACGCTGGTCTGTGAGGCCCCACACAGAGGAAATAGGTGTGTGTTTCTTCTCAGTTTGCACAGCAGATCACTGGGATGCGGTTCTGTGAAGCAAGTGCCAAGGATAACTTCAATGTGGACGAGATATTTTTGAAACTTGTCGATGACATTCTGAAAAAGGTAAAAAAAAGAATCTACATTATAAAAGTATATCATCTGAAACCTGTTGTTTCCTTTATTGCTTTTTTATTGAGAATTTTGTATTTAGAAACCAAAATACAGTAGTTGTGCTCAGGCGCAAGAACCAGGTATGGTTGTTAACTCAGCCACAGGCACCCGGCCTGCTGTAGCCGTTTCCCACCCAGGGGCTTCTGGTGTCCTTGGGGTTGGTATATGGCATACTTGCTTCGCCTTAAGATACAGCAGGGTAGACTTAACAGGGTGTAGCAATATGCTGTGTTTATTTGACATTTGCTTGTTTTCCCACCCCCGTTTTTCTGTGAGAATTCAGTTGGAGACCTAGCCAAGTCTGCAGGTGTCTTAGCGGAAAAGAGAGCCCCGTGGTGCTGCGCTTGCATCCCTTCCTGTTCTGCTCCCTGGTGGGAGCCACTTCCTTACAGAGACCTTTCCATGATGCTGAGTTGCAAGAAAATTGCTAGACAGCTTCATTGAGCAGCAGCAGTTTCTTCAGGCATCTTTAGGCTTACATTCAAAAATTGTTAATAAGAACTGAAGTTTATGTTATTAAGTGAAATTTGCTCAGTTCATACATAATTCAGAAGCTTCTAATAAAGTAATTGTTTAGGCTGGGTGTGGTAGCTCACACCTATAATCCCAGCACTTTGGAAAGTCAAGGTGGGAGGATCACTTGAGGCCAGGAGTTCAAGACCAGACTGGGCAACACAGTGAAGCCCCATCTCTACAAAAAAAATTTAAAAATTAGCAAGGTGTAGTGGCATGTACCTGGTTGTAGTAATCCCAGCTACCCAGGCTGATGCAGGAGGATTGCTTGAGCCCAGGAATTTGAGGAATTTGATACAGTGAGCTATGATCGTATCTACACTCCAGCCTGGGTGACAGAATGAGACACTGTCTCTATTTAAAAAAAAAAAAAAAAGTTTATATAATTGCCAAGGTAGGTTATGTCTGTCTTTAGTAAGTATGCAACTCCTTGGAATGCAGACCATTTTTAAAATTTATTAATGTATTTTTATTTTGCCTGGTTCTGTGAAAATATATGTTTATGAGGTTGATCTGTTCTCTTCTACCATAGGGTATTAAGCAGGCTGGGCATTGTTCATGTTGTGATATGAAGTGTCTTGAACATGGCTTTTTTTGGCTTAATATTTTAATGTCTAATTGATCTTTAACGATCGGAGGACTTTCAATAATAATACTTTTTTTTATATAATTGTATAATTTGGAAAGCATTTACAGTTGACCCTTGAACAACAAGGGGGCTAGAGGTGCTGACCCCCTAAACAGTCAGAAATCTGAGTATAACTTGACTCCCTAAAAACTTAACGACTAAAAGCCTATCACTGACTGGAAGCCTTACTGATAACATAAACAGTCACTTAACACATAGGTTGTATGTTATACGTATTTTATACCATGTTCTTAAAGTAAGCTAGAGAAAAGAAAATGTTATTAAGAAAATCATAAGGAAGAGAAAATATATTTACTATTCATTAGTGGAAGTGGATCATCATAAAGGTCTTCATCTGTGTCATCTTCACATTGAGTAGGCTGAGGAGGAGGAGGAGGAGGAGGGATTGGTCTTGCTGTCTCTTCCGGGTGGCAGAGGCGGAGGAGAAGGTGAGTGGGGAGGCAGGAGAGGCAGGTGAAACTTGTATTGAAAAGCAGCTGTGTATAAGTGGACCTGTGCAGTTGAAACTCATGTTCAAGGGTCAGCTGTATGTGTACCTTGTAAAGTTAAAACGGATTTTTTTTTGTTTGTTTATACGTTAGATGCCTCTGGATATTTTAAGGAATGAGTTGTCCAATAGTATCCTGTCGTTACAACCAGAGCCTGAGATACCGCCAGAACTGCCTCCACCAAGACCACATGTCCGATGCTGTTGATTTCCTACTTTGGAGACAAAGTGGAAATGATTCCTGGAAAGGGGAAAAAACGTTCTATTCTGCACTACAATCATTTTGACAATTTCCTTTCGCACTTTGTAATCCAAGTCAGAGCTATACACTAACTTGTAAATATGCATATATGCAATCCTGGGTAAGTTTTGGTTATAAGTTACCTATTTCCCTCCAAATTATTATATTTCATTCATTACCCCAGTGTCTAGTGTACATACACTGGGAAACCTAGTACTTCTAATATGAAGAATGGGAGAAATGAAAGGTATAATGTTTCTTGAAATAAATAATATAATTGTCCTTATTAATTATATTATGAGGACAGAAGATATTCTGATAAGAGAGAACGTGGTGCTTTGCTTACCGTTTTAAAGAAAATTTGTAAAACTAAAGACTTTTTGAAAAAAAGCTATCTTAAGTGCTTTTTCTTTATTTACAAGACATTTCCCCCAGTGGTAGCATCTGAAGTATTGGAGTGTTTCTGCCACGAAGCAAAGCTCCATTCATGGCCGTCATGGAAGGTTATTTATTAATGTTACATAATGGTAGAATATTACTAGTTAGAGGGTTGGATTTGACTTGGTCCTAAGGCCACAGAATCTCTCTCATGGCTTCCTAAGGGATGTACCTTTATGCTTTTAAGAACTACAAAGATTCAATAAAGAAAGAAATGTTTTTGAAACTATAGAAAAAGATTTTAAAACACGCTGCTGTCCTAAACAAATCCTGTTTAAAGGAATTTTAAAGAGATGCATTTTACTATATCAAAGAACATACGTGTATTTGCCTAAACACTCTGTACCTTTGTAATGATAAAACTTCCCCCTTCTTTACGGTGAAGCTTATTCTGATTAAGCCTAGACTGTGTTCTTTTTTTTTTTTTTTTTTTTTTTTTTTTTTTTTTTTTTTTTTTTTGGTCTGATGATGAATTTGTGAACTCTATCTTTGGTATATCTTTTATTAAACTGCACTGTTTTGTTTAGTCAAGGTAATTAAGTAATTATGTATTTGAATAACTTGGTGTGTCTTGAGTGTTGTGGTATGAAAAGCATTGTGGTCTTTCTACACTAATGAAGTGCAAATAAAATTTTGTATTTATGAATGAAGTTGAGTTGCCATATTTATTTATCCAATTATAAATTGTATATATGACAGTATTCTCCATGAGCTCCACAGCTTAATCCTTTTGAGTGTTTAGACAGGAAAAGCATAGTCCTCCACTGGGGAAAAGAGTTTGATGTTTTCTCAAAGGGCTGAACATAGAGCTACCATATGATCCAGCAATTTGACTTCTAGGTTTATATCTAAAAGATCGAAAGCAGAGACTCAAACAGGTACTTGTACACCAGTGCCCACGGCAGCATTGTTCACGAGAGCCGAAAGGTGGAAACCGCCCCAATGTCCATCAGCAAAATAATGGATAAACAAAATGTGTGTTCTACAAACAATGGGATATTCATCCTTAAAAAGAAAGGAAATGCTGTCACATGTGCAGCGCGGATGAATCTTGAAGACATTACGCTGAGTGAAATAAGCAGGCCCAGAAGGACTGATACTGCCTGATTCCACTTACATGAGGTATATGGAGCACCCAGATTCATAGAGATGACGTAGAATGGTGGTTCCCAGGAGGGCGGGAGAGGGGATGAAGCATTGTTTCTGGGTGCAGAGTTTCAGCTGGGGAAGATGGACGGTGGCGATGGCAGCACAGCAGTGTGCAGGGACTTCTTTAGTGCCACTGAGCTGTAGCAAACTGGATTGTCGTGTCCTCCAGAAAAGATTTTTAGTTCGTGTATATGCCTTTATCAGCCACAGTCGATTACGACTGCTGGTGATTTACCTACCCTCACCTCCCACCCTGCCCTTCTGTGTTCTGCTCTGTGATGCTGGGGTTGGGACTCCCAACTATATTTGCCAAACCCTCTTGCTCTTCCTGTTAAAATCTGCTGATGGAGAGCTAGAAGTTGGCAGGAGGGAAGAAGGGGCTTGCTTGCCATTTTTCCGTTCCCATCAGCCTCCCTGGAGCAACAACAGACCACCAGCTCTAGCCTCCAGCTTCCTGCGGGACCCCTGGCTCCAACCTCACTGTGCCCTGTCAGAGGTACCAGTGGCATCTGGGCTTCTCAGTGTCCTGCCAGCTGGGTCATTCCAGCCCCTGCTGGACTGTACCCTCAGCAGTCCCTCTGCCCCCCAGGGTCCTGCTCCTCCGAGTCTGCACTCCCCTCCTCAGAAGCTTGGACCCAGTCTTGCAGGGGTCCTTCCTCTGAGCTCCTGAGTTGTGGCAGTGCCCTCCCCTTTTTGCCCCCAGGGCCCTAGGGTTGGTAGCTGCTTCCTTCACTTCATTGGTTTAGCATTTGAACAACCATGTAGTCCCCTGTATTAAATCCTTCTGTTTAGATATCCCGCATTGGTGTCTGTCTTCCTGACTGATAGAGGACCTGGAACCAGGAGTGATCTCAAGAAACAGATCCTCAAAGATGAGTTCAACAAAAAAAACGGTGGTGTTTGGCATGGGCATTTGTAGCTCATTCAGCAATCTGTGGTCTATTTTATGTTTACAACTCAATCTTAGTTTCTGCATTTTCAGTCTGTCAACTGTAGTATTAACAAAAGTGCTATCCTTGTTTAGTAGGATAGTTTGGGGGTTACAGTTGGACTTTGCAAGAAGGCAGTGTGGTTTATAGCTCTTGAGTTTAATTTTTGTTGTCGTTGTTGAGTTTTGCTCTTGTTGCCCAGACTGGAGTGCAATGGCGTGATCTCAGCTCAGTGCAACCTCCACCTCCCAGGTTCAAGCAATTCTCCTGCCTCAGCCTCCCGAGTAGCTGGGATTACAGGTGCACGCCACCACACCCAGCTAATTTTGTATTTTTAGTAGAGATGGGGTTTCACCATGTTGACCAGGCTGATCTCAAACTCCTGACCTCAGGTGATCCACCCACCTTGGCCTCCCAAAGTACTGGGATTACAGGTGTGAACCACTGGCCCAGACTGATTAAATTTTTATTCTTAGGTTTTCCAGTAAGTATACTTTTGGGTTTTTCTTCCAATGAGTACGATTTGTGAGCGTGGGACTAGAGCTAAATTTTCTAGACTGTTAATTCCCACATTGTCATAGGGGCTGGTTATTCAGTATCTGCTTGGCCAGTGGTTCTCATGCTGTCAGTGGCCTGTCTCACCTTTGGACAGCCCAGCAGTCCATTGTCTGATCAGCTGAAATGCAGTTTGATCCCTCTAGATTTCTGTTTTGTCTTTTGAGACACACTCATCCAGGCTGGTGCAGTGGTGCGATCTCGGCTGACTGCAACCTCTTCCTCCCAGGTTCAAGCAATGCTCCACACTCAAGCCACTCACGTAGCCGGGATTGTAGGTGCCTTCCACCATGACCAGCTAATTTTTGTATTTTTAGTGGAGACGGGTTTCACCATGTTGGCCAGGCTGGTCTTGAACTCCTGACCTCAAGTGATCTGTCTGCCTTGGCCTCCCAAAGTGCTGGGATTACAGGTGTGAGCTACTGTGCCCGGCCATTCTTCTAGATTTTTTAAGGGAACTGTCCTATTGTGTTTTTGTTGTTGTTGTTGTTGTTGTTTTGCTTTTGAGAGAGGGTCTCTATCTGTCACCCAGGCTGGAGTGCACTCGTGCGATCATGGCTCATTGTAGCCTCGACCTTTCCAGGCTCAGGTGAGCCTCCCGTCTCAGCCTCCTGAGTAGCTGGGACTACAGGTGCACGCACCTTGTCTATTTTTTGTAGAGATGGGGGTCTCACTATGTTGCCCAGGCTGGTCTCAAACTCAGGCTCAAGCGATCTGCCTGCCTCCGCCTCCCAAAGTGCTGGGATTACAGGTATGAGCCACCATGCCCAGCTAGGAACTGTCTTTTTGAAGAACAGTCGCAAGTAATATTTTATACGTTTATAGCTCATTGTCCTAGGTTAGTGTCTTATTTGGTTCTCACAGAGACTCTGAAGTAAATAGAGCCAGATATAAAAGGAATTTTCAGTCATCCATGTAGATGGAGAGGAGCATAATCTAAGAACAAATAAAAACCACCCAAGACCACAAGATCTGCAGATTTTGTTGGGGCCACAAAGTTGTATTTCTGGTCTGTGAACTGGATGCTAAACATCCTGGAGTTGAGCAGCTTTGTGGAGAATTACAGTGGATTTCTTGTAAAGCAGTGGGGAAACAACAGGTTCATTCTCTGTACACTCATCTCCAGCTGGTTCTCTTTCTATCTCCTGGGGCTTCAAAATGGAGTCACTAGTGGGCAGCTGGTTTAATTTAACTAATTGCTTAAAGTCTTTACAATGAAATGTGAGGGGTGAATATTAGTTGATGACAACAGAACAGGAGATTTACCTCGCATGTCTCCAGCTCTCAAACAAGCTTCCTCAAATTAGGTCTTTTTCCATGAGTGACTTACATTACCAGGGAGAGGGAAAGTCCTTGTGTATAGATTACGCGTTGCCTAGAATTTGTAACTTGGCTTACAAGCTGCATAAGAGTGATGAGTGGGTCAGGACGTGATAGAAGGAACCCATTATTTCTGTTGTGACACTGTAGTAACAGTTGAAATTTGCTGTGTGGTTGCTTTGTGCAAGGCCTAGATCAATACAACGACCCTCGAGTTTCAGGTGCAAGGGATGGCGGATCCATAACTAGAACACGCGGCAGAGCAGCCTCTGTGAATCCACGGAAGACGCACCAAGTCCTGGGGAAGCTCAGAGTAGAGAGAGGTCAGGGCCCAACTGTCAGTGTACAGTGGCCCAGCCTCTACCTGTACACCGATGACTTCCAAGACTAGTGAAGACTACTCCTGAACTCCAAATACACCCATCAAACTACCTACTGGCATCTCCACCTTGGTTTTATGGACACCTCTAAATCAACTGACATTAAAACTGATATTACCTTCTATTTATAAACCAGCCCCCTCCAACTTGTCCTCTTATATTTCATACCTCAGTGAAAGTAACCACTATTTACCTAGCTTCCCAAATCTGAAACTTGGGAGTCCTTGACTTCTTTTCTATTCCCTACATCCGATTGGTCTTCAAGCCCCATTGAATTAAATCCTCTTCTCCAACCTTCTGCATTAGTTGAAGTCCCTAGTTTCTCATTTGCATCCTTGCAGCAGTCACTGATCTATACATATATTCTAATTATTCTCCCTGTACACAAAAATACTCGCAAGCTTACTGTGACAAGTCATCAAACAGATTCAGAAATTCCATTTGTCATCCAGATTCAGAAATTCCATTTTCTCTGGACTTTCCCCAAATGAAGAGATTTTTTTTCCTCAACTGTACCCAAGATTTAGAGATAGTTCCTCTAATTGCTTGTAGACGGTATTGTTTTGTCTATTTAACTGAGTCTCAGGAAGATTAGGCAACTTGCCCAGATCTCTGTAGCTAGCAAGGGGTAGAGCTGGGTCAGAGCCCCAGGTCTTTAGACTCCTTGCTGTCTTCTCACAGTCTGAACAGATTTACTAACGTTTTGGCTTAAGTATATAGTAGCATGTTCCTTATTTATTTGTAATAACCATCCAAGCAGGATTTTGACTTCCCACCAACTAGAAGATGGCCCAAATGGCTTATGTTCTTAGTGTCATTTAAATTTGCTAGCAATCACTATATGCACAAATCATTATAAGATGAGCACTGACTTTAAATGTCTATAGAAAACAACTAGCAAGATGCTGGGTTTTTTTTTCCTTTTTTAAGACAGGGTCTCGCTCTGTTGCTGAGGCTGGAGTGCAGTGGCATGATCACAGCTCACTGCAACCTTGACCTCCCTGGTCTCTGGTGATTCTCCTGGCTCAGCCTCTCGAGTAGCTAGGACTACAAGCATGTGCCACCATGCCCAGCTTTTTTTTTTTTTTTTTTTTTTCTGTAGAAATGGGGTTTCACCATGTTGCCTAGGCTGGTCTTGAACTGGGCTCAAGTGATCTGCCCACCTCAGCCTCCCAAGTGCTGGGATTATAGGCGTGAGCTGCCACACCCGGCCAAGATGGTGAATTTAATCCAACTATATTAGCAATTACATTAACTATAAACAGTTTAAACTTACAAATTGAAAGAAGAAATTTGTCATACTGTTTTGTTGGTTTTGTTTTGTTTTTGTTTTTTTGAGACAGAGTCTTGCTCTGTCACCCAGTCTGGAGTGCAGTGGCATGATCTCAGCTCACTGCAACCTCCGCCTCCTGGGTTCAAGCTATTCTGCTGGCTCAGCTGCCCCAGTAGCTGGGATTACAGGCGCACACCACCATGCCCAGCTAATTTTTGTATTTTTAGTAGAGACGGGGTTTACCATATTGGCCAGGCTGGTCTCGAACTCCTGACCTCGTGATCCACCCACCTCAGCCTCCCAAAGTGCTGGGATTACAGATGTGAGGCACTGCACCTGGCTGTATTTTTTTTTTTAAAGACCTAATTATTTGCTGTCTACAATAAACCCACTTTAAGGATGAGTTAAAAGGATGAAAAAAGAGGTATCATGAAAACACGAATCAAAAGAAAGCTGAAGTGGTTCTATTGCTATCAGACAAAGCAGACTTTAGAACAAGAAATATTTCCAGGAAAAAGTGGAGCATTATATAATAATAAAGGAGTCAATTCACTGACATGACAGTAATCTTAAATGTGTATGCACCTAACAACAGAGCTTCGAAAGACATGAAACAAAAATTGATAAAACTACAAGTAATTGACAGATTCAGAATTACAGTTGGAGATTTCAATGCTCCTTTCTCAGTCAACAGAACAAGTCAATAGCAAATCAGTGAGGCTACAGAAGACCTATTTGACTTATGTGGCCTAATTAAACTCAACCTAATTGAACACTATCAAAAGAAAAATTTGTATTTTCAAATATACATGAAACATTCACCAAGATAGATTACATTCTGTGCCATAAATTTTTTAAAAAATAATATAAAGTATGTATTATGCCACAGCTGAATTAAACTGGAATAATAATAACAGAAAATATTTGGAAAATCTCCAAATATGTGGAAGATAAACAATACACTTTCAAATAATCCATATGTAAAAAAGAAGTTAAAAGGGAAATTTTAAAGTACTTCTAATGGAACAAAAACCCAAATTCAATATATCAAAATTTGTATGATGACCAGCCTGGCCAACAAGGTGAAACCTAGTCTCTACTAAAAATACAAAAATTAGCTGGGCATGGTGGCAGGCACCTGTAATTCCAGCTACTCGGGAGGCTAAGGCAAGAGAATCGCTTGAACCCAGGAGGCAGAAGTTTCAGTGAGCCGAGACTGCGCTACTGCACTCCAGCTGGGTGACATGAGTGAAACTCTGTCTCAAAAAAAAAAAAAAAAAATTGTGTGATGTAGCTGAAGTCGTGCACAGAGGAAATTTATAACATTAAGTGCTTATATTAGAAAAGAAAAAAGTCTTGGATAACTTATCTAAATTTTCACTTTAAGAAACTAGGAAAAGAAGCGGTAATGAAACCCAATGCAAGCAGAAGAAAAGAAATAATAAAGATGAAGCATAACTCAATGAAATTAAGAACATAATAATAGAGAAAAACCAAAACTATCCAAAGAACTCAGCAGCAACAAAAACCCCAATTAACAAATGTGCAAGGACTTGATAGACATTTCTCCGAAGAAAATATGCAAATAGCCAACAGCACATGGAAAGATGCTCAATGTCACTCATCATTAGGAAAATGCAGATTGAAACCACAAGATTCCACTTCACACCCATTAGGATGGCAATTATATGTGAAAAAATAACAAGTGTTGGTGAAGATGTAGAGAATTTGGAACTCTTATGTATTGCTAAGTGGGATATAAAATAGTGTAGCCACTGTGGAAATTGTATGGTGATTCCTCAAAAAATCAGGTATAGAATTACCATATGACCCAGCAATGTCACTTCTGCGTATATACCCAAAAGAACCGAAAACAGGTACTCAAACAGATATTTATACATTCATGTTCATAGCAGCATTGTTCAAAATAGCCAAAAGGTGGAAACAAAGAAAGTGTCGATTGGTGGATGAATGGGTAAACAAAATCTGGCATGTACATACATGTACGATAATTAATGGAATATTAACTATTCAGCCTTAAAAAGAAGCAACTTTTCTTTCTTTCTTTTTTTTTAATTTTATTTATTGGGTGGCTCACGAGATGGCTGAATAGGAACAGCTCCAGTCTGCAGCTATGAACGAGATCAATGCAGGAGGCAGGTGATATCTGCATTTCCATCTGAGGAACCCAGCTCATCTCACTGGGACTGGTTAGATAGTGGGTGCAGCCCCTGGAGGGCAAGCAGAAGCAGGGTGGGGTGTCACCTCACTCGGGAAGCACAAGGGGTCAGGGAACTCCCTCCCCTAGCCAAGGGAAGCCATGAGGGACTCTGCCATGAGGAACAGTGCATTCCGGCCCAGATACTATGCTTTTCCCATGGTCTTTGCAACCTGCAGACCAGGAGATTCCCTTGGGTGCCTACACCACCAGGGCCCTGGGTTTCAAGCACAAAACTGAGTGGCTGTTTGGGCAGACACTGAGCTAGCTGCAGCTTTTTTCATACTCCAGTGGAGCCTGGAATGCCAGTGAGACACAACCATTCACTCCTGTGGAAAGGGGGCTGAAGCCAGGGAGCCAAGTGGTCTAGCTCAGCAGATCCCACCCCCACGGAGCCCAGCAAGCTAAGATCCACTGGCTTGAAATTCTTGCTGCCAGCACAGCAGTCTGAAGTCGACCTGGGGCATTAGAGCTTGGTGGGGGGAGGGGTGTTCACCATTACTGAGGCTTGAGTAGGCAGTATTCCCTTCACAGTGTAAACAAAGCCCCTGAGAAGTTTGGACTGGGCGGAGCCCACCGCAGCACCGCAAAGCCACTGTAGCCAGACTGCCTCTCTAGATTCCTCCTCAATGGGCAGGGCATCTCTGAAAGAAAAGCAGCAGCCCCAGTCAGGGGCTTATAGATAAAACTCTCATCTCCCTGGGACAGAGCACCTGGGGGAAGGGGCGGCTGTGGGCGCAGCTTCAGCAGATTTAAACGTTCCTGCCTGCTGGCTCTGAAGAGAGCAGCAGATCTCCCAGCACAGTGCTCAAGATTTGCTAAGGGACAGACTACCTCCTCAAGTGAGTCCCTGACCCCCATGACTCCTGACTGGGAGACACCTCCCAGCAGGAGTCGACAGACACCTTATACAAGAGAGCTCCAGCTAGCATCTGGCAGGTGCCCCTCTGGGAGGAAGCTTCCAGAAGAAGGAACGTGCAGCAATCTTTGCTGTTCTGCGGCCTCTGCTGGTGATACTCAGGCAAACAGGGTCTGGAGTTGACCTCTAGCAAACTCCAGCAGACCTGTAGCAGAGGGGCCTGACTGTTAGAAGGAAAACCAACAAACAGAAAGGAATAGCATCAACAGCAACAAAAAGGACATCCACAAAAAAAAAAACCCATCCAAAGGTCACCAGCATCAAAGACCAAAGGTAGATAAATCCACGAAGATGAGGAAAAACCAGTGCAAAAAGGCCGAAAACTCCAAACACAAGAACACCTCTTCTCCTCCAAAGGATCATAACTCCTCACCAGCAAGGGAACAAAACTGGATGGAGAATGAGTTTGATGAATTGACAGAAGTAGACTTCAGAAGGTGGGTAATAACAAAATCCTCTGAGCTAAAGGAGCATGTTCTAACCCAATGCAAGGAAGCTAAGAACCTTGAAAAAAGGTTAGAAGAATTGCTAACTAGAATAACCAATTTAGAGAAGAACATAAATGACCTGATGGAGCTGAAAAACACAGCACGAGAACTTTGTAAAGCATACATAAGTATCAATAGCCGAATCAATCAAGCAGAAGAAAGGATATCAGAGATTGAAGATCAACTTAATGAAATTAAGCATGAAGACAAGATTAGAGAAAAAAGAATGAAAAGGAACAAAGCCTCCAAGAAATATGGGACTATGTGAAAAGACCAAACCTGCGTTTGATTGGTGTAGCTGAAAGTGACAGGGAGAATGGAACCAAGTTACAAAACACTCTTCAGGATATCTAGGAGAACTTCCGCAACCTAGCAAGAGAGGCCAACATTCAAATTCAGGAAATACGGAGAACGCCACAAAGATACTCCTCAAGAAGAGCAACCCCAAGGCACATAATCATCAGATTCAGCAAGGTTGAAATGAAGGAAAAAATGTTAGGGGCAGCCAGACAGAAAGGTCGGGTTACCCACAAAGGGAAGCCCATCAGACTAACAGCAGATCTCTCTGCAGAAACCATACAAGCCAGAAGAAAGTGGGGCCCAATATTCAACATTCTTAAAGAATTTTCAACCCAGAATTTCATATCCAGCCAAACTAAGCTTCATAAGCGAAGGAGAAATAAAATCCTTTACAGACGAGGAAATGCTGAGAGATTTTGTCACCACCAGGCCTGCCTTACAAGAGCTCCTGAAGGAAGCACTAAATATGGAAAGGAAAAACTGGCACCAGCCACTGCAAAAACATTCCAAATTGTAAAGACCATCAACACTATGAAGAAACTGCATCAATTAATAGGCAAAATAACCAGCTAGCATCATAATGATAGGATCAAGTTCACACATAACAATATTAACATAAATGTAAATGGGCTAAATACCCCAATTAAAAGACACAGAGTGGGCCAGGCACAGTGGCTCATGCCTGTAATCCCAGCACTTTGGGAGGCTGAGGTGGGTGAATCACCTGAGGTCAGGAGTTCGAGACCACCCTGGGCAATATGGCGAAACCCTGTCTCTACTAAAAATACAAAAAATTAGCTGGACATGGTGGCATGCACCTGTAATCCCAGCTACTCAGGAGGCTGAAGCAGGAGAATCACTTGAACCGGGGAGGCAGAGGTTGCAGTGAGCCAAGATCACACCACTGTACTCCAGCCTGGTGATGGAGCAAGACTCCATCTCAAAAAGAAAAAAAAGCAAACAAGCAAGCAAGCAGTGGGAAAGCAAGGAAGCAGTGGTTTCTGCCCATAGGCAGAGACCCCAACAATAGGTGAGAGGAAGTGAGGGCTATGGGCTGGGAGACAAGAGTGAAACTCCGTCTCAAAAAAAAAAGTCACACACTGGCAAATTGGATAAAGAGTCAAGACCCATCAGTGTGCTGTATTCAGGAGACCCATCTCATGTGCAAAGACACACATAGGCTCAAAATAAAGGGATGGAGGAATATTTACTAAGCAAATGGAAAGCAAAAAAAAAAGCAGGGGTTGCAATCCTAGTCTGATAAAACAGACTTTAAACCAACAAAGATCAAAAAGATAAAGAAGGACATTACATAATGGTAAAGGGATCAATGCAGCAAGAAAAGCTACCTATCCTAAATATATATGCACCCAATACAGGATTACCTAGATTCATAAAGCAAGTTCTCAGAGACCTACAAAGAGACTTAGACTCCCACACAATAAAATGGGAGACTTTAACACCCCACTGTCAATATTAGACAGATCAACAAGGCAGAAAATTAACAAGAACCAATGACAGAAACCACACGATTATCTCAATAGATGCAGAAAAGGCCTTTGATAAAATTCAACACCACTTCATGCTAAAAACTCTAGCTAAACTAGGTATTGATGGAACATATCTCAAAATAATAAGAGCTATTTATGACACACCCACAGCCAATATCATACTGAATGGGCAAAAGCTGGAAGCATTCCCTTTGAAAACCGGCACAAGACAAGGATGCCCTCTCTCACCACTCCTATTCAACATAGCATTGGAAGTTCTGGCCAGGGCAATCAGGCAAGATAAATAAATAAAGGGTATTCAATTAAGAAAAGAGGAAGTCAAATGGTCTCTGTTGTATATTTAGAAAACCCCATCACCTCAGCCCAAAATCTCCTTAAGCTGATAAGCAACTGCAGCAAAGTCTCAGGAAACAAAATCAATGTGCAAAAACCACAAGCATTCCTATACACCAATAATAGACAAACAGAGCCAAATCGTGAGTGAACTCCCATTCACAATTGCTACAAAGAGAATAAAATACCTAGGAATCCAACTTACAATGGATGTGAAGGACCTCTTCAAGGAGAACTACAAACCACTGCTCAAGGAAATAAAAGAGGACACAAACAAATGGAAAAACATTCCATGCTCATGGATTGGAAGAATCAATATCATGAAAATGACCATACTGCCCAAAGTAATTTATAGATTCAATGCTATCCCCATCAAGCTACCATTGACTTTCTTCACAGAATTAGAAAAAACTACTTTAAATTTCATAAGAACCAAAAAAGAGCCTGTATGGGCAAGACAATCCTAAGCAAAAAGAACAAATCTGGAGGCATCACATTACCTGACTTCAAACTATACTACAAGGCTACAGTAACCAAAACAGCATGGTACTGGTACCAAAACAGATATATAGATTGATGGAACAGAACAGAGGTCTCAGAAATAACACCACACATCTACAACCATCTGATCTTTGACAAACTTGACGAAAACAAGCGATGGGGAAAGGATTCCCTATTTAATAAATGGTGTTGGGAAAACTGGCTAGCCAAATGCAGAAAACTGAAACTGGACCCCTTCCTTGCACCTTATACAAAAATTGGATGGATTAAAGACTTAAACATAAGACCTAAAGCCATAAAAACCCTAGAAGAAAACCTAGGCAATACCATTCAGGACATAGGCATGGGCAAAGACTTCATGACTAAACCACCAAAAGCAATGTCAACAAGAACCAAAATTGACAAATGAGATCTAATTAAATTAAAGAGCTTCTGCACAGCAAAAGAAACTATCATCAGAGTGAACAGGCAACCTACAGGATGGAATAAAATTTTTGCAATCTACCCATCTGACAAAGGGCTATTATCCAGAATCTATAAGGAACTTAAACAAATTTACAAGAAAAAAACAACCCCATCAAAAAGTAGGTGAAGGATATGAACAGACACTTCTCAAAAGAAGACAATTTATGTGGTCAACAAACACATGAAAAAAAAGCTCATCATCACTGGTCATTAGAGAAATGCAAATCAAAACCACAGTGAAATATCATCTCATGCCAGTTAGAATGGCGATCATTAAAAAGTCAGGAAACAACAGATGCTGGAGAGGATGTGAAGGAATAGAAATGCTTTTACACTGTTTGTAGGAGTGTAAATTAGTTCAACCATTGTGGAAGACAGTGTGGCGATTCCTCAAGGATCTAAAACAAGAAATACCGTTTTACCCAGCAATCCCATTATTGGGTATATACCCAAAGGATAATAAATCATTCTACTATAAAGACACATGCACATATATGTTTATTGCAGCACTATTCACAATAGCAAAGACTTGGAACCCACCCAAATGCCTATCAATGATGGACTGGCTAAAGAAAATGTGGCACATATACACCATGGAATACTATGCAGCCATAAAAAAGGATGAGTTCATGTCCTTTGCAGGGACATGGATGAAGCTGGAAACCATTATTCTCAGCAAACTAACACAGGAACAGAAAACCAAACACCACGTGTTCTCACTCATAAGTGGGAGTTGAACAATGAGAACACATAAACACAGGGGTGGGAACATCAAACACCAGGGCCTGCCACAGGGTGGCGAGCTAGGGGAGGGGTAGCATTTAGGAGACATACCTAATGTAGATGAGGGGTTGATGGGTGCAGCAAACCGCCATGGCATGTGTATACCTGTGTAACAAATCTGCACATTCTACACATGTACCCCAGAACTTAAAGTATAATAAAAAAATTTTAAATTAATTAAAATTGAATAATGTATTTTAATTTATTAAATAAAACTTGAACTTCAAAAAAAATTATTTTTATTTATTTATTTATTTATTTATTGAGAAGGAGTCTCAGTGGGTTGCCCAGGCTGGTCTTGAACTCCTGGCCTCAAGTGATCCTCCCACCTCGGCCTCCCAAAATGCTTGTTACAGGTGTGAACCATCATGCCCAGCGAAATTAACACAACCGATAAGCCTCTAGCCACACTCACCAAGAAATACAGAGAGAAGACGATTATCCATAACTGAAATGGAAGAGGAGAAATCATTACAGGCACTGAAGAATAATAAGGAGGCCAGTTGCAGTGGCTCATGCCTGTAATCCCAGCACTTTGGGAGGCCGAGGCGGGCAGATCATGAGGTCAGGAGATCCAGACCATCCTGACCAACATGGTGAAACCCCATCTCTCAAAAATTAGCTGGGCGTGGTGCCACATGCCTGTAATCCCAGCTACTCGGGAGGCTGAGACAGGAGAATAGCTTGAACCAGGGAGTCAGAGGTTGCAGTGAGCTGAGATTGCACCACTGCACCCCAGCCTGGCAACAGAGTAAGACTCTGTCTCAAAAAATAATAATAATAAATAATAATAAGGAAACAGCACAAACTATCCTAAGCCTATAAATTTAACAACTTAGATTAAATGGACAAATTTCCTAAAGAACACAAACTGCCAAAGCTATTTAAAAAAAAAAAAACATAGGGAACTTTCTCAACCTGGTAAATGTTACCTACAAAACAACAGCTAGCCTTATCCTTGATGGTGGAAGACTTGTCTTAACTCTAAGAATAGGAACAATACAAGGATTTTTTTAAAAAGTTAAGCATCATACTAAAGTTTATAGCCTGCAATAAGGCAAGAAGAAGAAATTAACGGAAACAAATAAATAAAACAAATAAAACTATTCGCATGATTGTCTGCATAGAAATTCACAAAGAATTTACAGCAAAGCTGTTAGAACTAATAAGTGCGTTTAGCTAGGTCACAGGATACAAGGTCAACATACAAAAATTAATTGTATTTTTATTTACTATCAATAAACACTTGAAGGTTGGATTTTTTCAAAGTACTATTTAAACAGCACGCACACACCTACACACACAACAAATTATATATGTAAGATCTACACGCTGAAGACTACAAAATTCTGATTAAAAAAATCAAAGACCTAAACAAGTGGAGAGAGATACACCAATCCAATCAAAATCCCTACAGGATTTTTTGTAGAAATCAACAAGCTAATTCTAAACTTTATATATAAAAACAAATAAACTAGAAAGGCTAAAGCAATTTTGAAGAACAACAAAGTTGGAAGATCCACACTATCTAATTTCAAGACTTAACTATAAATCGACAGTAATCAAGGCATAAGGGATAAGCCAGGGATGGTGGTGCGTGCATGTAGTCCCAGCTACTCAGGAGGTTGAGGCAGAAGGATGGCCTGGAGTTCAAGACCAGTCTGAGCAACACAGTGAGACCCTGTCTCAAAAAAAAAAAAAGAAAGAAAGAAAGAAAGAAAGAAAGAAAGAAAGAAAGAAAGAAAGAAAGAAAGAAAAGAAAAAAAATAGTGGAGAAGAAAGGATAGACATACAGATGACTGGAACAGAATAGAGTCATACATATATGGTGAATTGACTTTCAACAAGTTTGGAAAGAGGCAATTCAATGGAGAAAGGATAGATTTTTCAGTGAATAGCTGGAACAATTAGATATTCATATGTAAAAAAAATGTACCTCAATCTACGCCTTGCACTCTCTACAAAAAAGATCATAGACCTAAGCATGACACCTAAAGCTAAAAATCCTCTAGAAGAAAACAGGGAGAAATCTTTCTTTCAGCAAAGTCCTAACCCCACTTGGCTTTGTGAGGTAGGTTGATAGAATTGTTGTGACAATAAGGGAGATAGCAAAATGAAGGTTACTAACATAGTCCCTGCTCTTTTAAATATCTGTTGCTTTGTCAGTTTCCTTCTCTTTCCCCCCATGACTGATCCCAAAATAACTTACCACAGCCTATTTGACAAAAGCCAATGGAAGTATCAAGTGATTGTGAATAAATTGAATACTAAGACCCGGCTGGTCATCTCGTGAATCTAGCATTTTCATTAGGTTCTTAATTTTCCACCAGAAATGACAGCAGTCCTACCATCTGTTTGGTGCTTTTAAAACATACGGATTGCTCTTAATCAGCTACACAAATTGCCCACACTCCAAGCTGTTGAAATTGAATACCAGCTTCAAATACCTGCTGCTCAACTTTATCGAAAATCCCGTGGAGCATAGTTTGAAAGTCATACTCTCTGTTCTTTTCTTTTAGCATTATTTCCCAGGTCAAGACAGCTCAGACACAGCTGCATGAAGAAACCCATGGTCTTGACTCCAGGAATTGTCTTCTGACTTGGTGTCATGCCTTCATCCAAAATGAAACAACTTTAGGAAACCTCTCATGGAATCCATTATTACCTTTAGTGAATACACTGTAAACCTGCATTTCAACTTATTTAGTTTACTTTTTTATAGTGTGTATGTTCATTAAGCCACCTCAAATCTCTTGGGAAACTATATGGACTCTAAATAATCCTGGTGTTATAATAATCGCTGAGGAGTTGGTGCAATTATACAAAATTTCCACTAGGAGGAGGCAGAGCACGAATGATAAAAAATTCAGGTTAGACTATCATTTATACGTTGTACAATTATTTCTAAATTAGAATCTTTATTATTTTAAAAAACATACATAATTAAAATAGATCCTTTGAATATGTGGATGTGGTATAATTTAGAAGAGGAATGTAAATTTTAAAAATTATGCCCTACATTTTAGCTGCAATTTGAACAGACACAATGAATTCAGTTGGAACTCAGGGGAATTTCCCTAATTAGAAGGCTGAAGAATTTTAAGCACAAAGAAATGTTAAATGTAGACAGTGTACAATAATTTTTAAAGGTAACTCTTTTGATAACATTTATTGTTTGCTTTTTTTTTCTAGGTGCCATTTAAGGAAGACAAAACTGTATTTTATTCACTAAATCTACTTGGCATTTGCTTTTTAAACTTTAGTCATGGACTACACTCAAAGATTGTGACTCGTGACCTTGGCATATATCACAGGACCTGCTGAGGACAGGAGTGGGGGGTCTGTCAGTGACACAGCAGGGAGGGTCGTAGATAAGGAATCCACAAAAGACAGGGGTAGCCAAGGGCCACTTTCCACAAAGTGGCACTGTCCTCACAAGATTGGGAAAGTGTTTAAAGAAGACTCAGCCAGGCATGGTGGCTCATGCCTGTAATCCCAGCTCTTTGGGAAGCCAAGGAGGGCAGATCACCTGAGGTCAGAGGTTCGAGACCTGCTTGGCCAACACAGTGAAACCGTGTCTCTACAAAAAATACAAAAATTAGCTGGTGGGGTGGCAGCCACCTGTAGTCCCAGCTACTTGGAAGGCTGAGGCAGGAGAATCACTTGAACCCGCGAGGTGGAGTTGCAGTGAGCCAAGATCGCACCACTGCACTCCAACCTGGGCAACAGAGCAAGACCCCGTCTCAAAAAAAAAAAAAGAAGAAGAAGAAGAAGATTCAGCACTCTCAAGTGCAGTGTCAGCAGCAAAAAAGCAGGGAGTATCAAAAAGTCTCTGCAAAGGAAAAAGAGGGAGAATCGAGTAGATGCTCTAATGAATTCTGTACGTAGATAGCCTGGGCAAGGATACCATAGAGTTGGGATCTAACTAACACCAGCTAGAAGAGAGCATGATTTCTCTTGCTATCTGATGATAGGCAAGTAATGATTAGGTTTAGGGAGTCAGGAAAGGATACTAACTTTGCTCCAGTTCTCTCCTGGGCAATGGAGATTAGGCAGAGGGTATGCTTGGAGAGGCCTTTGTGGGGTGAGCAGGGGCAGGTGGTAAGAAATAAGAGTTGAGAAAAAGACAGTTCTCTCCTGGCCTCTTAGTGGGGAACAATCAGGGAAGCCAGCTGTGGCTCCCAGGGGCCCAGGGTCCTCTGGGCTGGGGGAACCAGGGCTTCTCAAGGGCGAGTTCCTCTGGGGGGTTTTGGTTTGGTTCTGTTTTGTATTGGTAAGCTGTCGTTGCAGTATAACATACATAAAGAAAAGAACACAAATCATGAGTTGTTCAACTGATAAATTTTCCTCACGATGACTGTATTCACGCCCGGGACAAGAAAAGGATCAGAACCTCAAGAGTGCCCTTGCACGCCCTTCTAACCCCCTGGATTAGGTTGCTGGGTTGTGAACTTGACAGAAATGAACCATACATGGAGCGCTCTTTCAGGTCGGCTTCTTTTGCTCAGCACGATGTTTGTGGGAGTCACCCGTGTTGTTGCAGGAAGCTGTAGTATGCTCAGCCTCCTTCCTTGGCAGCTGGGCTTCCCTAGACAGTCATTGGAAGAGAGTAGCAGATGCCAACACCATTGCTAGGAGCCATTCCAAGAATCAAAGGCTCAAGTTAAACTCAATCCAATGAATATGTGACTTTGTGTTTTACCGGACAACTGTTTGCAGCATCTTCCCATAGAGTGTTCCTTTAGATTGTGGTCTAAATGATTGATTGGCATAATAAGAATGATTCCTTTGGGAGGCCAAAGTGGGCAGATCACTTGGATCAGAAACTAGCTTGGCCAACATGGTGAAACCCCGTCTTTACTAAAAAAACAAAAAAATTAACTAGACATGGTGTCATGTGCCTGTAATCCCAGCTACTCTGGAGGCTGAGGCAGAAGGATCGCTTGGACCCGGGTGGCAGAGGTTGCAGTGAGCTGAGATCGTGCCACTGCACTCCAGCCTGGGTGACAGAGAGTCTCTCTCAAAAGGAAAAAAAAAAAAAGGAACGATTCATATATGGCTAATGATTTGATACCAAATGAGCCCAGACAGGCACTACACAGAACCTCGGCCTTGTTTTCACTGTTTTGGAAATAATAACATTGGTTCTGCTCACTTTCTGCTCGGATGAATTCACAGAGAAAGTTAACACTGGCCGTGGTCACTCAGAAGTTAGGGCTTTTCAGTTAGCCCCTGTGAGATCGTCAGGAAGGCTAGAGACTGTGTTGGTCGTGGCCCCTCTGACTCAAGTTATAATGTGTGTTCACACTCCTGGCAGGCTGTCCACACATCCTCCTAATCACTTCACAGTGAGGGCCCGGGGCAAGGTGGTGCCTCACCCCCACTGGCCCTCTGAAGGTCTCATCTCTGACGAGGTGGGCGACAGCAGGCACTTAGGAGCAGATTTCCTGAGAGCCAGGAGCACCTGCCGACTGGCCTAATCTACCAGTAAACTCTGCCTGCTCAGAACCGGCCTGACGCTTTTTTGCATTTTGTGCCTGGCATCACTTGTGACTACTACTTGAAACTGCCACTTAAATCCATTTTCCCATTACAGGAAAGGTCTGATTTCATAGGAAGAAACGCTTTAAATTCAAGGCAGAGCAAAATCTCTAGCCACCATCAGCACTGAATATAAAACTGTTGGTGTGTTCCTGGCTGCGGAGGGCAGCTGCTGCTATTCCATTTCTGACACAAGTCTGGTTTTGTCATCGCCAAGGTCACTCCCTGGCCCTCCCTGGTCACGCACTGCCCCAGGCTGCAGGCACAGGGGGCCTTTGTGGATGCTTTCATTTCTTTTCTCTCTCGGCTCCAAAGATCAGGTTGCTGCTTGCTTTCTTCCTTTACCTTTCCTCCTTGGCAAGATTTTAAATTCCACCAAGATATTGTTTTCTCACTGTCCCTTGCCTTCATCTGGTTGTTTTCTAGCATTTATGGTGACCTTTTCCTTTCTCCATTGTCATACAACTCTTCATCATCACCATTTACGGTTTTTTCCTTCGCCAGAAAAAAAAATGCTGTAAGGTCCTACATACACTTGAAGCTCCTTCCGGAACCCCCGAGCCCACCACACCCCCATGCAATAGCTTAGCTGCCTGCCAGGCCTTCCTGCTTTCTGGCCCAATCCTGCCCATCTCTGGAGGTTGCTGTGTTGCCATGGCAACTAGCAACCTGCCAAGTCAGCAAGCTCCGGGTGTGCTTGTCTGGCCTTGGGCATTGGTCCAGCAGCCGACCTCCCTTAGCACTGTATGAAACGACCCCCTTCGGTAGCGCCTTCATCGTCCTAGAAGGATCCTGCCAGCTCTCAGTTCTCACCCATCCTGACTCAGTTACACGTGGGGGTGAAGATCACCCCAGGTGAAGAGCAGCAGAAAGTTTTCTGTATTTTCTCTGCAGAGAAATCTGTCATCACTCTGTCCTCGAGTAGGTTTATTGGAACGTCAAGAATGAGATTGGGTGTGGTGGCTTATGCCTATAATCCCAGTAATTTGAGAGGCTGAGGTGGGAGGATCACTTGAGCCCAGGAATCTGAAACCAGCCTGGGCAACATAGTGAGACCCCGTCTCTACAAAAAAAAATGTTTTAATTAGCCAGGCATGGAGATGCACGCCTGTCATCCCAGCTGCTTGGGAGGCTAAGGCAGGAGGATCACTTGAGCCCAAAAGGTTGAGGCTACAGTGAGCCATGATTGTGCCATTGCTCTCTGGCCTGGGTGACAGAAGTGAGACCCTGTCTTTAAAAAAAAAAAAAAAAAAGAATGAATGTCTTTTGAGCTGAAATGATGGTCTTCGCGTCTTCATGAGGAATCTAGTTGGGGACAGGGACGAGAAAAGCTCTAAGAAATTTGGGGCAGGGAGGACCCACACAGATTTTATGACATTTGCAAGGGTAGTTTTTATTATGTTTTCAACATCTTGCCGTTCTTAAACTATAGGAGTAGCTGGTTGTCCTAGGGAAGGGTTTCTATGGCGCCACTGTGGCATTTCTCTCTCGAAAGCTTCTCCGTAAAGTAGCTTGAACACATCATGCACAGGCTCAATCATGTATAAACCACTTTGTAACAAAGGCTCTCGGGCAGAGTGGCCAGGAGAGAAGCGCCACAGAGAGGGGGCAGAGGGAGCGGTAGGAAGAGAGGTGCCGTCACAGCAGCACGTGGGTCCTGGATGACTCAGCCAGGGGTGGCCACCAGCCTGACCTCCCCAGAAAACCCCCTCACCCGATGAGACGGTCGTCTGGGGACCTGCAGATGATGAAGTTAAAAGGACTTATTCTTTGCCTCGTGTATCTTCACGACTCGTGGTGCTGATATCAATAACCACGCTCAGATGGAAACTCGGCTTCCTCCCAGGCCATCCACGACAGAAGTGGCAGCTGAAGACGGGCTGGCCCGAGAGGCAGCGCCCCGCGCAGAACGCCCGTGCCTGGGAAGAGGCCTGCACTCCAGCAGACTTCCATGTTCGCTGGAAGCCTCCCTTCCTGACTGTGAATTGGGACAATGCGCAGACTTCCATGTTCGTTGGAAGCCTCCCTTCCTGACTGTGAATTGGGACGATGCGCGGGATTTTCTGAAACCTCAGTTCCTCCGTCTGTAAGATGAGATTGTGGGGAGGAGGGCGGACCTGTAAGTGCCCAGCCACGAGGGCTGAGAGATTCGAACTCCTTTGCTGCCGCGAAGAAGGGCCTGTTCCCCGGAGGCCAGGTGGGCTCCAGGCCAAGCTCGCAGAGGGGCCAGGTGTGCTCTGGCGGTGAGAGGGCCGCGCGTCCCGGCACACACCCCGCCCATTTCAGCACCCTCTCCACCCTCCTCAGATGACCAGAGAAATCCAAGCAGGCCCTTGGCTTTCAAGATTCAGCTTCAGCCATGCATAAGTCCTTCACTGAAGTGGCAGAGGAAGGACGAGCGGCTTTGTTGGATTGGGGCTGGAGCCCCGTGCCCGGCTGTGGGTGCTCGTGGGAGAGCCTCGCCCGGCCCTGCGCTTCCCGAGAGTTCGCCGGGAGCACAAGCCCTGGAGAGCCCATGGGCAGAGCTCACCAGCCCCACCTCACAGAGAGGGAAACTCCGAAGTGGCCGTGGATTTGCCCAGGGTCACCCAGTGACAGACAGCTCAGACTCCTTTCCCAGCTCCGGCCACCGAAGCTTGCAGGCGCGTCCGTTCCAGCTCAGATAAGCACCTCCGCCACGCTTTCCTCACGCCTTCATCCGATCTGGTGTTTCCCGGCCTGAGGTTTGGTTTTAGCACGCAGCAAGCACTTCCGTTGAAGCGTTAATCGAGTTTTATTTTGACTAGCTCTTCCGTCTCTTCCAAAGATACCTCCTGATTTCTACCACCACACGCCAGTTTTGCAGTTGTTGAATATTATACAGGTGGACTCCCAAGGTATCCCATTGCTGGGCTTTTACAAAACACTCACTGGCTATGTTCCTATCGGCTCTGGTATCGGTGGCCTGTGAGCTACTCACTCACAGAGCTCAACCTTCCTGCAGGTACCAGTCAGGACTAACTTCTGGAAAGAGAAGCCTTAATTTAAAAACATAAAAAATAAATTTTAAAAAAAGCTTTCCTACCAAATTCCTGATTGGTAACTGTAGTAACAAATTCAGGTCGGCTTCCCTGACCTTGGCTTCTGACAGTCTGGGATTCGTCACAGCTTCCTGGATGAGTCTCTAGAATGTTTTAAAATATTTTTAATTTTCATGGGTACATAGAGTCTCTAGAATATTATGAGACGTGTATACAAAAAGTCCAAGCCTGGGCAAAATAGTGAGACCCTGTCTCTACAAAAAATAAAACAATTTAGTCAGGCTTGGTGACACAGGCCTATAGTCCCCACTACTCAGGAGGCTGAGGCAGGAGGATCGCTTGAGCCCAGGAGTTCAAGGCTACAGTGAGCTGTGATCACACTATTGCACTCAGTCTGGGTTGACACAGTAAGACCCTGTCTCTAACAAAAAGAAAACGAAAAATCCATATGTGATAATCCATGCCAAATAAAGTTAATCATGATCATTACAAAATGAAAGTAATTTCCGTGCTTTACAAAATGATTCACTATTAAGTTACTTTAAATAGTAAGCTCTCTTCCTATGTTTTAAAATAGATGATCTAAATGAATTGAACCAATTTTCAGGAATATATTCATACCTATATCAAGGCATACCTGATTGGACCCTATATAATTTTTGTTCATTTATTTATTTGTCCCTCGATTTGTCCAGCCTGCCTTATTGATCAGCCGCCCCGGAGGGGAGGGGACTTGGGAGTGAGGTCCTGTGGAGGAGGAGGGGGTGAGAATGGAAACTGTGGGTTGTCTATCTTAATGTGATTTTCCTGACTCAGTGGGCTGGCGAAGACTGCTTGGCATTTGAGACATAGCTACTTCTTGGTCTGTCTCCCAACTAGATTGTGAAGTGCTTGAGGACAGGGGACATTTCAGTCTGAATGTGTCTGCCAAGAAAAAGAGCAGGAGAGAGGAAGGAAGGAAGAGAAAAAGGGAGGGAGGGAGGGAAGAAGGAAGGGAAGGAAGGAAGAAAATTGTATATAATAGCCGTAATGTCTGTGTAGGTACATAAATGGATACATAGATACATTTAAACCACAGCCTTACAGTTATTCAAGTATTGCTACTTCTTTATAATCTGAGACAGAGAAAGAGCAGTCATTACTCTCTCATACAAGCTTCTTTTTCGTATTGTAACCTGAGAATTTAGCATTAATTGCTACAAAGGAAGCAAATAAAACTCACTTGTGAAAACACAAATTGCCCTGCTGCCTTTTGCTTTTTTTGCCTGTTGATATAAATTGAAAAATACACCAGGAACAATCAAACTTGCAGTCGATGGCATTGACTGGAAGAAGGATTAGGAAGTGAGAGAACAGGTTAAAATGTGGTCCACAATTCTCAGCGATGGCTGGAGATCAGGCTTCACCAGGGAGGAGGGTTAGCTCAAGGCTCAGGCTCGTTTAAATATTTTCCCCTTCCTCTCCTTCCTGTGAATTTAACCAGGAAAACAGCACAGTCTGTCACCTAGGTAACTGGCTCTCCTGCTGACTGGTGGAGATTGGAAACCGCACCCTTTCTCACTGCAAATTTGCATTCGCAGCTGGGCTTCGGGTGACCTCGCCAGAGGACAGAAAGCTAATCCAATCCTGCTGCTGAATGAGGGTGCCCGGTCCTACCTGGTCCACCTGACAGGCATCTGCCTCTGTAAGGAGTCTGTTTAAGGGTCCCGCGTGCCCATTGCTTTCCTTCAGAAGGAGGCTGGAAAATGCTTTTGATTTGAAAATGATGAAAATGAAAATGGTCCTTGGATTGTCACTTTGTGCAAAACCCTGTATTTCTAATTGGGAGAACATCGCTTCTCCCAACCATGTTCCCGAAGAGCCTGCAGGTTAGGCTGGCTGAGATGAGGACAAAGACCTTGGGTGCCCAGTTTAGTCATGTTAATTAAAATAAAAAATTGAAGTGGGGAGGCGTGAGGAGAATGTGCCTGGACAATAGGAACCCCAGGCCGTGGTCGTCAGCTCAGTGTTTGTTCACAGCCGCTCCTTTCTTTGCCCCATTGTGCTGTCAGCTCGGTGACTTCTGAGAGGGGCTGGGCGCCAGCTGTATGCAAAGTGCAGAGGCCCTGGGGCGGGTGCCTGGGGAGAGGGGCTGCCTGCATCACTTCTGTGTTACTCGTTTTCTCTTCTCCTCATGGAATAACAGCTAATTCACACCTTTATGTAATATCGGCGAACTCACACCTTCATGTGATAACGGCTAACTCACACCTTCATGTGATAATAACAGCTAACTCACGCCTTTAGTTGTAGGTGTTATTCTCAGGACTTCCGTGTCTAAAATGACTTCACCCTGACCATAATAACCTAGGAGATGGGCACTGTTCATGCTGATTTGAGAAAGGGGCAATCCCAGATGCAGGCAGCGGAAGTGATTTGTGCAGGCCTCATGGCCAGTAACTGACTCCTGACACCCTTGGCACCGGCCACCCCCCAACTCGCCCCTACATGCAGGTGGGTTCAGCTCAGCAGAAGAGGGCACTCAATGCCCTTGAGAGCAGGTGCGGGACCCAGGCTGCAACTGGCCTTGCTAACTTGTCCCTGGCGTCCTCACTCGCTGTCTGGCCTGGCAAGCCCGCGGTGAGCTCCCATCTGTCCCCTGTCATCTGCGAGCTGCGCTATGGAACTGATCTGAAGGGCCATCCGCCTCCCCCTCCACCCATGCTCCCCAACCTTGACTGCTCCCTTAGTGATCCCTGTAGGACAGGCGGAAGCCAAAGGAAAGGAAAAGAGAGGCTGCATGGGTACCTAGGAAAACGCCTAGTTAAGAGGCATTATCTGAGCTCCTTCCGAGTGCCAGTCCCAGCTTGGAATGGGGAGATGCACTGCCAGTGAGGTAGGCAGGGTCCCGGTCCTCCAGGCTGACCTGCTGACCCGCAGGGGACACAGACAGGAGGTGCAAGGGAGCAGCAGGGCCTGAGGGGATGCACATGTTGCCACAGGATCAAGAGTGAAGAAGCTGAGGTGAGGGCTGTGACTTCCCTAGGTGCTCAGAGAACGCTCCCGAGGCTGAGGCCTGCCCGCCAAGACATTAGGGGGAGGACAGCCTCAAGCAGACCTGGGGACAGGCCCCCAGCAGGGCTCAGGAGCAGAAACCGGCCAGATGCACCCAGCAAGCAGAGGACAGTGGCCAAGGGAGGTGAGTGGCTCACATGACTCGCAGGCCTTGGAGAGGGATCTGCACTTCATTCTAACTGCAATTTTTCACCCAAGAGAAAGGAAGGTAGCCTCGGGTTGGGAGGGACCCATTGTGCAATTTGTTGTAAGGTCAATACACACCTGAGGTGAGCAAAGACCCACTGTGAGTGATCGGAAGAGGGATCATATCCTTCCAATATCTGTGATCGATCCCATCCAACCCTCCCTTTTATGCATGGTGCCTGACGTGGATGCTGCTTCCTCAGATCTACATGTTCAGTACACAGCAGAGCCTAAACTGGAGGTCAGTCTGGTGAGGGTTCTGGTTTGCCCCAAAGAGATGTGGGGTGAATGAGAGAGTGATGGCATCAGGCTCATTTGCTGACCAGAACCCTGGGCTGACCTAGAGAACGGTAACGAAAGCACAGGATAGATGAAGAAGTGGGAGAAATGGGGCCGTGTGTGTGTGTGTGTGTGTGTGTGTGTGTGTGTGTGTGTGTGTGTGTTCTAATATAGGAATGTGCTTGCAATATTACAATATAATGGCAAGTGAAAAAGAAAGGAAACTAAAGAAAAGATAAGGATTTGGAAAGTTCAGTATTTTGACAAAGAGAGAGAACTAAAGACAGAAAAGAAGAAACTGTTCAACAAATAAAGAGATCAGGTTTTTATTTGTTTTTACTGTGAAAAGGAATCATTTGCTACCTACCTCAAAGATACTGAGCCCAAGTCCCTGCTCTGAAATTCAAGCACACTTGTCAAAAATCTAAAACAATTTTCATTCAGTAATAGACACTCAAGCCTTTGGTAAAGATAGGATATCTGGAATAAAGTCAGTTCCCCAACCTCACATAATACACATAAAGTAGGTCAAAATAGGTCCAACTAAAACTCTTAGAATAAAACTCAGGAGTAAATCTTCATGACTTTGGGTAATGTCTTCTTAAATATGGCATCAATTGCACAAAACAACAAAAGGAAAAAACAGATATAGTAGACTTCATCAAAATGATAAACTTTCGTCAGGAGTTCGAAACCAGCCTGGGCAACATAGCAAGACACTGTCTCTATAAAAAATTAAAAATTAAAAACTTTTGTGCTACAAACTATCAAGAAAGTGGGAAAACAATGCACAAAAAATGTTGTCTGTATCAAAATCTTTGCAAATCATGTCTCTGACAAGGACTTATATCCAGAATATATAAAGAATTCTTACAATTCAATAATGAAAACACAACCTAATTTTAAAAATGGGCAAATAATTTGAATAGACATTTATCCAAAGCAGGTATACCAATGGCCAAAGCACATGGAAAGATGCTCAACATCGCTAGTCATTAGGGAAATGCAAACCAAAACCAGAATGAAAGCCTTCTTAATACCCAAGAGGATGGCTATTATCAGAAACATACATACTACCAAGTGTTGGTGAGGATGTGGTGAAATTGGAACTCTCTTACACTGATGGTGGGAATATTGAAGGGTGCAGCCACTTTGGGAAAAAAAATCGGTAGTTCTTCTGTTACTGGTGGAGGGTCTTGACTGCAGGTTGTCCAGTTTCTAGGCATTTCGAACAAAGAATTGGACAAAATGCACAGCAAAGCAAGGAAAGAATGAAGCAACGAAAGCAGAGATTTACTGAAAATGAAAGTATACTCCATAGCGTGGGAGCGGCCCAAGCAGCAGCTCAAGGGCCCCGGATAGAGAATCTTCTTGGGTCCAAATACCCTCTAGAGGTTTCCCATTGGCCACTTGGTGTTCACCCCATGTAAATGAAGTGGTGGCCTGCAATCAGTCTGATTAGTTGCGGAAAGCAACCAATCAGAAGCTAAAGTGAAGTTACAAAGATGCACTCCTATGCAAATGAAGACTTGGCCTACAGTCAGAGGCTGAAGTTACAAAGCTACCTTCCTATGCAAACGTCTGGTTGCAGAAAGCAACCAATTAGAGGTACTTCCAATTTTCCATCTGCCTTGCAGAAAAGGTGGGGGTTTGCAAAGAGAGTAGCCTCTGGTCCTTTTGGTACTTGGGCATGGAAAGCTGGGATTTTTCTTTTGATTTAGTTCTAGGAAGTCAGGGTGAATCAGCCTTAGGTTTCCTGCCTCCAGATCCTATTCTCCCCCACTTCAAAAAGTTAAACATATTACCATAAGACCCAGCATATGACTCACCATATGACTCAGCCACTTCTACTCTCTTGGATATATATTCGATAGAAACAAAGACATATATCACATACACACTTGTACTTGGATGTTCAGAGCAGCATTATTCATAAAAGCCAAACCCAGAAACAATGCAAATGTCCATCAACAGATAAACGGAGAAGCAAAACGTGGTCTATACATACAATGAAATATTACTTGGCTGGGTGCCATGGCTCACGCCTGTAATCCCAGCACTTTGGGAGGCTGAGGCAGGTGGATCACCTGAGGTCAGGAGTTTGAGACCAGCCTGGCCAACATGGTGAAACCCCGTCTCTACTAAAAATACAAAAATCAGCTGGGCATGGTGGTGCATGCCTGTAATCCCAGCTACTCGGGAGGCTGAGGAAGAAGAATCACTTGAACTTGGGAGGTGGAGGTTGCAGTGAGCCGAGGTTGCACCACTGCACTCCAGCCTGGGTGACAGAGTGAGACTCTGTCTCAAAAAAAAAAAAAAGAAAAAAAAGAAATATTACTTTACACAGCTATAACACTACATCATGGATGAACCTTGAAGTGGTTCCAGTGGTTTCACTTATGCCAAGTGAAAGAAGCCAGTGAAAAAATACCATACACTGTGAGATTCCATTTATGTGGCGGGTCAGAAACTCCCCCATCTCTGCAAGTCCCCCGACCATCTCTGAAAGTGTGTTCATCTCAAACTTCATGCCCTGCACTCTAGGCTCTGGTCACACTGGGGTCCTCACTACTCCTCAAATATGTTACCATCCCATCTCCTATGTCCACACCTTTATTTCTCATGTTCCCTTGAGTGGCAGATTCCCACACATCCTTCAAAGGTCCTGGTCAGCCAGGAAGTCTACTGGTCTCACTCTATTCCCTGAGCACTTCTGCTTCTAAAATAACACACAAGCAGATGGAGAGAACGATCTACGTCACATTCAAGCAAAAGTCATCAGAAGAGTGTTTAGTCCTTTGCAGACATGCGTGCACACCGTGGGCAAAAAGGAGGGTCTCACAGGTGTGAGTGGACTTCACAGAGGTGGGGATGAAAGAGGTGGATGAGCAGATGGGGAATAGTAATGCTAGCTGATACTGTTTGCACACTCACTCTGCCCTATGCACTGTGTGTAAACTGTATTCGTTTAGTCTTGTCAACCTAAATAACAGACAGGGAGATGCTCTAAAAGAAAATGATTAATTGGGAATAGGCACTGTAATGGTAGTATGTGTGTCATAGTAAACTATGTGTGTATTCAGGGAGGTAAAGGAAGACTAAGATTTTTAAAGGGAAAATTAGGAGGATCATATCATTGTTGAGTCAGATAATTATCTGACTTGTAAGGATCAATTAACAAGGGTGGTGCTAATCCAAGGTTGAACAGGTAGTGGCTGGGCAGATGTCTTTGAAGAGGTAGTTTTTGTTTTTTGGGTGCAATAGTTTTGGGGTAAGACGTCGGGTGTTGTAGAACCTCTTGTGATAGTTCCTGTTATCAGACATTTATGCATGAGAACCTTCCTTTCATGGCCTTCCCCAGATCTGTTTGTCAAGGTTTCCAACACAAGTGACTCCTCTTTGAGTCTGACAACTTTCACACTTTCCCCTGTTGATCAAAATCTTTCTCCAAAAGCACTGCTGATCAATCGTTCTGTAGTTAGGTTGTTGTTGTTTGGAGATGAGGGTCTCGCTATGTTACTAAGGATGGCCTTAAACTCCTGGGTTCAAGTGATTCTCCTGTCTCAGCCTCCTGACGAGCTGAGACTACAGGCACATGCCACTGTGTCTGGATTGTGGTTAGATTTCGATTGTCCTTTGGTGCTGGGACAGACCTGTCCCAGTTCGGTCTGGTCTGGTCCCCGCTGGAAGGAAGTGTTTAGTAACCAGGAGTCAGCATCAAAACCCTTCTAGCCACATTTGAGCAACAAAAGAGGTTGGAGGGAGTGGATCTCATGCTAGGCCCACAGTGGACCCAGAGTCCACTGTGAAGCTCAATTTTGTCTGTTCTGTAGGTGTTAGCTTCATCTCAAAGTGTTGGGCCAGCATTACTCTGTTGTACTTATGCAGGAATTTAACAAGTAACAAGTACAAAGCTTAAAAAAGAAAATATGAAGTAAAATGATAATCTCAATTTGTATAATAGTTTTGAGCCATAAACCTAGGCTTAAAGACAACCAAATTGAATAAGTCAAATGACCACAGGGAATTAAGTGAGCTTTGTAGTAAACATGTAGTCCGTTTTCTTATTTTGTGTATGTGGGTCTCAACTTTCCCAGAGGAATTTATCCTGGTACAGCATGTAGCATTAGCAATAGTGCAGGCATTTCCTTACTTGACCAACACATACTGTAGAGCAATTTTATTTATTTAATTAATTTATTTATTTTTTAGACAGTTTCGCTCTTGGTGCCCAGGTCAGAGTGCAGTGGTGTGATATTGGCTCACTGCAACCTCAGCCTCCCGGGTTCAAGTGATTCTCCTGCCTCAGCCTCCCGAGTAGCTGGGATTACAGGCACGTACCCCCACGCCTGACTAATTTTTGTATTTTCAGTAAAGACAGGGTTTCACCATGTTGGCTAGGCTGGTCTGAAACTCCTGACCTCAGGTGATCCTCCCCGCTTGGCCTCCCAAAGTTCTGGGATTACAGGTATGAGCCACTGCACCTGGCCTATAGAGTAATTTTAGCATCTAGTATCCTATGGCTGGATTGAATTAAAGCAGAGTAAGCCAGTTGTATTAGGAATGTTGCCAAGTCACCCACTAGGCTGACTAAAGGATCTCTTAGGCCAGGTTCTGTCAAGTTACCAGCAGAAGATACCATTACCTTGCCAAGTGAGCAAGGTAGGCATTAAGAGTGGTAACAGTCTCATTATAATATGGAGTCATTAAGTTCAGGCATCTTGAGAAAAGCTGTTTGCAGTGTGAAGCTATCAACTTCTTGCCCTGGCTTGCAGTTTGAATATTTCTGGTTATGGCATCAGGCAGTTTGGTGAACTTTCTGTGTGATCCATACATCAGGCCCTAGACTTATTCATTAAAATTCATCTAATTTCAGTTTATAATGCTCCAGGAACAGAACAGTTCCTGTTTTTAGTAATTCCATGGAAAAAAGTTGGATTGGAGGAATCTAGAAGAATTCAGGGTTTAGTTTAGTCTATAGGTAAATAATGAGAACTCAGAAACAGTGTTCAGGGCTACAATCTAATTACAGGTGTACCATAGCTTTTATTTAGAAACATAATTTTTTCTTTCTACGTTGAACACAAAAGAATCTCAGACTTCAAATTTTAAAGGCTCTTGAGGCTAGAAAGCCGAACCAAGGTAGATTTCAGATTTTACATAGTCTTAAGATTCCTGGGCCTGCAAGGAAGTGACAATTTTTACTCACTTGCTGCAATGCTGGGAACCCTTGAAGCCAGGTATGTATGCTACGTACATTCTCGAATATAACATTCCAGTCAAAGCCTTGGTACTACAACCAATATTTCCAACTGTATCCTATTATAAAAAGAGAGCAAATTCTTACTGAATGTATGCAAATAACCATATTGCCATAAGAATACTCATAAATAGTTTCCAAATTCTGGTGAGATCAAGTAGGAAAAAAAGTAAATGCTTCTGTCTGTGTTCACAAAAGTATATTTTACCAGTTACTATAAATTATGGATAGCTTAAGAGAAAAAAATTATTAAATCTGGAAAACAAAACATTTAAGTAACAAGCCAACGTGTTAAACAGAGTCATAAAAACATTTTCTTCATCAGTTGTTTAATCTTATGTAATTATTTCTGTTCTGCTTGATTTCCTGAATGATCAAAAAATTTGATACAGGCCACACAGGAAATCATCTTAATAAGTCAGAAAATATTTTTTTCTTCGGAAAGTTACCAAGTAGGTAAAGAAAAACCTCCTGCAGTGTGATTGCTTCTTCTTATGGGGCACCTGTTTGGATAACCTAGAAGTCAAACCTGATTACAAAGATATGTGAATTTAGTCAGACACAGGAAGAATATATGTCCACAGGTTATGAGTGTATGCCACATTATAGACAAACGTAAACAAGAAAGCTAGCAGCTTGAGCAGGGGAATACAGGGCTCTTAATAAAAGCATGGGAAATTTTCTGGTTATATGGAACAATTCTGACACATCAAGAAAAGCCAAGAGTAAGACTCGGCCGGGCATTGTGGCTCATGCCTGTAACTTTGGGAGGATGAGGTGGGTGGATGATTTGAGGTCAGGAGTTCGAGACCAGCTTGGCCAACATGGTGAAACTCGTCTCTACTGAAAACACAAAAATTAGCCGGGCGTGGTGGCGGGTGCCTGTAGTCTCAGCTACTCAGGAGGCTGAGGCAGGAGAATTGCTTGAACCCAGGAGGTGGAGGTTGCAGTGAGCCAAGATCGTGCCACTGCACTCCAGCATGAGTGACAGAGCGAGACTCTGTCTCAAGAAAAAAAAAAAAAAAAAAAAAGCCTAGAGAAAGACAGTGCTCCAAACTGTAAAGCTACAGTTTGGAAGGTGGTTGAAAATTTATTTTAAAAAGCAGATTTCAGAATTAAATCAAAACCTTTTGCAAATTTTACTAAGAGCAGTTCAATAGTTCAAGAAAGCCTTATTGTTCTAGTATATGGAACCAAATTTTTATGTTTGTGTTACCGTATTCTTAATATCAAAGCCAATATTTAGAAAGGCTTATAAATGGCCAAGCACAGTGGCTCATGCCTGTTATCCTAGAATTTTGGGAGGCCGAGGCAGGCAGATCACTTTAGGTCATGAGTTCAAGACCAGCCTGGCCAACGTGGCTAAGCCCCTTCTCTACTAAAAATACAACAATTAGCTAGGCATGGTGGCACATGCCTGTAGTCCCAGCTATTCGGGAGGCTGAAGTGGGAGAATCACTTGAGCCTGGGAGGTGGGGGTTGCAGCGAGCTGAGATTGTGCCATTATACTCCAGCCTAGGTGACAGAGTGAGAGCCTGTCTCAAAAAAAAAAAAAAAAAAAAAAAAAGAAAGAAAAGAAAAAAGAAAGGCTTATAAGCAATTTCCTTCTAACTGTAGCCAACTTGATCACATGCAAAAATTTCTCTCATAAATTCATCCTACACAGACCTTTTATAAACGAGTCTTCTTATTTAACAGACCTTCCACAACATGCTTAGAATTTTAGTTTTGTCCTATACTTCCTCCTTCTTAAATAACTAACCATTTTACTTTAGGACAAAAATTTACCATATAATATTCTTTATCATACACAGTTATTCTCTGTCTAATATTCTTTACCAATAATATATCTTTATACCTATAACTTTCTTCACATCCCTCTCCTACTTTCTATCTTGTTTCTATTGTATTTTCTTCCTAAGTGCATATTTTGAAACAACCTTTAATAACTTCTTAATTTAGACAAAATTATTCCTTTTTCTCAATAAAGAACATATATTATGCTTTCCTTATCATTTTTATCATCAAAAACATTTTTGTACACTTTGTATACAGAATCATATATATTAATTAGAATTTTTAACTGGTAAGTAACACTAATTTCCAATGAAAACCAAGGAAGCAAGAAATGTTAGACTGTCACGTATTTTATAGATATGAACCATTTTGTAATTTTAGAAACATGTTTCCCCAAAATATAGTTGTTATGTATATTAATAGAACGAAATATATTTAGTCTTTTTTATGAAATTCTAAAAGTCAAGAAGAAACATTTATGGGCAGCAACTTATGCTTCTGTGTTTTATCTTGTTTGGAAATGACTCAGATATTTAATGAGTATCATTTAATTTAACATAACATAACTTTTAAGGTTTTAAGTGACATGAAAAGTCCATTTATAAATGTTTATCCCATTTACATTTACCTAAGTTATTTGTTTTTAACAATTCTACCTAGATTACTTATGAAAACGGAGATATTAGACAAAGCTAATCATCATTTCGAGATATTTCTCTGTTAACCATCTTTATAGCCTGGGAATACCAGGTGTTCACCTAAGAAAAAACCTGGAAGTGAAATATATGGATATTTTTTCAAAAACTCAGGAGATACAGCTGTTTTTATGAAATGAGTAATATTTAATTGGTCTTATTTATCAAAGAATTACACAAAAATCGTCCTGTTTTTAGGCTGGGTTTATAGTTTTGTGACCTTTAAACATGTAGCAGAGACAAATATAGTCCTGCCTGACCAGTAAAATCAGGCAAAAACGTATGCTGACAATTCTGAAAACATTCTATTTTCGTCTTATCAACAAATTTATAACTAGCTCAAAGATTTACCTAAGTCAAGTGAACTAAAAGTCATTTCGGTTAATTACTATATATTGTATATGAGTGCTCATTTAAGCTAATCGGAGTAGAATTCCTTAAGGGATTTCTGGCTGACTACGCCAGATTTTGCCAAGTAAACACATGTGTAAACACACTCACACACACACATATAAGTAAAGATCTTTTAGCTTTAATTTTAGAATTTTTGTCATGAGACAGTAAAACTTAATAATACAAATACATCATTTATAAAAGACAGTCAGATCTAAATTATATTTCTGACAAAGTGGGACTGTCCACATGGCTAAATTTTATTTTTCCTGATAAGTAGTCTAACAAAGGCTGTGGACCAAAATTTTGGATTTTTTATTAAAAAATACCTCTTTTATCCTTTTTTTCCAGCTCCAAGTGAGTTTAGGGTTAAATATTTAAATGTTTATATTTCAGCTATGACTAGCCGAATTATATACAAAAAACAAAATCTCCAACTGGCCTTGAATTAAGCTATCTTTTGTTTCTAGTCTGGTTTGCTTGACTAGTCAATGTAGGTGGAGAAACAGTCGCCATGTAGTCCCTATATGGCAGACAAAGCAATTTGTATGCCGGACAAAGATAGCTTATGTGATTGCTCTGAACTCAAGATTTTGACCCATTTGATCTAAGACAGCCCAACTTTTATAAACATGTATCTAGTTATTTTATTTTAGAGTATCAATCCTTCAATTAACTATTCACTCTAAGCAATTGTGAGTCAGGCAAACCTAAATTAACATTTCCAAAAGGTATCTAGTTTGTTGGTTACCATACAGCTGTTGTAACTTGTAAAGCCGTTAATTTGAAAGCCCTTTAAGACATTAAAAAAGAATTTTGCCTGGAATGCCATAAGCAGTGAAATTATCTCAACACCAGCAAAAAAGTCAGCAGATTCGAAGTAGGCAGAAAAAAATAGAGAGAGATAGAGAACTTAGAAGCTCTACATGTTGACTCTATAGTCGGTTGTAGTTTTAAAATTCAGTTCTAAGGGAAAAACAAGCTTGGGGAGCTTGAATGAGCCCCACGATGGTCACTGACTTAAAAACATGCACAAGGGAAGCCTTGTAGCCAGCTGGAGTCCTAGAAAGTTGGCATTCCTTAATGTTTGAGGAACCCATTTCATTTATTATTAATCTCTTGAGAGAAAAGAAAATCCTATCAAGGAGTTTGGATCAGTATCTTAGATGGCAGCAACCACCCTAGTGGCTTTTAATTAACCATCTCATGCCCACCATTTAAAATGTTTATTTTTGAGCCAAGCATGGTAGGCCACAACTATAGCCCCAGCAACTGGAAAGGCTGAGGCAGGAAGATCACTTGAGCCCAGGAGTCCAAGTCCAGCCTGGGTGACATAGCAAGACCATGTCTCAAAAATAAATAAATATATACATAAGAAAGAATGTTTATTTTTGTTCTCAGAAGATGTTCAGAAACAAGCAAGGGAAAAAAAGAGTCAATTCGTTTCTGGACATGTGTAACCCAAACCAACAAAACCAAAATGAAACCAAAATCAGAGTGCTCACACAAATTTTAGCCCAGCTGTGCAGATGAAACCAAGTATTAAACTAGGTACACAGAACCAGAAGTGAAGTCACCCCGAAAGACACGCCTCACAGACAGAATGTAAATTCTGTAGAAAGCAGAGTACTTAAACCAGACAGACGTTGCCCTTATACCAGAAAGGACTCGCCAACGAACAAACAAAAACAAAAACAACCTTTTATAGTCCCAAGACGGACCCAAGGTTCTTTATGAAAGGAGGCCTTATAATAAGATCGGATCCTGAATGAGGTCAAAAGGAACCCATCAAACAGAAGTAGTCCAAGAATCCAAGAGGAGATTCACCAGGACAGAAAGAGCAACTCACGAAAGTGGAGAGCACAAAGGGCTCAGCTGGTACCACATTCAATTCCAGGGCTGCTGATTCACCCTAGGTGAGCTCACTTCTGTCCTACTTCTGACACCATTATGTCAACATAAATAACAAACAGAGAGAGAAGCTGGCTAAAAGAAAGTGGTGTTTATTTGGGAATAGGCATTGTGATGAGAATATGCATGTCTTGGGTAAACTATGTGTGGATTCAGGGAGGTGAAGAAAGACAAATGTTTTTAAAGGGAAAATGAGGATTACATAATTGTTTTGAGATGATTTTCCTTGGCTATAAGGACCAATAACCAGGGTAGTGCCAGTCCAAGTTTGAACAGGCAGTTCCTGGGCAGATGTCCTCACAGAATAATTTTTTTTTTGGTAAGGTTGCGATGACCTTTGTGCAAGGTTGTGGGTTTTGCAGAGTCTTTTGTGATAGTTTTTGTTATCAGGACTTTTAGGCATGAAAATCCTTCCTCCGTGGCCTTCCCTGGCTCTATTTGCCAGGATTTTTAATACAAGTGACTCCATATTGATTCTGACAATTTTCACAGTTTTCACAGCCCTTTTGGGATTAAATGCACTGATATTCATCGTGTCTACCTCTTGTCCTGATCCTGAATGCTATATAATTGTTTGTCAAATCAAATACACACGTAAAATGGAAATAGATAGATACCATTATTATCCTCATTTTACAATGGAAGAACTCAGGCACTGAGGCACAGAGAGGGTTAATAAGTTGCCCAAAAGGTCACACTAGTAAGAGACAGAAGCAAGTAGCATAGTGCAATCTTATGCTAAGAAAGTGGAAGAAAAGAAAGAAAATAAGAAAGAACCTAGTTATTATAGTTAACAATATGGTGTTGTGCACTCAAAAACTTCTTGAGAGAGGTAGATCTCATGCTAAGTATTCTCACCAAAAGAAATAGGAAGGAAGAAAGAAGAAAAGAATAAAGGAGAAAAGAAAGAAAAGCAAGAAGACACAAGAAATTTTGGAGGGGCTGGATATATCTATTACCTTATTTGTGGTGATGGTATCATGGGCCTATGTATTTAAAATGTAAGCACAATTTAAAACAATATTTTCAAGCTATATAGTAGCCAGTCAAATCACTTATGTTAGAATTTAAGGGGAAAAGCAGAAAGCTTAATTAACATAATGTGATAATTACAAATTTGGGAAAAAAGTGAGTCAAATGAATAGAGAAATATTGAAGGTGACTGTGGTTAACAGTCATGTTTCTTTTGGCAGATTTTTAGTTTCTTTAGTTATTTAAAATTATATGGAGTAATGTATATTCTAAAAGTTGCTTTTTGTTGAGTATGCATTATTTTAATGACAAAGAAAACAAACACTAAGGTTTTGTTTTTGTTTTTGTTTTTGTTTTGTTTTGTTTTTTTGAGAAGAAGTCTTGCTCTGTTACCCAGGCTGGAGTGCAGCGGCATAATTTCGGCTCACTGCAACCTCCGCCCCCAGGTTCAAGTGATTCTCCTGATTCAGCCTCCGAGTAGCTGGGATTACAGGCACCTGCCACCATGCCTGGCTAATTTTTGTATTTTTAGTAGAGACAGGGTTTTGCTATATTGGCCAGGCTGGTCTTGAACTCCTGACCTCAAGTGATCCACCACCTCAGGCTCCCAAAGTGCTGGGATTACAGGCATGAGCCACCGCGCCTGGGGCAACACTAAGGATTTAGTGTTTTAAAGAGAAGAAATTAAATCAGCCAGTGCGAGGGTGAGGACCTCATTTTTGTCTCTCGCTGCTGGCTAGCGGGGAGTATAGATGGAATGTGGAGAGGGCCTACTTGATCCAAGTACTCTGAACTTAACAGGGCACTGCAGAGCAGTCTTTTCTAAGTTTTGCAGAAATGTCTTCCACCTCCTTATACTTTTTCACATAAAGATGGCACTCCTATACATTTGGAGAAAACATTTTTTACATTGTTTGCCTGTCTGTAGCTCTTGGCCTATACAACATTCCCTGAGCATCAGAAGAGTTACCAGAGAAAACTTAAAATACGCCAACATTTGGCCCCTGTCCCAAGACACTGATTTAATCTGATGGAGTGGGGGCCAGGCATCTGTATTCTGGGTGATTCTAACGGGCAGCCAGGGCGCGGGACCCATGGGACTCTGCACCACCTGACCTTCCCGCTGGCTCAGGAGTTCCAGCCAATTCTATTTTTCCCCTGGAAATGTGGAAATTGGGGGATGATAGTTCCTTCTTGGAAATGTGGAGATGGGAGAGACTGAGCCAGTGGCTGGAGGGTGGGTAGCCACGACTGATTTGTATGAGTTGGCATCATAGGCAATAGCAGCTATGCGAGCAGAGCAGAGGCTCCTGGGCAAAGGCGGAGGGGCAGTGAGATGCTGCCAGGGAGTGAGCTCAGCTCAGACGCCCTCCAACCCCTTGGAACAACAGCATGCAGGAGCCGACCCTCCGCTCCTTGAAATGAGGCTAACTCTTTCAAATTCAGAAGTTAGGGCTTTCCTCCATTGAAAATAAGGGGGAGATTAAAAAGCAGGAAACAGCCCTGGAAGACCCCTCGAGAGGAATCGGCTCAGGTCTGTGCCTCATGACAGAGTCCTTAATCTGGGGTCTGAGCTTCTGGGTCTCTATGGTTGCTCGGGTAGAGTTCTATGGGCATTTGTACATACGTGCATTTTATAGAGGAGAAAGTCTATATGTTTTATTCTGAAAAGGGCCCATGAACCTTATAATTAAAAACAACTGCTCTATGAGAACAGAAAATTTTAAGAACGTCTCTCCTTCTAAACCTATGTAGGAATTTAAATGTTTTAGAAAACAAATACTGCGTTAATATTACAGAGAAAGGCAGAGAGAGAGATCATCAGTACGTTCAGTGCAAATTCTAAACGTATGTATATTTTGTGTGTATGTGTGTATTTATTGGAACTGAGGCTGGTTTTACAATATATCTAGGAGAATAATTCCATATGTTGGAGGATAGTAACTCTCATATAATTTGATGGGAGTAGATTGTGGTACAGCCATCATTTTGGGAAACTTCTTTTGTATTATCTACTAAAATTATAGCTAATAGAACTGCATGCACACGTGAATCAGCATTTTTTTATTTTTATTTTTTGAGATGGAGTCTCACTCTGTCACCCAGGCTAGAGTACAATGGCGTGATCTTGGCTCACTGCAACCTCTGCCTCCTGGGTTCAAGTGATTCTCCTGTCTCAGCCTCCTAAGTTGCTGGGACTACAGGCGTGCACCACAGTGCCCAGCTAATTTTTGTATTTTTAGTAGAGATAGGGTTTCGCCATGTTGGTCAGGCTGGTCTCGAACTCCAGACTTCAGGTGATCCAACCGCCTTGGCATCCCAAAGTGCTGGGATTAGAGGCGTGAGCCACCATGCCCAGCCCCACAGTAGCATTTTTAAATTGACAAGTAATAGTTGTCTATATTTATTGGGGCAGCATTATTAATAGCCCCCAAATGCAAGCAATTGAACAGTGGAATGGATAAATTGTGGCAGTTGCAATGGAACTCTATACAGCAATGAAAAAGAATGAAATAGAGCTATATAAAACAATATGTGTGTATGAAACTCATAAACGTAATACTGAGCAAAAGAAACAAGACACAAAAGAAAAAAACTAAACTATTTTATTTCTGTAACGCTCAAGACAGGCAAACCTAACCTATGGCGCTGGAGGTCAGGAGAGTGGCCACTCTAGCAGAGGCACAAGGAGGCTTCTGGGGTGCTAGTGATGTTCTATTGCTTGGTGATACTTGGGTGTGTGCCCTTTGTGGTAATTCATCAAGTTGTACACTTACAGCTTATATACTTTTAGTTCTCAATATTATGCACTTTAAAAATGTTATGCTTATTATCTGCAAACACATGCATACTGCATTACATTTAAATAATGAAGGACTTATATGCACAATATATAAGGAATTGCCACAGATATAAAATGTAGAAAACTGGCAAAATAAGCAAAAAGGGGTTTCACAAAAGAGTGATGAGCAGTCAAGCGGGTCCCAAACCGCAGCAGTGGGAGCTGCCAGGCTGACTTGCTACCTTTCCATAGATTTGGCCTGTAAGACAACCATGATCCGTATGGATGCAGACAACTTATTTCAAATTAGTTCCTTTTCCTCCCAATCCCACGGGGGCTCTGTGGAGGCAGGCGTCGGGGAGGCTGCACAGACAGGGGATCAGTGCACAGCTGAGGACCCCTGAGCCTAGGAGACCACCAGTCTCAGAAGGGGCTGCTGGCGGCCTAGTGACTCTCCTCTCCAGAGACATTGTCATTGTCACCCTGGAGTGCAAGCAAGTCTCTAGGGATAATTTTTGCTGTCTCTTTTTAATTTAAAAATAAATTATGAGCTGGGCATGGTGGCTCACGCCTGTAATCCCAGGACTTTGAGAGGCCGAGGCTGGCGGATCACTTGAGGTCAGGAGTTTGAGACCAGCCTGGCCAACATGGCGAAACCCCGTCTCTACTAAAAATACAAAAAATTAGCTGGGCGTGGAGGTGGGCGCCTGCAGTCCCAGCTAGTCAGAAGACTGAGGCAGGAGAATCGCTTGAACCTGGGAGGCAGAAGTTGCAGTGAGCTGAGATTGCACTACTGTACTCTAGCCTGGGCAACAGAGCAAGACTCCGTCTCTAAATAAATATAAAATAAAATAAATTATGAATTTTTGTCTTTTTTTCATATACTCAGACTAAATAAAGGCATTTTTACTGGTGCATTCCTCAACTGACTTTTCTTCTATGTGTTTGTAATCTGTAGTAGAAAAGATAACCCTGCTCACACTGTTCTTTCATTTCTGAGCTAAGGAAATTTGTAATGCTGCACATTTTCACTTGTTAATTAACTGTCTCATCTTTGGGTGGTTACATTTTAATCCAGGTGTTAGTGATAAAGTTCCCAACTTTAATAAGGTTAAGAGAGTACACTTTCCCCCTTATAAATGATAAATATCTTACCAGGTCCTCCAGCTAATATTAGAGTGTGAAATGTTTCCTTAAATTGATGGTTGACCAAACTTCATTTAGTTAGGAAAAGAATTGACTTATGAAATTTTTTAGTCCTTCATTTGCACAACTGCCATTTTCTTTTTATAAAATTTAAGCAGAAATTTACAAAAAGTATCTCAATTCTGGAGGCCACACGTCTAGTTTTCATCCCTCCTTGAAATTTTCACCTGGAGTTACATGCCCTTAAGTGGCACAGTCCGTGGGGCTTGACAGTGAATGCTTTACTTCTTCTTTAGGAATTTCCCAATGCTTAGAAGAGAGAACTCCTTAAAGTAAGACTTAACTTGTTTTTGTAAATAAATGAGAGATAGCAAGGTGCAGTGACAAGAAAATTGCACAGAGGCCAGGCAACTTGCAGTGAGGATTTTGAAATATTAAACCTATCGAAGGGGCACTTAATGATGAACAAAATCTTTTTATATTTTTTTCTATAATTGAATGAGAGTGTTTGTAAATCATTGAAAGGTGAGTTTACCTATGAGATTTGTTTCTCTCTCTCTCTCTTTTTTCCCTAGAGACAGGGTCTCACTCTATTACCCAGGCTGGAGTGCAGTGGCACAATTAGGGCTCACCGCAGCCTCCAACCCCTGGTCTCAAGCAATCCTCCTGCCTCAGCCTCCTGAGTAGCTGGGACCATACGCATGCCACCATGCCTGGCTATTTTTTTTATTTTTTGTAGTGATGAGGTCTTGCTATGTCTTTGCCCAGGCTGGTCTTGAACTCCTGAGCTCACGTGATCCTCCCACCCTGACTTCCCAAAGCGCTGTGATTACAGGTGAGAACTGTCGCATCCCGCCATGTTCTGTATTAAGATATCTGACTTGAGACTTCTGCTCACCCTCTCCAGAGACTCACAGAGCCAAATCTTAGCAGGGTGAAAGGGACTCAGGAAGGGGGCAGGGAGTGAAGTAGGAGTTGGGGAGCGAAGGCCAATTTAGCTGCTACCTTCTCTCTGTCTAAACCAGTGGTTCTCAAGGACAGTTCCTGGACCAGCATCTGAGATCTTGTTAGAAATGCGAGTTCTTCCTGGACCTGCTAAAGCAGAAACTCCGGCAATGGCCTCCTGCAATCTGGGTTTAGACAAACCCTCGGGGTGATTCTGATGCATATGAAAGTCTGAGAACCATTGCCCCATATTTCCAACATCAAAATTATTTTTAAGTTCAGAAGACTCTATGAATAGCTTCAGATGACAATTCAGAGCAGAAAAACAAAATATAATAGAGAATAATGCTGGATAAAGTATTTTCTTCCCAAAATATAAGAGAATTGATAAATAAGGAGAGGAGGTTACAGGAAGTGCACACATGTTTAACTCTAACTAGTGGTAAAATATTCTTTTCCATAATATGGTCAAACAATTTGAAAAACTATAGTTAATCTGAAAGAGAAAGTACAACTTTTTAGTTAGAACTTTTCTCTTTGAAGTTTCCTTGTCTAAATTCTTTTGGGATCACTGGTGAAAATGTAGGAAACTACCAAAGAAGTATAAACACAGTGAAATTTATCTTCAGGATTTTCTTTCTTCCTGACATGAACATGATTAAAAACAGTAGTCAGAATTCCCAAAGGAGATGTTTCAATATGTTCCTTCTTACAGCACCTAATTAATCAATGGCTGACCTGATATATAGCAAATAATAGTAGCGTACTCATAGCTAAAAAAACACTGAGGAAGGGCTGGGGCAGTAGCTCACGCCTGTAATCCCAGCACTTTGGGAGGCTGAGGCAGGTGGCTCACCTGAGGTCGGGAGATCGAGACCAGCCTGGCCAACATGGTGAAACCCCGTTTCTACAAAAAATACAAAAATTAGCTGAGCGTGGTGGTGGGTGCCTTTAATCCCAGCTACTTGGGAGGCAGAGGCAGGAGAATCGTTTCAGCTTGGGAGGCGGAGGTAGCTGTGAGCCGAGATCACGCCACTGCACTCCCGCCTGGGCAACAGAGCGAGACTCCATCTCAACAAAAACCCCAAAAAACAAAAAAACAAAAAACTGAGGAAGAAGTTTTTTGTTTGTTTGTTTGCTTGCTTTTGAGATGGGGTCTCACTCTGTTACCCAGGCTAGAGTGCAGTGGCATGATCATAGCTCCCTGCAGGCTCAACCTCCAGGGCTCAAGTGATCTTCCCACCTCAGTCCCCCACATAGCTGAGACTACAAGCATGTGCTTCCACACTCAGCTAATTTTTAATTTTTTTGTAAAGACAGGGATCTCTCTATGTTACCCAGGCTGGTCTCCAACTCCTGGGTTCAAACAATCCTCCTGCCTCGGCCTCCCAAAGTGCTGGGATTAGAGATGTGAACCACTGTGCCTGTATTTTCTTTTGTTAACTTTGGGAAATAACAAATGCTAAACCAATGTATGGCTTAGTGTACTCTAGGTAGAAATGTAAGTGCTTTGAAATGAAAGTAAAACCGGTAGCTTCTCCCCATAGAGACTGGCCCCTGCCACAGTGAAGTCAAGGGTGCTCGTGAACTTTGCAGGCGCCCTGAAACCCTGGTTGACACTGTCTTATTGCAGACTCAAAGTGAGGGGCCACAAGTCCATGCAGAAGGTGACCTTTGATTGTGGCACCCAGTTCCTATCTTGTCTTTCAGCATAACTTTGTGTTGAGTCAAAAATGCAGCCAACAAAAATGCAAATTCTATTGACAGAAAGTCCTAGAAATGTTGATAAAATTAAAATTTAAAAACAAATAGGCCAGGCACAGTGGCCTGTAAACCCAGCACTTTGGGAGGCCAAAGTGGGAGGATTGCTTAAGGCCAGGAGTTTGAGACCAGCCTAGGCCACATAGGAAGATTGCATCTCTACAAAAAATATAAAAATTAGCTGGGTTTGGTGGTGTGCGCCTGTAGTCCTAGCTACTAAGGCGACTGAGGCAGGAGGATTGGCTGAATCCAGGAGTTTGAAGTTACAGGGAGCTGTGATCTACACTCCAGCCTGGACTACAGAGTAAGCCCCAGTCTCTTAAAAAAAAAAAAAAGTCAGGGCGCAGTGGCTCATGCCTGTAATCCCAGCATTTTGGGAGGCTGAGGCAGGGTGGATCACCTAAGGTTAGGAGTTCGAGACAAGCCTGATCAACATGGTGAAACCCTCTCTACTAAAAATACAAAAATTAGTTGGGCGTGGTGGCGGGGGCCTGTAATTCCAGCTATTCAGGAGGCTGAGGCAGGATAATCGCTTGAACCCAGGAGGCAGAGGTTGCAGTGAGCCGAGATCGTGCCTCTGCACTCCAGCCTGGGCAACAAGAATGAAACTCCGTCTCAAAAAAAAAAAAAAAAAAAGGGTGGGGGGCAGCGCAGTGGCCCACTTATGTAATCCCAGCACTTTGGGAGGCCAAGGCAGGCAGATCACTTGAGGTCAGGAGTTCGAGACCAGCCTGACCAACAATGGCGAAACCCCGTCTGTACTAAAAATACAAAAATTCGCTGGGCATGGTGGGGGGCACCTGTAATTCTAGGGAGGCTGAAGCGTGATAATCGCTTGAACTTGGGAGGCAGAGGTTGCAGTGAGCCGAGACTGTGCCACTGCACTCCCGTCTGGGTGATAAAGTGAGGCTGTGTCTCAGAAAAACAAAACAAAACCAGAAGTAAAGAGGGGAAGAAAGTAGAGGGGACAGGAGGAAAGGAAAGAAATCTCCCTGAAGTGAATAAATCCACATATTCAAGCATTTGGATTACAGTTAATGGGGTGGTTTAGACCCTTGAGATCAAGGTGCAATTTTACGCATCTGCAATTTTTCTGCCACTTTTTCTGTAAGAAAGAAAATCTTTGACCAAATGGTTACACTTCTGAGGAGTGTGAAGAAGGAGAAGTGTGTCACTACTCCCTGGTGTCCTGGGCTCACAGCCCTGAGGTCCCACCTGCTCTGTGGGGCAGAGACTGTGCTGGCTGTGCAGCCTCTCCATTCAGAAGAGCATCCTTGGCAGACTGTGCTATCCCACTAGACACGGTGGACCAGAACCCGCGACTTGATTTCCTAAACTCCTGATGGGAGAAGAAAGAGGTGAAGAAGAAACTAATTTTTTTTTTTTTTTTGAGACAGAGTCTCGCTCTGTCGCCCACGTTGGAGTGCAGTGGTGTGATCTCGGCTCACTGCAACCTCCGCCTGGTGTCCACTGTCTGTCTTACAATGTGTCTGGTGTCTTACACATGGTCCTACATAAGACAGTAAGACAAAGGCCGACGGACACACAGCTGTCATTGCTTCCCATCCACTCCCACCCTCTCCTCCACCAGTTGGGCTGGGGGCAGACACCTGACCCAGGCTGGGTCAGTTGGATTTTCTCTCTCAGGAGCTTTGGAACACAGGTCCTGAGAAAAGGAGCTGATGTGCTACAGGCAACAGAGCTGCAGTGTCATATGTGGTCATAGCTTGAGCTATTATTGCAGTAGACCAAAGCCATGTGCAGAGAAATTACAGAAGGCGAGAGAAGCCACGAGTGGGCCAGGCTACATCGCTTGGGGAGACAAGCAGACACAAGGAACTCCACAGTGCAGAGAAGACAGAGGTCTCTGATTTTCCAGCATGATGTGGCTGCACGCTGTTTCATTTCTCAGAGGCCTGAGGGAGTAACTGTTATATCCTTAGTAAAACCATCTTTTACTTAATGTTGACTCAAGTGGGCTTGTGTTCTAGGTGTAAAAAAGTGAAAAGTGTATGTCCCAAATCTAATCTAGGGACAGAACCTAATTTTATGTGATGTAATCCCCAAACTTCTGGGAAGAAACTGACTTTTTTTAATTTAAATTTTTTTTTTCATTTTTCTTTTACCATGCAAGACTTCATCACAAGAAATCAACATTTTTGATTTTGAAAAATTAAGGCAATTTAATATTAAACTTTAATGGGGTTAAGACTTGTTCTGGGAAACCTGTTTCTCACTCACCCAGTCAAGCAAGACAAAGGTGACCTTTAATCAAACATCCTTTTCAGGTTGTATCTGGCCCCTTGATGACCATCTGATAACCACCTTTTTTTTTTCCCTGTAAAATGTCCCTGCCAAGAGAAAACTGTATTATTCTTTTTTTTTTTTCTTTTTTTTTGAGATGGAGTCTTGCTCTGTCACCCAGGCTGGAGTGCAATGGCACGATCTCGCCTCACTGCAACCTCTGCCTCCCAGGTTCAAGTGATTCTCCTGCCTCAGCCTCCCAAGTAGCTGGGATTACAGGTACCCACCACCACTCCCGGCTAATTTTTGTATTTTTAGTAGAGATGGGGTTTCACCATGTTGCCCAGGCTGGTCTTGAACTCCTGACCTCAGTTGATCCACCCGTCTCAGCCTCCCAAAGTGCCGAGATTACAGGCATGAGCCACCACGCCCAGCCACAAATTGTATTATTCTAACAGGGGCCTTTTCCTTTGAATATAAGATTGTACTAATCTCATATACAAATTGTCTGAAAGTTTTCTCAGGCAAGGACAATGAGGCAAGCTCTGAGGCAGCAGATGTCTCAATGTTCTCCTCAGCAGTGGTCTTACCTGGGAACTTGCTAGAAACGCAAATTCTCTGGTCACGATCGAACAACTGAATAGGAAACTCTGTAGGTGGGACCCCACAGTGTGAGATCCAGGTGATGCTGACATGCATGACATTTAAGAACCTCTGTACTCGGGACACTGAAGCTCACATAGTGCTTGTTGGATTCCTCTAAAGACTGAGCTTGGGTTGGGTTGTACAGGAGTGAAGGGTGTAACCAGAACAGGCTCCTTGCGCGATGCACACAGCACGTCAATCCGCTAAGACCACCAGGTTGCAGCAGAGAAAGAGGTTGAATCATAGGGTCACTGAACAAGGAGATGGGAGGGAACCTCAAATCCACCTCCCCAAGGAGTTTGGGGCCAGGGTTTTTAAGGGTTTGGAGTGGGCCAAGACATGGAGCTCGTTGGTGGGATAGTGCAGGGTGAAGTCGTCGGACAGGGAGAGGAAGTAGCTGTGTTTTCAGGCTGATCCCTTCCTCTGTGGGGTCTTCAAACTGGGTGCTGGAACTCAGGGTCTGAAAAACATCTTAAGTTAAACAAAGTCCTCATGCTTCTAATGTCAGCGATCATGTCTATAAGAACAATGGGGAGGCAAATTAATTCTCACACAGTCTTCTGACCCTGTGTCAGAAATCTCAGAAACAATAGGGAGACCTATGGGTCAGGGTCTACGGCTTCATGACTTTCAGCAATAAGGCAGTGGGCCGGAGTGCAGCCTGCCTGATGCTGATTATAAGTATATTTCTGTCCAGAACCCAGCACGCAATTTTTGTTAATCCTGTGGGGACATATCCACATGCCAGTTTTCCATATTCTTCTTGGCTCAAAGTGGCCTCTCTTCAATAAATAAATGATCCCCTTGAGAGGGGCTTAGACAGTGACCCGGTGAAAAGCCTCCCACTGTTTCCACTGTGGACTGTGGAGCTTTGTTCAGACAACAGGCCCAACTGTGGCTCCACTGGCCCTGCGATAACCCTACACTGTTGGCTGGCCTGGTTCCCCGTCCAGAAGGAGTTTAATGAGGAGGTGAACATGAGCACTCCTCACAGCGAACGTGCCCGAGCAAGTCAGCAGGACTCAGATTTGCTTGCAGTTGTTAGCCAAGCTGATCTCCTGCTGACACGTTTAGCTCGGGGACAATGTCCTGTCCCCAGACAGGAGGCCTGAAAACTTGACAGATGGCAAGAGCTAGCATCTTTCTTTAGGATGAGAAGCAGGGAAGAAGCCCTCATAATTGGAGGAACACACATTTTAAGAAGGAAAAAAATGGCCACTCCTTACTAGATCATTCCTCACCAGCCCCTCCCGTCTTCCTCAGGGGAAAACTGCTTTCTCTTTCCTCTGTGCCCCAGGGCAGCTCCAACTCCTCCGACGCAGCACGATACTGTTATCCTTGCTTCTAGACTGGCTCCTTAATGAGACTCTTTGAGGGCCAAAGCAATGATTAGTCATCTTTGTGTTCTCTGTGTTTGGCAAAATGTATTTGCTGGATGAATGAGCTTTAACTAGGGCTGGTGCAGATGTTTGGGTGGCAAGGGGAGTTGGCTAGCAGATCCTAAAACCCAGGCAATCAGCCCTTCCTGACTGTAGATTCCCGTTGGCCTCGCACGCACACACACATATACACATCTTAATGGTGATTTCAGGACACTTAAAATTCCCTTTCAGTTTAAAAAACCTTTAAATGGGCCGGGCGCGGTGGCTCACGCCTATAATCCCAGCACTTTGGGAGGCCAAGGTGGGTGGCTCACCTGGGGTCAGGAGTTCGAGACCAGCCTGACCAACATGATGAAACCCTGTCTCTACTAAAAATTCAAAATTAGCCGGGTGTGGTGGCACTTGCCTGTAATCCCAGCTACTCGGGAGGCTGAGGCAGGAGAATCACTTGAACCTGGGAGGTGGAGGTTGGAGGCTGCAGTGAGCTGAGATCACGCCATTGCACTCCAGCCTGGGTAAAAGAGCAAAATTCCATCTCAAAAAAAAAAAAAAAAGCTTTCAATGGCTATGGTGGCTAGTTGCAATGGTCCATTCAAATAGAAGAATTAGTTTCCACTGCCTTACTCCCAAAGAACACACACATCTTACAGAAAGGTGAGATACTACTCATGTGTAGGGTCATTTCGGTTCCCATCACAGAATGCAAAGAAAAGCACTGGAAATTCAAACTGCATTGTGTCAACCTTATTGGTTCCTTCGGGGCTGCTGAGAAGTGTACTTATGTGTTCTCAGTGCACAGAGGTTTGCTAAGGAAATGTAGAGTGTCAGCAAGACCAGGGACACTGTTTTCTTAGTTGAGCGAGGTGGCTTTATTCAGGGACTTGGACATTTGCATATCAGCCTCACGATTGCAGGGACAGCAGGAGCTGGCATGAATTAGGCTGGTACTTGATATGCTAATTACAGTTCTCTATAATCTTTGAAGGCTGTTTGGAAAGAGAATTTAGAATTGGAGAGAATGGAAACGCAGTTAGGTTAAATGACATGCCCAAAGGTCTCAGAGCTAATCAATGGGAAATTTGCTACGTGTTTCCAATGTGCGAAGAATACTACATGCAATACCTCCTTTAATCCTCTCAGCAATTCTCTGGTGAGTATTTTATTACTATTATTGCCATGCTGTAAGGGAAGCCACACAGAGCTGCCACTTGCCCAGACTTACTCTGCTAATGAGTGGAGGAGTCAAATGAGGTTTGTTGAGATTTCGGCTGAGGTCAATCTGGTCCCAGAAAAGAACATTCGAAGGTCATTCTTGGCTTACCGGGAACAGAACTAAGATTGTCTCCATTTTTTTTTTTAATCACTCAAAGATTTTAATGCTCAGTTTTTACAAACACATTCAAGTTTCCATCCAATTTTCTGATTCGTAGCAAAATGTACTAGCTTTAAAAATGTGCATTCTTCAGCTTTCTCCTACACTTTTTCGCCTATTTTTCAAAACTGAGCACTGGGTATTTTTAACGTAAGTGATATTATGTTATATGTGCATTTTAATTGCATGTTTTTCGGAAGAAATGAAATCCATGATATTTTGGGTAACTCATAGTGTACTTATAAAATGAAAAGCTTGCTATCAAAATATACTTTTCACTGGGAAAAAGAAATAAAACAAACAAATGGATCTACATGAATTAAACATTGCCTTTGATAGATTTCAGTGCAGGACAGTCCAGAACAAACATATTTGCTCTTATTTCCCCAGAGCTGCTCAACTTCTTAGCTGAGTATTTCAATAATTTTTTTTTTTTTTGAGACAGTCTTGCTCTGTCGCCCAGGCTAAAGTGCAGTGACGTTATTTCGGCTCACTGCAATCTCCACCTCCTGGATTCAAGTGATTCTCCTGCCTCAGCCTCCGGAGTAGCTGGGATTACAGGCCTTGGTCACCACACCCGGCTACTTTTTGTATTTTTAGTAGAGACAGGGTTTCGCCATGTTGGCCAGGCTGGTCTCAAACTCCTGACCTCAGGTGATCTGCCCACCTTGGCCTCCCAAAATGCTGGGATTACAGATGTGAGCCACCGTGCCTGGCCTATTTCACTAATATTTTTAACTGAGATTTTATTGTGTTGGCATTTGTTTATCATTCCACATCTTTAGCAGAGCTCTGAGTGCTTACAATTTTCTGATAATTGTTGGGAGTTTACTCAGGAGCATTGGACCACTGGACACTCGCAGTAACTGTCCACACCCAGCACTCCCTGTCATCAGATGCTCCATGTCCTTCTCACACTCACCTTGAGCTAGTAACTCTTCTCTGAGCTGTATTTCTTCAAAGAAGATTTCTGAACAGCTTCAGCAACTTTAAGGTCAGGTCACTTGCAAAGCTCAGCTCTCTCCTTGGCAAGCTTCTGTGTCTTTCTTTGTTCTCACAGCCTGTTCTTGAAGGTAGGGTCACTCCGTCTCTTGTGGCCTAAGTAAATGCAGTACCCAATGAAAAGGGCCCTGCGTACCCTGGCTATGACGGCACTGTTCTGGCCCAGCGTCTTTTGTAGACTGTGGCGTCAGGGTCTCAATTCCTAAATCAGCAATGAACATCTGCTGCTTAGTTCCTATTATTACTGTACATAAAAGGCTGCATTTCTTAAATTGGAAAAAAAAAATGGGCATTTTGTACATTCAAGTTGGCCTTCTAGTTAGTTCCCGACCAAATTAACCATTATCAAGATGTTTATATTTCACTGAATTCACGAGCTGTCTGACAGCAACAAAGGTCATATGAACATTGTGAAATCAGGAGTGAAAACATGGATGTGTCTTTTTTCTATTTCCCCCCTCATTTGAGATTTGCAGCGTACTTAACAGCAACTGATGTGGTATATTCTGTCCTTAAATTTAAAAATTATAAAAGTAAACACTCAGGTTGAATATTTGGAGGGAAACATTGATACTTTTGCACAGCAAAAATAAATACATATATTTCTCCTTTATTCAAGAAATTTCTCAGCAACTGGAAGTGCTGCTGTGAGACTTATCCTGAAATCTGCACACGCTGTGGTTATTCGTGCAGGAGAAACGTGGGAATGTGCTGGTTCCTACGGCAAAGGCCCCGGTTGGGGCTTCTCCCTCCCAAGCTGTGCGGTGACGCCAGCCACACATGCAAGGACAGCAAATTGGAAGTTGGTCATCACTGAGGACTTAGGAGAGCTTGGGTGGGTGTGTGGGGTAGATCTGAGGGGCTAAGGAAGGGGCACAATGACAGGGATGGGTGCTGGCTGTACCCGGCATGCAGTAGATGCTCAACAAAGGTGGAGTCTCAAGACAGATGGCTCAGAAGTCTTTGGGGAAGGGGAAGGAGAGGGAGTTCAAAGATGAACCTTTGGAGCCCAATATCAATTTAAAGGAGCAGAAAAGCAGTGCAGACAAGGAGGCTTCTCATCTCTAAGCATCTGCCTGTTCCTCTGCCTTCTAGAAGACACTTCCTGTTAGAATTTCAGGCTCATGCTCCTGGCCTTCCCTCTTCTCCCTGCTTGGATCAGAGTCTCGATCAGAACATAGCTCCTGGGAGACCCCACTGGCCTTCAAGACAGACAAACAGGAATAGGGGGATTGTGGCAAGTCTTTCCCCACTCAGTAATGTGGAGAAACTGCCACGGGAGATAAGCAGCTGAAAATGTTTCCATCTATGACCTAATAAGCCAAGTCAATTTCACACACACACACACACACACACACCATCAAAAACATCATGAATCCCGATGACATCACTTTTGCATCTGCAATGCTATTACTATTGTTAAGGGCCTTCTAAAGCACCTTGTTAAATCAGCATTTGATCCAATCACACTGCCTGCACTCAAATCAGCGTCTGAGACAGCCACAGGCCGTGCTTCTTCTTCACCGCACCGCACATAAGCACAACCCAAGCACGTACTTGGGCTGCTGACGCTTGGCCACTGCGTGTTTCCTCACGTAGCACAAAGGGACGCTGGGCCACGCAAGGTCGTGTTGTTCAATGGCAGCTGAAATGTCACAAGCAGGTTTCCTTGAGCCTTAATGGGTTTTGTTTTCCCAAAGTCTCAAAGAATCGAACCGCTTGCCCCCTTTCATCAGTCTTCTCAGAACACTCCCCCAGGACCGAATTTAAACTTCTGGAGGGATCAAAAATCAGCTAATTAATCAGGAGCTCAAAGCCAGCCTCTTCCTGGATCAGCGCATGGGGGTTGTGCTCCTCCACACTCACCGCCCTATTTAATGTTTTAATTAAAAAATTTCTTCCTCATCTTTTCCATTTTTAACTTGTATAGAACTCGTTTGAGTGGAACTCTTTCGTCCTATGGGCTCCATGCACTCCCAAAGGCCTCCGATTCTTGATGAGCATAAAACCTTCTCTCCACCATCATCTCACTTGCAAATGGAAATTCCAGAGCTGCTCCTGGCTCTGAGAACCCCAGGGCAGACATCTAGTGGGAACTTTCCATGAGGAAGCAAGACATCTCAGCATGTCTGACTGTTGTCTGAGGACCCTTAGCTCTTTCCTTCCAGCCACTTCTCTGGCATCTCTTTCCTCTGTGCATCCTGCAAAGTCGGCCCGTCTCACTCTTCGGAAAGACCCCAGCTCTGATGGTGGCCTGGTGCCCGCAGGGAGTAGAGAGTGTATGAGAGGAGGCAGCACCCAGTGGGGCAGGAGTGTGTGCACCGCCAGGCACTTCGGAGTTCAAAGCCCGGCCCTGCCACTTAACAGTGTTATGGTGTGGGGTGAGTGGCTTATTTGCCTTGTGTCTTGGTTTCTTCATCCGCAGCACTGAGAGAAAAATAATATCTGCCTTCCCCACCTTAGGACCCATTACCGCATTGACAAGGCTCATTTGCTACCTTCACCATAAAGCCTTGCCAAACCTAATTACTTCCCTTGTAGGTTTTTGTTCTTGTCTTCGAAATTTGCAAAACAGAAAACCTATTTATTTTCCGATGAGAAATGGAACTATCAAGCACATTGTTTGCCTGTAAGCAGATTTATACGGGAAGCTAAATTATTGTCAGGATGTTGGCTGTGCACGGCTCAGAGGCGCTGGTGTTGTGAAGCAATGATGGCCTCACACATTCATCTCCACTAATAATAGCTCATCCTTATTCAGGTGGTGCTAGATGCCAGGTGACGGGACTCTAAATGTTTATTTATTAAATTTTAATCCTCACTATAACTTATGAGTTAAGAACTGTTATAAGCTCCCTTTCACAAACAAGAAAACTGAGGCATGGAGAAAGTCACTTATCCAAGGACACACAGCTGGCGATGCTGGGGTCTGCCCCAGAGCCCAAGCTCTTGGCACTGTGCTCTCTCTCCAGGGAGAAGACTGCAGCGCAGACTCCACACTGCTTTCCTCTGCGCCTCTTACCACGCACATCTGTACTGCTGGGCTAACTTCCCGGGGAATATGACCTGCATGATCTCACAGGATCTGTGCTTAGAAGAGTTTCATCCTAGGGCAGGTGCCGTGGCTCATGCCTGTAATCCCAGCACTTTGGGAGGCTGAGGCAGACAGATCATGAGGTCAGGAGTTCAAGACCAGCCTGGCCAACATGGTGAAAATCCGTCTCTACTAAAAATACAAAAATTAGCTGGGTGTGGTGGCAGGCACCTGTAATCCCAGCTTTTGGGAGGCTGAGGCAGGAGAATCTGCTTGAAACTGGAAGGCAGAGATTGCAGTGAGCCGAGATCATGCCACTGCACTCCAGCCTGGGTAAAAGAGCAAAACTCTGTCTTGAAGAAAAAAAAAAAAAAGGAAGAGTTTCATCCTTAGTTTAATACTCTGCTGTTGCACTAAACTTGAAATTCTTAGCCCATTGATCTCTGAACCTGCGTTTCTTAAAAGAAATCCAGTGGGACAATGGAGTGTATGGATGAACAGAGCAGACACATGCAAGATACATGTCTGCTGTTCCTTGCCATCTGATTTGCACACTGCATTCATGTGGCCCCTGAGCACAGCGTTCCAGTGGGCCACGACATACAGAATTCGGCAAGGCTCAATGCAAATACAAGGTAAGGTAAGGATGTGGTGTCCATGACCAAGTAGGCAGAGGCACTGGAGCTCTGAGAGGCTATGCTTTCCTTTGGACCAGGAACTGACCAGAACTGGCTTTTGAATGCAGAAAGGAGACAGACAGTAGTGTTCAAAGATGCATAGATGGCCAAGAAACCCTATCACATCCTTTCTTACTCATGCAATTTCCCTCTACTAGCCAACCCACCGTTCCTTTTTCTTCTAATTCTTCCTTACTCTTTAGTAAGCTGAAGGAAGAGTGTTTGTAAAATACATGAATATCAAGAAGCAAAACAAAAATAGATGAGTTAGTTTGGGACAGTGTTTCTACAGTTCTAGTAAGAATAAAACATATAAGTATACGATATTCAAAATATAATTTGTGTAATATCTGTGATCCAACGTGAGCTAAAAGCCCATGTTTTTTGCATTTAAAAGTGGCTTTGCACAACAGAAAGATTTATGGTCTTGTTTTTGTCTTGATCCATCACGATCTTAGAGTGCCCTTTTGCGAGGCTAAGGTTCTGTGAAATGGTTTATACTGAGCAGGAGAACACAGGGCCTCGCTCAGAGGGCCAGGTGAGGTCCTAGGAACACAAACGCCTGGGTGACCATGGGGGCCAGCTCCAAATGTCAGCCACAGCTTTTCTCTTTCTTGTGACATTTCCTGTATGAGATTATGTGCCCCATCAAGGCAGGTACCATGTTTTTTTCATCCCTGCTGTTCCCAATATCTATACATGGCCTAGCATTTTTGAAGGTGTTCAATAAAGAATCTTCAAATGAATGAGTGTATACACGGGTGAGCAGATGAACAGGATTCTTCATTTTCTATCCCAGTTGGATTCAATTTGGAGATGTTCTTACCTGTGGGAATGTGCGTTAGTCATGGCTGACCATGCAGGCTGAGCTGCCCGGCCTGGGCCAGTTCACACCTGTTGTCCCCTGTAATTACTGACTATCTCCTTTCACTCTCAAATGTTCTATGATCTGTATGATAAACTATATGACCACCCTAATTACAGAAGGTAGGAAGCCTTCAGAACAAGAATAATAACAAGAAGATACCAGTCAGGGGACTTCCTAAAGATAGGTGTTGATGAAGGAGGGGACAGCAAATGCTTTCTAAGCCCTCTTTCTTTTTCTTTAGATGGGATCTTGCTCTATGATCCTGGCTGGAATGCAGTGGTGCAATCATGGCTCACTGCAGCCTCAAACTCCCAGGCTCAAGCAATCCTCCCACCTCAGCCTCCTTAGCAGCTGGAACTACTGGCACATGCCACCATGACCTGCTAATTTTTTTTTTTTTTTTTGGTTGGGGGGGGATGATGGGGTCTTGCCATGTTGCCCAGGGTGGTCTTGAACTCCTGGGCTCAAGCAATTCTCCTGCCTCAGCCTCCCAAAGCGCTGGGATTACAGGCATGGGCCACCACACCCAGGATCTAAGGGCTCTTTCTGCTCTCAGATTCTTAGATCCTGTGAGATATATTATATATACACATATGTATTATATCATATATATTATATTTTATATGTTATTATATATATATAATTTTTTCTTTATTTACAGGCATACCTCATTTTATTGTGCTTTGTTTTATCGCACTTTGTAGATATTGTGTTTTTTACAAATTGAGGCTTTGTGGCAACCCAGCATCGAGTGCGTCTACTGGCACTACTTTTCCAACAGCATGTGTCACTGTGTCCCATTGTGGTAATTCTCACAATACTTCACAATTTATCCTGACTATTATGACCATTATCTGTCATGGTGATCTTTGATCAGTGATCTTTGATATTACTATTGTCATTGTTTTGGGGTGCACTCATATGAGATGACAGACTTAATTGATCAATGTTGTGTGTGTTCTGACTGCTCTGTGGGCAATATTTAAAGGAGGGAATACAAAATTTACTTATTCCAAATCCACAGTATTGAAAAACACAAAACCATGGCTAACACTCAACATTCTACCCCAATAAGGTCATCAGGAATATGTAGAACTAACTGGGATATTGTGAAACATGTATTTGGTTTTCCTCCCCCTCTCCTGGTATATAGCTCCTAAAATCCTTGGACTCTTCAAAGTGATAAATGCCTTTCTGTAGCTTCAGGATGGGGGCTGTCACTGGAAAAACCAAGACAGGATTATGGAGTTGGGACTTTCAACCCCACCTCCCAATCTCCGGGGAGCGGGGAAGGGCTGAAGGTTAAGTTGATCAGCAATGGCCAATGGTTTAATCACTCATGCCTACTTAATGAAGCCTCCATAAAAACCCAAAAGGACTGGGTTCAGGGAGCTTCTGGATCGCTGAACTCGTGGAGGTTCCTGGAGGCTGGTATGCCCATGGAAGCTCCATGTCGCTTTCCCCATACTTCACCCTATGCATCTTTTCTTCTGTGTCCTTTATAATATCCTTTATAACAGTAAACATGTTTCCCTGGGTTCTGTGAGCTGCTCCAGCAAATCAATCAAACCCAAGAACAGGGTCATGGGAATTCTGATTCATAGCCAGATTGGAAGCACAGGTCACAGCCTGGGGCTTTTGATGAGCATCAGAAGTATGGTGGGTGGCCTTATGGGGCTGGGGCCTCAACCTCTGTAATCTGAGGCCATCTCTAGGTGGACAGTGTCAGAATTGAATTGAACTAGAGGACACCCAGCTGATGTCCACTGCAGAATTAATTGCTTGTTTGCTGGGGAAAAATCCCTGCACATTTGGCATCAGAATTGTGTTGTGAGGGTAGAGTGGGAGGCAACTGAGTTTGCTTTTTTGGCTCACCAACATCTGTTATATTAATTCCATCATATTAACCTTCCTAATTATGCTATTCTATTAAGATTAGTTAACATCCTTTGAGTATATTTTGTCTGAGAATGAACAGAGGTGATGATATGGTTTAGATGTTTCGTCCCCTCCAAATGTCACATTAAATGGTGACCTCCAGTGTTGGAAGTGGGCCTGGGGGGGGGTGTTTGGATCATGGGGGGGGATTCTTCATGCGTGGCTTAGCACCATTCCCTCAGTGATGAGTGAGTTCTCGCTCTGAGTTCACACGAGATCTGGTTATTTAGAAGTGTGTGGCACCTCCCCCAACTCTTGTTCCCACGCTCACCACGTGGCGCCTGCTCCCTGTCACCTTAAAGCGTTATTGGAAGCTCCCTGAGGCCCTCACCAGAAGCAGATGCCGGAGCCAGGCTGGCGTAGCCTGCAGAACCATAAGCCAATTAAACCTCTTATCTTTATAAATTACCCAGCCTCAGGTTATTTCTTTATGGTGACACAAAAATGGCTGAACACAGGCGACCTAAAGTTTGTTGTGAATAATGCCATACTGAGAATTATTAGGTTGGTGCAAAAGCAATTGTGGTTTTTGCCATTAAAAGTAATGTAAAAAGGGTGGGGCACAGTGGCTCACGCCTGTAATCCCAGCACTTTGGGAGGCTGAGGGGGGGTGGATCACCTGAGGTCAGGAGTTTGAGACCAGCCTGGCCAACGTGGAGAAACCCTGTCTCTACTAAAAATACAAAAAATTAGCCAGGCATGGTGGCGCGCACCTGTAATCCCAGCTACTCAGGAGGCTGAGGCAGGAGAATCACTTGAACCTAGGGGGCGGAGGATGCAATGGGCCAATATCATGACACTGCACTCCAGCCCGGGCGACAAGAGCGAAACTCCATTTCAAAAAAAAAGTAATGTAAAAAGTAATAAAAATAACACTTTTAAGTCAACCTTACTCAGATTCATAAAGCTGGGAATAATATTAAAGCTTATTTAAATTCCACTCCTTAATTTTATAGACAAGGCCTCTAAGGCCCAGGAAGACTGAGCCTATTTTGTGCAAGGTCACTAAACAAATCATTGTGTCCAGGCATAGAACCCACATTGTTCTATCTCTTCATTGGTAAAGTATGCCTGACAATAATTTTACACAGGAATAATATTTAAAATGTTTATTTCATAAGCACTGTTATTTGCTGCTATGGAACCTTCTGTAAATCCATGGTTCTATTTTTGCTTTCCATGTAAACATACCCTTATTTTGTATGTAAAGATGAGCTTAGAGTTGGGCTGGAAAGCCAGACTTCCTTCCAGACAGCAGGAGGAAATGGGAACAGGCATCCTCTATTTCAAATCTCTACTTCTGTTTCGACAGGTAATAATGTTGCCAGATGCCAGGGGTTCGGGCCAGGTCCAGTTGTCACTGTAGAGAAAGCCAATCACTGAGATGATGAGTATTGCTGGGGAAGAAAGGCTTTAATGCAGGTGACATCAGCTGGGACATGGGAGACCAGTCTCAAATCTATCTCCCTAACTATCTAAAGTTAGGGGTTTATATAGCAGGGGGTTAGAGAGAGGTAAAGAAGAGGAATTGGTCAACAGGCAGCAGGTGCATCTCATGACTGGATGCCATCATCTGAAAAGTTTCAGTTCCCTGATACTATCTGGGAGCCCTGATGGTTGGTTTCCCGAGAAAGAAACTCAGACAAAACAAATATAAGTTCCTCAGGCTTCAGTTCTATGGGAAAATCAAGCCAGGTTCAGCAACTCTGTAGGTAGAGAAATCAGCAATGGTGAATTATGATAAGAGCAAACATGGTGAGATGTAGAATGTTCTCAATTAACCCATTAATTTCTCTTAAATTTTTTGGAAACACATGCTGCTGACCAGGAAAGGTAGAGAACTTTGATTAGTTTTCCTTACATAACAACGTATTTTTCCTGTGCAACAAGCTTAGAATCCCAGGATAATTTTTGAAAGTTTAGCAGTTATGTTTTAAGAGAAAAAGAGTTCAAATGTTCAATTTCAAGGCAATATGCCAAAAGGTTGCAAACATGTAGCAAACATGCCAAAAGGTTGTATAAGGGAATTCTGCCTCCTCTGATGAAAGAAGATTCTTAGAACCACCTGGAGGCTGTTTTAAATTATACATACACCCATCACCGTGGGGCTGACCATTCCATAATAGATTCTATTTTATCCCAGTGGGGAAGGGTGCCATCCCAAAAGCCACCACAAGGGGGCACCCTCCGGGACATCGCGGCTCTCTCGGGGCAGGAGCTGTCTCTTTCTCAACCCTGCCAGCCCCAGAGCCCCACCTGCTTTTTTTTTTTTTTTTTTTACAAATGCCATTTAATTTCTTTTTTTTTTTTGCTAGAACAGTTTTGCTTTTATTAAACTATTTAATAAGACATATTTTAAAAGTAAATCAAATTTGGCTATAAATACTTTATATTTAAAAATTAAAATTCTTGAATTATACCCTGTATTTTGCCTTTTTTTCTCATGTAACTATTTTAATGAGGTATCATTCACGTACCATAAAATTTAACTTTTTAAAAGATACAATTCAGTGTGTCTTAGTATATTCACAAAGTTATACAACTATCATCATTATGTAATTCCAGAACACTTTTCTCACCCCAAAAAGAAACCCTGTACCCATTAGCAGCAGTCACTCCCATTCCTCCTTCCCTCAGCCCTTGGCAACTACTAATCTACTTTCTGTCTTTATGGAATTGCTAATTCTGGACATTTTATACAAATGTAATCATGTACTATGTGGCCTTTTGTGGCTGGTTTCTTTCATTTAGTATAGTTTTCAAGGTCCATCCATATTGGATCATGTATCAGTACTTCATTGCTTTTTGTGGCTGGATAATATTTCATTTATTAATATACCACGTTTTGCTTATCCATTCATCTACTGATGGGCATGTGTATTGGAATACTACTATGAACATCTATGTACAAGTTTTTCTGTGTATATATCTTTTTTTTTTTTTTTTTGAGACGGAGTCTCGCTCCGTCGCCCAGGGTGGAGTGCAGTGGCGCAATCCCGGCTCACTGCAAGCTCCGCCCGCCAGGTTCACGCCATTCTCCTGCCTCAGCCTCCCAAGTAGCTGGGACCACAGGCGCCCCCCACCACGCCCGGCTAATTTTTCGTACTCTTAGTAGAGACGGGGTTCCACCGTATCAGCCAGGACGGCCTCGATCTTCTGACCCCGCGATCCACCCGCCTCGGCCTCCCAAAGTGCTGGGACCACAGGCCTGAGCCACCGCGCCCGGCCTGTATATATCTTTTTAATTGTCTTGGGTATACACCTAAGAGTAGAATTGCTGTGTCATATGGTAAATCTCTGAGGAATAGCCAACTTTCCAAAGTGTCTGCACCATTTTACATTCCCATCCACAGTGTATGAGGGTTCTAATTTTTCCACATACTTGCCAACATTTGTTATTGTTCATCTTTTTTTATTTTAGCCATCCTAATGGGTGTGACTTCTATTTGCATTTCTCTAATGACCAATGAAGTTGAGTACATTTTCATATGCTCATTGGTGATTTATATATCTTCTTTGAAGAAATGTCTATTCAAATCCTTTGAACATTTTAAAATTGTGTTACTTGTCTTTTTATTGCTGAGTTGCAAGGGTTCTTTATATATTCTGGACACCAGTTTTGTAGCCATTTAATTTCTTGAAATGAGAATCACTACTTGTGGTTGTCACTCCCCTAACCGTATATTTTTAAAAACTGATATACTTCTCTAATGGTAATACAAAAAAGAAATAATAAGAAACCAACTTATAACAAAATAATATCTATTTCAATATATAAAGCTTAGGTACATATATACTACAAAATATATAATGAAGTAGTCAGATGCTCTACATAGAAGCAACTGCTAAAACACGGACAAATACAGGTGGGTTCTATTCATGACTCCAGTCCCTTGAGTGGCACTCCCTCAATGCAATGATCAAAGATAAAAAATGCATTGAAAATCTCCAAATAAAATGCAGTCTTTATTTTATTTTTATTTTCTTTGTGTTGTTTTGAAACAGACTCTCCCTTTCTCACCCAGTGCAGTGGTGCGATCTCGGCTCACTGCAACCTCCACCTCCTGGGTTCAAGTGATTCTCCTGCCTCACCCTCCCGAGTAGCTGGAATTACAGGCATGTGCCACCACATCCGGCTAATTTGTTGTATTTTCAGTAGAGATGGGGTTTCGCTATGTTAGGCAGGCTGGTCTCAAACTCCTGACCTCAAATGATCCACTGCCCTCGGCCTCCCAAAGTGCTGGGATTATAGGCGTGAGCCACTGTGCCCAGCCCAGTCTTGATTTCTACTGTGGTTTCATTCCTAAAAAAAAATTCAGTTGATGGTAAAACAACCCTAAAAACATACTGCTTTAGTATACATATATCAAAACAACACGGTGTACTCTGTCAATGTAATTATGATAATTATGATTTGTCAATTAATAGTTATATTAACTTTTAAAAAATATTTTAAAAACTTAAAAAATACTGCTTTATATGTAAAAGTATTGTGTTTATGTGTAAAACATGTACTTCTAGCCTTAGATAATGATAAACAGATTTTTTTACCCACGTGAATGTTTCAGAGGACTCTTACTTGGAAGTCCTGTAGCAGGAGAGATGACTCTTTTTTTTTTTCTTTTTCTGAGATGGAGTCTCACTCCATCACCCAGGCTGGAGTACAGTGGCGAGATCTCAGCTCACTGCAACCTCTGCCTCCTCGGTTCAAGCGACTCTCCCACCTCAGCCTCCCGAGTAGCTGGAATTACGGGCACATGCCACCATGACAGGCTAATTTTTGTATTTTTAGTAGAGACAGGGTTTCATCATGTTGGCCAGGCTGGTCTCAAACTCCTGGACTCAAGTGATCCACCACCTCAGCCACGCAAAGTGCTAGGATTACAAGTGTGAGTCACCTCATCCCGCCTAGGACGACCCTTCTCTGGGCACACTGCAAGATATCTAGCCCCCCTGACTATTCCCCTTCCCTCACTTAAATGCCAGTAGTGCCCTCCAATCCAGTTGTTATGACAAGAGAAAACACCCCAATATACGTCTAGAATGCTCCCTGTGGGTGCTTCCACCCCCATGAAGAACCACTGGTCAGGAGGGAAAGGGCCTCCTTACACCTTCACCTCTCTACTTCCTCTGGTTCTCATGTCACAGGGAGACTCCCCTGTTCTCCCAGCAGACTCTAGAGCACACCTTAGGTTGGGACTCTCTAGTTCAGATTTAAGTGAGCAAATATCCATCACCCAGCATCTCACATGCATAGAGGTGGGTCATCCCGCACAGTATTGGAAGGAGTTTTGAACAGAAATAGGAAGAACGCACATGACAAGCCATGTGACACTTGGACCTGTGTAGAAACACTAACACATGTGTCTGTGGTCTCAGCTACTTGGCAAGCTGAGGTGGGAGGATCACTGGAGCCCAGGATTTGGAGTCTGCAGTGAGCTATGATTGCACACTCTGCTCCAGCCTGGGTGACCAAGCAAAACCTTGTCTTTTTAAAAAAAAAAAAAAAAAAAAAAGAAGGAAGAGAGAAAAAAGAAACACTAACACAGTGTTTTTCAATGGGAAGTAAGATAATTACTTGCATCAAAAGTATTTGTTAAAAATACAGCCTTCCGGCCGGGCGTAGTGGCTCACACCTGTAATCCCAGCACTTTGGGACTCTGAGGCGTGCGGATCATTTGAGGTCAGGAGTTTGAGACCAGCCTGGCCAACATGGCGAAACCCTGTCTCTACTGAAAATACAAAAAATTAGCTGGGCGTGGTGGCGGATACCTGTAATCTCAGCTACTCAGGAGGCTGAGGCAGAAGAGTCGCTTGAGTCCAGGAGGCGGAGGTTGCAGTGAGCCAAGATCGTTCCACTGCACTTTAGCCTGGGCAACAGAACAAGATTCCACCTCAAAATAATAATAATAATAATAATAATAATAATAATAATAATAATACAGCTTTCTGGGCTCATATCTCTTAAATCAGATCCCTGGGGATGTGGCCAGATAATTTGCATTTTTAACAGTCTCACCAGGAGATTTTAATGACCTCAAGGTTTAAGAGCCTCTTAAGTTATTGTCATTGTCACCACCAATGCCATGCACAGCTGCCAATCTGGACATGAAGCCTTTTTCAGGTCCCATGTGGCATTTTGGCAATCACCCTTGCAAAGAGAGCTGGGAGGTCCCCACAGACCCCAGTGTTGGATGCAGACTCCAGCTTCAACCTTGGCGGGTGGTGGGGAGGCGGGGGGATCAGGCATTATTAGGTTGTCTCTTTTTAAGGTTAACTTTCTTGCAGTGCCCAAAAAGCCACTCACTCTGAAAAATTCCCTCTTCTTTCCATTCTTTTCAAAGAGTATGATTTCATGATTTCTCATGACTTCAACCAGGAATGCTTTCATATTTTAAATGTGCCTTTCTGTTAAAATAAGGGGAAAAACTGGAAGATACACATATGCCTGGGTTTGGACAATGTATTAAAGGTATAGAAATTCTGCATATAATTCTGCCTGGGAGTATAGAGTGAAGTATAGTCCTGAGTAAGTCACATTTTTTTTTTTGTCTATGAGTCAAACCAAGTAAAAAAAGAATTCATTTCTCTTTATATAACTGTATAGACACAGAATAGATTTCTAACTCTCTGAGTGAGAGTTTGGAATCTGAGTGAAAAATCTGGTTTGCTCATATTTTAAGAGTTTTGAAGATTATTTCACTGGTGTTAAATAATGATGATGATTCTGAAGATTATTTCACTGGTGTTAAATGATGATGATGACTTGATAACAATACCTTACCCAAGGCCACACAGACAGCAAATGACTTGGGCAGGATTTGAACCCAGATTTACCTGGTGTCAAAGCCTCAGGTCTTGTCACCATACCACACCGTTCTTGGACAAAGAGGTTGTGAACACAGCCACACAAACATTACTCATCACACCACTGCTGCACGCAGCTCCCTAGGACAGTATTTGGGCCTCTGCAGAGGAATGAGACGATGGGGCCCTGGGCCTTGTGCCAGCATTTACAATCCAGGGTTGCAATGCAGGGAATCAGCCACAGTGAAGCAACCCGGAGATCTGCAAGCACAGGAAGGCACCACCACCCTTGATACGAGGCAGTGGAGGACGAAAAGCTACCAGGAGGAGTAGTCCATCCAGTGATGGCTGGAACCTCAGAAATCCACTCCTCACAGAGACCCAGCCACTGCCAGAGAAGCCGCCTGCAGCAGAGAGAGTAAGAAATAACCTGGTTTCTTCCTTCTGGGTCCACTCCCATCTCCTGACGGCACCTCCACTGGCCAAACCCAATCAGCAAACCCAGCGGCCTGGAAACCCACACTTCCACTCACATCAGAGTAGCAGAGGGGCAAGACTGGATCTGAGGGCACGCAGATGAAAACAGGCACGCCCATGCTGGGTTTTGTTATTTCACAGAATAAGCACTCTATGGTTCCCTTAAATAGTAAATCCTCTATTACCTTTAGATTAATTTGATTTAACAGAAAAAGAATTTAAAATCAAGTATTTCCTTTCTTTGCTCCCTCCTTCCCTTCCTCCCTTCCCTTCCCTTCTTTCCCTCCCTCCCTCCCTGCCTCCTTCCCTCCCTTCCTTCCTTCCCATTTTTTTGAGACAGGGTTTCACTCCCATCACCCAGGCTGGAGTGCAGTGGCATGATCATGGCTCACTGCAACCTCCCCTCCTGGGCTTGAGGGAGCCTCCTGCCTCAGCCTCTCAAGTAGCTGGAACTACAGGTGTATGCCACCATGCCCAGCTTATTTTTGTATTTTTGTGTTTTTTTGGTAGAGACAGGATTTTGCCATGTTGCCCAGGCTGATCTCCAACTCCTGAGCTCAAGCTATCTGCCCACCTTGGCCTCCCAAAATGCTGGGATTACAGGCGTGAGCCACCACGCCTGGACCACTTTTTCTTTTTCTTTTCTTTTCTTTTTTTTTTTGAGTGACTTTAAAAAACATCTATTATGCAATCAGATATCTCTTTATACCTGTAACTCACTGAATACTGGAAAACAAAGAAGGCATTATTGGCTGGGCTGGGTGGTGCATGCCTGTAGTCCCAGCTACTTGGGAGGCTGAGGTGGGAAGATGGCTTAAGCCCAGGAAGTTTGACTTCAGTCTGGGCAACATAGCAAGACCCCATCTCTTAAAAAAAAAAAGGAAGAAAAAAGAAAAAAAAAGAGAAAGCATTGATTGAATACTTCCTTACAAAGGGCTAGTAGTCTCATTTGCCAGGCTAATAATAAGTAGTAAGGAGGATGAATTTTATCTGACTTATTACCTGAAAGAAAGAGAAGCTGGCTGCAAATCCTATAGTCATCAAGCTACTGTCTTTAGAAGACTAGCGTATTGAAACTTTTTTGGGGGGCCCTTTCTTTGAGTGTATATGGTATGAGAAGCTGGCAAGCTTGTGCTGAGAGTCCTGGCCATAATTCTTCGGAAATGTGAGGGTGTGGGAGGCTTCAGAGCCTCTGGAGGAAGTTCTAGGCAGAGGTCAGTTGTGCTCTGGCCCGACCGCGGGCCCCCTCCCACGGAAGGGCAGAGCTAGAGGGCCCTCTGGGGACAGCAGGCCCGGCGCGAGCGGTGGCCAACACCTCTCAAGCCTTTCGAGGTGTGCCGTCATCCACGCCCACCGTGGAGCCAACAGTGTCCTTCTCCCAACGCTGGAGAAACGGCTAGGGCATTAGCCTCAAAGGAGATTAAGGAATTGGATTTCGTAGAGATTGGATTTCGTGCGTGCTGTCTCCCATTCAGAGGCATTCCCAGAAAAACGACTCACAAAGACCACAACAGCAGCAGAGCAGGCGAGGTCTCAGTGCCCCCAGAGCTCAGCCAGGGCGAGGCAGGACGACTTCGGGGCAGGGCTCTCCTGACGTAGGGATTACAACAAAAGGGTTCATCCTGCATTTTTTGAAGGAGATGGCTAAGTAGGGTAAATCTGTGGTTAAGATCACAGACTTTGGAGTCGATTTTTTCCTCCTATTTTTGCGAGTCGGCCCCCTCTTCTCTGTCCCTGCTCCCAAGGCCCCCTCACCGCGCATACTGCCACAGCCGCTCGCAGCTCCCGTGGCCCACCTCCCTCTCCTCCAGGTTGCTGCCCCCGGGGTCTTTTTGAGCACATCAGATCATCTTGCTCAGAATACCCCGTGGCTACCGCCTCTAGGATAATGCCCAACGGCCTTGGTAGGATATTTGGTGCCACACACCCTCCAGTCTCCCCTCTAATCCCTAACCTACCTGCCTCCCCGCCCAGGGGCCCTGCTCTCTGCAGGCTCTACTGTGTCCTGGGCCCTCAGCTGAGAGACCAACCCGTCCTTCCAGGAAAATGCGAGCCTCACCAGGCAGGGTTATGCTCCCGCCCTCCTCCTTGTAATTATTACCTGACCCTCTGCCTCCTGCAACGCCAGGGCTGGAGGACAGGCTGGCCCCTATTCCTATGGGCACTGGCCAACATCCAACGCCTGGGACATAAACTGCACCCAATGGTATGTGAACTGTACTTTACAGTTTGCACGGTGTGTTCTGGTATTTGCTAAATCTTCACACATGCTCAGGTGGCAGTACGTTTTAATGATACAGGCGAGGGAACTGGGGCTCAGAAAGGTCTAGTGCCTTGCGCATGGGAGACTCAAGTGGTAGAACCGGTGGCCGGGCTCCGGGCTCTGAGCGGAAAGCCTGCAGGACTCGGAATCCTGAAGACCTGGGTTTAAACCCGCTCAGCTAGGGACTGGGTGAGGCATCGCAGGCAAGTGACTTCACCTCCCAGCGCCGGTGCCCTAGTCTTCACCGAAGACAGCAATTCCAATCTGGGACTGTGGTGAGGCTTAAATAAAACACTGCTCAGTAAGTGGCCAGCAGGCCTGGCTCGCAGCCGGAACTATAAATGTGAGTTCCCTTTCTGACCCCCAGGTTTGGCGAGGGCTCCTCCTGTTTGGGCAGCAGCTCCTCCTGAGCTCCCGAGGCCACGGGGGTGCCAACTGTGGAGCGCCCGCCGTGCCGTTTAGACGCGAGAGCTGCGTCGGGTACCAGCGATCCTTAAAGGAGCTCGGGGACCAGGGGCACAGCTTGGAGAGGACAGCGAGGGAGGTGACTGGCCTCGGGGAGGCGGGCGGTGGATGGAGAGGCATGAGAGGGGTGTTGTCAGCCGCGGCACACGCCTTCCCCAAGTGGCCGGCGCCGCCCCTTGCCACCACTTCACCTCCGCCTCTTCCCTTCCTCCCTAGCTCCTGGCAGCGTCTCTAGGGCCTCAAAAAGCAAGGAGGGTCCCCGGGCAGCGAGGCCCCATGGATCCAGCCTGCGCCTGCTCCCAAGGGCGCGCAGGTCCCGCCCCTGCCGGGCGCCCGCCCCCCGGGGAGCGCAAGCCCCCGCCCCTTCCCTCGCCCCTCCCCTGCACGGCGCCGGCTGGCTGGAGGCGGGGCATGCGCACGGGCCTGGGCGAGGGCGCTGGGCGGCGGGGAGGTGGGGCGCGCGCGTGCGGCTTCTCTCAGCCGGGAGCGGCGGGGGCGGGCACGGGCAGCAGCGGGCCGGCGGTGGGCGGGGAGCGGGACGCGGGAGCCGGGCGCGCGCCGCCAGCGCCGCCGCGGCACCGGTGACCGCGAGCCCGGAGCGCGAGGTCCGGGGATGCGAGCGGCCGGGAGCCGCCGCGCTGCTGAGCCGGGAGAACTCGATCCGCGGTGACCTCAGCGAGGGGCGAGCGCGGCGGCGGCGAGCCCCGCGGGAATCCTCGGGGCCGGGGTGCGGGGGGCGGGGACGGCGGGAGCGCGGGGCGCAGCCCGGGCGGGGCTGGGACAGTGATGAGAGAGCGCGCGGGGAGGCTGCACGCCGCCGCCGCCGCCGCCGCCGCCGTCGTCGTCCGGAGCATCTGCTGCCTGAGCTGCTGCCGGCGGACCCGGCCATGGAGACACTGAACGGCCCCGCGGGCGGAGGTGCCCCGGACGCGAAGCTGCAGCCGCCCGGCCAGCACCACCGCCACCACCACCTCCACCCGGTGGCCGAAAGGCGGCGGCTGCACCGTGCGCCCTCGCCCGCCAGACCCTTCCTCAAGGACCTGCACGCCCGGCCCGCCGCGCCCGGCCCGGCCGTCCCCTCCTCGGGCCGAGCCCCGGCTCCCGCCGCCCCGCGCTCGCCCAACCTCGCGGGCAAAGCGCCGCCCTCGCCGGGGTCCCTGGCCGCGCCCGGCCGCCTCTCTCGGCGCAGTGGCGGCGTCCCGGGCGCGAAGGACAAGCCCCCGCCGGGCGCCGGGGCCAGAGCGGCGGGCGGTGCCAAGGCTGCCCTGGGAAGCAGGAGGGCGGCGCGCGTGGCGCCCGCGGAGCCGCTGTCCCGGGCTGGGAAGCCTCCCGGAGCCGAGCCGCCGTCTGCCGCTGCCAAGGGCCGCAAAGCCAAGCGCGGCTCCCGGGCGCCACCCGCCCGCACCGTCGGCCCCCCGACCCCGGCCGCCCGGATCCCTGCCGTGACCCTCGCGGTGACCTCGGTGGCCGGGTCCCCGGCCCGCTGCTCGCGCATCAGCCACACGGACAGCAGCTCCGACCTCTCTGACTGCCCCTCCGAACCCCTGTCCGACGAGCAGCGCCTGCTCCCTGCCGCCAGCAGCGACGCCGAATCCGGCACGGGCTCCAGCGACCGTGAACCCCCACGAGGAGCGCCGACGCCGAGCCCCGCAGCCCGAGGAGCGCCGCCGGGCAGCCCCGAGCCCCCAGCGCTCCTCGCCGCGCCCCTCGCCGCGGGCGCCTGTCCCGGGGGCCGGAGCATCCCGAGCGGGGTTTCGGGGGGTTTCGCGGGGCCCGGCGTGGCGGAGGATGTCCGGGGGCGCTCGCCACCGGAGCGACCAGTCCCCGGGACCCCCAAGGAGCCCAGCCTGGGCGAGCAGTCTCGGCTCGTGCCAGCGGCGGAGGAAGAAGAGCTGCTGCGGGAGATGGAGGAGCTGCGCTCGGAGAACGACTATCTCAAGGTGAGCCGCGCCTCGGCCGCAGGTGTCCCGGGGCGCCCCCGGAGGGCCTGGCTGCGGCGGGGACCCGCCAACCCCTCCTTCCCGGGCCTGTCCAGCGCCTTCTCCCTCCTGCTCTCCACGGTCCTACCCCCGCATTGTCAGGCATTGGCAACTTAAGCCCAAACTTCTGGAAGGAGAAGCAAGACCTGTGGGACCCCGCCAGTTCGCAACCCACTTCTCTTTTCTCGCGTCTAGAACTCTTGCGTCTCTTCGCTGATACTTTTACTTTTGTTGACCTGTTGGGGCAGAGGAGGCTGTAATCGTTTTGGGGACATCAGCGGACGCCCCCATCCCCGCTCAGAACGTGCCAGCCTCACCTGTAGGAACAGGTGATCCTTCGCCAGGGAGCTCTAGCCGGGCCACGTGCGGGCGTGGCGGTTCAGGATAATGCCACTGGAGGGCCCCCGGCTACGGACCCGCTTGCCCCTTCTCCTGCAATTACGGAAAGAGCTGGGGGCTCTCAGGGTCTCCTGGGCTCCGACATCCCGGGTAGAGGGGGCCGCGCCGTTTTCGGTGAGCAAGCTGAAGCTCAGTAGAGGTCCTTGGAGTGTGGCCCGGGTTGAGGAGCAACGGTGTTGCGCGGGCCAGTCCTTTGTAAGCATCCAGGAGCCGGCTTTCTGTGTCAGGAGAGGCCACGCCAGCACTTTCTAAGGAATCGCGGCGCCTGCTGCACTCTCTGAGTATTTTCCGGCAGGGCCTGCGGGCAGTGGCGTCTTAGTCGCCTTAGCACTGGGTGCTTAATCCGGCTCCATCTTTTCTCCACGGAGGGGGCCTGGTGCTGCAGACGGGGTTCCCGGGGTCAGGACGATCCAGGTGACTTGAGAGAAAATAAGGGGAGTTGTATTGACACCAACTGTTTTATTTATTGTGATCTTCAGGTTAGTAAACAACTCCAGTGGCATCAATCTGTGTATCTGTTAAGTCTTAATGAGCAGCCAACCAAACCCAGGGGTGTGGCCCTGCTTCTTCAGTGGGTTATGTGATTTGAGCTGTTTTCTCAGCAAATGATGAGCTAACCAATACGGGCCCAGTTTTTGGCTAGTGAGATTGAGGATTGGGCTTTAAGGTGCATGGTGGTGAAGTCTGCAGTTCACACGGAAATCAGAGCACATTAACTGCTGGGTGATCTCAAGCCTAAATTTCTTATGGAGCTGCTCCAACCAACTGAGCCTTGTGGTTATTTTACTTTGTGCAAGAAGTAACAGTGAGGCAGAGAAAGAGAGGTGATAAAAGAAAGATTGGGACTTAAAGCAAGATATTTCAGATAGTATGTTTGTTTTTGTCACTTACTCTTAGGTAATAGACAACGGAGTGAAGTTCAAAGGCAACTATGTTGTGGGTGACTCCATCATGAAAGCAGCTCTTTTGTAAATCTTCAACAAATGTAAGCTCCCTGAGGGTGACCAAGATAATCTTGTTGTTTTTGTATCCCTGGCTCTTAGCATAACCCCTGACTTACTTTCTGATTGAATGATGTTTATCCAAATGACTGCTGTGCAAGGGAAAACTGTATTTCTTTAAAGAAGTTTCTCATTGCATCTTTGATCTTAAGGTAGGCTATCCATCATTTTGAAGTTCATTCTTGGTGCAACTGGTTATTTCCTTTATTTTTTCCCAATGAATGAAATGTGTCTGAGCCTGGAGTCTGATACAGTGTATTTGCTATTTCACTGGATCTTCCCAACAACATAGGGTGGTGGTGGTGGTATCATGATCATAACTAGTATTTCACAGACGGAGATGCTGAGAACCTAAAACAGAAATGACTTGGCCAAGGTCATAGAGTGAGTAAGAGGTGGCACCTGCGTTTCCCCAGAGCCTCTGCCCATTTTACTGCACCGGGATGCAGCCCTATTTCCAGCGAGGCTGCTTTCCTCCGAGCACACTGCTTCTGAGTTGTTTTCGTAGCTCAAAATGTTCCTTGTGGTGAGCTTTTCTAGGGGCCCTCTGTTTTCTTTTCAGGTGAGAGGGCCGTCATGCCCGTCTCTCCACTAGCCTGTGTACGAATGGTCACATAAATCCCACTGCCAGTGTTTCAGTTGTGGGGACTGTTCAGTTGCCATTTACTGTGGAGAAGGTGTCACTTGCATCCGTTTACTCTGCCTGAGGCCACCTCCCCACTGTTCCTCCGACAGCAGGGGAGAGAAGAGGGTTGTGAAGGAGGCTAGCAAACCAGATGATTGCGTGTATGCATGTGAGGTACTCATTTGGCCACTCAGAAGCTTAAATGACAATAGTTCAATTCGGGAAGGAAACGCAGGGATCCTAATGGACTTTTCTACAGGTCGTGGAGCCTGCCCACATGTGCAAAATTGGGCCCAGAGCTTCAGGGACCCCCTGTGGCAGAGGCAGTAGTCATGCCTTTGCAGTGGTGGTTAGCGTGTGCCCTTTATAAATCAAAACTTCTCTTTTTGTTATTTTCAGGGGTATTTTTTCCGTTTTTTGTGGTTTTTTTTTGAAGGGATGGTCTTGCTCCGTGGCCCAGGCTGGAGTGCAGTGGCATGATCATAGCTCACTACAACCTTGAACCCGTGGGCTCAAGTGATCTTCCTGCCTCATCCTGATAAGTAGCTGGGACCACAGGAACACACCACCAAGCTGGGCTAATTTTTAAATTTTTTTATAGAGACAGGGTCTGGCTATGTTGTCCAGGCTTGTCTTGAACTCCTGGCTTCAAGTGATCCTCCCTCCTTGCCCTCCCAAAGTGCTAGGATTACAAGTTTGAGCCTCTGTGCCTCGTGGGGTACTTTTTAAAGAGGGTAGATAAAAGTACGTCCTTGACCTGCTGCTTTGTTAGGGAGCACTGCACAGAACTAACTCTCAGGATTAGGTATAGCATTCATCTATTCCAATGTATCTGATAAGAGGCTCGGCCCACAAATTTTACGTTGCTATATTCTGGAGCATTCCAAGTAAGTGCTGTCATCATTGTTGTACAAGACTGTGACAGTTTCTGAACTAGAATGACCAAAGCCCAATTCAATAGAAAAATAAGTCCAGCAAAACCTTAGGAGGATATTCTTCGGATCAGGACATTTAAGTGGAATTATCTTGGCTTTTAGCCAGGCTGCTGTATTTTTTATTTTATTTTTATTTATTTTTTTTGAGACGGAGTCTTGCTTTGTCGTGCAGGCTGGAATGCAGTGGCGTGATCTCGGCTCACTGCACCCTCCGCCTCCCAGATTCAAGCAGTTCTCCTGCCTCAGCCTCCGGAGTAGCTGGGATTACAAGTGCCCGCCACCACGCCCAGCTAGTTTTTGAATTTTTAGTAGAGACAGGGTTTCACCATGTTGGCCAGGCTGGTCTTGAACTCCTGACTTCAGGTGATCTGCCCGCCTCGGCTTCCCAAAGTGCTGGGATTACAGGCATGAGCCACCGCGCCCGGCCTGGCCTGTATTTTTTTAAATAGTCAGTGTCAACAGAGAAGCGGACACCTTGTGTTGTGCTGTAACAGAGCAAATTTGGTCGTCCCTGACTCTGCTTTCTGTTCCTTCTCCACCTTCATCAAATGGTGCCTGGGTGACTAGGTGAAAAATGCAAAATCAATCCAGGTAGCTGGCTTTTGTGTGAAAACACAGACAGAAAAGCACTCTTGTTGTCCTTTGACCTCTGATAAACTCAAATACATTTGGAAGTATTCAGAAATTCAGGTGAGCACTTCAGTTATCCAAAGGCCTGGGCTTCTCATAAAACCCAGGCACTTTCTTTTTTTTTTTTTTTTTTTTTCTCTTTAATTATGGTAAATATTTAATGTTTCCTTATAAAATAATTACAGCCTTAATAGAAACAAAACTGTTGAAAGTGTACCTGGATGACAATAATGGTTAAATATACACTTTAATAATTTAAAGTGATGAGTTTTTTTTTTTCACAAAAGTTTAAGGTGGTAATGAAATCATTGGAATCCCTTTTACCAAAGTGAATTTTAAAAATTACATTTTCCCTCTTGCAATCATGTTTGTAGCATAAAGGAGCAATAAATGGGGGCAGGGAGTAAAGCTTGGGAACTAGTCTATGTTAGGCTTGAGTAGTCTAGGGCAATGTCTGATAAAGGAGGGGTTTGAATTTTGGTATGGAAGGCTTTCTTTTTTTTTTTTTTTTTTTTAATCTGTTTTCTTTTTTCTTTTTTTTTTTACTTTTTTTTTTTTTATTATACTTTAAGTTTTAGGGTACATGTGCACATTGTGCAGGTTAGTTACATATGTATACATGTGCCATGCTGGTGTGCTGCACCCACTAACTCGTCATCTAGCATTAGGTATATCTCCCAATGCTATCCCTCCCCACTCCCCCTACTCCTCGACAGTCCCCAGAGTGTGATATTCCCCTTCCTGTGTCCATGTGATCTCATTGTTCAATTCCCACCTATGAGTGAGAATATGCGGTGTTTGGTTTTTTGTTCTTGTGATAGTTTACTGAGAATGATGATTTCCAGTTTCATCCATGTCCCTACAAAGGACATGAACTCATCATTTTTTATGGCTGCATAGTATTCCATGGTGTATATGTGCCACATTTTCTTAATCCAGTCTATCATTGTTGGACATTTGGGTTGGTTCCAAGTCTTTGCTATTGTGAATAATGCCGCAATAAACATACGTGTGCATGTGTCTTTATAGCAGCATGATTTCTAGTCCTTTGGGTATATACCCAGTAATGGGATGGCTGGGTCAAATGGTATTTCTAGTTCTAGATCCCTGAGGAATCGCCACACTGACTTCCACAATGGTTGAACTAGTTTACAGTCCCACCAACAGTGTAAAAGTGTTCCTATTTCTCCACATCCTCTCCAGCACCTGTTGTTTCCTGACTTTTTAATGATTGCCATTCTAACTGATGTGAGATGATATCTCATAGTGGTTTTGATTTGCATTTCTCTGATGGCCAGTGATGGTGAGCATTTTTTCATGTGTTTTTTGGCTGCATAAATGTCTTCTTTTGAGAAGTGTCTGTTCATGTCCTTCGCCCACTTTTTGATGGGGTTGTTTGTTTTTTTCTTGTAAATTTGTTTGAGTTCATTGTAGATTCTGGATATTAGCCCTTTGTCAGATGAGTAGGTTGCAAAAATTTTCTCCCATGTTGTAGGTTGAACCCAGGCACTTTCTTAATGCTGAGGACTTTGGTAAAGCGCTGGTGTGTTCCTTCCCTGCCAGGCTGCCAAGACTGTGTTTTGCTCGAGTGCTCGGAGACAGTCAGACAAGCCGGAGTGCTCGTTGTCAACATATTAATTATGTTCTCTGTTTCCACAGGCTTTTCAGGAGGATTTAATCAGTTGGCATTTATGAGCCTATTTTGAAAATGCTTTTAGCAGCCATAACCCCACACCTCCCCCACCCCCAAATAGTGTCCTCTTGCCATGCTGACCTCCTGCAGGGTGGGTGAGGATTGGGGTGGGAAGAGCTGTTTCTTTTTGCTTTGCTTTGCTTTCTCAGTTATTTCATAGGAAATATTTTTCTGTTAAAAGAAAACAAGTTGGTGCTAGATACAAGGGCAGAGAAAATTGGCTTCTTGGAGAGGAATGATTTCCTAAGGGAGAGGTTGAGTTTTGGTTTTATAGGTTGCAGTGTCTCACTGCTGATCCAAGCTTACCATCCTGCTTCTCATTGGAGTTAGCCTTTTGAGTTTCAGGCCCTGACCTGGTTTTTGACATTTGGCAGCTGGGCTGCCCAGATGCCGGGTGCTCAGTGTGGCCTGGGGGTGGAGGGGCACTTGGAGAGGAGCGCAAGCAGTGCTCTGTAGCTGAGGTGTCTCAGCGCCTCCTTGCTCCCCGCCTCCTCCTCCTTTCTCTTTCAGAAGGGTTAACATGGACAGTATTCCCCATTCTTTCCTGACATTCGCTGTCCATACCCACTCTGTATTCAGCCACTGAAAGAGTGGCTATGATCATTTTCAGTGGCAGTTAATGTAGACAAGGGCTGCGGCCACCAGCTGCTGGCTGGACCATCACCTGGTAGACAGTGGGAGTCGCCCTGCACCTCCTTAGTTACAGCTGGGACTCTTGGAGAACATTTCCCTTGTCTGGAGGGAAATGAGGTGGATTATTCGTATGTTACAAAAGACAGTAGTTTCTGTCTGCCCAGAAGATAGAATTATTGCAGCAGTAGCCAGAGGACTCCTTCTACCATCCAAACTGGGTCTATTTAAAGAGGAGGTGCTAAAATAGAGATAGTTACTGATTTTGGGTATTTAAAAGAGATTAAGATTTTCATATAGTTATTAACATGATTAAGAGTTTTCATCACTTATACTAAGAAGCCATGGATTTGACTTTTATTATATATTCATGGATAAAACTATCCTTTTAGAGGTTTTCATTAAAACATATAATTTTAATCTTGGTTTACTCTAGTGCACACCTGGTACCTCATTATTCCTCTAATTTGAGATACATGATAAGGCTTGATTTGTCAGCCACAGGCAAAGGGGAATAGTCGACTGGACTTCACAGTACTTCAAGATTTCGTTTTATATACAAAACTTTAAAAAGGTATTTAATTAAAACTAGCTTTTCAATGAGATAATGATTTAATACTTAAGTATCCTCCAGACTTGATGTTAATTCAGTAAAAAACTATTAAGGACAGCTTTTTCTTATTTCCGTGTATAAAAAGACAACAGCGATTTTCCAATTTTATGTACTATCTCTAAATTACACCTGTCAGAAACATCATATGCTCTGCTCGATTTGGTTTACTTAAATTTTTAGTTGGCAGATGTCATTAAGGTTCTGCAATACAGTTTTCTAAATTGGAGCATGCCGTCAGAAAATTAATGTAATGTTAGTTTGAAAATCACTATCCATCATGACCCTAATTCCAGTAATCATAGTTTTTGCTTTTCAGATGGCTGCTGCCAGCTTACATGGTTTATAATTTGCTTGTCTTTAACTTCTTTTCACTGAACCTGAAAATTACTTTTTTCTAGGCTCTCTGGGAAGAGTTGAAACACTGGCCCTGGTCCTATTGCTGCAGCAGACCAATAATGGTGGAAAGCCATTTATACTTTTAGAATCTCAGTTTCCTCGTTTTAAAGATGGGAGTATTAGCCAGGCATGGTGGCATGTGCTTGTAATCCCAGCTACTCAGGAGGCTGAGGCAGGAAGATCACTTGAGCCCAGGAGCTCAAGGTGGCAGTGAGCCATGGCTGCACCACTGCGCTCCAGGTTGGGTCACAGAGTGAGACTCTGTCTCTTTAAAAAAAGCGGGGAAGGGGCACGGATATCTTTACCGCACGTTGCAGTGTCTTCCTAAGAACCAGTTGCCCTAATGGATATGCTTTGTGTCGTCACTTGTCGAGCTGTAAATGTTAGGCTGCTTTTTTTGTTTTACACTGATGGTGGACTTTTAAAAGTACAATTGAAGGTCTGTTATTGTTTCATTTGTCCAGGTTGAAGCAAATAATTTATGGTATTTACTCGAAAGAGTGTGTGATTGAAAGCAGACAGGCCTGGGTTTGCAGTGTGGCTTCAATTTACTAGATGTGAAGCTTTGGACACAGGTAACTAGCCTCAGTTTTGTTTTTTTGTCTATCAACTGCATAATGTGTTCCTGACAGGGTTATTGTAGGGTTAGTAATGAGGGTGAGGTGCTTAATAAACGACGCCTGTTCTGTAAATTTAGGTAAAATATGAATTATAAGAGCAGTGATTTAAATACATGCCGTTATGGTGCATTGGTCCATTTTTATACTTCTGTGAAACACTAGACTGGGTAATTTATAAAGAAAAAAGGGTTTAATGGACTCACAGTTCCACATGGCTGGGGAGGCCTCACAATCATGGTGGAAGACAAAGGAGGAGCAAAGACACATATTACATGGAGGCACGTAAGAACGTGTGCAGGGAAACTGCCGTTTATAAAACCATTAGATCTCTCTTGAGACTTACTCACTGTCACGAGCAGCAGAGGAGAAACCCGCCCCCGTGATTCAGTTACCTCCCACTGGGTCCCTCCTGTGACACGTGAGGATTATGGGAGCTACAGTTCAAGATGAGATTTGAGTGGGGACACAGCCAAACCATATCATATGATCTCTCCCTAATTTTCTTTTCTCTTTTTTTTTTGAGGTGGAGTCTCACTCCATCGCCCAGGCTGGAGTGCAGTGGCGCGATTTCCACTCACTGCAAGCTCCACCTCCCGGGTTCACGCCATTCTTCTGCCTCAGCCTCCCGAGTAGCTGGGACTACAGGTGCCCGCCACCACGCCTGGCTAATTTTTTTTATTTTTAGTAGAGACAGGGTTTCACTGTGTTAGCCAGGATGGTCTTGATCTCCTGACCTTGTGATCCGCCCGCCTCGGCCTCCCAAAGTGCTGGGATTACAGGCGTGAGCCACCGCACCCGGCCCCTAATTTTATTTGCAGTACAACTAATGTTGGTGATTATTTGTGCCAAAAAATATTGCTATTTACATCTGGTCTGCTCAATGATGTGGAGGTGTGGGTGCATCTAGCCCTTGAACAGTTTTCATAGCCTGTAACATCTGTATGAAAATGCAGCATTTAACATTAGGGTGGATGTGGGCTCTCCAGTTGCAAAGTCTGAAAGCTAGAGACATTTTATACCTGGAAGCTGTATCTTGCATCTTAGGGCTATATTGCATTTTAAAAACTTTTGTCTTAGTTGCCGATAATCCCAGGCATTAATGACTTTGGCAGGCTTTCTGGAAAGAAAAGCAATCACAAACCATTCTTTCCATGAACAGAATGGCCAGAGTCACTGTATATTTGTATGTGTGGATATACATGTACATATACATATACAGATATTGACTTAGTGTTGAACATTTAGTGATTATTGCTTGTATTGAACTGATTTGTATTAATGACTCAGTGAAACAATTAACCTCTTTACTCAGAAACAAGCATTGCGGTTAGGTTCTTTCTCAAAGTCTGATCCATTAGTTTCATGGATGGGGTGTGAATCAAACTTGACGTTGATTTTTGAAGATTCAGAACTAACTTCCCACTCTATCGAAAGAGTGACAACCACAAGGCTCATTTTAAAGCTTTCAGTCTCCAGTTGACCTCCTCTAGGAGTGGGTAGTGCAGGGGCACAGCTCCCATAGGGCGTCTTCAAAGCCTCAGTGATCAGGCATCAGTAACAACCTCCTGTTTGTGGAAGGTTTGCAGAAGGTTGTCAAGCACTGTCCTGAAAGAGCTGTGTTCTCTGGTCCCCTGAAGAGCCCAAACCACCCATTCTGTTTATGTGTGTTCAGCTGATCAGCTCCTATGCTCAGTCCAGTAACTTCCAGTTCCAGCAGATCTTCCCACAAGGACCAGGATTTACCAGGAGAGATTTCCATGGAGGAAAAAAGAAATGAAACTTGGTTACGAGTTCACAACATTTTCAGTGTTAAGATTGATCTTTCTTAAGACACATTAGGACATCTTATACTTTTAATATTTTCATCATTGGTATAGAAATTCTGTAGGAGCACTTAGGAGCCAAGAAGAAGAACATTTTATGCATTTGACTACTGGGAAGTTGGTGAAGGTTTCTTCTTTAACATCTGTTCTCCTTGGTAGCCTATTGAAACAGGCTCCAGATGAGTCCTGGTCAAGTGAGTAGCTCGTTCTCTTGATGGGATAGTGTAGGCAGAGTGGAGAGAACCTACATGCTGGATTGGGGGATGAGTTGCCATATCTGTGCCCTTTCCAGTAGACCATTGTGTGCAGGTAAGGTTGACCGAAGCATCATCATCACCCCATTTTGTGCCAACCCTTATTTTTCCATAAGGATTCACATTTTTATTTGTTGTGTTTCTTGTACTTAATCTTACCTAGGATAAACACATCTTCAGGAGATTTCTTTTTGTTCATTTTTTTTTTTTTTTTTTTTTGTCTGAGGCTCGGATGTTGGGCACCTTGTTCTTTATTGTTAGTCAATTCCTGTTTTTAAGAATAAATACAGGATTAGCATGAGTGGTAAAAATCCAGGAACAAAGGGAATAGCAGGACGAGAATGGACAATTAGGGTGTCTGAGTATAGGAGAGATTTTTTTTTCTTGAACCTTAATATTAATTGAATAAAGTAAATGGGAATAACTGAGTGCATGCTATTCTGGAGGCATCTGAAACTATCAATTATGAAACTAGTCAAGAAAATCCCTAGAATGTTTCCTTAATCTTCCTCCTTCCAAATTGTTCCTCCTTTAAATCTTGTGTAACCCTTCAGTAGAGTGAATATCTCATACCTGCAGCTACATCTGTGGGTTTGGGAAGAAGCTTTCATCACTGGGCTGCAAGACTGGAACAAAGCGAGCGTGCAGTTGTGTCTGATGTTAGTCGCCTTTCTGACTTGGTGTTTGTAAGTGTTCACTGGCGCACCTGTGTATTCATTCAGCAATATTTATTGAGGACCTACCGTGTGCTCCATGCTGCTCGGGATGCAGAGAGGAGAAAGACAGACAAGCTTGCTCCCCTCTGAAGCTTACCTTGTTAGTGTAGGTGACAGACAGTAAGTAGGAAAAAATACCAATACTATTAGATGGCACTCAGAGGTGGGAAGAAAATAGAGCCAGCAAGAGACTAGAGACTCGGGCTGATGAGGGTGGCCAGGGGAGGCTTTGCATGACGTCAGATTATGTGATGGAATGAGCTCTGCAGAGATCTGGAGCGGGGAGTGTTTTCAGAAGTGGGAATAGCAGGCGAGGTCTTGAGGCCTGAAGAAGCAAAGGTGCGAGCAGTCTCAGACCCTGTGCTAGTCGTGGGCAGGGAGGGAGTGTGGCCAGGAGGCCTGGAAAGAAGGAAGCCCCTGGAGGGTTTGAGTAGGGAGTGAGGTGGTCTGATTTGCACATTAAAAGGATTACTCTGCTGGGTGGGGGACAGACTGTAGGAGGATTAGAGGGCCAGCTGAGCAGTGGGCACCTGTGTGTCTCCACTTACATCTGTGTGTGGCTCCCCTCCCCCAGGGATGGAGGCCTGGACCAGGGTGATCCATCCGGAAGGGGCGCAGCTCTGGCTGAGGGCTTGGCTGTAGAATGGGAGGGGAGGGGGAGCCAGGAATGAAATGACTCCTTGGGTTCCCCTGTATTCAGGGTGCATTCCTGTGGACAGCAAAGAGTGGAGGTGTGGGAAAGTCAGAATAGGTGAATGGGAAAAAACAGACCCAATGTGTATTTAAAATAATGGAAAATGTCTCATTTGTGGATAGCGTCGCTTAGTCAATGCTGAGATGCGTCTTGTGGAACAGAATTTTTGGGACATTTGCAGGTATGTTTTAGTTCCAGGGCAATTAGCACTTGTTATCCTACTGAAGTTTATGTTCTTTGAAGGCAGGGTCCGTATGATTCATCTTAGTACCTAGATTATGCCTTAGAGATAAAGGCTTAGGTCAATGTTTGGTTTGAATTGAAAGGTTCAATTATCTGCAGAGTTGATTTTATTTGATCATGTAGGGAGATGTTGGGAGTGGGATAAGTTCTGAGAGGCCACAATGAATAATCCAGTTTTTTAGCTTCTGGTTACATAAGATTTGAACAGATACTCAATTATATTATCTCATATGCAAATTTCCAGAGGTTCTGGTGCCTGTCACCCAGGCGTGGCCATGAGGTGATGGGTAAGCGTGTAGGTATTCAATATTTAGTATTGAGGAGCGGGTATGAAGGAGAGACATGCCATCCTTTTTTGATGTACTTGGCTCATAAATCTTCTCTGTCTGATTTGCATAGGATGAGTTAGATGAACTCCGTGCTGAGATGGAAGAGATGAGAGACAGTTATTTAGAGGAAGATGTTTACCAGCTGCAGGAACTTCGGCGAGAACTGGACCGCGCTAATAAAAACTGCCGAATCCTGCAGTACCGTCTTCGGAAAGCCGAGCAGAAAAGCCTGAAAGTGGCTGAGACGGGTCAGGTGGATGGTGAGCTTATTCGAAGCCTGGAGCAGGACTTGAAGGTGAGTGAGGGGGTGGTGCGTGCACCTCGCAAGGCTGCTGTGGACCGGCTGGCCACATGCACGTTGCCCTGGTGTTTTTTCCCTGCTTGTGTCTGTCTCTACAGATTGCAGCATAAACAGTCTTGGTTTGCTTTATGGCTTATAGAGTGTGTGTAGTTATATGACTTTGACACCCCAAGGTTTACATTTGTCATAATATGAACTTTAAAAAAATGATGATTATTTGTGATAACGAAGAATTAATACCTGCCAATGGGTCTGACAATTGGATAGAAATTCTGCAGAAACTCTGAAAGATCTGAAATATTTTTTTTAAAAATCTATTGATTATCAGTGTAGTCAAAGGCCACTCTTAAAAGTTGATCATATCACTTAACATTTTTTTATTGTTATTTAGGTTTCTAGGATGTAGAAATCCTGACATTCCCATTACCCAAGTGAGAATTGTGTAGTGAGGATCTAATGCCAGGAGAAGTAATCACAAATTGTCTGAGGTGTCTTTGAGAACCACTGGGAGAAGTGGGAATAATGGGAAGAAACCCCAGACTTTAAGCCATTTTCTCTCCGTGGGCAGCGAGGCCCTCATGACCTGATTATCAAATCATTTATCTGGAGATGAATTATGCATACTGTTCTCTTTATTGCCGGAGTACTTGTGAAATCTCATCTAGCCTTTCAGTGTGATAACAGGAAAAGAACCTTTGTAATTCTACCAAAGTTATAAACCACTGACAAAATGTCATTCAGTGTGATAAAGGGTGATTTATATTTCTCTTACAAGGCCTCTTGCCTCATTTGCTTTTAGAAAGTAAACGTGTTTAACTGCTTTGCTCATTCAAATGGTTTACCACACCAGAGCCACAGTACAATATTTAAGACTTGACTACATTGAACATCTTATGCATAGAGAATTTTTTTTTATTATTATTTTAGAGATAGAATCTTGCTCTGTCACCCAGGCTGGAGTGCAGAGGCACCATCATAGCTCACTGTTACCTCGAACTCCTGGGCTCAAGCAACCCTCCCATCTTCACCTCTCAAGTAGCTGGGACTATAGGCATGCATCACCATGCCTGGATTATTTTTTATTTTTATAATTTTTTTAGAGACAGGGTCTCACTGTGTTTCCCAGGCTGGTCTCAAACTCCTGACCTCAAGTGATTCTCCTTTCTTTGCCTCCCAAAGTGCTGGGATTACAGGCAACTTACTTGTTTTGTTAGCAGATGGGTTCAGTATTACTTTAGTGAATATAAATGTTTATTTGTTTATTATTATTCGAATTTCTCGCTTAAAGCACGTGAGCTTGGGCAGAATTGGCATGGTTGGTGATCATCTGTGAGGGAGGAGGGTTATCCAAAGTGGGCTTTAAAAACAATTTATTTATTTTAAAGCCATTTAAATTTAGCAGTTTGGGGGGGTTGGATACCAACTTTAGTGACACTAAGGTTAGCACGTTCTGATAATGCACCACCATCAGACCAGCCAGAGTGGCCTTTTAGCCCAGATGTTGATTTCATTTTTAAATGAATCTCCTCCTCCTTTTAACAATAAGTCAGTTGTGTATTGCCAGGGTCTTTGCTATGTGGTGTAATATATTACTTAATGATTTTGCCTCTGATGTTGTCTGATAGTACCCTTAGCACACAAAAAGCCTCATATCCTGATAATGATCTCTGTGGGTCGATGCAGGTAGCCAAAGATGTATCTGTCAGATTGCACCACGAACTTAAGACGGTGGAGGAAAAGCGCGCTAAAGCTGAGGATGAAAACGAAACTCTCCGACAGCAGATGATTGAAGTGGAAATATCCAAACAGGCCCTCCAGAATGAGCTGGAGAGACTGAAAGAGGTAATCCAAAACTGTGGGGGTCCTGCCCCCTTGGATTTAATAAGGAGGAGCTTGGAACTCCAAGTGCCCCCTTCTCATTGTGGTCGAAAGCTGGGGTTGGCAAATCGTGGCCTGTTTGTTTGGCTCATAAGTTAGATTGTTTTTACATTTTTTTCCTAGCGTGGTAAACAAACAAGCAAACAAGCAAAACTCACAGGAAAGAAAGCCCCCAAAAGCAAAGAAGACTATGGATTCAATACTGTGTGATGCTTGCAAAGCCTAAAATATTTTCTATCTGGCCCTTTGCAGAAAACGCTTATTGGGCCCTGGTCTAAAGCTAGTTTTTGTAATTACCACTCAGATGAGCTGACCATTAATTCCTTTGATGTGTCCAAGTGGAGCCTATTATTGCTAGAATACAGAGTTAAGAAGTAGCTTTTTTCTCCAGAGTCTTCTCCAGTGAGCTGGAAAGTATGTTATGGTTGTCTGTTAAAGCTGTGTAAACAGACAATGTATGTAACACCACCTGTGTAGCTAAAATGAGTTAAATATAGACATTTTTAAATTGTAGGGAGTGATTTTTCTAGCAAAGTAGTCTGGAAAATGAATATATATTTTTTTCATTTGCATACAGCAATGCAAATCCTGTTTTGTTATTGACTTCCATTATAAGATTAAAGCTGAGTGTTTTCTTGGAAAATGTCCTGCATGTGTTGAAATTAAAAGCCTTTGGCGAAGGCTTTAAGCTCACAGTGAATTCTGGTGTGTTACCTGCACCTGCCAGCAGCCTTGCTTAGCGGCTCATTTTTCCTTTGGAACAGTTTCCTGATTCACACAGTTCTTCCCTATCCATGCCCCCTCCCATCTGCTGCACCTGGTTCCGGCCTGCATGGGCTCTGGGTAGGGTTGTGCATGTGCAGTGCAGGCCCTGCTCTCAAGGCGCCTCCAGTTCAGTCAGGCCCACAGATAACAAAACAAACAAATCACAGCAAAGTAGCAGGCGTGCCCCTCTCTGCTTCTGCCCCCACCCCTCTTCTCACAGCTGCCTCGGCCTCCCTGCTCTTCCCATGCATGCCCTCGCTGGAATGTTCTTTCTCCAGGCACTCACCTGTGGCTCATTCCCTTATCTCTTTCGGGTCCTTGCTGAGATTCACTCAGCCCCTCCCCTCAACACTCGTGAAAGTTGTCCCCATCTCCACCCTGGCCAGCCCTGTTCACCTTCCCATCTGACATACGTGTTCTGGGACATTATTTGTCTATTGTCACCGCTCATCTGACAATGCTGTGTGTTTTCTTTCTCTGTCTTTTATCCGTCCCCTCCTTTACTAGTGCCCCTTCGTATCACAAGCTCTGTGGGGCAGGGACAGGGGCTTTGTCTGGCTCACTGTGGGGCCCTCATGCCTGGAACAGTGCCTGGCACATGCTGGGTGGAGGAGTGAATGAAGGGGGCGGAGCATAGAGCTGTGTGATCAGAGCATGCCTGGGAGATGAGGTGGCCTCCCAGAGGAAGAGGTTAGCTTCTGGGAGCTTGCTTTCATCACAGGTAACCCTCACCCCTTAACTTAGACTTGTGTCTGCTCCCAGGACTCGAGGAATTTGTCCTCTAATTAAGGATCTCTGCCTCAATTAAAGTACCAGTTGCTGGTACTTTACTTCCCTCCTGTTCCTTTGTTCTAAGTTTGCTGGAATAATTTCCTTTCTCAGTTTGAGCCTGACCTCAACAGTTAGAGGGTATAGAAAATAGTTTACAGTTGACTCTGGAACAACGTGGGGATTGGAGGTGCGGGGGTCACCTCCTGTGCAGTTGAAAATCTGTGCATGTCTTGTAGTCCTAGATACTAGGGAGGCTGAGGCGGGAGGATTGCTTGTGCCCAGGACTTTGAGGCCAGCTTGGGCAACACAGCAAGACCCTGTTTCTTAAAGAAAAAAAGAGAAAATAATGTATATAGCTTTTGACTCCCCCAAAACTTAACTAATAATAGCCTACTGTAGACTGGAAGCCTTCCTGATAACATAAAACAGCCAATCAACACATATTTTGCATGTTGTATGTATTATGTACTGTATTCTTATAATAAAGCTAGAGAAAATAAAATGTTGTTAAAATCATAAGGAAGAGAAAATATATTTACTATTCATTAAGTGGAAGTGGATCACCGTAAAGGTCTTCATGCTCATAGTCTTCACGTTGAGTAGATGGAGGAGGAAGAGGAGGGTTTGGTCTTGCTGTCTCAGGGGTGGCATAGGTGGAAGAAGATTTGAGTATAAGTGGACTTTCACAGTTCAAAAGTATGTTGTTCAAGAGTCAACTGTAGAACTATATTTTATAAAATTTTATATGTGTATACATTTGTGTATAACTAAACATAAATATATATTTTAAGTAGGTGAAGATTCTGTTGCATACATTTAAATGGATTTGTGTAGGATTTGGCATCTCTTTGAAGGAAGAAATGATTATTGTTACTCTTGACATTCAAAAGCAAGGCCAGAGTGAGACAAGTATCTTCAGAGAACCTGATGCTGGCTCAGGGTGGATGTGAGGAGAGAACGGAGAGGGATCAGCCCTCCCTTTGTGGGTTAGAATTACTGAGAGGAATTGTTCCATTGGAATGAAATAAGTATTTTACTTCCAGAGTTGCATTCAGGGTGGTGGGACCGCATATTTACACCAAACTTCTAAATGAATCATAGAACCGACAGGAGTCCCAGGAGCGTTAGATGCTGGTAGATTAAACTGGAAGCAGAGAACGATGGTATCTCATGATACAAGGTTCAAAGGTGGTGGAGGAAATATTTATTGGAAAATGCCAGCTGCTATCTTTGTGAATGGGTTCTTTTTGCAAAAGCCAGTACAAACAGGCTGAGCTTTGCTCTGGGGTGAGGATAATATTTTTTCTATTGTGCGCCTCACTTTTTGTTGTTCACCTCTGGAGTTTTGTAAATGGATGTGTGACCTCCTGAAAAAGGCAAGGACAGTTCATGTGTTGTGTGTGTCTGAGCAGCAGCAGTTGTCGCAGGTGTGTGTGTGTCCCCTCGGCCTCAGGGGTCCGTGAGACAGCATCTCCATGCCTTCTCTCTGGAGCCACCACTCCCTTCTCTCTGAAGCCCTAGACTGTTTTCAGCTGCTTAGTGGACATCTCCAGTATGAGTTTTTCCTAGCACTTTAGACTCTGTTCAGAACAAACTCATCGCCCCTTGCCCCACCCTGCACCTTCTCTGTCTCCTATTTGTGAAACGGTCTCTGAGTCCTTTCAGTCCCCAAGGCCGATGATGGTGTTACCCTTAACCCTCTTCTCCCTTCTTCAGCCACTTGCTCAGTGCTGTAGGTTCGGCTTTTGCAGGCTTTAGACATTTCTTTCTCACTGATACCTGATAGGACATGGATGAACCTTGAAAATCTGCTAAGTAACAGAAGCCAGACATACTGTTCGATTCCATTGATAAGAAATATCCAGAGTAGATAAATTCATATAGACGGAAAACAGATTCATGGTTTCCTGGGGCTGGGGAGAGGGGAGAAGCGGGACCAACTGCTTAATGGGTAGGCGGTTTCCTTTTGGGGTGATGAAAATGTTTTAGAGCGAGATAGAGGTGGTGGCTGCACAACACGAGAATGTACTCAGTGCCACTGAGCTGTGCACTTGAAAATGGTTTGTTTTCTGTTACGTGAATTTTAACCTCAGCACTTTGGGAGGCCGAGGTGGGTGGATCACCTGAGGTTAGGAGTTCGAGACCAGCCTGGCTAACATGATGAAATCCTGTTTCTACTAAAAATACAAAAAATTAGCCAGGCGTGGTGGCGCACACCTGTAATCCCAGCTACTCGGGAGGCTGAGGCAGGAGAATTGCTTGAACCCAGGAGGCAGAGGTTGCAGTGAGCCGAGATCGCGCCATTGCACTCCAACTTGGGCAACAAGAGCAAAACTCCATCTTAAAAAAACAAAACAAAATAAAAACATTTTTCTTTCTCCACTCTATCCGTACTTTTACCAGTCCCCCACCTCAGACGAGTATTTGAGAGCTGAAAGTGTAGGCTGACCATACACGTTGAATGTGTACACGATTTCTAGTCCTTTCCTTTTGTTTTCTCTACATGCCAAAATTCTGAACATGTCACTCTGCTTAAACAGGCAGACTTGCCTTGGCTTGTCTTAACTCTTTTGCATGACACAGCAGCCTATTACCCCCTAACCCATCCCCGGCTCCCTGTTGGGTTTCCCACTCCAGGGCTGTAAACGTTGGCCTGAAATGGGAGAGCAGTTTAGAATGATGACTAGGACTGTGTGCTCTGATTCTTTTTGAACTACTAGAGGTGTATCTTTTAAAAGTTACTTTCTCTATTGATTAAAAAAAGGGCTGATCTGGCTAGAATTATCCCTTCCCACTAGCCAGCTTGCTTGCTGGCATCCTGTGCCTATTCACTCTTGGAGTCTGTGACCCTAGGCACCCACACGCCCTCTGCTTGTACAAAACTCAAACAATTTTCATCTTTTTTTTTTTTTCTGATATATTTCTTCTAGTATTCAACTCTACCTATAGTGGAATCTCTCAAAAAGTAGAAAATGGTTAACCTTAGCTTAGTTTCCACTTCTTAAAGATAGCCCTAATTCTTTCACTGAACAGTATTTCATTCTACCCCCAATTTTTAGAGTTCTATTACGTGCTAGACACAAATAACAACTAGCCAGGTTAGCCAGCACTTATACGGGACTATATACATGTTCTAGATCATTCCAGTGAGCTCAGGTTATTGAAAAGAGTCCGAGGGAACCAACTAAGAGACGACTTCTTGCGGCTGCCTTTCCTCAAGCTCAGAAAATGACATAGATTCCCTGGGTTTGGTTGAGACTTCTTTTGTGCATAGTAAATCATCAGATTTTGTAATGATTCCTGTGTGCTTGAGACGAATGTGTTTTGGGGTGCAGACTTTGATTTAAATCTGTTAGATTGAAGACTTCAATTGTAACCCACAGCAAAAAGGGCATCATCACTCAATATACAACTATACAAAGGTTTTACAAATACACAAAGGTTTAACAAAGTAATGCTTAACTTTGTCATTTGGGGTACACTCTGTTATTTTCCATTCAGCTAAAAAAATTTTTTAATGGTGGTTATAAGATTGATTTATAGTTCATTAGTGTGTTGTTGCAATTTGGAAAAATGTATTGACTCATTTGTTCGCTGTATTCAAATTTTCTATATCCTTTATAGCTTTTGGTCCCATTATAATTGCGCATTTTAATTTTATTCTTGTAATTTGTCAAACTTTGCGTTATGTATTTTGGTGCCATTTTCTTTTTTTTTTTTTCTTTTTTTTTTTTTTTTTGAGATGGAGTCTCTCTCTGTCGCCCAGGCTGGAGTGCAGTGGCACGATCTCGGCTCACTGCAAGCTCTGCCTCCCGGGTTCACGCCATTCTCCTGCCTCAGCCTCCGGAGCAGCTGGGACTACAGGCACCCGCCACCACGCCCGGCTAATTTTTTTTGCATATTTAGTAGAGACAGGGTTTCACCATGTTAGCCAGGATGGTCTCAATCTCCAGACCTCGTGATCTGCCCGCCTCGGCCTCCCAAAGTGCTGGGATTACAGGCGTGAGCCACCGCGCCTGGTCTTGATACCGTATTTTTAAGTGAAAACAGATTTAGGACTCTTCCTTGTGATGAGTTATTCCCTTTATCAGTTGGTAATGACCTCTTTATTCTAATGTATTGCTTTTTGCTGTAAATTCTTTTTTATCTGCTTTCATCATCTATACCAAATTTCTTTTGGGTAGTATTGGCTTGGGATAGCTTTTTTTTCTTTTTTTCTTTTTTTTTTTTTTTTTTTTGTCTTAAACAACAGACATTTATTTCTGACAGTTCTGGAGGCTGGGAAGTCGAAAATCAAAATGCTAGTCAATTTGGTTCCTGGCGAGAGCCCTCTTCCCTGCTTACAGATAGCTGCCTTCTTGCTGTGTTTTCACATGGCAGAGAGCATGAGGGTGAGAATAAGAGGAGAGAGAGAGAGAGAGAGAGAGCGCGCGCGCGCGCAAGAGCGAGCGAGAGAGAGCGAGTGCGCATGCGCGCGCGCAACAAGCAATGTTCTGGTGTTTCTTCCTCTTTTCATAAAGATATTAACCCCATCATGGGGCCAAGGCCCCACCTCCATAGAACATCACGCTGAGGGTCAGGGCTTCCACATATGAATTTGGGGGAGGGCATAAACGTTCAGTCCATAATAAGGGGGAGAGTGGAGGAGGCAAGTTAGGAGGCTTCTCCAGTAAATCCTTGAGAGAGATGGTGGTGGTTTGAACCCCAGGGTTTTGGTAATTCTTTTTAAAATTTCTTTAAATTTTAGATTCGGAGGCATGTGTGCAGGTTTGCTGCATGAGTATCTTGCATAATAGTGAGGTTTGGGCTTCTAGTGCACCCACCACCCGAACGGTGACTGTACTCAGTAGATAATTTGTTTAAACCCTCACCACCATCCCGCCCATTCTCCCCGCTTAAGGACTCCCCAGTGTCTATTATTTACATCTTTGTGTCTATGTTTACCCATTGTTTAGCTCTCAATTGTAAGTGAGAACATGCAGTATTGGATTTTCTGTGTCTGAGTTATTTGACTTAGGATAATGGCCTCCAGCTCCATCCATGTTGCTGCGAAAGACAGGGTTTCATTCTTTTTTATTGCTGCGTAGTATTCCATGGTGTATATATACCACACTTTCTTTATCTAATCGTCTATTGATGGATACTTAGGTTGATTCCATGATTTTGCTATTGTGCATATTGCTTCAATAAACACATGAGTGTAGGTATTTTTTTAATATAATTTCTTTTGGGTAGATGCACATTAATGAGATTGCTGGGTTGAATGGTAGTTCTATTTTTACTACTTTGAGAATTCCCTATACTGTTTTCCATAGAGCTGTACTAATTTACATTCCTACTAACAGTGTATAAGAGTTCCTTTTTCTCCATATCCATGCCAACATCTGCTGTTTTTTGATGTTTTAATAACAGCCATTCTGACCGGTGTTTGATGATATCTCATTGTGGTTTTAATTTGCATTTCTCTGATGATTAGTGATGTGGAGCATTTCTTCATGTTTCTTGACCAGGTACATGTCTTCAATTGAGAAATGTCTGTTCATGTCCTTTGCATGGCCTGGGATAGCTTTTCTATGGTTTCTTTAGTTTCATTTTTCTATGTCATTATGTTTTCAGTGTATTTCTTCTGAACAGAATGTAGCTACATTTTTTAAAAATGGGATCTGAGACTCTCTCTTTTTTAAACTGATAAATTTAATGCATATATAAGCATTGTGGCTACTGATGGTTTGAGTTTATTTCTGTCATTGCATTTTATGTTCTTTATTTTCCCTGCTTGCTCCTTCTCTCTCTCTCTCTCTCTCTCCCTGCTTCCCTCCCTCCCTCCCTCTCTCTCTCTCTCTTTCTTTGACTTCTCTTTGAGTTTTTAATTCTGTGTCTTAGTTGGGAAGTTATACATTCTATTTCTGTGATTTTAATGATCACTCACATGTTTAACATGCATGTTTGAATTGAAGTTTAAAACTAATCATTAGCTGTATTCTCCTCCTGAAGAATACAGCCATCTTAGAAAGCTTCAACTTTAATCAAATCTTGTCTTTCATATGTTTTAGTATCATTTTAGTTTCATCTTTTTAAAATGACCTTTTAAAAACTTATTTAATAGCTAATGCTTGTTTAGATTAATTTACAGTTAATTTAATTGCCTATTTGTTTACTTATCATTGCTTCTTGAGTGTTACTTCTCTGAGTTCAGTTTCCTTCTTGCTGATCTTTTAATACATCCTTCAGCAGTTTTTTTCAGTTAGCAGTATTGCTTTCATTTCATATTGTCTTGAAATCTATTTAGTTGGGTGTGGAATTCCAACACTTTGAAGATAATATTTTATTATCTTTTGGCTCATTTTGCTGTAGAGAGGTCTGCTGTCAGCATAATTTTTATTTTTGAAGCTAATCTGTCTTCCTGATGACTCTTATACTTTTCTTTTTGTGTTTGGTATTCTATAGTTTCAGTCCACTTTATCTAGATTTATTCTTATTTTGCTCAGCATTCACCGTCAGTCTGATTAAGTCTGTCATGAAATCTGGAGAATTCTCACTCCGAATAGTGTTCGATAGTGAAATTTTCTCTGAATTGTATTTCCTTTCATCACCTGTATTCTTTCTAAAACTTCTGCTAGTCCCATGTGGGGCCTTCTTATGTTGTCCATTCTTTTTTTTTTTTTTTTTTTTTTTTTTTTGAGACGGAGTCTCGCTCTGTCGCCCAGGCTGGAGTGCAGTGGCGTGATTGATCTCGGCTCGCTGCAACCTCCGCCTCCCGAGTTCAAGCGATTCTCCTGCCGCAGCCTCCCGAGTAGCTGGGATTACAGGTGCACGCCACCATGCCCAGCTTTTTCTTTTTGTTTTAGAAGAAACAAGGGTTTCACCATGTTGGCCAGGCTGGTCTCAAACTCCTGACCTCAGGTGATCCACCCACCTCAGCCTCCCAAAGTGCTGGGATTATAGATGTGAGCCACCACGCCCAGCTGGATTGCTTGCTTATTGTACTGTTTTTTGAGACAAGGTCTTGCTGTCTCCCAGGCTGGAGTCCAGTGGTGTGATCACAGCTCAAGGCAGCCTGGACCTCCTTGGGCTCAAGCAGTCCTCTCGCCTAAGCACTTTCCACCCCCACCCCCGGCCCCGAGTAGCTAGGCTAGTGCCACATGCCCAGCTAATTTCCGTATTTTTTGGAGAGACAGGGTTTTGCCATTTTGCTCAGTCTGGTCTCAAACTCCTGGCCTCAAGGGATCCTCCTGCCTTAGCCTCCCAAAGTGCTGGGATTACAGGCTTAAGGCCTGCCTGTTATATATTTTTTTTCATTGTTGAGTTTTGAGAGTTCTTTGTACATTAAGTTAATTAATTAAAATTTTTTTAGAGACAGGGTCTCCCTCTGTCACCCAGATTGGAGTACAGTGGTATACTCGTGATGTACTGCCACCTTGAACTCTGGGGCTCAAGGGATCCTCTGCCTCAGCCTTCTGAGTAACTAGGACTAGAGTTATACGCCACCGCACCCAGCTGACTGTAGAAAATCTTTTGTAGAGATGAGGTCTCACAGTGTTGCTCAGGCTGTCTCAAACTCCTGGACTCAAGTGATCCTCTCACTTTGGCTTCCCAAGAAGACAAATATATATATATATATATATATATATATATATATATATATATATATATATATATATATATGGTTTGCAAATATTTTCTCTTACTCCGTAGCTTGTCTTCTCATCCTCTTACAAGGTTTTCTCAGGGCAAAAGTTTTTAGTTTATGAAGCCCAATTTAAGAATGATTCCTTTTGTGGTATCAATTTTAAAAGCTCTGTGCCTAACCCTACATCCTGAATATTTTCTCCTATGTATTTTTTGGAAAGTTTTATTGTTTTACATTGCACATGTATGTCTGTGATCCATTTTGAATTAATTTTTGTATATGCTATGAAACTTAGGTCAAGCTTCATTTTTTTGGCCTGTGAACACCCAGTTACTCTGGCACCGTCTGTTGAAAAGGCCACCTTTCCTCCATCGAATTACTTTTGCATTGTTGTCAAAAATCAGTTGGGCACATGTGTTTGGGTCTGTTTCTGGGTTCTCTGCTCTGTTCCATTGATCTCTGCCAGAGCCACCCAGCCTTGATCACTTAGCTATATATGTCCTGAAAGTGCTTTCTTGGTGCGGAGTCCGTGCCAGCCAGCAGATCCGAATCCCATTTGATCCCTCAATGGCATTTTGGCCCACTCACCTCTTTGCCTTTTGGTATGTCTGTGTCTCTCTACACAGCCCCGTCCTTATGAAACGCTGGATAAATATTTGTTCCATGGGTGAAGGTTTTATCATCTTTATTTTTCCCTTGAGAAAGAGCCAAAACATTATTTAAAAATCTCTTGCTGAGGAATTTCTGATTCTTTATATCATTACCTAAGGATAGTTAATAAAGGCCAGTAATTCCACTGTAGGTCAAGTTTTTTGACAATGACTGTGAGTCATGAAATTGGCCTGTTTGGTTAGTGATAAGCGAAGCCGCTTCTGTTCATCAACTTCCTGAACGTCAGCCAGGCTCCTCGCTGGGCTTGGACAACGCCGGCTTGTCCCCTGTGCGCTGTACAGCTGCCTTCTTTTTATTTCCTGTGCAGTCTCGCCCACAGCACTGCAGGCTCCGGGGGACCTTTTAGGGCAGATTATGGCACCCTTGGGATGGCTACCTTGGACGCAGCGATGCTGTGTGAACATTACTTTGCAGACTTCCTGAGAGATTGAAGATCCATCTATTTCTCTCCTTCTCTAAGACAGCCTTTCTTGGAAGATGGGAATCTCTGATAATGTGCAGGGCGTTTCAGCATTTTACCTACACGTTAGAATGGAACCTCTGACTTGTAGTGAAACAGACACTGTGCTTGCTGCTTTTCTTAAAAATAATTGGCTGGGTGCGGTGGCTCACGTCTGTTTTCCCAGCACTTTGGGGAGGCCGAGGTGGGCGGATCACGAGGTCAGGAGATCAAGACCATCCTGGCTAACACGGTGAAACCCCATCTCTACTAAAAATACAAAAAATTAGCCGGCCGTGGTGGCGGGCGCCTGTAGTCATAGCTACTCGGGAGGCTGAGGCAGGAGAATGGCGTGAACCCGGGAGTCAGAGCTTGCAGTGAGCCAAGATTGTGCCACTGCACTCCAGCCTGGGCGACAGAGCAAGACTCCATCTCAAAAAAAGATAAAAAAGTAAAAAATAATAATAATGATAATTAAAATAGGCTGGGCACGATGGTTCATGCCTCTAATCCCAGTACTTTAGGAGGCCGAGGCGGGCAGATCACCTGAGGTCAGGAGTTCAAGACCAGCCTAGCCAACATGGTGAAACCCCGTCTGTACTAAAAATACAAAAATTAGCCAGGCATGGTGGCAGGCGTCTGTAATCCCAGCTACTCAGGAGGCCGAGGCAAGAGAATCGCTTGAACCTGGGAGGCAGAGGTTGCAGTGAGCCAAGATCGCGTCATCGCACTCCAGCCTGGGGGGCAAGAGCGAGACTTCGTCTCAAGAAAAAAAATAATAATTAAAATATAGACAGCACATATTTCTGAATAATTTAGACTTTCACTAGGCAGTAAACTGCATCAAATTTGTAGCATTGTCTGTGCTATGGGAAAAATAGAAACTACTGCTCTTCTCAAAAAAAAAATTTTTTTTTGAGACAGAGTCCCACCCTGTCACCCAGGCTGGAGTGCAGTGGTGTGATCTCAGCTCACTGCAACCTCTGCCTCCCAGGTTCAAGTGATTCTCCTGCCTCAGTCTCCTGAGTAGCTGGGATTACAGGTGTGCACCACCACACCTGGCTAATTTTTGTATTTTCAGTAGAGACGGGGTTTCATTATGTTGTCCAGGCTGGTCTTGAACTCCTAACCTCAAGTGATCCACCTGTCTCAGCCTCCCAAAGTGCTGGGATTACAGGCGTGAGCCACTGTGTCCCGCCTCAAAATTTGTATTTGATTCTCTTGGGGTCTGTTGAATTTATATGCTACAAGTCATGTTATTGATGTAATATAATTTAGGTAACTTTATTCTTTTAATCTTCATTTTTTTTGAGACAGGGTCTCGCTCTGTTGCCCAGGGATCATGGCTCACTGCAGCCTTGACCTCTTGGGCTCAAGGGATCTTCCTGCCTCACCCTCCCGAGTAGCTGAGACTACAGGCGTGTGCCACCACACCCGGCTAATTTTTTTGATTTTTTAAATTTATTTATTTATTTATTTTTTAGTAGAGACTGGGTCTCATCATGTTGCCCAGGCTAGTCTCAAACTCCTGAGCTCAAACAATCCTCCCACCTCAGTTTCCCAAAGTTTTGGGATTACAGGGGTGAGCTGCCGTGTTTGGCTAATTTAGGTAACTTTTATCTTCAAGTGCAGAATCAAGAGTCAGAGAAATAGAAATGCTTAGAAAATACTCCATAGGATTCTCTACGGCCTGAGTGCTGTTTCTTGGTGTTGCTCAGACTCAAGTGAGCCATCGTACGTTGAAATGGTATGATTATGAGCCAAATAAGCAAGTTGTGTTGTTTTTTTCTCCCTGGTAATAAAAAATCATTCGCATTGAAAAGACGCCGAGTCACCCATACATAGTTACACAGCCCAACTGAATGTCTCCCTGTTGGGCAGGTAATCAGGCAGCACTTGAATTCTGACCTGAGAATAAGCCCCAGAGAGAGGATGGACCCCAGGTGCTGGCAGGGTGCCGCTCCCCATGGCTGTTTGTACAGGGTGGTTATTCTCCCCTGAAAGAATGTTGGGGGTGGGGGCAGTTAGGTGTGTGTTTGTTCCTTGCATCGTAGATATGCTTTCGTGTGACCTTCAGCAGTGTTCCTGGGACAAGGGGAGCAGGAAATGGGGAGGGCATTCATCAGGCAGTTGGCATTTGAACGTAGACACTGTTCATCTTTGGGTGCGGATGTGCTCTGGTTGCCCAGGCAAAGCCGTGTTCATTGATCAGACATCTATCTGTGTACTGTTTAGCACTCAACAGTTGCGGGTAGACCGTTGCCAGTTGTTTTCGCATCACACGTGGCTCATCTCTCCTGGCAGGGGGGAGGAAGGTGAGAGCTGAGGACGCAGTGCCTGGGAGCCAGGGCGCAGGGCAGCCCTCGGGACTGTCAGACCACCTCGGGGGCTGAGGTGAGACGAGGCCGGGGAGTGTTTGATCTTCTGTGTTTATTCATGGGCATTAGTAAAGCTTTTTTTCATAAATGAGAGAAACAAAATCACTGCTGAAAAATCCTCCATGTATTGTTTCTGTAAACTATAGGAAACATTAAAATTTGAAGATGATATGGTTTTTCACAAGTGCCTGTCTGTATCTGTGTCGGCCTCATTTTTTGTTTGTTTGTTTGTTTGTTTTTGAGAGGGAGTCTCTGTCGCTCAGGCTGGAGTGAAGTGGCGTGATCTTGCCTCACTGCAACCTTTGCCTCCTGGGTTCAAGCGATTCTCCTGCCTTGGCCTTCCCGGTAGCTGAGATTACAGATGCCTGCCACCACACCTGGCTAATTTTTGTATTTTTAGTAGAGATGGGGTTTCACCATGTTGGCCAGGCTGGTCTTGAACTCCTGACTTCAAGTGATCCACCCACCTCGGCCTCTCAAAGTGCTGGGATTACAGGCGTGAGCCACTGTGCTTGGCCGTTAGTATCCTGTTAATGATTGAGAACCTCAAGCATTGGCACTGAGGAGGCTACAGGAGCGTCCTCGCAGGTGGGAGTGGGCCGGCCAGCTGGCTGGGTCAGTGGTGGGGCTTGGCCAGGCCGTTTTTACTTTTCAATCTTGAAGTAACACTCAGAGTTTCTTGTTTGTTTCCAAGGGTTCTCATGTGTAGGAATCTTGGTTTGGGTTTGGATATGTCGTTTTTATCTTCCCTTGAGAAAGAGCCATAAACATTATTTTGAACTTATTTGTAAACGAGGTTACTCACAGGGTCACCTAAGTAATAAGGCCCAGTTGTCATCTAACCCTCGTGGAAACATTACAGGTGAGGGTTGCTAGAGGAATCACTTGAGTAATCTGCTTGGAGCAGGGTTTCTCTGCTGTCGTTTTAGACTGGGTCCTGCTTCGTTGTGGGGACTATCCTGTGGACTGCAGGATGCTTAACGGTGTTCCTAGCCTCTGCCCACTAGATGCTGGTAGCACCCCCCCTCCCCAATTTGTGGCAATCAAGAACTCTTTTCCTCCTCCAACTCCGTTGAAGCTTTGGAGGGAAGAGTCATCGCTTGACCCTGAGTACTTTGTGTTGAAGGATTTCAACTGTCTTGAAGGATTTGTTTGACAAGATTGTGGGTTGGCTGCACAAGGTTTGTTCTAGCACCTTAGGAAAACTCTCTTGTCTCCCTTCTTACTGTCTCAGGTCACACCCTGCTCCGGAGCCATCCCCGTGAAGTCTCCAGCTTGGCTCATTATGTATTTTCTGAAGGGTACCCTGCATTTTCTAGCTGATTGATGAGATGGGTAGAAGGTGATACCCATGTTCACCTTTGCTCTCAACCTTTTGCAAAACACCCTTTTAAGTGACTCTAGATGTTTGGGCCCTTCTCTGTGGGAAGATTAGAGGGCGGCAGTGCCAGGAGCAGGTTTTGACAAGTGGTTTCTTGTGCCGTCACTTTTACTGAGGTGGTGAAAGATTGTACAGTGCGTGCCTGGGATCAAGCCCTTTAGCTGGTGATGCCAGGCCCTGGCTGCACGGTAGCATCCCTGCGGAGCTTTTAAGAATCCTGCTGCCCAAGCTACACCCTGGCCCCTACATCAGACCCTGGGGGTGGTGACCCAGGCATCTGTGGTTTTTAGAACTTCCCTGGTGGTTTCAGGTCAGCAGCAGTGTGCCTGCAGCATCTCCTTTACAGAAACTTAACAATTTTCCACCAGGAGAGGGTCTGGGAGTTGGTCAGATTAATGAAGGGTAAATGTAGGAGTTTCCCAAACTGGCGTTTTGTGAACATGAGGCTTCGGAGTCACTTGTTTGGACAAATGACCTCTGTCCATCAAAGCCAAGGCCCCAATTTAGCTAGGATATATAATTACTCTAATAAGTTAATAAGTTCACAGTCATGAGTTTTATATTTCCAGGACTACAGAAGTTGTAAAGGACAATAACTGTATGGTTTCCTGTTACAGTTTTCCTAAAGCAAATCCAAGGTCAGATTCTAGCATATGCATGAAGGTGGCCTTTGTCTATGGTGGATTTGAACCTGCCACTCATCAGTTCTACTCCACTCCTCTGCCACCTTCAGTTTCTTTTCTCCTCTGTCCTCTTCCCCTTTAGCTCAGCTAAAGAGCACACTGTTCTGGCTGTTGTGAAAAATGGCACTGAATCTGTGTGGCTCTGTCCTCTGGGTCACTGGCAGATGGAATCTAACAGGACAGGAACCCTTGCCGGAATGTGGGTGGTCTCTGACCTGTCCTTCCTGGCTGCCTTTTTCAAGCCATCCCCTTCAAAGGCCGGGTTTCATTTGATCCCTGCTGCTCTAGGGGTGGTAGAACACATTTTCTGTAAAGGAGGAGGTTCAGGGGAGTTTGCCAGCCTGGGCAGGCTTACTCTGTGCATTACTTCTGGAAATTCCTCTAGTTGGGGGGTGGGCATGGAGGTAGGGGTGGAAGTTGAATGAAAGCAGGAGATAGAGCGTGTGAGCTGAATGAGTGAAGGCCCGCTGAGAGCCACGGGCTGAGTGTTTCCCGATGCTCAAAGCAACTCAGTGTCAGGGCACACCTCCCCTTGAGAAACTCAGAGCTCAGGGAGAGTAGGTGGCGTGCCCCCGGTCATACAACTTGTGAATGGCAGACAGGACCTTGTGCCAGTAGGAGCCATTGACTGTAGGGGACAGAACAAATGCTTTATATATATTTTTTTTAACCAAAATATCTTTTCCTTTTCTGAAAAGAAATGGGGAAATTCAGCAGTATTTGTGTGAAATGTATAAATTTGCCTACTATCATATATTAAGGCTGTGTGTGTAGGAAATAAAGAAGACAAATAATTAAGTCCTTCTCCTCACTTTTTAATCCTGTGTCACATAAGCAGCCGGGGTATAGCTGCTTCCATGGACAAATCGTATTTCACCTGCTCTGCCATTGATTGAAAGGTACACCATTAGGAGAAAGTAAAACATGCTGCCAATTACATGATGACATGCCATAGATCATAACATGCAGCCTGATTTCAGAGATGTTAAAATGTGACATCATGCATCTTAAAATCAGTGAAATACGGTATGTGTAGATGCTCCTTGACTTATCATGGGGTTACATCCGATAAACCCATTGTAAGTTGAAACTATATTAAGTCAAAAATGCATTTAATACACTTAGCCTACTGAATGTCATAGCTCAGCCTCGCCTGCCTTAAACATACTCAGAATACTTACATTAGCCTACAGTTGGGCAAAATCTTCTAACACAAAGCCTGTTTTATAATAAAGTGTTGAGTGTCTCATGTATTTATTGCAATACTGTGCTGAAAGTGAAAAACAGAATGATTGTACAGGTATTTGAAGTCGGGTTTCTACCAGTAATGTTGAAAAGTTATACCTGGAACCATCATACATTGGGGGCCTTCTATATCCATGTATTTTTTTTTTTTTTTTTTTTGAGATGGAGTCTCGCTCTGTCGCCCAGGCTGGAGTGCAGTGGCTGGATCTTGGCTCACTGCAAGCTCTGCCTCCCGGGTTCATGCCATTCTCCTGCCTCAGCCTCCCGAGTAGCTGGGACTACAGGCGCCCACCACCATGCCCGGCTAATTTTTTTGTAGTTTTTTAGTAGAGACGGGGTTTCACCATGTTAGCCAGGATGGTCTCGATCTCCTGACCTCGTGATCTGCCCGCCACGGCCTCCGAAAGTGCTAGGATTACAGGCGTGAGCCACTGCACCCGGCCTATCCATCTATTTTTAAAGTTCCCTTGGATAAGCCCTATTATGCAAATATTCCTACCTGAGTAGAAACCTCAGGAGGCATGAGGGGATTTAAAGAGCTATTTGCTGCTATGTCTGACTCCAGAAGACTCCAGAAGACACCTTTTTGCAGTGTTCCTATGAGCTGCACTGGATATTGCCTGTAACTCTGCATGTTCCCTTCTACTGTGCAGTAAAGTTCTGGACGGGACATTCACACACAGGACGCTGGCATCACTCTTCACTTTCATCTTCAAAGCAACAAACCAAACTAAGAGAGTAGCTGATGTTCATGATAAAGTTTTCTTGAGCTCTTGCACTAGGCTCTGTTTTGACATTTAGTAAATAGCTTAAACAGAGACAGGGAAGTTTAAAGAGTTTTAAGGATGGGTTTAGAGAAAGCATTAAGAAGCTACCTGTGGTAATCTCACTTCGTACCTGTATTTAAAATTCACAGCTGGTTCCAACAGCTTCTTATATCTTTAACAAACCCTGGGCCAGGCAGTGAGGGGCATGTCACGGCCATGGGGTCTGGGCTGGCCATCAGGGTGCATGTTCTTGAAACTCTTCTCAGAACCTGATTGATAGCAAGTGAAATGAGCAGAAACCATCGAAGATGCCAAGCAGGTGACCAACGCGAGGGCAGCCAGGCATCTGGGATCTCCGTCAGTTTCCTCAGGACTGAGACGATGACTGAGGGAATGCTTTATAAACGATGCAGGCTAAGGATAGAGCACTGGGTTCGAGTCCCATGACATACCCATGGGGGGAAAGTAGCCCTTGACTACTTTCAGAACTGTTCAAGAACTGGGGTCGTGCGGGGCTCCATAACCAACTGCAGGACAGAATCTGCTACTAAACCAAGGTCATGGCCCATCTGACCCATGACTCCAGTTGGCCGGTGGGCTGGCTTTCCTGTCTGTTGCTTTATGGGGCCATGTGAGCATGATGAGAAAAAGTGAGTTTGGTTTAGGCAGCCATCATGTCAGTCTCGCCGGAGTGTGTTGGTCTCGAAGAATCAACATATGTTTTCATTTTTCTGATTTCTCCTTCAATAGTATTTAAGAAGCAACAGTTTAGTCAATAATTTCATAGCTAATATCATTTCCTTCCAAAAGAGTTTTGCCTGGTCTCACATTTCCAAACCAGGAGGCCTCTCCTTTCTGTTGGGTAGCTACGCAGTGGGGTGGGCTTCCTCTCACCGCAAAGCTTAGGGGCCCATTCCCACCTGGGATTTGAGGTTATTGGTGCAGTTTTTAAAAATAATTGTATGCATTAATCATCTGCTAGAAGGCAGTATTTGTTATTCTTATTAAGTTACTCTATATACTAATATTCTTTGGATTTATGGGTATTACACATGTGTTTACATATAGTAATTCCCAGTTTACATGTGGTGGGAAACTCATGAGTAAGGAGGTGATTTCTGTATTCTTTTGTAAAATCATTTTTGTAGGTACTTTTAATGTGAAGCCCTGTGGGTTTATAGCATGATTTTGAGGTGGTGCTCTTTCATATTTTGAGACAGAGATGTTGGCCAATGGACACCAATAATTTAAAAATGACCTTGGGAGAGATTTGGAGGTCCAGTTGACCTCATATGATTAGCGGAGAACAAAGGTGTGGCATTTCTTTTGCTTTCAGAATAGAAAATAGAGACACTTCTTTTGAGTTTCTCTTCCTTTTCCTCCCCACAACACAGTTTTGCCCAATAACTGCTTTTTAAAGTCAGGTTAGACCTACCTGGTGCATTGATAAGGACGCACTGCTTTGAGAGTGGATAGGGAGGCTCACAGAGTCCTTCTTGGCTAACTTCCACTCTGCAGCATCTATGACATCTGAAAACTAGGCTCAACAGAGTAAGAAACCACAAATTAAAACCTTGGGCAGCCAGTGCTATGTTGAAGCGAGAGTCCACTTAACTCATAGATGACATTCCTGAAGTCTGGACTTAGTATATTTTGGTGCATGTCACTTGTTCATCTAAAAAAAATCATCCTGGCCAGGCATGGTGGAGCACGCCTGTAATCCCAGGCAATTGGGGAGGCCAAAGTGGGAGGGTTGCTTGAGGCCAGAAGTTCGAGACAAGCTTGGGCAACATAGCAAGACCTTGCGTCTACAAAAATTAAAATTAAAAAAATTAGCCAGGTGTGGTGACATGTACCTATAGTCTCAGCTACTTGGGAGCCTGAGGCGGAAGGATCTCTTGAGCCCAGGAGTTCCAGGCTGTGGTGAGCTTTGATGATACCACTGCACTCCAGACTGGGCAACAGAGTGAGACCCTGTCTCTAAAAAAATTAAAAATTAAAAAACACCCTGAAATATGGGATGCTCAGGGGTGAGGATACTAGTCAGGAGCAGGCAGGGGCCTATTTCACCAGAAAGCACACCCTCCAAGCACGTTTGGGGTGGGCGTGCATGCGCGGTGGAAGAGAAGCAATACAGAAAGGTTTTCTGCTAGAATATGAATGCGCTTCCCCCTAAGAGTTCCTGTGCATATCTGCAGTGTTTATGAGACACCCTACACTGCCTAGGATTCTTCTTTTCATGTTAATAATAAGACTGCATCTTTCAGAGATCAACAACAACATCTTTCATATTCAGAGAGGTCAGAGTAATTGAGAAACTGGCAAGTTCAGGGAGAACACTGTGAAACAGCACTGTGTGATCATACAGCCTTCTGCTCAAAGGGGAGGTCTGTGTGTGGGTTTTAGTACTGATACCAAGAGGGCTGCCACAAATATCTGCATTAAGGAGATTGTTTTGTTTGTTTGTTTGTTCGTTTGTTTTTTTTTGAGATGGAGTCTTGCTCTGTCACCAGGCTGGAGTGCAGTGGCCTGATCTCGGCTCACTGCAACCTCTGCCTCCCAGGTTCAAGCAATCCTCCTGCCTCAGCCTCCCGAGTAGCTGGGACTAAAGGCGCACGCCACCACACCCAGCTAATTTTTTGTATTTTTAGTAGAGGTGGGGTTTCACCATGTTGGCCAGGATGTTCTCAATCTCTTGACCTCGTGATCTGCCCGCCTTGGCCTCCCAAAGTGCTGGGATTACAGGCGTGAGCCACCGCGCCCAGCCAAGGAGATTGTAAAGAGGAAAAGAGGAAATGAGAGTAACATTTCTTTTCTGGCTGTAATTGAAACAATTGCTTTGTCCTTGTAAAAGATGTTAATGTCTCCTGCAGCCCATCCTGCTGAGTGAATTTGGAGGCAGGCATCATAGTAATTGGTTAGTCAAGAAATAGTCGTATATTGCTCTTTTTACTCACTTATCTGTAAGTTGTTTTTAAAGCAGGTTGTTTTCCCTTTAATCAAAATCCAGTCTTTAGAGCTCTCTTACTCCTATGTGTTTAGAGAAGCAGGAACCCTCTGAAGCATCCGGAAATCCTTGAGAAACAAGACAATGGCCAAACATCAGTTTTATTTGTATGTTACAGCCCTGTGAGGCAGGTGGATTATTTTATCACCCTCATGGGACAGATACCATGCGGCCCAAGGAAATGAAATAACTCAATTTTTTATTTTAGCTTATTAATTAACTAATTTTTTGAGGCAGAGTCTCGCTCTGTCACCCAGGCTGGAGTACAATGGCACAATCCCAGCTCATTGCAACCTCCACCTCCTGGGTTCAAGCGATTTTCCTGCCTCAGCCTCCCAAGTAGCTGGAATTACAGGTACCCGCCATCACACCTGGCTAATTTTTGTATTTTTAGTAGAGACAGGATTTCACCATGTTGGCCAGACTGGTCTCTAACTCCTGACTTAAGGTGATCTGCCTGCCTCGGCTTCCCAAAGTGCTGGGATTACAGGGGTGAGCCACCGCACCCGGCTGAAATAACTCAATTTTAGATTACTCCTTTTATGAAGCTGTGGGACTCTAGGCTTCCTGAGGGCAGGGGCTGTGTGGTATTCCTTGTGGAATCCACAGCCATAGCCCAAGGCAGCACCTGGGATGTCCTAGTTGCCCTTACATTTGTTGAGTTGAGTTGAAAAGTGAACACCAGATCAGATCTTTTGCCTCTTAGGTCTTCTCACCACAGACTCTGTGTTCTTTCCACAAAGCAACCCTAAATTGTCCCCTTTTACATAGGACAGTACCAGAGCCCAGAATGGTGAAGGGACATGGCCAGGATTTTCTTGAGTCCCCATCAAATGTTCTTACTGTACAGCTTCATGCATGCAGGTACTTGGGGATGGGGAACACTTTGAAGTGGGATGGGTGGAAGGAGTTTGAAGATTGTCTGCATGAAGTTAGATGTCTGGACTGCAGGACCCTGGTTCATTACAGTGTGTTAATTACTCAGGAATAATTATGTCTGGCTGCCTGGCTGTCCTTTTCCCTGCCGTCCATGTGGAATTAATGAGAACACTTTGGTTTCAGTCATTCATCAATGTTCTTTGTTCAGCTTCTGCTTTCCTAACTGCAAATAAATTGCTTATAATAGCAAGTACCTTTTATTCTATTGTTAACACTTGAGAGTGTTTAAAGGATGGGTTTCAATTGGATTCCTTAATAGAAGGAACTGGCTGCTTTTCCAGGGCAAAAATTACCTGAATGGCAATAGCAAACTGTGCAACTAAGTAAAAGATTATGGGATGGGAAACATAAAAAGGATATAACAGCTAAATGGAAAACTGTGACTGAGCACCAACTCATGCACACCCAAACCAGGAAGGACAGGAAGGAAATAAGAAAACAAAAATGATTTACTTTTGTGCCAAGCAGCACAGACTCGCAAATCAGTTAATGGGTACGGTAAATGATGATGTGCTTGCTGTTCGGGAGTTTATTTCTCAGTGGACTTGGTGGCCATCCAGGAACTCATCAAATCAACTTAATGGAGAGTTAAATGGCTCTTGAAACAAGCTGGCTTGAAGCAGCTGGGAGCCAGGGCCTGTGTTCGCTTGACTTAGTGTGGCTCCGCCGCAGGGTGGGCATCCTCTGGCAGAAGAGCTTGTTTTTCGCAAGGAAGAGTGGGTCTGAGGGGAAGCTGCTGGAAAACAGTTGCCTGTGTCTCCAAGAAAACGCCTGCTTCCTTGATCCTATTCAGACCTGCCCTGGTGTCCTCAGGAGCTCTAATGCAGGGCAAAAAAAAAAAGCACTGTGCTATGGAGCCAAGCCTAATGATCTTCAGACAGGCAGAAGCCAGTTCTAGATAGGACAAAAAAAATCCCAGTTTGGTGGGAGTATGTAGGCAGGTGGGACACATACCTGGTTAAGAATTTTTGTTTATTATGGAGAGTTTCAAACATATACAGAGAATAATGTAAGGATGCGTGAGATACCTGTCTCCAACCTTTCCACAGACTGCTTTTATCTGTTCCCTCTCCTGCTCTCCCTCTCTCCCTCTCTCCCTCTCTCCCTCTGTATTAGTGCGTTCTCATGCTGCTAATAAAGACGCACCTGAGACTGGGTAATTTATAAAGGAGAGAGGTTTAATTGACTCACAGTTCCACATGGCTGGGGAGGCCTTAGGAAACTTACAATCATGGCAGAAGGGGAGGCAAGTCCTTCTTCACATGGTGGCAGGAAGGAGAAGTGAGAGCTGAGCAAAGGGGGAAGCCCCTTATAAAACCATCAGATCTCCTGAGAACTCACTCACTATCACAAGAATAGTATGGAGGAAACCACCCTCATGATTCTGTTACTTCCATCTGGTCCCACCCTTGACACGTGGGGATCATTACAATTCAAGGTGAGGTTTGGGTGGGGACACAGCCAAACCACATCACCGTCGTTTCCTTTATGCTGACTATTTCAAAGCAAGTCTCAGATACCTACACACGTGTTATTTAGTACTTCTGAATTTCTTATTTTTGTATGGAAAATGTAAAGCATATAACAAATGGAAGCAGTCCATGGTTTATACAGTTTTCCCTTAACAAAGCTCACCTTTAGGGAGGAAGTGTGACACCAATAATATGACTACAATAATACTGTGGACTTTGAAAACACATGCACCACTCATGGACCTGTATGCCTTTGACTTTCACTTTGAGGTTGGCAATAGAAGTTATTACTGTTGCTTTTCTACTTATCACAATTAAAACTGTATCACCTTATTAAAACTATTTAGAAAATTTGAATGAGTTACTTTAACTACTTGGGAAAATTGAGTAATTTACTTTAAACTGCTTTTGGTGGAGCTGCAGATGGAGAAGTCCCGTGTGGAGGAGCTAGAGAAGATAGTCTAATTGTGATTCATTGATAGTTTCCTGTTCCTTAGTACAGGACATTGTTCTAGCTGGCTAGTAAGGCTGAACAATTTTTAAATGACATATCCACATGCAAATATATAACATACGTAAATGAATTGATAAATGTAATCACATGTTACATATTGGCATTTTATGTTTTCCTTTTCTTTACTTTTCCTTTTACTTGCATGATTCTGTCTTTCCCAGCACAGTATAGGTCCAGTCCTAAGCACAGAAGGTCTTAGTACTACAGATAAATATATTAGTTTACTATTGATGCTGTAACAAATGACCACAAATGTAGTGGCTTAAAACGACACAAATTTATTGTCTCATAGTACTGTCGTTCAGATGTCTGAAGTGGGCCTGCACTAAAATGAAGTTTTCTGCAAGACTGTGTTCCTTCTGGAGGCTCTAGGGAAGAATCCATTTTCTTGCTCATTCCAGCTTCCAGAGGCCATCTACATTTCTTGGCTCATGCCCTCTTTCTTCATCTTCAAAGCCAGCAATGGCGGGCTGAGAGCTTTCCCTGCCATTTGTCTGGTGCTCTCTCCTGACTCCCTCTTTCATTTTTAAAAACCCTATGATGGCATTGGGTCCACCTACATAATGCAGGATAATCTCCCTATTTCAAGGTCAGCTGATTAGCAACCTCTACTCCCTTTGCCGTGTAGCATGATACAGTCACATATTCTGTGGATCAAGGACGTGGATATTTGAGGGGCATTATTCTGGCTACTATAGTAGGAAAGCAAAACTTCAGAGCTGGTGAGGTTGGAGTTCATTTATTCTGTCTTACATTTGCATAGTTGAGAAACTGAGGCCCAGGGCATACCATTTATTCTGCATGACTGGATACTTCCAAATCTTCATCTAATCCTAGGACGGCCCTTTGAAGTGGGCATTTTTATATTTCATTTTTATATGTCTTTAAGATAAGAAAACTGAGGCTTGGAGTAGCTAGCAAACCTGCCCTAGGTCCCATAGCTAGCAAATGACAGAGAGCTGAGTCTCACAGCTGTGACTGGCAGCTGCCCGGGCCCACTGGCACCCTTTCCGCCGCTAGCTAGGTGCATGCGGTTAGCTGCCAGGTCTCCGGTTTCCCGGCTGGCATTCTTCTCCTGTTCTCCCATTCTGCTCACTCACATTTGCCTCCAGTGACATGAGTAATAATACATTTTCCAGAACTTCCTCTTTGAAAGATTGAAGTATCATCGGTGTTATCAAACCTTTTCAATTTTTGTAGCTTCTGACTTCCTTCTTTAAGGGACACTGTATATTCTTCATCCCCTTGGAACATTAATTTTATTGTGTTACTCAGTTCAAACACATCAGATTTTTGTGGAAATTCTGAGATAAAAACTTCTCCTGGTTTTCATTTCTCACCCTGCTTCCTGCTGCTTCTTGTGACTACGTCCCATATTTTTTTATATTTTTATCTTCTTTCTGTTTTTAATTTTCTTTTCTTTTCACAGGTTTGGATACTTTTTTTAGAGTGTATGAACCTGATTTGTAACTGTCCCATTTAAAGCATGGTATGGTTTTTTTTGAGTAGCATCTGTTAGGTTTTTCAAGTAGCATCTGTTAGGTTTTTTGAGTAACCACCACAGCCCCCTTTATTCAAGACGGGGGCACTCACCTGGTGGTTTTCTTCTTGTTGCAAGGATGTGGGTTACACCAAACTTCTCTATGAGAGTCCTCCATCCTGCCCTCCACCCCCCGGAAGTTCCCTGGCTCTGACGACTAGAGGCTTATGCAGGGAGTGTTTGGGAGGGGGTGGCCCTGAGCAGGGCAGCCAGCCCCCCTGAGCTGTCCGGCTGTGGCCTTCTGTGGTCTCCACAAATCCCATGATCTGCAAAGACATTACAGCTGCCAATGGAGGATCAGAGCAGTGAGTTCACCTCCCACCTCCTGATTTTGAGAGGCTTTGGGAATTGGAGATTTTCAGTTATAAGTAAAGTTCATGACCTCATTATTTTTATGATTAAAAATCAATCATTATATATAAAAAGAATGTATATTTTATGTAAACTAAATAATTTAAAGAATAGTAAAAAGAATACCCATCTTAGGAAATAGAGCATTATCAATTGGTTGCCAGATCCAAGTATGTCTGTCCCCCATTAATGGTGTTAATTTTTTTCTTGCTCTCCTTTACAGTTTGCCAACAATGTGTGTACCCCTCGGATGTATATTGTTTAGTTTTCCTTATTTTTGAATAAACCAAGAGACGGAGTCGCACTGTAGCCATCCGTCTGCGGCATACTTCTGTCACTTGGCGGTATGCTTGTGACATTCTTACATGCTGATGCCGGCAGCTGGAGTTCATTCATTTTTACTGTTCTTTATCATTCCGTTGTCTGGATGTACCACACATTATTAGTCTCTTCTCTTGTGTTTTGGGTTGTTCGGGAGCTTCCAGGTTTTTGTTATTACAAAACATGTGTCTGTGAACATGCGTCACTGTTCGTTTCCCGGTGCCCACGTGCAGCAAGTTCTCTAACGTGTGTTCCCAGGAGTAGATGTGCAGGGCCATAGGATGTGCACATGTTCAACTTTTATCTTTTTATTTTTAACTGTGGTAAAACATACATGACATAAAGTTTATCACTTTAACCATCTTTAAGTTGCAGTGCAGTGGCATTAAGTACATTCACATTGTTGAGCAACCGCCGTCTATCTCCAGAACTTCTTTCATCTTGCAGAAGTGAAACTCTGTACCCATTAAACAACAAGTCTCCATTCTTCCCTCCTCCCAGCCCCTGGCAACCACCATTCTATTTTCTACCTCTATGAAACTGCTATTCTGTGTACCTCATATAATTGGAATCATACAGTATTTGTCTTTTTGTGTGTTTGGCTTATTTCGCTTAGCATAATGTCCTGAATCCATGCTTGGTCCACGTTGCAGCATGTGTCAGAATTTCCATCCCTTTTAAGGCTAAATAATATTCTATGGTACTCCACATTGAGTTGATCTGTTTATCCATCAATAAACACTTAGGTTGCCCTCACCTATGTCTGTTGTGAATGAGCTGCTATGAACGTGAGCATACAAATGTCTGTTCAAGTCTCACCCTCAGTTCTTTTGGGTGTGTACTCGGAAGTGGGATTGCTGGATCAGATGATACCTCTACTTTGAATTTTTTAAGGAACCGCCCCACTGTTTTCCACATGGCAGCACCGTTTTACACTGCCATCAGCAATGCACAAGGCTTCCAATTTCTCCACATCCTTGCCAACTCTGGTTATTTTTTGTTCGGTTGTGAGGACTTGAGGTGAAATATCTAAAGTGCTGAGGCTACTTAAACAGGGGCTGTCACTCTTATGAGCATTGTCATTCTTTGAAGTGTGGAGAGGGGGAATCCCATGGATTTGAATCTAGAAACCCTGGATATGTTAAAGTGGGCATTTTCTTGTCCTATGTGGAGTAAAAATAAGATAGAGGATACCTTGGTTTTCCTTCTTGCACGGAAGCCTTCTCTCGAGCTGCACTGTGGTGTTTGCAAACCCTGCTGACAGGGGCCCCTGCACTGCTCCCCATCTCCTGCCCATGTTGGTGCAGGAGAGAGGGGGTCTCCACAATGTGCCAGAGCTGGGCCTGGGCAGTGATGGATGTGGATTATGGATGTGGGATTATTAAACAGATAATTATCTCATTATATCAAACAACAGTCATGAATATATACCCGAGGACCGCGTGCACCTACAATAAATGCAAAAAGGGTGGTAGGAGTGGGGGCAGTTCTATTCTCAAAGAAAGGAGACAAAAGTGGAATGGGACAGGGAAGCCCATTTAAGATTTAGCTGGAGAACCTGGACTGCCAGTTCCGTCTCTCCACCCACACTGAGCATCGTCACCTGGGGCCTGGGTATCGCGACGATGCTCACCCTTCCGATGTCCTGTGTTGGCCCGGCTCTTCCAGGTGGAAATCAGAGATGGTCAGCTTTTTGGAGAGACAGGTCCAGAGCCCACACCATGCCTCTTGTGGTCTGGACACCACTGGTCCACACAGGTACTGACTCTGTCTTTTCTAGTACGGCTGCAACCAAGGGCCCACCCACTGAACGGCTTCAGAACCTGAAGCTTATTCTTTCACAGCAGTGGGGACTGCAGTCCAAGATCAGGGTGCCTGCAGGGCATGCTATCTGGAAAGGCCCTAGGGGAGAGTCTGTTCCATGCCTGGTGCTTTGCTCCCTGGCCTGTGGTGGGGGCTGCAGTCCAAGATCAAGGTGCCTGCAGGGCACGCTGTCTGGAAAGGCCCTAGGGGAGAGTCTGTTCCATGCCTGGTGCTTTGCTCCCTGGCTTGTGGCTGAGCCACCCAAATCTCTGCCTCTGCCTTTGTCATCACACAACCTCTTCCCTGTGTGTCTGAGTCTCAGCTGCCTTCTCTGTGTGTGTGTCTCGTCCTCAGCTTATAAGGACACCAGTCATCTTGGATCCGGCCCATGCAGTCTAGTAGGTCCTCCTCTAAACGTGCAAAGACTCTGTTTCCAAATAAGGCCATATTCCCCAGCACTGGGGGTAGCACTTGAACATATCTTCTTGGGGAAATAGTTCAGCCCACAACATACAGGAAAACAGAGAAGCTGAGTAAGCCCTAAGGAAGTCTCGCTGGAATCTGACACTGCCCTGCCCTGCGAGGACAGGATCAGTGGGCTCGCATTTTCTGTTTTTTGTTAATAATTATCTGCATTGTGTTTTTCCTGAGTGGCTCCAGATGGATAGCCTCAGCAGCCCTGCACAGGCTCCTGTCCTCATTGTGTCCTCCTTGTGTGCCCCATGCTGGAGTCCCACTGGCAGGTTGTGAGGAGAGCTGCCTGGTTGTCACCCACACACCTAAGCTCTGTGTCCTACCTCCAGGTCATGTTGGTGCCCCTGGTCTTCCGTCCCCAGACCATACCCCTCAGAACTGCTTGTGGCCGCCTCACTTGGGGCTCTGCACCCCTGTCAGCTCTCTCCCTCACACAGTTTCCTGGTTCTGCCCTGTTGCTTTCTAGTCTCTCTGCCTGCACTGAACTGAGGTGCCCAGACCTCACACCAAGCCGGACCCCTGCCCCCATCCCTCCCCTGCAGTCAGTTTTGCACAAAGCTGCCAGGTAGGTCTTCTTGAAGAGGCCTCACAACACTAAATATATTCGTATATTAGTAGGTGCCAAGGCAGGAGGATCGCTTGAGCCCCCAGGAATTGGAGACCAGCCTGGACAACATAGTGAGACACCATCTCTACCAAAATTTAAAAATTAGCCAGGCATGGTGGCATGCACCTGTGGTCCCAGCTACTTGGGAGGCTGAGATGGGAGGATCGTTTGAGCGCGGGAGATCAAGGCTACAGTAAATGATAATTGTGCCACTGCATTCTCACCTGGGTGGGTGACAAAGCAAGACCCTGTCTCCAAATATATGTATGTATGTGTATATATATATATGCACACACACACACATATACACACATATATATATTCTGAATATATATATTCGTGACTCCCCGAAATAAATTCAGTTTATATATATGTAAATAAATTCTGAAGACTCTACATGTGTGTGTATATATACATATATATTTTTGTATTAACGTTAATAGTAATATTAACATGAGTTCAGGGTATTAGCCAGTTCTGTCTTTCGGGATGAAGTCACTGGATTGAGGCAAGACTTCAGTGAAGGAAGCCATGTGGTTTGTAAAATGAAACTGACAGGGGACCTTTGTATCTTATGTTCAGGTGATCACAGCTCCTTCTTGGGGGTCATCACAGTCACCTAAGAGATTGAGTTCCTTCAAAGCAGTTTCTTGTGCACAAGGACAGATGGGGTGTCCTCTGTTCACTCTGCTAGCACATGATGCTGCCGTCAAAATGGCACACATCATCTCTACTTTTAGTTCTGTTATAAATGGAGACCCTGGACTTGCCTCAGATGACCTTGTGAGATATTTTATTTGTTTGGCAGCATTAAAAGGTGGAGCCTTCGATCAGCCAGCAGCATTTTCCATTCCTGGGACATCCCTTCTTATGCAGCATCTGCAAGCTCATTTCATAAAGGCATGGGAGAGCAATTGGAGAATGACAGGTGTGCTGTGGCACCCCCAAATGCAGTTGCCGCTGCCTCAGGCCTTACCAGTAATGACACTATATCAGGGTGGGGAGGACAGTAGGGACAGGTTAAGAGTTGGCCAGCCTGGGGCTGCAAGCCATGCTGTCACCATAGCAGGAGGCAAGGTGTATGGAGAGGCCAGGCTGGCTGCGGACGGACCACATGGATCTAGGGTCCTGGCTCAGGGTGTTCGATGCACTCTGAAGGCAGAGGGTGCTGTGGTTGAAAAACCACAGGAGGTTTTTCAAGGGAGAATGATATGGGCAGTTATATCTTTGGAAGGTAAGTGGAGGAAGAGTGAAGTGAGAAGACAGAGCCAGTGGAGAGGCTGTGGCCGTGGCCTAAGTGAGAAGAAAGCAGAGCCTGAGCTTGGGCAGATCCAATGGTGGGCCCGAGAGAGTGACAAGAGCACAGGGATGGGGTTTGGCCACCTGTAAATACCTGTAAGCACAGTGCCTCCCACTGGCCCTGGCCCTGGACCCCAGCGAACAGGGCTTAGGGCATGATCCTGGATCGTACAGACATGGGGGCCTATTCTTTCCTTGGCAACTATGGGACTTCGGGCAGGTTGCTTAATGGCTTGAACTTCAGTGTCTGCAACTGTAAAACTGAGTTGTTGGGACCCAGCTATAAACTTGTTTCGATGTTTCAGTAAAATAAAGCTTTGCTCTAAGAGTAACTTTACTACTAAGACTAACATAAAACTGTATTTTCAGTTTGTTTCTGTTAACCCATAGGGAATATTAAAGTTGCTGTTAGCTGGATGGTAATGTCATTTTATTTTTTATATTTGTTTTTATTTTTATTTATATTATTTTGAGACAGAGTCTCATTCCATCACCCAGGCTGGAGTGCAGTGGTGTGATCGCGGCTCACTGCAACCTTTGCCTCCTGGGTTCAAGTGATCCTCCCACCTCAGCCTCCCACTGAGAAGCTGGGATTACAGGCTCATGCCACCACACTGGCTAATTTTTGTATTTTTAGTAGAGACAGGGTTTCACCATGTTGGCCAGGCTGGTCTCGAACTCCTGACCTCAAGTGATCTGCCCGCCTCAGCCTCCCAGAATGCTGGGATTACAGACGTGAGTCTCTGTGCCCGGCCAGTAATGTCATTTTATGTCTTTCCCTGGTGTGACTGCCTAAGCGAAATATGCCTGGAGAGAGCCCGGTCCTGGAGGGTGCCCCTCCTCCAGGGTGGGGCCCCACCTGCTGCTCTCTGTGCCCTGGGCACCATGCAGAAAAGGCTGGGCAGCTCGGGCCAGTGCATTCTGCGCTTGTCTCCTGGCTGGCTGGAGGTGCAGAGGAAGGAAGGAAGTTTCTATCTTCTAATCAGATGGAGGGCAGGGAGGAGGTGTTGAATGCTACCAGTTCTTCCTTGGGGTTACCAACCTGGACCCCAAATGCCTATATCCAGAGGACACTGCCCTGCAACGGTCTTGAGAACATTTTTCTAGGCATGGGAAAAGTTGTAACAAGATTATGAACATGCTTTTTGAATGCATTGCAGTTATAATCAGATTATGTGTCTGATTTAAGGGAGTCTTGGCTTATAAGAGTGCTTTATTTTCATTACAGGGAAATGACTTGCTGGTAAAACTGAATTTATTTCCGGGAGTCCCAAGCTGGTCCCCCTTTGGCATAGCTGGGAGTGAGGCCTGCAGTTGCCTTCTCTGGATGCGTTGATAAAGTTACTGGCAAGGCGGCCTGAGTGCTGGGTAGGGTGGACAGATGCAGTGTGCACCGTGGCCAGGCCCTCTCGTGCTCCAAGGAGGAGGAGGATGGGGTGGACAGTGCCCTGGGCAGCGGGCCCCCAGAAGGACCAGTGGGTGTGGGCATCTGACTGCATGTGTGCATGACTCATGCACACATCTTTTCCGCACATGGACTGTGTCTGGATTCTGTTGAGAACAAAATATTTATGCAAAAAAGGTCTGTAAGGCTCAGGCTGCTGATGACTTTGCACTTTCACTTGGATGTTTATGTAGAATTTTCGACATGTTTGGACATAGCTTGTGTGTGTTCTGTCAAAAGAAGGCTCCAGAAGGATATTTCACCAGGTCCTCAGTTGTCTGTTTTAAGTTTTGCATGCGTAGACATTAAACATGCCTCTTTTGGTGACCACCCAGGAGTGAAACGCGATGCTTGATCTGTGCTTCTGAGGATGTAAGTGATGTTGCCGCTACTGTTACTGCTCAAAAGTGGGCCACCTAAATCCTTCCAGAATAGAATGGTATTGTTTTGGGACAAGATAACTGACATTTTGTGCTATAGTTTCTCCCTGGACTGCAATTTTTGACACTCATGTCATCAACACTCTAAAAACAAACGCTTTTTGGTTTTGAGGGTTTTAGCTCCATTCCCTTCAATAGTCAAGGAAATCCGAGGTGAATTTTCTCATTGGTCTGAGTCACCTGGTCCAGTGCAGGACGGGGTAGGTGTGAGGCAGATGTGGGGGGTACAGTTGAAGTGAGGTTGGCTGCTGTTGCAGAAGAGGGGGACATCACAATACAAAAACAATCTTTTTTGCTGTTATGAAGACTAGACGAGGTTAGAAATGCTCTGAGTTGGGGCAGATGGAGCCGTGGGATTCGCTTGTGAAAGTTGTTTCATTGACCTGCACACGAGGTGTTGAAGACTTAGCTCAGGGCAGCGGTGACGCGGAAAAGAAACGTTTAAGGCCAAGCTGCTGCAGACTGCACTTTCACTTGAATGTTTGTTCAGAATTTTAGCATGTTTGGACATAGCTGGTGTGTGTTCTGTCAAAAGAAGGCCCCAGAGGGATATTTGAAAAGAGGTTGTTGATAAATCTATAAGGCTGAAAGGTAAAGAAGGAGCGGGATGGAAAGGACCCCAGAGCTTTGACTCTAGGACATCCCGATGACAGAGATAGAGATGGCTGATTTGGGGAGAAGAGGGCCAGGTCAGCATTGACTTGCTGAGTATGAGATAAAACTAAATATAATCCAGTGTTTTAAGTTAGAACATTAAAAAGTTTTATTTTGAGTAAGATGTGTAAATATTGTGACTTTATAAAAAGTCATCTGCCTATCCAAAGTACTGAGCAGTGGTTTTGAAAAATTTGTTAAAGTTTTCTCTTTTACTATTTAAACTTCCATGTACTAGTTGAATAGGAACTGATAGTTGTTAACATAACTTTTAAATCGAATTTTTTTTGTGTTATTGCTTTCTTTAGCAACTGTGCCTCTCTTTTTTATGTTTGATTTGAAGGAAAGTTTTAAGAAGGCCTGGCCTGGCACTTGTCCCAGAGGAATGCATGTGGCATAGCAAGTTAAAGAGTGCAAATGTCTGCTGTCTTAGAGGGCTGAGTTTGTATGCTACAGACCCACAGAGTATTTCCAAGGTTCTTGGGGGGTAACTATTTAAAAATCTTTCTTGTTACCATCCCAATTGTTAAACACAATAGAATGATATTGAAAAATATTGTCATAAAGACAGTCTAGAAATGATGAAGAATCAATTCAGCCACTTATCAGATGCTACCAGTTGCTCCTGGGGTTCAGGCACCCTATTGCTGGGTGCGTAGGCTATTTCTACAAACAACATATCCCCTGCCTCCAAGAGGAGTGACACAAGGTGGCTCTGGGCTTTGGACAGTGCACAGTGAGCCATAATGAGGCCTGAGTACAGTGCCACAAAGAGCTGGACATGAGCAACCTCAGAAAATACAGTGGGCAAACAGGCAAATGCGTGGAGACGTCGCCGTATCGAACATGGCCATCCTGACCTGCTCCTGTATAAAGAGGATGGTTTTTACTATAGACCCCTAAGGCTATAAGACCAGGTGGCCTCAAGCAGAGCCACAGCAGCCCACAGAAAGAGATGAGAGTAGAACAAATAATCCCGAACTTCTGGCACAGACAGAAGTCTTCATGCACATTCATACCTGGACCCAGGGAAGCCCAACATGGGTGAGAACGTTTTCATAAAATGCTAAAATCATTGTTTAAAATAGCCAGTGCTACATTCCACTGTTAGAGGCATGGCCTTCTAATCCAGTTGTTTACCTATGAATCAACTATGATGTCAATTTTTTAAAAAATGGGAGACACTTATTGTTTGAAATAAAGGTATTGACAGATCTGGGATTTGATTTTACTGTACTCACAAGCTAACAAGCTAGCCTCCTACCATTCCGTGGATGCTGGCAGAAGACATGAGACTCCTGGATCAGAGACAAAGGACTCATTACTCAGGGCACAGCAGGCAGCATCAGCACAGTCAGTTTTCCTTGTCCCCACATCCAGTAAGCATGACCCAATGGGCCCAGATGGATGCCTTTGAAAGACAGTCCAGCTCTGCCCTGACTCCCTGGTCCTTTTTACCTGGTGACATCAGAGAGCCCCTGATGTGAGCTGTGGTGTCACAGCTGGGGAACACTGAGCCTGGAGAACCCACCATGTTATAGCCATTTTATAGTAAGCAAGCCTGCTCTTTGTTGCAGAGGGAGACATCACCTCAGCCATCAAGGTTTCTCACTGCAAACACGGTCCTGAGAAATAGTCCAGGTAGTGTATGGTTCCAGCCTTGCATTCACGACACACCCAGCAAGCTGTGTAGGAGTGTAAGAGGCCCATGAAGACTGTCTCCTAGTGACATAAATATATAAAAATAATGATACTGTAGGTAAAAATCTGAGAGGACTGTTACAATTTGTGACTGTTAATATGGGACCATTTCATACCATTTGGTGATATACTTCAAATTTAAAATATGTATTAATTCTTATTTCAAACTGAAAATTTTATTGCTTTTCATACAGACTTACGTGACAAGCAACTGGTTGAAATTTTCCCCCTACTTCCTATTTATTTATTTATTTATTTTGAGACACGGTCTTGTTCTTTCGCCCAGGCTGGAGTGCAGTGGCACTGTCTTGCCTCACTGCAACCTTTACATCCTGAGTTCAAGCAATTCTGGTGTCTCAGCCTCCTGCATAGCTGGGATCACAGGTGTGCACCACCACGCCTGGCTAATTTTTGTAATTTTAATAGAGACGGGGTTTCACCGTGTTGCCCAGGCTGGTCTCGAACTCCTGGCCTCAAGCGATCTGCCCACCTTGGCTTCCCAAAGTGCTGGGATTACAGGCGTGAGCCACCGCGCCTGGCCTCTCCTTTATTTTTAAGCAAGCATCTATAAAATAACCCCATGTGTATAAGTGTATAATACTCTACCAGGAGCTTTTGGGAATATGGAAGAAGTAAAGGGTTCAGTTCTTGCCCTTGGCTTTATAACATGTTAGAATGATGAGACAGCATTACAGGAAACAAGCAAAGTAAATCCATCAAGTGCCTGGTAATGAGATACCAGTAATGTCAGAGAGAAAAGGGAACCAAGTCGTTTTGTAAGATTTTGATGGAATCTTATGATAGATGCAGAGTTTTAAATTTGTATTTTTGCAGCCATAGCCACCCAGGTTCCTAGTAGCTTTAGTATAGATGCGTGCAGTTCTGCAAAATGCCTGCTATCTAATGTTGCCTTTTTCTTCCCAATTCTGTTTTATATTCTCTCTTGTTCTCCATTTCTTGGTCCCTGTCTCTCTGATGTATGAAGTAAGTATTAGTGGAAAGAGGGCTTAGCTCTTCAATCTTTTTGATGGGAAGAACATAGCTTGCAGGTGGAGTACACCTGAGAGTCTCCAGCTCTGCCCTGACTCCCTGGTCCTTTTTACCTGGTGGCATCAGAGAGCCCCTGATGTGAGCAGCCTGGTGCGTTTGGTCCTGCAGGGGTTATCTTGAATCACTGATAATATCTGGGAGTGCTTCGGTCACTTTTTTGTGAAAGTGGCTATGTTAGCGACACAGCACATTTGAGTAACACCGCCTGTTGCACCAAATGCCCCCGTGCCACGGCTGCTCTTGCTGCCACTCTGAGTTAAATGGTAACTTCTTAATGCATAGGACGACTGTGGCTCAGCGCCACCAAAGGACTTGCCCAAGGTCACACGCGTGACAGGACGAGGGGCAGGACCTAGGCCTTCTCCTGCCAAGGTCGCAGGTGCTATTTGGGATGTCGTTTGTTGCTTTTGTTGTTTTAACCGGGATTGGTTTGAAATGAAAATGACCACATCAGCACAAAGCACCGTGTTTAGTCCTTGATTTTCTCCTCAACAGGTTGGAGTTTAACAAGGGATTGGGTGGTGGCGAGGTCGTTCTTTGGCCCCAGTCTTGCAGCGTGTGTGAGTGTTACTCTTTATGAAATGCTGATGAACCAAGCCAGCTGTCATTTCTCCCAGGAGCACTTCAGGGACATCTCACACGCTTCTCCTCACTCTCCCTGGGACCAGGTCTGTCCCAGAAAACCTTCCTGAGGCCATGCAGCTTCTGAGTTCCAGGACATCTCTCGGGTGGCCCCAGGAGAACCTGACCTATTTTGTGGCAGATCATGACTATTTTTAGAGTCTAAACCACCTTTAAAAGACAGACTATCATCCTCTTTCAGAGAATATAGTCCAATCAAGTCAACAGAATGTTCACAGGGAGTGGGGCACGGAGGAGGATGTGGTTTTGGAGGTTATACAGTAAGTTATGAAGCATGACACAGATGTGATTCTTTTCATCTATTTTGTTAGGTCTGTATTCAGAGTAAGAATTATTAGCCAGGCATGGTGGCTCATGCCTGTAATCCCTGCACTTTGGGAGGCCAAGGCAGGAAGATCACTGGAGCCCAGGAGTTCAAAACCAGCCTGGTCACCATAGCAAAACCTTGTCTCTATAAACAAAAACATTACTTAGGTGTGGTGGTGCACACCTGTAATCCCAGCTACTCAGGAGGCTGAGGTGGGAGGATTTCTTGAGTGCAGGAATTTGAGGCTACAGTGGGCCAAGATCGCACCACTGCACTCCAGCCTGGGAGACAGAGCAAGACCCTCTCTAAAAAAATAAAGAATAACCATGCACAAGATTTAACACGTTCATACTGGGGTCTCTCTTGTAGGTCAGGGCCTTTCTGGAGGTCGTCAGACCATGCGGTGACTTCTAACCCATGTCACATTTCCACTACAGAACAGTGTGAGATTTCAGCCTTAGCCATGAAAAAGAAGTGTGTGTGTGTATGTATGTGTGTATATATATGTGTGTGTATATATATGTGTATATATGTATATATGTGTATATATGTATATATGTGTATATATGTATATATGTGTGTATATGTGTATATATGTGTATATATGTATATATGTGTATATATGTGTATATATGTGTATATGTGTGTATATGTGTGTATATATGTATATATGTGTGTATATATATGTGTGTATATATGTGTGTGTATATATGTGTATATATATGTATATATATCTCAAAGGCAAGAGATCCAAATTCTCACTTAGGTGGAGTTTCAGGAATGTTGAAGGAGAGAGGCAAACTTGTTGGAGAAAAGAAAAATTTAGAGCCTTTAAAGGTGAGGAAGAAAGGAAAAATAGGAGTGTTTTTATCTCTTTATGCAGTGAGGTCCAGAATCCAGCCATTGTCAGTTCTGAGCATCTGGGATGTGGCCAAACCGCAGGGTGCTTCAAAAAGCCTCTGAATTCCCAAAGAAGTTGCAGTGAATCCCAAGGAATATATTTAGTGGGCAAGGTCTCCTCTTAGAGCCCTTCCCTGTGAAGTTAGCTGGATTTCTATCTCCTAGTGGCTGTCGTTGTCTAAGGCCCCAGTCCCTGGTGGATGTGACACTTGCAAAGCAAAGGGCACTGCAGACACCCTAGTGATGAGTGAGGGGAGCAGCATTAGCACCGTGGAACTGTCAGCCAGAGAGCTACAAGGTAGGGTCCCCAAAGACTGGTAAGAGGACCCCAGACACAAGGAAGATGTTGACCTGCATTCTGTCATTTTCATATAAGAAGGCAGGAGACTGCCTGTGCCTCTTTGGAAAGAGTACCTGAGAATGAGAAATTCTGGCTCTCCCACTGCTGAATGCCATGGGCAGCTGTGGTGTTTTCATCCCAGGTTCAGAATTTCCAGGAGTCTAGAACTTCACAGCCATCTATAATGCTTGACTCTGTGTATTTAATTCTTGCTTTAAGTTTTAGCTTCTACAGGAGAAAGCTTCAGTTCCCTGGAAACATAGGAAACCTCTTTTCCTGAGGTTGCCAGATCAGGAGTAGCCGCTGTAGGATAAAAGATGTGTGTCCCGGCAACCAAGGAGACCCCCCAGACTTTGTAACAGGTGATTCACCTCCAAAAAGGTTCTTCCTTTAAGAAAGTTTCCATAAAGTTTTTATAGAAAATACAGGTTAAAAACAAAAATAGAAGAGGCTGGGGAGCCGGGAGACCTGTCATCGTGTGAGCATCTGCTGTCACTGACAATCAGTCAGCAGTGAGGAGACCCCGGCAGGGATCTAGAACAGGAAGGGGCGTGTGTGCAAGGGCCGTGTCCCCTTGCAGAAGCACGTCTATGGCAAATGCCAGGGCATGTTTGGAGACACATTTGCATTTTTGAGATTTTTTTTTCAGGAGTATTGTCATCTAATAAAGGTGATCTGATAAAAGTTTCACAGTTTTTGAAAGCAATAGGTTTTTACTATGGGTGTTAAATGCTATCATTGTCTTTTATTGTTATTGCTGTCAATAAAATGTATGGTTCTTTTGACATAATTTTTCTTCCTTTGGTTTTAGAACCTTGGATTTGGCTGGAAAAGGTTTTAAAGACTGACTTGTCAGCTTTTTTATCCAAGAAAGATAAAAGGAAATATCACAAGCTGCTCCTTTGTGAAGTGTTTTCAATAATGACTCAAAGTTGATGAGTAGCACCCAGTCTTTTTTTTTTTTTTTTTTTGAGACAGAGTTTCACTCTTGTTGCCCGGGCTGGAGAGTGCAATGGCGCGATCTCGGCTCACAGCAACCTCCACCTCCCGGGTTCAAGCGATTCTCTTGTCTCAGCCTCCGAGTAGCTGGGATTACAGGCATGCACCACCATGCCTGGCTAATTTTGTATTTTTAGTAGAGACGGGGTTTCTCCATGTTGGTCAGGCTGGTCTCAAACTCCTGACCTTAGGTGATCCGCCTGCCTCGGCCTCCCAAAATACTGGGATTACAGGCGTAAGCCACCACGCCTGGCCACACCCACTCTTCTAATCCCTCAGGAGTTATGCCAGATCTACCACCAGGAGATCTTTCCACTCATCTAGTCATGGCTCACTCCTTGTTTCCTAGGTGGAAATAATTTCACACATTTTCTTCTTCTATGGATTTCAACAGTGTCCTTCACCTGGGGTTTCCTTCATTCATAGGATTTGGGGTAATTAAAGGCAAAGGATACAGTCTTTCAGGTTGATTAATCTCACCTGTGATAAGCATAGTGCTTCTGCTTTAGGATTCTAGGTAGGCTCCAGAACTTGATAAATCTAACATAGCCTGGTCTTGCATAAGTTGTGTGACTGCGTTCCTTTGTGCTGAAGTTTTCCTGAGAAAGGTTTGTACTTATCCCATATTTGGGCGCTTTCTCATCTCCCAAGGGCCCCGGGGACTTCAGTAATTGTAAATTCTTGGTTATCAGGAGTTTGCGATCAGACAATAATGGGTGGCACAAGGAAACAAAACTATTGTTGCAAATTCTGCTGATACCCAGGGAAACCAGATGACAAGATTCAAAACAGAGATGAGAGGACCAAATATACCTATCTTGCAGATTTCTCTAAAAAATTCCTCCCTTTCCCCCTCCACTTACTGGAGTTAGTGAAATCCAGTTGAAACACCTCCTCCGAAGTTTCAGTCCAAGGTAGTGACAGTAGAGGGGCAGAAGGACAAGAGGACAGCAGGGGGTGTGGAGAGCATCCTGGAGGAAAACGGGGATGTTGTTACTGTTTGCAATTCTGCATTTGCGATCACACTTTGAAGAAAATTGCCTGTGAGCAAAGTCTTCGTGTGGAAAGACTTAAGTAGCAGATCACATGCACGATGACGCTGAATGCTTCTAAACTTATTGATGTCTTAACAGGCCACCAAGCATGCCCTCTGCAGAGATCATCTGTATGACTTAGGTCTGAAAGTAAATGCTTGTTCTTCTCAAAGCAGAAAAACATTGTGAAGTATTTTCAGCATCTTTGCTGGGGCTCAATACTTTATTCATTCTTGGTCACTAGCTGGTATCTGAGCTGAGTTCAGGAGGAATTTGGAAAGAATCCTGTTGATTTCAAAGACTGCTGGAACATTGACTCTTTGAGGGTGAAGGGTTGACTATGATTTCTTCTGTACAGCTAGGAATATACAACCTTAATCCTTTCCCGCTGTGCTTAGATCATTTTGAGACTGCTTTTTCCCAAGGGCACTCTGAGACCCTTCTAGCAGGAGAGTTGGAGAGGTTCTCACTTGTCACAACCCAAAAACAATCTTATGGGAAGAAAACTTTTCAAAGAGCCAAAGGCCATAATGAGGCTATTACAAGGGAGTTGCCCTTCCAAGCCCAGGATTTTTAAAGAAGCATGTAATTGGCATAAATTTCCAGAAAAAAGTGTGATGGCCACAAATGTCAACGTGTTATTATAATAGATTTCCTGTTTCTACCAGTAATCTAGAAAATGCCAGATCTGGGTCTGCGGGGGGTCCCAGAGCTTGAAGCGGGATAGAGGTGGCACCCATCAGTGAGAGGTGCACGTCCTGGCAGAGGGAGGGTGGCGTGGTTTGCGATTCCCGGTTTCTCCAGGGGGCCCCAGGGGCTCATGCTCATGGGGCCTTGGTGTCCTGAGGGTGGGTCTGCTCCACCACAGCACATCGGGGCTATGCTGTAAAGTAGGTCAG